>NC_000005.10:5010000-6260000 GCF_000001405.40 Homo sapiens
TCTGTATGTCTTTTCCTCGGTGAAACCTGTCAATAACTACAACATAGCCTCTTGTGAATATTGACCTTGTCTGTTATTTGTTTTACACGTTTAGGCATAAACATTTTGTGTTTTGTTCACTTTTGTAACCCCTTCACCTAGAACAGTACTTGACTCTGAGTAGACTTGGTATTCCTTGAAACAATAAAAGCTAAAGCAAGTATAAAGAATTTACTTTCTACAATAATAATTACTATTTATTTGTTCACTTACTCTTTAAATTTTGTCAGGAAAACTTATGATGTATTAATTATAACACAAAGAAGAGCATTCAAGTTATGTCTTAAAAATATTATAAAGATAGCTGGAATAAATTACAGAAGACAACTTTTCCAGATATTTCATTAAATACCTTAAATACTGAGAATCTTGTAAAAAATTACAGTGTGTATTTTCTTTCATTCCAAAGAGATTACATGGAACCCAGATTATTTTATTTGACAATCATTGAAATAGAGATGAAATATTTTACTGCATTTTACTATTGATATAATGACATCCTCAAAATTTCTGGATATTTTCATGGTTCATACTGTTTTACAAAATTATCTAAAACTGCTCTTCTTTTTATATTTTTCACCATTTTTGAAGTTATTAAGACTTTCCACCTTAGATTCATTTCAACAAAACAACCATGATTGCGGATTTTTTTTTCTAAAGATTACATGTTTCCCTGATTAAAAGGGGATAGAAAATCATTCTTCCTGTTAGTGACCCTGGGCAGCTTGGCTCTCTGGTGGATTCTACTCTTTTCCCCTGCTGTAGTTTGAACTGCAAGATCTGATGCTCTGTGATGTGTTCCTCAGTGATAGATCCATGGACAACTCACTGGATGTGGCCCTGTGAGGCACTAGAGGGAGACTGGGAGGTGGAGAGAAGAATCAAGCCAGCCTTGTCTTCTCTTTACCCACTTCCAATGGCAGTGGCTGTGTGATGGCCTCAGTTTCCCCAGGGAGGCACCCACGGGTGAGCTACATCACCTCCATCACTTCCTCATGGCACTCACTGGCCTGGTGCAGTGGCTTCCTGCTGACACTGATCCCTGTGTACTTGCATTCTCTTTTGGCTCTCTGCCCCTCCCTCACCTGTGCAATGGTTTTCCTGCATTATGTTCTCCCTTGTTAGGTAGATACATAGATACATAATATGGAGACATAGGTATAGAGAGATATAGAGGTAGATATAAAGATACTTATATATGTTTTATACGGTTTCTCTTTTCCAGGCATTTCCCGCGTAAACTCTTAGTCAATGACTCAAGTCATGCTATGAGCAACAATTTCTGTGTTCCACATCATCTACAAGCAACACAATCTGTGACTCTCCATCTGCCCCTAGTTATGCTTTGGCCAGTAATCCAATTGCTACCGTCATGCTTTCCTCTTAAAGAGTCCCTGGATATTCCTGCCTAGCTTGAGGGAAGTTACTTCATTAGGGTGATTTGGGCACTTGGGGAACCTTTGCCATCTTTATGACTTAAATTTTGACTTACCAAAATAAATAAGACATATAAGGAAAGAACATAAATTTAATAGAAAAATTCAACATATTTCCCCGTGGATGTCTTATTTACATTAATTTGGCCTCTCCTTTCTGTCCTACTCACCCCTCCTAAATAGAAAACAAAGTTAATTATTTGATTGGCTGTATTAGGGAAAGAATTAGGGCTGAACCTGTTTGTCTTTTGTTCTCTGTTTATTTGGAAATCTGAAATAGCATCTATTCTTGGATTATCTGTATCATAAATATTCAAGGTCAGGGAAGGCTGAAATCTTCAGTTCATCAATAACCAGTTGGGTTCAATGCAGGGGTGCTGAGCAGGAAGCCCACTTTTGCAGAGGAGGGAGCCGTTGTGTGCAAACAGCCTGATTAGTAATAAAGGCAGTGATTTTGTTGTCTATCTCTTTGGTTTCTCCCCTATACATTAATTAATTTAAATGTGGGGTTAGGGAAGACATTCAGTAAGTCTTTCGAAACCCTAACAACAGTTTACAGAACAAACATCACATTTAACACTTTTTTTTTTTTTTTGAGACAGGGTCTCACGCTGTCACCCAGGCTTGAGGGCAGTGGCACAATCTCTGCTCACTGCAACCTCTGCCTCCCAGGATCAGGCTATTCTAATGCCTCAGCCTCCAGAGTAGCTAGGATTACAGGCACCCGCCATCATGCCTGGCTGATTTTTGAATTTTGAGTAGAGATGGGGTTTCACCATATCGGCCAGGCTGGTAACATTTAACACTCTTACTGGTAAATTTAACACACCTAGCCAGAATCTTTGCATCCTTTCCTGGGAATATCATGAGAAGAGACTTCAATTTATGATAATTCTCAAAGGATAGGTAAATGACACTTTTCGGTCACGTACCTTGAAATCACCTCTCAAAAACATTAATTATAAAAAGAAATGCTCATATGAGGAGAGACAGGTATTATTGTGTTGCCCTAACCTGTGGCATTTCTGTGAGAAGGTGCAAGGCCAGGTCCCCACACTGTTTAAGCATTCAGAAGACAGCAGATAGCATGCTCCTCCATATCCATTCACAGCTCCCAAAAATGCAGTGGTTGGCATCACAGCCTCAAAGCATTCAAAAAAATTTCCAGAAGTTTTGACTTTTCACCCAAATGGTTTTACCATTTTCATCTTAAAAAGGAAGAGCTGGACCTGGCACCACACCAACCATCATATCGTCCTCTTGAGTTGATCATTGCCCATTGGGGAGTGAGAAGCAGGCTATGAAAGCAAACAGCTTAGCCGTGGTTACTAGGTAAGTAAGAGCAATTCAGAGCCTTGACTATGATTCTACCTTTTCAGCTATCTAACCCGAAGACATCATACTTGGAGGAAAACATACATAGCAAGGATGTCCAATCTTTTGGCTTCCCTGGGCCACCTTGGAAGAAAAAGAATTGTCTTGGGCCCCACATAAAATACACTAACACTAACAATAGCTGATGAGCTTAAAAGAAAATCACACAAAAAAAGTATGATATATTAAGAAAGTTTATAAATTTGTGTTGGGCTGCATTCAAAGCCATGTTGAGCCTCATTCAAAGCTGTCCTGGGCCACATGCGGACTGCAGTCCGAGGGTTGGACAAGTTTGATATATAGTAAAACACATAGCATTACAGAGTTACAGAACATTCTGACCAACCACTGTGTAAGAAAAATGGATGCCAATTTTTACCCTGTCAACCAGAAGACCCTTCTGTAAGTTTCCAGCAACTCTATCTACAGAATAGCATCTCGATCCTGCCATTTTAGATGAGACTGTAAATTTACATACAAGATTCAAAGATATATAATACTCATCAGACACAGTTACACCTGAGGCTCTAAAAAGGAATCTTGACATTATTTTGTTATTTAAAAGACAACCATTTGTGACAAAATGACCTTCCCCCCCAAAAATTTAATCAGTGGCTAATCTCTGGAGACTATATGTACTAGCTTACATGGCAAACAAAGGAGCTTTGTCATGAATAATTTTGACATGGGAAAATGATCCTGGATTATCTGGGTGGGCCCTAAATGCAATCACTTGTTATAGACGAGCGGTAATATACACCCAGAAGAGAAGGAGATGGTAGGACCACAGAGAGCAAAGGATGCAGCCACAGACCAAGGAATACCACAGGCACCAGAAGCTGGAAGAGCCAAGAAATGGATGTTTCCCCAGAGCCTCTGGAGGGAGCAGGCCCTGCTGACACCCTGAGTTTGGCCTAGTGAAACTGACTTCAGACTTCTAGCCTTCAGAACAGGGAAACAATACATTTCGGGTTTGTTTATGGCAATTTATCATAGCAGCGACAGGAAATTAACTCATAAATCACTGGTCCCCATTTCCTTGCTCAGGTGAAAAATGTCCCTTGGGTTCACTCTCTTTGGACTTTTGGGGCCCATTATGTGCTAGACTGACAACTGCAGGCACAGTCCATTTTCATTGCACAGGGGGCATTGTCTAAACTTACCGGTTTGACTTGACAAATAATACAAACAAAATAAATTTAGTTTTGACAGACTGAAATGAATTGAATTGGTTGAAGTGAACATAAAGAACCATATGATTTTTTAAAAAACTACTTCTTATTTTTTAAAGCCCAACACAGTACTGTGGATTATAACATATGTATACATGTTTGTGGGTATCTATACATGCACATATACACACACACACACACACACATATATATATATATATATACACACATATATATATGAATTTTCAACCAAAATGTGAAGAAAATTGTAGTTAAAAATGCCATAATTTATCTTTTACTGGTAATTTCTAACTTATCGCTTTAATTTTCTCTGCCTCCCAAACATCCTTACTCAAAAATTGGAGAAGAAATTTTTATTTATCCATCTAGCTCCTCTTTATCATCTTAGTCTGTTCAGCTGCAATATCACTACAGCAGGGATAACACTTTTAAATATAATCTGCTCTAATCTGCATAATTGTCTAACAGAAAACAGACAGGTGGTGCCTTCTCAATCAGCTTAAGGTCAGTCTCTGAAGCAAACGTCACGAACATATGCAAATCGTCGGCTAATATGCTAAATCAGAGGATGTGTTTTTATTAAGAATTTCGAATCTGCAAAATGGTTTCTCCTTGTATTATTTTTTCCTGGAAACTTTCAGGTTTTTTCCTTTGTGCTGTATGTTTAAGCCTGTATGCTAATCTTGACTTAATCCCTATTCATCTTTCCATCATTAAACACGATCCTGTCATTCAGATGTTTGAAGGCTTAAGAGTGACTGTTTCTACTCTTTTAACTGCAACAATTTGGCATCCTGTTTCCCATAACTGCCATATCCATGTTTTATGGGATTTTGAAAAGGTTTCGGGAAGTATTTTGGACACAGGACAGCCTACTGAATGAGACTTGGAAAGTGCCCCAAGCAAAGTGGTAGGGGCCAAGAGAAAGCCCAGAAATGATTCATGGTGTGTTCACACCGTGTGGGCTGGCAAGTGCGGGAGACGGCTCTCTGCTAGCAGACTGGAACTAAATTCTTAGACATTCCTGGGTTGCCAAACAATGTCATCACAGGGGTTCCTAAAGAAGCTGTGAATTGGATGTCAGTGTCTTTTGGCTGAAAGGAGAGTTTGTGTCAGACCCCAAGAGGTCTCCTTAGATACATTTTTCTAATTGAGGCTCCTTCTCTTCCCCTGACAAAGAAAAGCATTGACACCTGTGTATTCTGCGTGGGGAAGACTTTCAGCTAAGCCAGATTCCAAGCGGGAGGTTACAGCAGGCTCGGGTGTGGTTTATTCCCTCTGCCAGTTCAATACTTTTACCCCACATTTTCAAAGAAAGTGTGTGTCCTGTCTGGTCCCTGCACACCCTTCCTCCTCACCCAACACTCTGTGGTCCTACAATTTGACTACTATTCTTGCTGCTAGAGAGGCCAGGCTACACGGCATCCAAAGGGGATCCCATCGCCACGGCAGACACTTTGGCTACGTCCTGCCCTTCTCTTTCCTTCTCTGACCTTTTATTTCCATGGTGAAAATCCACAGCTCTTTAACACACTCTGCAGCAGCCCATTTTTAGCTTAAATAAAAGTGAAGAGAGGATTTAGTATTCCAATCCCACTGCATTAGTGTCAAATATGTTTATGCTAGTAAGAGGAAAATAAATACATTCTGTCATACAGATGCCATTCAAATCTAATGGGACTCAATTTCATGCTTTCAATACTGAGAGGAAGTACCCAGATTAGCCTCAAATCAAGAGTGATTCCTGAAACTTCTCTATTTGCCACATGCTAGATTTCCAGTTTTTTTATTGTCTTTATATATATATTTTTTAATAGCAACAACACTAGATACCATTCTGACATGCTTTCCTCGGGATCCTATTAAATAGAATTGATTATCTGTGGGTATGCATCAACTTATAAAGTAGAAGAAGGCCCAGAATTTTTCAAAGAAGTTATGAGAAGTCTTTCGTAACTAAAAATTTTAAACATATCTGACACATATGAATTTAAAAAATAGCCACAGGAGAATTCAGTTTGAATTTACTTGATAATTTGAAGAAAATCATCACTCATGTTAGATAAAGCATTGTCAAGAGGGTCAAGGGAGGAGCCATACATCCTCTTCTGCTTGATCCTCTCAACAACTGTGGGACAATGTTATGTCATCATCCCATTTCGAAGGTGACAACCCTGTACCCTGGCATGGCTTTCCCAACATCCCACAGAGTATAACATAGGGTGAGGACAGGACTGTAGGGTTTTCCAACTCCAAATCTTCAATCTTTTCTGTGGCACCATTGAAAGCTACAAACTGGCCAGGTGTGGTGGCTCATGCCTGTAATCCCAGCACTTTGGGAGGCCGAGGTGGGCAGATCACGAGGTCAGGAGTTTGAGACCAGCCTGGTCAACATGATGAAACCCCATCTCTACTAAAAATACAAAAATTAGCTGGGTGTAGTGGCGGGCACCAGTAATCCCAGCTACTCAGGAACTCAGGAGCCTGAGACAGGAGAACAGTTGTAACCAGGGATGCAGAGGTTGCAGTGAGCTGAGATCATGCCACTGCACTCCAGCCTGGGCGACAGAGCAAGACTCTGTCTCAAAAAAAAAAAAAAAAAAAAAAGAAAGCTACAAACTATGCCAGTAACCAAGAAGATGTTTTGTTATCCATATATACACTTATTAAATAAATACTGCAATACTTTCCAGGTATCTGTTGCACGTGACGCCTGTCACCAAGCACCAAAGAAGCTCTTCCACCACATCTGGTCATGTAGCACATGTTCATCAAACACTTACTACCATAGCATTTTGTGTTTCTGGGGCTGGAGTGGGCGTTGGGGAGAAAGAGCTCTTGTACCTTCAGAGCTCATGCCCTGCTGAGGGGCCAGGGAAGTCATAAAGAAGAAGTTGATTAAATTATGTCAGGAAGCATCAAGTATTATAAAGAAAAAACAAAAAGCAAAGCGGGATCAGAAGAGTGACAGAGGGCAGGGATCGGGGTGGCCTGATCTGTGTGGGAAAGTGACTGATGGTGAAGACAACACAATTAGTTTCTGCCCATAGGGACCAAACAGAAACAACAATAGCAACAACAAATCAAACCAACGGGCAAAGCCATCATGAGCTGTGATATGTGATGGGAAGGAAAACTGGGAGGCTGGGAGACAGGATGATGGAGGAAGGGCTGCCCTTACAGAGGGTGGTGTGGGATCCTGTGCTGAGTGGGTGACCTGATTCCTGAGATCTGACGATTGAGAAGGAACCAGCTGAGTCCAGTGGAAGGAGGTGCATTCCACCAGAGCCATCATCAATTGCACTGATCTGATGACTGGAACAACCTGGTTCCTCAAGGACTTAAGAGAAACCAGTGTGGGTGTGGGAGAGGGATGGACAAGGGAGTGAGTGGAGGGTGGCCCAGAATGGAACTGAAGGGATGGGTCTGAGTCCACCCTGCAGTCCTGGGGGCAGGGGAGAAGTTCAGGTTTATCTCTAGGCTAATGGGAAGTCATGGGAGTGTTTTAATCCAGGTGGCATTGTGTGGAGCCTGCATCGTGGGAAGGAGGGTGGAGCAGGGAGCAGTTAGGCCCCCTGGGAGTATCTGCCATGTCTGCACAATGCTGTCAGGGTGACCTGACCACCGCCACAGGGGAGGAAAGGGGACTGAATTTGTGGTGTGCTTGGAGATAGAACTGACGGACAGGTCGGAGCATGGATGGAGAGTGAACCAGATTGTCTGGATGAGGGCAAGGTCTCTCTTAAGGGAAGAGGGAAGATTTCAGAGGGAGGACCTGTTTGGGGACTGGGGAGGAGAGCGATGCATGTTACAAAGGTCAACTTAATTAGGGAAGCAAGGAATCTCTGACGGAGACAAGTCTTCATCTGGTGAGATTTGGTCAAGACAACTTCAAAGCTCTTTTCAGCGCCCCCATTACCCATGCCAGGCAGTCACATGGCTGTACTCTGGGGCCTCCAGTGACAGCTCTCGCTGCTGGGACCTCCCCATCCTTGGACAGTTCTGCCTCTGATCACACCGGGGCTTCCTGCCCCAGGACTTGAACCTGACAGATCCATTGAGCCCATCCAGAGATGGATGCAGTGCTGCTTCTCCAAGTGATTCCTCCTAGCACTCAGAAGGGGGACTATGTTCCTTGTTCCATTTCTCTGAACAGCTAAACAGCTGTCATGGCCTCCACCTTTCCTCTCCCAAGCATTCTCTGGCTACTTGTCCTGGCCATGGCTTTTGGATTGTGCTTTGTTTGTTTAATGCTCTCTGAATGAGGCATCCAGAACTAATGTGGCACCCACGGATGGGGCCAGAGAGACATCAGAGAAAGGCTCCTGCCTCCTTGACCTCGGCTGCTGGAGTCTGTTGATTCAGCCCCAGGCGACTCAGCCCTTTGGGCTCCCACATCACACTGATGATTCATTCTGATCCCAGTCAATTAGGCCCTCTTTTTGAACACATGCCCCTGTAAGCTGGGGCTCTTCAGTTCTGCTTTGGAGGACATGGTTTTGGATCCCAAATCATCTCGGCTACCTTCTGATGAACTGTCTGACAGCTGACACTGTAAAGATATTCCTGGTTTCACTGGTGACAGGAAGACAACGTAAACTCAGCTATTAGTGTTGGGCCCACAGCCCAAGCTGCAGCCACAGTCACAGTGTCATCACTGCACCATGCCGGCAAGGATGGGGTGCTTGTCTAGGAGCTTTGTGAGCACAGACAGGATGCTGCGTGCCTTTGTAGAGCCAGTCTGTGGTGTCAGGCAGGCAGGAAATGTGCTACCCTTGAGTGAAGCAGGATCCCACACATTTGGCTTGGTTGTCTGAGACCAGATTTGGAAAGCACTAAATCCTGGCCTAAGAAGCCAGGGCTTTATTCTGCAGGAACTGGAAAATCATTGTAACGAAGGGCTAAAGAAGTATTTGGAAAGGTTAACTGGTGGAAAGGTTAAGGATGAACTGAAGATAATACGGTTAACTTTTTATGAACCCCCACAAAGAAGTCAATGTAGGGAAAACTTTGAGTTACATTGTGAGTAAAATAAGAATAATTGTGACATATTTTGGATATAAAGTGAACATATAAAGTCAATCATTCATTCAATACCGTAGCACTTTTGTGTTTTCTCAAAAGAAAACATCCAATTCAAGGTGGGTGAGAGTCAGGTGTGTTTTTTTGTTTTTTTGTTTTTTTTGACGGAGTTTCGCTCTTGTTGGCCAGGCTGGAGTGCAACGGTGTGATCTCGGCTCACTGCAACCTCCGCCTCCTGGGTTCAAGTGTTTCTCCTGCCTCAGCCTCACGATTAGCTGGGATTACAGGCATGAGCCACCACTCCTGGCTAATTTTGTATTTTTAGTAGAGATGGAGTTTCTCCATGTTGGTCAGACTGGTCTCAAACTCCTGACCTCAGGTGATCTATCTGCCTCGGCCTCCCAAAGCGCTGGGATTACAGGCATGAGCCACCGCACCCGGCTGAGAGTGAGTTTTACACAAAATTATTCTTGCTTAACAGGAGTACCAGCATGGTAAGACACATTTGTGGATGCACAGAGCCAGCATGATGCGGTCAGAGAGCAAAGTATCACAGCACAGCAACTTCCTACAAGAATCATTTCTGTTGGCTGCTAAATATGTGATGTGTTCACATGGTTCAAAACCTCTCCCTCTCACCTTGGGGTCCATGTACCTAATCCACACCAGGCCCTCTGCCCACGCAGTTTCAGTTTCTTAGGAATCTTTCCAGTATTTCCTTATAGCAATCAGGCTCCCTTCTGCCTTTTCCTGCTCTTATTTCTTTGATTCTAAAAAAAAGTGAACAATGAAATAGGACACAGTCTAGAAACTAATCCAGAAGCTGAAGTGCACAATGGGCTTCTTAGCACATGTTTATCAAAGACTTATTACCACAACATCCAGTGTGCCTTGGGCTGGAGCGGGTGCCGGGGAGACAGAGCTCTTGTGAGTTCAGAGCTCATGTCCTGCTGAAGGGCCAGGAAAGGCATGAAGAAGAAGCTGATTAAATTATGTCAGGAAGCATCAAGTATTACAAAGAAAAAATAAAAAGCAAAGCAGGATCAGAAGAGTGATGGAGGGTGGGGATTGGGGTGGCCTGATCTGTGTGAGAAAGTGACCGACGGGCAAGACGTCAGAATTGGTTTCTGCCCATAGGGACCAAACAGAAACAACAACAGCAACAACAAATAAAAATTAACGAACAAAGCCATCATGAGCTGTGATAAGTGATCAGAAGGAAAACCGGGAGGCTGGATGATGCATCAGCTCAGCCATGATGTTGGATCTGTAGCCAGTCACAATGAACTGACCCCCAGGTGCATCCCAGTTTGTACTGTGGAATTATTACTCTGTTTTCGACTTAGTGCTAATAGATACTGTGGCTGGTTTATCCAATGGATGGAGTTCACTTTTTCCCTGATAATCCTGTTTTACAGTTTCAAGATAAAAGTAAAACAAAAAAGAAACGAACAAAAACAAAAACCCTATGTAGAAAGTGTTGGGGAGAGGCACGTGGTACAGATACCCCAGACAGACTTTTCTAGAAACCACCTCTCATCTGTCTTGGGCAACATGAGGGGGTACTTGGATTTCTGGGCTGGTCATCCTCTTGTTGCTATTTCATGGAGGACACTGACATTCAGTGCTCCTGGCAAGCTCACTATGCAAATTTATATTATTTTGCCATTATAAAACAAATACACACTGGCATATCAAAGGAAATTTAGAAAATAAAGATTTTTAAAGTCCATTGGCATAATAAATTCAGAAAGAGCAGCTATTTTCAAAATAGTATGCCTTATTGTAAGTCAGTACAGAAACAAATTGTTGTAGCCAAGAGCTCACTGACAGGTGAAAATACTGGAATAACAGAGTAGCAGAATTCTAGAACGGGAAAGTAATTATTAAAAGGAGGAAAGAGCAGAGGCCAGCTTTCTTTAGCTGCCTGCCATTCGCTTCCTGTGAGGTGGATTGCAGATACATCAGGAAGAGAGAACAGGGTTTCACATTTCCCCTGCTTTTTACTCATAAATGTACAGGCTTCACCCAGCCCCGCCCTGGAAGGGAACATGAGGCACAATGTTAAGCAAAGAATCACAGAGATGCATTTATTTATTATGTGTGTTTTTATTTTTTTATTTTTTTGAGACAGGGTCTCACTCTGTCACCCAGGCTGGAGTGTAGTGGCACAATCACGGCTCACCACAGCCTTGACCTCCCCGGCTCAGGTGATCCTCGCACTTCAGCCTCCCAAGTAGCTGGGATTACAGGCATGCACCACCATGCCCAACTAATTTTTGTATTTTTTTGTAGAGAAGGAGTTTCACCATGCTGTGTAGGCTGGTCTCGAACTCCTGGACTGAAGTGATCCACCTGTTCAATCTCCCAAAGTGCTAGGATTACAGGCGTGAGTCACCACGTCTGATGGAGATGCAATTTTTTAAGAAACCCATATCAGTTAAAGATCTAGATTCTTGGTATAATAATGCAACAACATAGCATGAGAATAAACCGTTGCCCTGGCATGCGGAATGATTCAGAAAGCTAGGGAAGCAGCAGCCCAACAGAAGCTTGAGACTCACAGAGGAGGGCATGGGGAGCTCCTGGAGGTGCCATCTGGGCTTGTCAGTGCCATAGTCAAATTTTCATATCTTCATCATCCCGTGAGCCAGAACCTAGGGGTAGAAAATATGCAGAAGGAAAATATACACAATGCATCAAACCATTGCCTATATTATGACTAGATCCAAATTAGCCTTGGGGTATAATGTTTACTTAGTTTACATGCATTATATACTTACTGCAGTAAACAAATTGAAATGTTCATATCACTACTGTACAGAAATGAACACAGGTTCCCTTAATTTTGACACTTTTTGCTTGTTATTTTATTAAATCATAAAGAAATGAAATAAGTCACATGTCTGAACCTCTCGTACCCAGCTCTGGTCACAGGGCCTCCTGTACCTGGGACTAGAGGTGCATTCCATTGTACGAGAATTACTTGATTTTTTCCAGTAGGTTTCCAAAATCAGAGTGATTTTTCACTTGAATTATTTCCTTAGAAATGCATCCCCAAGGAAAAGTGCTACACAAGTACATTTTATTACACTTTTGATCATCAATTTACCAGACCTACTCTTTTATGGAACTGATAATATGAATCTTTCAGTAAAATATGTCTTGCAACACTGGCCCATCATCATCCTCTATATAAAATGAATATACATATGAGCCCCAGAAAAGGGGAATCTTGAAGGCCTAGGTTACAATTGCAGCCATGCCATTGATAGAAACCAAAGTCCTAAAAAATTCCTCTAAAGCCATAAATGAACCAGATATACAAATAACTACATGTGTAAACCTATAAAAATCTTTCTGAAAACAGAAAATATTCGAATAAATTAAGAGTAGATTTGGTACTTAAGACAGTATGTTAAGTATATTGATTTCTTCACGTAACTATGTAAATTAAAGGAAATCGCAATCAAAATTTCCACCATTTTTGGAAGTTGAAAATTCAGTCTTCTGGATAATTCAGAACTAGGCAGGAACATTCTGAACACAGGGAGAACAGGACCTTGCCACTCAATAATATTATATAAAATAAAGCAGCAGTAACTAAAACCGTTCATACTAAAGAAGAATTAAAAGATAGACTGATAGAGCAAGGAGCCCAGCTACATACCAAGTACACATGGCAACTTAATATTTAATGAAGACAGAATTTCAAATGAAGGGAGGAATATATAAATTAGTTAAGGCAATATATAGATTAGTTAAGAAATGGTATTAAAATAACTGCCATCTAGAAAATGACAATGGGTTAACATTATTTCTTACATGAAGAAATATTTTTTAAAATAATTGTGGCCTATGAAATTGTTTTTCTAAACATGAGTGGTTATGTAGATTAGTATATATAACACAGTAATTATTGTGTTGCAAATTATATGCTGAACAAAGTCAAGAAGCAAATAATTTACTCAGTGAACAAAGTCAAGAAGCAAATAATAATGGGATAAAAAGTATTGCAAGGAGGTATTTCAAAATAGCATGTCATTATTTTTGTAATAAAAATTATTTAAATGAAAACCCAGATACACCTATTTATAAAAACATAGTTCCAATATCACAACTGCGTTAAAAAAATTCAAAATCCTCTCCCAGAAAAAGTACTAACTAGAGAGATTTTAATGAGAATTAGGTATTTTTTTTAAGAGAACTACAAATATTATCTAAAAAATGTAAAACAGATTCAAATATATAGAAAAGTGTAACGTGTGTTGGGAGTTAAAATGGATGCCAAAGGACATTGATCTAACTATTTCTTAGTCTCTGAATAACTTGTGGGGATCCTTTAGAACTAAAAGCCTCGCGTAGATGTCTTGTGTACACTGCAAAATCCAGCACGTGTGTGACATTCACAAAGACCTTTTGACATCATCCCAACCACTCACCTAATATGAAACACCAAAGGGAAAATATCCTCAAATAGTTTTTTTTTTTCTGTTTGTGTTTGTGTGTTTTTCATGACATAAGTGAAATACAAGGGGATTCAAACTTCCCTTTAAGTATTTAGCTTGGTGCTTGACAAAGCATCCAACTGAGTGGCTAATTAACTAATTAATTTGAATTAATGTAGTAAGGGAGGTGAAAGAGCAAGATCTGCTGGACTCCTGTAGCTACCATCAGGCAGCTGTGAGCAATCAGAAACACTGGTTTGATAGAACTAATTCAAGTGTGTGTGGTTTTCATCTTCTGGTGGAATTCTTTGAGTCTACAATATGGACACAAGGGGCTCAACTGAAGTGAAAATTTTCCAATATGCAGACGGATTTGTAATTAACGTAGAGAATTAGCCAACTGTCTCTTGTGGGCATGGTCTTATTTCATGGCCAATCCTATTCCATAAAGGAATCTGACACTTTTCTAACCACAGGGGATTGGAGACAGAGCTTTCATCTTGTGTTTGTATATCACCTCCTTTCTCCTTCATTATAGGGGGTTGAATTGTGTCACCCTAAAAAGACGTGTTCAAGTCCGAATCCCCAGTACCTGTGAATGTGCTCTTATTTGGACACAGGGATTTTGAAAACTTAATCAAGTTAAGATGAGGCAATGCTGGATTAAAGTGGGCCCTAAATGCAATGACTCTTTTCCTTATAAAGTGAGAAGTGTCACAGAGACACACAGAGGGAAGAAGGCCACCTGTTTATTCACATTTTCAACTTTATGCCATCTATTCCATCCCGTTATTTGGAAGTCAAGACAACCCTCTTAGCTTTCTTCCTCAGTGCCGTCTCCTGAAACCCAACATGGAGAACCACACAGTTTAGGTACAGGATGGAAGATCCAGACCCCAGACAAGATCGTTGCCTCTCCCCGCACTGTTTACTCTATGGCTACAAATGATCGCCTCTGAGAATGTCTGGATCTAAATGAGTGAGATATTTGTTGTGGTTTGTTTAGAAAGCCTTGTATAGCTTGATTGAGGGTATTGGTGCAGGAAAGTCTTTCTAGCCCCATTGTGAAATCTCTGTGCCTCCTTCAGTTTCCTCATTTGTAAATTAAGACCATTTTACCCCTGTCGTGGGGTTGGTACATCACCACACTCACGGGGCTTACAATGAGCGCATACACCTGCATTTGACCCTCGCTAATCACACTGTGATTAACCAAAGAAGTGAACATGATCTGAATCTGTGAGTCAGGAACCAAGGTAAAGACCCAAATAATATGAAAAACCCAAACCTACATGAAAGTCATGGGATGGTGGACTTTTTGTCATCCCAGGACAGCTGGCCTGTGTTTACCCAAAAACTGGGCAAATTTTCATCCTTAAAAATGGACAAGATGCCCAACACCAGCTTCCTTGCAAGTGCTCACTGAGCTCCCAGCTCCAACGGAACAGATGAAATAGAACAGTGAGTTATCACCAAGAGTGAGTTTTCTATTGAGCAAGATTTTGCCTAGCACCTGTGATCCATGGGATCAGTGAGGCTGTGCTGGTTGTGGGATGTCACCTGGTGGCGGTGATGGGGAGGAAGTGATGGAGAAAAGGTGAATGAAGGAACAGGAAGACCCCTGAGAGGAAGGAAGCATCAGTCTGGAGAAGCTAAGAAAAAAAAAAAAAAAAGAAGCATCCAAGACATTAAACAGAATACAGAAGACCAGATTAGAGGCTCGTTTCAATAGTAGGAGTTATCAGGGATAGGCCAGGGAGGAAGACAGCGCAGCCTGGGCTCCCAAACCATTCTCAGCTGACTTTCCATGTGGCTTTAAAAGGAGCTGGACTGGATGGGGTCTGGACTGTGCACCTAAGGGGACAAATCTCATATTTAAATTTGCAGAAATGTGGGGGCAGGGCCAAGATGGATGATTAGCAACAGCGGCGATCTGAGGCTCCCATCAAAAAAAAAACCAAACAACAACAACAACAAAAAAACCATAATAAGCATGTAAATCCTTCACCGGCAACCAAGATATCCAGGTTATCTCATCAGAACTGACTAGGAGGCTTGCGTGATTCGTGAAGAGAAAGGAAGAGCAGTGTGGTGCGACAGCCCACCCGAGAGCCACACAGGGCATGGAAGCCCCTCCCCACAGCCAAGGGAGGTGGTGAGTGAATGTGCTACCCAGCCGGGTGAGACGAGAAGTCTTCTTCCAATCGAAGGTTTTTCTCAGTCGGCTCATGGTCTCACGGGCTTCTAGGAATGAAGCCTTGGACCACAGCGGTGAGTGTTACAGCTCGATTGGAGAAACGCGCGGACCCAAAGAGTGTGTGGCAGCAAGATTTACTAAAGCGAAAGCAAAAGTAAAGCAAAAGCGAAAGTAAAGCTTCCACTTGGTGGAAGGGAACCGGGAAGGGTAGCAGTTTCTGGCTTGGGTGTCTTATGCTTATATCCCCTCATGACCCCTCCCCTTTTCCTTTTTCTGTCCTATAGAATTAGCTTATTTTCTATCTGCTTGTGGGTTGGCGGGCCTGATTGGTTAAAAACGTCAGGCTGCAGCTAGAGCTTAAACTCCCTATATGATTGGTTGAAGTTTCAGTCCCTTAGCTTGCAGCTATGACTTATTTTGGCTTAGGGGAAAGTCCCCTTAGGGAAGTCCCTGTTGACTCAGGAAGTCCAGCCAACTTAGCCACTTAGTCCTTCACGGGGAAAACGTGCTTTTTCCACGGAACTGTGCAACCCATGGATCAGAAGATCTTACTCACAAACCCAGGCCACCAAGGCCTGGCATCCCCCAACCCCAGAGCTGCACAGATTCTCAACAGCCTCTCAGCTGGAATCTGCTGAAGCCGACTGATCTCCCGGGGGGAGGGGCGACCAGCACCAGAGCTTCAGTTGCCTGCTGTCTACACCATTTGAGCTCCTTGGGTGAGGGGCAGCAGCCAGCACTGGGACCCACAACCGCCTAACAAGCTAAGCTCCCTGGGAGGAGGAAGGGCAGCATCTATCTCTATAGCTCCAGGCTGCGCTTTTCCCCTGCTGGCACCAGGGAGGCTGGACTGCTTGGTCCCAAGATGAGTCCCCAACAGCCCAACACGCCGGCTGTGGCAGTCAGCAGTGGAGTGCCTCTTCAGGCCTGACCCTGACTCATCCTTCCTCACTGGGCAGGGCTTCCCTGCAGAAACTCCAATAACTCCAGCCAGAGGCTCAGGAACAGAACCTGGATCTCTCTGGGCCTGAGCCTCTGGGGGATGGGTGGCCACAGTCTCTGTGGACCAGCAGACTTAGGCTTTCCTCCTGGTAGTTCTGAGGAATCCAGACAGCCCAGATGAGTGGGTTTCCCCCAGCGAGGTACACACCCTCCACCAAGGGACAGTCAAAGAGCTTCATTAAATGGGTCCTGTTCCCCATCCCACCCAACTGGATGAGACTCTCCAACAGGTGTTGTCAGACACCCTATACAGGATCGATCCTACTGGTATTAGGTTGGTGCCCCTTGAGGTCAAAGATCCCAGAAGAAGGAGTAGGCACCTATCTTTGCTGTTCTCCAGTGTTGGAGTAAGCCAGATGAGTAGGGCCTGAAGTGAACCCCCAGCAAACTGCAGCAGCCCTGCAGAAGAGGGACTTGACCATTGGAAGAAAAACAAACAAATAGAAAGCAACAACAGCAGCAGCATCACCACTAACAAAAAAAAAAGCCCCCACAAAAACTCCATCCAAGGGTCAGCAACCTCAAAAATCAAAACTAGACAAACTCATGAAGATGAGAAAGAATCAATGAAAAAATGCTGAGAACCCAAAAGGCGGGAGTGCCTCTTCTCCAAATGAACACAGGGTCTCTCCAGCAAGAGCACAGAACTGGATGGAGGATGAGATGGATGAATTGACAGGAGTAGGCTTCAGAAGATGGGTAACAAAAAAATATGGTGAGCTAAAGGAGCATGTTCTAACCCAATGCAAAGAAGCTAAGAACCTTGATAAAAGATTAGAGGAGCTGCTAACTAGAATAACCAGTTTAGAGAGGAACATAAATGACCTGATGGAGCTGAAAAACACAGCGCAAGAACTTTGTGAAGCATACACAAGTAACAATAGCCGAATCAACCAAGCAGAAGAAAGGATATCAGAGTTTGAAGACCACCTTGCTGAAATAAGGCATGCAGACAAGATTAGAGAAAAAAGAATGAAAAGGAATGAGCAAAGCCTCCAAGAAATATAAGACTTCATAAAAAGATCAAACCTATGATTGTTTGGAGTACCTGAAGGAGACAAGGGGAATGGAAACAAGCTGGAAAACACACTTTAGGATATTATCCAGGAGAACTTCCCCAACCTAGTAAGACAAGCCAACATGCAAATTCAGAAAATACAGAGAACACTACTAAGATACTCCACCACAAGATCAACCCCAAGATGCATAATCATCAGATTCTCTAAAGTCGAAATGAAGGAAAAAATGTTAAGGGCAGCCAGAGAGAAAGGCCAGGTCACCTAAAAAAGGAAGCCCATCAGACTAACAGCAGAATTCTCAGCAGAAACTCTACAAGCCAGAAGGGATTAGGGGCCAATATTCAACATTTTTAAAGAAAAAGGATTTCAAATCAACACCCTAACATCACAATTAGACAGCTAGAGAGGCAAGAGCAAACTAATTCAAAAGCTAGCAGAAAACAAGAAATATCTAAAATTAGAGCAGAATGGAAGGAGATAGAGACACAAAAAACCCTCCAAAAAATCAATGAATACAGGAGCTGGTTTTCTGGGAAAAAAAAAAAAAAACATTAGATAGATCGCTAGTTAGATTAATAAAGAGGAAAAGAGAGAAGAATCAAATAGACACAATAAAAAATGATCAAGGGTATATCACCAATGATCCCACAGAAATACAAACTACCATCAGAGAATACTATAAACACCTCTACATAATAAACTAGAAAATCTATAAGAAATCGATAAATTCCTGGACACATACACCTGCCCAAGACTAAATCAGGAAGAAGTTGAATCCCTGAATAGACGAATAACAGGTTCTGTAACTGAGGCAGTAATTAAGAACCTAGAACCAAAAAAAAAAGCCCAGGACCAGACAGATTTATATCCAAATTCTACCAGAGGCACAGAGAGGAGCTGGTACCCTTCCTTCTGAAATTATTCCAAATAATTGAAAAGGAGGGACTCCTCCCTAACTCATTTAATGAAGCCAGCATCATCCTGATACCAAAACCAGGAAGAGACAAAATGAATAAAGAAAACTTCAGGCCAATATACCTGATGAACATCAATGTGAAAATTCTCAATAAAATACTGGCAAACTGAATCCAGCAGCACATCAAAAAAATTTATCCGCCACGAACAAGTAAGCTTCACCCCTGGGATGCAAGGCTGGTTCAACATATGCAAATCAATAAACGTAATCCAGAACATGAACAGAACCAAAGATAAAAACCGCATAATTATTTCAATAGATACAGAAAAGGCCTTTGATAAAATTAAACATCCCATCACGTTAAAAACTCTCAATAAACTAAGTATTGATGGAACATATCTCAAAATAATAAAAGATATTTATGACAAACCCACAGCCAATATCATATTGAATGGGCAAAAGCTGGAAGCATTCCCTTTGAAAACTGGCCCAAGACAAGGATGACCTCTCTCACCACTCCTATTCAACATAGTTTTGGAAGTTCTAGCCAGGGCAATCAGGCAAGAGAAAGAAATAAAGCGTATTCAGATAGAAAGAGAGGAAGTCAAATTGTCTCTGTTTGCAGATGACATGATTCTATATTTAGTAAACCCCATTATCCCAGCCCAAAAATCCCTTAAACTGATAAGCAACTTTAACAAAGTCTCAGAATACAAAATCAATGTGCAAAAATCGCAAGCATTCCTTTACACCAACAATAGACAATCAGAGAACCAAATCATGAATGAACTCCCATTCACAATTGCTACAAAAAGAATAAAATTCCTAGGAATACAGCTAGCAAGGGATGTGTAGACCTCCTCAAGGAGAACTACAAATCACTCTTCAAGGAAATAAGTGGAAAACAAATGGAAAAACATTCCATCTTCATCAATAGGAAAAATCAATATTGTGAAAATGGTCATACTGCCCAAAGTAATTTATAGATTCAATGCTATACCCATCAAACTACCAATGACATTCTTCACAGAATTAGAAAAAAAAAACCTATAAATTTCATATGGAATCAAAGAAGTCCCCATATAGCTAAGACAATCCTAAGCAAAAAGAACAAAGCTGGAGGCATCAAATTACCTGACTTCAAACTATACTACAAGGTTACAATAACCATATCAGCATGGTACTGGTACCAAAACAGGCATATAGACCAATTGAACAGACCAGAGAGCTCAGAAACAACACCACACCTCTCCAACAATCGGATCTTCGACAAACTTGACAAAAACAACCAATGGGGGAAAGGTCTCCTATCCAGTAAGTGGTGCTGGGGAAACAGGCTAGCCATATGCAGAAAACTGAAAGTGGACCCCTTCCTTACACCTTACACAAAAAATAACTCAAGATGGGTTAAAGACTTAAATTTAAAACCCAAAACCATAAAAACCCTAGAAGAAAAGTTAGGCAATACCATTCAGGACATAGGCATGGGGAAACATTTCATGATGAAAAATGACAAAAGCAATTGCAACAAAAGCCAAAATTGACAAATGAGACATAATTAAATTGAAAAGCTTCTCCACAGCAAAAGAAACTAGCATCAGAGTGAACAGGCAACCTGCAGAATAGGAGAAAATATTTACAATTTACCCATCTGACAAACGTCTAATATCCAGAATTACAAGGAATTTAAACAAATTTACAAGAATAAAAACAACCCCATCAAAAAGTGGGCAAAGAATATCAACAGACACTTCTCAAAAGAAGACATTTACACAGTCAACAAACATATGTAAAAAGCACAACATCACTAATCATCAGAGAAATGCAAATAAAAACCACAATGAGATACCATCTCACACCAGTCAGAATGGCTATTATTAAAACAACACGAAAAATAGATGCTGGCAAGGCTATGGAGAAATAGGAACGGTTTCACACTGTTGTTGTCAAAATAAATTAGCTCAACCATTGTGGAAGATGGTATGGCGATTCCTCAAGAATCTAGAACCAGAAATACCATTTGACCCAGCAATCCCATTACTGGGTATATACCCAAAGGAATATAAATCATTCTACTATAAAGACACCTGCTCATGTATGTTTATTGCAGCACTATTTACAATAGCAAAGTCATAGATCCAACCCAAATGCCCATTAATGACAGACTGGATAAAGCAAATGTGGTACATATACAGCATGGACTACTATGCAGCCATAAAAAGGGATGAGATTATGTCCTTTGCAGGGACATGGATGAAGCTGGAAGACATCATCCTCAGCAAACTAACACAGGAACAGAAAACCAAACACTGCATGTTCTCACTCATAAGTGGGAGTTTAACAATGAGAACACAAGGACACTGAGAGGGGGACAACATATACCAGGTCCTGTTTGGGGGGTGAGGAGTGAGGGGAGGAAACTTAGAAGACAGGTCAATAGGTGCAGCAAACCACCATTGCACATGTATACTTATGTAATAAATTTGCATGTTCTGCACTTGTGTCCCAGAATTTAAAGTAAAATAAAAAATATAAATAAATAAATTTGCAGAAATGAGTGACATTGCCTTAACCTTCTTTTTACTTACTACATTTGCTTTTAATTATGTCTATAACTATTATACCTAGGGATTATTATTGTAACTAATCATTACATTTAATATTAAACATTTGATAAATGCAGAAAAGCATAAGGGAAAAAATAACAATGGCCCCATAATGATACTATTCAATGATTACTTTTAATATTTGGTAAGTTATCTGATTCTTCAAAATGATATCATGCTATTTTAAAAACAAATTTTAAATAATGGAAAATTTTTTTCAGGCAATTGAATATTTTGCCACAAAATTATTTCAAATGACTCTGTAGCCATAGAGACGGACTGATTTACATCTCCAATTCTTTTTTATTGCATAGTTCATTTGTTTTTAGGCTTCAGCATTAAAAATAAGGCCATGTCAAACATACTTGAGACACAAGGCTGAAAAATGTTTTCTTTCTACTGCTTTTGTTTCTACTACCCCTCTCAAAAATCTACACCTTCATATTCCAGTTGTGTTTATACGTTCCAGTTGTGTTTGGCTCTGGGTTCCCACCCATTTCTCATCCTGAATTGTAATTCCTATAATTCCCACGTGTCAAGGGAGGGACCTTGTGGGAGGTGATTTTATAATGGGGGCATTTTCCCCCATGCTGTTCTCGCGATAGTGTATGAGTTCTCACAAGATCTGATGGTTTTATAAATGGTAGCTTTTCCTGTGTTCTGACACGATCTCTCTCACACACACCTGCCACCATGTAAGGTGTGCCTGCTTCCCCTTCCACCATGATTGTAGCTTTCCTGAGGCCTCCCCAGCCACGCAGATCTGTGAGTCAATTAAACCTCTTTCCTTTATAAATTACCCAGTCTTGGGAAGTTCTTTATAGCAGTGTAAAAATGGACTAATACAGGTGTTTAACCATAAACTGGGAAATCATAAACATTTTCATTGTTTTAAACTTTTCCAACTTGACAGGTGGCAATAATTTCACATTCATATTTGAAATGTATACCCCACTGATCATCACTGAGATTAGTCAATTTCAGGGTTGATGGTATTTGTACTGGTTATTTTTAAAATTCCGAATTGCTTATTCTCATTCTTAATTATTTTTTCAGATTCTATCTTTCTTAATTATTTGCGGGACATCTTTGTGTATTAATGATATTAACATTTATGAGTCACATTTATTGTTTTTTATTTGATTTTGGATAATATCATCATATAATGATTTCAAATTTCTGTAGACACGACTCTAAATCTTTTATTCTATAGTTTCTGGTTTAGGTTTTTGTTGCATACTTAACTTGGCCTTTTGCAACTCCAAGTTCTAATAAATAAACTACTTTTTGTTCTTTTTCTGGATTTAACATTTAAATAGCTAATCCCTCTGCAAATTGTGTGTGGGCGTGTGGGGAGGAGATGGAGAGTTTGACTTATTTTCTTTCCATCCCCTAGATTCTAATCTGCCTGGCTAGGCTCAGTTCTTTTTTTTCTCTCTAAAAGAGAGATGAATTTTATAATTATGTTTTAGAAAACATATTCTTTTATACATTTTGAAAAGGTTATGTCATAGCCATAGATTCATTTGATTAAAAAAATAAAGATTTCACATTTTCATTTGTGTCAGATGTTTTTAAAAATCCTAATGTACAGGTTGGATTCACTGGGAAGCAGCCTCTGAAATACAGATGAACATCCTGGAAGTTTTTTAGGGAGTGATCACAGGACCAATACCTATGAATGGAGGGGAAGAGAGGAGAATCGGGCAGAGGAAGAAACGGGTTGAGGTGCAGCCCCAGTGAGATCTCTGCTAACCCTACAGGGAGCAGACCTTATATCTAAAATGCCCCCTAAGAGCGTTCTAGAGTTGGTGTGAGGAGACAGAGCCTATATACTACTGCATTAACCAGTCATTGTCAAGGCTGCCCAGAAGGCAGCAGGACCTTGGGCAAGGTGACTCTCAGCCAAGGCAATTCCTGAAGATCTACCAGCCCAAAATGTTTTCGGCAGCCAGGGAAATGGAGTCCTTCTGTTCTGGAAGGGGATCTGGGAGGTGGAGCCCAACACCCTTGAAAGCCCACTGTTGTGGCCTCTCTGATAGGGTCACTACATGTGAGACCTGGGAGCAGCTCACCCAGGAGGCTGCTAGCATGTCCTCCTGGAAAAACTTAGCAGAGGAAATTTCCTGGAATGAACTACAGTCTCTGCCACTACAGCCAGCCTCAAATCTTCAAATGATGCTCATATCTTTCCCTTCTTTCCATACAAGGCTGTCATCACACTTGGACAGCATCTCTTCTGGTTTGCCTGGGCCATGAACCAGCTCCTGTCCCTGGAGGTCTGAGTCTGTGTTTATCATGCTCTTATCAGGGAATGGTTCCATTCACTGCTAAAACTGGAGAAGAAAGTCCTAAGAAATACCCACGTGGATACCATGTGTCAAGCTTATTTCTCCCCGGCTCCATGGAGAGGTGACGGCACACCCTACTGAAGGCAGGGGCAGCTACCTTGCTGCAGCAGTAGGACCTCTTCTAGGTGGCCTGGCATGCCATGTGCACTGCAGCACCTCCCTTTCTATCAAGTGGGCCATTTAGTCTGATGTGGTGTCACAAGAAATGCCATACTGGGAATCAGTCATTCTGTAAGAGGGTTCCCTTCCTTTGGCACAAGCAGTCTGAACTGCCCACGTGGTGACTGGAGTTTTGCATTCAGTGGAATTCTGAGTGTATCCTTTGGAAATCAGGACTTCTAAAATCCACAGAAATCTCAACTGTCTAGATGAAAATCACACATTCACAAGTGGATATGATGACTGAAGAGGCCACTTCTGCTGAAACCTAATGATTTTATATGTTGGAAATGTAGCACATGAAATGGTCATTGACTTAGCACCTACACTGAATTTTAAAAAATGACCCCTCATCCTCACAGGACATCACCTCTGAGCTGGCCCAGCAGATGTATCTTCGTAGGCTGTCCCATTATTCTGGACTGGACGCTTCTGATGGTGTGATGTGTGGTGAGATTAGTGCTGTGGTCACGTCCCCACCGTCACGTCTCCGTTTTTATAAAGTGGGTCCCTGGGTATGACGTGATGTCACATGAAATGCCTTATTATGCACCAAACATTCTGTAAACCCCCAGAGCAACAGAATACTGTGCTGAGGCCCCAAAACAGAAAGGAAAGCTCACCACCAGAATGTGCCTTTTCCTTATCAAAAAGAATTGCTGCCCCTTACAGGACAGGAGGACTCCAATTGTGACCAAGTTGGAGCAGCCTTGAGCCACAACTCAGACTTATTTTCATTCTCTGCTCATTGGCCATTAGGAACCCGATCCTTATGGTATGTTCACACTGTCTCCAGGCTGGGCACAGTGGCTCACACTTGTAATCCCAGCACTCTGGAGGCCAAGGTGGGTGGACGGCTTGAACTCAGAGTTTGAGACCACCGTGAGCAACATGACAAAACGCTATCTCTACAAACAATATAAAAATTAGCCTGGTGTGGTGGTGCACGCCTGTGGTCCCAGCTACTAGGGGCTGATGTGGGAGGATTGCTTGAGCCTGGAAAGTGGAGGTTGCAGTGAGCTGAGATTGCACCACTGCACTCCAGCCTGGGTGACACAAGGAGACGCTGTCTCAGTAAGTAAATAAATAAATAAATAAATAAATAAATACCTGTTCACAACTCATTCACAGAAATAATGCTAACTTTTATGGTCGATGCATGATGTATACCGTTTTTTGGTAAAAATGTTGTAATTGTAAACATATTTTCCTATCTTGATGGATATTTGTTATAAGCAGTGTCAAACATTTCATGGAAAGAGGTGTTATATACATATTATACATAAATTCATGAACTTCTTTATCTTTCTTTCCTCTGACGTTAGATGTTTAGAATTTTTTAAATTGTTTGCTCTCATTGGTAATGCCACCAGGGAAGCTTGGTTCATCACATCTGGGAGAACAGATCCTTTTTATAAATGCCTAAGAGATGTTTTGAATGATTCAAGTTTTGACTGTCTTTAGAGCTTTCCCCATATGTTGCCATATGGATTTCAAAAGGTTAAATTTTTACATGTATAAAATTATTTAATACATGCTCTATTATATTTTAACATAATAAATATATGAAATACTTTTTTTACATTTTTTAAGTTAACTACTTTAATAAATTTATCATGGTAGTTTTTAGCTGATGCATACAGATTGCCAGGCTATTTAATCAGTTAATCTGAAAATAATTATAGATCAAGTTTCTTAATTCCAGCTTTATTGTAAATATAAAACACACTTGATATTTACTAAAAAAGTAAAATGTAGATTGTGAAGTCATCTTATATAATCACAAGTCAATAGGAGTCAAATTAACAAGATTCTGTATTTATAGATTATAAAGAATAAGAGTTTATAAAGGAACCTAGTTTCTTTTTGCTTACACAGCATCACCCAGCCCTCCACCTGCACCACTGGAGGGATGGCAGGTGTGGAGGTTGGGCTGGTGCTGGTGATGGAGTGAGATACTGGAACAGTGTCTGCTCTCTTTGTACAGCAGCAAGGATTGGAGTGAACAGTGCTGTCTTGTAGCCCCAAGAGTTTATGGGAATTTTCAGCTTCTCCTATTTTTATCATTCTGATCGAATGTCAATAAATTCATACAAGTAAAATAATAAAAAATAAAACCCTCATATTTCCTTATTTGTCAAGATATGAAATTAGTTCTAGTGAATCAAGAACACTAATATTTTGGCTACTTAATTATATCTATGAGTAGATGCTAAGTTTAATTTTAAAGGGATCTATAATAGAAAAAAATACATTGTGATTCTTTATTATGACTTCCTTTCTAGATCATAAAATCCTTTTGAGTCTACCTTCAAAAATATTTAGCTCACCTCCCTCTCTTCCACCACCACGGGGCTGTCACATGTCCTGTGAGGCAGTCACTTTGCCTTCACCCGTTGGATGACCTGCCACCCAATCCTGCTCTCTTCCCACAGAATTATCTTCCAAAAATGCAACTCACTTTATGTCAGGCTCCTGCTTAATAAACCTTTGCTACCTCTCCCTCAGGATGAAGTCCTAATTTCTCGTCACCTTATAAAAAATGATTACAGGCCAGACGAAGTGGCTCATGCCTGTAATCCCAGCACTTTGGGAGGCCAAGGCGGGTAGATCACGAGGTCAGGAAATCGAGACCATCCTGGCTAACACGGTGAAACCTTGTATCTACTGAAAATACAAAAAATTAGCCGGGCATGGTAGCAGGTGCCTGGAGTCCCAGCTACTTGGGAGGCTGAGGCAGGAGAATCACTTGAGCCCGGGAGGCAGAGGTTGCAGTGAGCCAAGATTGCACCACTGCACTCCAGCCTGGAAGACAGAGCAAGATTCCGTCTCAAAAAAAAAAAAAAAAAAGATTACAATTTGGCCACAATCAGCATTTTTTTTTTAACCTCACTCTTCCCATATAATTTATGCCCTAGCCGGCCGGGCGCGGTGGCTCACGCCTGTAATCCCAGCACTTTCGGAGGCCGAGGCGGGTGGATCACGAGGTCAGGAGATCGAGACCACCCTGGGTGACATGGTGAAACCCCATCTCTACTAAAAATACAAGAAATTAGCCGGGCGTGGTGTTGGGTGCCTGTAGTCCCAGCTACTCAGGAGGCTGAGGCAGGAGAATGGCTTGAACCCGGGAGGCAGAGCTTGCAGTGAGCCGAGATCGCGCCACTGCTATCCAGCCTGGGCGACAAAGCGAGACTCCGTCTCAAAATAAAATAAAATAAAATAAAATAAAATAAAATAAAATAAAATAAAATAAAATAAAATAAAATAATTTACACCCTAGCTAAGACCAACAAAATGCAGTTAGCTGATAGATAGATGCGCATGGAATGACAGGGCAGTATGAGGTGATGCATCCTAACTCAATTTGATCTCTGAAACGAATTTCTAGCTCAGAAAACGAAATATAGAATTAATCACAGTAAAAAGTGGGAAAATTCTTTTATATAAAACATTAGATTTGGAAAGGCAAAATACGAAGAACAAAATAAAAATATAAGCCAATGTAAATGTAACCGCATTCACTTTTATTAAACTCTGCTCAGAAACTAAAACTGAATCTTGATGGATTATGTCATAAATCCATGAAAACTGAGCTTTTCAGAATCAAGAGCTTTCACCCTGGTCTCCATCCTCACCCCTGTTGTCTGTATCATACCTTTTCCCGCTGCCGCCTTCTTTTTCCAATTTTCACTCCAAGTATTTCTTCAAAAATCAAAAAAATTACCCATTTTCCAAGGGATCCCCATGTTAGCTTTTAGTTTCATTCCTTTGAACCCCTAAGAAACTCTTCTCTATTCCTATCACTATCCAAAGCCTGTAAAAGTTGGTCTTACAGTACACTGTTGGTTTGGGAAAAAATCTTTTAGAATTCTTGGACCTTTGAAGGGAGTATGTGTAGTATAGGTTTTCTTTTTCCCTCTTGGTTTTGAGAGAAAGCTAAAAAGATAGGGAATGGGTAGAAATTAAACAATGGCTTCAATAAACGGGGAAAACAAAAGTGAAAACAAAAACACTAAAAAATAGAAAAAACAAAAGTCTGCAAACAGCTTCCATGTCTGCTTCTCTGTTTCTTAGTGTTTGTAACATTTGAGTCAAAACAAACCTGTGGGTTCAGTGTTTCTCTGAGCAGGTAGGAGGTTGTCAGCCTAAAAGAGTCAGACTGAAGCTTTCATTCATGAACCTTCACATCTGATCAACTTTCCAATCTCAATTCATCAGCTAAACTGTTCACTATGCAGAAAATCCTTTGCTCTGAAGCCTTAGGGACAAGGTCAGTTTTTTGGCAGAAACCAACTTTTTAATATATAGCTATTATATATATTGGCTATATATTCTGCCTACAACATAGGCAGAATAATGGTCCCTAGTAGTGAGCACATTCTAATTTCCAGAACTTGTGATTACATTACCTTATATGACAAAAAAGACTTTGCAGATGTGACTAAAGTTAAGGACTTTGAGATGGGAAGATCATCCTGGAATATTCAGTTGAGCCTTAATCTAATCATTTGGATCATTAAGAGTGGAGAACTTTTCTCAAATAGGATCAGAGAAAAAGATGGTCAATGGAAGCAGGGCCAGGGAAATGCTACATAGCTGAGTAAGACGATAGAGGAAGGGGCTGTGAGCCAAGCAATCTGGACCACCGCTAGAAGCTGAAAAACTCAAAGTGGCTGATGCTGTCCTGGATCCTCCAGAAAACATCACTGACATTTTTATTTTTGCATAGTGAGACTCATATCAGACTTAAAGACCTGTATGGTAATAAATTTGTGTTGTTTCAAGGCACTGAATTTTTTGCAATTTGTTATGATAGCAGCAGAAAAGTAATGCACCATAGTTCACTTTCGAGTTTTTTTAATTATGATTTTTTTACAGATGTTGTTGCTATGATTTTTCTTTTTAAGACCTGCAGTGACCTGCTGCTACCAGAACTGACTCGCTTCAAAGTGACGGATGAAACCCATATGGAGATATTCCTGGGGTGGGTAGGCCAGTTGGAAGACAGAGTGTTTACACCTGAGAGAGGACTTGAGGTGAGTTGAGTATAGGGCTTGATTATGAGTTTAATATCTACTTCTCTCACTGGACTGCTCCATCACTGAGGGCAGGTTTATCTGTCATGTTCCCCTGTGCTATGTTTTTTTTTTGTCCCTACCTAAGCTCATGTTGAAATTTAATCCCCAGCGTGATGGTATTAGGAGGAAGGTATTAGTGGAAGATGTTTGAGTCACGGGAAAAGATCCCTTGTGAATGACTCGGTGCTGTTCATATGGTAGTGAGTTTTCCATCTCACGAGATGAATTGGTTCCTAAAGGAATGGATGAGTTCCCTTGAGAGTGGGTTGTTATGAATCCAGGACACTCTCAGGTTTGGTCCCCTTCAAGTGCCTGATTCTTCTTTGACCTTCTCACTAGGTTTGGTGCAGCACAGGAGCCCCCACCAGAAGCTGAGCAGAGGTACAGCCTACAGAACCATGAGCAAAATTAACCTCTTTTCTTTATAAATCACCCAGCCTCAGATATTTCTTTGTAGCAACACAGAAAGGAAAAAGACACCCTGGATGCTCAGTTCTTGGAGAAGCACAGGTATTTTGCCAAAGTGCTTAAGAGCAGGCCTCCGGATGTCTGACTACCTAGGTTCAAATTCCAGCTGGGTGGCTTCCAAGCTGTGTGCCATGTGCCTTTGGGCAGGTAAGTCAATGCACCTCCTGTGCCTCTGTGGGGCCAGCAGCAGTACTTCATAAAGGATAGGTTGCTGAATTAAGTATATTATGGTCATGTTTCAACTAACATGTACCTAATATGTGCTAGGTTCTCCTCTGGGCACCCTGGAACCATCAGTGAACAACAACAAAAAAGAATCCTCTGTCCTCTTAGAGCTTACATTCTAGTGTGAGAACACAAATAATAAATATACTAAATGACAAATAGAAAAACAAAATAAGGCAAGGAAAAGAAATAGTATCAAAGGCAGCTGGTCATGATTTTTAAAATATACTGACTATGTGTATTAGCTGGTTCTCACACTGCTAATAAAGACATACCTGAGACCGGGTAATTTATAAAGGAAAGAGGTTTAATTGACTCACAGTTTGGCATGGCTGGGGAGGCTGCAGGAAACTTACAATCATGGCAGAAGGGGAAGCAAACACATCCTTCTTCACATGGCACCAGCAAGAAGAAGTATGAGTGAAGCAAGGGGAATGTCCCTTATAAAACCATCAGATCTTGTAAGAACTCACTCACTGTCATGAGAACAGCATGGGGGAAACCACCCCCATGATTCAATTACTTTCTATAGGGTCCCTCCCATGACACGTGGGGATTATGGGAACCACAATTCAGAATGGGATTTGGGTGGGGGATTTTGGCCAAACCATATCACCAGGGTAGGCTTTATTAAGAAGGACATTTTGAAAACGCTTAAAGGTGGTGGGAGAATTAGTCATTTCTGTATCTATGGCAAGGACTTTCTCAGCAGAAAGAGCATCTGGACAAAGGCCCCGAGGCTGGAGGAAGCCTAGTGGAATGGAAGACGGTGGCCAGAACATCTGGAGTAGAGAGAACTGGGAGAAATTTGGTAGTGAGGAAAATAATGTGGGGCTAGATTATGTGGAGTCTAGCAAGCCATTTTAGAAGAAGAAGGAAGGTTTTCAGCAGTAAGGGATACCAGGAAGAGACATTTACAATGAGCCACTCTGGCTTCTATATCTAGGACAGACTCCAGAGGATGTGGGGTAGGGTCAGGGTCAGGAAAGTAAACACCAAATCCAAGGCCACTGGGAAACAGGGGCATGAGATTGTGGTCCCTCAGAATAAAGTGGTAGTCCTGGAGATGGTAAGAAATAATAAGATTGCTGGACAAGTTTAAAATAAAGCCAAAACAATTCCCTCACTCTAAGGATATGGAATGTTCAAGAGTGATAACAGATGAGAATGACCCCAGGTTTGGGGGAGGCAAAACATTGGTAGAGCAGGGCAGCTAACAGCTGAGAAGGGAAGGCTGGGAATGGGCTCAGTGTTGAATGTGTGGAGAATCCAATGTGGGTAAAGCACCAGTGGAGATGTCGAAAAGACAGTTGGACAAAGGAGGAAATGTCAGGAGGCCGCAGTGTGGACTATGAACTTGGGCATCAGCGTGTGAATGGTATTTGAAGCTGTGAGACTGCATAAGGTCACAAGAGGAATGTGTGTGGACAGAGAGGAGAGGAAGACTGAGCTCTGAGCCATAAAAAGTAAAAAATCAGAGGGGAAAGAAAGGAAAATTTGTTATGAGAAAAACCACAGGAGTGTGGTATTGTGGAATCTAAGAGAAGACATGAATCAAGAGAGAGGAAGGGGTCAGCTGGGTGGAATGTAACTGGTCCCATTGGGTTTAGCGACACAAAGATCTTCCACAATGTGTTTGTGGAGTATAGAGGACAGAAGCGGGTGGAGTGAGGTTAAAAGACAAGAGAGGGAGAGGAAATGGAGTTAGTGAGTATAGATAACTCTTGACAGCTTTATTGAAAATGGGAGCAAAGAAATAGGTGATTGCAGGCAGAAGAAATGGGGTTAGGAGAAGGGTCATCAAAATTGGGAGAAATGACAGCATGCTTTTGTATAGATGGTGATAATCCAGTGAAGAGGAGAAACTTGGCAATATGGGAGAAAGTGGAGAAAGCTCTGGGGGCCGTGCCCTGGAGTCAGGGGAAAACAGAAGGGTGGCACACATCGCTGGAGAAGCTTGCTTTGGTGGGAGCACGGACGGGGCATCCGGGGAAGAGGTATAAAGGGGAAGAAAGTGGAGACAGGTGCTGGCAGATGAAGAGCTAAGAGGAGGGAGTTTGGGGCATTATTTTCTTATTGTTCCTATTTCTCAGGGAGGGGGAAGCCAGGTCACATGGGGAGGAGGTGGACAGCAGTGGCCGGTGCTCAGCAAGGCTCCAGGGTGCTGATGCTTCGACAAGCCATAGGTCGGAACCCTAGAAGACAAGCAAAGCTGCCTGTTGAATTATTGAAGAAATGCATGTGATAAATCTTATTTGTGAGAACCGAAATACTAATTTTTATAGTTCTATGAGCTTCGGCTAAATTTTTTGTTAAGTTACGGTCACAATAATGTGTTTTATGTTTCATTTCAATGTACACTGTAAAGAATTGTGATAGCACATAATCAGGCCTATTTTAGCAGAAAAATTGAAGTGGTAAGTATGCTAATAGTCTCAAAACAAGAATATATGAACTTTTCTCTGAACTGTATTATAATGAAGATGAGGTAAGGAAAGCTCTCTCTCGTGACCAAAAGAGGCATGAATTTGGTGTCTATACTAAAACCTGGGCCCTTGTTGCTCAAATTATTTTTGAAAATAGATAAAGTATGATAAAAAGAGAAAACCAAATAAGAGGACAGAAATAGAGAGATCATAATTTTAAAACAAAGCAACTTTCAGCATGAGCAAGGCAAGCTGAGAATAAATAAAAAGAAGCTACTTCAGAGTAGAAAATCAGATTACAGAGCTCATGACTCCAAGATTTTTACCAGTAAGAAGGGCAAAAAAAATAAAACTGGTTTGAGTAAAAAATAAAAAGCATAAATGAACCTCAGAGGTCAATGTCAGGCCAAGTAAAAAGGTTATTTCATAGAAATCCCAGGAAACTCTTGTTGGCAACAGAATGGTGGGCTTCTTGGACCCAGCTTCTGACTAGAAAGGCAACTTTTCTCTCTTGGTTTAAACCTCAGCTATCTAGGTTATAGAACCTGTGTCAGAGAGTAAGGGTCATGCACTTGATATTAATGATTGCATAGATGGGCTTGTTTTTTTACCATGAAAATATGGAATTCATTTTCTCACCTTGCTTAAAAGTTCTGAGTACTTTAAACCCAGTAACTGACCAATCTCTGGATTGTCTTCATGGGATTCTTACTCAGAGCTTCTCTGAGCTGGCAAACAGACGCTTCAACCATGGATGTCTGAGGAATTATAGAATTCTACCTTGTGAATGGAAAATTGAATAACTCAGGGTTCTGAACTTGAACTTCAAACACCCTTGAGAAAAGTGACCAGTCTGAAAAAGAATGTAATCTAAATTCCCATGCTTCAATGGAAATATGCCCTCTGGGAAAGTTCAATGAGGACTAACTGGTTTTCTACAATGAACTTCAGTTTATAAATGCATTCTAAATTTGTCTATCACCCTGGGATTCTTGTAATACAAGACAGCAAAACAGCAGGATGCCTTCTGCCTCTCTCCTCTGTGGTGGTTGTAAAGGACAACTGACATCCCTTACCACTACTTGGGATCATGCCAGGAAGGGTCCAGAAATAGCATTTATGCTAAAGGCAATGGCTCTGAATTCATCAGCCCAGCTTGGATTTGCAATCCTTCTGTACATTTGGAGTAACAACTACCTTATTCACATGCATATATATGTTTGATGGATATAAATAGATGACATAGATATAGACATAAACAGGTATCTGTGGGTCTATTTATTAATTTTAAAAGAAACATTGTATTGCATACTTGCAATTTGCCAAAAAAGTAGATTTTAGATACTCTTACCACAAAAAGAAAGAAAGAAAGAAAGAAAGAAAGAAAGAGAGAGAGAGAGGGAGGGAGGGAGGAAGAAAGAAGGCAGGGAGGGAGGAAGGAAGGAAGGAAGAAAGGAAGGAAGGAAGGGAGGGGAAGGGAAGGGAAGGAGGGAAGGGAGGGGAAGGACGGAAGGAAAGGGAAGGAGGGAAGGGTAGGATGGAAGGGAAGGGAAGCAGGGAGAGAGGGTATACTTATCTTGATGTGTATATATCAAGATATGTATATCAAAATATATACCTATATATATCAAGATGATTGTATCAGAACAACATGATGTACACCTTAAATATATATAATTTTAAAAACATACAAAGATAAATATTTAATTGCTATTTCATTTATTTATTTATTAACTTTTAAGTACAGGGTACATGTGCAGTTTTGTGACGTAGGTAAACCTGTGTCATGGGGGTTTATTCTATAGATTATTACATGACCCAGGTATTAAGCCTAATACCCACTAGTTATTTTTCCGGATCCTCTCCCTCCTCCCACTTTCCATCCTCTGATAGGCTCCAGTGTGTGTTGTTCTCCTCTACATGTTCATGTGTTCTCATCATTTAGCTCCCACTTATAAATAAGAACATCTGGTATTTGCTTTTCTGTCCTTGCGTTAGTTTGCTAAGAATAATGGCCTCTAGCTCCATCCAAGTTCTGGCAAAGGACATGATCTCATCCCTTTTATGGCCTCACAGTATTCCATGTATTCCATAGTATTCCATGTATATGTACCACTTTCTTTATCCAATTTATCATTGATGGATATTTAAGTTGATTCTATGTCTTTTCTATTGTGAACAGTACTGCAATGAACATACGCATGCATGTATTTTGATAATAGAACAATTTGGATTCCTTTGGGTATATACCTGGTAATGGGATTTCTGGATCAAATGGTATTTCTGTCTCTAGGTCTTTGAGGAATCGCCACACTGTCTTCCACAATGGTTGAACTAATTTACATTCCCACCAACAGTGTATATGCATTTTGTTTTCTCTACAACGTCACCAGCATCTGTTATTTTTTTACTTTTAACACTAGCCATTCTGACTGGTGTGAAATGGTTCTCATTGTGGTTTTGATTTGCATTTGTCTAATGGTCAGTGACGTTAAGCATTTTTTCATATGACTGTTGGCCATATGTATGTCTTCTTTAGATAGTTCAAATAGTTGATGAGGATTACCTAGGAATTTAAAATATGCTTGATATCTCTTTCCAAACCTGCTAAAATATTTATTTTCAAATGGCAGCTTTCCATGTCACTGCATGGGCATCTGGTCCTGCTCTCTGGGCTCATGTGTATCTGGCTACATACCAGTGAGAAGCATGAGTGACCTGAATTCTGCATTAGAACACTTTTCTTATCTTTTAATAGCTTTGCTACAATTTTCTAAACATAACTCAGTGATCCTCTATTCAGAGTTTAATTTTATCACTGGATTTAGAATTTAGAGAAATAAATGCTCCATAATCATTGCAGTATCCTATGTCCCTGATAGAATAAAGAAAACTGCTCACATGACAGCAATGGTATTGTTAAAATTTAAATGAACTTTCAGAGGTTCATGGTATGATTATAGGTATGAGTGGAGGATTATGTATAAAATTATCCATGCATTAATTTTTCATCCATCCATCTTGCATACATGTATATACAAATATGTATTTATGCATATATACATATATATCTGTGCATGTATGTTGGTAAATATACATGTTTCTGTCCTTTGCTCTGTCTCTCTTTCTGTCGTTTTATTCTGCTTAATAATCACATGATAAAATTTCTGTATAGCTGCTCAAAGAGATCAGGTTATTCAAAAATCTCTAAGCAGTTGTGAAACCCAAGGGACATGAACAGAATCCTGCACCGCAGAACCAAGTAATCTCTGTATTCAGGTTATTTGGAAGAGTCCTGCAAACCAAAGTAGAGTTCATAGGAAAAGCCTATTGAGGCTAATTACCTTGATGGAAACTGATAAGTAATTGCTCATCTCATATAATCCGTTCATTTCATTTCAATTCATCTCATTTGTTCTTCACAAAAACCGACACTTGAGGATACCAGGTTTGAGACTGTGCTCCTCTACCTCTGAGCCTTGGTTTCCTCATCTACAAAACAGCAGTAGCAATCATTCTCTTGCCAAGATATGAGAGAGGATGCAATGAGGTGATGAGAGCAGAGTACCTTTTTTAGTACCGTCAATGATACTAGTGCTGCTTGCTATTAGTCAATAGCTGTGTGGGATCTCAACACAACATCCTCGGCCTGGACCCCTGTTTTCTACCTTTGGCTGGGCTTTAGATCAGAAACAAACATGGCAGGAATTCCTGCCATTGGCTTTGAACCAGAAAGAATCCCTAGAGTGGGGGTCCAAGCCAAGCTCTTGAAGGAGAGCTGAGCACCAGCCAAAGACCAAGCAACCAGGCCACATGGGCAAGACGTGAACTGCAATAAGGGTCAGAGCCAAGGCTCACAGGACATAAGCAGAGCCTGGCGGAACCTGGTGGGCTTGGAAGCATGCAGAGGGCACAGTAGTCAGGAGAATGAAGCTGGTGCTGACCTTCCCCAGTAGGAGAGTGGACAGTGGGTACCTCAGACTGACTCAAAGTAACCAAGTCAGGGACAAGTTTTCTCCCAACAAAAAATGACAGTTAATCCTCAATCGCAGGCTCAACTCTCCCTATCTACACAATCAAGTCTTACGTAGCCACGACAAAGGTAAGAATTCTAGTCTAGAGCATTGGGATGTAGGCTTCATCTGAACTCATTCTGACAGCTCAATTCTTTGGTCGGAGGACACTCACCCATGCCTGTCTGAAAAAGTGGACTTTCCACCACTGCAATGAGTTTTCTCTTTCCTATTTCCTGTCTTTCAGGGAGTCCAGATTCATGTGTTGGTACATTTTAATCTATCCTTAACTGAGTTTTGTCCTTTGACATGATACAGGATATTTCAAACAAAATTTCTCAGATGTGCCTGAAAAAGCATTTGCCCACTTATTCTCTTCTGTGATTTAAATTGAAGTTGGTGGTTTTTGTTTGTTTGTTTGTTTGCTCTTTTATTATGACAAGTTATCTTTTGGAATATAATAAGCTTTTGTGACTGTTTTATAATGTTACACTTTGGATTTCCTTGTCCCATTTGTATACCTGGATTCATATACAATAACATTTTGTATCTATGCAATTATAAGGAAAGCATCTAAGAAAAAGATGGCAGATACTATAGCTGACCGTTGAGGGCTGATCCCCTTTGCAGATCTGTTTAGACCTTAGATCCAATATTTATTCTGCTTTTCTACTCTGTCCTTGTTCTCAACATAAAGAGACAAACTTCTTGAAGCTGGAAGCCACATGTTGACAGACGTGGTGATTTTTGTCAAACTCTACAGAAAACTTAGGTTTTCCACATCCAGTTTTTTTCCCTTGTTTTTTTTCTTGGGGCTGTTACACAGTCTCAACTAAAACCATGAACTCTCGTTTTTAAATATTCTGTCTACAGGCAGGTGACAGCAACTTCACATTTCAGACAGAAACATTATGAGTAAGAACCTGGGTCAGGCACATGCATTTTTTTCAATCGTTTCATTGTGGATGATGAACCAAGCCAGGTGGGACCTTGAAAATACTGACTGATTTTTTTTTTCTGGGGTTTTGGCCAAACATGGAACTTTTAATGAAGTTCCATGAGCACTTTTAATGAGCACTTCTCTTGTGCTCCTGACTGAAAATTGCATTCTCAGAGGCAGCTATTAGGTGAGTTTGGGATCATGTTGAGTCCAACACCAGCTACTTCTGATTTTTAGGACGAAAGTTCCGCTTCATAGGACAATTGAATTCGGTCCATGGGACTTCCCACTGTAATAAAGAACTGCCCAAATTTTAATGTTTTAGTCAGTCCTGGCTCAAGCATAACCAGGTGATTTTGCTGTAGTTTTTACATGAAAACTCTAGTGAAGGAGGGTAATGTGTTTCAGTTTCAGTTATGCAGAAGAGCTGAGAAGAATTACTAACCAGGGTATATGCCTTTGAAATCCCCTCTTTAGTTTTTTTTTCCCCTAAAATGAGATCTTTTCAATCCTCTTGGTTTGTGTCTGAAAATCTCAGTGGCCTGAGAACACAAAGGAAATTGATTCAAAGACTTTGGAAAACTTTGCAAAGGGGCTGTCATTCGACTGGCTTCCTTTGTCAGGTGCCCAAATCTGATACTGCCCCATGGAAAGGGTATGAGGGAGATGGAACTCGCCCCTGACCCAGTTCCTTTTCAGCCCTGCCTTGGAGTGGTTGTGCAAAGAACAATCCCCACCATAGCCAAATCCATAATTGTTCTGGAAAGTGTTTTCCCTACGGTTTCTGATAAGTTCTTTGTAGGTGAACTTTCCTCACCAGCCAAGGAACTATCCAAGCTCCACGAGGTTAAACGATTTCCCCAAAGACTATTACATCTTAATCCAATCAAGGAAGCAATCTCATTTTTCTGAATGCATTACCAAAATGTTTTCAAGCCTCCATTGCATGTATCTTTCTAGAGGAATAGTTTTATGTTCATCGAATTGAAAGAAAACTTTTTAAATGCCAAAATGACAGGACACATTGATATTCCTCAGGTCAAGCTTAGAAATGCAATTTAAGTTTACCTGGCAACTGAAAATATTGTTAAAACAGATTAATGCACTCCAAGAATTCAAATTATCTACGTGGAAAAAATATAAAAATCTGTGTTGTAGGTTTAGAAAACAGATGGGCTTATAAAGTATAACCTTTCGAAATTGATCAGCAAAGCCCCTCTTTATTAATCCTAGTTAAAATATAGCAGCTTAGGGAAGTTGTAGGGCCTCAGATGTATCAAATAGAGATTTTTCCTGTAGGAGCTGAAAGAAGAGTACAAGTTTAAAAGAGCTCCACAGTTCCAGGAAGGCTCCCTCCTGAACACACGTGGGCAGCAACCTTAGGCACCTACCCACGAACAAAGGTTGATGGGCAAGCCTCATGCTAACAGGACCCCTCTTTCTAGCCAAGTGAAAGGCAGCCACCTAGAGCTTTCACCAAGAGGTGCACATTGCCAGTGCTTGAAAGGGAATCACAGGTGACTGGTCTGTGCATGTTACTTTTCTTGCCCACTCAAGTAGATTGTCCTGCCTTGTGTCTCCAAATTTCTGCTAAAGGAGTGACCCCTGGGAGGTGACCTCCCTTAGACAAACTTGGTTTACGGTTCCCAACACTGACCCACACTGAGATATGACCTTGGACCAACTACTTAAACTCCTCAGTGTTTTAAAAACAGTTTGCACGACACACATTTTACCCTTTCCAAGCCAGAAAGGGTATCTTTCCAACAGGATGTCCTTCTTCCTATTCCCAATGGACCTTTTTTTGGGGTCCCACTTCTTTACCTGAAAGACCCATCCAGGCAGCTGGTCAGCCTCTCTTCTGATCCTCCCTGGGCCCACTGCCCACCTTCCCAGCTCTCATTGTCTAACGCAGCACTGCCCAACAGAAAAACAATTCCAGCTACATAGGCAGCTTAAAGTTATTTTAGGCCGGGCAAGGTGGCTCACGCCTGTAATCCCAGCACTTTGGGAGGCCGAGGCGGGGGGATCACCTCAGGTTGGGAGTTTAAGACCAGCCTGACCAACATGGAGAAACCCCGTCTCTACTAAAAATACAAAATTAGCTGGATGCGGTGCCGCATGCCTGTAATCCCAGATACTCGGGAGGCTGAGGCAGGAGAATTGCTTGAACCCGGGAGGCAAAGGCAGCGGTGAGCCGAGATCGCGCCATTGCACTCCAGCCTAGGCAACAAGAGCAAAACTTTGTCTCAAAAAAAAAAAAAGTTATTTTGGTAACCTTAGTAACCACCTTGAAAAATAAAAAGAAACTGTTGAACGTTATTTCAACAATATATTTTGTTTAACCCAATATATTAAAAATATTATCACTTCAAAATGTGATCAATGTTAAACCGTAGGTGAGATAGTTTACTTCTTTTCGTACTAAAACTTTTAAATACAGTGCGCCTTATACTTACAGCACATTTCAATTCAGACTAGTCTACTTTCGACTGCTCAGCGGCCGCGTTCAGCCAGTGACTAGCATATGAGAAAGCACTGGTCAGGAGTAGAGCAGCAGTGTCCAGTTGTGCCTGCTGGCCCATAGTCACTGTCCTGTCCTATCTGTTTTTTGTTGTCGTTGTTGCTGTTGTTTGTTTGTTTTGAGACGCAGTCTCACTCTGTCACCCAGGCTGGAGTGCAGCGTCATAATCTATGCTCACTGCAACCTCCGCCTCCCGAGTTCAAGGGATTCTCCTGCCTCAGCCTCCTGAGTAGCTGGGATGAGAGGTGTGTGCCACCATGCCTGGCTAATTTTTTGTATTTTTAGTAGAGACAGGGTTTCACCATGTTGGCCAGGCTGGTCTCGAACTCCTGACCTCAGGTGATCCACCTGCCTTGGTTTCCCAAAGTGCTGGGATTACAGGTGTGAGCCACCCCGCCCAGCCCCTGTCCTACCTGTTTTAACTTCAGTGTGCCATGATGATATTTTAAAACCTAATAATGCCCTCTATCTACTGCTGAACTAGTAAAATAAATGTCTCTTACATTGATGTGACAGGCCCCTTGTAATATCAGTAAATATGTTCCTCTTTCTCTCCTCTCTGGTTTCTTAATCTGTGGTCAAGCTTTACCCCTAACTCACCTTGGAACATACTGCCCTCCATCCGCCTCCACACCATCCCTTAGTTCCCTAGAAAGAAATGTGACCAGATCCCCCTGCCTGCCAAGACCCTTAATGACCCTCATCCAACATCCCTCCTTCACTGGACGCATCATCCCTTTACTGATGAACTCTCATCCAGTCCCTCAACGGCAGCAGGAGCAGCGTGTTGCCATGTGTTGTAGTTATTTATCTGAAACATCACAGCACCGTGTACAGAGCCAGCTCTATGAGACCCTCCTAGAATGCCTAGTGCAGGGATTATGTGAAGGTGGACCCTGAATTAAAACCCTTTCCCTTTTCTCTTCTTATGCTATGTAGAAGGGATCCTAGTGCCCTATCAGTAGACTATCACCTAATTAGAGCTTGTTGAGCTAGCTTAGGGCGCGCATGGAGACCATGAGCATTTGCAATGAGTTTTAGCATATACCTGGACTTATCCGTGGAATGGGCAAGGATATGCGGAATGGCTGCCTCATTAAAGACCTCTGGGCTTCTCCAGCTAAAGGCAGAAAACTGTTGTGTTTGATTGTATCTCTTTGGTTGCCTGGATAATCTAAAGCAATCTCAACTCATTTGATTTAGTCACTGAGAAGCCTGTCATTGTTCTGAAATCACTTGTAAGTTTTCACTGAAACTGGAAAGTTTTTCTTTGTTTGGCAAGATACATTTATAATTTCTTCTACAATGAAAGCCCAGGTGAGAGGGGTCCAAGCAAGCAGGTGGCACAGAAGCATTTGTTGGGTGAGATGTACCTGAAATCACCTGCATCTCCTTGTTGGCCTACGGAATGTCTGGCCTGCAGGGGCCTCTGGATGGGGGTGTGGGTGCTGGGTCTGGCCTCAGTCTTCCAGATGCAGGCTGTGGTCATCAGTCTGGTTCTCCCTCACTGCCTCTTTCCTCTGTTTTGAAGCTTAAGACAGAACTTGACACAGTAATTCCTGGCCTGATCCTGGGTGACTCAGTACTCATTCTCATCTTTCCCTCTCCCTCATGACGGGAATCAGGAGCAGATCTCCTTCACCCCCACCCTGTATAACCCTTTATTAGCTTTACTGTAAACAGATAAAGAGCTTTCTCTGGTGCATTTGGCTACGTTTTCCTTCTTGTTTTTTCTTGTCAGTGACACATGCTGTTTTATTCTTGATCCTAGCATATCTGAACCTTTTGCACCATTCAGTAAAGAGAAAAGGGGAGCTCAGGTGAGAAATATAGTTTTATTATTTATTAATTAATTTCTTATTAAGTTCAAATGTTGTTGATTCCTTACCTAAAGTCTAACAACTCTCCCCATTTCGCATCCAAGCATTCTCAATATTTGCTTTAGACAGCAACAGCAGGATGGCAAATGGACCCTAGATTCCCTCTGCTGGGTCAAAGGATGGCCCAATAAGCAAGTACTCGATAATTATTAACAATAATTGAGAGAAAGATGGAATATGGAGTATTTGCCTTTTAGGAAATAGAGTGTTCAGGTTAATATTTTTCTAAAGGAAAGAAAAAGCGTGACAGAGCTATTCCCAGACTTCCACAGTTTAAACTTGGGCCAGTGGTCTAGGGTGTCTTAGGGGTTTGGTGGAAGGAGATTCCTGAGGGTAGCCCCTGCTCACATATATACTCTTTGCCAAGGATTCCATGCAAGTAGTTTGTGTCACTCTCTTGCTTCAGGTATTTTTCTATGCAGACCAGGATTTTCTTGCATTCTGATCTATTCTCAGAATGAGGAATAAAGGGACCCTAAACAAACACAGGTTTCTCTCACCTCACAATAAATCAGAAGTTCAGTAAAATAATGGGAATGTCCTCTAACTTCAAACTGGGTTCAGATTTTATCAAAGCACTTTACTTGTTTGCTCTGAATCATTCAACAAAGTTACCAATTTTGTTTCCTTTAGAAGGTAATGCCAAAGCAAGTTCTATTTGGTTGATTAATTGATTGTTTGATTACATGTTAATCACAGTGATCTTAAAGTTACTTCCTGCCATTGGGATAACTTCCAGGAGTAGGAGGAGTGGTCAAGATGTTTCAGAGTCACTTAAGTCCATGAGCACATGTTCAGCCTCAGCAGCTTCTGTTCTGATCAGGGTCTGTGCAAAGTCCTTGAAGATGACAGAGCAAAGCCATCGGAGGATGGTTGACTTCATGCTCTCTGCACTCCCTCCAACAAGGGGCTCTGACACTGGACACCTCATGATCAGGCCCCCAGGGCATGTGCTTCTCCCCATGGGCAGCAGCATCTGACCGGTCATCCCTGTACCTTCGCTCCATTGCTTCATTGGTCCCAGTAGGAAGCTGAGCAGAAGCACCTGGTTTCTAGGAGCTGATGAGGGCTGCTGGCAAATGAGTGGATAGTTTCCCAGAAAAGTAGTGGTCAGTGATCATAACAGGGCACTTAATGCTTGGAGGCAGGGGGCATACCATTATTCCAATGAGCTCCAGGACCTCAGCAAAGTTGATGCAGGCAGTGGAGTATTGGTGTTTTGACAGTAAAAGGAAGCAACACTTGCACCGGCCCATCTCGAACAACTAAAAGTTGTAGCTGCTCATCCCTGGAGAGGGCTCCCACTTCACCAGGCACTGTGCCAAGTTCTTTGTGTGTTCTGTCTGGTGTACTCCTCACAATAAGCCAGCTGAGGCAGATATTGTCATTAACCCATGCTGCAAATAGGGAAACAGAATCTTATAGTAATCACTAAGTGACTCGTTAAATTCACAGCCAATCAAAGGCAAACCCGGGGTTTGAATTCAATTTATCTTTCTGTCTGCTGCTTATGCTAAAATTCCGCCCCATTTCCTTTCTCTTATTTGCCTGTCTTAAAGCTTCAATTCTATCGTCACCTCTTCTGTAGAGTTTCTTTGATTTATAGAGAAGCCTTGGAGTTGAGCCTCTCCAGTCTCACTTCCACAATGGTACAGCAGTCAACTTGCTATGGTTAGACTAACCATAACTCTGCTGTTCTAGAGACTCTGAAGTCCTGGATACCTGGACTATATATTTCTGATGTGAGGATTGCTAGCCGCTAGTACCATACAGGTAATATACATATGATGAAAGGAGGAAAAAGAAAAACAGACAGAGGAAGGAAAGAAAGAAGAAGGGGAGGAAGAACACAGGAAGGAAAAAAGCAGACCCTGTCATTCTTTTCAAAAGACTTAACCATAGCCATTTACCTAAAAAGAATATTAATTACTTCTATTGTATAAATAAAAAAAACTAAAAGACAACTGAAGGTGGCCTGAATTTTTTCATTGTGTAAAAATTAATGGGACTGTATCATTAGATGACCCACAGGAAGAAGGTATCATACACCTATTCACAGCGAGTAAGATGTCAGAACATCTTACTTACAGATGGCTATTGTGTTTTCTATCAATAGCCAATTTCTGGAATTTAAATTTAATACATTTTAAGAACGATATCCTGAGACTTACATTATCAATGATCACACTTTCCTTATCTTGAACTAGGATAATAAAAATACGTAAAAAAAAAAAAAAAGTCAATTTTCTAACCTAAAAACCTTTGAAACAGTCACCCTCAGCATAGAGCACGGTGCCAATAATACTCAATGAATTCTTCTTGAAAGCATGTGTAAATGCATGAATGTATGAATCCATAAGGAAATGAATCTCTCTGAACCTTAACATTTAGGCAGTCAAACTGGAGATGGGAGTGGAGAACAAGATACAGTTGAGCTCCCCAAACAATTACCACGTAGTAAGATAGCACTGAGAAAGACGCCAAGAAGGGATTTTATTTTTAAAATAAGGAAAACTAAGAGATACAGAAGATAGATTGAGAGACTCCAAACACTCTCAGTGGCAGCTCGAGAAGATGAAAAGACAATGACACAGAAGTGAATAGTCTAAAAGTTAATGGCTATTTTCCAACTTAAAAGTTCTGCTTTTTCTGTAGGACACTCAATTTGAGTTTAGAGTGAGTTAAGAAAAAAATCCATATTGGGACATAAGCTAGTACAATTTAGAACAGCAAGTTAAAGAAAAAAAAGTAAAAGTTATAAAAAATGTTTTGAAAAGAAATATCTGTAAGAATAACCGCAGACACATCACTGGCAAATTGATGAAGAAATCAATGAAGTATGCTCAGGGTACCTGAGGGAGGAAAATCAATATTGAATGATGTTCTAATCCATGACCATTAGAATTTATGATGCAATAAAGACATTTTCAGTCTTATTTAAGACAGTTTACAAGCTTTCTACATTGAAAGGAAGGACTACATATTAAGAAAAAAAAAAAAAAAAAGCAAAGTGCCTATGGAGGCATGGTGTGGATTACGAAAGTATGCCCAGTAAAGACCTTACTAACATCTATGTGTTCATATAACCAATTCTGTGTCTAAATTTGACTTTTGTGTATTAAACAGTTGCGGTTAAAATTCTATACAACAGGTTGAGTGGTTCTTTAGTTAATAGCTAACGAATACCATGTTCCTTGTCCTGCTGTGGAAGGAGGATACAGGACCTAAATAATTTTTGACACTGTTGAAAAAATTTAGAATAAATCCTATTTATGTAAGTATGAATAAACTTAAAGAAAGTAAAAGAGAATTTAAAAAACTGTTTTAATATCATATAAGGTAATATTAGAAAAAATAAGGAAAGAAAGAAAAAGAAGAAAGAAGAAGGAAGGAAGAGAAAAGCTTTACTGCTAAAAATTATCAAGTTTTTAAATCTTCCTAACATTTCTCTCCAGTGGTTGTGAATTCCTCATGTTGTGAGATGATGCTCTGCCCTCATAAGGAAGAAACCAGCTCTCACTTCGCATCCTCCCTTGCAGCTAAGGTGCAAGCATGTGACCTTGGCTCCAACAATAAGCATATTTGAATAGGCATGAGTGAGGCTTCTGTTCAGAGTCCAGAGAATCTAAAAAGCAGGTGCTTTGCAGCATCCATTGTGGTGAGGGTAAGGGCGGAGACCTACTCTGCCAGGCCAGCCATAGCACCCAGGCCCAGCGCTCTCAGTGTTATCTACAGGGGCTGTGCCCACAGCTCGGTGTTCCTCTGCTGGGGCAGTCCTGCTGTGCCACATGGGTGTTCCAGCAAAGGATGGTTCTCTGGCCTTCTGTGACACACTCTGACGGTCTCTAGTATGCCTAAATAAGTCTCTTTCCTGCTTAAATTAGAACTGATTTGTAATATATAGCCAACAACTCTGAATGGCATCATGCATGGTGAGGAAAACACAGTTTCACCATGGTACTATAACAATTGATCCAGGCAGCATTCTTTGCTGGACACAGAAAATAATGAATGTGAGTTTGCTAAATAGTAATATTTACATACATTCACTGTTATTTGTTTTTTTACAACAGGAATAAAAACTTTAGGATGGGTTAACGTAACACAACCTTAACCAAGTGATCCAACTTAATATCCTCAATAATAGGACAAACTGATATCATCTGCCTACAGTTATGACACCCTGAGGAGGAAACATCACTTCTTTAATATTCCTGCCAAAAGAAAAGAAAAGCATGACCTCATAACCTGAATTCAATCAGGAGGAAACATGCAACAAACCCAAATTGAGGAACATTCTACAAAGTAATTGGGCTGAATTCTTAAAGTCAAAATCATAAAAGATGAAAGCTGAGTAAATTTTCTGGATTAAAGGAGACAAACTGGACATGGCAATTAAATTTAATGTCAAATTCTGAATTGGATCCTGGCATATAAAAAAGAAATGTAGCTACAGAAAACATCATTGGGAAAATTAATAAAATTTGAATATGAAATATGGATGAAAAATAGTATTGAATCAATGTTACATTTTCAATTTTGATTACTATACTGATACGTAAAATCCCTTTGTCTAGCTGAGAGGATGTGCTGAGGTCATCAGAAAAGATTTTGCAAATATGTTGTTAATTTAGTCTCCACTCATAGCTGAGATTTTATCCTGAGGACCTTTTTAACCTAATGGAAATACTGGAGATGAGAAACAAGTTTCTCTCCCAAATTTGAAAATTCTGGCTCTTCCATATTCCCTCTAAATTCTAATTGCAAAATGCTCCATTCTTCCTCTAGCTCATCTCTTTCTTGCAATACCTTATTATACTTAGCTCTAAGAGCCAGCTGAACATTCAACATTCTGCTTCAAAATTTAATTGTTCAAATCAAAAAGTTTATTAGGTACATTTGCTATCTCCCAAGTTAGCAAGCATGAGGGCTTTACGATTTGTTCCACCACCACATGACATGGGTCACCATAACTCCAGACTCAATTTTCCTCCACTTCCTCCAACCTTGACCACAATGCAAAGACAGGAATCTTCGATTTTTGTTATAGTAGCACCAGCACCCCAATTCTGCATAGCAGTTCTGCCTTAATTACCTATTGTCATGATAATGATGTTTTAGAAACTATCCTCAGATGCCTTAAAACAATGTAAATTTGTTATTGCTCATGCATCAGTGGTCAGCTGGGCAGTTTTACTATTCTCACCTGGGCATCTGTGGTCAACTGCAGGTCTCACCTGTGGTCAGCTGCAGGTCTGGTGAGTGCCTCTGCTGATGGAGGCTGGGCTGCCTGACATGTTTGGGGTCAGTGGCTGTGACCAGTTTATGATGGTTTCAGTTGCAATGGCTGAGACAACTGGGCTCTCATCCACGGGACTCTCACATTCCTCAGTCCCTCCACACATGTCATCACGGTAAATGCAGAGAGCCAAAACCCAGCAAGCCCAATTATGCAAAAAGGCACATGGAAATTTAGTGTACGTTGATGTGATTTTCTTCGCATCCAATTGGTTAATGTAAGTCACATGGCTGAGTCCAAGGCAGAGTTGGAGAGAAGTAAAAATTATAGAACTGAAGGAGTAGATATGGGGAGACTTATTAGGATCTTTCTGCAACCAACCTACCACATGGTGACCTGGTTTGTGATGAAGAAACCACTGATAATCAGTGGGATAAGTCTTAGAATCTCCATAGGTAGCGCTAGGTGAATCTGATATCTACATTGAAAAAATGAATTTTGACCTCTAACTTATGCCAAAGACAAAAATTGATTTAATTGGACCACAGAATTCAATGTGCAAGATAAAACAATAAAGCTTCCAGACACGTCCCTGCTGATTTATTACCAGTCTCATGATGGGAGTTGCCTTTTGAAAACACAGATCAGCTCATAAAGTCCCCTTCTCAGAAATGTGACATGGCCCCACTGTCTTCAAAATAAATGTCAATCCTTTTATCGTTGCCTTTAAAATCCTTCTAAATCTTACCTCAAGCTACATCCCAAAAGGGACCTCCTCCCCTAGACATGCCAGGAGCTGCTCGCCCCGGAAAGCAGCTCTGTTTGCAGAATCGCGCACCGGCTCTGCACACTCCCACTCGCTTTTCCGGTTGCTCAGCTTTCTACTCCCTCTTTATTGGTAAAATATAAATTGCAATTTCAGGACACATTTTTTTAAGTATTAGGCTCTTGAAACTTTCCAGAGTACACAGGCAAACGTAACTCCCTCTCTTATGTGTCCTCCCAGAATTTTACTCAGTCACGTTGCTCACTGCTGCGCACTCCTGCAGACGCATCCCAGTGGACTCTGCGCTGCATCCCCAGAGTACAGCGAGTTTCCCGCCTCCCGTTAGAGATCCAACACATATTTTTTTTGAAAGAAGAAACTGATGGAAGACAGGAAGCAAAAAGGAGAGGAAGGAAAGGGATAGGAAGGAGGGGAAGGAAAGGGAAAGGAAGGAAAAGAAAGGAAAGTGAACTTGAAATCCTACAAGGTCTCAAAGTCAAAAAACATGTAAGTCAATTATCACAGAAAATAAAAGAACTGCTACAAGGGCAAGTTACTGGGCCAAATCTGTCACTATTACAACATAGTATGAGTGTGTTCATTTTTGGTCATTGTAATCATTGTTGCTTTGGTTATAGTCATCTATTTTATAATTTGTGGTGTCCATTTAGTTATCTTTTGTAAAAAAAAAATGTATTGTGCATGTGTATGTGTGAGAGACAGAGAGAGAGTTTTTCACAAATGGAAAATGAAGATACAATTTGGATATGGGAGAAATGGAAATTTATTTTAATGCCTGTTGACATTTATTTCACTTTGATAACCATATTATCTCCCACCCTTAATTTTAGAGATTGCTAGGAGGAAAGATGTTGCATTCTTAATAGATCAAGTAATTTAACTTCCAATAATAGTTTAAGCTAGATTTTCCACCCTGCTATTGTTTGAACGTTTGTGTCTCTCCAAGATTCATGTTCATACTTAATTCCCAACGCAGTAGTATTAAGTTGTAGGGTCTTTATTAGGTGATTAGGTCATGAGGGCTCTGGCCCCATGAATGGGAATACTCCCCTTATACAAGGATTTGAGGGAGTCTGTTCATCCCTTTTGCCATGTGAAGACATAGCTAGAAGGTGCCATCTTTGAAGGAGAGTACGCTTTCACCAGACAATGAATCTGCTGGTACCTTGGTCCTGGATTTCCCAGTCCCCGGAACTGTGATCAATAAATTTCTATTAGTTATAAATTTCTCAATCTAAGGCATTTTGCTATAGTAGTGTGAAAAGGCTGAGACACAATGATTCTTTTACTTTTCATTGTCATCAAGGGGAAAAATATCTTTTAAAAGTAGTGGAGAGTAACCATCCAGTGATCTTTCTAGACCTCATGGCTGATGTTGGCTCGATGACCCAGAATAAATGCTTTGAACCAACATTAGTTTTATACTTAGGGCACACCCATAGGAACCTATTATATTTGCAACTGGTTACACTTTAATCAATCCCAGGCAGCTGAAGTAAGTCACACAGTTTACATCTCTTGCTTAACATAAGCTGAGATATATTTCCTGAAATATTATTAGTCCTGGAGTGATTTTCCAGGCAGCCAATGCCAAGGTTTATTTATTTTTAAAGAAGTCTGAATGTTATCAATATTTGACTTTGCTAATAAGATATTTGAAGAATTTCCTTATTTTTTCTCTTTGTATATGATTTAAATAGAGTAAAAGCCTAATATTTTAGAATCACATGATTATTTATATGCAAATTAGATTGAGGTTACCTTACCAAATTCATTTGTTATTATTCAAGTACATACCGTTTTACTGGTCAAAGGTTTAGATTCTGTTCCTTCTAATTGATCAGTCTGATTGCTTTGCTGGTACAGAAGCTACCTCTGCGTGAGTGTCTGCATTGTAGATTTCTGCAGAGGTGCAGATGAGCTATAGATCTGCCGATTTGGCTTATAGATCTCCACCCCTCCTGCCATGCCAGCTCCTTCTTTACTTTTAAGTGCACTTCAAACACAGCATAAAGGTGGTTTGGAACTCAAATAAAACAGAACTTTGTTGAAGCTGTTAGTAGAAAAGGCAATACTTTATAATTTGGGCATAGACTCAATGTCAATTTCCCAAAAATTGTAGCAAAATTCTACTTACGAAATGTAATCAATAATTGCCTAAAAACATTCTGTTGTACTCGGAGAATGTGTCTGTCTTCTAAAATGGTGTTTTAATTTTTAGGATTGCTGTTTTAGAGAATTGAAGATCCTTCATCTTCAAGAATCTGAAATCTACCATGATCTTCACATGTAGCCAAACACAATGGGATGTAGTCATTTAAGAGTGCTGTGAAGGCAGTGTATGTGTACACAGAAGCCCAAAAGGCTAAAATTGGGTGGAGAAGGAGAGAAAGTTGGGTAAAAAATGAAGTCATCATAGTTGGGTGGACAGATACTTGATCAGTGGGCCAGACACACCACCACATGACCACGGCAAAGCGGCAGACATCACTCCATCCTTGGTCCCACATTTTAAGAGAGAAATAGCAATAACTGTTCCAATTTTATCTCCTGCATATTTGTTAAGGGATAATCTACAAAACAGGCACATCGACTTGGAGGTCGTAGATGAAAGCTAACTGACTATAGAGCACTAAATTTTTAAATTCCAACCCAAAGACAAATAGACTTCATATTTTACATTACTCTGATGTGGAATGAGAAAAGAGCTCTAGTGACATTTCAATTTATCATAGCTAATCATATGAACATTATTATATAAATGGGGATTCTAAAGCACTAGGTTTTAAAAAGCCTTAAAGGATAATTTTAAAATACCCTCAAAAATGTATAAAGCCATGCACGGAAATCCTTATGTCTCCCAATTTCTTGCTGAAGTGTCAAAACCAATGCAACATGAAAAGAAATTATCGAATTTGTAAAATATAAAGAGGGTGTAGTTATGTGCCTGAAACGTGGAGCAGCTTTGGCAGAAGACTGAGCAGTCACAACCTACTCGCTATTGGGAAGCCTCTGTAGAAAGAGGGGCAGTGCCTCTCAGCCCCCGAATTTCCAGGGCCCATGAGAAGGTCTTGGATCCAGGTGTCTGAGGACCAAAGATGAGCTGAGTGAGCAGAAATTCTTCTTGGTCATGTTCACCCAGGTTTGGGGGAGGGTACACTCAATGCATCACCAAAGGAGTGCTGTCAATTGTTAATGTCTTCATCAATGAATGTAAGCAAACTAAACTGCTAAAAATACAAAAATACTAAATACCCTACTAAAAATACAAAAATTAGCTGGTTGTGGTGGTGCACACCTGTAATCCCAGCTACTCAGGAGGCTGAGGCTGGAGGATCTCTTGAACCTGCCAGGTGGAAGCTGCAGTGAGCCTGGAACATGCCAATGCACTCCCACCTGAATTACAGGAGTGAGACCCTATAAATTTAGAGGGAAAATAGAAAAACTTAAAACATTAAAACCACTATGCTAACCCTGCCATGAGCACAAAACAATATGGAAGAAACAAAGCATTCTGGGAAATAAAAATCTGACTTCCAAAGTTTAAAATGTAATAGAAGTAAATAACATACAAGCTACCACAAAAATCTAATTAATGAATTAGAAAGTTAGTTTAAAAACCTCCTATTATTTAGAGAAGAGGTAGAAAATAGCTTTCATCTTGTGCACCAATTATTACTGATTGATAGTGGTTGCCTATGTTAAGAAAGATTCTGAGGTACTGCTTGGGTACCAATTCCATGGTTTGACTCCTGAATTTCAATTAAACATCACTGAGGGACTATTTAATATAAAGAAAATAAAACCTACATCTACTTGGAATAGACAATTTTCCTGCAAAGAAACCAGAATCAAATTGGTTTAGATGTCTGTGCAGCCATATTTACCTAATTCTAAGGGAAAATGATTATGACTCTTGAGTTCAACACTCAACTAACCCTCATACATGTGCAACAGCCAAAATTAATTAAAAATTACATAAATAAAATAGGAAATATATCATTTAATACCTCTTTTAACACATGAATTTTTTAAATTTTTTATTATTATACTTTAAGTTCTAGGGTACATGTGCACAACGTGCAGGTTTGTTACATATGTACACATGTGCCATGTTGGTTTGCTGCACCCATTAACTCGTCATTTACATTAGGTATTTCTCCCAATGCTATCCCTCCCCCATCCCCCAACCCCACAACAGGCCCCGGTGTGTGATGTTCCCCGTCCTGTAACACACGAATTTTTTAAGTGAACCAGGATAAAGAAATCAATAAAGAGGAAAGGATGGTACAGAAGAAAGATATCCGACAAATGGACAACATTAAAGCATTTATTTAAACAGAAACAATTGCCATGCATGTATTTTTGAAGCTTAATGCAAATACTTTAAAAACATTCTTGCTTTATACTTAAAATTTAAATTTGCACTGAAATGTTATATGACCTCACTCCAAACTCAGAAATGGTACCTGGATAAGGGAAGAAGAGTAATACTCATCCAGGAGGTATTATTTCACTCTTGATGTTAATTAAGAAATCGAGATTCAACTATATGTTCTTTCAAAATGTGAGTGTGAAATTGCAGAACGGAAAACCTTTTCAAAAAGTCCTCCAAGGAAGGCTGAGGCTTCCGCTGGGAACGAAGAACCAAAATGAAGGATATGGAGTGAGGCGACAAGATGGCGACCACATACGGTTTGAGTTCTAGCTGTCAACGTCCCGATGAATTCTTTCTTTTTAGAGGTGCTTTCCCCAGGCGATTCTTGGTCAGCCTCTCCGCCAAAGAAGAAAACACCCATGTCAGTGACACTTCCTGTGATTCGTTCTGCTGCCCTCCTGGAATAAAACTAAATTAATCTATCCTTTTGGGGAGACTCTTTTCATGTGTTTGCTGACTTGCATTTAAACGGTTTCCTTTAAAATTGTTTTTTTAATATGGATGTTTCAGTGACCAAAAATAGAAGAGTTCGGTTTCTTCTACTGCAAAGAACATGTTCACCTTGTGGATAGCAAAACGGTTGAGCTTTTTATAAATTCCCCAGACCACCTCCAGCCATTTGTGCAAATTAACACGGGGCTAAACTTGGAAACCTGATCTAGTAATTCAAAGTAAAATAATTAAGAAATAAGCATGGTTGTAAATTATAAGTAAAATGAAATATGTTCATTTTAATTTAATGTAGAATTTGTTCAATATTAATGACACATATTTACAGAAACTGAATTGGAAACATAGTAATTATAAATAATGGGAAGAGAGAGTTTTCCTTTTTAATCTAATATGCTTAGTCAATGTCTTAAAGGTTGGCAAAGTCAAGAGCTGCAGACCTAAGGCAGCTGGCAATCTGCCTATGGAACTTCTAGAGACAAAAGGAAATTAGTTACTATTTAAACACCAACCAATGGGGCTTTGGGAAAAGAAGATTCCAGGCTCTGATTCCCCCTGGGACCCTCCTAAGCCTTCCCAGGGTGCTCAGGCAGAAAATGCAGAGAGCACTGTGCACCAGGATGTTATTAAAATAATTTAAAAATACAAGCCCCAGGAAGCTGCGAATTGGGAGAGGAGTTACACACTGATAATAAATATTTTTGTAAAGCTTAACAGAAGAAGAAAAACTGCCCTGTGAACAAAACTGACTACAATTTCCCCTTTTAATTTTAACATTGATCAAGTAAATTTGCAAAATCTGAGATTATATGCCCAGCTAAGTGTACACTAAGTGTACATGAGCATGTGTGCACATACAGAGGCACACGGGAAACTTCCCATGCTACGGGAGGCTTGACGAGAAAAATAAGAGAACAGAAAGTGGATGAGACCATGAAACATGGCCATTGTGGGAGAAGAGGCAGTTGGACTGAACGAGACAGATACTACCTAGGCTATGGAGCTTCTGTCAGTTCTGGAGCAAGTTAGCTCTGATCTGGATTTGAACTTGCTACTCTAAGTCACATTATACATATATATATATATATATATATATATACACACACACACACACCTATATATATATATACCTATATTGCTACAATTAACTGTGCAGCCAGATGTTAAATTTTGTTTTTTCTGGTCTCACCTGAGTCATCAAAGCTGAGAAGAACATGTCTCAATCATACCACATTCTGAAAAGAGATGCAGAACTGTGCATACAGTACATGTGGTGGCCCAAACCTGGTTCTGAGACTATTCACTCACGTCCAGAGTATAATAGAGAATGTTAATGATTTACAGTGAGAAAAAGATTGAGGATTTATCAGGCAAAGTTATTGGAATGCTCTACATTCCTTTCTCACATCAAAACAAACAAGTGTCTTGGAGAGAAAAAATCAGAGAGCAAAGGTGATCTGCTGGAATGAAGACTCACATCTATCTCCCTACCCTCACCCCTGCTGGGGGCTTTCTGAGCTGCAGAAGCTCCCTGCGAAGCCCTAGGGGAGTTCTCTGGGGAGAGCATTCACTGTGCACCTCCCAGAGCGTGTAGGAGACCAACATTGACACTAGACTCTCATCTGGGCAGGTAGGAGCAGCCCCTGCTGGCCAGTTGAGGGGAGTTCTTGTGCCAGTGGTTGGGGCATGACACTGACCTGTCCCATGGCCCAAGAAGATCCTTCCAGAAATAGATAGGATTGCATAATGTGGAAGGCCCTGCCAAGAACCCTGCCTGCCAGGGGATGCAATTCTATCAGAAAGGAACTTTGGGGTATCCTGGAACAGAAGGCACAGGGTGCCACAATCAAGCGTAGGAGCAGAGCTCAGACTTTGCCAGGGAACCACAGGCTGAGTGGACAGCAGGTCTGTGAGGTTTCTACAGGTACCATGAGAGAAAGAGAGACAGAGCCAGCATGCCCCCCTCCTTGCCAGGAACATGGCACTAACCCAGATAGCTGCTGCCTCATCCAGAAAGACTTTCTAACCCTTTATGTCTCCACTTTCCAAGTCCTGACCTCCACCCAAAAGGAGGAGCGAGGAAAACCAGGCAGGCTGGCATCCTCCTGCTCCAAATTGTCAAGCTGGTGATGGTCTCTCCATAGGGAAGGATGTATGCCTTGGGTGTTATGAGAAATTGAAACAGGAAACAGTCTCAACTTTCTAAATTGCTAAAAAATGAGCATGTCCTACTGAAACTAATGGAAAAGATGGGAAACCTGTTTGACAAAGTGTTCAAGGGTGAGACGGGAGATTTGAGAAGCTAAGAATGTGTCCAGAGGTGAGGCAAAAGACAGTGAAGTTAATTTCTTGTTTATGAACGGAAGTAAAATGTGCACCATGCTCATTCCCTAATGTGGGGTAATCATTCATAAGCATATCTTCATTTGTCTTCCTTAGGTTCTTAACAGTTGTCCCTTCTGTACAGTGCTATAGTTGTCATGGGTCCTGCCTATGGCATTAGGTTTTAGCACTCACAGTGGAGAACACAGGAGAAGGTCATCCTTGCCCAAAGACTTGCTCCAGCCTGTTTGCTCCACATTTAGCAGGCATAAATGTATAAGAGATCAACTAGGTTGTTGACTAAGGAGGAAAATTCCTATCATAAAGAATAAAACAAGCCGGGCATGCTGGCTCATGCCTGTAATCTCAGCACTATGGGAGGCCAAGGCAGGTGGATCAATTGAGGTAAGGAGTTTGAGACCAGCCTGGCCAACATGGTCAAACCCCGTCTCTACTAAAAATACAAAAATTAGCTGGATGTGGTGGCAGGCGCCTATAATTCCATCTACTCAGGAGGCTGAGGCACGAGAACGCTCGAACCTGGGAGGCGGAGGTTGCAGTGAGATGAGATGGCACCACTGCACTTCAGCCTGGGTGATAGAACAAGACTCAGTCTCAAAAAATAAAAAAATAAATGAAAGAATCAACACTTCGGAGCAAATTATAGATATGGGAGTGGAAGGGGTGTATGTCAGAAATACCTTCAAGGATTCACGTTGAATCATTGACAGTGGTAATACCATTAAGAAAATTGGAAAAAAATCTATAGGGAATCTGTTTGGAGAGGCCCCTGACAAAGCTTTGCTTATGTGTGTTTACTGATGCCACGGACATCCAAGCAGATGATAGGAGCAGAAGGCTAAAGAAGTTAAAGGTCAAGGAGTAATCCAAGGAGAGAAAGAAATGAGCCAACACTTAACCCATGTTTGAAGCTTGGGTGGTGAGAGAGAGAATGCGCTTCTAAGTTTAGGTCCTGTTTGTCATTAAAAAAGCTAGACTCATATTAATGTGTCAAGTGTTATAAATGTTATGAAGAAAATCCTACAGGAACACAAATGAGGAAGTGATTCCTGCTGGGTGGGAGGCAGTCAAAATTTAGCCGACTCTTGAAGGATAGATGACAGATATGAGGATAGACCTCAGGAGGGAGCTTCCAGCAGAAGCTGTGATGTGATGCCAGCTGTAGAGGCAGGAAGCCCAGGGCGGCTCACGCTGCCAGCCTCTGGGGTCTGAGGAGGGCATACAGCAAAGCAACTTGGTGGGGATAGGTGTCACCAGATCAGATGAGAGACAAGGACTTGTATCTGGTACTAATTTTTGTGAAGTAATGGGTCTATCTATGGTGCTAAGACAGGCAGAGGGCTTTGATGAGAACTGAAGGTTTTTTGGAACAAAGCAACAAAGATGATAAGGATGATAGCTGGAGAGATGAAGAAAGAGTCCTCCTCCTCTCCAGAAGGGTTTCTGTGGGAGCTCATGGCAGTGGGAGCTCATGGCAGAGTGATAATAAGAGCACAGCCAGCACCGTGGCAAAGGGGAGGGCAAGGGAGAGGCACACAGGCTCAGGGACAGATCAATTGCCAGGCGAAGGAAACCAGGTGAAACTGAAGACAGCTGTCAGTTGTTGAGCCTAAACCTCAGAATCATGGTGAGGAGCATGTTAAGTAACAACAAGCAAAGACTCGGTCTTGTATTGGACATGAATACAAGGCATTGCTGGGACACCTAGATGCACACCTGGAGCCAGCTGAACGAAGGTAGAGAGAGAAAGTTGAGACTGCACTTGAGACGGGAGAGTTGAAGCCATAGACCTTAGATGGGTGGTTCTCGGACTTCAGCCCACTGCAGCAGCACCTGGAGGACTCCTTACAGCACAGACTGCTGGACCCACACCCAGAGCTTCTCAGCCAGCAGGGCTGGGAGGAAATTGGCACTTCCTGGGCAGGAGATACTGGTGCTGCTAGTTGTCTGGGGACCACACTTTAGAACTACTGCCTTAAAAGTCACTGAGGAGGCAGTGGCTCAAAGTGTGGTCTCTGGACAACTAGCAGCACAAGTTCTTTCTATGGGGAAAGAACTGAAAAGAACTGAAACAAAAACAGGCCCCCGCCCTCAAGAGGGGGGAAAAAAAGTCAGCCCTGTTCCCCTGAGAGTCTGATTTAGTTGGCCTGGGCCCAGATGATGTCATTGGTATTTTTATTGCTCTCCAGGTGGTTCTGACATGCTTCCAGGGTTGAGAAACACTGATTAAGGAGGAGAAAAGAAAGCAATTTATTTAAAAATTTTTAAAAGAAACAGACAAAAAGCCCACTTTTTTTGGCACTGATCTAATTCTCTTTTCTTTCCTCAGGAAAAGCAGTTGAAATACCATTAGTTAACAGATTGCCCAATGAAGTCGATGACAACTGTGATAACAAGTTACTCACTATCACAGCGTCTCCAAGAGATGAACAGTGGATGATGCTTCCAAAGCACAGATGTCCCTCTCCTCCTCAACCTTCTCTCCCCAGAAAGATGTCAACACTGTGGAGATTGTGCTATGAAGATACCTGGTGTGGCATTGCAATAGATGAAATATTAAGGGCAATTCAACAATTTTCTGAACAAATACATGGATTTAACTTGAAGTTGAATTTAATTTGACTTCAAGAAAAATTATATTTCTGGTCCTCCTATGATCATGCACTAAGAATTATTTAACTGCAGATACAATTGTTACCTTTAGAGCTAGAAGGCCTCATTTTAGAATTAAAATGAATGGCAACCCAGACAGATAAAGTCGAGTCGTGATCATCCCACTGCGGAGGCAGAGCCAGTGCTGGCCATCCCCCGACCACCCCAACACACTCCAGGTCTCACACATTTAATCTCTCTCTCTGCCAAGGGAATTTTTTCTTTCCATTTATTCTTAGAAACAACTAAGGGAGTTTTAAGTTAAATACATGCTGCCAAATTGAATCCAAGGAAACTAAAGTCAAATATATTAGCAAACACTTAATGTCCTCTCCATTTTGACATTTCTCCCTCAATTCCTATTTCTGAGTAAAGGCTGTTCAGATGAATAAAAACATATTTTCAGAAATCTGAGCTCATAAGACCTATAGGTCTGTGAAGTCACAGACCGTGCACTGTCAGCAGTCAGCAATTCTGCTGGGTTGAATTGGCATGTTTCAAACTATGTATTTTTGTTAAAAAAAAAAAAAAAGGTGTGTAAATGCATTTACAAAATAGTTTGTACTCTTTCCCAGTAATTCATAGTTGCCTTCACAGCACCCAGTTCCGGATTTCACACCAAGCCTTTGCTGAGGATATGAGAGTAATAAAAAGGGGAGCCCTGGTTCTTCCTCTCCTTTAGTGTCTTTCCTGGAAGTGGACTGCGAGAAGAGCTTCTTCAGCCACCTTCTGCCTGCAGACAACCTCCATGAGTTTGCTTTAGAAGAAGGCTTCAATTTGAAGAAAGTCAAATAAAACAAGGTAGACTATCATTCCCATAGATGCAAAAGAAGGTGAACCCAGATTCAGATCCTAAGTCAGCCATTCTGCAGGGAACTCTTAGGTGTCCAGGTCAGAGGCTCTACTCAAACTGCCTCATCAATATTGATTCCTCAGTTGTTGCAAATATACCACACTCATGCACGTTGTTAATAATAAAAGGGGAACTGTAGAGGACGGGGTGGTGTATATGAGAACTCTGTACTTTCTGTGTAATTTTTCTATAAACCTAAAATAGCTCTAAAAATAAAGTTTATTCAGAAACAAAAAAATTAATCATCTATCCTGAGTAAATATTATATAAGATTTATCTAAGTTTTTACCTACTTCTTCAAATGTGCTGACCTTTACTGAAAATCTTTTATACATTTTGAATATTCTTTTCACTCTATTGAAATGCAGTCCTCCTGGTAATTTTGTTTTGTACTGTATACCCAGTGTATTCTACATCACCAAAAGCTTTAGAGTAAGTTTCCCAGCCTACCAACCCCACTAAATGCCCACATGCTGAAAGCATAGTACAATAGTCTCTTTAATATCACAGGTTTCAACTGCACAGGTTCTTATATGTGGATTTCTTTTTTCAATCAATACATTGGAACAATTTTGGAGGTTTGCAACAATTTTTAAAAACTCACAGATGAATTGTGTAGCCTAGAAATATTTTTACAATTACAAAATGTTAGATATGTTATGAATGCATAAAATATGCACATTAATCTATTGTTTATATTATCAGTAAGGCTTCCAGTCAGCAGTAGGATATTAGTGATTCAGGTTTTGAGGAGTAAAAATTTATGCATGGATTTTTTTTTCTATGCAGAGTTTGGCTCCTTTAATACCCCGCTGTTCCAGGGTGACTTGTACACACTTATTTCTCTCTCTCACACACTCACATACACACACATCCACACACAGGCACATCCACATTACCAGAGGCCACATCAAAGAAACTTAAATGGAAAATCTCAGCAAATGGTATGAGGTGGGATTCTAGGATTTATTTTAAAAATAGTATTGAATGTTGTGTATGTGATAATTCAAAGAATAAAATGGCTAACATAGAATGTGGAAAGGCATATTAAACGAATTCATTTCAGCCTATTTAACTGGAGTCACGAGAAGGAATTTTTAAAGACTACTCATATATGCCCTTTTTTTTTATTAACCCTAACATAATGTAGATAGAATTTAAATTTCTATTATATTCCACATTTCACAATTGATTATGAAGTCAGACTCCTAAGTAGCGGCTCTGTAGACTCAGCTCTCTCTTTTTTTCTAAGATGGGATTTCTCTGCTCATCAGGTCATTGTGTTTGCAATTGATCCTTGGAGACAGCGACATCTGCGAAGCTTCCAAGCCACGGTGGTTCCACCTTCACAAGTATCCTTCAAAGGCATCCTGCAACCACCCCATCCATCCAAGTACTCCGTTGTAGGATTCAAAAGCAAATTGCAGGGTTTGCTGCCTGGCAGAGAAGCATAGACACAAAGCATGAGAGAGCAAAACCTATGAGTTGACCATATCATAAACACAAATAGATATATGCAGAATACCAGCTAAAAAATAGGCAATAAACTTAAACAATAGGACTATGAGTAGACATAGCAAGTGCTGGGTAGAGATGACAGTTTTGTGTCCTGTTAGAGCTAAGTCAGAAATCTGGGTCGAAGTGAATGTGAGGGAGGAAAAGGCCATTACAATATTTAAGAAGCAGCTCCAATATTTTTAAAACGTGAAGGAAAACTTGCAAGCAATCTCTAGGGCTGGAGGGAGAGAAATGCAAAGCCCTCTCAGCCTGCTCCACCATTATCTTTTGCATTCCAATAACTGACATGCTGCTGAATGTTATGACTATTTGTTTATTGTTGACTGTTCTTGGCACTGCTCAGTGTAGCCAAAGATTCCTTGCCTACAAGAAAGTCTTGCTCAGACAATAAACCACGGAGAAAGAAAATTGTCCTTGAGAATAAGGGCATTTCAGAGGGAAAGGAATTCCACCAGAGGCAAAGAAACCCCCGTCCACCGCAGAATTCGAGCTCAATATCTCCTATGTCTATCTGTGAAAGCCATCATGGAACTCAAGGGCAGGAGGGGGTGGTACACAATGGTTTGTATTGTAATCCCCTGTTTTCAGACACATTTTTCTGAAAGCATAAACTTTGCTGGCTAGGACTGTATAAACCTAGCGGGATTTTTTACTTTTTCTTGGAAGGCATTTGTCTCCCAGCATCATAAAACTTAACAGTCTGCTTTCATAGTAACAGTGTGACCTTGTAGTCCCCGATCCTAAGTGTGTATGTGTACAATGTATAATTTCCCTTTGTTTCCTCTGAATTCTCCCTCTCCATCCTTTGTCAGTCTAAACGGGCTTTCGTTTCTAATTTCTCTCTTTATTTTCTCCAGCAATGTACTAACTTTGCTTCTAGATTACCACTGTGCCTGATTTTGAGGTTGCCATTTTAATTTTAGCAAAATGCTTGGATTTATGGGAATCATCAAAAAGGCAAGATCGTTGGGCTCGTTGCCCTTCCTGGGACTCTCTTTTCACTTTGGTGTCTGCTGTGTTAGTGATTTGATATCAGACCAATCCATGAACCCTTCATTTTAAACCAGGAGCCCAAGGGAAATAAATAATGCCACCAGAGAGAAATGAGAACCCAAAAGCTATTACTAAAATGAAAACGTACTCTCTCTTAGACCTGGCAAATTGTACTAAGACATTCAGATAGTGTATCCAAATGTTATTCAACCCACTCATAGCCATATTCCTTTGATGGCACTAAGGTGGTACTTAAAAAGGAGCAGGTTCCATCTCAGAATCCCCAGCATCATCCCAGATAATCAAGACCATGCATCCTCTTCAGGGATCCTGTTTCCCTGGCGGCTTCTCACCCCTGAGCCTCACTGCCCTGCTGTGCTCTTCATTACTCTTTCACTAACATGCAGAAACAATGCTTTTCTTTCCAGTGCCTTCAAAATTTGGCCAAATTCTCCACCAAACTTCACGAATTATTCATTACCTCACATCCTTTATCCAGAACAACAAACGAACATGTGTTTCAGTGAGCTGAATATTCTGGCCCAGCCCTGCTCTGTCATGCCTGAATGACCATTTTTTAAAATGCCAAAGACGAGGAAAGATAAAACACTTCTAGGGCCATTTTGAGAGCTTGGTCTTGCAACCCTTCTCAGCCTCCTCCGACCCTTCTTTCTCTCTCCCTCATGCTCTGTGCTCTGCCTGTGTCTCGGCAGCCTCCTTTTTGACACTGACACAATCCCATGATCCAGGACATTGGCCTGGCTCCCCGCTGCCCAGGAAAGGAGGGGACACCTGGAAGTGCCTATAAGGCAGCTCTTCTAAGGTGGAGGGAGGTGGGAGGAAGCAAGGTAGATCAAAGATCCCCTCCCTCCCTCTCCAGAATTTTCTGAGGTGTGATCCCTCCCTTCAGCTCTCCTGGAGAAGTCCTATGGACCATAGGGCCACCTGCTGAGAGGCTGGTGGGCCTCCTGGGGGCTCCTGGAGCAGGGGCAATGCTGGACATCACACCACTTCTGCTTCACAGTGTTCTTGTCTCACCACCCTCACCACCTCATGAAGGACTGGCACCTACTTCTCACCCCAGGCTCTGCTCTATGGGGGACGAAGGCTGGCTGAAATGTCCTTCCTGCGAGACATGAAGGTCAACCTTGGAGAGCTCCAGGGACATGAGCATTGAGCTGTCCAGCAGTGTAGAAACGTGCACACTTCTCTGAGCTTCTGTGTGTCCCGACCTGTTGTTGAGTTTGGGGTGGAAAAATGGTGACCGACAATGAAACAGGAACCTCACAGCCTGTCAGTCACCAGGAAGGCAAGTGGACTTCTCCTCTGAGGAGCAGAGAGGAGAACCAACTGTGTGGCCTCTTTCTCAGGTTTAACTTCGTTGGAATAAAAGCTGCATATGGCACTGTGTATTGATCAGGATTCTCTAGAGGAACAGAACTGATAGGATAGATGTATTTATAAAGGGGAATTTATTAAGGAGTATTGATTCACACAATCACAAGGTGAGGTCCCACAATAGGCTGTCTGCAGCTGAAGGGCAAGGAAGTCAATCCAAGTCCCAGAACCTCAAAAGTAGGGAAGCCGACAGTGCAGCCTTCAGTCTGTGGTTGAAGTCCCAAGAGCCCCAAAGCTGAAGAAATTGGAGTCCCATGTTCATAGGCAGGAATCATCCAGCACAGGAGAAAGATACAGGCTGGGAGACTAAACCAGTCTAGTCTTTCCATATTCTTCTGCCTACTTTTATTCTGGCCATACTGGCAGCTGATTAGATTGTGCCCACACAGATTGAAGGTGGGTCTGCCTCTCCCAGGCCACTTACTCAAATGTTAATCTCCTTTGGCAACACCTTCACAGACACACCCAAGAACAATACTTTACATCTTTCAATCCAATCAAGTTGATACTAAATATTAACCATCACACACTATGACATCCAAGTCTTGACCCATTGAAATTCAACCCTTTTGGACAAAAACTCACTTCCTGGTTACAGCCCTTTCTTCATGCACAGCTCAGGGAACAGAGGAGGCCAGTGAGAGGGTGTCTCCAGGAGGAAGATGCCCTGGCTCTAAGCTTCTTCTCTGGAGCTGGGGCTCAGTCAAAATAAAGTGGTGGTGATGGTCCTGCTGGATGGCTTTGTGTTCCCAAGTGTTTTACCATGTACAAAGAAATACAGAGGGTGTACCTATAGAACAACCCAGTCAGATTTGTTTCCAGCCTGAAATCTCTGGGGACAGGCCTCCAGACCGTTTTGTATTCATTGTGTTTTCTTTGTCCCCTTTATATTCCGGTGAGTCCCTCAGATCCAGATCTTTCAGGATTCAGTTCTAATGCCCTTCCACGGAGAGGGTTCCCCAACACCTTCCTGTTCTATTCTGGTGGCATTGCTGCCATCACTGTTGTGAGGATGGAGGTCCTGCCTTCTGCCTTCCTTGCTGTGTCATCCTTCTTTCTAACGTGGCATTATTTTCCCCTATCCTGCACTGCCTGAGCTTATCACTCTGGCATGGATGGATTTTTGATCCCCCTTTCCTCCTGGTGGATGCAAAGTTACTTATGTCAAGTAAATGGTCTGGATTAAATTAAGAGTCAAAGAGTTTTTATCTATTCCTGACAGTGATGTCATCTGTCACTTTTTAATGTAGTTAAGTATCTTACCCTTTTGTTGTTAGGGAGATGCTGAACTAAATCTATGATCACTGTTCATATCGACAGAGGTTCTGGGGAATCACACTGATAGCCACACAACAGTACTGGTGCTCAGTAAAGGGCAGCCACGTGGCAGCAACTTCACAGACCATTGTAAACATAATGTCACTCAGCAGAAACAAGTTGCCTTATTGGTATGCACATTCCCATGCAATGGACTTAATTATGTCTCCCTGATATTCATAAATTAAACCCCCAATCTCCAATGTGATGGTATTGGGAGGTGGGACCCTGGGAGATAATCATGTTTACATGGGGTCCCGAGAGTGGGATTCTGATATGTTTGGATTTGTGTCCCTGCCCAAATCTCATGTCCAATTGGAGGATGGACCTGGTGGGAGGTGATTGGATAATGGGGGCGAATTTCCCCCTTGCTATTCTCATGATAGTGAGTGAGTTCTCATGAGATCTGATGGTTTAAAAATGTGTGGCACTTCCCACTCTTTCTCTCCTGCTGCCATGTGAAGAAGGTGCTTGCTTCCCCTTCACATTCCACCGTGATTGTAAGTTTCCTGAGGCCTCCCAGTCATGCTTCCTGTTAAGCCCGCAGAACTATGAGTCCATTAAACCTTTTTTCTTCATAAATTACCCAGTGGTTCTTTATAGCAGTGTGAAAATGGATTAAATATAGGTGCCCATGACAGAATTAGTGCCCTTATAAGATGAGACTTTGGAGAGCTCACCCTGTCCCTTCCCATAAGCCAGAAAGACCCTTAAGCAAGAAGGTGGCTGTTAGCAAGCCAGGAAGAGTCCTCATCAGAAACCAACCAAGCTGGCACCCTGATCTCAGACTTCCAGCCTCCAGAACTCTGAGAAAACGCATTTCAGTTGTTTAAGTCCAACAGCCTATGGGGTTTTGTTATGACAGCCAGAACTCACTAAAATACCTTGTTTCTCAGATGAGGAACTGAAGCACCAAGAGGTTAATGAACCTCCCCTAGACATACAACCAAAGATGCAAGGGGCTGAAACTTTCATCTATTTCAGTTGACATACAACCAACCAATTAAGTTGAAGTTGATAGAAGCATTCAATTTCTAGATAACCTAAATAAAATTACCTGAATTTCTAGATGATTGAGTCCCATTTATTTATAAACTTTTGAAAGAGACTTTTAAAAATTCTCTATCTCATTATTTTCTTACTTTAAAATTTTTCACATTGAAATAATGTTAAATTTATGGAAGAGTTGCAAAGATACTACAGAGAGTTTCCAGGTATCTTCCACCCAGCTATCTCTAATGTTATCAGTTTACACATGTTGGGGTTCAGAAAACAATGCCTCAAAGTATGGTGCTTTGACCTGCTGGCCTCTTTGAACCAAAGGAGCAGCCCCAGAACCAAAGTCTCTATGACGCCCCCATGCAAGATTCTTGTCCTTCTGCCACTTCAGAAGTACAGGCAAGGGACCTTATCTGAGGTTCACTTCCCGAACTAAGGGAAGTTCCTCTGGAAGGAATGCAGTTGTGCAGAGCCTGCTTCTTATAATTTCATAAAACAATGAAGATTAACTCATGGGAGAAGAGACTAGAGTGGACACCACACCCAGAGCCCAGATAGACTCTGTCCCAGGCATTTGTTGGTTCTTCAAGCCCATTCATCTCCCCCAAAAATCATTTACTTTTCTTCTAACAGTGCCTACAGCCCCTACTTCCCTTTCCCCTGTGAAAAAGGTTATATAAGTCTCATTGGATTGTTAGGTATTGTGATATTTCCATGCACCTAATAAATTTATGTCTTATCTCCTATTAATCAGTCTATTTCAGTTCATTTCTCAGATTCAAATATCAAACCTCAACAGGGGAGAGAAAGGGTTCTCTTACCCCAATATGTAATTTATTGTTATATATTTATTAAAAGTAAAAAAATAATATGAGTGCAGTACCAGTAACTAAATTCCAGGCTTCATTCAGACTTCAGCAGTCTTTCCACAGAACGGCACCCTTCTTTTTTTTTTTTTTTTTTTGAGACGGGGTCTCACTCTGTCACCCAGGCTGGAGTGCAGTGGTGCAATCTTGGCTCACTGCAAGCTCTGCCTCCCGGGTTCACACCATTCTCCTGCCTTAGCCTTCCGAGTAGCTGTGACTACAGGCGTCCGGCACCACTCCCAGCTACTTTTTTGTATTTTTAGTAGAGACCGGGTTTCACCGTGTTAGCCAGGATGGTCTCGATCTCCTGAACTCGTGATCCACCCTCCTCGGCCTCCCAAAGTGCTGGGATTAGCACCCTTCTGTCCAATGCAGGACTCCACATCACCAGGGTGGTTTCCTGGGCACGAAGCCCAAGGAGTGCCAGGGCCTGGCCAATTCTTCAAGTTGCATTTATTCATGTTACCTTCATCTCTTCTGATTGTGGCAGCTTCTCAGTCTTTCCTTGTATTTGACAGTTTTGAAGATTGCTTGTCAGGTGTTTTGTTGAATATTCCTCAATTTGGATTTATTTAATGTCTTCTCATGATTAGCCTGGAGTTATGGATTTTTGGTAAGATGCCATAATTTTTTTTTACATTGACTTCATAAGTGAAAACAAATTACTTAAAATTATTTTAACAAATAGAGAACTCTGGCAAAACTATCGTATGTCAAATAAATCCTATTATTTGCAAAGTATACCATTTCCGTTTTGATTGGTGAGACAATAAATATTTATGGATACATCCAGCCTCTGCTGATTTGTTTTTGTTGAAGTAAATTACACATAGTATAGAATTAAACAGTTTAAAGTGTAACCATTTTAAGTGTACAGTTCAGAGGCAGTTAGTACATTTATTTATGAAGTAAATAGGCAGATAATATAGGAGAAGAATTACATCATGATTCAAAATTAACTTTAAAGCACAATATTTAGTTGTTCATTCTTTTCTTTCCACAATGTACAAATTATGTCTCATTATCCTCAGAAAAAAATGGGCATCCATTTGCCAGTTATGTATATGTGTGTGTTTGTGTACATATGCATATATGTATATTTCACACACGTCTGTGTGAAGAGACCACCAAACAGGCTTTGTGTGAGCAATAAAGCTGTTTATTTCACCTGGATGCAGGCGGGCTGAGTCTGAAAAGAGTCAACGAAGGGAGATATGGGTGGGGCCGTTTTATAAGATTTGGGTAGGTAAAGGAAAATTACAGTCAAAGGGGAGTTGTTCTCTGGCAGGCAGGAGTGGGGGTCACAAGGTGCTCAGTAGGGGCTTTTGAGCCAGCATGAGCCAGGAGAAGGAATTTCACAAGATAATGTCATCAGTTAAGGCAGGAACAGGCCATTTTCATTTCTTTTGTGGTGGAATGTCATCAGTTAAGGCAGGAACCGGCCATCTGGGTGTGTACGTGCAGGTCACAGGGGATATGATGGCTTAGCTTGGGCTCAGAGGCCTGACAGTATATATGTATATACATGTATATATATGTGTGTGTACATATATGTGTACATATATATATATATATATATATATATATATATATATATATATATATATATGATGGTCATATACACCATCAAATGAGTTGCAAGCCTGCTTGTAGAAAATGTTTTCCAGTATCCATGTGAGCAGAACTTTAGTTTATAAACTTTAGTTTGTAAAGAGAAAGAGTAGTACTTATCCAAGGGGAGCAACATGAAAGCATTTGTTAAATGGCATGCTGCTCGTCCTACGCACTTCTCTCATGAATCCTTCCACCACCCACCACACCGTTGGAACTTTCCAGATGTAAATGCATAATGTTGTAGTTAATTTACTCAATTTTTCACTTTGTCTTACATGTATTAATGGAAAAAAAAAGCTAAACTCTGTAAAATACTTGAAGAGGTTTATTCTGAGCCAAATATGAGTGACCGTGGCCCAGGACACAGCCTTAAGAGGTCCTGAGAACACTCCAAGGTGGTCAAGTTACAGCTTGATTCTACACATTTTTAGGGAGGCAGAAGTTACAGGCAAAGACATACATTGATACCTGTAAGTTATACATTTAGTTAGCCTGGAAAGGCAGAACATCTAGAAGCAAGGGGGCTCATAGGTCAGAGGCTGGATTTAAAGATTTTCTGATTGGCAATTGGTTGAAAGAGTTAAGCTTTGCTGAAACCTTTGTAGTCTGCAGAAAGACATACTTGTGTTAAAATAAGGGAAGTTGTAGAAGCTGATGTTCTTGTCATGTAGATGAAGACTCCAGGTAGCCGACTTCAGAGAGAATATATGGTAAATGTCTCTTTTCCAACCTTAAAAGGTGTCAAACTCTGTGGAAAAGATCTAGTAAAGGAAGGACATTCTCTACAAAATGCAAATTTCCCTCACAAGAGAAGGCTGTGCAGAGCCCCTCCAAAATATGTCAAAGAAATATTAATATATAGTGGGGTAAAATACTTTGATTTCCTTCAGGATCTGTTTTCTGCCATGTGATGCTATACCAGAGTCAGGTTGGAATTCGAATTCAGTATCTTATTGCTACAAAGAGTCCATTTTATCAGTCTTAAGATCTCCATTTTAGCATTAATGCTGGTCTGTTATGCCAGCTTCCTAAAGGGAGGAGGGCATAATGCATGTCTGGCCACCTTTTCCATCATGACCTGAAGTGGTTTTTAAAGTTTCTTTGGGATTTCCTTTGCCAAAAGGGAGGTCCGTTCGGTTGGCTGGGTGGCTTAGAATTTCATTTTTGGTTTATGTATGCCTAGCTAGAATACATGAAAGTTTGCAAGCAGAAGCCACAGCAATTCACCTTTAGAATCCTAAATTGAGTATATCATTTCCTAAATAATATCTTAACAGATACTGATCCCTTGCAATGACCCTCAGGAAAGCTCTCCTCTGTCTGTTAAGCCTGTGCTGCCCAATGCTGGACTTCCCTTACAATGAGCCACAGATTCCCCAGCAGAATAAAGGCTAGGACTGTTCTGCTCCAAGAAACCCACCTTGCTCGGTCCAATCCTGCATTTCTGGAACTTGTTTGATCACAGATATCTTCGATCAAGAAACAACTGTTAGCATGCCGTTTGGGAGGGTGCGATCCTAGAAAGTTTTCTTGTGTAGAGTAGAACCTGGTTACCGATCATGATGTTTTAAAGCACCAAAATAGTTTTGTTTTTGTCTTTGTTCTTTTTCATCTGTGATAAACAAACCCCAAAAGGCATGTGAAACACAATGAAAAGGCACGCAGCACAGCTTGGTCACATGGAGAGCACTCAAAAGCTAACTGCAAGGGCATCACAGGGGCAAAATCAGCATTTATATCATGCGCCTGTGACTTTGGTTATGTTAACTAAAATCCTGGTTACTCACTTTTCAAGTTACCCCCAAGACAAGAGTGAGCCTTGATCAGAAATGTTAGAGAGGAAATTGGGTGTTTGCCAAAAGAAATGTGCAAACATGAAACAAACATTTGCTGACTGTTAATGCTTTGTCAGCCTAAGGGCATTCTTTAATGCACTGAAAGGAAACCAGAGCATAAACGAGGTGATTCCCTTGCATTTCCTCACTCCCCAGTTGGGGGCGGAGTGGGGGGAAGCAAGCATAAGCCATGTGCTTAGCATAAGGATTCATTGTTAAGGACCTTCTTAACCTCAAAAGGCAGCCTGTGCCAGTGATGGCTTCCCCCCAGCAGGTTAGGATATTCATACACAGAAAGCTGGTGTTACAGGGGCACAGAGCGGGTGGCGAATCATCGTGAAAGCGGTAAATTTTTAAGTCCTGGCCAAAACAGTGTGATGAAGATAGTCCTCTCTTGAGCATGATGACCCTAGCTGTCAATAGCCAGCGTGTCCTCCACAGCCATGGCCAAGAAAAACCCTTGAGTAAAATAGGACACAAAACTCTGAGAACCTGAGCAGGGTCCCTGGGGAAGACAGGAGCATCCATCAGGGGATGCTTGATGACAGCACAGACTCTGAAGCCAGGAGAACCATCCAACCCCAGCCTGTCCTGGTGCTCTCCAGCTGTAGCCACCACTTAACACCTCTGTGTCACAATTCATCCTCATCTGTAGGTAGGGGTAATAACAGTATTATTACAGAAAGGGTCCTAATCCAAACCCCAAAAGAGGGATCTTGGATCTCACGCAAGAAAGAATTTGAGGTGAATCCATAGAATAAAGAAAAGACAAGTTTATTAGGAAAGTAAAAGAAGGAAGAATGGCTACTCCATAGGTAGAGCAGGGTATTCCCGAAAACAAGAGGAGGAAGGCACCCACCCTAGGTGTAATGCTTGCTTACATACAGGATAAAAAAAAAATCATGAGTGATGTGCTCTACTACAAGGGTTTGTGATAAAAGATTAATTTTCATTAATTACAATATTTTGCAAGAATTGATATTGTTATCTTTAAAGCAAAATTAGGAATGCTTTTGTTCTCAAGCTATCAGAATATCAGGATATTCCTGGGCCTCGGTCTGTTTAGTAAACATTATTAATCTGTTCTCTTAACTGTAAACATCTAGAGGCTGGGAATGCCAGACTCCTGGGAATGAAGCCCAGCAAGTCCAGCCTCATTTGTCCAGGCTTCATTCAAGATGGAGTCACTCTGGTTCGAATGCCTCTGACAGTATCTCCTTTGAAGGGTGATTGGTGGTGATTAAAGAGTTCATAAACAGAGTCTCCAGGAACTGATCATCAGAATGGAGGGTGTTGTCTTCTTGGTACACTTAGGAGCAATGTAGCCAAGCCTGACTTTAAGATTCTCTGGATTACTAGCGTTGCTCCTAACCTGCCTGGAGTAACCTGATAGGGAGGAGAGAACACACCAGCAGTGGACCTCATGGGAAAGAGGGGAGAACTTGAACTTCACACATCACTGCTCTTCCATTCACTGCCGTTGCCCCACACATGCTCCAGGCCTTGCTGGCTCTGAGGAGATGCTGGCATACAGGCTGGGGGCCTCAGGAAGAGCTTTTCTACCCATGCAATGAATGGGAAGTTGTACATACTGGAGGCAGGGCCACTGAATCTTTAATCACCGAACAGGCACTGCTGTGGGTGACGTCGCAACCATGCTGGTCACTTCTGTTTATTTTTCAGTATTTATTTACAATGTTGCCTTTGGACAAGCTGCTTCAGTATTTTCCACTTTGGAAAAAGTCGATGCTTTAGAAAATTACGTTTATAAGCCAGAGTGTCGGATATGCTCTCAACAGTTTAAATTAAAAAAAAAAAAAAAATTGACACAGCCTGGGCAACATGGCTACAAAAAATACAAAAATTAGCCAGATGTGCTGGCACACATCTGTAGTCCCAGCTACTCCAGAGGCCGAAGTGGGAGGATCGCTTGAGCCCAAGAGGTCAAGGCTGCAGTGAGCTGTGATTGTGCCACTGCACTCTAGTCTGGGTGACAGAATGAGAACCTGTCTCAAAAAAAAAAAAAATTTGAGAACACCCTAGGGAATATGGGGAACATTCTCTCTCTCTTTTTCTCTCTGTCTCTCCCCATTGTGGCTGTGTATCTGTGTGTGTTTGTGTAAGGAGAGCTACTATGCCTGTTCAGGCAAGATTGCCACAACCTCCACTTTTAGCACAGGGTGAGCTGGTCTGTGGCCATACCTCAGCCAAGATCCTCAGTGTGACTCCACCACCCTGGGAGCTAAGGAGTTCACTCTGTTTGGATGAAGGGGGAATCTCTCGGCGGGAGGGAAATGGAAGTCCCAGGATAATATATAGCAGGGAGGCTCAAAAAGAACCTGAGACACTACAGCAGTGTGTTGTGTTAACCCCAGTTACTCAGTGATGAGCGTGGTCACTGGAACACTAGAAATACCACTTGGGATCAGAAATAAGTTATGTAAAGAGTGAACAATTAACTGAGGTCGTGAGGTGGTTTGAGCAACGCTGGTCACCCAGGCATTGTCCCATCAGCTCTGGGTCAGGTAGGATGTTATTTCACAGCATCCATCACTGCTTATCATGCAAAAGGGAGACCAGTTTGCTTCATCACATGTTGACTGTCTTATGTCCTCAGTTTCACTCCCATGTGCCTGCAGGGCTTCATGTAAAACCCAGTATGAAAACTGGCAATGTGCAGAGGGACTTGGACACTTAAATCTATAAGCTGAACATGCATATTTCAGTTCTTGATGCCCAAGAAAAAACAATGGTAGTTAGTACACTGATACTGAGCAAAGTAATATCATTCAAAACAGCTGCCCTATTACAGTGACAAACTGTAAGAAACACATCAATTCATTCACATGGGAATAGTTAATATGCGAATACCAATATAAATAAAGAAAAAACATATTGCTCTTACTTCAGCTATTAACTAGGCTTGAAAAATTAAACATTAATTCCTTCTGTCATTTTAGGACATTATTGTCCCCTTTGTGTCCTAAGATATATATTCTTTTATTCTCATCTGGTCTTTATAGATAACTGTGAGTCATTCTGGAACTGTTTTAGTCTTCTAACCTGGAAGTCACATATAGGAGAGTTAATCACTCCTTCTGTCCCCAGAAGTAGTAGACTTGGGTTAAACAAAACCGATATGCATTTCTTTTTCACGAAAGACAAGCTGGCCAGGTGGTGGCACGCTGCGGGATGGGCTTGGCAGGATTTTTGGAGGCTCCTGATCTCTGAGGATAGCACCCTCCTCAGCACTCCACACACAAATACCACTTCATTGTCCAAGATTGTCACTAGTGCTCCAGCCATTGCATCTATTTCCAGCCAGCAGGAAGGAGGCAGAAAAGAGCATTCTTCCTCCAAGGACATTACCTGTTTCTGCTCCGCTTATATTCTGCTAGCTAGAACTGATCTCTTGACATCAACAAGCTTCAGCAAAAACTGCAAAATGTAGTCTTCATTCAGCATGACCCCTGTGCCCAACTTAGAATAAAAAACAAGGGGTCTTATCATTCAGCAAGAAGGGAAAGCCCCTACTGGGAGCTGCTGGGCCAGCCCAGCCATATTCATTCATCTTATGACATGAGTAGATTCTTCAAGTGTTCACAGAGGTGACATTTATCTTGTGCTACAAGTTCTTTTTATGTTTCTGGGTTATTTGGAGCCATGACTGTGTAGGAAACTAGACTATTTCACTTCAAAATATGTGTGAACTAAAAAAGTAAAAGTCACAAGATCTGTCAGTCCTTCACTCCCCCACACTGTCACCTCTCAATCCTCTGACTCTCCCAAAGCACAGGACAAAACTGTTCTCTGAAGTGTCCTTATCTACCGAGAAACCAGACATGTCAGAGAGAAACACAATTGCCTTCCCTGAAATTTCATTAACCAGAGAAGGTTTTTTTTTTATTTTTATTTTTATTTTTTTTTTGAGACGGAGTCTCGCTCTGTCGCCCAGGCTGGAGTGCGGTGGCCAAATCTCGCCTCACTGCAAGCTCCGCCCCCCGGGTTCACGCCATTCTCCTGCCTCAGCCTCCCAAGTAGCTGGGACTACAGGCGCCCACCACCACGCCTGGCTAGTTTTTTATATTTTTAGTAGAGATGGGGTTTCACCATGTTAGCCAGGATGGTCTCTATCTCCTGACCTTCGTGATCCACCCACCTCAGCCTCTCAAAGTGTTGGGATTACAGGTGTGAGCCACTGAGCCTGGCCTAATCAGAGAAGATTAAAATTCGTGTCACAGAGGAAGAGATTGAAAATTAAATACCACACCCGGATCCCAGAGAGACTTAGAACTTTTTCTGTTCACGGGTCTCATTCACCCAAAAATAATTGTTCACAAGATAATGTCTGCCTCATGGGTCCATTCATTCTCCCCAAAGGTCATTTGCTCCTACAGCCCCATCTCCCCTTTTTTATGATGAAGTGCATATAAGAATCCATACCCCATTGGGTTATTGGGTAACCATGTTCCTGTGATTTCTCCATGCTATGCACATTAAAATAAGCTTGTACCTCCTGGACATGATTTGGCTGTGTCCCCACCCAAATCTCATCTTGAATTGTAGTTTCCATAATCTACAATGGGAGGGACCTGGTGAAAGGTAATTGAATCATGGGGCAGTTAAGTTACTCCCATGCTGTCCTCGTGATACTGAGTGAGTTCTCACAAGATCTGATGGTTTTATAAGGGACTTTTCCTCCTTTGCTCAGCACTTCTCCTTGTTGCTGCCATGTGAAGAAGGATGTATTTCTTTCCCCTCCACCATGATTGTAAGTTTCCTGAGGCCTCCCCAGCCATGCTGAACTGTGAGTCAATTAAACCTCTTTCCTTTGTAAATTACCTAGTCCAGGGTATGTCTTTATTAGCAGCATGAGAACAGACTAATACAGACTTTTTTTCCTATTAATCTGCCTTTTGTGGGTTGATTTTCAACCAACCTTCAGAGGGTAAAGGGGAATCTTTCCCTTCACTCCTACAGATTTGGCACAGTGAGCAGGGTAGACCCAAACCACTCTGCTCTTCTGGAAGCCACAGTCAAAGGAACCCAGGATATGACAACCAGAAAAAAAAAAATAGATGATAAGTTCTCACTACTCCCAGTCTCTTTCTCTATGAAATCTCTCTCTCTGTGAAATGTCATCACTACACATCTCTTTTTCCCTTCCAAATTTAAGATTAATGAGAGAAAAGCATTGTATGGCTAGTCTTAGGGGTAGCAACTCTGGTATACTTTTGGTGTGAATATTTATATGGTCTGATCCTTTTCCTTTCAGAAATAGTCTTTGTTTTTCTTTTCTCTTTCTCTTTTTGTATCATTGTGTTGTAAAGAGGGGTACCTTAAGAAAACATGATAAGGTTCTGCTTCATCTAGATTTACACCCTGAGAACCTGGCTTTTGTAACCAAGTGGGAAGGTTCTTCCCCTTGTCTCTGCCAGCTGGGAGCATGACTTCAGATTACATCTAGCGACCATTCTGAAAGGACTGGGAATCTCAAGACATGTAAAATTTTGAGCAGCACGCTCTTTGTTCTGAATGTGCCAAGCTCTCAGGAGAGTTCGTCTTAATAAGTTCCATCTCTATTGTCTGTCTAGTACTGGAAAAGTCCAGTCCCAGAAGTGCCCGCCTGGCAGCCCAGGTTAGCAGGCCTGTTACTGGAGCCACCTCCACATGCCCCTGCATCCATGTGATTCTGAGACCAGAGGCATCACTCACACTGCACCATCCTTAACTGCCCAGGGCAGCAAAGTCCTTTTGCTTTCCTAACCTACCTCTGAAAGTGAATTTTTTAGGATCATAAGGACTGCCTCTTCTATGCCCTCTCCAGGAATGCCTCTTGTTTATACAGTAAAAACATATCCTAAGCCTGGAAGGTGAGCTCCTGGTCTTTCCGTAAAGAGGCTTGTTAGATTGAGTCACTATTGAAATAGGTACACCACTAGAAGGTCTAATCATCTGTGGCCAGAAGATAAATTATTGGCATTAGAAACTCCTATATTTTAAAAATATTTTAGAAATCTCTCATTCTAAGCAAGGCCTTTTTTATATTTACCGAAGGATCAAGTTAAAAGAAAGATGCATAATAATGTCATGACTAGCCTTGGAAATTCTCTTGACAAAACGGAAGAACAAAAATCTAACCTAAAACAAGAGTTAAAATCCTTGAATGTTCCAACTGTCTTCTTCGGATTCCCTGAGGGATTTGTAAAAAAAGGCACCCACCCTTAGACCAGTGGTTAAAATTGAGCACTTACACTGCTGTAGCCTGAATGCAGTTCAATTCCCTGATTCCCTTTCAGGGGGCCAGTCCCTTGGAAATGTAAGCCCTTAAACTCACAGGATAAAAAGAAAATATTTATGAGAATTAGTTTAAATTATTTGTATGTTCCTTGACTTTGGGGTACCCATTTATTATCATTCTTTCTTCCCCCCAGTGATAGCTTTTGATTTCCTATTTGTTTTACTGTTTGTCTCTTTGAATTTTCCATCTATCAGTGTACAAGCTTGTTGGGTTTTTGAATACAGGTAGCCAACCAAAAAGGTGAGAGCCCTGGAGAATATGGCCAGAGATGTGGGTCGCTCCCCATTTGCCACAGGCAAACCTTCCCTTCTTTCAGTCATCATTGTGAGGGGTCTGGATCTTGAAAAGGCTGCAGCTTTTGCTTCCTTTTTAGAGACCTTGGTTAACCCCATAAAGGGCTTCTTGGTTTTATTATCACATGTGCTTATTTGTTTTGGTTTTAAGTCATTTGTTTAGATTTACCTCTGGTTTAAAGCTTTGGTTTATATCCAGAGTGTGATAGTATCTTTTTTCTCATTTATTTTTCTGCCTCTAATGGGCAGAAGAGACATGCCTCCCACCACCTCTGGTATTTGAATTGGTGAACAGATAAGCTGGGATTCTCCCAGACAGGGTGCTGGGTGGGGGAACATTGAGCTCACAGCTGCCATTCCTTTGGTTCCAGCAAAGGCCAGCTGCTTGTGTGACAGAAGGTTTTCTACTCGTAGATTTAAAAGAATTTTTTAGAGCTCTACAGTCAAATGTCAGCTCTTATTCTTTTGTGATCTCTTTTAAATACTATGTCTTCAGTGGGAATGTCTTAGTCAACTAGACAAATTTTTCTCTAAGCCTTGTTAACTATAACATCACTGGCCTTTTGGAAAGCTTAACATCTCCCCTAATTGGCTCTTCTAAGACTTGTTCTGATTCTTTTTCATGCTTTGTTTTCCAGAGTTTACACAACTTTTTTAAAAAGTTATCTATTACTTGCAGGAATTTGGTATACTTTTGGAAACAGAATCAAAACATTTGATTCCCTGATCCCTCCAGAATTTAGAAACTATTCACGGATATTTTTTATGACACTATAGTTATTTGCATAAATTCAATATGAATCTGTTTTCTTTTGTAACAGGACACAATTAGAAACACTGGTTATTTTACCACAGATTTGAATGGAATATCATATTTTCATATGTGAACAGACTGCTTTGAGGGACTGAGGTTAACTTTCATGGAACCAATAAAAAGCCTCTTGGAAAGACTGGCCTGGCACCTTTTCTACGCAGTTTCCTTACAAGATTCCTGACATCATAGTTAAGTAAATAATGTCATTTTCTGACAGGCCTAGGAACCTCAAGATATTTGGAAGACCTCAAGAAGAGAGTAATTAACCCAACTTAAACAGGCAGTCTGGGGCAAGTCAAATCCTTGGATTGGCTCCTTATTCTAGAGAAGTTTCTAATGGTTTGATTTGAGATTCCTTATGAAAAAGTTTCAACAAACCCAATTTAGATAGGTTCTATATCATAAATCACTATCCTTGCTGAACTTATATAATCAGAACAAAGACTAATTTTGCAAACAAATTGGTCTTACTGTGATTTTCTTTGGTAAAAATTAGGAGACTAGAAAAAGAAAAATCATGTTTCAGAAAAAATAAAAAAACTATACTGTACTTGCTGTTTGATTCTAGCCTTGTCAGTTTGTTTTTGAGTTTTTGTCTTTAAAAAAAAAAATCTGGATTGCAATCCTGAATTTTTAGTTTCTTCCAATATCTGGGCTTGACCCTCCAAACTAATGTTTTCCATTTTTCTCCCACCCTTCTGGCTGGGAATCACTAAGAAATTTTTTCTGAGGTTGAAGCTAGTCAACTTAGCTTTTTTAAAAAATCACTTCGAACTTTGTTTTAAACTGTTGTCTGTTTGTAGGTCCCATTTAATTCCCAGAAAGAATCAATCATTCACAAGATAATTTCTGTCTTCTGGGTCCGTTCATTCCCTTTGAAGATCATTTGCTCCTACACCTTTCAGCTTCCCTTCCCCTACAAAGATGAATACGTAAGCATTCGTGTCCTATTGGGTTGCTGAGTGACCATATTCCTGGGACTCTGCCATGCTAAACACATTAAAATAAATTTGTATGTCTCTTTTCTCCTATTAAGCTTTGCTTTGTCATTTGATTTTCAGAGAACCTTCAGAAGGTGAAGAGTAAACATTCCCTAGGCCCCACAACTGGATGCTTGTTTTCTGCTTTTCTGATACTTGAGCTGTTCCTAAAAATACCACATCTTAACATGCATTGAAATCTGTAATTCAACCATTACAATTCCCTTTAAGTGCATTTTGCAAGTAAAACCAAAACTTTAGTCCAAATGCCCGTTGTGCTGTCACTCTAAGTTTTTATCCTATAATTGATAAACCTGTCTAACAAGTCTATTCTCCTTTTGGAATAGACTTCTTGACCAACCCATGAGGATCACCAAAATCACAATCTCATGCCTTCACATCCAAGGCTCATGGACCATAGGCCTTCCTAATTTCTGGAGAGTCCCAGTGACTGGCAGACTCCACATGCCATTATCTTATCCAGGGAACAGGATGGTCATTTTTATATGATTTCTGTGGGGAATCCGAAAGATTTCTTTCTTCCAGTGGCCACTCTGGACAGTCACTACTGTAATACATGTGTGTGTTAACTTTGCATGTAACAAATTATTTTTTCTTAGAGTAAGGGAGGAAACCACCCCTCATATTGTCTTATGCCCAATTTTTGCCTCTAAAGAAAGAAGTAAAAACTAAAAGGCAAAAATGAAATCCACAGGCAGACAGCCTGGCACCACTCCTGGGGCCTGGTAGTTAAAGATCGACCCCTGACCTAACTGGTTATGTTATCTATGGATTCCGGACTTTGTATGGAAAAGCATTGTGAAAATCCTTGTCCTGTTCTGTTCTATTGTGATTACTGGTGCATGCAGCCCCCAGTCACGTACCCATTGCTTGCTCAATCTGTCACAACCCTCTCATGCAGACCCCCTTAGAGTTGTAAGCCCTTAAAAGGGACAGGAACTGCTCACTCGAGGAGCTCGGTTTTTTGGAGACGTGAGTTCGCCTATGCTCCCAGCTGAATAAAGCCCTTTCCTTCCACAACTTGGTGTCTGAGGGGTTCTTGTCTGCGGCTCGTCCTGCTACAAGAGAATCTAAAAATCGATAGAAATATTACCCCACTCCCTTTCTACAGGTGCAGAAATTGAGGCTTATAGATGGTAAGTAACATAGTGGGAGATGAGAAGGAAGTAACATAACATCACAGGCATAGTTCTAGACACAGTCCACTGTAGTGCCTGGTCAGGCAAGGTGGGGCCTCGCACTATATCCTGAGACTTCGTTAAACTAAAATGTGTTTTTAGATGAGATGGCAGCAAGATGCTGCAGACTTTGTTTATATGTAATTCCTATAAGCATAGACAAGCCAATTTATTGTGGTTTCAAAACGAATTTAGTGGCCGCTTTTCTTTACACTGCTATTGTTTCGAATCAAATGATGGGTTGGTTAATGTGAATTTATATGCCTCATTCTTGCCAGTTTTCTCCCCAGAGATGAATTGTTATGTTGAGAGTCTTAGCATTTATATGAGTCTTTTATTTTATGTGGTATTGGAATATTGTGGTTTGTAATAAGAAATACATATTTGGTTTCTGCTCCTGGTTTCTGGCGCACAGCTATTAAAATCCTTGTAATTTTTGACTGACAGAAATGCTATGTGCATCTTCTGTTCGAATATTTGTTCATTGACCAAAGTTCTTGACATATAGGCCCTAATCCCATAGAATTTTCTAGCAATAGGAACGTCTTTTGTTCCTATGGCTTGGTGTGTTCCTGGATGGGGGCTGGTCACCAGAAACACAAAGCCATGGCTAGAAGCTTGGAAGTTTCAGTCCCACACCCCTGTCCTGTGAGAAAGGGAGAGGGGCTGGAGACTGAGTTAATAATTGACCACACCTATGTGGTGAAGCCTCCATAAAAATCTTTGAACTGGAGTGTTCAGAGAGCTTCTGTGTTGGAGAATACCTCTACATGCCAAGGGGGTAGTGCATCCCAACTCCACGGAGACAGAAGCCTCTGTGCTTAGGTCTCTTCCAGACATCGCCCTATGCACCTTTTCATCTGGCTGTTCTTCTGTATTCTTGATCAATTCTTTCTAATAAACCAGCAACATAAGTTTTTCCCTGAGTTCTGTTAGCCATCAAAGCAAATGATCAAGCCCAAGGAGGGGGTCATAGGAACTTCTGATTTATAGCCAGTTGGTCAGAAGAAAGGAGAGCAGCTCCAGGGACAGCATGGATTGTGATTGGCATGTGACGTGGGCAGAGCCCTTATCTTATGGGATCCAACATCAACTCCAGATAGATAGTGTCAGAATTGAATTTAATTATATAACATCCATTTGGTTTCTGGAGAGTTGAGGAATGGGTTGGTGTGGGGGAAAACACACACACACACACACACACACATCTGGTCACACAAGAGTTGGATATGAGTACAAAGGAAAGCCGTTTCTTTCTCTAATAGTCAGATATTAACCAAACCCTGTTGATTTTCTACTTATGATCCCTGGGACTATAATCTGAGAGCTCCCTCAAAACCAGCTTTACCCTCACTACCCGTAATTCATTTTGTTTCAGTAAAAAGTATTATTACCTGTTGCTTTCTAAAAGAGTAACCGAGCTCTAGAATAAAGACAGCTGGTGGACGAGATACCAACAGTGTGGAACGAGCCCTTTCCTGCCTTCTCCCTCTCTTCCTTTCCACCTTCCCTTCCCCTAATTCCCTTAATACTTTTCCCCTATTACTAATAAGGCCATCTAAATTACTAGAAAAATGATGATATAAAGGTATACAGTTCTAGGGAAGATTGTAACTATCAATAGCATCATATTAAATTACTTAACTTTTTGTGCTGTTATATGGTTTGATCTAAGTCATCTTATGTGATTTTCAAAGGAATTATTCTCAGATACAAATGAGGATATTGAGTCAAAATTATTGTGTGATTTACATTAGTTTCTATAACTAGCAACTCAGAATTTCAAAGGCAAATGAAAGTCTCATCTCTTCCTCATTGTCTCTCTATACAGAGCACAGGACCTTAGCCCATGAACTTGACCTTCACAATCATCTCCTCACTTTACCATCATGCCAGTTACCTCAAAGGAGCCCAAAGAGGAAGTGGAAATAGGTTTCCAAGTGCTGTGATAGGTTTTTTTTTCTTTTTTTTTATAAATGAAACTAATATACTTTTAAAGTTTTCATGATAAGAGAAGTTAATTCCAGTTGAACTTATAAACACTCTAAATAAAGAATAAAGAATACACTAAAGAAAAACTCCACCAGTGTTTCCTGCCAGACTTGCACATATTAGGTATCAGATATTATGGTTTTGCAATCCCAGGTGCTGGGTTGATAATTCCCCAAAACGGTGTATTAGTCAGGGTTCTCTAAAGGAGCAGAACTAACAGGATATACGTTTATAGAAAGAGGAGTTTATTAGGAGAATTGACTCACACAATCACAAGGTGAATTCCCACAACAGGCCATCTTCAAGCTGACGAGTAAGGAAGCCAGTCTGAGTCTCAAAACCTCAAAAGTAGGGAAGCCAACAGTGCAGCCTTCAGCCTATGGCTGAAGGCCCTAGAGCTCCAGGCAAACCACTGGTGTATGTCCAAGTATCCAAAAGCTGAAGAACATGGAGTCTGATGTTCGAGGGCAGGAAGCATCCAGCATGGGAGAAAGATGAAGGCTGGAAGACTCAGCAAGTCAGCTCCTTCCACCTTCTTCTGCCTGCTTTATTCTAGCCACACCAGCAGCTGATAAGATTGTGCCCACACAGACTGAGGGTGGGTCGGCCTCTCCCAGTCCACTGACTCAAATGTTAATCTCCTTTGGCAACAACCTCACAGACACACCCAGGAACAATACTTTGCATCCTTCAATCCAATCAAGTTGACATTCAGTATCAACCATCACAAGTACACCCCTTGTCAACTTGAACCCATACATATCTCCTGAAATCAGACATAATCTTCAAATGAAGACAATAATAAGGTCATAATTACATCTAACATAATACAGCTATCCTTCATACAACCGGAAGCGCATTAATCCTTAACCTAAATGCTATTACATAAAGTTACTAACACTTAAATTCTGATATGAGTCAATAAATCTTATGTCACATAATAAAGGAAAAAAGAAAGGAAATAAAATAAAGATATTTTTAGTACAAGTGTATACATACACAAACAGGTTCTTAACAAAATAAGGAGGAAATACTCATGACAATTACAGTCCTCGTTTCTGCAACTGGTCTTGCAGTCGTAGCTGGTATTAATGACTACCTTCTTCTACTACCCATTTTGTATTCCCTTTTCCTTCAGCAAGCACCTCAGCAGGCAGTGTTTTTTACCTCGTGGGGTGACCCAAACCTTCATGCCTGAAGGGTCTGGGCCATTTGTAGTCCTACCTGGATTGGGCTGTTGTATTTTTCCATTGACCTTAATCACAGGGCATGGTAATGCTAACAGACGCCCTAAAGGATCTCCTCTATTCCATGCATACTCTGCCTTACCTCTGTTTTGGAGTAGTAGACTGATTTTGTCTTGATAGTCCGGGTCAGTCACCCCAGCCAACACTGTAACTACCTTCTTAGCCTGTTGATTTAGAGGCAGGAGGAGCCCGAAGTGTCCAGGTGGCAATCTTAACTTCCAGTTTAATGGAATCATTGTCGTGTCTCTTGGTGGCAGCATTCCTCCCTCTAGAACCAAGACATCTAGGCCAGCAGAACATAATGTCGCAGAACAGGGAGCAAAAATTTTGCTAGTGGATTACTAGAGGTGATGGTGAGTGGTACCACTTCCACTTCCACCCTACTATGGTCATTGGAAAGGTTATACAGATAATTGATATTCATAGAATGGAATATTACATAGCAATTTAAGTAAGTAAAGTGGGCTATAAGTATGAATATGGATTACATCAATAATAAAATGTTGGGATGTTAAGAGAAAAATGGTGGGCCTCAAAAGTCATTCCATATAACAAATGAATGGTTGAAAATCTTTATTTGGACAATTAAGTCTCAGGAGGTTAAATGGCTCTTCCAAGATATAAACCATGGTTCCCAAAAATAGACATCCAGGGCCAGTTGACAGTGCTTCAGACATTCTAGACTGATTATCTCTGTTCTGTAACGCCCCATAGAGCATGTAGGAAAAGCAAAAGATTCACAAGTATTCCAGATTTTAAAAAAAATAAAAAAGGATATGCTTACAATATTACAAATGACAGTTCTTGTTTTATATAAATACATTAAGTTATGTGACTATCACAGATGGCCCAGTGACCAGGACTAAGTTTGCATCTGAAAGCATCATAGTATGGAGGAGGGAGAGTTCTGCCTGAGGGCCTGGGTAAGATTGATTGGTAGGGTTTATGTAGACAGCCTAGAGTGCTCCAAGCACCCCCATAGACTGCTGGCTCCTTTAGTTGCCCCTCTGACCACAGATGGCTCCTATGCCATCTGAAGTCTGACACCCAGAATGTCTCCACAACCTTCCAAATAGAAAACTTTCATTCTTGTTTTGATTCCATCAGCAACATAGTGGTGGCACTTGGGCCCCTTGGCCAACATGGGATCATAGATTTCGTTGGCTTCATGGATGCAGGTTGTATATGACTTTCACATGTTGAGAAGTATTCTTCTGGCTGCAGCATATTGATTTTATTCTTTCCAACATGAATTTCTTATGAAATATTTCTTTGGTGGCTATAATCTCCATAAGGACTCGGAAATGCAAGAGGGTTGCTAATTCTGACAGCTCTTCATCCTGGGCTTAAGTGCATGGATAGATATGTACACTTACCTGCTGTATTTTTGTTTGTTTTTCACAATCTGCCTCTTTTCCAAGAAATTCTCCATAAAATCTATTTTCATACATCAAGAATCCTTAGTTCATATATTTTTGAGTCAAACTTGATGATTTTACTTTTATTGCTTTATATTGTGTATGTTTTACACACTTTTCCATGTTAAAAACTTGCCAAAAATAATGCTGGAATGTAATTATCAAATGAGGAGCACAACATTTGGGTCCAACTTTGTCAAGTAGCACCATGCCAACATGAACTGAGAGCCCTGTTTTCAGAGAACAAGCCAGGCATAGAGCTTTGCTCAGCAGATCCGTCAGCCTAGCACTTACTGGCTTCATGCAGGATCTTGCCCAGTTCTCTGTACCTCAGAGAGCTTTTTCCTTCTTCCAAAGAAAGTGTCTTCATTACGTAACTTTGATCTACTTGTGGGCAAATCTGAGTTTCAAAGATTATGCTTTAAATCTTCTCTCCTACTATAACTTCCATTGGCAAACTGTGCTTGGCCACTCTCCTTAAAACGAAAAATTCTTAAAGTAGAGGTAAGTAGCTTTTATGTATGTGACCAGTTACAAAACCGTTCCAGTTTTTATCCCTTCTAACTGAGAATTATGTACTGACTCTATCTACTTGAGTGGCAAATTTGGAGATGAGGAAAGGAAGTGGTACTCAAGAGCACTGGTTTTAGTATTTGCTCCTCAATTAACTTTGTCAACATGAGCGCATCGCTCAATCTCTCTGAACCTCAATGTAGCTGTAAAATTCACACAGTGACTCCTCCTATGCACTTAATAAGGCTGACATCATGAATGGGAAAGCCCCTTGTAAGCTGTTCACAGTTACACAAATATCAGTGTTTTAGTTTAGGTTCCCCCAAAAAAGAGACCCTGACATAAAAATTCAAGTGCAATTAGTTTCTTTGTCAACAGATGATGGGAAACATCAGAAGAGAAGCAAAGAAAAGCAGTAAGTGTTTGAGCCAGCAAGTTACCAATTGGGGAACTCTTGAGAGTGAGAATGAAGCATACACCTCAGTGTATGCATCCCAGAGAACGCTGGGCACTGAGGTGTCCACCACCAACTCCAGTAAGTTATTGGTTAGAGGGTGGATGTGATTTCCTCCACCTCCTATGTTCCCTGAATGAGCAGCCTGGGGCAGAGCGAGCCCTTGGTGGAAGAGAAGCAGGTGCTCAGCAGCTGGAAGTCAGACTAGTCTGCTTTGACATTATGGTACAGAGGAGATGCAGGTGGGGCAGCAACAGCATCTGCTGCCATCAGTATTGTCATAGAATCCTCTCAAGCTTGGGCACCACTGATGATTCTGTTACCTAAGAGAGTTAGCATCTTGCTGTTCTCTTGATCAGTCAATTGTGCTATATTTTTTATTGATACCAAGTACACCTACATTTTTCACTGTGAATAAATTTTAGCATGTTTAATATTTATTTCATTATATTTATTTAGATTTAGTGTATGTGAAGTTCTTGTTAAGATCTTTTGCCATTTTTCTACTGCATTCTTCCTTGTTTTCCACATGGATTTTTTTTAACTTTATTACATTAAAACAATTAACCCTCAGCCTTCATGAACTAACTTTTTTCAGGTCAACTAGTATCTTAGTTCATGTTCTGCTGCTTTAACAGAATACCAGATGCTAGGTAATTTACAATAAACAAATTTATTTGTTTCATGGTTCTGGAGGCTGGGAAGTCCAAGATTGAGAGGCTGCATCTGGTGAGGGCCTTCTTGATGCATCATCTCATGATGGAAGGGCAGAAGGGTAAGACAGCACACACATGAGAGAAAGAGAAGGGGGCAAACTTACCTTTTGCCAGGAACCCACACCCCTGATAAGAGCATTGATCCATTCTTAAGGGCAGAGCCCTCATGACATAATCACCCTCTTAAAGGTCCCACCTCTCAACATTGTTGCATTGGGGATTGAGTTTCCAGCACATAAACTCTGGGGACACACTCAAACCACACCAGCTTGTAATTTTCCTTTTTAATCATTTTATTTTAGTGTAGGGAGGTTTTTCATTTATATGTAGTCAAAATTATGACTTTTTTTTATTGCTTTAGGGTTAGGCCTTTTGTTTTGGTAATAATAGTAAAGTAGGCTGGACATGGAGGCTCATGGTGGCTCATGCCTAGCACTTTGTGAGGCTGAGGCCGACAGATCACTTCAAGTCAGGAGTTCGAGACCAGTCTGGCCAACATGGTGAAACATTCATCTCTACCAAAAATATAAAAATTAACCAAGAACATGGTGTGTGCCTGTAGTCCCAGCTACTGGGGAGGCTGAGGTGGGAGAATCGCTTGAACCCCGAAGGCGGAGGTTGCAGTGAACCGAGATCGAACCACTGCACTCCAGCCTGGGTGACAAGGTGAGACTCTGTCTCAAAAAAAAAAAAAAAAAGTAAAGTAGAAGCAGCAAGATTAAAATTATTTAATTAAAAGTATATTCTGGCCAGGCATGGTGGCTCACACCTGTAATCTCAGCACTTTGGGAGGCTGACGTGGGCAGATCACTTGAGGTCAAGAGTTCGAGACCAGCCTGGCCAACATGGTGAAACTCCATCTCTACTAAAAATACAAAAATTAGCCGGGCATGGTGGCACATGCCTGTAATCCCAGCTACTCAGGAGGCTGAGGCAGGACAATTGCTTGAACCTGAGAGGCAGAGTTTGTAGTGAGCCGGGATAGCACCACTGCCCTCCAGCCTGTGAGACAGAATGAGACTCCGTCTCAAAAAAGAAAAAAAAATGTATATTCTACAACAGGGTGATGCCAGCAGTTGATACAATCACTATTTACATACCTTTTTACACCATCTCAGCAAATCAGGAAGCCACGGGAGCAACTTTCATCTAACAGTTCCCTATAGAGCATGTGCACATGAAGACAAAATAGAAGTCAGTATGGGTTCTACAGATATGAAAAGAGGATCTCAGTTGTTCTGTTAGTAAAAAAGAGCTTGTCCCAGTCTTTCCTAATAAACTTTTTTGGGATATTCAATTAAAACACTTACAGCTAAGAAAAGACCAAAGTGCCTCGATGATTAAATGTAACATGATATCCTGGTGGGATTCTAGAATAAAAAAGAACAGTAGGTAAAACTAAGGAAATCTAAATAAAGGATTTAGTTAATAATAATGTATTATTTTGCTTTATTTGTTGTGACAAATGTTTAATACCAACCTGAAATATTCACTAACAATAAAGGAATCCAGGTGCAGAGTATAAGAGAGCTCTGTTATCTTTGCAATTTCTCTGAAACTCTAAAACCATGCTAGAATCAACAAGTTTATTTAAATAAAAAATACTTCCTAAAATATAAACAAAACTTAGAGTTAAACATGGTCATTAAAATAGAAATTAACAACAAATGGGAGAAACTATATACGGGCTACAAATAAATAGTTAACACATTTATTTAGACAATTGTACTAAAAAGAATTTGTTTAGGGTTAAGCCCAGAGTGAGAAAAAAAAAAAATAAAAACAAGATGGAAAAACAATAAACAGATATACAATCTAATTAGAGAGATAAAAAGATTTTGAAATAAAATAGGAAAAGTAGTTAAGAAATATGTAGGGCAGATTGACAGAAGCAAGGACATGTCTAAATAGGATCTCCAGAAGAGAGCAGGAAAGAGTGACAGAAAGCCAATATTGAAATCGGCAATAAACTGTTTCCAGAATAAAAGAGACATGAGAATCCAGATTCCACGTGTACACCACATGCTGACTAGAATACATGGAAATAAATCTGTTTTAGAAAACCTGAAAGCTAAAAGGCTTTTGCTCATAGATTCGCTGGCTGTGCACTGCACATGGACTGTTTTGTAATGGCACTTTTTAGTTTGTAAAGTATATAACATGAACACCTATACGTGGTGGACCTGCAGGAGAGAAAATAAAAATACCAACGGTGGAACCACTGTTAGATTGAGAGTAAGCATCTCCCTACCAACAAAATCTGCCAAAACAATGCTCTGAGGGGCAAAATTCTATCAACCCAGAAGTGCGTATTGACTGGAGAATAATTTAACCTTAGGAAATTAATAGAGTTCATCACATTGTGGTATTGAGGGATTAAAAAGATATCTACTTTAATAGTTTCACAAAGCTTTTTATAGAATTTTAGACAGTATAAAGTTGGCCTTCAGTATCCTCAGGTTCCACATCTGTAGATTCTACCAACCTTGGATCAACAGTCTTTGAAAAAATAACTAACAACAAAAATAACAATATAACAATTTTGAAAAATATAAATAAAGAGATATACAGAGGCTGGGTGTGGTGGCTCATGCCTGTAATCCCAGCACTTTGGGAGGCCAAGGCGGGCAGATCACTTGAGGTCAGGAACTGAAGCCCAGCCTGGCCAACATGGTAAAACACCTTCTCTACTAAAAATACAAAAATTAGCCAGGCGTGGTGGCGCATTCCTGTAGTCCCAGCTACTCGCGTGGCTGAGGCAAGAGAATTGCTTGAACCCAGTAGGCAGAGGTTGCAGTGAGCTGAGATTGCACCACTGCACTCCAGCCTAGGCGACAGAGCAAGACTCTGTCTCAAAACAACAACAACAAATGAGCAATAGAGTATAACAACTATTTAGATGGCATTTACATTGTATTAAGTATTATAAGTAATCCAGAGTTGATTAAAGTATACAGTAGAATGTGTAGGCTGTTATACATGCAAATACTCTCATCCCTTGGTATTCATGTGGGATTGGTTCCAGGACCTCCATGGATACCAAAATCTGTGAATGCTCAGATCTTTTATATAAAATGGCACAGTATTTGCATAGAACTATAAACATCAATATACCTTTAATTAACTCTAAATTACTTGTAATACCTAATGCAAAGTAAATGCTATGTAAATACTTATACTGTGTTGCTTTTTATTTGTATTAGTTTTTACTATTGTACTATTTTTTATTCTTTTTTTAAAAGTATTTTCCATTCATAGTTGGTTGACTCCTCATGTTCAGTACTCTCAAATACACAGTGTCAACTGTATTATGTCATTTTATATAAGGAACTTGAGCATCTGTGGATTTTGGTATCCACTGGAGTCCTGGAACCAATCCCCTGTGGATACCAAGAAACAATTGCATCCTCCTGATCCACACTTAGTGATTGACTAATGCATGGCTGTTTTTATAAATAATTTGGAATTGTAGTGTTATTCTTATTAAAGTTTCTAATGAAGCAAGATTATTTGCCATTATCTCTGTAATTCACATTTTTCTGTAAGCAATAAGTATTACTACAAGACTGGAAGGAATATGAGAAGTCACAAATAACAGAAAGTTTTAGTGGTAAATAATCATTAGTTATAAAAAGTACATTGGTGTGCTGAAAAACACAAGAAAATCAAGACTGGTTAAAAAAGAAATCAAAAAGCCCCAAAGTTTCTATAAATTAGAAGTAACTGCTTAGAAAATGTTATTGGAAAACAATATTAATAAGTGGCACAGAATTTAAATACAGGACTTTTGTGAACAGAACTATAAGACCTTTTCAGAGGACATAAAGATGTGAACAAATGGAGAATCTCCTCTGTTACTCAGTGGGGAAGAGGCACCAGTGGGAGGTGAAGAGTTTGGGAAAGGCCTTTCAGGGAACACCATAGCCAAAACCCACGCAGGAAAACATTGATAGAGCTGAGAACCAATGTATTTAAAAGATTTAAAAGATTGCTAAAGTCCATTGTCCACTGGGAAGAAAATGTGTGTAACATAGACAGTATAAGAGAAAATGTTTCTATTTTAATATTAATGAGCTCTGTCTTAGTTTATTTGGGCTGCTAAAATAAAATACCCTAAACTGGTGGCTTATAAACAGCACATTTATTCCTCATGGTTCTGGAGACTGGGAAGTCCAAGATCAAGATACTATATTCCGTATCTGGTGAGGGCCACTTTCTGGTTCATAGATGCCCATCTTCTAGCAGTGTTCTCACCTGCTGGAAGGGCAAGACAGTTTTCAGGGCTCTCTTTTATAAGGGCACTAATGCTATTCCCAAAGACCCCACCTCCTAATACCATTACCTTGAAGGCCACAACTTCAACATATGAATTTGGAAAAGACATAAACATTCAGACCATAACATGCTCTTACAAATTAATTAGAAAAGGCTATTCTGTCTTAAAAATAGTTTCACAAAGTGAATTTTCAATGGTCAGAATTCCAAATGGTATCCTGTGCATCATCTTCACTTGGGGGTCTCCTAAGCTTTGCTCCTGTCCCTCATCGAGCCTCCCTGTCCCTTCCCAGGGTCTCTTGCAGGCATGCTCCCTTTGATTCTCCCATTCATTGTCCAGGTGCAAGGTCACCTGCAGGCACAGATCTTAGATCCCCACCCATAGGCTTTCCCTGACACCATTCCCATTCCCAATGGCCCCAGCCTCTTCCATTTCAGCTCTGGAGAGTGGGCACTGACTGTGGAAGGTTCTGGCCTGGCTCTGCCCTTCATCTCTGTCCCCGCCTGCTCTGGTCTTTGCTTGCAACCCCTTTTACCCAGTGACGTGTGTTCCCAGATTCCCTTTGGGCTGATTTCCCCAGTGAGCATTGTCTCACATTATTTACCTGTTGGTTCTTACCTCAAGCCAGCCCTGCCTTTCCTCTGCCCTGCAGAAACTCTTCAGTACTTTCTTGTTTATAGATGGCATATTGGATTTCTTTTCCCATGTGTCAGTGCCAATGCCAGTTGTCTTCCATTTACCCCATTCTTCTTTTCACTTACTAGAAATTCAGGAGGCAGTCATTGTGTAGGGGGTCAGATCTTCATCCAGAACCTGACCTGCCATGTCAGTGGGAAGGCTGTAACTGATGCTCAATCAGTAACAGTTCAATAGAAAATCATAAAACAAGTGTTTTAGAAATGGCAAAAGAATTTTATTTGAGCTGAAAAATTTTAACAGAGGTCGAATTACACCAGAAACAACACAGGATTTACTAGAAAATCTTGACTATAGTGCTGGATGTGTTAAATTGGTTAAATTTAATAAACCAAACACATTTGTTTTTCTTGTATTGCTAAAAAAATTAACCATTCTTTATATGCCTCTCTAAGTCATTGTTTCTTGGAAAAACAAACAAACAAGTTACATTTTTTATAAAGTCTAGTTCTTTTAACAATTCTGTTGAACTATAATTAATGAAAAAAAGTTGTAGATATTTAATATGTACCACTTGATGAGTTTGGAGATAAGTATACACCCATGAAGCCATCACCACAATCTATGCCACGAACCTATTCCTCACCTCCAAAACTTTTCTCCTACACTTTTTATTTACCATTACTATTATTGTGATAAAAACACTTAACATAACATCTACTCTCTTCATGACTGTAAAGTGTATAATAAAGTATTATTAGCTCTAGACACTATGCTGCATAGTAGAGTCGCAAAAATTACTTATTTTGCATAATTGAAATTCTGTATCCTTCAACTATCACCTTCCCATTTTCTTCTATCCAGTTCCTGGAAACCAGCATTCTATTTTATGATTCTGTAAGTTTGACTATTTTAGATTCCACATGTAAATGAAATCATATAGTATTTGTATTTCTGTGATTGGCTTATATAACTGAATATAATACCGTCCACATCTATTCATGTTGTTGCAAATGGAAGAATCTTTTTATTCTTTTTTAATGTGGAATAAAATATCATTGTGTATATATACCACAATTTCTTTCTTCATTCATTCATTGAAGGTCATTTAGGTTGCTTCCATGTCTTGGCTATTGTCAATAATGTTTCAATGAACATGGAAGTACAGATAACCCTTCAATATGTTTTTTTCAATTCCTTTGAATAAACACCTAGAAGTGAGATTGCTGGATGATATTTTATGTTCAATAGTTAATAGTTAATTAATACTAATAGTAAATATTTTTATTTTTCTGAGGAACCTCCATAGTGCTTTCCTTAATGGCTGTACTAGTTTACATTTCTACCAACAGTGTACAAGGACTCCCTTTTTTTCTATTGCTTCTTTGATCTATATGTCTGTGACTACAACAGTACCATGCCGTTTGGATTACTGTAGTTTTTAAATATGTTTTGAAATCAAGAATTGTGATGCCTCCAGCTTTCTTCTTCTTGCTCAAAATTGTAGAAACTCTAGTTTTCAATCGACATTTGAAAACGTTTTCTGTATGTTTAATCCTTTAATCTCTAAACGTTTTATTTTCTGGTTGTTCATTTGCAAGCATCATCTTTTTGGTTATAAAAACTGCCAATTGTTATGTTACAATCATTCATTAAGTATGTTTGTTATTGTCATTGTTTACAGAGTCTGTCTTTCTCTTTGATGACCTTGAATAAAGACAATGAAACTTAGCAATGTGACTGGAGGTGCATGTTTTTTTGTTCCTTTAGGAGAAAGTGTAGGAGAAGTCTTTGGGATTTTATCATAGCAAGGGTGAAGAAAGAGGCGAGACCCTGAGGTCTGCAAATGCCCCTGAAATATCAAGGCCACTTGTCATGAAAGGTGTCATATTTTAATGAGAACGGTTCCAGTATTCCATGAACCATACTTGATTCTCATAAGTACCAGCCTGCAGGGCAACATAGACACAAGGCAGGAGGAACTAAGTAGGGGAGACCCCCAGCCAGTGGCTGCCCTCCAAAGATCAGGAGGCATATCTTTCTTCCATGATTTATTGCCTTTTTCATATCTTCTTTTCTTTATCACTAAAATTCAAATTCTTTCTGTTAGTAGATTGTGATAAAATAAAGTTAGACCCAGGAACTCTGAGTCAAGTACTATATTTGCTACTCCCTAAATGATAAAATGATGCTCTCTGGCTTGGGATTTTTTGGGTTTTCCTTTTTGTGAATAGAAAATAGTAGCCACCCAACAGAATTGATGCACAACTTACAAGAAATACACTAGAAATGAGTGGCTCTCGATGAGTGTTAGCCAAGTCTGGAAGAGTCTCACAGTGCCACTTGAATTAATTCTGAAGTTTTACTCCTTAACAAAGGTAAATAGTGGTATTGAAGAGTTGAGAAACTCTCTCCTCTAACTCCAGACGTATGATCAGTCCTCCTCTTAGGTACAATTCAAGCCCATGTGCAAAGTGGCCAGACTTCTCTGTTCTTGCCAATAGGTCTCCACCTCTTCAGAAACCAAATACTGGACAGCTGGTGACAAAGGGTGACAAAAAATGTTCAACTTATGCAGTGTGATGAGAAAAAGCATAGATTGAGTTCCTATATAAAGCCTGTACCCAACATCTAGCATGAACCTCAGTGTTTGATCAGAAGTAAGTAGAGGCTAAGCCTAGAAATAAAATAAAATAAAATAAAATAAAGCAAAACAAAAACATAACAAACGCGAGCATGCCTATTGCATTCTAGAAACTGTTCTAAAAACTTTTCATATATTAGCACATCCAAAGCTTGCAGCAATCTTGTGAGTAGAGGCTGTAGTTAAGCTCATTTTAGAGATGTGTACAGAGACAGGGAGTGACTTGCTCAGGTCCCCCAGGGAGTGGGCTCTGGCATCTGTGTTCCTGATAGCTGCTCTAGATAGCATCTCTGTGCTCCAGAACAGACCTGTGGTTACAATACTCTGGATTTAGGCACCATTTGCTGAGAATGGAAGAACATAGAATTTAGGGCCTGTCCTTTAAAGAAAAAGAATGTGAGAAGAAGAAATTTAGCTAGAAAAACAAAAAAGGCTATCGTATTTGGCAATCAAGATGACATGAGTGACATTTACAGAGAGGTTTCTGGCATTTACCTGGGGTATGTAGGATGTGGAAGGGGAGATGCTCAGGCTTTTTGCAGTAAAGAGAAGAACATTATGATAGTAGCTTAAGCAAGCCATAGACTCAGAAGACCCTTTTAATGGGAGGAAAGAACTGGGTGCATTCTTAGAAGAAACAGAGCCACATAAGAGGAAAATATAGAAGACACAAGAGAGAGAACTGAGATACTCACAGCAAGAATCCAGAGGAAGCTAGGAGTTGAGGAGACGGAGTCCAGAGCATGGATAGAAGAAATGGCATTGTTAGATAGGAGGAGCGCTTGTCCATCTAAGACAGAAGCACAGGAGATGAGCTTGGAACCAGCGACACCACCTGCAACTCTTCCCCAGCTGCAACATCACTAATGTGATGAATGTGCCCTTACGTTTATCCGACACATATATAAAGTTCATTGTGTGGATTGGTGAGGCAAGATGACCACCCTAGCAAGTGGGTGGCAGTATAGGATCAGCTCATTCAACTCATCAGCCCTATAGTGTAGACAGTTCTACCGAACACTTGTGGCATACTTACTCCTGAAATTCTGTGCCCAAAAAGGAAAGTTAAAAGATGTCTCTCGAGATGGTGTCTCATGTCACAGCAGAGACATAAGCAGTTTCCAAAAGCTGTTGTCAAGATTCAGAATCAGAACGGTCCGGCCAGCTGTGTGCCTCACATGTAAGCATTAACGAGTGTCTTGTGTTTATGATGCTTTGAAGTTGTTACAAGAGATAGATCATTAGATTAACACATACTGTACAAATATTCCATTATCCTCCAAATTCCCCACTGAGAAAAAAAGGCAACTGCAAATCTAATTTGAAAGATTGGTTTGAAGAAAAGCTATGGCAAGCTTCCCAGAGTCTTGTGGTTTTCTGGGTCCCTGACCCTGCATTTGTCTCCTGGAATCACCTCAGCAGTGTGAGCAGGGCCACCAAGCCCAAGCTGCCGGGAGCAGCTGGAGAACACATCTCCAGATTCCTCAAGTGACCAAAAGGAAATGAATTCAGTCACCATACATATTCATACACACATGTATAAAATAAATGTGCATTTTTATATTCAGCCTACTTAATTAGAAAAGTCCCCTGGGCTGTCACTGTCACTGAGTTAATAGTGAGCTTTCTTAGGATTTGCCAAGAATAAAGACATGAAAATACATAGCAAGTCAAGGAAAGATAAGCATCGTCTAAATAGAAGGGCTTATGCTTCAGTTCTTTTATGAATTACTAGCACTTTCATATTTTGTGAGGTTTTCTTTAGAGATTCAATACAATATGTAGAATATAGCACATGATAAAAATTTGATAGCACGATAGAAACTGGATTTTTAAAAGAGATGAAAAAATGAAAGAAAGGAAAGCAATGAGGCCAAAATTACTAATTAATGATCCATTTAGAGGTCAAATAATGAGTATTGGATAAACAAAGCGTGCATGTTCTATTTAATTTCATTTATTGGTCACCACTGTGCCTGAGACGATTTATAATCTCATTTCTACACTCTGTTTTTTTTTCTTCTTTGCCATATTCCAAGCAAAACATCTAATGTGCTGTATTTTGGGGAATAAATGTTGATTCAGTATTTAAAATAAGCATCTAAGACTAGTAAATGCTGTAGAACATATACAGTTGAACAAGAAAACATCTTATTAAGGAGGTTAACTAAATAAGTTAGGTAAGTTAATGAATAAGAATATATGGCAGAATTTAAGTATCAAGAGAAAAGAGGATATTAATCATGCCTTTTTATTGTCTGTATTTTTTATGTTTGACATCTGGGGCCTTGCTAACTCTGGAAAGATTGCCCCTTACAGGGCTAGCTAATTGCCAGAGATATTAAAGGACTTGCCTGCAAATGTACCTTCCATATGCAAATCAACCAATCCAGAGCTTATACCTTGGACCACCAACTTTATTGACACTTATACTCAGGGCTACTACTTTCCTGTCCTAATTACACCAGAATCAGGTAGCAGATAAGGGACACCTCCTAGCCCCCAGTGCATGCTGAAATTATTGAAACTAGCCAATTCTAAGCCTGTCTATACTGTCTCGGCCTGTTCCTTCCTGCAGAAACCACAAGGCAGGCTCTTGCTCATGTTTGCCTCTCATTCCCTCTGCCTCCTGGCTAAGCTGGTGTTTCCCCATGTGGACCTCCATGGTATGGCATTCCTACTCCTCTTGGGATCTGTAACAAACTATCTTTTCAATGACTATTGAATGACATTGCAATGATGATTCACCATACCTGAATAACAATAATAAAATACAAGTTTAGATAGAGAAAGTGATGACAAATAAATGGAGACATCATGTAGGCAAGTCAGGCTTCAAGAAGAATATAGCATTGGCCCAATGTATAAAACATTGAAAGGGTTTGAAAGGCAGAGAAGGAAAATCCTGTGTCCACAGAAACAGCACCAGAATCAAAGTCAAATTGAGAAATTATGCTTGATCAACACAAAGGTCAATGGATGGAAGTTAGACCACATTAAGCTTTCTGCAGATGAGCAAAATGGTAGTGGAAATTAATTCTATAGTATAGAGTATAGATAGGAGAAGACAGTGCCTGAGCGTACTCCAAAAGTCACCGTGGAGCCTGAAATAAATCAACCTTCCTTGACAGATAGGTAGGTAAGGAGGTAAAAACAACATTTAAGTGCCTTTTGCCTTTACATAAATTGCCTTTCTCTTTTATTTTTTTCCATAGGCATGTAAAATGGGTAGTCTCATGTCCCATTTACAGCTGGAAAATGAAGAATCCCAGAGTTAAGAGACTGCTCAGTGTCCAAACATGGTAAAAAGCAGAAGATTTGTTAGCACCCAAATCTAACTCAAAAGTTAATACCACAAAACATTCCAGGTAAAGTGAAATTGAAGGGCATATCAAAGGAAAATAAGAGAGAGAGGTGGAGGGAGAAAAAGAGAGAGAGAAAATAACTAACATAACCAACATAAATCTAAGATGGATAGAAAATCTGCAAGGATTTCTACTCATCAAAAGGACAAACACCACCACCAGTTTTTCAATGACCATTGAATGACTGTTCAGTGATGATTCATCATACCTACATAACAATAATAAAACACATTTTTAAATAGAGGGAGTGATGACAAATAAATGAAGATATTTATTTTGTGGTCAGTATTCCACCTGTTCTTTGCCTCTTGAAATAGTACTCATGTTTAAACATGCTAGAAAAATGACATGTTTGTTTCCCATTCCATGTCACACGACTCAGCATCTCCAATTCTAGAAATTTCAAAACCTAGAGACCTATTCCTCTACTTCCAGCATTGTTTTTCATAGTAGGCAGGCACCTTACTCCACACCTCTGCAATTCAATTTGGAGATGGAAGCTTCCAGAAGAGGACAGGCTGGGAACTAGCTTTTGATCATGCCACATTGCATTTCTGGAGATCTGGGTGGGGAGGAAAGGCAGGAGATGGCCGGTAAATATGAGCTGGATGTTGTGCTAACCTATGCATCCTACCAATGCAGAAGGGCAAGCAGCCATGCTAGAGGCAGGAGATGACTCCACTTCAGCAGTCTCTGGGCAGCAAAGGCTGTTAAGCACTGAGAACACAACTGAAGGCTACACATGCTATTTGTTTTCCATAAGCAGAGTCAATGTTCATAATTTGTTATTGTTGATCAGATCTCAACTTGTACAAGTTGCAACATCTAACTATAATGTATTCATCTTTGTAATTACTGGCAAAGGTTGTAAGTCACTTGCAGATTTTAGAGAAAATGAATGAGAAAATAACAACAAATAATTCAAAAAATATGAAAAATGAAATCACATTCAAAGTTGAATTCAGAGGCAAATACATAGCCTTAAATGGTTTATTATTCAGCAAAAGTAATGAAAACCAAAGAATTAAGCAAGTACTCAATGATACTAAAAAATCAATACATTTGCTATTACTAAAAATTTAGAATTTAAATCAAGGATAATAAATAATAAAAACAATACTTAAAAGACCTGATTTATAAAAGGCTGTGTATTTTTTTTTTAAGTATAATTCTAAGAAAGATTTAAGGACCAGATTTTACCATAAGTTACCTATAGGTTCCAAATAATAAATTCCAATATATAGTAACTTAAATTATGCAATATATTGGCATCAATTATGACAGAAAAGGATCAATATGATCAGTATATAAAGAGCTACATAAAGAGCCCTTAAAATCATGAAGGAAAACTTTAACACCCCAAAGTACAAAGTCAAAGGCAATATTTAATTTACTGAATATATATGAATTGCCAATAAAAATAGAAAATACTTCTCATCTTACCAGTGCTCAAATATGCCAAAAGCAGAGGGTATGGCTGAATCCTTTGCTATCCACATATCTCCACCTTGGCTCAGAGAAAGGGAATGCTTATTTCCCCCTTACCAAAGGGTTGTTCTTCTCAGGGGACTCTTTTCCATCTTTCCTGGGCCTTACTCCCGTGATTTATCTGATGGGTGATACTGATGGATGACTGGTATTCATTGGACCTTATTTCTCTTTAGAGTGACTCTCTTAAAATAAGGATCACATATGTGGCATAGACGGTTGTCCATTGCTTCCTCCTGAACACATTTGTTCGAGTTCATGCGTTTGTTCTCCAAACCTGGAGAGTCAGACCACTCACTTTATAATTTACATTATAACTTGCTTTCTCTATTTGCAATGCGGTGGTCCAGTCAAATGCAATTGCTGTGTATATCACCATAGATATATGTATTTTGATTCCCAAAATTCTAATGTTTTTAAAATTTGAGGTCAACACTACTCAAAACATGCCAGAGAATTGCGTCCCCTGAAGGGTCATGTGTTGGAAACTTAATCCCCAACACAACAGTGTTGGGAGGTGGGGCCTAAGAGAGGTGTTGGGTCATACAGATAGAACCCTCATGAGTGGAATAATGTTATTATCACAGAAGAGGGTGGGTTATCCAGAGAGTAGGTTGTTATAAGTGAGTCCAGACCCTGTTTTCTCTATCTGATATTCTGGCTTCTGCCCTCGCCTTTCCAGCATGAGATAACCCTAGCCAGGTTTTGGTGCTATGCTCTTGGACTTCCCAGACTCCATATGAGAGAAATGGTCTCCATAGGTGAGAAATAAATTTATTTTCCTTGTAAATTATCCATTTTGTGGTGTTCTGTTACAGCAGCAGAAAACAAACCAGGAGAGAACACCAGTCTGATTGCTTCCTACATGGAAGGTGTGATATTTTAAAAATGTATTTTGAAAGCAAATAGAATCTTAGGACCCCAAACTCACTATGCCAAAGGGAAAGTTAAGGTTGGGGGCTGAGTCACACAATACTGCCTTTCTTTTCTTCCCAAGGAGATGTAATTTCACTACTCTATGTCTCACCCATAGGCCAGGTTTCTACAATCATAGGGCCACACGTTTCCCCAGATGACCTCCCTCAAAAATTGCTTACAAGGAAGTTCCTTGTGAGCAGTTAAGTCTTTCAGAATACATAGCTTTCCTGTAAATTAGCCTTAAAACTGAGTTCTGTTGAATCTCACCTTGGAAGTGTCAATTACCAGCTTATTTTCACAGGTACAGGACAAGACCAGAAATCATTCCCCCACCTAGTCTGAGATGAATGCATAACTGACTTTTCCTCTACTCTCTCTTTTCACATTTACTGTATCTTCAGTAAAATGTAGACTTACTGAATGCAAGATAAGGCATAATTGACTTGTCTTCTACTCCCTCTTTTCACATGTAAAATGTAGATTTAGTGAGACTACTCAGAGCTTCACAAGAATGTAACCATTTGTCTCACTGCCTTACCTTCCCTTTTTTACCTCCTGCTTGCTCTTTCCCCATTAAACACTGCAGTTCCCCAAGTTCGCTTTTTAAAAAAACACAGGTCATGTATAGTCCTGTGACTTACGGAGTTTGTTGTTGTTGGTTTGTTTGTTTTCTTTCTAGGTGTGTCTTCCTCAACCTTGGCTAAATAAACTTCCATGTATTGAGACCTGCCCTAGTCACTTTTTGGTTAATAGCATCTTGGTTGGAAATACTTGAATTCTAGGACTACTCAGCACAGTAATCCCTTTAAATATTATGACCTTATACTTTGTTAATAGAACTACTATTAGACATTCATTGGGACCTCTCTTCTAAAATTCACGTCTCTCTATTCTTATAGACATTGGAGAAGCTTTTATCATTTGGTGATGCAGGTTAAGAGAGTCCCTCAGATTGATAGCAGTTCATTAATACACTCTTCCTCTGTTGTCATACATTGCTTTCTTTCATTACTTTGCTCGTTTTAAACGACAATACTTTTTATTTCTAAGATTTTAAAATGTTTTTCATAAGTACATACCTACTGCATTTTGTAACACATCTTTCTTGCTTCATAACTTCCTCTTCTTGATTCTTGATTATTATTTGGTCTATTATTACTTTCAGTACTTCTAAATAAATTTAATGATCCTTTTGCAAAAATCAAAGAACTAAGCACATAATTATACTAAAAAATCTATATATTTGCTATTACTAAAAAATTAGAATTTAAATCAATGATAATAAATAATAAAAACACTATTAGAAAGACCTGATTTATAAAAGACCTTGTATTTAAAAAACAAAAAAAAACTATAATTCTAAGAAAAAATTTAAGGACCAGATTTTACCATAAATTACCTATAAGTTTCAAATAATAAATCCCATTATGTAGTAACCAAAATTATGCAATATATTGGCATCAGTTATGACATAAAAGAATTAATATGATCAGTATATGAAGAGCTATATAAAGAGCCCTTAAAAATCACAAAGGAAAACTTTAACACACCAAAGTATAAAGTCAAAGGTGATACTTAATTCCTGGACCCTCCCAACAAGTAAACTCAGAATATTCTCAGCTGGCATTTGCCCATGGACACCTGATGTGGACTGACAGATACCATCTTGAGAAGCGCTTTCAAATCACTGCAGGGAAACCCATGCCTGCTGGAGGGCTGCCCTGTGCCACCAGTTATGTTTAATGCCACCAGGAGTTTCCCCTGGGGACAAGGCCTCAGCCTTTGGGGGTGGAGCCGACCTTCCCTAGCCAGTCACCTCCTTTCTCAAGCTCTCAAATCCCTCCCATCACTTCTCATTATTATACTGAGGGCAGTGCCCATTTCTCTGTGGCAGAAGGAATGTCCACCACATGGCTGGCCAATTCTCACCACCATCTGCCTCCACTTCTCCTCTTCCAGAGAGCAGGAGCAACTTGACTACTGGCAGGTTCCAGCGAGCGGCCTGAGGTGACCTGCACGCCCCTTTTGGGTTCTCTTTTATGGAGTCCAATTCTCTGCAGAAAGTATATGCTCTCTATTCCTTAGTGGGGTGGGGGCTCTGTCCCTGTCGGAGAGGCTCATCGTTTTCCACCACAGCCTATAAAGGTGTGTGTGTATGTGTGTGTGTGTATATATGTGTGTGTGCATGCGCGTGCATGCGCGTGCATGCACAGCTCAGTCTTTTGAGATATGTTTGAGTAAGGCCCCATTGCGACCACTCCCTGGCACCTACCCAGGCTGAATAGCCCATGGATGTTCATCTGGAACTCCAGCTTTCTACAGGTGGACTGGCTGGCTCCTGGCAGCACAGACAAAGACCAGCTTCGGGTAGACAGCATTCTTGGTCGCAACCTCAAAGAGCACAGCCCTGAAGGCTACAGACTTTGGCACTTGTATGTGGGGTGACTCCATGCATGCGCTAGCCTCACAGGTGCAGGGTTGGCTCATAACCAGTGTGGATCACATGCGGTCTGGTTACTTACACATGCAAGTCTACTGGGCTGGCCACTGCAGCTGACTTTAGCCCGAACTAGGCAGACATAGCATCTACTGAAGCAGGTGCTGAGCCAGGAATTACATTATTCGTGAAAAATATTTGTTTCCTAATAAAAGCTCACCTGGACATAGGCAAGGTTTCAGTCACTCTCCAAGCTTTTAGGGTATTGAGGTTACATTTTTTTTCCCAGTCAGTTTTTAACTGTGTCGACTTGAATGGATTAAGAAATATGTAAAAAGCTGGTAAGGCTTTACTTCTGGTGTGTCTGTGAGGGTGCTCGTGGAGGAAACTGGCCTGTGAGTCGTCGGGAGGAGTGAAGGAGGTCCACCCTCAATGCACGTGGGCACCATCCAATCAATTGGGGGCCTGGATAGAGAAAAAAAAAAACCAGGGATAAGTAAGGTGATTTCCTCTTTCTCTCTTCTAGAGCTGGCATGTTCCTTTTCTCCTGCTGTCGAACATCAGAACTCCAGAGTCTCTGACCTTTGGACTCCAATAATTACACCAGTGGCCCTCCAAAGTTCTCAGGCCTTTGGCCTCATACTGAGAATCACATCAGCCTCCCTAGTTTTGAGGCCTTTGGACTTGGACCGAGCCAATCTACTGGCACCCCAGGATCTCCAGCTTACAGATGGCCTGCCATGGGACCTGTCAGCCTCCATAATCAAGTGAGCCAATTCCCCTAATAGCCCCTTCTTATCTATCTATCTATCTATCTATCTATCTATCTATCTATCTATCTATCTATGTATCCATCTATGTATGTGTATGTATGTATGTATTTATCTATCTATCTTGATCTATCTGTATATCTAGATCTATATTTATCTGCATCTATGTCTGTATCTCTATCTATATCCTATTGCTCTTTCTCTCTGCAAAACCTTAACTAGTACAGTCAAGAATGCACATGTGTCTCTCTCTGTCTTCTCTAACTCATAAGATCAGATCTCTTGCCATGAAGCTTATGAATGAGGGCTGGAATAAACCGCAGGACAGAGAAGAGGTGCCTGGGTCTAGGGGCAGGCTTGCAAGTACTGGCTGGACCTCATTAATTAGTGTTTGTTAATAGAAATCAAAGAGGACATGAACAGGGGTACACAAATAGAGAGAGATGAGGGAGGCAACTCCTGCAGAGGGCAAGCAGGTGCTGATCTGAAAAACACCTCCCCAGGCCAGAACCCCGCAGCAATGGGGACAGCCTGAGCCATGCAGCAAGAGCTGAGCTAAGGCAAATGATTGAGGATGGAGCCTGGGGATCGTTTGAGGGTCAGGGACCTGGTGTTTTGAACAGTGGCAATGTGTGCAGGGACTGGCGTGCCAGTGAAAGGATCCAGGGAAGACCAGAGGCATCATCAACTCTTCATTCTTCTGACTTCCTTCAGCTACAAGCTACCATAATTTAGCTCAGCTAAAGCAGATTTCTCCCCAGGAAAGGGCTATCTCCTCTCTTTTCACTGCCTCTCTCTCAACCCAAAATCCATCAGACACACATTTCTTTCATGTTGAAGTACAGGATATGCAGAGGAACATACCAAACTCCTACTTTGCACAGGCTTCTAAGGAAACACCTAAACCTGGACAGGCTGGGAAGGTGTTATCAAGTCAACTTTAAGATACTTACCTACACAATATGCTTATGGATTTGGGCAGGGCAGAATCATTGTTAACTGCATCCATGCTATTTTGTACTCTTCGATTTGGTGCCTCATTTGTGGGTGAATCTGGGATGGGCAAGTCTATTATGGAATTGCAAACCTATTATATTGTAGGACTCTGAGCCCCAAGCATACTGGTACTTGTATCAGAAACCAGAGATGGTTCCCAGAAATAGAAGCAGACAGTGAATGGGGGAGAAGTTGCTGATTAAGTGCAGGAGCACCCTAACTGTCACCACTTCAAAACACCAAAGCATCTCAAAGAGCAGAAACTCTCCACATCATAGCTGTGGAGGCGGCCAGACTCCCCTTAATTATTATGGATACATAATTATTATACATATTTATGGCTTACATGTGTCATTATGATACAAGCATACAATGTGTAGTGATCAAATAACGGTAATTGGGGTATCCATAACCTTAAGCATTTATCAGTTCTTTGTGTTAGGAACATACTAATTCCACTTTTCTGGTTATTGTGAAGTACACAATAAATCGTTGCTAACTATGTTGGTCCTATTGTGCTACCAAACACAACTTATTCCTTCTATCTGACTGTATTTTTATGCCCATTAACCATCTCTTTTTTATCTCCTTCTCCCCTTCACTCTCCTTCCCAGTCTCTGGCAACCATCATTTACTCTCTGCCTACAGGAGTTCAGTTTTTTTGGTTCCCACATATTAGTGAGAACATGTGATATTTGTCTTTCTGTGCCTGCCTGGCTTATTTAACTTAATGTTACGACCTCCAGTTCCATCCATGTTGCCATGAATGACAGGATTTCATTCTTTTTCGTGGCTGAACAGCATTCCATAGTGTATATACACCACATTGTCTTTACCCATTCATCTGTTGATAGACACTTAGGTTGCTTTCATATCTTGACTATTGTAAATAATACTGCAATGAACATGCAAAGGCAGATATCTCTTTGATATGCTGATTTCCTTTCTTTTGGATATATGCCCAGCAGTGAGATTGCTGGATCATATGATAGTTCTATTTTCAATTTGTTGAGGAACCTCCATATTATTGTCCATAGTTTTTGTACTAATTTACATTCCCACCAACAACGTTGAAGAGGTCTCTTTTCCCTCTATCCTCACCAGCATCCATGATTGCCTATATTTTTGATAAAAGCCATTTTAGCTGGAGTAAGATGATACCTCATGGTAATTTTGACTTGCATTTCTCTGATGATTATTGATGCTGAGCATTTTTTTGTATACCTGTTGGCCATTTGTATATCTTCTTTTGAGAAATGTCTGTTCAAGTCTTTTGCCCATTTTTAAATTGTATCATTTGGGGTTTTTCTACTACAGAATTGATTGAGCTCCTTATACAGTCTGGTTATTAATCCCTTGTTAGATGGATAGTTTGAAAATATTTTCTCCCAATCTGTGGGTTGTCTCTTCACTTTGTTGATTGTTTTCTTTGCTGTGCAGAAGCTTTTTAGCTTTATGTGAGCCTATTTATCCATTTTTACTTTTGTCGCCTGTGCTTTTGTCCTGAATACAGCACACCAATGGGTCTTGAGTCTTTATCCAATTTGCCAGTCTGTGTCTTTTAATTGGGGCATTTAGCCTGTTTACATTTAAGGTTAATGTTTTTATGTGTGAATTTGATCCTGTCGTTATGATGCTAGCTGGTTATTTTGCCCGTTAATTGATGCAGTTTCTTTATAGCATCGATGGTCTTTACAATTTGGCTTGTTTTTGCTGTGGCTGGTACTGGTTGTTCCTATCCATGTTTAGTGCTTCCTTCAGGAGCTCTTGTAAGGCAGGCCTGGTGGTGATAAAATATCTCAGCATTTGCTTGTCTGTAAAGGATTTTATTTCTCCTTCACTTACGAAGCTTAGTTTGGCTAGATATGAAATTTTGGGTTGAAAATTCTTTTCTTTAAGATTGTTGAATATTGGACCCCACTCAATTCTGGCTTGTAGGGTTTCTGCCAAGAGATCTGCTATTATTCTGACGGGCTTCCCTTTGTGGGTAACCTGACCTTTCTCTCTGGCTGCCTTTAACATTTTTTTCCTTAATTTCAACTTGGTGAATCTGACAATTATGTGTCCTGAGGTTGCTCTTCTCGAGAAGTATCTTTGTGGTGTTCTCTGTGTTTCCTAAATTTGAATGCTGGCCTGCCTTGCTAGGTTGGAGAAGTTCTCCTGGAGAATATCCTGAAGAGTGTTTTCTTACTTAGTTCTATTCGCCCCCTCACTTTCAAGGACACCAATCAAACAAAGATTTGGTCTTTTCATATAGTCCCATATTTCTTAGAGGCTTTGTTTGTTTCTTTTCCCTCCTTTTTCTCTAATCTTGTCTTCTCACTTTATTTCATTAATTTGATGTTCAATCACTAATATCCTTTCTTCCACTTGATCAAATCGGCTATTGAAGCTTGTGTATGCTTCATGAAGTTCTCGTAGTGTGGTTTTCAGCTCCATCAGGTCATTTAAGCTCTTCTCTACACTGGTTATTCTAGTTAGCCATTCGTCTAACCTTTTTTCAAGGTTTTTAGCTTCCTTGCGATGGGTTAGAATATGCTCCTTTAGCTTGGAGAATTTTGTTATTACTGACTTTCTGAAGCCTACTTCTGTCAACTCTTCAAACTCATTCTCCATCCAGTTTTGTTTCCTTGCTGGTGAGGAGTTGCATTCCTTGGAGAAGAGGCGTTCTGGTTTTTAGAATTTTCAGCCTTTCTGCTCTGGTTTCTCCCATTCATTTTGGTTTCATCTACCTTTAGTCTTTGATGTTGGTGACCTACGGATGGCATTTTGGTGTAGATGTTCTTTTTGTTGATGCTGATGCTATTCCTTTCTGTTTGTTAGTTTTCCTTCTAACAGACAGGCCCCTCAGCTGCAGGTCTGTTGGAGTTTGCTGGAGGTCCACTCCAGACCCTGTTTGCCTGGGTATCACCAGCAGTGGCTGCAGAACAGCAAATATTGCTGCCTGATCCTTTCTCTGGAAGCTTTGTCCCAGAAGGGCACCCACCTGTATGAGGTGTCTGTTGGCCCCTACTGGGAGATGCCTCCCAGTCAGGCTGCATGGGGATCAGGGACCCACTTGAGGAGGCAGTCTGTCCATTATGGGAGCTCAAACGCCATGCTAGGAGAGCCACTGCTCTCTTCAGAGCTGTCAGGCAGGGACGTTTAAATCTGGAGAAGCTGTCTGCTGCCTTTTGTTCAGATATGCCCTGTCCCTAGAGGTGGAATCTAGAGAGACAGTAGCCATTGCTGAGCTGCAGTGGGCTCTGCCCAGTTTGAGCTTCCCTGCTGCTTTGTTTACACTGTGAGCATAGAACCGCCTACTCAAGCCTCAGCAATGGCGGACGCCCCTCCCCCTACCAAGCTCCCGCATCCCAGGTCGATGTCAGAATGCTGTGCTAGCAGAGAGCATGGCTCCTTGGGTATGGGACCCACATAGCCAGGCACAGGAGGGGATCTCCTGGTCTCCTGGTTGCAAAGACCATGGGAAAAGCAGAGTATTTGGGCAGGAGTGTACCACTCCTCCAGGTAGACACACACGGCTTCCCTTGGCTGGGAAAGAGAAATCCCTGACCCTTGTGCTTCCCAGGTGAGGTGACACCCTGCCTTGCTTTGGGTCACCCTTGGTGGGCTGCACCCACAGTCCAACCAGTCCCAGTAAGATGAACCAGGTACCTCAGTTGGAAATGCAGAAATCATCCATCTTCTCTGTCAGTCTTGCTGGGAACTGTAGACCGAAGCTGTTCCTATTTGACCATCTTGGAAACACCCAGATTTTTCTAATTCTGTAAAAAATAATATTTTATATTCTTATAAGGGTAGCATTGGATCTGTATATTGCTTTGGGCAGTATGACCATTTTAACAATGTTGATTCTTCCAATCCATGAGCATGGAATATTTTTCCATTTGTTTGTGTCATCTCTGATTTCTTTCAGTAGTGTTTTGTAGTTCTCCTTGTGAGAAGTCTTTCACCTTATTGGTTAGATGAATTCCTAGGTATTCTATTTTTATGTGGCTGTTGTAAATGAAACTGTGTTCCTGATTTGGTTCTCACACAGACTGTTATTAGCATATTGAAAAGCTACTGATTTTGTACATTAATTTGCATCTTGAACCTTTACTGAATTCCTTCATAAGTTCCAGGAGCCTTTTGTTGGAGTCTATGGGGTTTTCTATGTATAGAATCATATCATCAGCAAAAAGAGAGAGTTCAACTTCTTCTTTTCCTATTTGGATGCCTTTTACTTCTGTCTCTTGCCTGATCACACTGGCTAGGACTTCCAGTACTGTTTTGAATAAGAGAAGTAGGAGTGGGTATCTCTGTCTTGTAGCAATTTTCTAGGGGAATAATTCCAGCTTTTTTCTGTTCAGTACGACATTGGCTGTGGGTTTGTCATAGATGTCTCTTATTATTTTGAGATATGTTTCCCTGATGCTTAGTCTGTTGAGGGTTTTTATCATAAAAGAATGTTGGATTTTATTGAAGGCTTTTTCCGCATTTATTAAGATGATCATATGGTCTTTGTTTTTTATTGTGTTTATGTGGTGAATCACATTTATTGATTTTCATGTTGAACCAATCTTGCATCTCAGGAATAAAGCCTACTTGATCAAGGTGAATTAACTTTTTGATGTGCTCCAGGATGCTAGTATTTTGTTAAGGATTTTTGTGTCTATAATCATCAGGGGTATTGGCCAAATGTTTTCTTTAATCATTGTTTCTCTGCCAGATTTTGATATCAGGATGATGCTGGCTTCATAGATTGAGTCAGGGAGAAGTCCCTCTTCCTTGATTTTTTTTTGGAATAGTTTCAGTAAGATTGGTATCAGTTCTTCTTTGTATGTCTGGTAGAATTTGGCTGTAAATCCATTATATTAGTCCATTCTCATGCTGCTATGAAAAAATACCTAAGACTGGGTAATTTATAAAGAAAAGAAGTTTAATTGACTCACAGTTCTGCATGACTGGAGAGGTCTCAGGAAACTTACAATCATGGCAGAAGGCACCTCTTCACAGGGTGGCAAGAGAGAGAATGAGTGTCAAGCAAAGGGGGAAGCCCCTTAAAAACCATCAGATCTTGCAAGAACTCATGAGAACAGTATGAGGGAAACCACCCCTGATTTAGTCATCTCCATCTGGTCCTGCCCTTGACATGTGGGGATTATTACAATTCAGGAGAGATATGGGTGGGGACACAGAGCCAAACCACATCATTTATCTGTTCCAGGGCTCCTTTTGGGTGATACAGTTTTATTTTTTATTACTGATTCAATTTCAAACTTGTTATTGGTCTATTCAGATTTTCACTTTCCACCTGGTTCAAAATTGGGAGTTTGTGTGTTTCCAGAAATTTATCCATTTCCTCTCAATTTCTTAATATGTGTGCATAGAGTTGTCTTACTAGTCTCTGAGGATCTTTTGCATTTCTGTGGGATTGGTTGTAATGTCTTCTTTGTCATTTTTTATTGCATCTACTTGGATCTTCTCATTTTTTGTTCTGTTAATCTAGTTAGCCGTCTATGAATCTTGTTTATTGTTTTGAAAAACCAACTCTTGGTTTCATTGACCTTTTATATGGACTTCGGGGTCTCAATTTGTGTAAGTTATTATCTGATCTTTGTTATTTGTTTTCTTCTACCAGCTTTGTGGTTGGATTGCTCTTTTTTTCTTCTTATTCTAGGTGCAATGTTAGATCATCAATATGAGATCTTTCTAACCTCTTCAGGCAGACATTTAGCACTATAAATTTTCCTCTTAATGCTGCTTTAGTTGCATCTCAAAGATTTTATGGTGTCTCTATTTTCATTAATTTCAAATAATTTTTTGATTTTTGCCTTTATTTCGTTGTTCACCCAAGAGTTATTCAGAAACAAGTTGTTTAATTTTCACATTTTTGTGTATTTTTGAAAGATCTTGGTATTGATTTGTATGTTTATTGCACTGTGGTCTAAAAGTGTCTTTGGTATGAGTTCACCTTTTTTTAAATTTATTGAGACTTGCTTTATGGCAAGCTTGTGATTGATCTTAGAATATTCTCTGTGTGTAGATTAAAAGAACGTATCTTCTATGGTTGTTAAATTGAGTATTCTGTAGATTTCTATTCAGTCCAATTGGTCAAGTACTGAGTTTAAATTCATAATTTCTTTGTTAGTTTTCTGCCTCAATAATTTGTCTAGTGCTGTCAGTGGGGTGTTGAAGTTCCCCATTATTATTCTGTTGCCATTTAAGTCTTTTCATAGGTCAAGAAAAACTTGTTTTATTAATCTGGGTGCTTTAGTGTTAGGTGCATATATATTTATGATAGTTACGTCTTGTTTAATTGAATCCTTTATCATTATGTAATGCCCTTCTTTATCCTTCCTGATTGTTTTTTGTTTGTTTGTTTAAAGTCTGTTTTATTAGATATAAGAATAGTGACACTTCTGCTTTATTTTCTATTTGCATGGTAAATCTTTCTGTAGTTTTGTTTATTTGTTTGTTTTGTTTCGGTTTGGTTTTTTTTTTTTTTCTGTTTACTTTGAGCTTGTGGGTGTTATCACAAAGTGAGATGTGTTTCTTGAAGACAGCAGAGGGCTGGGACTTTTTATCCAGTTTGCCACTCTGTGCCTTTTAAGTGGGGACATTTAGACCATTTACATTAAGGTTTAACATTGATATACATGATTTTGATCCTGTCATTATGTTGTTGGCTGTTTGTTTTGTAGACTTGATTGTGTAGTTTCTTTATATTTTATTTGGGCTATGTGCTTGATTGTGTTTTTTTCTGGTAGCAGGTTTCAAACTTTTATTTCCATGTTTAGCACTACCTTAAGGATCTCTTGTAAGGCTGGTCTGGTAGTAACAAAATCCCTTAGTTCTTGCTTATCTGAGAAGGATTTTATTTCTCCTTTGCTTATGAATCTTAGTTTGGCAAGATATGAGATTCTTGGTTGGAGTTTCTTTTCTGTAGGAATGCTGAAAATAGGCCCACAGTCTCTTTTGGCTGGTAAGGTTTCTTATAATAAGTCTGCTGTTAGTCTGATGGGCTTCCCTTTGTAGGTAACCTAATCTTTTTCTCTAGCTGCCTTTATGATGTTTTCTTTTGCATTGACCTTGGTAATTCTGATGAATCTATGCCTTGGTGGATCTCATGATCATCTTGTAGCTTGCAAGGGTTATTTTGTAGTTTTTGAATTTTTATGTCCTCCTCTCTACCAAGATTGGGAAAATTTTCATGGACTATATCCTCAAATATGTTTTCCAATTTTCTATACTCTCTCTCCTTCTCTTTCAGGAATACCAATGAGTTATAGATTTGGTTTCTTTACATAATTCTATATTTTTGGAGGTTTTGTTCATTTTTTGAAATTATCTTCATTTTTGTCTAACTGAGTTGATCAGAAGAACCAATTTTCAAGCTCTGAGATTGTTTCCCCAACTTGATCTATTGGGTTTCAATTTTCTGCTAACTCCTGGTGATCTTCCTTCCCACTTAGATTCTGAATTCCACATCTGCCATTTCAATCATCTCCATCTCGTTAACAACCTTCCCTGGGGGCCTAGTGTATTTGTTTGGAGGTAAAGAGCCACACTGGCTTTTGAGTTGGTAGAGTTCTTGCACTAATTCTTTCTCATCTATGAGGGCTGGTGCTCCTTTAACTGTGGTATAAGTTGAGTATAGTCAGTTGGCTTTATTTCTGGGTATTTGTAGAAGGTCAAGACTGTGCAGAATCTTTATCTGTGGCTGGATTTTTTTCTTAGTTTTCACAGGCACTGTATACTGGCAGCATATTTTGGTGTTGTATTGTGGGCTTCAATCCAGTCGGTGGCACTTAAGAGTATTGGCCAGCAGATAGGCTCTTAGCCTTTTGGCGCAGTTGGCAGAAGTGTTCTGTGGTAGGGGAAAGAGAGATTATCCCCCTCACATGGTCTGCTTCTGGGCTTTGAAAGAGCTACAACCAGTCACTGGCTCTGCACCCATATTTTCTTTGTTAGGTGCTCTGGTCCATGGGGATCCTTCAGGCAGAAGCCATGGTTGGCAGACAGGCCATGCCCTTTCCAGGCTGGTTCTGCAGAGGGAGGTATGCCCCAACCTCCACCAATCCACAAACCCAGGTGTCTCACCTCTCTCAGTGTTCTGAGAGTGAGGGCTCCCCTCCTGCTTGGGTGCCACCCAAGCCAGTGAGTCCTGACTGGCTAGGAGCAATGAGGGTGGGTGGAATCATCTGTTCCACCATCTGACATCCAAGTGCTTCCTGGGAGAACATGGGGCTGTGCCCACCTGCAGAGTTCAGGCAGAAGTGGGTCCACTGTGCTGGAAGTCCCAGCAGGCATGACCCATTCAACTAGGAGTGGGGAGGGTGGGTAGAGTTGTCCGCTCTGCTCTCCGGTTCTTTCTAGGGAAACACAGGGCTGCACTTACCACAAAATTCAGGCAGAAGCAGGACCAGTTTCCTGGAAGCTGTCATTGAGCCTTGTCTAGTGAGGGTTTGTGGAGCAATCTTACTGCTTCCAGGCACTGTCACTGTGGCCGCTATGGGGGCTATGGCACTGGCACCAGGCTTCTCCAGATCCCAAGGCCCATGTGGGGCCCCACAGACATGAGTGTTGCCTCCACAAATCTGCAGGCACTTTCTTTATTGGTCTAGAGGCAAAGAGGTTTAGAGGGAGTCTCTCATTCTCAGCATTTCACAGGCCCTTGTGGAAAGTTTGGATCCCGTGGGGGCTCTCACTCATTCACCCTTTCCCCATGTTGAGGAGCTTCTCCTGGCTCCATACCAATCCCAGATAGGCAGCTACTCAGCTTCATTCTTCTCTGTTCTCCCCTCACTCTTTTGATGGATCCCCATATGGTTTCTTAGATAATCAGCTTCCAGGATCAGTGTTTACTCATCACTTTGTCCCCTCTCTTTAACAGTGGTGATCAGGAGCTGCCTCTGCTCTATCATCTTGAGTCTTTAAGCTGATCCTTACTCCACTCTAACAAAAGACTACAGCTGAATGAGAATGAGTTCACTGTGTTCTTTGAGAGTTAATTCTAGCATATCTGAAATTGACCTAACCTACATGGTCCTGACAATGGACAAGGCATGCTCCTCTGGTGCTTTGATTGCCCTTCGCTCTTAGCACCTGCCTCTGTGCGTGCTCGTGCCACCCCAGCCTTTTAACCACTCCTGTCCCGTGGCTTTGCTGTGCTGCTCTGTGTTGATCTGTTGTTCCTCCGGCCCAGCTCTGTTCACTGGCAGTGCCAGACTCCTTGCCAAGTGCCTATTGAGGTATGAAAGCCCACTTAGGCCTCCCCTTGTTTAGTTCCTTCCCTGGAACCTGATTAACCCTTCTTCACTTCTAGTCATCCCATCCTAAAGAATGAAAAAGGTGCAGCCCAAATAATTTAAAAATATGTCGGCATACATTGAATTGAAAGGCTTAAACATCTCCTTGAAGTCTGGCTATTTGGTAAAGATAAATAAATAAATAAATAAATAAATAAAGGCTTAAACTTTCTTCATGTCCTAAAATATAAAGGTCTAAATTCTCTTCTACTCTGTGCTGACTGCTGAGGGAAGGAATGAGAGAAGGGGTACAGAGATTGAATGTCCATGGTTAATAAGCATTCCACTGGCAATTGAGGGCTTTCTATGCCAGCCACAGTGTTTCTGGGCAGAAAAAATAAGGTCATTCTTTCAACAATTTGCACCACTAAAATACATAGTGAGAGCTCCTACTTTTTGCCTATCATGAAAGCAGAGTTTGAAGTTTTTGAGGACAGGCTGGAGGATATCAGCTCTTCTATTACTGTTCCAGGAAAATAATAGCCATGGATTTTTTTGAATATCATAAAAGGCAAAAAGGAAACTTGTATGTAGACCCATTCCATCATCCAGGCAACTAACAGGTATTCAACCTCACCACGTGCTGGGCACTCTCTGAGTACAAGAGATACAGCAGTGATCAAGACATTCTAGGGGGAATGCAAATGATCAACAGGGCACTGAACAATTATGTTATGTGATTCCAGGCAGTAGAAGAGTGATAAAGAACATAAACTAGAGTGAGGGGATAGGGAGTGATTATCTCCTCTGAGAAAAACACATCAGTATGGTCAAACCATATGACTCAGAAGGGATAGGAAAAAAAGAGAATGACATTTCCCCAGGCCTGTTGTTTTTCACCAAGAATGCTTTTTATACACAGTGATTTTTCAATGTCCAAATTAGTGATTCACAATCAGAGTGTCTGCCCTTGCTAGAGAGATATGTTAAAGGTTTAAGTCAGATAGCATTTGAAAAAGTGTCATCTACAATTCCATTGATTTACTTTGCTTTAATTGTTATATATGCAGTTTTTTACATTCTAAATTACGTTAAAGGAAATTATCAGATATGTACATTATCAAGCTTGATTTTGTTTAAGGATATTTCAGAAACAATAGTCAAATTCATCAGTTCTTTTGAGAGGACAGATAGAAAAAGATAGAGACTGAGACATTTTTATTTTGATTATTAAGATGTGAAAATTAGGCATTGAAATTTCTCATGAGAAATTATTGCTCAGTTATCAGAAGTTAATTAGAGTTTTGTACTCTAGTGATTTTACACACTATTAATTTTGTTCATAAAAGAAACAATACTGTTATTATAAGTACGCTGGTCTTACTCCATAAAATTAAATCGTATGCTTACCAAGTTGGAATTTCATAATTTGGAAACTTGAATTTTTTCATCTCTCGAAGATAGAATGGGACAGCTGAACTAAAATCACTTCACAATGGCGTCTTGATGCTAATTAGCTGTACATATCAAAGTTTTCCACTTGAATCTGTCCCAGGGCATGAAGAACATCATAAACTGTGGTATTTGCAACATCATGGATGATATTCATTATCTCTGAAAATAATCCAGACTTTTCCCATATGCTTTTGCAAAGATTAAGACTGGGTTGTCTTCTCCTATAATTTTTGTGAATCTGATGGGAAGTTTTCCCATTCGTTCAAGGTACTTACAAATGAGATACGATATGGGAAAAATGAATCAGATTTGTCACAACAGATTTGCTGTGCAGTTTGTGGTCTTTGGGATGCAGGAATGCTAAATTCTGTTCAAGAGCTGCAATCTTTATCCTGGAAGGATCACTGGAACTATTTCCCATGTAAATCAACCAGATTTGGAAGCAACATTTAGAGCAAAGAAAATGTTCATGTTGATTTTGAATTTGGTCTTTACTGATCGGATACTGCCAGCTATTTTTTCCCATTTGTTTTATTTTTTAATAATTTGTATTATTTTTCATTTAAATGTATTAAATTTCATTTATATTAAAGTTTTACTAAACTTACATTGCAGTTCCTATGTTCCAGGTATTGTTCTAAGTTCTTTACAAATATTAATCTATTCTATTCTCATAACAGCCTTCTGAGTTGGATTGTATTTTTATCATGCCCACTACACAGATGGAAACATGAAGACTTTTGAAGCTCAAGAAATGCATCCATGCTCATATCCTGTTCTCCCTGCTATGTACTTACCTGAAAAAATATTTTAAATTAATTTAATATTAGTGGAACAATTAATTTAATTTTATATTTCAGTTTTCATTTGCAGTATGTGTGTATTTTAAGAGTATATTGTTAATTTCAATTCTTTACAAAATCTAAGACATTGTTTTGTAATAAACAAATTTAAGCTATTGCGTATAACAGATTAAGTTTTTTTGGATATTCTATTCATCTTATGCCTTCTAATTTTAATTTTTCTATTGCTACAGTTGGCTTTTTTTCTAAGTAGCCAATGTCTATTTACTTCTATAATATATTCTGCTCTTTTTTATCAACAATATATTTCTTTTGACTTTTCAAAAGGATTTTAGTTTATTTCTGATTTTCAGTTATGAATAAAACAGTATTCCCTCATCTGGAAGACAGAATTTCATAGAATTTCACTTCACTTTTCCGCCACTTCTTCCCTTTCTGATCCTTGAAATTATTGTGAACAATATGAAGCGTACCATTTTTATTAACCTCATTTAGCTAAAGATACATATGCATATATAGTTTTTAGAGTAATTGTCTTTGTCATTTTATGGTTTCAACAGTTGTATAAACTCTCAGCTTATCTTTTTTAATGCTAGACACTACTCATTTAATATTATACGTCCTCAATAATGAGCACATAAGTATACAGATCTTTCTAAAGCTGGAAAACAAAGCAAAACTGAGTGTAGGGCTCAAAAAAGTTCATGTTGTTCCAGGCAAAATGAATGGCAAAATGCACAGCCAGACACATCTTGAAAAACACAAGGTCAGAGACACATGAAAATCCTATGAGGATCCAGTCGGAAGAGCAAAAGGGGTTACCAATAAAATAACAAATCCGAACTTGCTTCCAGATTTCTCCTCTGCAAAAGTACGTGTCAGATCACAACATGACATGTCTGAGAGAAAAAAAAGCTGTGGTTTACAATTTCTGTTCCAAGTTGATGTTTTTGGTAATGTAAGGAGCAGATATAAATTGTCAAACATGCACTATTTGTCCCAAGTGTTCCTCACCCATGATAGTTTGACTTCAGTTCAAGATTTTCCCTCCTCTGCCTTGGGAACTCCTCACTCCACGTTGGCCTCCACTCTGTGAGGTACAGTGGTTGACGTGTTCTGGGCTAAATATCTAAATTGTTGATACAAGAGCATGAAGTTCTAAAAAATATGAGCTAAAAGTGAAGGTGAAAAACATATAATGATTTACTCAGTTAATAGAGACTTTTTAGAGACTTTTTTTGTCGTGAAAACTAAATATGCAGAAGCAAACTGTATAAACACAGTGGAGCAAATTAAAAAGGAATCGACACTCAGAAAAATCAAAAAATATACTTTAATGCAAGTTAAGTAATATAGGAAACAAAAGAAGAGAAAGATCAAATTAATGCCAGGAGATAATTTATATACAAAGCAAAGGATGCTCAACAACATACGTAATGGGCTTCCGAATTACAAAGAACAGAATCAGGACTCAAGCAGATGCCAGATACCTGTACTCTACAATGTCATTGATGTGGCTCCAACATCCAGTGACAGGGGTTTTCTTTGCAGGGATTGGGGATGAGGATGGAGGAGGATAGAGAGGAGGTGTGATAAAACACACTGTTATGTTAAATATACATTTAGGTTTTAAGATGAAACCCCAATTTAACAAACATTAAATTGGGGAAAATTAACTTCACAATGGAGGACACATGGACAAGAATGAAGACTTTACTGATCAAAACTGGGGGTAGGCCTGGTGCAGTGGCTTGCGCCTATAATCTCAGTGTTTTGAGAGTCCAAAGCGGCAGGGCTGCTTGAGGCTAGAAATTTGCAACCAGCCTGGGCAACAAGGCAAGGCCCCATCTCTACAGAAAATTGAAAAATCAGTTGAGCATGGTGGCATGCATCTCCCGTCCTAGCTACTTGGGAGGCTGAGGGAAGAGGATTGCTTGAGCCCAGGAGTTTGAGGCTACAGTGAGCTGATTGTGCCACTGCACTCCAGCCTGCACAACAGAGGAAGACCCTTTCTGCAGAAAAAAAAACCAAAAAACTGTGGATGAAAATATTTATAAATGTAGATAGGAAAGACACATATATTTATGTATTTACATTAAATATATTATCATGAATTTGCAACGTGTTTGGAAAAGAGCCCAATTAATAAATATATTCTTAATAAAATATAAAGTGCAAAAATAAAATTATAAGGCACAGTAACCATTCACACAGCCCTCTGTATTTCTTCAAAATATGTGATCAGTGAAACATTGAAACTAACTGTTCAATGTTGTCTTTCCCACTGAGTAATAAGCTTAATGGGGAAGGAACCTCCATGGTGGATTCTCAATAAGTAGATAATTATTCATAATTAAACATGATTAATGAGAGACTAATAAAAAAGTAAGAAACTATTCTAAACTGATTGAAGATCTCAATGAAAGGAACTCTCTTATAGGAGAACATAAACTGAAAAACTGCTTCAAGAAGACGGAGAGGAAGTGAAGGCAATCTGGCTGCAACATGTGTCACCAGGGTGGATTGGGCTGATCTGGCTGGCTAGCTAGATGTCCCCTTCATCCCTCACTGCTCCATGTGCATCTCTCCCAAAGCTGCACACTCAGTCCAAGAGGACAGCCAACCCCAGTAGAAGAGGACTGGTCTTCAGTCAAACCTACGTGAGTAATTATGCTCCCCTGCTAAAACCTCCAAACAAGCTCTTAAGATGATGGAGGAAGGCACAACAGGCCATTAACAATAAAACACATTGAATAGTTAGGCAAAAAATTTCCTCCAAAAAATAAATCAGACTCTAATAATTGTACAAGTGTTTTGTCAAATCATGAAGAAGCAGATAATTTTCACTTGTTTAAAATGTTCCAGAACACAGAAATCATTTGGGAAAATGTCCAGTTAATTTTACAAGTGGCTAAAGCACCAAAAACAAAACGTAAAAAGGGAGGCAAACGTGTTTTAATTGCTTCTTTTTTGCCCCATTGGTGAGGGAGGAATTCCTGCCCTAAGGTTATGGGGAGGGCCAAGTGCATGACACATGGTGCTGGGCAGAGGGGAACGTTTATTAGTCACCTACACCCACAGCCTGGGGAGGAGGACGCTGCACTCCATGGAAGGTCACGTGGGGCTGCACTTGGAACAGACTGAACAACAAGGGCTGTGGAGAAGACTTTGTAGTATCAAGAGGATGAGGTGCCCCTGTTCCCATGGGAGGGTGTGATTGGCCTGTTTGAACGATTCCACGAGATGGCAGAAGACTGAAATCTTCTACTCAGGAATAAGCAGACACTGCTTCATCCCAGTGAAAAGGAAGGTTGTCAATTTTACCAGATGTCAAGACAGCATATAATAGTGACCCTTTTTAGGTCTTACACTACAGTATGTCTAGGGACAACACACAGACACCCCCCAATACACAATTGACAAATATTTCTTATTATTATTTATATAAACATACTCAACAAAATACTCTAAATTTGAATTAATCAGTACACTTTCAATTTAAATTTTAGTTTTATATATTAATCAATATAGTTTAAACATACCAAAATAAAGCAGGATAAATTCATGAATAGCATTGTTCAATTTTTTTAAGTTAGGTAATTACATTAATTAATGGGGCAAAGAAGAATTAAAACTTTTAGAAATTGAAAAAGGAGACACATCCACTCCCCCAACCCATATCAGAGGGATACATTAGAATTACTTAAAAGGTATAAAAAAATCCCCGCCTTCTCATATTTTCTTAATCTCCGGAATGAGAATCATGATGGAGATTTGGGTTTGTTAAAGAAGAAAACTAATCCAGAGAGATTATGTTAAACATTCAATATTCCTTACCACTAGTACTTCTTAGCAAACTAGAAAAGAACTCTTTTTAGCATCATAAAACAAATCTACTGGAAAACAAGGGCTAATACCATCCTTAGGAACAGAATGCAAGAGCCATTCCCACTACAGTTAGGAATAAGACAGCTGTGCTCCTGATCACCAGTATTTCGCTGTCTCTGGAAACTCTGTCCATGAGCTAAAGTAGGGGAAAAACTAAGGTGTAAATACCAGAAAAAAAAAATAGACAATTATTTGAGATAATGTAATTTCATCTTTTTGGAAAAAGCAAGCAAATGAATTAAAAGTTTAGTAGACCTCGTAAAAACAGAGGAAACTGGAAAATAAAATACCTGTACCATTTCTATAAGTTATTTATTTTATTTAAAATAAAACCCTGCATATATAGCACTAATAAGTTTCAAGGACTGTTTTAAGATTTTTTAAATCTTAAAAGACCGTTTTAAGATTATTTAAATATTCACTCATTTAATCCTCATAGCAGTTATGAAGTAAGTGCTATTATTGTCATTATCATTGTCTCCATTTTACTGATGAGGACACTGAGGCTTGGAGCGGCTGAGTGATGTGTCCATACTGACTAAGTGAGCAAGCCAGGATTTATGCCCTAGACCCGGGACATCTGGTTTCAGAGCCTGTGCTCTGATGCAGTGCACCTGGCTGGCTTCCTTTCATTATTTTAACATTCTGGTTAGAAAATGAGATACAATGAGCCAATTGAATTCAATAAAAATATGAATATCCTAGGAATAAACAGTATAAGAAATGTTAAATACCTGTGTGAACAAAAATACACGTATTATGTTTAGAAGTATTTTTAAAATAGGAATACATGAAAAAAGTATTACTTGTCTCATAATATTGAATATTTTAATAATTTTGATATTATCTAAATTAATTCATAAATGTATGTGATCCCAATCAGAATCCCAATGGGATTTTAAAACTTGATATAAATAAACCTAAAATAATGTTGAAAGAATAAACAAAAAAGAATAGACAGAAAATTGTTGAAAAAGAGTAGTAAGAGAATACAAGTCAGCCGGTGTTAAAAATCTATCATAATAAAAAATAAAATATATTAATAACAATTAAAACAGTGTTTTACTGACAGTAGAAAGCCAAAAATACTCCAAATACTTATTATTAAACAAAGTTAAATTTTTAAATGAGTGGTGATAAGAAGTGAATTATTATACAAGTAATTGAGAAAAATGGGATATTTTTAATCCTTTAAAAAACTGAAATTTAGATCTCTACTTTATACCTTGTAAGAAAATAGCAATTTAAATCTATAATTTTGCAAATGTATTAAAATAATAAATACGTTCAGAAGAAAATATGAGAATATTAATTTTGGGAAATATTTCTAATTTGGGGTGCAGATAGATGTCTGAAGAAACATATAAATAGTGATATTGTTTGGCTGTGTGTCCTCACCCAGCTCTTGTGTGGAATCGTAATTCCCAGTGTTGGAGGAGGGGCCTGGTGGGAGGTGATTGAGTCACGGGGGTGGACATCCCCTTTGCTGTTCTCATGATACAGTTCTCATGATATCCGGTTGTTTGAAAGTGTGTAGCACCTCCCCCCTCTCTCTCTCTTTCTTCTGTTCCTTTCATGTAAGACGTGCCTCCTTCCTCTTCACCTTCCGCCATCATTGTAAGTTTCCTGCGGCCTCCCCAGAAGCGGAAGCCTATACAACCTGCAGAACGGTGAGCCCATTAAACCTCTTTTCTTTAAAATTACCCAGTCTCAGGTGGTTCTTTAAAGCAGTGTAAGAATGAAATAATACACATATACAAATAGCAAACACATAAAATATTGACACTTAAAGCCAGCACCAAACCTGGGACAAGGAAGCTAGGGTGAAACCAGTCTCCTCTCCAGGAGAAAAGAAATATCAAGAAAGCTTTGCCAGTCACAGTCAAACTAAAAATTAAGCCAAAACACGATTGCATTCAAGCAGAGGTGGCTGTCAAACCAGTGATAGAAAACGGAGCATAGAAAGGAAGACCAGGGCTCCTCTGGAGAATCACTTCAGGGCTGTCTGTGGACCACAGAGCTCAAGTATGCTGAGCTGAGCAGAGAAGGTGCCACGTGGAAGATGGGGCTCACAGTGCATTCAAGGGGAGCAGGGAAAACAGAGGCCACTTTAGCAAGTTCAACGCAGGGAACTGAGACTTCCACACCAGGGCCTGGGTGGGGAGGCAGAGGCAGGAACCCCTCGGGGGTGAGGAATACATAAGAGACCACTGCAGCCTCTGCTGCCCACAGCACCATGGTGGGTGATTCTCGAGAGGTGATTTCCTGCCCCTAAATAATGCCAAAACCCATCTGCCCTCTGCCCTTGCTGACCCGTCTCTTTGCCTCTGCAACCAAAGCATGTGCCCCTCCCCAGCAAAGCCAAACAGGGCTCCTTCCAGCAAGGGAGCCTGGGCAGACTGGTTTTGGATCATGCACAGCCTCGGAAGGGCGGGCTGGCAGCTGGTATCACCACTCATACCCAGCACACAGTGTGCACCACATCTTGGCGTTTTCTTAGCAGTATAATCTAAACTTTCTTCCATACAGTCCTGATAGAAAACATGCTAGAATGAGTACAGCACTCTAGTATCCCAGATCCCAGCCGAGGTCATGCACAAATAACCCGAAGGTCATGCCTGCACCAAGGAGCTGGCAGATGCAAGATGGAGATAGGTCTGGGGGTAAAGCTGTATGTACAATACGTCAACTGGCCACTGTGGCTACTATAAAGGGTCACGAATGATCGTGAAGTGGATTCACACACACACACACACACACACACACAGCTAATGAAACTTCAGCTCTCGGGCCCTTCACTTGCACTGACCCTTTCTAAAACCCCAGTACCAATTTTATATTTGTAACTGTATAGTTTATCTTAAGGAGAACTCCCAGATGGTGAAAGTGTAGGTTCCACAGAGCCTGGATCTCCCACTCTGTTCAGCTCTAGCTGCAGCAAGTGCAGCCACCTTCACAGGACTCGCAAATGAGCAATACATGGAGAGAGGAAAGACTACAGGATTTCTGTGCATGATGGACACAGTGGCATGATTTGTTTTGTTTTGTTTTGTTTTGTTTTGAGATGGAATTTCGCTCTCGTTGCCCAGGCTGGAGTGCAATGGCGAGATCTTGGCTCACTGCAACCTCCGCCTCCCAGGTTCAAGCTATTCTCCTGTCTCAGCCTCCCAAGTAGCTGGGATTACAGGCATGTGCCACCACGCCTGGCTAATTTTGTATTTTTAGTAGAGTCAGAGTTTCTCCATGTTTTTCAGGCTGGTCTCCAACTCCCGACCTCAGGTGATCTGCCCGCTTCGGCCTCCCAAAGTGCTGGGATTACAGGCATGAGCCACTGTGCCCGGCCCCAGTGACATGATTTTTTAATGTGCAAAGGAAAGAATAGAATGTTTTAGAAATTGGGGAAGAAATGAGTTTAGATACCAGATAGCACTGACTACTCCCTGTGGGGTAGGATTGGATTTTCTTTGGAAGCTGGAAGAGGTGGAGGGAGAGAAGAGAGTGACTATAGAAGTAGACGGGTCATTTATGATGGGATTATGTTTCAAATACCCCTTGCACAACGCCATTGAGGAGAATATTTGGCATCCAAGGGCCCTTTTCAATATGGGAGTGTTTCCTCTTGGGTAATATGATGCTGATGTAGCATTAGATGTTTGCTTTTGTTTGCAGTTAGCTTCACACTCCACCAAGGTCAGTCACAGAAAGAGGGGGTTTCTGAAGGAGGGTCAAGCATGCAGAGGAACAGTGACTAGGGCTCCATGGCACTGGGACAGAAGGCATCAGGCTGGGAGGCCTGGGGGAAGAGCCCAGCCTGCTGCATCCCATAGTCCTGGTCAGCCCACTGGGCTCCCACAGTGGCTGAGGCGCTGCTGCTGGGTGGTGAAACTGAGCACGTCCTCCATCCCTAGTCAGGAAGGCCACCTGTGCCCTGTGCCTCACTCAGGCCCCCTCTCCTGTCTGGAAGCTGAAGGAGAAGCTAAAGTGATAGAGAATAAAGGGGCAGAAAAAGGGGGTGCCAGCTCTGTCCTGGTTGGGACAGCACCTTCAGGAGCCCATAAACTCTTTCCTCTTCTCTTTTATTGTGGACCACTCAGAGGGTTTCTCCTCATGAGACTTCCTCTGACTCTGGTTTTCTTCTTATTTATCAATTAAAGAAGAAAGTGTTTAAAGCAGATACCAAATGTAGTTTTTCCACTGCTCTGTCCAACGTAGTTATCCTGCCAAGAAGCGATGAATGGGCCAGGAGTGGTGGTTCACACTGTAATCCTGGCACTTTGGGAGGCTGAGGCGGGAGGATCTCTTGAGCTTAAGAGTTCAAGACCAGCTAGGGCAACACAGCAAGACTCTGTCTCTACAAACATTTTTCAAAAAAATTTTAAAAAGAAGCAATGACATTGCTGAAGATATAATCTAAATTCCGTAGCCCAGTTTGTAAAAATTAAACATATCAACATTTCTTAGAGAAACATTGCATTATGATTACTTACAGAATAGTAAGATCAGGAGTGAAGATGGCTTTGTCATTCTTAGATTTTAAAAGTCATTCTTTGATTTTTTTAAAGTGAGATAAGGAAAAAAAAAAAGAAAATCTAACCATGCCAACATCTGGTTTTAAATTAGAAGAAATAATTCCACATTTTAAAATGTATTTTATTGGCTTTTTAAAAAACGTACAAAAGTCATACATAATTGCCATTACAATCTAAACAGCGTGAAATGTGTCTCAATATGAGGCCCACGGTCCCTGCTTTTCACCAGGAATCACCCGTACATCTTTTTCTCTAGAAATTATCTTAGAATTTAAAAACTCAAACAATGATATACACAATACTTGGGAACTTTACATTACAGATAGATAGACATCCATACACACACATTTGCATTACGCAACTGCTTTGCATTACAGATAGATGTCCATACACACACATTTGCATTACGCAACTGCTTTACATTACAGATAGATAGACTTCCATACACACACATTCGCATATGCACACTCCAACCAAACTACTCCTGCACACACACAGAAGCATGAACAGTCACTGCACACGCGCTTCAGGGTGGGGCCACTTCCGTGCAGAGAATATCTAAGGGGCTGGGCACGCTGTTGTACCCAGAGCCATCTTCCCTGACGGACACTCAGTGTCTTCACTGCCACACTCCCAGCCGCTCAGCTCGAGCCACCTGGTGTGATTCTTCTGCCCCAGCTCCGTTTCAGTGTCTGCAATGGTGGAATTGCCCCGGGGAATTCTCCAAATTGAATCCTGACATCCAGGCCCTAACCCTTACCCGTGACGTTGGGCTCTGGTGATGGGTCCAGAAATCAGGAAGTTTACAACTCCTGAGGGATTCTGAATGCAGCGCTGAGGGAGGTCCGTGGCCCCGATGAGCCTTCTCGGGGTGGGGTTCACTGGGAGCGGAGCAGCTGTCAGGGTGAGTGTAGCAGCAGGCTGTTCTTAGTGAGGCAGCGGGAACCTCCTCCCTTGTTGGGGCTAACCCCAGTGTTCACAGGCCTCCAGGTTTACCAGGCAGGACTAAGCCTTCATCCCAAGTGCCTTCTCCGAGGAAGCACAGGGCACCTGAGCCCTGCCACCTCCCCTCTGGCCCGAGGCCTCTGCCTGCACTTGCTGCCAACAGCCTCAAGATGCCGGCCTCCCCCAGCTCTCCTGCTGGCAGGCCACAGACCACACACATGCCTTTCCTCTGAAGACCCTCGTGGAGGCGCCCCCAAGCCCCCCCAGCAGCAGGATGGAGTTGTAGAGTGTCCTCCATTAGGCCCTGGGATGGAAAGAAGATTGTAATGGATATTCACGTTACAATGTTTCAACACTCTTTCCTGGGGGATAGAAACGTCATTGGCTCTGGCTGATTGTACGTGTTTGCACGCCCTGAAGGCCTCATTTTAACTTGATCACCTCAGTAAAGACCCGATCTCCAAAGAAGGTCCCAATCTGAGGTATTAGAGTCTAGGCCTTCAACATAAGAAACGGAGTGGGTAGATTCAACTGGAAACACTGATTAACCTACTGTGTTCCAACAAATGAAGAAAACCAAGGCTCTTCTTCACTACCCCTGGAGAGCATGACTGGGGGGAAGGTGCAGAAAGCTGCCTCTCAACAGCCCCACCCCCCACCGCACCCCCACTCCCACCAGCGTCACGGCCCTGACCTAACACCATGTACCTCTGTCCTCGGCCTGGCACTGCCCGTGGTGCAGATACTCCTGGAAGGCATCACACAGGAAACACCATTCCCTAGATCCAGTCTGCATCTCAGGTCACTGACGAAGGTAACATGGGAGCAGCAACAACATGTTCCTTAGATCAAAATCCACAAAATGGTGAGGTTTGAAATGAAAAGCCACAGACCGACGGCAAGCAAGACTACCTTCTCTACCCCTCCCTGTCTTCACACCTTCGCAATGTGGTCTTGCAGCTTCTCCCAGGAAGCAGCAGAGTCTCTTCCCTTGTGTCTGAGCTGCCCATAGAGCTTGGCCAGTAGAACGTGGCAGAAGCAGTCATGTGGGTACAGCAGGCCCAAGCCCAGTCTTCAAGGCCTTCCATGCAGTTACTCTCTCTCAGAACCCAGTACTACCGGGAAAACAAGCCCAGGCTGGCCTGCAGGAGGGTGAGAAACTGTAAGAAATACAGCTGGATCTGACCACTTGTTCCATTAATGTGAGCAAGCCCAATTCTACTCAGCCAACAACCCAACCCCGTGGACAGCACACCTGCGTGAACCCAGCCAAGATCGACAGGGCCCATCATGACCACCAGATAACCAGCCAGGACGCAGATGCACAGGCAAAAAGAACTGGCTTTTGTTTCAGGTTTCGGGGTATTTTCTTACGCAGCAATAGCTAACTGATACACCAAGCTCCGACAATTATGCCGCCTTTGTACCCATTGGAAGAAAGTATGTTTGGCAGAAGCCAGTGTTAGTATGGACCAGAAGTCTTCAGGGAAAAGTGCTGAGACTTATTTCCTGAGGTGTCTGAGTGACTGATCTTCTATGTGCATCTTCAGCACTGGGGAAGAGTGAGGGGTCTCACCGCAAGAGATGCTATGGAATACCAATAGCAATAATAATAAAATAATAACAAATATTTAACTTATTATTATTAGAAAAAAGATAATTATTGTATAATTAGATACATTATTACTATTTAACCTAAGTATTTCTGTGTTTAGTAATAAAAGGAAAGGAGCTTATAAATGCCATATTGTGATTGTCATTGGTTTGCAATTTTCTTTTCTTCTTTTTACTAAAAACAGTCAAGTCTCAAAGTAAGGGAGGACGACAGAAACAAGAGTGCAGTCATGAACAGGATCTTCGTGTAAACCGTGGGCTGACGTGATCTGGTTACTGCCTAGGCATTTGAAGGACGTGTTTGGCCTGTGGAGGGAAGGACGCTAATCCTATTAGCACCGAGGAGCTGAGATGCTCAGGTTCAGTTAGAACTTGGCCAAAGGATCTTGTGGAAACACAGGGGGCTGGGACAAGTGTTGCCAACCACTCCGGAGGCACAGTTCTTCCAGAGCCCTCTGATTTCTAAAGTTATACTGAGTCCAAATTCATAGTGAGTTCTACATTTTATATAATTCATTTAATATTTCTTCTTCAAAATATCTTTTTCTTGTGTTTTACTATGTGACCTTCTCACATTGTCGGGGTGCTGTGAGCACTGGGAGACAGTGCGGTGCCTCACTACTTTTGGCCTATAAATCATCTTATTGCGGAGGGGCCAAGAGCAGGGCTGGGGAAGAGTAAGTATATGAGGCCTGAGCGCTGTGCCCCTACGGTGGGTCCGCAGACCTGCTGGACCTTCCTGGGGCTTGGTTTTCTCAACTGTAACCTGCAAAGAGGGACTAGAGCCACCCATAGGCCTCCAAGCTGGAAAGTTATTTGACATCATTGTGTCTGTGTTTTAATGACACTGTGTTCTCATAATTTGTATAAAGTAATAAAGAACGACTCTAATCTTTCAGAAAAGAATATGAACTACAAAAATTTTGCACACAATCATTGTAATTTTTTCCACTAAAGACAAGTGTTGATGCACAATACAATGCTACCTTCTTTGAAACCTGACTAGTTTCAGCTGTGTGTGAGATGAGGAAGGAACAAAATTACAGACTAAACAGAATCTTTGTAGGGCACAAACACATCCAATTCTTCTCTGTTTCGGTTGTATGGATGGTGGTTTTACATACAAGGTAATGTGCCCACTTGCACTGCTTTAGTTTAAAGTTTATGCAATTTAGAAAAGGGTTATGACAAAGTTTGGTCCTTTTAATCTAAAATGCCATTTGTTTCCACATGAGAAAGGGCCCTGGCTCCTTTCATTGTGAAAGGGCACTGGGCATGGGAGAGCATGCAGCCGTTAGAAGAAACTCTCTCTCAGATCCTTTGCTAAGCACTTTGTTTTTATTTTTAATTTAATTTTTATTCTCTATTGAAACGTCTACTTGATATTCAAAATGACCTAAGTAATCAGAACCTCTGTCTGAAAGGAAACAAGTGCTAACTGTGAATGGTCTAAATAATTTACAGCAACATTTTTCTGTGAAGGGCCAGATGGTAAATAGTTTAGGCTTTGCAGGGCACACAGTCTCTGTTGCAGTGACTTAACTCTGCCATTGTGAAAGCATTCACAGACGATCTGCAAACAAATAAAACTTTATTTACAAAATGAGTCAGCTGGCCAGATTTGATCTTAGGCAGTAGAGAGTTTTCTGACCCTGGATGTAAACAAATGATGACAAAACTGCTTTCCTAAACTTTGACCTCAAAGTTAAGAGTGCTAAGTTCTTGAAGGGCTGCAAAGTGAAGTAGTTTGAGGCTGGCGGTTTGTTTTGACTCTTCCAATATTTGTTCTCAGGGTTACTTTGCTGGGACACCTTTAAACTGAAGGGACTCCATATACATATTTAGATTTCCATTTTACCTTTAAAAATTAGGCAGGTCTGGTCCCCAATACTGTATGGCACCAACCCATGCGCTGGCCACTCAGTGCCAGGAGTCCCTTTTAAGGCAGACACGTGTGCTCCAGTTTGCCCCTCCCTCTCCATCCCTCCCTGAGACGGACAGGCAGCTGCGAGTTACTGCCACCATGTTAGATGGCCAGTCTTAAACTCGGTCCACTCGTGTGTTTTGCATCTCAGCTCCCACTCTGGCCTCTATAGCCTGGACTCAACCACCCCTCTTTGTTACCTGGAGACATTCATACTGCAGGATGAGCGCTGAAATCCGTGCACCGCTAGAGGAACTGGGAAACACTAGTCATTTTAAAGAATGTTGTTTCTTTCTTCACAATGAAAAGAGACTCATTTAGCACTGCTCTGGTCTTACTGTTCTTAAGCATACCGTAAGAGTGAATCCTTTTATATCAGCCATTCTTCTTTTTTTCCATCTGTTTGAACTTACAGAAGAGGGCCCCTAGGTATCTCCATGTGATAGACTGGAAAAAATCTCACTCCCTTTCATGTTACACTGGACACAATTAGAAGTACGTAGAGATCCCCATTTATCAAGCGTGCAATGTACTCAGGACAAGGGAAATTCTGCCGGCAGATTCTGGAGACTTCCAGGCACTGCCGAACCCCCCCTTCAAGGTAAGTGTAAGCTCCCTGAGGTGTGAGCTGAGGCAGACGCTTGTTAGGCATTGGCAGAGAGGAAGGGTGGCAGGTGTTTTAAGGTCCCTCCCAATGCCAGGCTTTATGTAAAAAATATTTGCACTTTGAGGAATGGTTTCAAATAAATGAATAAGAGAGGGAGTGTGTGTTGCTATGGAATGAGGATGCCCATACACAGCCAGGCGGTTCTACTGCCCCTACCTGGGGTCTGGGGCTTCAGGACAGCCCTAGCAGGGCGCCTGCTGGGAGCTCTCCCTGGGTACCCACAGACTCGCGACAGGCTGGGCAAAGAAAGCCAGAGCCCAAGACACCATTTCCCCCATTCATCCCCCTCTCCAAAGTGTGCAAAAGAGGCAACGTCAAGCTAAGCTGGCTGTGAAGGACACTGGAACCAAACAAAGGGCAGCTGAAGGCCCAGGATCCACATAAGGTGTGTGATGGGAAAGCAGCCACGGATGGGGAGCGCCACACACACACACGTGTGCAAACATGCACTCCCACGCGCGCAGTCCTACTGAGAGGTGACAGCGTGCTGGCAGTCCTCAGAGCCCTCGCTTGCTCTGGGCACCTCCCCTGCCTGGGCTCCGACTTTGGCGGCATTTGAGGAGCCCTTCAGCTCCCCACTGCACTGTGGGAGCCCCTTTCTGGGCTGGCCAAGGCTGGAGCCCACTCCCTCAGCTTGCAGGGAGGTGTGGAGGGAGAGGCACGAGCGGGAACCGGGGCTGCGTGCAGCGCTTGCGGGCCAGCTGGAGTTCCGGGTGGGCGTGGGCTTGGCGGGCCCCGCACTCAGAGCAGCCGGCCAGCCCTGCTGGCCCCGGGCAATGAGGGACTTAGCACCTGGGCCAGTGGCTGCGGAGGGTGTACTGGGTCCCCCAGCAGTGCCGGCCCACCGGGGCTGTGCTCGATTTCTTGCCGAGCCTTAGCTGCCTTCCTGCGGGGCAGGGCTCGGGACCTGCAGCCCGCCATGCCTGAGCCTCCCACCCACTCCATGGGCTCCTGTGCGGCCCGAGCCTCCCCAAGGAGCGCCACCCCCTGCTCCACAGCGCCCAGTCCCATGGACCACCCAAGGGCTGAGGAATGCGAGCGCACGGCGCAGGACTGGCAGGCAGCTCCACCTGCGCCCCGGTGCGGGGATCCACTAGGTGAAGCCAGCTGGGATCCTGAGTCTGGTGGGGATGTGGAGAGTCTTTATGTCTAGCTCAGGGATTGTAAATACACCAATCAGCACCCTGTGTTTAGCTCAAGGTTTGTGAGTGCACCAATCGATACTCTGTATCTAGCTGCTCTGGTGGGGCCTTGGAGAACCTGTGTGTGGAAACTCTGTGTATCTAACTAATCTGATGGGGACGTGGAGAACCTTTGTATCTAGCTCAGGGATTGTAAACGCACCAATCAGCGCCCTGACAAAACAGGCCACTCGGCTCTACCAATCAGCAGGATGTCGCTAGGGCCAGATAAGAGAATAAAAGCAGGCTGCCCCAGCCAGCCGTGGCAACCGGCTCAGGTCCCCTTCCATGCTGTGGAAGCTTTGTTCTTTTGCTTTTTGCAATAAATCTTACTACTGCTCACTCTTTTTTTTTTTTTTTTTTTTTTTTTTGAGACGGAGTCTCGCTCTGTCGCCCAGGCTGGAGTGCAGTGGCGGGATCTCGGCTCACTGCAAGCTCCGCCTCCCGGGTTCACGCCATTCTCCTGCCTCAGCCTCCCAAGTAGCTGGGACTACAGGCGCCCGCCACTACGCCCGGCTAATTTTTTGTATTTTTAGTAGAGACGGGGTTTCACCGTTTTAGCCGGGATGGTCTCGATCTCCTGACCTCGTGATCCGCCCGCCTCGGCCTCCCAAAGTGCTGGGATTACAGGCGTGAGCCACCGCGCCCGGCCTACTGCTCACTCTTTGGGTCCACTCTGCTTTCATGAGCTGTAACACTCACCGTGAAGATCTGCAGCTTCACTCCTGAGCCCAGCGAGACCACGAGCCCACCGGGAAGAACGAACAACTCCAGAGGCTCTGCCTTAAGAGCTGTAACACTCACCGCCTAGGTCTGCAGCTTCAATCCTGAGCCAGCGAGACCACGAACCCACCAGAAGGAAGAAACTCCGAACACATCTGAACATCAGAAGTAACAAACTCCAGACGCACCACCTTAAGAGCTGTACCCACTCACCGCGAGGGTATGCGGCTTCATTCTTGAAGTCAGTGAGACCAAGAACCCACCAATTCCAGACACACTATGGGCTCACAGCGTGTACTCGCGCACACGCAGTCAGGTGTGGATGTACACCCGCGCACACCCAGGCACATGTACACCCGCGCGCTCACACACCCCATCCAGCTACAGCAGAATTCTGGCCAGGCTGTTGACCGCACACCTGCTGCCTCCTTGGCCACCCTGTCCACACAGTAGCCCGATCGACCCCCGTGGCGGCCGAGACCCAGGCCCATCCGCAGCCCTGAGACCTCCCTAGGGATTGCACCCAGCAGCCAGTCACCGGCCTCCGCGGCCTGGCCAGTTGAGGGTGGCCGTGACCGCGGGGCCAGGAGCGCCGCCACATCTCGGGGCAAATGGCGCGGGGGAAGAGTTTCCTCCTCAGCCTCCCCGTCTCCGATCGCTCCGCAAACTCCAGAGCGAGGCACGCGCCTTTAAAGGCAGGTCCGCGGCTCTCCCACGTCCTGGCGCCCGGTTTTCCGCACCCAGTGTCCCCACAGCTGTGCCCGGGCACAGAGGCGCGGCCAGACCGCACTCCGCGGGCTGCAGGTGTCCCGGCCTCTGGCGGCGCCGGTGCGGCCCGGAGGTGGGAGCCCGCGGAGCCACTGCAGTAGCTGGAGTCCCGCCGAGTCCCCAGCCCCAAGGCAGGGCAGGAGCGCGCACCGGCCGGAGGTCCATGCTGAGCATCGCCCGCGCCGGTGCCCGGCAGCCTCTCCAACTGTGTGGTCCCCGCGCGGGCAGAGAGGCACGGACTGCAGGCCGTGGGCAGCTCCATCTTCCCGCGTCCTCCTCCTCTGGCGCTGCCCGCTGTCTCCCGCCTTCCCTCTGCTCCCCGCTCGCCTCCGCCTCAGCGCCCCGCTGACCTCGCCTCCTCCCCTCTGCTCTTTGTCCCTGCACTCTCCCCTCCTCGGTCCTCTGACCCCCCCGCCCTCACCTCCTCCCCTCCTCTCTCCCCTGCCCGCCCCGCGCTCTCCCACCGCTCCCGCCGCCCCCGCCGCCGCGGCTGCCACTCCGCCCCCCGCGCCGCACGGAGCTTCAGTAATAACCCCGGCGCGGCGGCGGAGTCGCTGTGGGGAATCCTCCCGCGCTCTGCCTGGGTCGGGTCCTCCCTGCCCGCTCGCACGCTGCCGGCCGGGGACCCTCCGGTGGCCCCTAGCCCCTCGGAGCGCTCCTGGATGAAGCCCCGCGCGCGCGGATGGCGGGGCTTGGCGGCGCTGTGGATGCTGTTGGCGCAGGTGGCCGAGCAGGTGAGTCCCGGGCGCTCCCACCAGCGCGGAAACCGCGGGTCCGGACAGCTGGAGGCGAGTCCCCCGCGGCTCCTCTCCCGCGGACCCCGCCGTCTCACCGCGATGTCGCCGCTGTTTTCCGCAGGCACCTGCGTGCGCCATGGGACCCGCAGCGGCAGCGCCTGGGAGCCCGAGCGTCCCGCGTCCTCCTCCACCCGCGGAGCGGCCGGGCTGGATGGAAAAGGGCGGTAAGTCCGTGAGGTGGGGGCTTCTAATCCTTGCCATTTAGCAGCTCGTAATCTCCGTGCCGCTGGTTTATTAGGTGCTGTGAATGTTCACGACTCTGTGGAACCCTACTTTTAAGATGCTGTTGTGAACTTTTTTTTTTTTTAACTGTATGAGCGAGCCCCGATGAGTGGATTTCCACCAATATTTACATTTTATTCCCTGGCAAAACGGTTTGCCAGAGTTATTGATATAACATTAGGAAAAAGGTGAGGAAGTTCATTTTATTTTATTCTAAAGAGCTTAGGAAGAATCTAAAGCTATTAATGTATGCATCAAAGCCGTCATAAAGAGCAAATTACTTTCTTTTCCGTCCCCTTCTACATCCTCGGATCCTCCTTCCCGTCCCCAACCTTTCCTCCTTCTCCTCCTTTATAGATTAAAATATTCCTCTATCGTTGCTTATTCTCAGTGAAGGAGATAAAAGAAGCGCTTAGCATCTCAATACCAAAGTTAATGCTCCAACAATCAGGGCGTACTTCAAACATAATAGTGCCTGAAATGGCTAATCAGCTGATTGTGACACCATCAGCAACGTTCATATCCTGGGCCACAATTTGACATGAGGGCAAGTCTTATTCTTTTTCAATGCATGCTTTTACTTCTGCCACTTACAAGTGACATTTGGAAATTTGCTGTCTTATGGAAAGGGATCTCTGTGTCTTCATACTGCATCAGGTAAATGAGAACGCAGGTGTGTCGCACTGGTTGCTAGGTGGTTTTTTAACCTGAACCCATCCAATGACAGTTAATAAATATTATTTTGCATTGTTACCAACAATAAATTGCCGTATCAAATGTTAATATTAATTGACTTTTATAGGAAGAACTAGGTTTCATTCTCTCAATGTATTTCCAGAAGATCTAGAAAATTAAAGTTAACAATTCAGAATTTCTCAGTATAGTTATTTCAATTTGATAAAATAACATAAAGGCAAGCACTTAATATATGCATTAACTTTTGAAATTATTCCCTGCCAAATGAGTACACAAATAGTATATAAGGTGACCGGTGTCAGATTGACGCTCACCATAGTACCTTTTTGAGAACCACCAGGGGGCGCTAGGTGCAAATGATATAAAATGTTAAAAAAAATTGTCACAGTGAATTTACAAGAGAAAGTTAATTATCTGTCCATTTACAGACTATCCTCTTGTGGTTGTCCTTGTCCTTTTTAGGGTTTTGCTTACAATACTAAAAGTTAATTCTTACAATTTTAAAGGTTAATTCTAATTCACCTTTTTAAGTAAGATTTTTGTAAAAAAAAAAAAAAAAATTCTAGTTCCCTAAAACCATGAAAATTCCAGAGGGACTCAGGAGATTTCCACAATAGTTTATGGCATTTATGAAGTTTTATTTAAGATAAAACACATTATAGACACAGAAGAAAGAAGAAGAAAAGCCAGGGCTTCGTGCCTAAGTGTGCTTTTCTCCTAAAGTGATTCAATCTGCTTCAGCATCCTCTCTGGGAGTGGGGTGCCAGTGTGCTGCTCTGAACACCTGGCACCACAGTTGTTGTCACAACGTATCGTCTCCATGACAACCACTTATCTGGCTTGGTAAGAACCTGAAGGGGAAGAGGCAAACCCTTCTTAGTGAAGTTCTAGCCCAGTGGACACAGCACACACCCTCCTCCCCTACCTTCTATGCACTTTAGCTCCTTAATTATAAATGGCTAATGTGTGAGTCTGGACATCCACAACAAGCTTTTATGCCACCAGAGAAAAGATCCTCCTCAACAGTGTTGCCTGTTTCCCTCTGACCTGGAGCAGAAGAGCTAGAAGACACTTGGTGACTGCTGGGGTCAACTTACTGTTGCCTGTCTAGGTATCCATTAGACAAGTTGGTTCTGAAATAACTAATTGTAGCCATACATTTTGTTTAAAGTAGCGCATGACTCAAACTATTATTGCAAATCATTCTTGGTGGCTGAAGTAATTACAAAATAGCAAAGAGAACAAAGCTGGAGGTGTCACACACTACCTACCTGACTTCAAACTATGCTACAAGGCTACAGTAACCAAAAAAGCATGGTACTGGTACCAAAACAGATATATAGATCAATAGAACAGAACAGAGACCTCAGAAATAACACCACGCATCTACAACCACCTGATCTTTGGCACATCTGACAAAAACAAGCAATGGGGAAAGGATTCCCTATTTAATAAATGGTGCTGGGAAAGCTGGCTAGCCATATGAAGAAAACCGAAACTGGACCCTTCCTTACACCTTATACAGAATCTAACTCAAGGTGGATTAACTATTTAAATGTTAAAACCTAAAACCAAAAGCAATTGCAACAAAGCCAAAACTGACAAATAAGATCTAATTAAACTAAAGAGCTTCTGCACAGCAAAAGAAACTATCATCAGAGTGAACAGGCAACCTAGAGAATGAGAGAAAATTGTTGTAATCTATCCATCTGACAATGGGCTAATATCCAGAATCTACAAGAAACTTAAACAAATTTAGAAGAAAAAAACAAACAACCCCATCAAAAAATGGGTGAAGTATATGAACAGACAATTTTCAAAAGAAGACATTTATGCGGCCAACAAACATATGAAAAAAACCTCATCATCATTGGTCATTAGAGAAATGCAAATCAAAACAACAACGAGATACCATCTCACGCCATTTAGAATGGCAATCTTTAAAAAGTCAGAAAACAACAGATTCTGGAGAGGATGTGGAGAAATAGGAACACTTTTACACAGTTGGTGGGAGTGTAAATTAGTTCAACCATTGTGGAAGACAGTGTGGCGATTCCTCAAGGATCTAGAACAAGAAATACCATTTGACCCAGCAATCCCATTACTGGGTATATACCCAGAGAATTATAAATCATTCTACTATTAAGACACATGCACACATATGTTTAGTGAAGCACTATTCACAATAGCAAAGACTTGGAACCAACCCAAATGCCCGTCAATGAGAGACTGGATAAAGAAAATGTGGCACATATACACCATGGAATTCTATGCAGCCATAAAAAAAGAATGAGTTCATGTCATTTGCAGGGACATGGATGAAGCTGGAAACCATCGTTCTCAGCAAACTAACACAGGAACAGAAAACCAAACACTGCATGTTCTCACTCGTAAGTGGGAGTTGAACACTGAGAACATATGGGCACAGGGAAAGGAACATCACACACCGGGCTTGTTGGGGGGTGAGGGGCAAGGGGAGGGATAGCATTAGAAATACCTAATGTAGATGGCAGGTTGATGGGTGCAGCAAACCACCATGATACATGTATACCTATGTAACAAACCTGTACGTTCTACACATGTATCCCAGAACTTAAATTATAACAAAAAAAAAATCAATGGTCACATGCTCACTAGCGAACATAATAACAATGCAGAGAATATAAAATAGAATTGTGCTAGTTTCTCTTCCTACCCCCCTCTGCCTTTACTATTTGCCTTCTGCATTTTGTCCAGATAATCTACAAGAATTTACTTATTGCCCTGTGTTCCTTACAGGCTACACTTTTTTTCCTTTAAAAGGTCACTTTGGCTTCAGAGCTTACAACGTACTTTGAAAGCTCATTATTTGATCAACTTTGCCTCATGTGGTGAAATAATATTTTAGATTTCATTCTTTTAGAGTATATTTTTACAAGCTTTAAGGTATTCCTTTCTATAGCTTTATGGTAATTTAGTTACCAATTATCCGTTGTTGATTATTGTTTAAAATTTTACCTCATTACAAATAATACTTCCATGAAAATATTTACATAAACTTTTTAAAATTCGTCTGGGATTATTTCCTCAGGGTGATTTCCCAGGTCAAAGTATTTTGCAACTCATTGCCAAAGCCGACTTTAGGAGGGTAGTGTCATTTTTATTTCCTGATATCAGCAGCGTTTGAAAGAGGTGGCCGGTGGTGGACTGATTTTTTGTTAATGCGATTGATTTCTATTTAGAAGGCTATACATCTCCTGCCACCTGTCCCACCCTTCTGTCTCTGTTTTCTGGATTCTCCTTCCCTGCTATCCTCTTAGGGTGCTCGTGAACATTCCTCTGCTCTTAGAGAGTTACAGGCTCTGTCTTTGAGTCTGGAGCAAGCTGCAGTCAGGTGCCATCTAAGCAGCCAACTGTGGAAAGAGTGGGAAGGGTGGAGCCCGTGGGAGATGCTCCTGTTGGGTGGGCGAGGCATGGAGCTCTGTCCGTCTCCCCCAGCCTTTTGGAATTGAGCTCTCCGAAAACAACTGGGGCCTCACGGGAGCCTTGCAGGGCTTCTTGGAGTTCAGTTTGCCTGAACGCGGAGATTATGAGCCTACCACTTATATATATGAGTTTTTAGATAGGACAAACTTTTCCTCTTGCAAGATTATTGTGTTTGAAGTCTTTCAAATACGTCTTTCCCATTTATGGAAAAAATACTGTATTAATAAAGACACCAAATCACTGTGAGAATAATTAAAATACATACATTTACAGTGAAATTAATTATATTAAAAACATTGCAATACTCAAAGCTCATCATTTCATAATTATTTCACTATATTTGATAATAATCTAGGCTCTTGAGGCCACTGGCCTCTTTTGCATCTGTATGGTAGAAATATCACACACTGGGGGCTGCTGCGTATCTCTGTGCACTGAATATTCAGTGATGGCACAGCAGTCATTGAAATCAGCCATGAGGGGAAGATTTACACCAGGGAAATTGGCAAATGCCAAAATCCAGGTCGTTCTTCTCCAGACAGCGGGTTGTTGAATGTTTATTACCACAGCATTGTGTTTATGTAAACATGGCTTACCAGTAGTTATTTTGCATGATAAATATTATATGTGCCCCCAGTAAAGGACGAATATTTTCTCTCTTCAAAATAAAGGTCATAAGAATATGACTTATTTCATCTGAGAATAATTTGATTTCTTAAAGAGTAATCACCTTTTTATACACAATAAAATGTGCTAACCTTCCACTGTTTGGAACAAGCCATCCTGCTTTCTGTCATCCTTCCCCTGACTCAGCTACAGTGGTAGGAGCTGGTGGGAGGTGAGGAGCATGCCCCTGAGTGGCTGGGAGGGCAGATGACAGCTGTTAACATCACCGCATCACTGTTGGAGAATTTCCTGGCTTGGTAATAGCACATTATGGGGCCCTTGTTACAATTTTTTTCTTTAAACTGTGATGTTCCATATTGCACACTTTGAATTCAGTATGGGTAGGTGTTGCATTTTTCTTCATCATTTTTGACTGGGTGGAAAGGTCATGTGGTAAAATAATATTATATCTTAAGACTTCCTGATTCTTCTCGGAATTCCGAAATGACTCAGCCTCTGCTCACTCTTTTGATTTCAGAATATGACCTGGTCTCTGCCTACGAGGTTGACCACAGGGGCGATTACGTGTCCCATGAAATCATGCACCATCAGCGGCGGAGAAGAGCAGTGCCCGTGTCCGAGGTTGAGTCTCTTCACCTTCGGCTGAAAGGCTCCAGGCACGACTTCCACATGGATCTGAGGACTTCCAGCAGCCTAGTGGCTCCTGGCTTTATTGTGCAGACGTTGGGAAAGACAGGCACTAAGTCTGTGCAGACTTTACCGCCAGAGGACTTCTGTTTCTATCAAGGCTCTTTGCGATCACACAGAAACTCCTCAGTGGCCCTTTCAACCTGCCAAGGCTTGGTGAGTACAGCGCAAGCCCCAGGTAGGGAGGCGAGGTTGGTGATGGTGGAAAGGAGAGCGTAACCAGGACTTTCCCTCGATTTCGCATAGATGTTCTTCTAGTACTGCAGCGCAGATTAAGCAGGAGGAATATTGCCAAGTAAAACTTTTCCAAAAAACATTGCGTGCCTCCTCTGGCCTATTTGGAAACAGTGTGCACACCCACCCTGCTGCTGCTGTTCTAGAATTATTGTGGACGAGCACTTCAGCTTGAAACTTGTGTATAAGAACCGCTGGCCAAATCTGAATTCTTTAGCTTCTTAGGGGATGTTTTTACTCTAACTTACAGCTTCTAACTGACAGAAACTGGAGAAATGTCTTCATTTTGAATAAAACAACACAATTCAAGAGATTGGCCATGAGGATTATTTGATCAGATATTTGAAAGACTTTGAATACTGTACATCTTTCATTCTGATGATGATAATCTGCTTACACATTAGGGCATTCATCCATGGCAGGGCGTTGCTGGTCTTCCTGGACTGATGAATCCAGGGGTGCATTCCCCATGTCCTGCATATCGGGTTTGGAATGGCACATCACTTCAATGCTTCTGGTGCTGCAGTTTACAGGGACGCTAGAGCCGGGGGCTTATGGCCGAGCTAAGAATCTACCTGCATCCCTCAGGCCTACCCAAGTCAAAATCTCAATGGCTTGCTTTTTACTTAAAATATTTTCATATATTTAGGGAGAAAAATCTTTGGAGATTCTTAGATTCTTGGCAGCAAATGAATTGCTCAGGTGCAGAGGAGCGAAGTGTGACTTAGACAGCAGAGTGAAAATGTGTGGTCAACAGTTCAAGGTCTTGAGGATGTTAAAGGTTTGGCCAACAGGTCTGGGACGTTTATTGCTTCTCTAGAAAAAGCTTTCAGTGTGTCTTAAATTTCATTCCCTCTTTGAGGAGAGGGAATTCAGACCCCACATCTCATAAAGATTTTGTGTGTGTGAATTTTGGATGCTGAATTCATAACCAATTTCTTAAAATACTAAATATATGCAAATGCTAAATCCTGTAAAAAAATTTTTTTAGATGTTAACATTCTGCTTTTTAGAGAAATTTGATATGAGTTGATCTCATTGCTATTTCACTTGTAAGAAGTTTTTGGGTTGAGTTGCCAGGGATAGGGTGGTGGTTATTTGGCGCTCTTGTTAAGCATGAAGACAATGGGGCTGATTTCTTCCACACTCTCCCAAGAAAAATAAGTCTTCCTTAACGGACTAGAACTCTTCATGAAATGCACAAAATGAAGATACATCTTCCTTGGTTTTCTTTCACAAGGGCTTAAGCCAGAAATGGAAGCCATCTGTGTGGCAGCGAGGTGTGCCTTGCCCTTTACACTTGGGTAATTTTGGATTTGGTTGTGGAAATTGGTGAGGTGCTTCTTGCTAACCCAGCAAGGATGCAAGCTCCCTGAGGCCCCTGGGTTTCCCTGAGCCAGGGAGGCTGAGCTGTGCCCTGGAATCTGTTCCCTGAATCGAGGTGGTTTGCAGTAGCTTGAAATTTCTGGCTCTTTTTGAGCTTGATCAGAGTTAACAGGAAAAGTTAACAGTAAAGTAAGTGTATAATTATAATGAAAGATAAAGAAATTATAAATAACAGAAAAAAATGCTTCTCTGGATAATAACAGTGGTATCTGATACTGTAGCTGTTGGAAGAGAAATTTATATGTCTTCTTCATTAATCTTCCAAATACTTGTAGTCCAGCTTTACTGATATTTTGTCCATAGATGGTCACTACAAATGAGACCTCAACCAGACTTAAGAGTGTGAGGCTTAGTGTTTTCGTCATAAGACAGGACAAATCAAAGGCATTTGAAAGAGCCCTGTTCTTATTTAGGTATCTTTGCAGAGCCCAGGGGCGATCACTTTGAAAAGAAGATCTCTTCTAGCAGGAAATGCTCTATATTCCATTCTATCTGTTTAATTTGTAGGATAAGAATATTACTTTCAAGTGTAAAAATATATTGCTTAATTATTACATAATATCTTGTATCATTTAATTAGAGAAAATGGTTTACAGTTGTGAAACAATGCAATTTCCAAACTGGTACATAGTTTTTCACCCTGGTTCTGAGATTCTGCATTTGGAAGGATTTTGCTGTTGTCCACTAATGATTGGTTTGAGGAATAGTGTGAAAGTGAATCATTGAGGTGTTGTCCTATTTATAGTAAACAAATATTCATAAAGAAGAAAGGAAAAACTAAACAAACATAATACATTAAATCTCATGTTCACAGTGACAATTTGAGTACTGAATGACCTTGAGAACTATGTATGGCTGCAGCCTAGCAGACCTGGGCCCCAGGAGTTTATTGTCTAATGAGAGAGGCAGGACACAGGCAAGTCCCTTACGGGGGAGGAAACGGGGACAGGCATGGGAGCCAGAAGGACCCAGAGGAGGATGCCTCTGCGTGCCTTGCTGGTAGGTGGAGAGTGTCAGGGTAGGATTTTAGAGACTGTCCAGAAACCAAGTCCAAGCCCTGTCCTCATAGTAAAGTTAGAACGTGATGCCCATAAGTGAAGGAGTAACAAGCAGTCCTGGAGAAGACTGCTGGCATCTGCCAAGCTCACAGATCTTGTAACACTACCTATAAATGTTAAGAGCTTAACATTTGCATATTAAACCCAAGTATAATATATTCAATGGGATCTGTAAACCCTAAAATTATTTCTAGAGTTTACCCTGGTATTGCCACCAAGTATCTTGACTTAAAATATTTCTTATTCAGTTAAGTAAGGGTAATTTTTGGAAAAAGGGTCCCTGTTATATTTATGTCTCTACCAAATTGTCATTAGAGATCTGTTTGTGGTCACCAAACACAAGCACATAAATGTGTGTCACTCAGGTACTTTCCAGTACTTGGTTAAATAATGGATAGACTTAGAGGGCTAGTTATAAGTAAGAGACAATGATGACCATGGCAATAGCACAAAGAACAATAATGACTTACTGAATGTTATACTTTGCTAATAGCTTTACAATTGTTATCTCACTTAGCTTGAAGATAAGTCGAAGAAATAGGTACTATTTTTAAAACAGCTTTATTGAGATGTAACTCACTCTTTAAAGAGTTAATTAGCTCTATTCATTTAATAGAGTTTCACCCTTTACAATGTATCATTCAGTAGTTTTTAGTATATTAACAGAATTGTGCAAATTTCACTAGAATCTAATAGGAGACATTTATATCACCTCAAAAATAAACCCTTATGGGCAGTTCTCACTTCCCCTAATTTCCCCATTCCCATCCTAGGTAGTATAGGTTTGCCTAATCTGGCCATTGATTATAAACAGAAGCATACACTATGTGGCCTTTGTGACTGACTCATTTCACTTAGCATAATGTGTTCAAGATTCATCCACGTTGCAGCACATACCAGTACTTTATCCTTTTTTATTGCTGAAGTATACCACATATTTTATTTACCTGTTTATCAGTTGATGGACATTATTGTTTTACTTTTTTTGGCTACTGCGAATAATGCTGCTATGAACATTTGTGTACAGGTTTTTGTATGAACATGTGTCTTCATTTCTCTTGGGTAAATACCTAGGAGTGTAATTTCTGGGACATATGGAAACTCTACACTTAACGTTTTGAGGAATTTTCAAACCATTTTTCATATTAGCTGTACCATTTTATATTACCCTAGTAATGTCTGAAGTTTCCTATTTCTCCACATTCTTGCCAAATCTTGTTATTGTTCTCTCTTTTTAAATAGCCATCCCAGTGAGTACGAAGTAGTATCCTTTGTGGTTCTGATTTACTGGGTAGAGATTATTGGCTTGTGAAGTGGGTTCACTGTGCAGAGGTTAGCAACTTGTCTGAGTTTGGTGAGACAGCAACCCCCACACACAAGTTACATGAAGTGGCTTTATTACTTAGAGATAGGTAGGGCAGCAAGGGACAGCTGAAGCCTAGGAATCATCACGGGCCGGTGCACAAGGCTCAATACAGCAGCCTGAGTGGATGAAGTCTTGTCTGTGCATGCAACATGGCTGGGGCACCCAGAAAAGCAGCCCACCCTGGGTTTTATACCCGGGCACATGACGTGCTGGACAAGTTCTGCAGTTCAATCATCACAACAAGTTCTACACTTCAGTCATCACGTCATACCACAAGGCAGGGACTGCAACAGAGTCCAGGTTGTTTCTGCCCTTTCCTCCCTATCTCATGATGTTGCATTTCCAGCACATTTTGCAGTCATTCTTGAGAACGGCAAGGAAGAAAATGGGGAGGACTCAGTTGGTCCATAGTCATCCGTAGAATTGTTCTGCATAGGTTGACAGTTTTTTGTTGTTTTACTTTCAGCACTTTCAATATGTCATCCTACTGCTTTCTGACTTCCATTGTTTCTGGTGAGAAGTCAACTGTTTATCTCACTGTGGTGTATTATGCACATTGCATTATGCATATGTTAGTATGTATATTTTGGTATCCATTATGCATATGTTGATATGTTTAATGATGTCCCACATTTCTCTGAGGCTCCATTCATTTTTTCTTCATTCATTTTTCTCTGTCTTCTTCGTTTATCTTCAAGTTCACTGATTTTTTCCTGGCAGTTCAAATATATTATTAAGCCCCCTCATAAATTTTACATTGTGTGTACTGTACTTTTCAATTCCAAAATTTTTATTTCTTTCTTTTAAAAATGTACCTTCATTCAAATTCTCTGTGCAACACTGCCATCATGGCTTCCTTTATTTCTTTTCTCTTATTTATTTATTTATTTATTTATTTATTTATTTATTTATTGAGCTGGAGTCTCACCCTGTTGCCCAGGCTGGAGTGCAATTGCACAATCTCAGCTCACTGCAACCTCCGCCTCTCAGGTTCAAGTGATTCTCCTGCCTCAGCCTCCCGAGTACCTGGGATTGCAGGTGCACACCACCATGCCCAGCAAATTTTTTGTGTCTTTAGTAGAGATGGGGTTTCACCATGTTGGCCAGGCTGGTCTTGAACTCCTGACCTTGTGATCCACCCGCCTCAGCCTCCCAAAGTGCTGGAACCACAGGTGTGAACCACTGTACCTGGCCCATTTTTATTTTTAATGTATTTTTATCATATATATTTAAGGTGAAAACATGATGTTTATACACACACACACGCACACACACACACAATGAGAAGATTACTACAGCCAAGCAAATTTATCCATTATTTCCCATAGTTCCCTTTGTGTGTGTGTGTGTGTGTGTGTGTGTGTGTGTGTGTGTGTGTGTGTATGTGTGTGGGGGGTAAGAGCACCTAAAATCTACTCTTTAATCAAATTTTCAGTATACAATACAGTATTATTAAGTATAGTCTTCCTGCTGTACATTAGGTCTTTATACTTATTCATCCTATGTAACAGTAAGCTTGTATTCTTTGACCTACTTCTCCCCATTTTTTCCTCCTTTCTGCCACTGGGAAGGAGTGTTCTAATCAATACTCTACTTGCTACTTCTATGTATTCAACTTCTTTTTTAGATTCCACGTGTAAGTGAGACCATATAGTATTTGTCTTTCTGTGTCTGGCTTATTTCACTTAGCATATTGTCTTCCAGGGTCATCCTTGCTGTCATAAATGGTTCTTCCTAGTTGCTCACAACCAAAATCTTTATTATTTTTGACAATGCCCTTAGGCATGAAATTCCCACATTCTGCTCCAAATAATTTCAGGCCCTGGAGGCAAGCTCCTTGTTCATGCAGCCTGTCTCTTCTCCTGGGCAAAACCTCCAAGACACCGAATTGCAGATGGGACTGCTAGAATGGCTTGCTTCTCCCACTGTGACACCCTTACTCTATGAGCAGAGCTCCGGTGGGGATGGTAACCCCTTGTCTTCCCTGGTTGTGCTTCCTGTCTTGAAACTTTAACCTACAAGTGAGATGGAGTGGAGGTATTCAGGGTTTCATTGCTGTCGGCCTGATAAGCCTGGAGAGTAGTGTCCATTCTATGTGTAGGGGCTGCTTGGCAGAAGACAAACAAGTTCTGTTGGCCATGCCTGCCTGGAACAGAGCTTCTGCAATATGGAACTGAAGGAATTTCAGATGCAAGTGGCTTGCCTCCCCTGTAGTGCAAATGGAGTCTCAGAATAGAAGTTGGCTGGGGGTAAGGAAATAGGGATTCCTTATCTTCTTGGCTACACATGCCTGGAGAAGAACCTCTGTTGCATTTAGCTGGGGCCAAGGTAAAGACTTAAGCAAACCATGGCTCAAACACTACCAAATTTCACTGTTCTGTTCAAGGTTTATTAAAATGTTTTTCAGTAATTGTTTCTCCATATTTTATGCACTTAAGATAATTTCCAAGGACTTTAAATGGTTGAAGCCTGTGTGTGTGCATGCATGTGTGTAATTTTCAGCAATAAGTGGTTCTTTCACTGGGGTGAAATCCCACATTGCTCCTCAAATTGCCATTCTGGAAGTCTGTCTTCAATAGACACTATTATTAACATATTTTACAGATTATGATCCAAGACCACTTTATTATCCCCATTTTACAGATGATCCCAAAGCTAATTCTTCAAAACATGGGAATCCAGAACTAGCACTTGAAACCACAGTACTATTTCACTTCCCTTAATCATGGAGCTGTTGCTGCCTTACAGGGACCTGTGAGCTCATGCACATGAATTTGCATTGTGTCACCTGAACTTTCTCTAAGGGGTAATGACTTTCTCATTGGTTTCCACTTCAGTGCCATCTTCCTCAGCATCTAATGCTGTTTGAGCTTAGTGACCACATTTGCAGTTTGTAATGTTAAATTTGCAGTGTGTAAATATTAAAGCACATATGTGTACTTTATTCCATAATTATTTATTTACAGGTTTTTTAATACCAGACTATGAACTCTTCAAGAGTCGTTTATCATTCATCTTTGTATCCCAAAGTTCTTGTTAAACATTAACCTAAATTCATTTTGTTCTTGTAATGAGTGATTGTATTTCCAATTTACAAACAGAAATCCTATATCTTCTCAACCTCTATTTTTGGGTATTAATAAAGGTAAAATTAGTTTTATAATCCACTTCATCTGATTTCTTGCTATGACTAATGTCAAACACTGTAAATTTTCTTTTGAAGTGTATAGTTTATTAATAAATCGTTCAATCACTAGGGTTTTTAACAAAACTATTTTTTAGAAACTCCATTAGTCAATATTTTTAAGTGAGGGTTGTTTAAAAATGTTTTCTGTTGCATATGATGGGAATAGATTTTTCTTAGGATTTTCTGAAAGTTCTGTACTTGGATTAGAAAAAAATATATATAATCTGTCGACTGCCATTGGCATAAAATCTGCATGAAATTTAATTCGTCTTGCATAAAACATGATGTTTGTCAAGGCATTAATGCACAGGATAGGTATCATTTTTCCTAAAGTCTAATTATTGTTTTCAAAAATGTTGGAATACTTGTAAATGTTGTAATTCTCAGTTCTGTCTATACTCTCACTTGATTTGACACTTATTCAGGGCCCTGGTTTGAATTGTACTGGGTTTTATTTCTACCCACAAACTCCAGGGATTCCCTGGAAATTCTAGTCATTGAGAGATTTTTCTAAAACACTCAATAAATCCTAGGAAACTGTCTGAAATGCTGCCAGATTTTCAACTGACTTTAAAAAATGTTCTTGAGCCAGTATAATAAAATAGGAATAGAGAGGAAGAACCCACATGGGGGTATGATCAGAAGAGATACTATGATTTTTGAAAGAAAGGTGTCACTATCTGAGAAGACTGCTGATGGCATAAGCAGATGAAAATGTCAGTCTTGGGAGGCATGTGAGACAGCTATTAGGTTTTTGGATAAAGAACGGCCAAAGCTGGTGGTGACTAGGAAATTTAAGGTGGTTGTGAAGAACTAATTGAAAGTGTAGATAATTTCTTACTTTTCTGCTAATTACATAAGAATAAATATAATAGTGCAATTTGGAAATTAACAGAAATGAATATATTTCATTAGATCAAATAATATTTTATAAGGTAATCTTTCAAGTTTGAAGTGATAACAGATTTTTCTATTAATTTACTGTTAGTTGTAAACAAAAATTAGATGACTAGAGAAATTTAGCTATAAAATCTATGGTTTTGTTCCACTTCTCTCATTTTTGAAGTGATGAAACTGAGATCCAAGTGGAGTGGAGTCACTTGGGCAATATCACAAAGTCGGGTGGAATTCAGACAGGTCTAGGGTGCGTGTCTTCAGATTCTCTGTCCAGCGATGTTTTCACCAAGAATCACTTGATGATATTACTTCATCATCATGAAATAGGGATCAGGTGGCATAGCAGAAGTGAGATTTGTAGAGTTCCATCCTCAGCCTCACAAAGCAGAGTTTAAAAGGATAGTTTGGAGTTAAGAGATGACTTCTTAGTAATGCTCAGACCTGAAACTTGATTCCCTGGGTGTAACAGAAGATGATCCCTGTGGCCACTAACTCTCGGGGATGATACAGGCCTGGGACTGTCTGAATGACAGGATGTCTGAAATCTACTTTTAAAGAGAGTGCTTGCTATCTACTTTTAAAGAGAGTGCTTGCTCAAGCAAAAGTCCAGTACAAAGAGAGTAAAAGAGTCCAAATGAAACCAAGCTCTTGAAGGCAGGATCTTGCTTTGCCTGAGGTTTAACGAGAGCAGCCTGATTGTATCTGCTTAACATGGATATGACCTTTTTTTCCTCCTTAAATGTTACCTTTTAAGAAGGAAGTCCACTGGGTCTAGACAGGAAGCCCACTGGGACAGACAGGAAGTCCACAAGGAACAGATAGGAAGTCTGTTAAGGGCTTCCTTGGCCCACCCATCTAAACTCGCCCAGTCCCTGTTTCATTCCTATCCCTGTTTCCCACTTCCTATCCCTATTTTATTTTTCTGTTTGGCATTTATTATTAACTGTATCAATCACAGTCTAGTCAGGAGACAGAAACCACACAAATTATTTGAAGAGAGAGAATTAATACAATGCATTATGTAGGCATTTGAGTACTGAAAAATTAAACAGAGAATATCAAAGCACCCTAGACAACAACTACAAGAATATACTGCCCCTGGGGCTGAAGAAACTAAGGGGAGAGTTTGGGATTTTCAAAATTCAGACGTTTGGAGCTGGGCCTCAAATCCCTTAGTAGTAGGAGCTAGCTGGTGCTAGGACTCTGAGGGAGAACAGTGTAGCTGGTTCTTTAAGTAAGCTACAAACTAGAATCAGCGGCTGCAACTGGAATGATCTGCCACAGCAAGGGTGAAGTGAGAATGACAGGAACAGGAGGCAGGAAGCCCACTGGGGACAAACAGGAAGTCCACCCCTGGGAAAAACAGGAAGTGAGGGAACAGACAGAAAGTCCACAGGAGCTGACAAGAAGTCCACAGGGGACAGACAGGAAGTGAGGGAGCCAACAGAAAGTCCACAGGGGTTAGACAGGAAGCCCACTGGGATGGACAGGAGGTCCACAGGGAACAGACAGAAAGTGAGGAGGCAGATAGGAAGTCCACTGGGGCTAAACAGGAAGCCCAATGGGACAGACAAGAAGTCCACAAGGAACAGACAGGAAGTGAGGCGTAGACAGTCCGCAGGGGCTAGACAGGAAAGAGCAGGTTCTTCCACCTTCCTTAGACTGTCCGCATTGTGTGGGCTGTTGGTGGATGTGAATAGAGAGCAGGTGGCAAAGCAGAAATGGGATTTGTATAGTTCCAGGTTCACATCAGGAAACAGAGTTTAAAGGGAGAACTTTGAGTTGAGAGGCGATTTCTTTGTATAATCAAGCTGCCTACTACCCTAAGTATTGAGAGAATAACTACCAGGGATGTTTGACTTTTTCTTGCTTTATCCCCAACACTTTCAATAGTGCCTGGCATATAGTAAAGCCCTCAATAAAAATATGTGCAAAGAATGAATGATTTTTGCAATGGAGGAACAAGACTTCTGTTGCCTTACAAAAATCATCTGCACAAACACCAATTTGGATGGGGGAAAAGAGATCCCAAAAACTGAAGTAGGAATATTCCAGCCTTATATAGGGAAAGGAATGGGCTAACTAAACCTTGCTAGGCCTTGTGACAGGCTTATTCTTGTATGGGGCTGGAACTGTCAGACACAATGTGTCCGGACATTCCTCCCCCATGGTAGGCTGCACTTGACCTTTTACTGCTTTGATTAAAATTAAGCCTCCTATGTAGCTTGCCAGGAGGGAGAAGGAACAGTTTCCTCAGTAGGCTTGGGGGTTGTATTTCATGACTCATACAGGTATAAATTAGCACTCAGGGGCTTGTGTGTGTGTCTATTTTCAGTCTAAGTTTGGCTACTCTAAATCACTTCTGAAGGAGAAGTTAGGGTATATCTTCTAGAGGCCTGAGGCCAGACTCTGTATCAAAGGGAATTTACACACTCAGTGGAGTTCTGTCCTTCGTGATTGTGGACAACAGCTGTTCTCAGTAATCCCCTACCAACTCTCAAGTGCCATGAGCCGCAGCAGTGAATCAGAAACTCCTAGTTGCACTTGCTCTCCTGTTGATCCTCCATCCCCAGTGATTCCAGGCATGGATCATTTTTACTGACTTTGATTCCTTTTAAAATAATAACATCCATCATTTGTCATTAGTTGAATGTATTTTTCACTACTTAAGAGTTTAACTTTTTTTTTTTTTAGGAAGAACAGCATGTGTTTAAAATCAAGTAAATCAGCATTTTAAATTAGTAGCAAAATCAGTGCTAATTTTGTATCTTCTATAATTTCACAGAAATATATAGAAACTAAATATATAAAAACTAAATTAAAATAATTTATTTGAAAAATGTCTACCTAAAAATAGGTTGAATTTCTATTTTTTCTTCATATTTAATTGATAACAAATGGAAATACCAAATAAGGGATGTACTGGCATTATGTAAAATCTTAGCAGTTTTGTAGCAAAAATAAGCCTCTCTGGGATAAAACTTAAAAAAAAATCATATGCTGATCACTCCCTAGCTTTATATATATGATTAAATGGCTGGTTGCCTTTAGTTTAAATATGGTAATAAAATAATAGAAAGCTTCAATAGTAGTGACATGATGCATCTGGTGGCTCTAATTTTCTGTCACTGAATAGGTATTTGTACAGCCCTTAAGACATTAGAAATTGGACTCAAAACATGTCAAGTGAAATGTGTCTTAAGCAGTTGGTGATTTCTTTTAGTATCCAAAATCCGTGAGAAGTAATTGTCTCAATAACCCTAGGGTCCTTTATTCTTTTATCATAATTTAAATCTGTATGAGTCTTTTCTTCTTAGGTGAAAAAAAGCAAGAGCTTTTCCTTCAATGTGTTAAACCCCTCTTTACGTCCACAGTTGTTGAGAACTTTTTCAAAGAATGTTATTTTTGATTGAGCTTTCCTCCACATAAGGCACTTCAAGTTGTGCCCTGTGGAACTTCCAGCAAAAGTGGGCAAGGGGCCTGCACCAACTTTTTGTAAGTTCCAAAATAAAGAAATTCCCCGTCCCCTCAGGGTTTTAGCGGATGCTGTTGCCTCTGCCTGCAAAACGACTCCCATCCCATTCCTTCTGGTTAAATGTCACTTTGTTCTTTAGGTCTCAGTTGAAAAGTCATTCCCATAAGTAATATCACACTGTTTCACTGTTGCTCCAAGCCAGGGCAGGCTTCCTTCTTATGCATCCATACTACACCTTATTTTTCTCTTTATGAAGACTTATCTCAATTAAATTCTTATTTGGGTTACCAGTTTAGCATTTACCCCTCCCTCTCAATAGACAAAGAGCATTTTAAAGGGCAGCACCATGATTGTTACGATTCCTACAGTACCACCACTGCCTGGCAGCGTTCCCAACCCATGAAAGGAACTGGATGGATGGGTGGGAAGATGGGTGCATGGTTGGATGAATAAGTTGATGGATGGGTAAATGGATGGAAGAAAGATGCTAGTTCTATCTGTACTGGAAAGAGTCTCTGTATCTACAGAGGGAGTGCATTGACTGCAAAAGGCCCAATCTAAAACTGGACCTAAGTTGCATTTGGGAAGCATACACTCCCCAATCAGCCATCATGCAGGTCCAAGGAGTGTCTCTGAGGCCCTGGGAGCATATCTGAAAAGCAGGGAAGCAAATGGGGCAAGTGCTGTTCACATGTGGGTGATCTCAGGAAAGGCCAATTGGAGGTGAGCACTTTTCAGTCCTAACCATGTGAGTCACTTTTCTAGTTACAGATAAAGAAAATCTCTACACAAATTCTAAATAATAAATGTTGCAATACACTTTAAGTAACATGATATGATGTAATTTATATGAAGTACAACTCAAGCAACTAAGTGGCATTTGTCCAGCTCTTAGCCTTTTGTATCTACCGCTTAAGCATAGAGAAGTTGTAATTTCTGTGCTTCAGTCTCTTAGGCATGTCTTATTTAATTACCAAACTTACTCCAAGGAGAGATTGCCTATCGTGTATTAAGATTCTCATGAATAGGCACTTTCACCACCCTGCATCCTCCACAAAAAGTGATACAGTGACCATCTATACTGACACCCAAAGCCGAAAGGCTGGCGCTTCTCGTAAAATCAGAAACATGCTCAACATTTACCTTGTTTGGTTAGTTAAGATAAACCAGATAATAATCAATGTCTTTTATCAAAATCCAGAACCAAGTGAGTCAACAAGCACTTCAGAGAACCTACAATTGAAGGACTGTGGAAGTCATTCTGCAAAATAAATCAGCAGGAAAACATGAACTCTACATGAGAAGAAAGATATTGACTTAGACAAACATTCAAACGAGAAGCAGAATAAAAATGCTTCTTAAGTAAATGGAAAATATGATGGAAAAACATGGCTTTTTGAGTCAGACAGGTCTTGATCAAGTGTGATTTATCTTACTAACCAGCTAGCTCACTACCCTGGGCTTCAGCTTTCTTAATTCACAATTAACACTGTGGCCTCCTAGGGCTGAGTGAGTTTTGAGTAACAACATATGAAAGCCCTTAATACAGGGCTTGGCACAAAGTAAGAACTGAACAAGTATTTGTTCTCCTCAGTCCCCGCCGCCCCCACTCATTATTGAACTGTGTAATACAAATAAAATCTAATCAGAAAATCAGTGCACATTTTGTAATGCAAGCCAGTTCAAACAGAGTTAAGGAACCAAGAGGTGAAGTTATACTGACCTTCAGAGAAGTCCCACAGATGGGATGGCAATAGGATTAGAATGTATTTTATTACATTAGAACCTTCAGAGTGACTTATGAAAGCAATTAGGATGATAAAAAGACATATCATTTGAGCAAGCTATTTAAAATGTGAGAGTGTTCTGCAATGTTTAGAGCCATTGCTGACGCGCACATTTTGAAAGAAAGTTGTCTATTCCCAACACCGGGAGATCACTTGTGCTTAACAAGTTATCATAAACAAGGGAAGTGCCCAGAATAACCAGCATTTTGATTTGTATTCACCCTGAGGCAGTCAAAGGAGCCATAAACCTTGTTTTTATTTGCAGAGATGACCTAACTGAAGATGGGGGAGTTGTTACTATTCCCTTTGCAGGTTATCATTAGGTAATAAATAAAGAATGATGGATTGCAGCTACTAAGCCAAAAAGAAGCTAGGATCTTTTATAGCACATGTCTAGCTGAAATGTACAAGTATGTGTAGAAGACTTGGGTGAGTAAATATTGAATGTTTAAGAATAAAGGGCTGTGCAGAATAGGCAGACCATAAGTAAAAGCAAAAGTCATTATCTGTTCCTTAAGAAGGCCCCAAATTTAATGTAGCCTTATCTTCACCATTCAGCACCATTGTTCTGAATTTCTAGTGTTGCTTTGACATGTAACATAATTATATGTTTACTACTTTAAAACTTTCTTGGATCTAATGTCAATCCTAATTATCTATTCTGCCTTCAGTAGTTCAGTATATTGTCCATTGGGAAATAGTGGTGGGCTCATGCAGTCTAGTTAAATCCCACTGACTCCCAGTACTTTGAAGTTTGCTGTGATTACCCCATGAAAAGTTAGAGCAATACCTCCTCTACTAGATGAAGAACCAGAGCTACTTCGTTTATAAAAATGTAGAAGAATTATCTATGCCCACGTATTTGAAATAGACCCAAGTCTAAAGTCTTGAAATACCTGCAACTGCAACCCCAGGCTGTGGTGGGTGCAAAATCTTTATGGGATAAATAATTTCCTCTGAATTTGGTTTCTCAAATACTGACTGGGTCATGCACAAGTTTACATTTACTTAAACTAGTGAAAGTGCACCTGATCTTGTCTTAAAACTTTACAAACTTAAAAATATACCAAAAAAAAAAAAAAACCAGCTTTACTTGACCTCAGGCCTAAGTTACATGTGTGCACCATTGGCTGAGAACTGGCAAACCCAGCTTTTAGTCCCACCAGAGAGGACAAGTGCCCTGGGAGCCCTGTGCCTTTATGTGTATACAAAAAACACAGTGTTCGATAGATTTGGGCACATTTGTCTTAAAGTGTTAACTATCTTAGAATAATTTGCTAATCTCACAGATTGCAATTTAAATGTAAAAATATCTTAAAAGCCCATACCTTAGTAATCACATTATTGAGTGTCAGCTTTCAGTTACATATACACTAGTTTATTACCTATATTTTTGTATGCACATGGCATTATCTATACTATGATAAAATCAAGAGTTATCTGTTCTATCCAACAGACATATGCAACTATGAAGGCCAAGCATATTAAGTACGTTTTGACATTGTATCACATTCCATTGTACAGTTTGCAGATTCATCCTGTTATTTGGCAATTATTCACAGTTTAGATTTCACCTTCATCTTCTGCACTCTAAAATGGATTAGAGTTGGATACTTTCAAGAGGTCATTTTTGTTTGATCTTGATTTCAAAGTCAACAACAACCAACTTCTTTCTCCAGTTTCCACCTTTCATCCACCCTTTGTCAATGGTGTGGCTGACTCCAGGCTCTGTCATGGGATAAGGGGACATAACACAGCTGTCCTAGATACAATGCACATATGGGTGAAACTGTAGAGTCGATAAGTATAATGGACAGTTAATTATCATGTTGGGCAAAATATCAGTAGATACGTAGATGTGTCAGAAGAGTCTGGTTGCTGTTGCCACCATGTGTGGTTGGATGCTGTGGATAATTTCTTTTGTGATGAGCTAAATTTCCAAATTTCCATACTGTCTTAATTCACCTTCCATTCACAGGTCCTTTCCACTATTTTTCTCTTCACATTAATACCATTCTTGTAGCCCACATTCACAGCCCTTACCTAGAAGAGTAGCTTCTGATGCACTCAATAATATATTTTCTATCATAGGAAGAGCAGACACATTCTTTGACCTGCTTCATTTATGTGGGTCTTCAGAAATGGTTCTTCTGCTCCCTGTAACTAGATAATGGCTGGGGCAGGGGACAGGGACTGTGAAAGTTTTATGCAAAGGGCATTATTTATCTTACTGTTCTTTTTCAACACACATATCCCTTTTCTCCAACTCCCAAACCAAAGCTTGGGAGAAAAACGTTTTCTCATCTTTAGTGTACCCCAGTACCAAGGCATACTTGTAATCTAATTTCCATACTTGGTTGTTATGGAGCAAGCCTATGGTGAATTCTGCTTTATTACGATAGACGTATGCATGTTAAAGTATGTGCCAGTGATATAATTTGAATAGTTTCCAATAAAATCTGAAAATGTACCCATTATAAGTCGGGAAAATAATTGATATTGAAACAAGCACCTACTGTATGCCAGGCATTTAAAAAATTATTTTAGGCAGATTCATTACAGGAGCTACTATTGCATTTAATTATATTAACATTATGAGAAACATTTTTATTCCTATTTTATTTAAGGGAAATCTGCCAATCAGACCCATTATCTAACCTGCCAAAAGTTGACATCTAACAAGGGTGAGAGCCCGGAAACCACAGCATGGCTATGGGATCTCAGTGTAAAGGCTGAGCATTTGACCAGGCATCCGTTATCTCCTCCCAGGAACATTCCCATGAGCATCCTTGGAGTCTAATTGATTGTTTGGGCAACATTGGGTATTGGAGGGAAAAGAGGAACTTAGATGTACAAAGTCTGTGCTTTTAATCACTTTGGTGCATGCACGGGGAACAGCTCTGCAATTCTGTATGACCTTGCTGAGAAAGCCAGGATTCCTACAGAGAATTCTGGAGGGCTTCTTTAACTTTCATAGCTCTGGTGGCTATCAGCTCCCATGATTATATGATTGAGTGATGAAAGACCAGAGAGAGAGAGAAAAAGAGAGAGAGAGGAGAAGAGAAGAGAAGAGAGGAGAGGAGAGGAGAGGAGAGGAGAGGAAGAGAGAATATGGTAGACAGACAGAAAAACACATACATTTAAAGCATTTTTAGATCAAAAACTAATTGAAAGAAGCCTACAGAGATTTCCAGTCCTAGAGAGTGGATGGTCTCCTTAGTTCAGCTTGATTCACAGCTATCTGGAATTCTGCATTTATTGTGGACATAACAGCAATAGTTCCAACAGCATTATTTCCATTTAATGTGGCCAAGCCAAAAATGCTCGTGGAGAATTTACAGGAAGGTGACTTCAGGGAGCTTCGTGGTAACAGCCACCACTGCCTGACCAAAAAGGGTGAGGGTCTCACCTGCAAATTGCTGAGAGAATAGGTATTGGGGCATTTTTATTTATTTATTCACTTATTTTGTGGAGAAAAATATGTAACTTGCCAGGAACCATCCTTGTCAATGAGTGACAAGCATACACACTGCTATACAGTGATTTTAGAAAATTCTTTTTAGAAACCTTTTGTTTTGCTAAATTATTTTATTGGGTAACCTGAGCATAAATAACTTCACTGCCTGCTTTGGTTTGGCTGTGTCCCCACCCAAGTCTCATCTGAATTGTGGTTACCGCATCATCTGAAGATTATACAATTTGAGCTAGCATCCTGAAAGATCATTCATAACTTTTCTAATCCCCACAGGATTCTGACATGTATGAGAGTATATGCAGTCATATATACAACTGGGGCTGGAATTTATGAATGGTCAAATTTGGTAGCCACAGCAACAGATGTTTAAGGTAATGGCCTGGGGTGTTACATGTGTAAGGGAAGTCATGTAGAATATGAGTATTGGTACAAATTATCATCCTCAGGCCCTACAGTGCAAAAGCCATGATGAGGCCATGTCTTTAGTCTGTGTCAGTGAACTTAATGGATGGTTGTTGTACTCAGTATTGCTTTCGATATTTATCTATTTGCCATCAGAAAATTTTGGTGTCTAAGGTCAACTTGCTTGAGAGTAAGGAAATGTCAGTAATAACAAACTCCACTTAAAGTCAGATGGTGTCCTAGCAGTCCTTTGGATATGTGGTGGACACCCCACAACACCATGCTTTCCTGCAGAGGCCATGTCCTGCTCCCTGACTGCAGGGCTGAGGAGAAAAACAAACACAACAAACAGAGCACAGGGTGAACAGGAACTAGCCCTTTGTGATCCATGTGGTGTATCCCAGTGTTGAGTTTGTGAATCTTACTAAACATGTCCTTTATCACACCCCACCCACACCGGCTGAGGCAGAATATTTGGGGAAGGAAGATCTTCTGAGATGATTCCCACAGACAAGAGTTCTGAGTATCATGGGTAGATATGCAGAAGGCGGCAAACTCCATAGGTAACCTTCAACCTATCAGTCCCGTTTTCAGCGCAGATACATTCAGTTCCTGTTGTATGCCCGCAGCTGGGAACCCACAAGTGAAAATATCTCTGACCTTCCATTTCGGGCTGCCCTGTGCAGTGGCAGTGTGGAGGAGGCAGGAAACAACTGGTCTCAAATCATAGCTGCCTTTAGAGTGACGTTGCTGAAAGGGAAACAAAGACTCTTGTCCACAATCTTGCTGTGTTCTGCATAAGTCAAGGGGAGCGAGTTTGGCACATGACGCCTTCCTGGCACTGGCTGCAGTCTCTCAGCTTTCTTAGTTGCCTCTGTGTTCTTTTGTAAGGAATCTAGCCCTTCAGTCAGCCTTCTGAGTCTTTGTGCTGCACTGTTAGACTGATTCTCTTCCAAGGGCACTCTCTCTGAATGACAACAGCACAATGCCCTGGGCACCAAGGAAGCACCACGGTGTGGAGGAAGTGTCTGGAGTAGGAGCCCGCCAGCCCTGGGCTCACCGTGTCCTGGTCACCCTCCAGGGCTTCAGCTTTGTTCTGTTTTCTTTTTCCTTTTTTTCTTTTTTCTTGAGACAGAGTCTCACTCTGTCACCCAGGCTGGAGTGCAGTGGCACGATCTCAGCTCACTGCAAGCTCCACCTCCCAGGTTCACACCATTCTCCTGCCTCAGCCTCCCGAGTAGCTGGGACTACAGGCGCCCGCCACCACGCCCGGCTAATTTTTTGTATTTTTAGTAGAGACGGGGTTTTGCCATGTTAGTCAGGATGGTCTCGATCTCCTGACCTCATGACCCACCCTCCTTGGCCTAGCTTTGTTCTGTTTTCTAAATGCTTTATTGAGGTATGATTTACATAACTACCCCTCACCACTTGAAGTGCACAGTTCAGTAATTTTTTAGTAAATGTGGAGTTGTGCAACCTTCTTCACAGTTCAGTCTTAGATTATTTCCAGCACCCAGAAAGCACTCACATACCCCTTAGCAGTCACTCCAGCCCCACCCCAGCCCCAGCAACCACTCCTCTGCTTCCCACCTCCAGTGCCTTTTTTGGCCATTTCATAGAAATGGAATCACACAACACTGGGTCCTCTGCTCCGGCTTCTTTTGCCAAGTATAATGTGTTTGGATTCATCCATGTTGTGTCTATCAGTACTTCCCTCCTTTCCATTGCTCAGCGGCGCCCCATCGTATCCCACTGTGTTTATCCATTCACCAGTTAATGGACATTTGGATTGACCGAGCTTCAATGTGTTATCTACACAAATGCAGCTGCTAATCCCTACCTTGCAAATCTGTTCCAAGGATTATGGATAATATAATAATATGGTATAAAATACCTGGGACAGAGGCAGAGGTGTAGTAGGTGGTTAATAAGTGAATGCTATCCATGTTGGTATGACTAAGAGAAGAACTATTAATATTGTGTAACTTTCCTGGAAGCTGAACCCTAAAGAGCATCGTTGTGAGAGACTGGATATCAACAGCAAAACCGGTAGGAGAAGTACCACTAGTGTCAGAATTAAATAGAGAAAACAGCTGATTCATGAGCTAAGTGCCAACTTGATGAGCTCAGCATAGAATTTGCCTCAGGCTGGCAGCCTGCTGTGGCCAGAGGGAATGGAGCCATGGGGCCGCACACTGGGATGGAGTGAGTGTGAGTGCAAAAACATGGGTGAGTTCAGCAATGGCTTATAGGTCCAGGTGACAACCCCTCATGACCCATGGGCTCTGATGAGAAACACATGTGCGTGCCTGGCTTTCTCTCACCCCGCCTGCCAGTGTGGCCGCCTCCTCTGCCCTTACTCAGGCAATAGCTATCCTGAATCATCTGCGACTCCCTCGCACTGTCCTTAGCCTTTCGGTCATTTTCAACAGCACAGAGTCCTGCACCCACTTTATCTCCTGTCTTCCACAGGTCCCCATGCACTGCCTTTATTCTTTAAAAATATGTCCTGTAAACTTGATTGATAACTCTAAAATATCTCTTTTTTTGCCATCTTTGAAGTTTATTTAATCTACAGTCATCCTGTGAAATAGTTATGGATTTATCCTCTAATTGGGAACATGGAAACTGGGTATCTGGACATACAGTTACTCTCTCCCCCTGCCCCACTCACCATCACACACACACACACACACAAACACACATACATACACACACACACACATGCACACACACGGAGCTCATGCCCTGAAGACAGGCAGAGTCAGAACTTGCACCAGCTCTCTGACCTCAGAAGCCACCACTGGCTATCCGATGACCACTGTGTGTGCTACAGACCTGGGTCTAATATGAGCTGCACCTTTAAGAGCAACATGGCATGGCTGGAGGGTCTTGAGCTCCCAGAGAGCCTGGGGGAAACCAACACTGGCCAGGGGGTGCAGGCTCCTGGGAAGGCTTCCTGCGGGAGTCCTGGGCTGTATTCCCAGAGACAACGCTGCAAAGTTGTCAGTAGAGGGTGATCTGGTTTATAAATCAGTAGAGAAAAAAATTATAAGGGATTCCAGAGTGATAGTAGCCAGATGACAAGTGTAGCTCTCTGAGGAAGAAGATGGCAATGTCTCAGATAGCACAGAAAATCCCAAAACTTTGAGCTGTCCCTTCCATAGGATGAGCTAAAAGATAATTTCCAAGACAGTGTTTCCAGTTGGAAAATAAGGCCCTGCTGAACTATTATTATTAATTGGTGAAAGTATCATATGTGAATATTTTGCAAAGAACACACATGTCAGTGGCTGCCACGTGGAACTGCAGGTCCTTACAGCATCTCTTCCCTCCGCTGGGCCCACGGCCTTCCCTCCTGTATGCTCACAGCCAGCTGCTCGCTTCATCAAAGCCGTCACTGAAATAATAACCCTATTTAATGATGACCCTACCTGATGACCCTATGTAAAAGTCAAACCCTTTTTCCTGCACTCTGACATCTGTTTTCATCCAGAATTGTTTATTTCTCTTCTTCTTTTTTTGTACTGCTCATTACCTGTTAACTTCTTATGCTTCACATTTTATGATGACTACTGTTGATTATCAGTTCCCCCACCCACATTGGAACCTAAGCTTCATGAGGATGAGGATATTTGCATAGTTTATCCATTGTTGTGTCTGGATTGTGTAGTAGAGTGCCTGTCTCATAACAGGCAGTTCATGAATAGTGACTGAATGACTGAACAAAAACACTACACTCCCTGGATAAGAGAGACTGAGTTTGTTCCACGGTATGGAATGAGATTCATGTCTAAAGGTGACATAGGGTATCTTATGTCCCAGGAATATATTCAGTCCTTTGACTGATGATCATTTGCTTCAATATTTCTCTTTGTGTCTTTGGAATGTACAGGTACAGGATCTCAGAATCTTAAGTTTTGGTTGTTCTTAGTTCAGATGTTTTTGTGTCAACCAAAGCAGTCTTATTGATTAATCAGTCTAGGTTGGCGTGTTCTAAATATTTTAGCTGGGACAGTTTTAGAAGGTCGCTAGTGAGTGTGATTTCTAAATTGCCCCTAACTGGGCTATGTGTGCTACTTATACAGAAATATCGTAGCCACTTCTCCTTTGTCTAGCGAATTAGCCTTAAGTAAGCTTTCAAAGATGTGTTAATTACCCAGGGTTCCAGAGCCTTGCTCTCCACAAGTGCTTTGCCCTGGGATACAAATGTCTGTGCTGTTCAGGGTAGTAGCCACCCGCCACATGTGGCAATTGAGGAGTTGAAGGCCTAAACGTTAAATTTTATTTGATTTTAATTTATTTAAACTTAAATTTGAATACCCATGTGGGGCTGTTCAGTAACTGGAGAAGTGAGTTTTTAACTGTATCCAATTTTAATTAATTTAAATTTAAATGTGCATAGCCACATGTGGCTCATGTCTACCATGTTGAGTAGCCCACATCTGGAAGGCTTCATCTAATAGACTTAGATCCTTTTAGTATGTTGGCCTGAAAGATGTCACAGAATTGAAAAGCGTAACAAATATAACTACAAATGCAACAACAAATTCACTAATGTAAAGTAACAATACTTATTATGATGACATTTAATCTCCAAGAAAAGTTCCATCACTTATTTTAAATCTCAGTCATATATCATCTATTTTCTTGACCTTTTAATATTTTCCTTCATTCCATTTTTATGAGGCATGTCCATTTTGGTGTAAAAATTAGCTCTTGAATTGTCTTGACTCCTTTAATATTCTCATTGTTTTACTCTTTTACGTCTTTATTTATCCGAAACATTATTATTATTATTATTATTATTATTATTATTTTACAATTCCTTTCTGGTTTGCGGGTGGTCATTCTTTGCACTTTTTAAAAACTCTTCAAGTTAATGCCTAGTTTATTTATTTTCTTTACTTTTAATTAAAAAAAAGCATTCAGGACTTTAAATGTCTCTAATTGCACCATAAGTAACTATCACCATTTTTATTATATTTTTATTTTTTTATTATATTATTATATATATTATATTATATATAATATATAATTATATTTTTATATATTATATTATATATAATATATATAATTATATTTATATATTATATTTATATAATAATTATAATTATATAATTATATAAATATAATATATAATAATTATAATTTTATAATTATATAATTATATAAAATATAATTATATAATTATATTTTATTATATTTTATTATAGATAGAGCCCTTATTTTCCACTTTATAATTAACTAATTGTTATAATCTTCTTTTCTTTTTGATCTAGTAGTTACTGATTAGCAAGGAGCAGCTAACAAGCTGGGTCAGGAGTATCCTAACACATTGAATCTGGGATAGCCCCTGAGCCCCGGATTCCTCTCAATAGTACTGTGCAGTGCCGCTTCCTCCATCTCATGAGGTAGTGTTACGTATCCTACCTCATACCCATAGCATGGGTATCCTATGGCATGGGGGCTAGATGTTTTGGGATTTGATTTCTCACTTCCTGGCTTGGAAACTCAGGTTGATGGCTTAATCCTTCATAGGTATCAGTTCCTACAACCTCTTCACAGGTCTACAGCAAAGACCAATAAACTAATACCTATGAAATGCAGTTCCTTGCATAGATGACAGGCTCAGTAAATGGAAGTTCTATTTAATAATTATCACTATGCTCCTTCTGGCAACATTTCTTGTTTCAACGTAGAAGGAAATACTAGCCTTTGGAAAACATTCATGCTTAGCTGCTACGAATTCTCACAGAAGGCCCCTCCAGTTTTGTTAAATGTCCAGCGAAGGCTGAAGAGGGACCTAGGAGGACCCCCACATTCATTCGTCATTGCCCAGCACACTCAGTCTCCTGGAATTTTGTTTTCCATGTTAGTTGTACTATCTGGGACCTCTCATGACTGGATGTGCACTGTGGAATTCCTAGGTGGGCCTCAGCTGGCTTCTGTATTATCACCTTCCTTGAGCCTTTGGTGTACTGGTCCTCCTCTGTTGCATCTGACAGAGCCATTAGTGATTTTCCTCCACATGGCTGGTTTGCCTTTCTGCAGCGTTGATTCTTGTCATTAACATTTAATCACACGATTGCTCGCTAGGTGTCCTTGCTGCATGTTCATAGACCATTCACGGGCTTCTTCTGTGGCTCCTTTTTGAGTGAGAAGCAGGTCGTCCACGCCCAGTTTCTGCTGAGAGGGTGCTTACTGAGTTCCTGTTCTCGCCTGCTCATGTGCCCTCGGGTTCTTGTCTGGACTTGGGTGGACAGCAGAAGTGGATGTGTCTACTCCCTGGAGATGTGTGTCACCTCCTAATTTGATTCTGCTGAACTAATGTTGAGGCTCTTCACCTTCATCTCTAAATATTGGGTCATTTTCTTTATCCATTTGTTTTTTGATGGACATTTAGACTGCTTCCAAACCATGGCTTTTGAGAATAGTGCTATAATAAACATGGGAGTGCAGATATCTCTTCGATTTTCTTCATTTGGATATATACTTAGGAATAGGATTGCTGAATCCTATGGTAGCTCTATTTTTAGTTTTTTGAGGAATCTCCGAATTGTTCTACAGAGTGGGTGTACTAATTTACGTTCCTACCAATAGTATACGAGGATTCCCTCTTCTCCACATCCTCGCCAGCATTTTGTTGCCTGTTCTTCAGGTAAGAGCCATTTTACTGAAGTGAGATAATATCACGCTGTAGTTTTGATTTGCATTTCTCTAATTTTCGTATACCTGTTTGCCATTTGTATGTCTTCTCTCGAGAAACGTCTATTCATATCTTTTGCCCATTTTTATTTTATTTTTATTTCTATTTATTTATTTATTTAGAGACAGAGTCTCACTCTGTCACCCAGGCTGGAGTGCAATGGCGCGATCTCGGCTCGTGGAAACCTTCTCCTCCTGGGTTCAAGCGATTCTCCTGCCTCAGCCCCCCGAGTAGCTGGGATTACAGGCATGCGCCATCATACCCGGCTAATTTTATATTTTTAGTAGAGACGCGGTTTCTCCATGTTAGTCAGGCTGGTCTTGAACTCCCGACCTCAGGTGATCCGCCCGCCTCAGCCCCCCAAAGTGCTGGGATTACAAGCGTGAGCCACCACACCCAGCTCTTTTGCCCATTGCTAAATCAAATTCTTAGATTTTTTTTTTTCCTGTAGAGTTGTTTGAGCTCCTTATATATTCTGGTTGTTAATCTCTTGTCAGATGGGTACTTTGCAGACATTTTCTCCCATTCTGTGGGTTGTCTCTTCACTTTGTTGATTGTTTTCTTTGCTGTGCAGAAGCTTTTTAACTTGCAGGGATCCCATTGGTCCATTTTTGCTTTGGTTGCCTGTACTTATGAGGTATATTCAATAAAACTTTGCCCATTCTAGTGTTCTGGAGAGTTTTTCTAATGTTTTAATAGTAGAGATATGTCACTTCTTTGGTTAATTCCTAGGTATTGTATTTTATTTGTAGCTGTTATAAATGAATTTACTTTCTTGGTTTCTTTTTTCAAATTGTTCATTGTTAGCATATAGAAATGCTACCGATTTTCGTATGCTGATTTTATGTCCTGCAACTTTACTGAATTTGTTTATCAATTCTAATAACTTTTTGGTGGTGTCTTTAGATTTTTTTCAAATCTAAGATTATTTCACTGGCAAAGAAGGATAATTTGACTTCTTTCTTTCTAATTTGAATGCCCTTTCTTTCTTTCTCTTGTCTGATTGCTCTAATTAGGACTTCTAGTACTATTTTGGATAACAGTGGTAAAAGTGAGCATCTTTGTTGTGTTCCAGATCACAGAGGAAAGACTTTCAGCTTTTTTCCCATTCAGTATGACACTAGCTGTGGGTCTGCTGTATATGGCTTTTATTGTGCTGAGGTATGTTCCTTCTATACCCAGTGTTTTGATGATTGTTATCATGAAGGAATGTTGAATTTTGTCAAATGCTTTTTCAACATCAGTTGAAATGATTATATGGTTTTTGTCCTTCATTCTGTTCATGTGATGTATCACATTGATTGATTTGTCTATGTTGAAGCATCTTTACATCCCAGGGATAAATCCTACTTGGTCATGATGAATAATCTTTTTTGTCTTGTTGAATTTGGTTTGCTAATATTTTGTTGAGGATTTTTGCATCAATGTTCATCAGGGATATTGGCTTGTCGTTTCCTTTTTTTTGGTGTGTTCTTATCTGGTTTTGATATCAGGATAATACTGACCTCATAGGATGAGTTTGGAAGTATTACCTCCTCCTCTGTTTTTCAGAATAGTTTGAGTAGGAGTGTATTAATTCTTTACATGTTTGGTAAAATTCAACAGTAAAGCCATCAGATCCTGGGTGTTTCTTCCCTAGGAGATTTTTAATCATGGCTTTGATATTATTATTTGTTATTGGTCTGTTCAGGTTTTGGATTTCTTCATGATTCAACTTTGGTAGTTTGTATGTGTCTAGGAATGTATCCATTTCTTCTAGGCTTTCCAATTAGCATATAGCTGTTCACAGAAGCCTCTAATCATCCTTTGTATGTCTGTAATGTCTCCTTCGTAATCTCTAATCTTATTTATTTGGGTCTTCTCTCTTTTTTCTTAGTCTAGCTAAAGGTTCATCAATTTTGTTTAACTTTTCAAAAAACCAACTTTTCGTTTTATTGATCTTTTTATTGTTTTCTTTGTTTTACTTTCATCTATTTTGGCTCTGATCTTTATTATTTTTCTTCTATTAATTTTTGGTTTTGTTTGCTCTTGCTTTTCTAGTTCTTTAAGATGCACCATTAGGTTGTTTATTAGAAGTTTTTCTACTTTATTGATGTAGGCAGTTATACCTATAAACTTTTCTTTTAGTATGCTTTTGCCTTATCCCATAAATTTTGGTATGGTGTATTTTTATTATCATTTTTCAAATAAATTTAATTTTCTTCTTAATTTCTTCATTGACCCACTGGTCATTCAGGAGCATATTATTTAATTTCCATGTGTTTGTATGGTTTCCAAAATTCCTCTTGTGACTGATTTCTAGTTTTATTTCATTGTGGTTAGAGAAAATACTTGATAGAATTTCAGGGTTTTTAAAATTTTTTAAGACTTTTTTGTGGCCTAACATATGGTCTGTTCTTGAGAATTATCCATGTGCTGAGGAGGAGAATGTGTATTCTGCAACTATTGGATAAAATGTTCTGTAAATATCTATTAGGTTCATTTAGTCTATAATGCAGATTAATTCTAATGTGTCCCTGGTGATTTTCTGTCTTGATAATGGGCATTGAAATCTCCAGCTATTTTTTCATTGGGATCTATTTCTCTGTTAGCTCTGATAACAATTTGCTTTTTATATCTGGGTGCTGCAATATTGAGTGCATATATATTTACAATTGTTGTATCCTCTTGTTGAACTGACCCTCATCAATATATAATGACCTTCTTTATCTCTTTTTATAGTTTTTGTCTTGAAATCTATTTTGTCTCGTGTAAGTTTAGGACTCCAGCCCTTTTTTTTCCCATCTGCATGGAATATCTCTTTCTATTCCTTTATTTTTAGTCTATTTTTATTCCTTTATTTTTAGTCACCTATGGGTGACTATAGGTGAAATTACTTGTAGGCAACAGATCATTGGGTCTTGTTTTTTTTTTTTCTTAATCCATTCAGCCACTCTATGTCTTTTGGCTGGAGAATTTAGTCCATTTACATTCAATTTTATTATTGATAAGTAAGGACTTACTCCTGCTATTTTGTCATTTGTTTTCTGGGGTTTTTTGTGCCGTTTTATTTCTTTCCTTCTTGTCTTCCTTTTAGTGAAGGTTATTTTCTCTGTGGTATGTTTGAATTTCTTGCTTTTTACTGTTTGTGTATCTTTTGTACTTTTTTTTTTATTTGAGGTTGCCATGAGCTTGCAAATAATATCTTATAACTCATTACTTTTTTTTTTTATTTTTGAGACGGAGTCTCACTCTGTCCCCCAGGCTCGAGTGCAGTGGCGTGATCTCGGCTCACTGCAAGCTCTGCCTCCCAGGTACATGCCATTCTCCTGCCTCAGCCTCCTGAGTAGCTGGGACTACAGGTGCCCGCCACCACGCCCAGCTAATTTTTTGTATTTTTAGTAGAGATGGGGTTTCACCATGTTAGCCAGGATGGTCTCGCTCTCCTGACCTCATGATCTGCCTGCCTCGGCCTCCCAAAGTGCTGGGATTACAGGATAACTCATTACTTTTAACTGATGACTGCTCATCAGGATTGCATAAACAAACTAAGAAACAAGTAAAGAGAAAACTAATAAAAATTCTGTGCTTTAACTTTGTCCTCCAGCATTTTAACTTTTTGTTGTTTTTACTTGTATTTTAGTCTTATTTCTCAAAAAGTTGCTGTAGTTATTATTTTTGATGGTTCATCTTTTAGTCTTTCTACTCAAGATATGAGTGATTTACAAACGTAATTACAGTATTATAAAATCTTGTGTTTTTCTTTGTATTTACTATTTCTAGTGAGTTTTCTACCTTCACATGATTTTTCTATTGCTCACTAATGTTCTTGTCTTTCAGACTGAAGAATTCTCTTTATCATTTCTTGGATGACAGGTCTGGTGTTGATTAAATCCCTCAGCTTTTGTTTATCTAGAAAAGTCCTTATTTCTCCTTCATGTTTGAGGGATATTTTCTCTGCATATATTATTCTAGGATTAAAGTTTTCTTCCTTCAGCATTGTAAATATGTTATGCCACTCTTTCCTGGCCTGTATGGTTTCCACTGAGAAGTCTGCTGTCAGATGTATTGAAGCTCCATTTTATGTTGTTTTTTCTTTTCTCTTGTTGCTTTTAGGATTTTTTTTTTCTTTATCATTGATCTTTGGGAGTTTGTTTATTAAGTGCTTTTAGGTAGTCTTCTTTGGGTTAAATCTGTTTGATGTTCTATAACCTTCTTGTACTTGGGTTTTGATATTTTTCTTTAGGTTTGGGAAGTGCTCTGTTTTATTCCTTAAATAAACTTTCCATCTCTCTCTCTGCCTTCTCTTTAGGTCCAATAACTCTTAGATTTGCCATTTGAAACAATTTTCTAGATCTTGTAGGCATGCTTCATTCTTTTTTATTCTTTTATTTTGTCTCTTCTGACTGTATTTTCAAATAGCCTGTCTTCAAGCTCATTAACTCTTTCTTCTGCTTCATAAATTCTGCTATTAAGATTCTGATGCATTCTTCAGTTTGTAAAATGCATTTTCAACTCCAGAATTTCTTCTTGATTCTTTTTAATTATTTCAATCTCTTTGTTAAATGTATCTGATAGGTACTGCCTGGCTGCCTCCAATGCTCATTCAAGGCCCAAGGTGTCTTCAGTCAATGTGTGGTGAATGCTGCCAGGACTGAGACTCACCCTTCAGGGCAGTAGGCTCCTCTCTGACCCAGGGCTGACCCTGAAATGCCATCCAAGAGCCAAAGCCTGGAATTGGTACCTAAGTTGCAAGGTACCTAAGTTGCAAGGCAAAATCCCCATTACTTTTCCTCCTACTTTCCTTAAGCAGAAGAAGTCTCTGCCCATAGCCATCACAACTGGAAATGTGCTACGTCACACATGAAGCTAGCACATCTCTGACTCTCACCCAAGGCCCATGTCGAGTACTGCCTGGGTACCACTGCTGATTATTCCAGGCCCCAGGGCTCTCTACTCAGCAGGAGATGAATCCTGACAGGACTGGGTCATTCCCTTCAATGCAGCTGGTTCCCTTCAAGCCTAGTGTGTGTCTAGAAATGTCATCTGGGAGCTAGGTCCAGGAATGGGGGCCTCAGAATTCTACCTGGTGCCCTATCTTACTGGGGCAGAGCTGGTCTCTGAATTGCAAGACAAAGTGCTCGTTAAACTTTTTTCTCCTCTCCTCAAGTAGAGAGGAGTCTGTCTCAGAGTGGCAAGCTGTGCTTTCTGAAGCTGGGGGAGGGCTAACACACTCACTCCCTTGGCCACCTTGGCTGGCGTCTCATTAAGTTGCATGCCCCCAAGTCCACCGGTTGTACACCCAACATGGCACCAGAACTTGCCTAGGAATTTCAGTTCTTGTGGCCTAGACTGCCTTTCAGGTTTATGTAGAACCTCAGAGCACTTTCACCCACAGTGGCAAGGCTTACTGGATCTCAGGTTCTGTCCACTGGGATGGTTCTGACCCTCCAGCTTGCCCTGGTCTGGTCTAAATGTTCCGTCTGTGGGTGTCGGCTGAGTTCTGCCCTGTGTTGCTTTCCACTGTGATAGGGCAGCACTGAATTCCAAGGCCAAGTCCCATGATCGCTGTTCTCTCCCTCCCACAATCACACAGATTCTGTCTGTGCCATGTGGCCACTGCCAGGAGATGGGGAAGGGGTGGCTTTGGCAAATCAAGACTGTCTCTCCTACCCTCCTCAGAGCCTCAAGTGACTCTTTCAGCAATATGAGGTTAAAACCATGTACTGTGGTTGCTTACCTGAATTGTGGTTCTCATGAAGGTACTTTTTTGTGTGGATGGTTGTCCAATCTGGTGCTCCTGTGAGGAGGAGGTTTGGTAGAAGCTTCTGTCTGGCCATCTGGCTCTGCCTTCTTAATATCAGCTTCTCAGCAGTCTTGTGCTGTTCCTCACTCACAGCTGGCTGCCTCCACCTGACCCTCCCCTTGACACCACAGGCAAGGACAATGGTGAGAACGTCCTCTCTCCCACTGAAATGTTTCCTTGTTGCACTTTGGGTTTGAGAAGTGCTGTGCTCCTGGGTCCTGCCCTTCTTAGAAAACCCTAAGAACTGGGTAAGAAGTATTTACCCCTGACAGAGGATCACCTTTCACTCCAAATTCCTTCTTCAGCCAGGGATGGAGGAAGTCACAAATATTATCATCTAAGCTCTAATCAAAAATTATATCACTATGAAGATTAGATTGTAGAGTTTGGCAAGAAATCTTGGTAAATTTAATTAATGTCCAGGTGAATTAAATGAGTATTAAATACTAAAAATATGAGAGCTCTTCATGCTCTCAGAACAAGGCCAGAAATATGGATGTTCTCAGTGTTGTACCCTTGAGGCTTCAGTGATGAGATTTTAACGTACAAAAAAAATCACTGCTTCTCCTAGTGAACAAGGAACATATAGATACAGGAATGGTTTTGAGTAAATCCACAGTCAATGATAATTTGGAATAACCAAGGATAATCATAGCGCATTCTTAAATTATACTATTAAATTATACTCTGCTTTCTCTAGCCTTCTTCCTGCCATAGAATTCATCCAAAGCCTGATTGGCTGATGACTCAGGTGTGCCCAGCTGTGCAGAAACCATGGGAGGCATGTTGGCCATCTGAGACAGTATTTGTGGGGCACATAGACAGTTGGCACTTCACCCAAGTCACACTTCTGCTGCTGGGATGTTTATTACACTGATCCAGTTTAGCCAGGCCACAAGATCCAGGTAGAACTCAACAATTCCATCTATGCCTATATCCAGTCAACCTCCAGATGACTCCTTCCCAGTCCTGCTTCTCCTTCGTCCAGCCCTGCCTCACCCTTGCCTCCTCTCCTCCTCATGCACAAACAACAGGTATTTATGTTTTACAAATATGTGCTGATATCACTGCAGGAGGAACTGGGGTTTGCGAGAAACCAAGGACTGAGTCCTTTCTGATGGATTATGATGATGGGAGTAACTCATCACTCGCAAGATTCAGCTTTAACCAGAAACTTTGTCAGAGTGTCCAGTGTCAAAGCCTTAGTAGTTTGAGTCTATACATAAGCAACTGGAAAGTGACCAGGGGACAAGTTTAGAGCTGGGCAAATGACTGAAATTGTGAAGCCTGGACTTCTTTGGGTTTAAGATGATGCATGATTCCTGTGACCAGCATATCAGCCCCGTTGTCCTTGAAGACAGAAAGGTTGAGAGAGCCCAGTGCCTAAGTCAGGTGTAGTGGAGAGAGGAACAAAAAGAAACAGACACAAAATTTCTTGGAGAAAAAGGAAGCTTTTTGGTTTATTTAAGATTTTAGCCAAATTTTTTTTTCAAGATATCACATATAATCACACAACAAGAATTACTGTGGCTTTTGGTGTAGATTCATATTTGGCTCTGAGGTTATAAGAAAATAAAAAGCAAAGTTTCACTTTGATTAAAGTTTGATAAAAGTTGAAATTATCTAGTGTTTCTGAAATATCACTAAGAAGACCTAGAATGAATAGAATATTCCCAAAACAAATGACACTTCAGGAGAAAAGATGGAGGAGAGTAAAAATGAAATTACTTGATAATTAAAATGCATCTTTCTTATAATGAGCCCAGTTACTTCTTTACTGTGTTTATTGATAGGTGGCTCTCATGAATAGGGCGCATGGCGTCACCTGAGACACGCTTGGAACTGGTTCACTGGGAGTCTGTCTCATTGCTGTAGAAATAACCTCAGTGACTGGGCGTTTATTCATTTCTTCTTAATTTCTATTTTATTTTTTGATTTATGAAACTTTAATGAGCAGTTTCTATGAATCTCAGCAGATCCCAATTAATACAAATCTACCAACTTTTAATGATGAATGCCAACAAATATACTACAGTAAACATCCTACTGCCGAGCTTCAATATTTTCTTTACTTACATTGCTCAGAGCTAGCATTTCCCAGCAGTAACACAACACATATTCGTTCGTTTCTTATGAAGGCAATATAAGTGTTTGGTGAGTTTTTCTAATGTAAAATGATTTCCAGAATTGGTCATGAGAAAGGCAGACCCTGTGAGAGCGAAGCCTGTCCTTTGCAAAGCCTGAAGGACTTGGCCTTTTCTGAGGCCTGGTTAATAATCCACCCGCCTGACATTCCAGTGGTTACTGTGAGCTACAGGCAGGTTCCCCTAGACATTTTGAGTTTCCAAACAAATATTCTTCATTCTGATAAGAAGAAAACATTAATCTTCTGCAATTTACCTTATCTTTTAGAATAGCTTGCAAACTAATAATGAAACAAGCTAATGAAGTAACTTTTTTGTGTTTTTTATTATCTGTTGTTTATCAAGGCATATCAAAATATCAGTCTTATCAGTTACTATGTTCTATGTATTTAATGAAATTGGAGATTATTTAAATACTGAATATTGTAACTCAGACTAAATTATTAATGAAACAAGTATAATGCTTGATGACTTGGTTAATGAAAACTCAAAAATCTGCCAACTGCAGCTGGACACCTTTGCCTGGGGATCCGGTCCTCTCACCCTGGGCCACCCAGAATGTAGCCTTGAGCCTGGGGGAAAGGAGAGATGGTTCTGAATCTGAAACAGCTGTGTTGGATCACAAGCGTGTAGGCCAGGAACCAGAAAGAGTGTAAAAAGCAAAGCAGCAGGTCAGAAACAAAATTGTGTTTGGGATGATTGTGGTGCTGGGTGCACCAACACTCAGGGCTTCAGAGGGATCTCCAACTGCAGAGTGAAAAATTCCTCAGGGGCTCTCTGAATTATCAGAAGGAAAGCAAAGATCATCAGGGCGAAGCATAATATTTTACATCCTTCGTTTTATTAATTCAGCAAATCTTGTTTGAATGTTCACTAGATCATATACTTTAAGTATATTAAGTCTTACAAACTCGTGACAAGTAGCTGTTCTTATATCTGCATCCTAGATGACAGAGCAGCACAGAAAGGCTGAGTAAATCATCCAAAGTCACACAGCTAATAAGTATGAGAATGGGATGATAAATTCTGCAGTGTCCGACTCACCCGGCCTTTCCCTTCTATCAGTCCGCTGCAACCTGCAGGGGAGATGCTGAATCACATCTATTCTAGGTTCTTAAGGAGCCAATCATCTTCTGAGGGGGGGTTTGAAAAGTGAGCAAGTGTTTGCATATCAAAAAGTGTTGTTATTGGTTTAAGCCATGCATGAATTTTTCTTCTTTTTTGGTTTAATACCTAAACTGGTTACCTTCGGTAATGGAGAAACTAATTGGGTAGCGTTATACAAGGTTGAACACATTGATGACTGCTTACGCTTCTCAGTTAGTTAAAATACAAAAAGGTTGAAAGCTAATTGGCTTTAACCATTATTTAATTTATTTCACACTTGGCATTCCCTGGTAGAACTGTAAAAGGTAAAGTGTTGTTGTGTCTTCGTTTAGTTCCCGGAGTTCTAGAAGGCCAAGAAGGTTCCGAAGTAATTCATGAATAGCACTGCAGGAAAGGCTGCCTCTGCCCTCTCCCTCAATCCTGGGCATAAATTCTAAGAATTTCACTTTCCCATGGCTGTGTGGTATTTGGGCCCCAGGAGGTCTACCCCCCATGGTGGTGCTGATGGCTTCATTGATAGTCTACCAAGCTTACCTTTGTCTTGCCTCCTCTCACCCCCAGTGGTAACACTGCAGCCAATGCTTCCTCTCCCAATATTTGATAAACCTACTCTCCTCTGTCTTTTATGTCTCCCACCCCAAATCCTATTTTCCTTGAGAGTTGTGTTTGGCGTTTTCTCAAGGTCTAGGAAATGCTCCTCCAGGCCTGCAGTTCACACTGTACAAATGTCTGGACTCATCCAGGACAGCCCAGCCCCATGCAGGGCTTCACTACGTGGACATTAATGTGAGCGAACTCTCCCCGCAACTCCCAAGTAAGAATCAGACCCAGGCTCCCCACATCAGAGGCAAATTTAGAATGGACATTGGATGCCGTGGGTCAGCAGCTGAGAATACCTAGTGAGTGTCTCAGTCAGTGGGCAGCACTAGATTTGCAAAATCACTGAAAAAAAAATCAGCATAATAGTAATACTAATAGTTCAGTATTGCAGAGCTCTAAATGATACCCTGATGTTCTGCAGGAGTAGATTGCATTATAAAATTAGAGCAATATGTAATAACATTTATTAGGACTTTTAAAATTCATCTGTAATCCAATGATCCAGCAATGCCATTGACATTATTTTAAAAGAATGGATGCACAGACCTGAACTTGAGTAGTGCAGAGAGCTATAAAAAGGAAGTATAATCTTCTTGCATCCCTCCTACTCAACTTTCTCCTCCTGAAGAGGCTTTTCCCCCTGAAGATGGTTATTGTTCCAACATCAACAATTTCTCTTCAGTCATCCAAGAAAATTCTTTAAGTGTAGATACACAATTTTTAAAATGAACATAATTGAGAGCATGCTATATACTGTATTATATACTTTTAACAAATTAATACCTTTTGGAAACCCTGTAGCATAAACCTTAAACTTACAAGTTCTGAAAGTACTCTGATTTTGTTCTAATCCTTACACTATATTTCCTGGCGAGCTGACCTTGAAAACATTACTGAATCATTCTACATCTCTATTTCCTCACCCATAAAAAGGGGGCACTGATGCCTTACAGAATGTAACTATGGATGAGTAATCAATAGGTATTACGTAGAAAATATGGGCCACAGCTTCAGAAACTTAAAAAAATGTTTAATTATAATTATCATCAGTACGTAACTCTAACTTTTAGTGGTTATATAACCTCCAATTATACAAATATACTTTAAAAATTGACCCTGAATTTACTGGTAACCATTTAAATTGTTTCTTGTTTTTATTATTTTTAGTTTTGTTATTATAAACAAGGCTGCCATACACATTCACACCTGTTCACTGATATTGAAGAAATTCTTACAAGAAATATTTGGCGAGAATTCCCAAAAGTTAACTCCCTGGAGTTGAATTGTGCACGTTAACTCATAATGTCTGTGGTGCACAGATATATGGGCTGGCCCTGGGGCTGCCTCCTGAGTGGGGCCTCAGTTTACATTTCCCAGAATGTAAGATTGCCTGCTTGTCCTCATGCTCACCAACAATCGTGCTACCAAGATCTTAAAAATATTTGTCACCCTAAAAGGTAAAAAAGCAATCGATTTTGTCTCTCTACGATTTTTAACGTTGTATTTAGTCTGTTTTGCCCTACAGACATTTTTGGTATTTTTATAAAATCACTGCTTTCCTATTTCCTTTAATATCTTGCTTAGAGAAACCTTCCTGATTCCCTAAGAACAATTTTTATGCTTTCCTCTAGATTAATTTTGTTAAGTTACCCTTTTCTAGAAAGTGTTACATTTGCTTTGTTTTCAAATTCGTTTTAACAGAGTTTTGCACATTACCCTATTAGGATTCTAATTTTGATCACTTTATCTGAGACCCCTCACCAATATGAATATTTAATATTTAAGTGTGCACGTGTTCTTTCTTGCACCGTCATTACTTTTGGTGTAAATTAACTGACTTTGGTATGCTGTGCACCCTCTGTCCCTTTCTCATTCCTGGAGTCCAGTCCTGGAGCAGCTCCACGCCAGCCTTTCTCCAGGTATGCAGAGCCAGAGAGCTCAGACTGTGTGTGGAGGCCTTTCCCATTGCTAATTCTCAGCCGGGGTTTTTGAACCTTTCCAATGTTCGCTCTCACTGGAGGGAACAGCATGCTTCCAAGAGAATAATAACAAATGCAATGCTTGGAGAATCGGCCCTGGCTTCAACCAGAAAGTCTAATTGTGTTTTCTTTCTTTCCTTTTATTTTTTCCAGTCAGGCATGATACGAACAGAAGAGGCAGATTACTTCCTAAGGCCACTTCCTTCACACCTCTCATGGAAACTCGGCAGAGCTGCCCAAGGCAGCTCGCCATCCCACGTACTGTACAAGAGATCCACAGAGCCCCATGCTCCTGGGGCCAGTGAGGTCCTGGTGACCTCAAGGACATGGGAGCTGGCACATCAACCCCTGCACAGCAGCGACCTTCGCCTGGGACTGCCACAAAAGCAGCATTTCTGTGGAAGACGCAAGAAATGTATGTAAGGGCGAATCTTTGTGTGTATTTAGTGATGCTGACATTTATGTAAGCTGATGGAAGCTTGTACATTTTCTTCAAAGCATGTCTGCCCACGGGGTGAAATCTATGGACTGTCGTTGCTAAACTGAAGCAATGATTCCAGAGAGAGTCCCTTATCTGTAAGTTCAGCACGGGACATCTCTCCATGGCAGATGGATGGATAATGGTAAATGATGTCTTTTTAAGAATTCTTTCCTGGGTAGATTAAATGACACAGTGTGCAGAAGTGCAGAATCTACCAGACATCTTCAAAAGAACCCAGGCATCACTACTCAGTCATTCTATATTTTTGAGGTTTAGATTTATTCAAGCCCACATAGTTTTCCTGCTGAGGTAATTCATTTATATGCATGCTTATATACATTACCACATCAAAAGGGCAGACTCAGTGTGACATAGTAGACCTGCGATTTATCACCAAAGCTTTATCAGAGTCTTTTTTTGTCATGAACATTTAGGAAATGGTTTATTATTTACATTTTTATGTAGAAACCTCTCAGAAATTCAAGAATTGAAGTTGGGTGCTTTCTGGAATGTCCCTCACTTCCTTGAGCTCTCTCCTCAAACATCACTGGGTGAACCTTCCTCAGGAGTCTCTGGACTGCCCCCTCTCCCCCTGCCCATTGTTTCCTGCGTGGTTGGTTTCTATGACTGCTTCACCCAGCACCCTGAATAGAGGCAGGCCTGTTGCAAGTACTTAGTGAATCTCGTTGAATGAGTGAACGAACAAAAATCTCTTGGCACCTACAACAACAGAATCAGTGCTTGTTAAACCATCAGTGCCTTTGTGTCCTCTGAACCCCTTTCGTCCTACCCCTGAAAGTCATGTGCTGCATTCAGATGACTTGAAAACCTCACACCCAGATGAACTTAGTGGGCTCAGGTGCAGGGGAGGTAGCAGGAAGAACCATGCTGAGAACAAACGGAGGTGAGCAGGAGGCTGAGAGAGTTGGGAATCCTGAGGTTGGGTGAGTGTTTGAAAAGGGCGTGCATATCGGCAACAGCTGCCCGAGGCTGCCGTGACCGGCAGGTCAGGACCCAGATGCGTGGCGGAGGCTTCCCCAAGGTCAGAGTCAGGACTCTGCTGCCAGGGCTCACGGTGTGGTTGTGGTCAGAGCAGGACAAATTCCGTATGCCAGGGAGAGGAAGTGGCCCACACACCTGGATCTCAGCAGGAGAGATAGCAGGGCCGTCTTAACCGCTTTGACAGACCACACACCAAGCTCTTAAGCAGACGCCACAGTGGACCTTGAAAACATCAAGCAATGCAGACCACTGTGAGAGGACTGCGATCCTTTCGTTCCTCTCTGAAGGTGGTCGCCATGACTCAGGCTGGTGGCACAGCTAAGGCACAGCTCTGTGTGCAAGGCAGTAGAGATGACCTCAGTGTGGTGTCCACATCTGCGCGTGTGTGCATAGGCATGGGAGTGTGCGTGTGTGTGTAGTGTGTGTTGCCTTGAGAGACACTTCAGAATTGTAATAGTGGTGGTAAGTGAAAGGCAGTTATTTCAAAAAGGATGCTAAACTCTATAACACATTCTGTATTTGAAAAGTGGAAAAAAGTTCCCATGGTTTCATAATAAAACTAGCGAAAGAAAGCTCAACAAACTGCCTCTTGTAGGTGGAGGATATTGGTGATTGACATCCTGCTGTTTGCCAAATATTTCCGTCCCCCCTGGGGTATGCAGGTGATAGTACTACACTCCTGGGCCTCGAGTGGCCAGGGGCCATGTGACCAGCCCAGGCCCCGGAAAAGTGAGCAGAATCAACAGCGCTGCTTCCTACTGGAGCGTGCATCCTCAGGGCCCTGTGTCACCTGCTCATGGACGCACCCCCAGGTCCTCGTGTCACCTGTGCATGGATGCACTGCACCCCCAGGGCACTGTCACCGATGCATGGATGTACCACAGGTCCTCGTGTCACCTGTGCATGGATGCACTGCACCCCCAGGGCCCTATGTCACCTACACACAGATGCACCCCCAGGGCACTGTCACCGATGCATGGATGTACCGCAGGGCCTCGTGTCACCTATGCACGGACACATCCTCAGTGCCCTGTGCCATCTGTGCATCGATATTTCCATGTTGTCCCTGAGGCTTTTGGACTTTCCCTTGAACTCAGGGCAGTCCTGCTCTTCTGTCTTGGTGGAATTCACACTTACAATGATTCTTTCCTATTAGAGTCCCCAGTTCAGAAAATGGGAGCCTTTTCTGTGTTCACTTAGGCATTTTTCGGTGGAAAAGGGCAAACAGAGGCAGGTTGATTTGCTGAAAACCAATAGTGAGGTTGGACCTCAGGCTGATTAGTGGGCCTGCTGCCCTTCAGGTGATGGTGGGTGTGCAGCTGGGGCCTGTGTGTTCTGGGGACAACGTTGCAAGCTCCATATTGAGGGGCAGTCATTTGCTGAGGGGTTTTCAGAGCCGAGGCCCGTGAGATCACCACCCCACGGAGTTTCTGACCCCTGCCCCCAATACTGAGGGCCTGTAGCTGCTGAGCCCTGTGCTAACATGTTGTTTTCATCCTAAAGCCATTTTTCCACCAGGGGTAATTAAGAACAAGAGTTCTAGGACCACACTGTCCAAATCTGAAAGCTATTTCCGACACTTTCGAAGGAAGGGGTGTGAGCCAGTAATGTTCCTCTCCTCTGCCTTCATGACCTCATCCTTAGAACCCCATGCTCAGCCTGGGGTACAGACTGCACGAGTTACACAGAGACATCTCCTAGGGTGGAGCTCACACCTGCGGGCATTGCATAAACATTAATGGCAAATGAGTGCTCAATAAACATTAGCTGGTATCATTATTATTCTCCAAAAGCTTTATTTAATTTTGGAAGTATGTTAGCAAAGGAAAATGAAACGTGTTGGATGTACTAGTCAAACAAAATAGCATCTGCTTACAGTATGCTCCGTGAATACAGTCTGCATAGATTTTGTGTGCATGCCACCTAAATATCTGGGCTTTTTGAAGTCCACTTTCACACGAAACAATTCTAACCACATTTTCTGAGGCATCCACTAAACCTAATTGTTTTCAATGTAGTGTTAACCTAACAATTATACATGCCAAAAATATTTTTAAAGGGATTACTTCAAGAGGAAAGTGTATGCTTTGTCTTCTAATCAAATACATAAATATTTATGGTACTTTCTAGGAAATTAAGCTCTTCAGTGAAGTGGAGCTGCCTCAAGCATTTTATAATCTATTGGAAACAGTGTAGACAAGCTAGTTATGTGTCCAGACATTGAAATCAACTTTAAACATTGTCAAGTCGTTAAAAGTCTTCAAGCAGGAAAACAATGCAAGCCAGCCAGCTCGTGTTCTTGTAATTGTTTGTTCCATTGCTTTGTCTTTGCAGAGGAATCTGTTCTACAAATCCCTATGCTCAAAGTCTCTGAACCCTTTTGCTACCAGATGTTAGGAGTTACAGCCAAAGAGTGCCCTCTCTTGCTGTTTTAAATTAGGATGAAATTATATAAAGGGAAATACAGCCATGATTTCCATGATGCCTAGACTACATGAATTTTACTTAAATTTAGTGTGCTACTTTAATACAAGTTTCTGCATCACAAGGTTTTAAAGGTTTATGTGGTTTTTATCATGAGTGTTCATTTTTGAGACCAAATTTCTCTATGACGAGTTACGGCCCTGATTTTGTGTGTGACTTGTGCTTCCATTTGCCCTCCATGTGTCCCTCCATAGACATGCCCCAGCCTCCCAAGGAAGACCTCTTCATCTTGCCAGATGAGTATAAGTCTTGCTTACGGCATAAGCGCTCTCTTCTGAGGTCCCATAGAAATGAAGAACTGAACGTGGAGACCTTGGTGGTGGTCGACAAAAAGATGATGCAAAACCATGGCCATGAAAATATCACCACCTACGTGCTCACGATACTCAACATGGTAGGATCATCCTTCCAGTTGAGGCCACCTGTGTCATTGCACTTCGTAGGGTGTGTGTGTGTGTGTGTGTGTGTGTGTGTGTGTTTCCATTTTACTTGTTACCTGTGGATTGATGTTCCATATATGAGAAATATTTTATTGGTGATAACTCATTTAGTTTTCTATGCTCCAATGAAAAGAGCCATTTTCAGAACTTCATAGACTAATTCAGTAGGAAAAATCATTTGACCTTCTCTATAAGCCTCTGTAAGCCTGTGAGATGTTTTGGGCTTACTGGCATCTATTTACTGGAAATCTCTAAGGGGTTGCTGAGCCACTGTAGTGCAGTAAATCTGATTATCAGCATTAGATGTGTGATTTTAGATGGCTCTATAGAAATGCCCAACTTTTTAGAAATACTAATGTTCAAATGCTAAATATAAATTATTTTATCTATAAAAACAGGAAAAGTGCAACCTTTTAGAATATCACCTCAGGTAAAATGTGTTTGTGTCTCAAATTGGCAGCTGTATTAATCACTGAAGAGTGATGAGAGGTATACTAAGCCTCATTTCATGTAAGTGAAATCTAAATAACAGAAGACAAAATATTGGGTTGCCAAAGTGTGTTTTTAAGAATAGTTTTAATGACAATATTTTAAAAGTATGTCTTTGCATTCTTCTGCCTCAATAAACAGAGTACCCCTGAATGTGCCCATCTTTCCATGATGTCATGTGATTACTATGGCTAGTGTTATTTTTGGTAGACTGAACCACTAGATTTCTGGGCTCCCAGGAAGCTGAGGAGGCAGTGAAATAGAGCCACCTTCCCGCTGCACGGGGTCAAAGCAAGCACGGCCCTGTTGTCCTCAGCAAGCTGCTCTGACGCGTGGAAGTGTTTGCCTCTCTTCTGTAGAGCTTTTCCAATATTTCCGCAGCGCAGTGGCAAATCACTTCAGGTTACATTCCATGGTGGACGTGCTGTTCCTGCTCCCCACCCCAAATGCCACTGTGATCACTCATTTCCATTTCCATGATCCATCACCTCTGATATCACCTCTAATTGTGTCTTTCTCTCATCATCTCATTACCATGATTTTTTCTTTCTCTTTCTTGTATCCTCTTGGAATCCCATAAGTGCGAGAGTTTCTCTTGCACTTATGGAATTCCTTGCCAGGAGAGCTTGAGAAGTGATTGGCTTCTGTCATCATCATGATTAGCTTAAAAATCCTCTTTATATTCTAAGGGGAACCCTTACCAACCCACAGCCTTGTGATCCTTTCTTAGGTGTTTGACCGTAAGAGGTGGACCCCACTCCCAGCTGAAGCTTCGGCTTTTTACCGTGATATGATTAATACATCTGTCTGCCTAGCAATACAAGAAAGTTAACAGTGCTCTGTCACTGAAGAACAAGGGCGTTGGATTCTAGGCCCGCTAGTAAGTAGGGGGGAAAATGCCATTTATGGGGCTGACATGGATTTCCTGTCTTTTTCAGGTATCTGCTTTATTCAAAGATGGAACAATAGGAGGAAACATCAACATTGCAATTGTAGGTCTGATTCTTCTAGAAGATGAACAGGTAGTTTATCTTTGAAACTATCTACTCTTTTTATTCCTAGAAAAATAAATGCAAAATAATGCTTTTTTCTTTAATATAATTGTTCTATGGGTTCTTCTCTCTCGAGGGCAAAATGTATTTAATATTTTGTGTCTACTGCAAATGAGTGTCTTTTCAATCCTTTTAAATGTTTTTTGGATTTTTTGTGGGGTTTTTTGTGCAAAAGTGGTAAGAAATTATCCTTTAATTGGCCTGTAAGAAAATGGCATGTAAAAGCTGCCTTCAGCATATAGGTGGGACACACACTAGGAATACACAGCACAAAATATATCTTAGCCATCGTGAGCTTTCAGGATGCCAGTGGGAATGAGCCCTTTCTGCTTCTTGCTAGGAGAGTATAAATGTTTTGTGGTCTTGAAGTTACATTGTACTGTGTGGCCCTGTGTTGCTTTATTCAATTATCTCCCAGCTCTTAACCTTCACCATCTACAGTCTGAGATTTTTTATTTTTATTGAGATTTCTATGGACTTTCAAGCGCATTTCCCTCACTGCATGCAAAAACCCAGATTATGCTGGGTCTTGGTAGCAGTGGGTTAAAGATCCTTTGCCTTCATTTGGGACCCCCGTAAATGCATAGAGGTGGTCCCTTCACAGAAAGGATGGACATGAACACCTTGTGGCCTAAGTAATGGGGAGGCATTTTAGGCACAAAATGTTCTCATTTCCATTTTTCCCCAAGCTAATCATTGACTGGGCAAAGGAGAGTGGGTACTGGACAGGAGCCAAGAGCCCAGCCTCAGCTCCACCCTTGCTGACGTTTTCAGAGTCTCCTTTTAGCTACAGTTTTCTTATTTATAAAACAAAGAATTTTTTAGATGAAACCCGAGATCATTCATAAGATCTAAGATGCCTTCGATGTTAAAGTTCTGGGATGCTGCTCTTTTTCTGTGCATGGTGGGGGCATGTGTGGACAGGGCTATTTCTAGTCTGACTAGTCAGGGAAGATACAACCTCATTGTCTTTTGTGTGAGTGCGCAGTTGGGGAGGGGGTTGCTGAACATGCCGGGCTTCTCAGGTGACAGGTTAATTATTCCTGGTATTAAAACCTCTTCACCTTGGAATTCATCCAAGCTGCAAAGAATAAGCGAGGTTATCGTTTGATCGTACACCTGTGTTAACTTTAATTAATGCAGTTTTCCTGGAAATCACCTGCTAAAGAACGCAAGGCTTGCCCCCGTGTTTGTGTGTAGCATTTTGCTTGGGTATATTTGACTTTCTGTAAAAACAACATAAACATTTCAGGAGAAAACATATTCAGTGTCTGAGAGACAAAAATTTCAATACGACATCCTAACAGTGCAAGCTTTAAACAAGCCAGTGTCCTGAAGCTGAGGTAATTAAACCTGGTGTTGTCCCACCAGCCATAGGAAACTAGAGCATGCCGGTGAATAAGGTTCAAATAACTTGGTGCAGGCTGGTCTGATGCATGTTCTTCTGTGTCTCGAATTCTTCCGTTCCCAAGAGTTCCAATGTTCTACGCTCTGTTACTTCATCGTTGCGTTATCTGAACCTAATGGAGACAGAGGAGGTTGAACATGGCTTGCAAAGTCTCCTTTTAGTTGCAGTTTATTTTCCAGAAATAAAGCTTTACCAATTGACCCACCTCCTCTCAGAAATATACTGCCTTTGTAGAAAAGATATTTAATTTAACACTATAATAATAAGTATTAAAAGACTTATTTATTGGAAATCCCACTTGCTTAACTTGGTTATGAGATAAACATATCACCATCTAGACGTGTTTTTGTATATGTATGTACAAAGCCATGTATAAATGATTCTGTGGCTTTACTTAATTTTGAAAAGTGTTTTTGAAAGATTTTTGAAAACAAAAAATTCATGCACAGAAGTAATCTTTCTTGGGTCATTGAACATGCATTCAGGATCAGCCAGATACATTTCAATTGTTTATGTATGGAACCAGAGAAACGTGCCTAAGTGTGTACACTGGATCTGTACGGGTTTTATAGAATACGTAAAATACACGCGTTAGCTTATATGCCATCCAGATCCAGCCATGTATTTGAAATCCAGGTCAATAATAGTTTGCTGTGATGACAATGCATTATAACATGTTTTCTCTTCATTATCATGGGGTCCTCGGTCCTTGTCTCTTGCACAGCCAGGACTGGTGATAAGTCACCACGCAGACCACACCTTAAGTAGCTTCTGCCAGTGGCAGTCTGGATTGATGGGGAAAGATGGGACTCGTCATGACCACGCCATCTTACTGACTGGTCTGGATATATGTTCCTGGAAGAATGAGCCCTGTGACACTTTGGGTGAGAACCTCCAGCAGAGTGTGAGGACCGTGTGTGGAATGTGCACCCCTGGCCGTGACACAGTGTTGAGTATTTTTGCCCTTGTTCCTTGTTAATAAGCAGTAGCAGCTTCTTAGTGAAGGTGTAAAGACTCACTTCCCTGTATAAACTTTAGCCAAACATAGAAGTACGCTTGCATTCATCAAGAGTGATTATTGAACAAGTAAATGTCTTACAGATTCCAGAGTTCCTATCTCTTCTAACAAAATAAATACATATATATTTTTTGTTTCTTCTACTGCTTGTGCCAATGGGGTGGATAGATCGAAGGCTTTCTCATTATATAGTGGAAATAGTACATTGATGAGTATCTGTGGAGATACTACGACCAGATTATATTTCCTGTTTTTTCCCTTCTCTCTCTGTATCTCAATCTTAGCAATGTTTTAGACATTTACGGGGCTGGGTGTGACTTGTAGAGGCAGCACTTTGTGATTCTTTCCGGATGGTCTGTGTAAAACACTGTGCTACTGACCAGGATTCCGCTGAACATGTCTTCTAACTCTCCGTTTCTTCCCAAGTTCCTAGGGAGGAAGGGTTTTTGTTTATAAAAACTTTCAGATAAAGCCCAATTTAATAGCGGTTAGTCTTATTGTGCAAAAGCAAGTTAACGTGGTGTCCCGGCTGCTTGTCCTTAGACAGCCCTCCTCACCCAGTTGGCTCTTGGCTGGACTCCGAGAACTCAGGTTGTAGGATGGTTCCCACTGCCCTACCTCCAAAGAGTGGCTCATTGTGCCTAAATTGTGTGTACAAACAGTGTGGTTTCCTTCTGAGGTTCTGGAATTTTGGCAAACTTTAGGCAGTGGGTGCCTATGTGACCAGCTCCCAGAGAAAACCCTGGACACTGAGTTTCTAATGAGTGTCCCTGGTGGACAACATTCACCTTCATTGCCACGACTCATTGCTGGGGAAGAAAGCACATCCTGTGTGACTCTGCAGGGCAAGGACCCTTAGACGTGTGTGCCTGTTTCCCCCGACTTCTGCCCATGTGTTTTCCCTTTGCTGATTTTGCCCTGTGTCCTTTTGCCATATTAAATAATAACCATGAGGGTGACAAATGCTCGTTATGACAGATGTGAATCATTAAAGCTGGGGGTGGTCTTGGGGACCTCCCAGCACACCCATTCTCTACAGCACCTTTTCACTTGGTCTTTTGGGAACATAGGTGTTTAGAATAAGGCAAAGACCTTCCTCCATCTGCAATAGATTCCACGCTTTATTAGAGCCTGCCCCAGGCTCTAATAGAGTCACGCCCCAATTAGAGCCTGCACCACGAACGTTACATAGAACCATGAATTGTGTTCCACAATACAGAGAGTCCTTGGGCTCCCTGGAAGGGAGTCCCTTCCCCTACCTTATCAAGTCCCCTTTATACGGTTGTCTAAGTGTTTCCCATTTCATATTTTCCCATATGAACATAAGAACTAAATTTCACTAAGGGGTAGAAAATAAATATACTATGCTTTATTTTATTACAACACCGCTATGTGTTCTTTTGATCTTTGTCCTTCACAGGATTTGCACCCATAAGTGGAATGTGTAGTAAATATCGCAGCTGCACGATTAATGAAGATACAGGTCTTGGACTGGCCTTCACCATTGCCCATGAGTCTGGACACAAGTAAGTGCATCTCCATGGGAGGATGGCATCCCGAGTTTTTTCCTTACTGGATGATTTCCATGGAAATATTGACTCATCAAGTCAAGTCCATGAAGGGAATTCACATATATCCAACGAGAATGCCATTGACAGTTATAAAATGCTGTCACTTAGGACTTCTGTTTCTATGTCCCACATCGTGCAAATTTTATTTTTATTTATTTACTTTATTTTGAGACAGGCTCACTCTGTCAATCAGGCTGGAGTGTAGTGGCATGACCTCAGCTCACTGCAATGTCTGCCTCCTGGGCTCAAGCAATCCTCTTACCTCACCCTCCCAAATAGATGGAACTACAGGCATTCACCACCATGCTTGGCTAATTTTTGTAATTTTTGGAGTGACAGGGTTTCGCCGTGTTGCTCAGGCTGTGCACATTTGAAAGCCACAGCAATGCACAAGTTTCCATGTCCCTGGGTCTTTCTCCAACACTCCTGTACACACCTGTGCCTAAGATTGAGGATAGCTGTATCTGTCCCGATTCCTCTGTCCCGTGTTTTGAACGTGGTCTGGTGGGCTGATCTCATTCCATGGTTAGCTGCTAACAGGGGACTCTAAATGATGAAGAACAGTGTCAACCCTCCCATTGCTTCCTGCTGTTACCCTCGCGTTTGTGTTCTTGTATATATTTATGTATTTACAATTTATAGAGATGCTATTTTTCATTGGTACTCCAAGCAAGAGTTTGGAAGAGTGGGTACTGACAAGAGATCAGGCAGGCCTCTAGGAACTGATTTGCCTCCCTTATTCCACCTCTGACTGCACCATTAATGGCTTGGAAATAAAAGTTTCAGGGAGCCCCACGAGCCTGGGGGCTCAACACAGAGGCCAGTCCTAGGTTGGCGGTCTCAGCAATGGGCGGTGGGTCATTAGTGTTTTCACCTTACATGAAATGCTTACAATTGTAGAATGAACAATTTCTAGCAATTATTTGTGGAAACTATTATTCTTAATACAATTTCTGAGGCCAATAATTCTGTGAGCTGCTTTACCTTGAAGTATCGTCTGTTAAATAAAAAAATCAAGGGCCCATTTCCTGCCCAAGCAGCTGGGGACTTCCTGCAATCACCCTGAGTAATACCAGAACCACCAACTGGAATGCAAATCTTTTCCTGCTATGCTGCAACAATACTTGAAATTTCTCCTAGAAAAATTTACAACCAGGAATTATAAGTTTTTATTTTTTTTAAATTTCAACCTGATTTTATTGGCAAAAGGAAAACCAAGGCAAGTGTTTGTGATTTGTGGTTTTGCAAAGCTGACTTATCCATTATTGGAAAATGGACTGAGGCCTCAGACTTGTTCAAAGCAGTGTGTGTGTGTGTGTGTGTGTGTGCGCGCGCGCACATATACGTGTACATGTATGTTTGCGTGTGTATACACATGTGCTTGTGTTTAATGGAATTCCACGAAGGTTCTGCACCCTTTAGCTGTGTGAACTGATGACCTGAAAAATGAAGCTTCATATCTTATTACTGATCCCTTCATCACCACAGGTAATGATTGACTATTTCATTGCTTAGAAAATTACACCTTCACTTTATAAAGCTTTCAGTTGAATCATAGTTGTATTTTTAATAGTCTGCTAGAGTTAAAACTTCAAAAACTCTCATTATTGTAACAACATGAGGCTCCTGCTGTCCTCTGAACCATACCTGAATTTAATTAAACAATCAAGGCAAGAAATATTTAAGTCACTGAGGGCTTAGCCAGTGAACGTTCGATAAGCAGTTGAGATATGGGAATTGGCAGTGCCAGCCGTTGCAGGTGGTGAACTTAACTAAGTTAAACTAGAGGCATCCGACACAAGGCCCTCAGTTGATCTTCAGTGTCAAGCAAGTATCAGTGTTGGCATTTATTTTTCTTAGAAGTCAATTATTACTATTTCCTTTCCTCACTCAAATTGGGTGTAGTTGGAAAAAGATTTTCTCCAAACAAGAAAAAAATATTTTTTCTGGAAAGTCAGAATCTAGATGTGAATAAAGAAAGAAGCCAGTCGGGCGTGGTGGCTCACTGTAAACCCAGCACTTTGAAAGGCTGAGGTGGGAGGATCACTTGAGCCCAGGAGTTCAAGACCAGCCTGGGCAACATAGTAAGACCCCATTTCTACAATAAATTTAAAAAATTAGCCAGGCATGGTGGTGTGCGTCTGTAGTCCCAGCTACTTGGGAGGCTGAGGTGGGAGAATCGCCTGAGCCCAGGAAGTCGAGGCTGCAGTCAGTTGAGATTGCACCACTGCACTCCAGCCTGGGTGGCAGAATGAGACCCTGTATAAAAAAAAAATAAAAATAAGCCCTGCATGTGGATGAAGGAGAGTCCCATTGCTAATATAGGATTAACTGCCAGAAAGTATCAGATCTTTCTTGAACACCTGACTTCTTCAAGTTCTCTGAGACAGAGAACCTGGAGCTTGTCAACGAAAAACCTGCTGACCATGTTGAGAAAATAGAAAATATATGTATCTATCATGTGCTAAATGCCAAAATGAGTGGCAATAATAGTAATAGTAGTAACGGTAATGATAATAGTAGTGTCTGCTCTTCATGGAGCACTTTCTGTAAAATTCACCTAGCAATTTCACATACAGCTCAAACCATGGAAACCACCCAGGACAGTTCCTTCTGTCGCCTTCACTGACTTAGGGGAGACTATGTGGAATATTCAGCAAATGTGTATGAATGGAGTCGGGGAATGAGTGACGCAGGGCGTGAGCAAGCAACAGGTGAGGAGTAAACGTTTCAAATGAATTGTTAGCTGTGACCACCACTTCAAATGAGAAAGGCTGTGATGTGTAAGACTCAATGATAAAACTCCGTGTATCTTAGTTGAACTAAACTGAAGACAAACACATTTGTTCAGTTCATGTATTTAGTGAGTTTTATTTTTGGAAGAAGGAATGATAAGTTTGATGCATGGAGCAAACATCAGAGCATCAACGGTCTGCTTTTATCAATGAGCTCCAAGCAGAGTCAAATTTTTGAGTTCTGTACGTCAAGAATTAAAAAGCAATTCTGAATTTATTATGACTTTTACTATTAAAAAACGTGTAAAACATACTGCTTCGAAGGTAAATTTTACTTTTTCAGTTCTGTTTACATTCGGAGGACATTATTTGGGATGGAGGAGTACTTCTCCATGCCTGCAACTCATAGGTTTCTAACCTTTAACTCAAATAAAGATTTCAGTTAGTGTCCATCCAATCTGTCCTCCTAAGTTCCACTTTTTAAAAAAATCTCAAAATATCATGTAGTTTATGCTAGGGAATGTGACCTAAAAATAGAAATTACTAAGAACAGGTGTTTGGATTTGTGTTGGAAAGAGAGGAGGAGAGACTGGAACCAGAACTGAGATATGTGTTCTCCTGTAGTACATGGGATTGAATCAGGATTTGTATTAAGCTGGTGGTACAAGGAGAGTTTCCTGGTTATGTTAAATCACTTGACACAGGACATGTGGTTTGCTAAGGCAGGTGCTGAAGCATTGGCACAGATGCACCAAGGGCTGAACTGCGCATTTGGGAGAATATGTCATCTGTGCATGAATCCATCTGAAAAATTCCCATTTGCTAAGGGAAGTCATGTCATTTGATGGGTAGGGCTCTGGGACTCAGATTCCAGATCAGCACAGTGCTACCACAGTCTGATAGTGACCAGGGAGGGTGCCCTTAACAGCTCTTACCTAGGTTTCCGATCTGCAAAAACAATAGAGCACTATATGCTCCGTAGCTCATATATGCAAGTGTAATTTAGGTTGCATTATTTGAGCTGTACATTCCACTTATATAAAATAGGCTTAAATAGCCAAGTTGCATTATCACTTGAGACCATTGAGGTGCTATAAAACAAATATATTAACTGTGTGCAGAAGTATTCATTATTCATCAGTCTGTCTCTTGCATTTCCCCAAGTTTATGGACCCAGTCACTGGGCACAATTTGCATTCTGAGAGCAAGGCATTGTGTAGGAGTCTACAAAAAGACTAGTGATCTATGCCCTTCCAAAGTTTAAGAGAAAAGAATAAATAGATATGCCATGCAAGATATCAAGTAATGAGAGCTGTCGGTATTGCAAGAGACCACACAGGGACAATCAGGGAGGTCTTAAAAGAAGCAGCATTGGGCCGTGTGTGGTGGCTCACTCCTGTTAATCCCAGCATTTTGGGAGCCCAAGGTGGGTGGATCATGAGGTCAGGAGTTCCAGACCAGCCTGGCCAAGATGGCGAAACCCCATCTCTACTAAAAATACAAAAATTAGCCGAGTGTGGTGGCAGGTTCCTGTAATCCCAGCTACTCAGGAGGCTGAGGCAGAGTAACCTCAGGAAGTAGAACTTGAACTCAGGAAGTAGAGGTTGCAGTGAGCCGAGATCACGCCACCGCACTCCAGCCTGGGCAACAGAGAGAGCCTCCATCTCAAAAAAAAAAAAAAAAAAAGCAGCATTGGTGTCACTATTGGTATCACTAGTAGTTAGCTTGAAAATACCATTCAGCTCAACCACAGTCACTGGAGATGCCCCTTTCAGTATTTGATGATGACATGTGCCTCCACCCCATTTGTGGCTGTGCTTTGTCACCAGTCTGGGCCTCTTCCAGTGCATCAGGGAGGCATGTGGTGATTTTTAAAGACTTGAAGAATATTGGAGAAAGCCAGCCCCTCTAACCATCATCTGGACTGGGGATTGTCAGGCTGCTCTCTGGGTAGCTGTGGTAGGTCAGAGCATCAGTTCTTACCAATTTTATTTGTTGTCATTCCTCTTAGGATTTCTTGTCTGTTTCTGTGTCCAACAAGTATTTGAAATCCATTAATATTTGGCCAGACCTTCCCATACACATGCATGCACATATGCATACCAACCATGAATGGCACTTAGGTGTTATATGATTTGACCAAGACCACATTTGGATCCTGGAAGGGAATAGAAGTTTTGAATTTTCCTTTCTGATGTGCACAGTCCCAGGCATTCTGTACAGTTCATGAGGAAGGTTTTACTATCCCATTTTATATATAAAGAAACTGAGGCTGGGGGGGTCAAGTAATTTGCCCAATATCAAGCAGCTTGTGAATGACAGAGCCAAGACCCTGACTGAGGTCCCTGCACCTCCACAGCCCATGCTGTCTCCCATTTTCTTCTCTGCCCATTTCCCTCAGTTCCCCGCAACTGCTGTCTTCAGCTCAGCCTTCTATCTTTCATGGAGGGTGAGCTGTGCTTCTCCAGATGCCTGCATGAAGCCTGCGTCAGGGCTCTGGGCAGCTCAGTCTTACCTGTGGTCGCCATCATTATGCCAAAGGTAGACTTTGCCATCCAGATAACATTGGCCCATGGTTCCTTTAAGAATGTCTCATGTCCTTAACCACTACTGTCTGAACAGCCTGAAATAAGTGATACAGCCTCTACAAACACTTGGCTGGTTATTCAGCATTCTCAGTATATCATTAATAATAAACAAATACTTCCCAATAGTAATTGAATCACTCAAAAAATATTGTAGAAGATGATAAAAGCATGACATTGAAATATAATTCCCAAATTCAATTTAATCTGAAATTAGATTTCCGTCTGGGTATTTGAGTTAGTGTTACAGCAGAAAAGGTTGTCCTTCCTTCACTTAACAAACACGAATAGAAACCTGTTAGGTACTGTCAAGTCCACTGGCAGTGGGGCTGTGAGCATGGATAAGAGGCGTCTCTGTCTTTTAGAAACTTATAAACTAGTAAGGGGAAAAAGATAAAATATATTTATGACTTTAGCAAATGGGATGATAACCATTTTAAAGTACTATGGTGCACAGGAGCAAGATATATTCTCTGGTCTGCATAATTTGAATAGTAGTTATAGTTCTTGGTTGCCACATAGCAACCTTATCTTCAAAATGTGTTCTATTCATTCTTCTGTGACTTTATTAATGGTGGTATTAAATGTAATCACTGTGTGCTACTTTTTTATGCTGATCTGCTGGCATTCATTGCATTACAAATGTGGGCATTGTACTGATTGGAGACACAAATTGTGAAATAGTGGTGCTGAGATTTTGGTGGGAATCAGAATCACCTGGGGATGTGTTCCAATACACCCAAATGCCAGCTCCTAACCCTCGACCCACAAAATTAGAACTATACCACTGCAGGCTTGGGTAGCTACATTGTGCTCTGTATCTCTCAGATGTTGATGCATCAGAGTTTGAGACTTGATACTAGAAAAAAATCATTGAAAATACTTTAAATGTAAAAGTTGAAGACCAAGATTTCCCCAGACTTGGGACATTGTGGACTTTGAATTCCTTAGAAAGGTAGGCAGACACGGTAGCAAGTTTATCGAGGGCAATTTCTGGACCGTAATGTGTCTTCTTCATTAGCAGCTCAAGGGCCAGCCAGCGGAGGGTAGTTTGGTATTTCGTGTTCCTCCTTTTCTCCCTAAGGCAGCCTCCCATTTAGGATTTCAGCCTGAATCTTTTTCACAGCCATGACACATTTCCTCTGCCATGTGGTTACCCTGGCCTTGATTAATTGCCTTTAATAGAACTTCAGAGAATGGGTGGAGGCTAAAATGACTACATCTACATCACCCTTGGTACTGATCAAGAATTTTGCAGAAATTCAGCAGTATTTGCACGCCAGATTTCCTTGGATACCGCCTTCAATCACGTTCAGGTTACACTATTACATGAATCCCAGCTAGGCTGTGACATCAAAGTGTCAAGGTTTCAGCCTTGACTCGGTAACCCTGGATGTAGTCTTTCTCCAGTCCTCGGTCTTGCTGTCTTTATATTAAAGCTACCTTGTAGAGCTGTGTTGAGTTTTAAATTAGAATATAGGTTACAAGCGTACCATAAAAGCTGTAAAATGGTGCGTGCTTATAAATGTTAATTACTATATTTACTAGTAATATATTACTAAATAGCTCTAAGCAAAGCAGTTAAATAGACAAATGTGTCTTCAGCCTAGGCAACAAGTACAGATTCTCTTGACACCTTTTGGAGCTGACTTTCCCCTACACTGGTGTCTTCCTGTCCCTGCTGCCTTCTGTCCACTCCTTATGGAATTCTTGGCAGCATAATGTCCCACATAAATAGAAACCACCATGTCCTTCTTTGCTTTCCCTCTCTCTTGCCTTCCCCCTTTTCTCTGCATCTCACCACATGAGACCCTGTGCTCTGGGAATCCATACAATGGCTGGGTGCCAGACATTAATGGCAATAGTGGCTTAGCTCTGCAAGAATGTATTTACCTTAATGAGAGGTCTTCAGAGCCACAAGAGCTCCCAAGGAAGTATGTTGTGTTCTTCTGGGATAGTTGAAAATGGGATCATTGAAATGAGCCTTGAGAGCACTCAAGGCCCTCCTACAGCTTTCACAGGTTAAGAAGAAGAGACTTGCTGATGACGGAGGTAGCAGCCCTGGAAAATGTGATTCTCACAGGTGCACGGCTCCATTTTCTCAGGTGTTATTAAGGGAGTGTTAATTGGCATTGTAGGATCTCAACACCTCTGATGGCCCCCATTAAGGGTTCCTATAGCTGCTGTAGCTTGAGATGTACCTGTACTCTGAGCCAGGTGTGGATCTCCAAAGTGGTGTGGTTTTCACATGAAGGTAACCTGTGCTTCTTCAAACGACACCCATAAATACATGAAGCCATAGTCACCTGTTGGGTTTCTGTGGAGCTACTCTCTCCAAATAGACAGACAGATTCAGGTCAAGCACAGCCCGCCCATCACAGCCTCCAGCAGTGCAGCCCTAATAGTTTGAGATGGAACATCCCCAGGTAGGGGTAGAGACAGAATGTCAGCCCACCATTAGTTGCAGTAGCTGTTTGTAGTTCTCAAATTGCAGTAAGCATCAAACTCGCCTGGGGAGTTTGTTTGGACAGCTCAAACGCCTGGATCTCTCTTTTCTGAGTCAACAATTCCTGGGTAGAAGCCTGGCATCTACATTTCTAACGAACACCCATGGAAACTCTAACGATCCTGCTGAGCAGAAAAGAGTGTGGAGAAAAAGAAGCTACATAGAGCAGTGTTAGCCTAATCAAGAAGATCCCAAGTCCCTCCACCCCATTCAATACGCAGGCATCTGGACATTTCTATGATATTGGTGTACACTTTGAGGCAATTTGGTGGATGGTCCATTCTTCAGAAACTGTCTTGGAATACGTGAATATTCTTAACCAATTGGCAGTTGTGACTTTTATTTTTGCCTGCCTAGCATATAGGGGTGAGGGAGTCTCACAGTCTTGACTTGTAATTGTTAGAGGGTATCAGATAATTTAAACTGTTTTTGTTCTGAAAGAACCATCTCTCTCTCTCTCTCTCTCATAGCTTTGGCATGATTCATGATGGAGAAGGGAACATGTGCAAAAAGTCCGAGGGCAACATCATGTCCCCTACATTGGCAGGACGCAATGGAGTCTTCTCCTGGTCACCCTGCAGCCGCCAGTATCTACACAAATTTCTAAGGTAGGAACTCTTTAAGCTGGTCTTGTGATCTTTCGGGGCCTTTGATGCTCACTGCCTGGTCAGCCAGATCCTGTGCAAGCAGCCCCAGGCTGTGCTTCCTGATGTGGTTCCCTTTGAAGGTGTCTTGAGACATTCAGTTGACCGAAGAGTTTGCTAAAAATCTCCTTAGAGCATGGAGGCCTGTTGGCTTAATCTGACATTGATTCAAAGGGAATCAATGACTTGAGACTAAAAGGGAGCCATAAGACACTTACCAAAATATTTGTCACTAACATTTAAGTTTTACAATTCTCACTTCCATAATTAGGAATCTTCAGGAAGTGAATAGAAAGATCGTACATGTACACATCTGTATACACAATAATAAAGCATAACTTTTTTTGGTTTTTCTTCTTTCTCTTTATTTTTTCTTTCTTTTCCTTCCTTCCTTTTCTTTCTTTCTTTTTCTTCCTTTCTCTCTCACTTTCTTTCTTTTTACTAAATGCATTCCTCATTAGGTGAAGAAACTTGAGTATATAAACTTTAACCTAGCTCTAATATTCTGTAATCTTCAATAATATTTTTAGAAATTTTCTCTAAGCACTAATTTATTTAGGAGATAAAACATTGGGGAGGTAGGGTTTGATCCTTGAAAAATAGTAGATTTGAAAATTTCAGAGAAATGAGGAACTTTATGAAACGTTCTTAGAACTGCTAGTTTATATGCTTGTTCCCTAAATCTCTTTGGCTTTGAGTTTGAAGTTTGGTTTAAATCTTAAGCCAAAACTTTATTTCTGACATTACAGTCCAGTGTGAATTGGAAAGTCTCTGCTCCACACAGTCATTCAGAGACCCAGGTTTCTTCCATCCTGTGACCTTTCCTCTTCCAGGACCTAGTTCCCCACTGCAGCCATCCGGGGACTGAGGACAGAGAGAGCACAGGAGGGTGTGCGGGACAAGGGTGGTGTTCCTGGAGGAACTCATATGACTGCCCAGAAGTGCAAGGGGCATTGAGAAATGTCCTCTACCCATGTGCTCAGGTGACAGAGAGCCATCTGTGCCACATGATGAACCCCAAATCCTATTGCAGAAAAGTAAATAAAAATATTTTTAAAAATTTAAAAAAGCAAATAAAAATTTTAAAATGAAGAACAGAGGGAAGGGCACAAATGTATAGATTCTAAGGAACTAGCTAGTTGTGATAGGAAAGTTTGAAATTTGACAAGAAGAATTATATTTCTATTATTAAAAAGTAGGGCAAATACTAATACTTCCAACAAAAGCAAAGGGTTTTTTTTTTAAGTAACAGCTTTAATGAGCTAAAATTAATACACAAAAACTACACATATTTAACGTATACAGTAAGATGAGTTTAGACGTTTGCATGCACCAATGAAATAATCTCCAGGGAGATTCCAGCAGGTTTGGTGGAAGAAAAAAATAGCTTAGCAGCACCCAAGAAGTCCCCAGGCTAGGAAACGAGATTATCTGCCTTCCAAGTCTTTGTAATGTACATGTCTTTGCAGTCAAAACTAGGAACTAGTTATTCCAAACTGAGAACTAAGAACAAAGTTCCCCTATCCTATTAGATCCTGTAGACTCTTCAGTTCTCAACCGGCCTCTCTGGTTCCTTTCACTGACCTTACTTCTTTGTGTCCTACCTTTTTTTTGTTTTCTTTCTTCCTTTTTTATTCATATATTTAATTAATAGAGCTCTTTTTTTCTGTTGCACAAATTAAGTCTTCTTATTTCTAAGACACTATTTGAGTAGCAGGATCACACCAGTACTTCTGTTGGTTTTACTCCAGTGTACTTTCTGGTGGTCTGTTGCCCCAGGGCTCACCTGGGGCTGGATTGCCCCTATGGCTGCGTCTTCCTTCATTCTCTAGGGATCCTGGCTTCCCATCTTCCCAGCCAGGATTTTGATCATCAGCCTCCAGGGGCTGTGTTCCTCTAGCTTCCTCCTTTTTGGTGTTCCTCCTCCAAGGACTAAAGTATGTTAACACATTAAGGAACAACTGTGTTTCATAGTTTATGCCACCCAGCATAAGTGGCAACAGTTTGGACGATATGTGTATCTTGGTAATATAAACCTGTATTCTGGGAATATACACTTGATCATTTTTTAAAAAAAAATTATATTACCAAAAAAAGACAATGTTAAAGCTATTCTACAACTGACATGATGCATAGGAGTACATTTAGCATTTGTTTTTCCCTGCATGGTATTCTCAGAGTCAAGCTGGGGATTGTTAGCATTGTTTTTAGCTGTTTCTTGCAGCTGTTCACATTTTTCTCTCTGTGTGTGTGTAGAAATTCTACTCTGGGTAACAAGGAAGATTATTCAGTTTAGGCTCACCATGCTGTTATTTGCATTAACAAGGAAAATTCGGAGTTTTCTATATTCCAGATCCTTTCTATAGTTTTCTAGATTCAGAATTTTTTAAACCTCTTTTTCATCTTAATCGTTATGAGGAAGATACAGTAACACTTTTTCTATTTTGAAATATCCTCTGACAACTGAAAAAATCAGGGGATTATAATTTGGGTGTGTAGTGAGAACACCCAAGTTATTAAAGTCCAAAAAAAGTTTTGAAACTGCCAAGAAATATAGGCAGACTCATGGAAAGAAGATAATTACATGCTCGGGGAATAATTATTTTGAGGACGTTGAAAATAGAATGCCATCTTGAAGACATAATATAGTCCTAAGAATGATTATTAAGGTACTGGAATTAAAAGCCATTTTCTTTCTATGATACTGGAACACCTGAACTATAAGTTGAAGTGTGCTGATGTGTTTTTGTGTGCATCCAGCAAAACACTACTGTAGCATTTCAATGATAAACATTTATTTTCAGGGACTTTACCAATTTCTTTTGACCACATGAGTATAAATAAATAGGTAAGGTTTTACGTGCTTACAGATTTGTTTTCTTGAATGGTGAAATTTTCCAAGAAAGTCTCTTGTTGTTAAATTCACTATTAAGATTCATTTTACTCGAAAACCAGTTGCAAATTGGACACTTCTATAGTGTGTTAAATCTTGATTTTTCACTGACTTAATGAATCTGAGACTGTCTTGTTTGATTGTTTGCTGACTTTCTGATTTCCAAGTAATCAAAATACTGTTATATTCTCCACCAATTAGGTGGCTCTTTGGATATGATCCCAACAATGAGCAAGGATAAATGGCTACCTTTTAAGATGAATCTGTTCTCCTTATTAGTAGTCTAGCATTTGATAGTGGGAAAAAATGTAAGGGAACTCAATTGGCCTGAAGTTTTCAGCACAACTCTTCTCTATTCTTGGTAGAGTTATGAAGGCTTGATAGTTTTTTGGAGTGAATTCATCAACCTAGTCAATAAAGTCATGTGTCATTTTCCATTAACCGACACAGACCTCATCACATTACTCATGTCTGCATCCAGGAGGCCTGTGACTTAGGGAAATTTTAGCTCATTATTTTAAATTTCATGACAACAGGGACTCATCTTCAGTTACTTTTTAAAAATTTAAATCATGCCCTGCAGATCAGTGAAAATGCCAGCTCTCTGACCACGTGAATCTGAACACATCAAAGCATGAGAAAGGTGACCATCATCGCAGGGAACTTGGAGTGTAAGCGGCGCCGTACCCCATACTACTTCTGTTGATGGGAAAATGAGATCTGACCTGACAGCCCATTAAGTGTGTTTTTGTGCATAATGGAAATAATACATTTCGAGTCACACACTGCTCTGTGATACAAAGCTCATCTTAAATCATGGCCAGTTGTTGTCTCTGCAGTGCCAGGGTGACTCTAAGACTAGAGGGCAGGCACTTTCCTGCGGAGGAGAGAAGGACCGAGGGAATCAGTTCATGTCTTGTTCACGCATGTCTGGGAAGGTCTTTGGTGGGTAATATAACCTTTTCTGAGGGCCTCAGTCTTCTTAACTGAAAAATGATGGGATATAACTAAAAGATCTCTCAAGCTCTTTAACATTTTTTGATTCACCACTTAGAGTGGGAAAGGGATTTTGAAATGTTGTAATGATACTTTTGACCTTCCTTAATGTGTTCATTAACATTATTTTTGTTTTGGTACGAAATATATACAGAAAAGTACAAAATTATAAGAGTGCCTACAGCTCAATGAATTTTGGCATGATGAACGCAATAGTGTAACTAACTTCTATGCAGATCAAGATACAGAGTGTGGTAGGGACTTTAGAAGCTGCTTCTCCCCACTCCAAGGGCTTCCGCTCTTCCCCAAAGGTAACCACCATCCTGACATGGAACCCTGTGTATTGGAATCAGGAGTTATGCACCCTTGTGCAGTTATGAGATTCATCCTTGTTGCTGCATCTAAATATAGCATTAGTCTACTTAGTTATGTTGCATATAATTTATATACTAAATATATAAATATACTAAAACTTATTCATTCATTCTGTTGGTGATAGACATTTGAGTTTCCAATTTTTGGCGATTACAAGGAACAGCACTGTGAATATTCTCTTGGTTTGCATATGTGTCTTGAGTGTACATAGGAATGGAATTTTCAGAGTCATAAATGTATAAGCACAGGTGCAATAGACAGTACTAATCAGCTTTCCTAAGTAGCTGTGTGAAGTTACACTCCCAGAAGCATTTGTGAAACTTTCAAAATGGTTTCAAATCCTTCCCAACACTTGGTCACGTTGATATTTTTCATTTTAGGTATCTGGTGGGTGTGTAGTTTCATATCAATGTATTAATTAATAAGATTGAATACATTTTATATGTTTAATGGCCACTTGAATAACCTTTTCCTTTTTAGTAAAGTGCTATAATCTTTTGTGCATGTAAAAAAAATAGACCCTGTTTTTTTTCTTCTCTCTTGGTGAGAGTATTGTATACATTCTGAGTATAAACATTTTGTCCCATTCTGGAATATACGTATTATAAAATCTTCTCTGACTCTGTGACTTTTTATTTACACTTTTAATGGTGCCTTTTGCTAAACAGAAATTTTTATTTTTTTAATGGAATCCAAATTATTAATGTGTCTTTAGGGTTGGTGCTTTTGTACACTGCTGGAAAAAAAGAAAAAAAAAAAAGCTCTACTTGTCCCAAAGTTGCAAAGGTGTTCTTCCACATGATCTCCTACAAGTTTTATTGTTTGCTTATCACATGTAGACCACTTAATTTTTGTATATGGCATGCAAAAAGTCAACATTCATTTTATCCATGTGGTTATTGTGGTCGATTGATTATAAAATGGTTGCAATGATTTTCCTTTCTGCACCCACACTTTTGGTGGTTGGACCATTTTGCATTCTCACTGGAGGTAAATGAGAGTTCCTGTTTCTCCACATTCTCATCAGTGTTTGACATTGTCAGTGTTTTGGATTTTCACTATTCTAAGAGGTGTGTAGTGGTGTCTCACTGATGTTTGCCTTTGCAATTCCCTAATGACATATGATGTTGAGATCTTTTTATATGCTTATTTGCCATCTATATATTCTTTGATTAGGTGTCTGTTCAGATTTTTGTCCACTTTTTGTTATTCTTGTTGTTATTCTTACTGTTTCTTGTTCTTGGATTGTAAGTGTTATTTATATGCTTTGTGTAACAGCCCTTTATTGGCTATGTCTTTTACAAATATATTCTCCCACTCTGTGTCTTGTCTTCTCATTTTCTTGACATTTATTTCACAGAGCAGACATTTTTTATTTTAATGAAGTACAGCTTGTCAATTATTTCTTTCATTGATTATGCCTTTGATGTTGTATCAAAAAAGCCATTGTCATATCCAAGGTCACCTAGATTTTCTCCTATGTTATTTTCTAGAAGTTCTGTAGTTGTGCATTTTATATTTAGCTGTATGATCCATTGTGAGTTAGTTTTTGTATGGGGTATAAGATCTGCCTTTGGCCGGGCGCGGTGGCTCACGGCTGTAATCCCAGCACTTTGGGAGGCCGAGGCGGGCGGATCACGAGGTCAGGAGATCGAGACCATCCCGGCTAACACGGTGAAACCCCGTCTCTACTAAAAATACAAAAAATTAGCCGGGCGTAGTGGCGGGCGCCTGTAGTCCCAGCTACTTGGGAGGCTGAGGCAGGAGAATGGCGTGAACCCGGGAGGCGGAGCTTGCAGTGAGCCGAGATCCCGCCACTGCACTCCAGCCTGGGCGACAGAGCGAGACTCCGTCTCAAAAAAAAAAAAAAAAAAAAAAGATCTGCCTTTAGATTCATTTTTTAGATTTATTTATTTATTTTATTTTTTGAAATGGAGTCTCACTCTGTTACCCGGACTGGAGTGCAGTGGTATGATCTCGGCTCACTGTGACCTCTGCCTTCCGGGTTCAAGCGATTCTCCTGCCTCAGCCTCCTGAGTAGCTGGGATTACAGATGCACACCACCATGCCTGGCTAATATTTTTGTATTTTTAGTAGAGACAGGAATTCATCATGTTAGCCAGGCTGGTCTCGAACTCCCGACCTCAACTGATCCACCTTCCTCAGCCTCCCTAAGTGCTGGGATTACAGGTGTGAGCCACCGCGCCCGGCAGATTAATTTTTTTACGTGTAGATGACCAATTGTTTCAGTATGATCAGTTTAAAAGGCTATCTTTTCTCCATTCCATTGCCTTTGCTCCTTTGTCAAAGATCAGTTGACTATATTTATGTGGGTGGATTATTGGCCTTTCTATACTGTTCCACTGATCTATTTGTCCATTCTTTGTAACTTTATAGTAAGTCTTGAAGTTAGGTATTGTCAGTCTTTGTTCTCTTCCTTCAGTATTGCTCTGGTTATTTTAAGTGTTTTGCCTCTCCATATAAACTTTGGAATCAGTTTGTTTATATCCTCAAAATAACTTCCTTTAGTTTTGATTGACATTGCAATGAAGCTATAGATTAAAATGGGAAGAACTAATCTCCTGACAAGATTGAGTCTTCTGATCTATGGACATGAAATATCTCTCTATTTAGTTTTTCTTTGATTTCTTTCATCAGTTTTGTAGATTTTTCTCATGTAGGCTTTGCACATATTTTGCTACATTTATATCTGTTTCATTTTTGGTTGCTAATATAAATGACATGTTTCTAATTTTCAATAAATTCTGTTTGGTTGTCACTGGCATATAGAAAAGCAATTGACTTTTGCATATTAAGCTTTTATCCTGCAACTTTGCCGTAACTTATTAGTTCCAGGAGTTGCTTGGTGGATTCTTTCAAATTTCTACCTAGACAATCATGTCATCTATGAACAAAGATAGTTTTATTTATTCTTTTCCAGTCTGTATGCCTTTTATGTAATATTCTTGCTTTATTGCACTAGGTAGCACTTCCAATACAATGTTGAAAGGGAGTGGTAAGAGGAGTCATTCTTATTTGTTCCTGATTTTAGTGGAGAAGCTTTAAGTTTCGCACCATTAATTATAATGTTAACTATATTTTTTGTAGATGGAAGTTCTCCTCTATTCCTAGTTTGCTGGGATTTTTTTTTTTTTATCATGAATGAGTGTTAAATTTTATCAAATGGTTTTTTTCTTCATCTGTTGATATGATCGTGTGGTTTTTCTTCTTTAGCCTATTGATGTAATAGATTACATTAATTGACTTTAGAATATTGAACAGACCTTGCAGACCTAGGATTAATCCCACTTGGTCATAGTATATAGTTCTTCTCATGCATTGTTGGATCCAATTTGCTAACATTTTGTTGAGAATTTTTGTATCGATGTTTATGAGAGATAAGAAAAGCTTTCTTTTCTTGTACTATGTTTGTCTGGTTTTGGTATTAGGATAATGCTGACCTCATCTTAAAATTTAGAAAGTATTCCCTCTGCTCCAATTTATTGGAAGAGATTGTAGAGAATTGGTATAAGTTCTTCCCTAATCTCTGGTATAATTCACAGAGAACCCATCTGGGCTATATGTTGCTTTTTATGCACGGAGTCCTGAGCTCTGAAGCAGTGGAACGTGGGACTGGGGGTCCTAGAAATGAGCCAGAAATCTTCCAGTCAAGGTGGACAACCACTCAGAGCCAAGTTTGGAGGATGATCTGCCATTGCTCATTGTATTGTGATTCTAGGTTTTTGTTTTTTTGGTTTTCTCAGGGAAGGGCCTATTGAAATTTGTAGGAGGGATTTAGTTGCTATTTGAAAACACAAAAATGTTTAAATACACTTTCCCAAATGCATAAATTATACCAAAGAACATCCTGGAAGAGAAGAGGATAATCTATTTATGGAAAAAGAAATTATTACTTGTTCTTTAGCCATCTACCAATGATTTCAGCAAGGTTAATTTTCTGCTTGACTTGGGGGTCATCAGAAATCATCCTGAGCACAGAGCATTGCTGGTGGAAATCCAGTGATCCAGGAAGAACCTCTACAATCTCGAAGATAATATACATGTCCCCTAGCCTAGAGGGAAAAAGAATGAAAAGCAAAGAAACAAAGAAAGTTCCAGTCTTTGAAATAGAGTATGTTTTATTTTTATAATGCCCATCTTTTGGTTGATTCTGCCAAGAAGTGTGCATAAAAGATGTCCATCATAAGAGCTTCTCATGTTGAACACTGGTTGTAATTATTCAGTTGCACTTTTCCTCATGATAAGTTTAAGAAATTTAATAAGTACAAATCGTCTCCCTGGAACAGGTACAATGTATAATAAACAATTTCAGAAAATGGAGTCTCTGTATTTAAATATAATTAAGATAAGTATTATATTGTAACTCAGGAGAAAAAAAGTTCTCCTCTTTGTATACACAATATATGTTGTAAAATTACATGGGGGAGAAAGGCATAATTAGTTGTAAGTCCTTTGGTTACTCTACGGGCAGTTACTAGTAGCTCATCTCCTCTTTGTTTCAGCACCGCTCAAGCTATCTGCCTTGCTGATCAGCCAAAGCCTGTGAAGGAATACAAGTATCCTGAGAAATTGCCAGGAGAATTATATGATGCAAACACACAGTGCAAGTGGCAGTTCGGAGAGAAAGCCAAGCTCTGCATGCTGGACTTTAAAAAGGCAAGTGATTATTGGCACATGCTCAATGCAACATGATTCATAAGACTGTTTTATTTAGTGTAACTGATGTTGATATATTCTGCATTTATTGGGTACCTACCAAATGTCAAATCCTGTATGTTAAGGCTGGTCCTGTATAACGGGAAACACATGTTTCACTGGCAAAGAAGACGACAGGAGATACTGTTGTGGGTATCAGTTTTCATTTGAGAACCGACTTGGCCTGTTAGGTTGGATCTTTCTTTCTGATTTATCGTGTGGGAGCTCAGCAATAACTTTTAGTCAGTGTAAGTTGGCAAATTAATACTCTGCATTTTTTTAAATGATTTTAAAAAAACGAAGTCCCCCTCCTCTCTCCCAATATAAGCATACTTTACTATAAAGCAGCAGCTTACCTAGGGCTACTGATTAATAAATTTCCCTCAAACAAGGTATTTATAGAGTTGTCTCTCATAGAAGGTAATACCTACTCCGTCAACCCCAGGAACTTTACCAGAGTGATTTAGTAACAGAAATTGCTCATGTAACACAGAGACATATGCTCTTGCTAGAAAGGGAAAATCGAGATTTAGGAACCTGCTCTATCAAACACAGGAAAAGCTACCCATAAATTAAATAAAAGTAACTATTTTTAAGGTTTCTTTTATTCTAGTTTATAATAAAATCAAGAAGAAATTAGAGAAAAATATAATCCTCCAGAAACTTCCAAACATTTCAAAATGCATTGGGAATACTCCCAACTTAAATCTAACGTGATAATCATCTTTCTTCTAAAGTCAAGCAGAGCTCCCCCAAAGATCAATTCCAGCTATGTGCCAGAACTGGATCCTTATCTCTTCAGCTGGGGAGTCCCAGACTGGAACAAGATCTGTAAATCCGTCAGCAGCAGCAGACATTCTCAATACTGCCTTTTCTTATGGGCAGAAGATGTGAATTCCCTGAGAAATTTTTTTTTTAGTGTTACTCTTCTGTTTGTTAAGGAAAATGGACATAAAACTAATGGGTTTTTTTCAAAGATAGGATCTTCTAGATTGTGCTTCTGGTTTCCATGGTAGTTAGCTTTGTGACCACGGACTGTGTCATTCATGGTGCCCTGTTGTCATTTGGAAAACATAGGCAATGAAAAGTTAGATGCAAGGTGCATTTTTATTATTGAGGACATATTTACATGGAGAGAAACACATTCATTTTACATGTACAATTTGAATTTTAACAAATGTATTCTCACATGTTACTGGCATCTTAATCAAGACACGTTTTATTTGCATAAGCCAGAACCTTCCCTGTGCCCCCTCCTTCAACCCCTCCCTGACTCCAGTAACAATTATTCTCATTTCTATCATAATTGCTAAATGTTGCCTGCTCTTGAATGTTATAATTACCTTGCTCCATATAGTAACATTAAAAGTAAATTGTATAATATTTCACCATTAATAAGTATGATGTTAGCTGCTGGTTTTTATACAGATACTCTTTATCAAACTGAGGAGGAAGTTCATCTCTAATCCCAATTCGTTCAGAGATTTTATCACACAATTGTGTTGAATATTGTCAAATCTTTCCCTACGTCTATTGATATAGTTATATTGTTTCCTCCTTTGTTCTATTAATGTGGTGAATTATTTTGATTGATCTTTAGTTTTTTCCATTGGACTTTGAATGTCAAGTCAATCTGCCTTCCTGGGATAACCTCACTTGGTCGTAATCTATTGTTCATTTTTATAATCTGCTGAGTTGATTTGCTGATATTTGCTCATGATTTTTACATTTGTGTTCTTGATTGATATTATTGGGAAATTTCTTTCTCATAATTTATTTTCAAGAATTGATTATCAGAGTTGTGCTGACCTAATAAAATCAGTTGACAGTATCCCTTCCTCTTCTGTTTTCTGGAAGAGTTTGTAAAAGATTGGTGTTGTTTCTTCCTTAAATGTTGATTAGAATTCACCAGTGAGCTCTGTCTATGGAAAGGTTTTTGTAATTACTGATTCAACTACACTAATAGATAAAGGGTTATTCAGAAGACACTCCTAACTAGACTGATCAATTTCATTGGAAAAAGTAAAGAAATCATTAAAAGTGACACTAAAGGAGATATTTTTTCAATGAATGGTTATGAATTCCTTTAATTACTGTAAGATCTATAATGATATATCCCCTTTCATTCCTCATAATGATAATATGTATTTTTAAATCTTTTTTTCTTATCAGTCTAGTTAGGAGTTTATCATATTAATCCTTTCAAAAGCATCAATATTGGGCTTAATGTTAATTTGTAAAATTTGTTTGTTGGATTCTTTTCTATTTCACTAAGTTCTGTCTTGTCTTTATTATATTCCAAGGCTAGTATGCCTGTCTTTTTCGTGCCCTTTGAAGTAGCAGCTTGAATCATTGACTTTAAACCTTTCTTATTTTCCTAATATAACCATTTAATATATTTAGAGCTATTAATGTCTTTCTAAGCACATTAGCTGTATCCTGAAAATGTTTACATACTGGGTTTTTAATATTATTAAGCAAAAATATTTTCTAATTTAACTGGTAATTTCATTAACCAACATATTACGTAGAAATATATTAAATATTATTTAATTGCCAAATAATTCTCCAGATAACTTATTAGTTTTGATTTCTAATTTCATAATTTTGTTCAGAGAATATACTCTACATGTACTTTTGAAATGTATTGACACATATTTCATAGCTTAGCCTATGATCTGTCTTGGTGAACATTCTGTGGAGACTTGACATGAATATAAATTCTGCAGTGGTTGGGTAGAATATTCAAGAAATAACTGTTTTTTAAATAATATTTCTTACATCTTCTGCATCATCCATCATATTTCCTACTTGTTCCACCAGTTTTACAAAGATGAGTGTTAAAATCTCCAGCAATTATTACGTATGTTTCTATTTCTCATGTTAGTACTATTAGTTTCTGGGGTTTTTTTTGTTTTGTTTTGTTTTGTTTTTTTTTTTGAGATGGAGTCTTGCTCTGTCACCCAGGCTGGAGTGCAGTGGCACGATCTTGGCTCACTGCAAGCTCTGCCTCCCGGGTTCACGCCATTCTCCTGCCTCAGCCTCCGGAGTAGCTGGGACTACAGGTGCCCACAACCACGCCTGGCTAATTTTTTTGTATTTTTAGTAGAGACGGGGTTTCACCATGTTAGCCAGGATGGTCTCGATCTGACATCATGATAATTTCTGTTTTATATATTCTGAAGCTTCATAATTCGGTGCACATACATTTAGGATGGCTATGTCTTCTGACTCTTTTCTCGTTGTAAAATACCCTCCTTTATTGTTGGGTAATATTACTTTGCTTGATTTCTACTTATTTGATACTAATATAGCCACATCAGCTCACTTAGGATTGCTCTTTGCATGATCACTTTTTCCATTCTTTTGCTTTCAATTTATGTGTGTGTTTATATAAAATGTGTCTGCTGTAAACATCCTTTTGCCTAGTATTGCTTTTCTGTTCATTGAAACAAACTCTGACCTTTTACCAGCATGTTTAGTCTATTTATATTGAATGTAAAAATTATATAGTAGATTTCAATCTACTGTTTTACTATTTGTTTTCTATTAGTCTCATTTCTATTTTGTTTCTCTGTTCCCTTTCTTCTGCCTTCTTTTAGATTAAACTATTTTTTAAATTCAGTATTTTACCTTGACTTGCTTTTTAACTGTACTTCCTTATGTTAATTGATAGTGGTTGCTTTAGAGATTACCGCATGCATCCCTAATTTAGAGTCTATGTAGAATTAACTTTGTGCCCACTTCGTGCAAAATGCAAGGTCCTTACAACAAATAAATCCATGCATCCCTCTTCCTTGCACTATCATTGACATATATTTCATTTCTCTGCAAATTAAATGCAACAAAATGCAATGTTGTAGTTTTTGTTTAAAAATAGCTGCTTTTAAATAAGACAAGAAATTAAACCATCTTTTATATTTATTGTTTAGTATCTATGTTTTCCTATAGGTCTGTTTCAAAGTGGTATCATTTCCCTAAGGCCTAAAGAACTTCCTTTAGCATTTATTCTAGCACGTATCTGCTAGCCACAAATTATCTCCAATTTTCTTTATCTGAAAATGTCATGAATTCATCCTCAGTTTTGAAGATGAAAAGTGTTTGGATAAATCAGTGAAATATACCTTTGGCTTATTGTAAGTTTTAGTTCCAGAATTCCATTTTTTATAGTTTCTGTTTATCTTCTGCATTTTCCCATTTATTCATTTATCTCTACTTTTCCTTGAATAGTATATTATTTTATGTTATAGATACTTCTATTATATTATGTTATTACATATAAGGTGAGTCCTTTTGATCCCCGAAGACTTTGCTTTATTCTTCATTAGGGCTCATCGCTTTCAGTTTTCTCTGGGCCCTGTGGTGTAGCCGGTACTCTCGTGTGTGGTTCTTCCCCATGAGGCATGGACTTCTGGGCTTTCCACTGAATGCCCAGGATGCTCATTGAGGTCTCTCTACTCTGTGTGAGCCAAAACTCTAGTTTCTCCCAGCCCTATGCATCCTCTGTCTTGAAGCCCTCATCAGCTTTCAGCCTGCAGCTGTGGTCCTCTGCTAGGACACCTGGAATCTCCTATGTGGCAGCTGCTCACCCCTTACCGTTAGGACCTGCAGCAAAACCTAAGACAGACACCTGGGGCCCCCAGCCCAATGCAACTTTTTTCTATATGAGCTGACTCTCAACTAGCTGCTGAACAGGCCTCTACTCTGACCTCTGCATCCTCCAGTCAGTGAGACTGCTATCATCCACCTGGTATCCACCTCCCAACAGCGGGGTCTGCAAAGTGCTCCCAGGCAGAGAGGTGGGCAAATGCGGCGTTCATTCTCCTTGCATGTTTTCCTTCTCTCGAGCATCACAGTACTGTGTTGACTATTGTCAAGACCTGAAACAATTGGTCCATATATGTGGTGTATATAACTTCATAGTTTTGTGGCAGTTTTGTTTTGTTTTGCAGAAAAGTGAATTTGATACCAGTTACTTCATAGTGGACGGTGGGAGAAGTAAAGTATCTTTTAAAATTGAAAAAACAGTACATCTATTAAAATCACATAATGTCAGATCATTCCTTATGATATATAAAATTGTTCTTTAACACAAACTTTATGTATTTTCTTTTTTCTTTTATTTACTTATTTATGTTTTGATGGAGTCTTGCTCTATCGCCCAGGTTGGAGTGTAGTAGCACCATCCCAGCTCTCAGCTTACTGGAACCTCTCCCTCCCAGGCTCAAGCAATTCTCATGCTGAGTAGCTAGGGTTACAGGTGCATGCCACCATGCCTGGCTAATTTTTTGTATTTTTTGTTGAGACAGTGTTTCACCATGTTGGCCAGGCTAGTCTGGAATTCCTGACCTCAAGCAATCCGCCTGCCTTGGCCTCCCAAAGTGCTGGGATTACAGCTGTGAGCCACCGCACCCAGCTTTGTATTTTCTTTTAAAAATTAGAAGCTATTTGTGTGGCCAGTATCTCTCAGACACCAAATCTCAAAATTACATATGGTGTGGCAATTAGAGATTTTTAAAAATTTTCTATGTGAATTGAAACATCTCAGAACAATTTAAACTATAAAACTTATTTTTTTTAATGAACACCTGCTCAATTTTTATTTAAAAGGGCCTATTTTGTTCAGATGAAATGTAGAGATCAGGAAGTTTCTTAATGGGAGGATATAAAACAAGAAATAACAATAAGAAGCAAATGGCCCAGTGCCCAGACCAGCCCTGGGCACAGTAGAGTCACTCAGAAATATGCTAATCTAGATGATGGATGGATGATATTTTAGGAAGGGATGAATCTCTTTTAAATAGCTAACATTATTTCCTTTGAAAAGTGAATAGACAATGTAAATGCATATGCATCCTTTTTTTGTATATGTGAATGTATATTTGATGTGTATGTATGTTTACATACTTATGTATAATATGTGACACATATATGACAATGGCTTTTTCTGTCACTGATGTAGAGTGATAATCAGGATTAGTGATAAAAGCATCTCACTGCTTGAAGAATAAATAATGACAATGCCCTGTATATCTGACTGTAACATCAATTGTAACTGCATTCTTTTTTTCCATAAGTCATTGGGGTACAGGTGGTATTTGGTGACATGAGTAAGTTCTTTAGTGGTGATTTGTGAGATTTTGGTGTACCCATCACCCAAGCAGTATACACTGCACCATATTTGTAGCCTTTTATCCCTCGGCCCCCTCCCTCTCTTCAGTCCCCAAAGTTCATTGTATCATTCTTAGGCCTTTGTGTTCTCATAGCTTTGCTCCCATATATCAGTGAGAACATACAATATTTGATTTTCCATTCCTGAGCTACTTCACTTGGAATAATAGTCTCCAGTCTCATCGCTCACTGCAAATGCTGTTAATTGATTCCTTTTTATGGCTGAGTAGTATTCCATTACATATATATATATATATGTGGTATATATATATGTGGTATATATATATATGTGGTGTATATATATGTATGTGGTATATATATATGGTATATATATGTGTGGTATATATATGTGTGGTATATATATGTGGTATATATATGTGGTGTGTATATATATATATATGTGGTGTGTATGTGTATATATATATATATATATATATATATATATATATATATATATATCACAGTTTCTTTGTCCACTTGTTGATTGATGGGCATTTGGGTTGGTTTCACAATTTTGCAATTGTAAATTGTGCTGCTATAAACATGTATGTGCAAGTATCTTTTTTGAATAATGACTTATTTTCCTCTGGGTAGATACCCAGTAGTGGGATTGCTGGATCAAATGGTAGTTCTACTTTTAGTTCTTTAAGGAATCTCCACACTTTTTTCCATAGTGGCTTTACTGGTTTACATTCCCACCAGCAGTGTAGAAGCGTTCCCTGTTTACCACATCCACACACAAACATCTACTGTTTTTTGATTTTTTAGTTATGGCCATTCTTGCAGGAGTAAGTGGTATTGCATTGTGATTTTGATTTGCATTTCCCTGATCATTAGTGATGTTGAGCAGTTTTTCATATGTTTGTTGGCCATTTGTATATCTTCTTTTGAGAATTGTCTATTCATGTCCTTAGCCCATTTTTTTTTTCTTACTGATTTGTTTGAGTTCATTGTAGATCCTGGATATTAGTCTTTTGTCAGACGTATAGATTGTTAAGATTTTCTCTCACACTGTGGATTGTCTGTTTACTCTGCTGACTGTTTCTTTTGCCACGTGAAAGCTCTTTAGTTTAATTAGGTCCCAGCTATTTATCTTTGTTTTTATTGCATTTGCTTTTGGGTTCTTGGTCATGAAATTCTTTTTTTTTTTCTATTTTTTTTTATTATACTTTAAGTTTTAGGGTACATGTGCACATTGTGCAGGTTAGTTACATATGTATACATGTGCCATGCTGGTGCGCTGCACCCACTAACTCGTCATCTAGCATTAGGTATATCTCCCGATGCTATCCCTCCCCCCTCCCCCCACCCCACAACCGTCCCCAGAGTGTGATATTCCCCTTCCTGTGTCCATGTGATCTCATTGTTCAATTCCCACCTATGAGTGAGAATATGCGGTGTTTGGTTTTTTGTTCTTGCGATAGTTTACTGAGAATGACGATTTCCAATTTCATCCATGTCCCTACAAAGGACATGAACTCATCATTTTTTATGGCTGCATAGTATTCCATGGTGTATATGTGCCACATATTCTTAATCCAGTCTATCATTGTTGGACATTTGGGTTGGTTCCAAGTCTTTGCTATTGTGAATAATGCCGCAATAAACATACTTTGACAAACTGAGAAAAACAAGCAATGGGGAAAGGATTCCCTATTTAATAAATGGTGCTGGGAAAACTGGCTAGCCATATGTAGAAAGCTGAAACTGGATCCCTTCCTTACACCTTATACAAAAATCAATTCAAGATGGATTAAAGACTTAAACATTAGACCTAAAACCATAAAAACCCTAGAAGAAAACCTAGGCATTACCATTCAGGACATAGGCATGGGCAAGGACTTCATGTCTAAAACACCAAAAGCAATGGCAACAAAAGACAAAATTGACAAATGGGATCTAATTAAACTAAAGAGCTTCTGCACAGCAAAAGAAACTACCATCAGAGTGAACAGGTCATGAAATTCTTTTCTAAGCCAGTGTCTAGAAGGGTTTGTCCAATGTTATCTTCTAGAATTTTTATAGTTTCAGGTCTTAGGTTTGAGTCTGTAATCCGACTCAAGTTGAAGAGTGTAGTACAGACAATTTGAGGAAGTGAATCTGGTAGTGTGCCATTCACAATATTGAAGCACCACAATGCAGTTTCAGCCCAGCCATCTGAAAATGTTGGTTTTACCTGGGGTGTTATGTTGTGGTGTTAAACCTTAACCAAGTTGGTATTACTGAAATTGGTTTTTGTGAACATAACTCTTAAATTATGGACTAGAATAAAAAGAGAGAGGCTTCATTAAAGATAGTATACCTTAGCTACAAAGATAAAGCAAGAGTAAATACTCTGCGTAGGTTTTGACTCTTTTCTGCCCAAGTTAGGTATTTGTTATTAAAAACATTTTGTCTTCATCGTGTACCTATCATGCTTTATCATCATTGCTTTGGTGGCCTGACCCTGCAATCTGAAACATAAGCCGCCAGAATTGCTTTGAAATTTGATCACCTCAGCATCCTAGGTACTGTTGTTAAATTGGGAGTAACCCCAAAACCCAGCAAGTCTTACATTCCAACTGCCTGGACTCTAGAACCGTGATTTAATAGGATCTTTGTTCCAAGAAGACTCTGAAGTTTCATTAAGGATATAATGACCTACAACAATAGTGCTTTAATAAAACCATGGTATGTTATGTACCATAAAGTTAGCAGTTAAGTCAAAGTGATAAAGTTGGACAGGACAATTGGTTTTTGGCTGCTCATTTGTAGTTTACTTTTCTTTTTTTAACTTTTTCTATTTAATGTTTATGGATACAGAATGGTTGCACATATTTATGGGGTGCTTGTAATACATCGATACTGAAACAGAAGAGTTCCATTTTCCCCCTTGCAGGACATGAGACAGGGGTGTGGCTCGCTCCTTCTGTCACCCCTCTGCTCAAACCCCTAGTGGGAGCACGCAGACAGGCAGGTACAGAGACTGTGGGGAGCACTCTTGGGCTCCGGCCCCACGGCAGCCTCTAGGAGTGGGTGTCTGCAACTCCCAAAGCCCAAGTGAGCATGTGTTACGGTGTGCTCCTTCAGCTTCTCCATCTGTGGATGGCTTGTGTTAACCAGTTCAATAGACCCTGTGCCTTATTCCAAGGGCAGAGGGCCAGTGTGACAGCTTTCTGTATCCTAAGCTCTTTCCCAGTGTACTGGAAAAACTGGGTCACCCCTGTGGCCTCAAAGATGAGTGCGAGGTTTTATTGAGTAGTGGAGGTGGCTCTCAGCAAGGTGGATGGGGAATCAGAAGAGCAGGATGGAGTGGGAAGGTGGTCTTCCCCTGGAGTCAGGCTGCCCAGTGGCCAGACCCTTCTCTGGCTGCCCCCAGCTGAATTCCCCTTAGCATCCAGACATCCCTCCTCTCTTCCTCTGCCACGTCATTCATCTTTCCACCGTCACTGGTCTGCCGGTCTGCTGGTGTCTGCTGGTCTGTTCCTCTGCTTCTCTTGACCACGTTCAGCCACTGTGTGTGCCCATTAAGGTCTCAGGTTTCCACGGGCACAGGATCGGGGGCGTGGCAGGCCAGAGTAGTCTTGGAAAATGCGACATTTGGGCATGAAAACAGGAGTGTCTGTTCTCACTTAGGTCTGTGGTACAGGCCTGAGTGTGGAGCCCTCTCCAGGGACCCCCCCTTCTCTACTCAGCAACTCCCTGCCCCCTCCCATATCAATACAGGCGTACAATGTGTAATATTCAAAGCAGAGAAACTGGGATATCCTTCACCTTAAATGTTCATCATTTATTTGTGTAAAGAACATCACACTCTTCTAGTTATCTTGAAATATACAATAAATTGTTGTTAACTATCGTCACCCTATGGCCCTACTAAACATTAGGTGTTATTCCTTTTATCTAACTGTATTTTTGAACCCATTAACCAACTCCTCTTTATTCCTCCCATCCCCCTCCACTACACTTCTCAGCCTCCGGTAACTATCATTCCACCACTACAAAATCCATTTTTTCACTTCCACGTGTGAATGAGAATGTACAATATTTTTATTTTGTCATCGCAACTCTTTAAGACACTATAGTTTTTATTCGTTTGTATGGGACAGAGTGTCATGTTTATTAAATGGCAGACAAGTACATCTACAGGATACCAAGGTCCCAAATTATGTTTTAAGTGTTGAAAGACAATACCGTGGGTTATATGATCGTCAGTTTCTTCTAACTTTGTGATTTATTCCAGCCTTGAGGACTGGAGTTGGGGATTGAGCAGGTCCCAAAATGAGGCTGAAAAACACAGATGGCATGAGCCGAATCACAGACTGAATTAGAGAGCCACATGACTTGGCAGTGAGCTGTCACCAGCATCCTATATTTGAAGGCTTTATACTTTAAAAAGTTGAAAGCCCAAACCTTTAACAATATCATCATCAGTATTTATTCTGCAAAATGCTCCCCAAAACTAAAACCTAAGAATATTCTGAAGTTACTCTGAATGGTAGTCTGAATCATGGTCATCTTAAGTCATCTTTGGCTTTTTATGATCACGATTTCCTGATTCTTGCTAATGTTATTGTACGTAAAGCTTTCCTGGTCCTCTGTCACTGGTTTTCACAGGAGCAAATGACTACATGTTCCATGTGCCCAGAAAGCATTTATTGAAAGACGAGTAGCAAGCACTGTACCAGATAATGATAAGGAACATAGTAAAATAATTTAACTTTTTTTTTTTTTTTTTTTTTGAGATGGAGTCTCACTCTGTCACCCAGTCTAGAGTACAGTGGTGCCATCTCGGCTCACTGCGACCTCTAACTTCCAGGTTCACGCCATTCTCCTGACTCAGCCTCCCGAGTAGCTGGGACTACAGGCACCCGCCACCACGCCTGGCTAATTTTTTATATTTTTAGTAGAGACGGGTTTCACTGTGTTAGCCAGGATGATCTCGATCTCCTGACCTCGTGATCCGCCCGCCTCGGCCTCCCAAAGTGCTGGGATTACAGGTGTGAGCCACCGCGCCCGGCCAATAATTTAACATTTTAAAACACACTTTACCTTGTATTATTTTGAGTAGCCTTAGAAACAGCCCTGTGAATTAGGACCCTAGATCCCTAAGATCACAGCAGCCACACGGCAGAGCCCTGAACGCAGACGGAGACCTGTGCCATTGTCTCCTCAAGCCCTTAAGCGAGAAAGGAAAGGTGCAGTGCCCTAGTGCCTTTACTTCAGGTGCCAGGCCCTGAGCTGAACACATTACCTATAACCACTGCATTTAGTCCCCAGGACAAGTCCACGATTAGACGTTGCTGTCCTCATGTGCACAGTGAGGACTCAGGGGTCCTGCCTGCCCACATCTGCTTGCAAAATTCACCCTGGAGCTGCTTATCTACCTGGGAATCCCAAACTCTACTGGACCATTGTGGCCATCTCCCAGATCACCCAACCACACAAGCAGCTTCTGCTTTCACCCTCATTCATTCAGTATGAAGGAATCTGCTTTCACACTCATTCATTCATTCCTTAGGTATGCATGCTCAGCCTCCTGAAGCAGGAGGTCTCTACGCCCCATCGGTCCAGGAGGCCTCTGTGAGCCGCCCAGGGGCTGCTCAATCTCTCTCCCTAGTCTCCCGTTCTGACCTATCATATTGCCACCCAGACATCGAGCCGGTGTGCACAGGCTGTGGTTTTAAGGGAGTTTATTTTTATCCTGGCATTCTATCAAGTTGTCATTCCTGCAAGCAAATAGAGCTGGCCAGTTGTCTGTTTGGAGAATTACATTCAGGACCCTTGAATTCATGGGTTCCTTGGGTTCTGCATACATTTTTTTTAATCTCTAAACTCCGTTCTGGCCAAGAACAGAGGCCCCTGACACCATATAGTAATGAACGTAATTAAAGCCTGTCTGAAAGAGAACATACCCGGGTGCTCGCAGCAGTCTTCATGGGAGCAGCCATAGGAGCATCACTGTTTGTTCCCTGCTGACAAAGACCTCAGCCAGGCAAAGCCCTGGCCATTAACACAACACACTTATCACAATGGCGAGGATCCCAGGGGACTCGAAAGATCATGACATTTCATTGCACAGTGATTGTAACCATATGAGATTTTAAACCACAGCGCAATATGAAAGCAATTGATATCTGAATTAAAACACTGAACGTTTACTTGTTAACATTTCAAGCTCCAAAATCTGGTTTATTAGTGAAGGAGATATAGCCAGGGAAAATACGAAGCTGTGTCTTTAATAAGCACCTTAACTTCTAAGTATATAATGAAATACATGCAGGAGATTTAAGAACTGGTGTTAAAACCCTTCATGAGATGACTCACACAATGCAGAAAACCTTCCTTTAACATGGTGGAAATATGGAGTGAGATCACCAGGCAGCAAAATGCCATCTTCCCAGCTGCACTACGTCGATGTGTTTCACTGCCTTGCATTTTCTTCATGACATGAATCACCCAGTAGATGCATCCATTTAATTTCTTGGGGGAATAATGCAGCACTTGTTTAAATGTTCTGAACACTTGTGCAGACAATTTAAGAAATGTTTTCAGCATGTCCAGTTGAGTCTACCGCCAGCATTCCAGAAGGTTCCATCATTTCACAAGTCCTACTGTTTGCCCTTCATTGAGACATTCCTTTGGACTCAGTAAAAACAATTCCTTGCACTCGGAGAGTCTTTTATAGTTTACAAATCTTTTTCATTGGGGCATCTCTTTCTGTATGCGCCAAATGGTGATTTACAGCAAATTCCTTCTTTACCCTATGAAGACCAAGAGGCAAAGAAGGTCATGTTCACAATGGAACCTCTTGCCTGGCAAGATGCCTCACATATTTTAAGCCTTAATCACAGATTTGGGGATGGTGGATGCATGGTTAAATGGATGGATGGATGGATGGATGGATGGATGGATGGATGGACAAGTGAACAAGCATCCTAAACATCCTTAATTTAAAAATAAGAATTCAGACTTGGACAGATTCAGGAAGGTGGGGTTGAGAAGGATACATTATGAAATATTAAGTTTAGTTTTTTTATTTTAACTTTTTATAGTTTTCTGCAATGTCTGAATTAAGCATATTTTACATTTTAATTTAGAAAATATAATTTTGTTAAAAAGATAATATATAAATAAAACAAATAAAGTATAAGAGATGGAATTAATTTGAACCAAGTCTAGAGCATGAGTCTCCTTACACCTTACTCTATTATATGCTATCATATTGCTAAGTAGGCATTCGCTTGTAAATTATATCTGTTGTTTTCACCTTAAATCTCTCAGTGATATTTTTATTATAGATGAATTGACAATATGATGTAATCCTAATGACCTTTTACAAAATTTCTTTAGGACATCTGTAAAGCCCTGTGGTGCCATCGTATTGGAAGGAAATGTGAGACTAAATTTATGCCAGCAGCAGAAGGCACAATTTGTGGGCATGACATGGTAAGAAGCTAACTGTAGGTACAGCATCGTATTCAGATGCTAGTCTTTCAACCCATGCATCTTTGCTCCTCTTGCATAGGTATTTTTAAAACATGTATTTCTCATATACATATGCATACCCATGCTCCTATCAAACACTGTGTTTATTTTATATTGATAATGTGAAGAGGAATCCTTTTCTCACTTTTGTGAAAATAAAATTGATGAGCTACCTGGAATTCATAGACATAGAAATCAGACAACAGGTGATGACAGATTCAGTCTATTGAGGGGAAACATTAAGCCATTGACCACCATTTATCATGGAAAGGACCAGCATTAAACAGTGCTGTGAAAGCCACAGAACATCGGTTTGAAGACCCTGGAGCACATCATTTTCACCTATTGTTGCCTCTGTGAGAAGAGAGAGAGCTATGGTAGAGAAAAGAAGAAGTATACAAGATGTTGCAGCAATGTGGACGTAGTTGGAGGCCATTCATTATCCTAGGCAAACTAATGCAGGAACAGAAAACCAAATACTGCATGTTGTTACTTATAAGCAGGAGCTAAACACTGAGTACACATGGACACAAAGATGGGAACCATAGACCCCGGGGACTACTTAAGGGGGGATGGTGGGAGGGGGCAAGGGTTGAAACACTATCCCATATTGTGCTTGCTGCATGGGTGATGAGGTTATTCGAATGCCAAACTTTAGTGACACGTAATCTACCCATGTAACAAATCTGCACATGTACCCCTGAACCTAAAACAAAAGTCGGAAAAAAAAGAAATATACAAGATAACAAGTTTATTACTAAATGGTAAAGAATGACAATTTCATTATTAAAACTTTAAAAAATTATAATACTCCATACTAATATTTTAATTCTTTTGATTTAACTTATAATTACATTTTTTAAATATAAAAGACTATTAATAAAGATAGATCCTGGACCCACATTATCACTATAACTATTTTTGCTTTTTATGTATCTGAGTTTTTAGTGGCATTAGTGAATATGAAATGATATTTAGGCATTGATCTAGTATGGTGTTTGAACATGCCTAAATATCATTGTTCTATTATGTTTAAATACCAAAGAAAATATATCACATCTTATACATATTCGAATGTGACTACAGACAGAAAGGTTTTAAAATGTTAACAACAATGCTAACACACGTTTTCAGGTTAAATTATTGCAGTGCCAACTGAAGAAATGAACAGAAATAAGATAAACTTATTGAGAATAGCCCCCAGCCACCATTCATTCTGGACACATTGCTAATATGCTTTTTTTTTCAGTTCCTCGAAGGGCGTGAAATTGATCATTGAATTCTTCTAATTCATTGAATTCTACTAGTGATCCAGTGATCCAGTTGATTTAATCCATAATATGTAATGGTAATAGCAATGCTTTCAGTTTCTTTTCTGTTTTTTGAGACAGAGTCTTGCTCTGTCACCCAGGTTGGAGTGCAGTGGTGCGATCTCAGCTAACTGCAACCTCCGCCTCCCAGGTTCAAGCAATTCTCCTGCCTCAGCCTCCTGAGTAGCTGGGATTATAGGCGCCCGCCACCACACCCAGCTAATTTTTGTATTTTTAGTAGAGACGGGGTTTCACCATGTTGGTCAGGCTGGTCTCAAACCCCTTGACCTCGTGATCCACCTGCCTGAGCCTCCCAAAGTGCTGGGATTACAGGTGTGAGCCACCACATCCGGCCAACTGCTTTCAGTTTCTTGAAAGAAAATGAGTATAATGAGATATGGCATGGAAATTCTAATTGTCAAAGGACATCAGGTAATTTACTTGAGTGTTAAGCTGCAGATAATCATGACTTTTCTGCTGTCATTGATTAAAATGGATTATTCAGGTGATCATTTGCAAAATTATGCCTGTTTCTTAAAAGACCAACAGCCTTTCTGATGTTGCCTTTGAGCTATTGCCTGCATGAAACACAAGGTGGTCCTCCAGGCATCCTGCTTTCTGTGTGGTCAGGTGCTACTTTTCCCTGGGTAATGTAGTTGTGATGCTTTTTCACAATAACCTGTACATTCTGGTTACATTTTATTTATCTCAAAGGCACCATTAAATTGATTTCCATTGATATTTGACATTATTTTCCCTTGTATTTCAAATATAGCTTTTTCCTTTGTACCAAAAAAAAACAAAAAGGCTATGCTGAGATAGAGTAGGTTCCTAAAAATTACACAGCTGAACCATGGTCCAAAGCAATAAAGTTCTGTCCAGGGTCACCTGGCTGTTCAGTGGCCAGTGTGGGACTCTGTAAGCCAAAGCAAATAACTGAGGCAAATCTCAATGAATGTAGAGGTTTACCTTTCCAAAGTTGGGGATGTGCTCTGGGAGGGGGCGGGACAAAAATCACAGGAGGACCTGTGATCCCTGCTCTTTCCAAAGAGGACTTTAATGACTTCAGTATATAAAGAGGAAAGAGACCGGGCGCAGTGGCTCACGACTGTAATCTCAGCACTTTGGAAAGCTGAGGTGGGCAGATCACGACGAGGTCAAGAGATCGAGACCATCCTGGCCAACACGGTGAAACCCTGTCTCTACTAAAGATACAAAACTTAGCTGGGCGTTGTGGCGCATGCCTGTAGTCCCAGCTGCTCGGGAGGCTGAGGCAGGAGAATAACTTGAACCCGGAGACGGAGGTTGCAGTGAGCTGAGATCATGCCACTGCAATCCAGCCTGGGCAACAGAAGGAGACTTGGTTTCAAAAAAAAAAAAGGAAAGAGGAGCAAAGGAAGCAGGAAAGAAGAAAGAGGGGAGAGTAGACAAATAAGGCCAGCAGTTGCATTCTTTGGAAGCTTCAGTCAACACTCACTGAATCCACATTTTACATGTGAGTGGAGGATTGAAGATTCGTGAGTATAAAGAAAACATAGAGTAGAGGAAGCAGGCAAATATGCATTTGCCTGGGGTGAGTGGAGAGATGAATTTTAGTCTTGTCTTTGCCCTGTATCTGTGAAGATAATTAATTCACATGGTCATGGTGAAATTAATTCATTAATTCACATGGTCATGGTGAAATTAATTCATTAATTCACATGGTCATGGCGAAATTCAACAGAGCTCTGTTTTAGGGTAAAGATTTGGGGGCCCACAAAGAACTTCCTTGTGAGTAATTTGTGAGGGAGTCCACCCATGGAGACACGTGGCCTTCCATCTTCGCATCTCTCTATTTAGAATCAAAATGGGAGGCGGTTTTTGCACGACTCAGTTCTCAAGCTTAACTTTTCCTTTTGGTATAGTGAGTGTGAAGGTCCAAGATTTTATTTTCCTTTCATACGTTGTATTTTCTCAGGCTGCTGACAAAGATATACCTGAGGCTGGATAATTTATAAAGGAAAGAGGTTTATGGACTCACAGTTCTACATGACTGGGGAGGCCTCGCAATCATGGTGGAAGGCAAAGGAGAAGCAAAGTCATACCTTACATGGTGGCAGGCAAGAGGGAGCTTGTGTAGGGGAACTCTCATGTATAAAACTATCAGATCCCATGAGACTTATTCACTGTCATGAGAACAGCATGGGAAAGACCCGCCCCCATGATTCAATTACCTCCTACCAGGTCCCTCCCGTGACACATGGGAACTGTGGGAGCTACATTTCAGATGAAATTTGGGTAGGGACACAGCCAAACCATATAAGACATCCAAGTCTCACGTAAACAGTCCCTTTTGATATTAGTTGTGTGTCTGTGTGTCGTTGGTTTGCATGTACCCCTGAGGTTTATCAGTTTAGATGTGTGTGTGGCCAGCGGTCAGTATCCCACTGTTGTTCTTCTTGATGGCACCTCGTCTCCTCTCTCTGCTACTGAGGGTGCTGCTGAGGCTCCACAGTGGTTGCATAAGGTGGTAACATAGACTGATATTTATTTCATTTTTAATGCCAAATTCTAAGCTTAGTACATTTCATCCTCAAAACAGCCCTACAGGTGAGCCTAGTGCAGTCCCCATTGGACATTCCAGAGTTCTTCTGGGAAAGAGACCCTGGGTTCCTCTGTGGTCACCCCAGGAGAAATCCAGGGCAAGGGGTGGGGACCACAGCTGAAATGCGTATCTGATGGATTCTAGCTCTTCGGTCACTGGGGACCTCTCTTGTGAAATCAAACCAGCTGTCACTGTGTGATTCTATCAGGTCCAGTGCTAGGCACTTGGCCTAGTCCTTACATTGAACCCTCCCTCTGAACTCATTCTGGTAGTTTCTATCATCGCTAATTTCAGAAGAGGACACCGGGCTCAGAGCACATGGGTGCCTTCCCCAGGTCACGCAGCTCGCAGAGCAGATCTATGATGCCCATTTGATGACTCAGTGCTTTTTTTCCTGCTTTAATACACTGCTCCCCTGCATCTACTGCGTTTAGGTGTGACGTGCTTATTTTGTGAACAGTAATCGCCACAGGCGTAGGGACTGTGTTGCGGCATCTTACTCTCTAAGATAAAGCCTTTTTCATAAGTCATCGTATCTGTCAATAAAATACAAAACTGTGATAAAGTCAGTCCTAAGAAACCTAATTGGTATTTCCGTGGAAATCTATATATATATTTAACACAGCATTCTTAATTTTGACCTGATGGCTCCACCGGTCTGTTGTGTGCCTAAAATTAGATCTAATACTGTGTGTGTGTGTGTGTGTGTGTGTGTGTGTGTGTGTGTGTGTCTCTACATGCACTTATATTTCCCCCAACCTCCTTAGCAGAAGATACAGTGCTTTCTCATCAGATTCTCAAAATTTTTTTGTTTTAATACTTTTTAAAAGTAGGAAAATCATTTAAGGATACTCTAACAGAAATAACAAAAGATGTAAAAACCAAAGTTACTTTTGCACTGTCTTAATAAATGCATCTTTTGGTGTTTCCTTTGCCATTACTTTTGATTGCAAAAACTGCAATTGCTTTTGCATCAGCCTAATACAAGGAATTGCAACAGTCATTATCACAGCAAAAGACTGGAAATAATGCAAATGTCCATCAGTAGAGGACTGGTTGGATAAACACCCCATGGAATATTATGTATCTGTAAAAATGCGATGAGGGACATGTCTATATACTTCTGTGGAATGATGAACAGAACATATTGTTAAGTGGAAACGTAGGATGGAAAAAATTCTGTGTAATATGCTGTCATTTATCAAAGAAAAGGAAATACTAATCAATAGCTATTTGCTTACATTAAAAAGGATAAACCCTAAATGCTGAAAAAGCTTGTAAATATTTTAGATAACTTAAAATGCTGTTAAATAATCCCTAAACATCAAAGGCAGAATGAAACATTTTGAATGTATCAAGTTGTTAGCTTAACCAGAATCCTAACAGAAGAATTATTTCAAGAGACTTTAAACTCCAGTATTAGACTGTACATTCCAAGTGGGATAGATTCAGTGGAGAAAAAAGATGCTACAAATAATTTTAAACTGTTTTCAGTAATCACGTTATTATTGATGGATTTATTTTGCTAGGATAAAGGAAGTACTAACTGTGCTTATATTGTTAAGAACCAAGATTTTTAATATATAAAAGAGATACAAATATAAAATCAAAGAAGCTAAGTAACATTTATAGTCCTAAATTTAAAATTAATACATTTCTAAGAACTAATGAAGTATTTTTTCTTTAAAATTAAAATTTTTAAAGATACACTCACACAAAAGCTCTATTTACCAACTCAGTAACAATAACCACCCTTCAAACAGATTAAGAGGCTGTAGCCTCTTAATCTAGTTTTCTCAATAAAAGGAGCCAGAACTTTTTGTATAAATGGATGATTCCAGGCCTATAACAAGTGTAAACAGTGTAGTAGAGGTTCCTCTTCAAAGAGACTTTTCTCCCCATCTAATTAGGAATAAATACTAACTTCCCTTAGAAGCAAAATTTATTCAAGACCCGTGCTAGCATTCTTAGATATCTGCTAGCCGTAATAAAGAAATCAATGTACTTTGTGTTCTTAGCTCCCACATTTTAGCCTGAATATTTGCCCTGGCATGCTTATACTGGTCCAAGCAAGCATTAGGTCATAGCCTGTTCCTCTTCCTTATTTGAAGGTGTTTTTACCTTTGTCAGCATTCCACAAGTTACTTCTTCCTTCCTTTGTTCTCCTCTGCCTTTGCCTCTTTTAAGAAGTTCTAAGTTGGCCGGGCGCGGTGGCTCACGCCTGTAATCCCAGCACTTTGGGAGGCCGAGGCGGGTGGATCACGAGGTCAGGAGATCGAGACCATCCTGGCTAACACGGTGAAACCCCGTCTCTACTAAAAATACAAAAAATTAGCCGGGCGCGGTGGCGGGCGCCTGTAGTCCCAGCTACTCGGGAGGCTGAGGCAGGAGAATGGCATGAACCCGGGAAGCGGAGCTTGCAGTGAGCCGAGATTGCGCCACTGCAGTCCGCAGTCCGGCCTGGGCGACAGAGCGAGACTCCGTCTCAAAAAAAAAAAAAAAAAAAAGAAGTTCTAAGTTGCTAACCAATTGGGATAAATAGAGAACGTTAGGTTCCGTTCCAGTCAATGGAAACCAGACACTGCAGTAAGGTGGATGTGTCAGGTTATAAATGACCTTGTATCCTTTGTTCGGTGTACTCTGGTGGCAAAACTGCTGGCGTGTATACCCTTTCTGCAGAAAGTAAACTAGCCTTGCTGAGAGATCCTTTGTCTCAGTGTTGATTTTTTTAACACCAAGCAGCAGTTCCCAACACAAGGAATGTACAAGATGAGCCTCGGATACCTTGCTGAGTCAGAAAGCTAGAAGCCTGCCAAAGATTCCTGGCTCCTGTCAAGAGGAAACTCAAGAAACATTTCCAAAAGAAACATATGACATTAGCATATTTTTCTTTATCATTTAGAGAAAAGCATCGTGGTTTTCCTGTACGATCTCAAACTCAGGGTACTGAGATATTTGGTGAAGGTTGTTTTTTCTTAAAAGAAGTAATCCAGCCAGTCATGAAAAAGAAAAAAGAATTAGAATATCATTAGCCTTGCAACACTCAAAGATGTAAAGGATCTGGGAAATGATTGTTAATGGCTGCTAAAAGTATTAGGTGGGAAGCTGATGGGGACCTTTGCAAGTCAGCCTATATTCCCTGAACACTGAAGCATCCTAACACCAATGCTCTGGGCCTCACCAGGCATTCTGTGTGCATATACATGAAGCCATCAATGGTGCAATCTTGCCAAAAATCCAACTCTGAACCTAACCAATGCCTTAGATCCAATTGCCTGATTATAGCAGATCTAGAGAACCCAGGGGACGTGTTCAATGGCACCACAGAGATGGAGCTGGCAAGATCCAGAATATGGGAAACTCCCAACAAACAGATCCATTATTTTATCACGTGAATTCAGGAAAAACAGAACGTCAAGGGAGAGTTTGAATGTGGAGAGAGACATGAGAAGCATGTCAGCTGAATGCAATAAACGAACCGTGTTTTGATTGTGATTCTATGTTAACTGAGAGAAAATAAAATACCAAATTGGAATTTTGAATACTCACTAGACATTTGATGATATTAAGGAATGATTGTAGGTTTCTAGGTATGATAATGGTGTTGTGGTTATGTTTTTTAAAGTTCTTAATTTGGAGAACCCTTAGTGAAAGAGCTTCGAAGAAATGATTTCAAGTCTGGGAGTCAGTGTTGGGAGAGAGAAAGTGGACAAGCATTTATGTGAAATGAGACTGGACGTGAGTTATTAAATGTTGAGGCAGGACTGCAGGTTTCAAGGGCTCCTGTACTATTTCCTCTACTTGTGTATATCTTTAAATCTTTCATTAAAAAATAAGCTTTTTACAAAAACAAAACAGTGAAAGCTATTACCATGTCAATACGCCTTTCTGAGTCTATGAACTTTGCCAGGTAACAACAGCAAATCAACAACGATGTTATGATGCACATTGAGTTTGCTCACAGATTCCTGGTAAAAACAGTGCTTCTTTGATAAACATCCTTGCTTTTGAGACAGCGCTCCTGTCTTCCACTAACCTGACCTCATTCTGGGGCTTCGAATCCTGTTCTTCATCTTCAAACCAAGAGAGATTTTCCCAGAAATATTTTCAGTTATTCAACCTGTTGAAATTCCATTTTTATGTTTCATGTCTCCTGCATTAGAAAGCTATGACCAGATGGTTTTTAAAAAGGGGGGAAAAGAAAACGACAACAACTAGCACACACCTGGCATCTCCTTCCTCTCTGACAACCGGTGCAACCTCACTCCTGTCCCCACACCTGTAGGATGCTGTCCAAGAGCAGGAGCCTATTCCAGGCAATGGGCTTCTCCTTGAGCCTGAGACAGTGGACTTTGTTCTACACCGGGTGGGAGGGCAGGCAGGGATGGAAGAGATGATGTTGTTTTGCTTAAAGAAAAGAAATGAATGGATGAGGCTTTACTCTTCAGAATTTCTTGTTTTTAAATGGAATTGTTCTTACTTAAATAGCATTAAATGGGGCCATTTGAACTGCCATAGTATGTGCCAACACTGGTCAGATATCAGTAGTTTGATATGTGTTACCCTAATACCTCAACTAATAATAGAAGTATTACTTTCCTCCTATGAAAGTAGCCTTTTTTTTTTTCTGTCAGTACAAATCTAGTGGCTCTAATCTTGGAGATAAAAAGGGACTTGACTTCAGGTCTCCCCAGCCCACAGACCAAGCTCTTCTCACTCCACTGGGGCCAGGACAAGAGACAAACATCTTCCTTCTTCCTCGCAACAGACAGTCTGGACAGTCTGGACCTTTAAAATCTTAGAAGTTCATACCAAACCACCCAGGGAACCACCGCTGTTGGACACGGTGTTAAATAGTGCATAGCACTGATGTGTGGTGCAGTGAATTTGCCATGCGGAATTTAGCATGAATTAAAATGAATGAGCACTTGTCTGGAGAAAGGGGAAGAGATAGCATCTCCAGCCTTCGTGGGGACAGATGAAATTCCACATGGATTGCTTCATCACCCTGGAAGCTGCGTGACCTCTAACATGGCATCAGTTAATCGTCCCAAGGCTCCGAGCCCAGGTGCTTTGGGGGGAAAGCACAGACTATGGGCCTGAAATGACAAGGTGTTGAGCCATGTGGAGCCTCCAGCTGTGCTTTCCTACCTGAGACTCTCTCTGTTCTGAACATGAGATGTGAAAAGCACCTTGTTTTCAGGACAGGTCAGAGTTCACCGACTTGGGAGTTGAACAGCCAGACTAAGTATTCAGATAACACTCCTTCATTAAAAGTGTCAAGTTTCCGGGAGATCAGACATTTGAAAATGATTTTTCTATTCATTTTCCCTGTATGTGAATTTATAGGAGGATGCTAGGTTGGGTAAGGAAAAAAAAAACAACATTGAATGTACTGTATTTATATTAGGTGCTGCTTGAGTGTAGGGGGAGGCTAATGTCTGCATAGTTTACAAAATTCCCCACTGCTCAGCCTTATAGCAGTGATGAGATGAACCCATCTATCCATCTGTGTGAGTCAAGTCAACTTATTTATGTTGAAAATTTTAGTGGTGCCGGGGAGGACAGTGTGTGAAATATGGTGATGAAGGCCCCAAGCCCACCCATGGCCACTGGTCGGACTGGTCTTCTTGGTCCCCATGCTCCAGGACCTGCGGAGGGGGAGTATCTCATAGGAGTCGCCTCTGCACCAACCCCAAGTAAGTATGCCTTGACCTCCTTCCTCACAAACGACTGATTTCCATGCCATGAACCCTCCAAGCAGTATGCCTGTGTCTCAGCTCTTTTTTTTTTTTTTTTTTTTTGAGATGGAGTCTCGCTCTGTCACCCAGGCTGGAGTGCAGTGGTGTGATCTTGGCTCACTGCAACCTCCGCCTCCCGGATTCAAGCTATTCTCCTGCCTCAGCCTCCCAAGTAGCTGGGACTATAGGTGCCACCACCACGCCCTCCTAATTTTTGTATTTCTAGTAGAGACACGGTTTTACCATGTTGGTCAGGCTGGTCTCGAACTCCTGACCTTAGGTAATCCACCCGCCGTGACCTCCCAAAGTGCTGGGATTACAGGTATGAGCCATCGCGCCCGGCCTCAGCTCTTAATAGCAAGCCTGTACTGTACATATAATCGTAAGAAGCACTGAATAGGAAAGGTATTTCACTCAAGCATTTCTTAATTACCTCTCTGTGCTATAACTTAAGATGCTTATAACTACCTGACCACAGCAAAAAAATAACAGCAGCAACAGTGATATTCAGGAATTGAATTTTAACCACATTTACTTGACATACCAAGGATCTGCTTAAAACAAATAAATAAATCATAAGAAAAGTGTATAGAATACAAATAAATAAGATCAGTAAGAACAATGGTTTTACGTGGAAAAAAGCAAATTTGGGGGTTTTCCATCAAATATATTTACCTTCACAACAGGAGGTTTAACTGCCAGCTTCTGTAAGAAGTAAGAATGAATGTGAGAAGCATCACCAGTGTGCGGAAGTGAAGAGGCTTTAATTTTTAATTTTTTAAATTTAACTTTTATTTCAAGTTCAGGGGTAGAGTATAGGTTTGTTACATAAGCAAACTTGTGTCACGGGTGTGTGTTGTGCAGATTATTTCATCGCCCAGGTATTAAACCTAGTATTCATTAGTTATTTTTTGCAGTCCTCTCCTTCCTCCCACCCTCCACCTTCCAACAGGCCACAGTGTGTATTGTTTCCCTTTATATGTCCATGTGTTCTCATCATTCAGCTCTCACTTATAAGTGAGAACATGCGGTATTTGGTTTTCTGTCCCTGCGTTAGCTTATTAAGGATAAAGGTCTCCAGGCTCCATCCATGTTCCTGCAAACAACATGATCTCTTCCTTTTTTATGGCTGCATGGTATTCCATGGTGTGTATGTACCACATTTTCATTATCTGGTCTAACATTGATGGGCGTTTAGGTTGACTCCATGTCTTCGCTATTGTGAAGGTGCTGCACAATGAACATTCATGTGCGTGTGTCTTTATGGTAGAATGATTTATATTCCTTTGGATATATACTCAGTAATGGGATTGCTGGGTCAAATGATATTTCTTTTTGTAGGTTTTTGAGTAATTGCCACACTGTCTTCCACAATGGTTGAATTAACTTACACTCCTACCAAAGTGTATAAGTGTTCCTTTTCCTCCATAACCTCGCCAGCACCTGTTATCTTTTAGCATTTTAATAGTAGCCATTCTGACTGGTGTTTTTCACATCTCCCTTTGCCCTTAAGCTTGTTTAAGATGTGTCACTTGGCTTGTTGTTTCAGTCCCATCTTTAAAGCATGAGCTCACCTCACCCCCTACGCCACGCTGTACCCCTTGCGCTGCCCGCATTACCAGTGTGTACATGCAAATTCTCTGGGGTGAGCTGTCAGTGCCAACCAGCAAAGGTGACTGGTTCTTTAGTCTTGGTCTTTGGGTCCTGGCCTTGTCACCAGAAGACTGGTGGTGGAAAGAAATTTTGGTCTTGAAAGCAAAGTCATTGAACTTCCCTCTGAGTTCCACATTCTCTCAAATGTGCTATCCTGGGAAAGTGTGGTCCTCCTCAATCAGCCCCTCCCTGTGCAGGGTGAGGACAGCCCTGCCCACCCTGCCTCACCACTGCAGAGGCACTGGGCCCAGAGAGGAGCAAAGACAGGCCAGCCTGCCCTGCTGCTCTTGTAAAGGATTCACTCAATAGAAAAGGGAGTGCAACCTTACCATTCGTGTGTAAGAATGTGTTCTAGACCACTTAGAAATCCACTTTTCCAGCTGGGCGTGGTGGCTTCTACCTGTAATCCCAGTACTTTGGGAGGTTGAGGTGCACGGACAACAGGGTCAAGAGATCAAGACCATCCTAGCCAACATGGTGAAACCTCGTCTTTACTAAAAATACAAAAATTAGCTGGGTGTGGTGGCGTGTGCCTATAGTCCCAGCTACTCGAGAGGCTGAGGCAGGAGAATCACTTGAACCCAGGAGACAGCGGTTGCAGCGAGCCGAGATCACACTACTACACTCCAGCCTGGGTGACAGAGCGAGACTCCATCTCAAAAAAAAAAAAAAAAAAAGAATCCACTTTTTTCCTAATTACCCATTCTAACACTCTTAGCTTCATCTCTCCAATAAGCCTAATTTTAAAGAATTTAGTAGCTACTAAAATATAAAAATTCTAACTTCAAAATACACATTCCAGGCCATCGCATGGAGGGAAGTTCTGTGAGGGCTCCACTCGCACTCTGAAGCTCTGCAACAGTCAGAAATGTCCCCGGGACAGTGTTGACTTCCGTGCTGCTCAGTGTGCCGAGCACAACAGCAGACGATTCAGAGGGCGGCACTACAAGTGGAAGCCTTACACTCAAGTAGAAGGTAAATCTCAAACTGCTTTCGGGTAATAGCCTCATGCTTTACTACCTTTACTTTTTAAAGAAGTACATGATTGAGAGTGTGGTGCACAAATAAACCAGACGTCGCTCTGGGAGGTGAGGGTCGCATATTCTCTTCTGGAGGTTAGTTTTATTTTGCCAGCCCCACCATCACGACCTCTTATCTAAACTTCACCAGCGGTGAGGTCAGAAATCAACACACCAGATAGAAAGCGTGTGCATAATACAATGAAACTCATCAAAGAAGTGATAAAAAACACAAAGTAGATCCTGCATGGAAATTGAATCAGTATGTTTTTGAATTAAGAATTACAGTAGTTGTTGCTATAAGCAAGTTACCCATTGAATACTTATAATTGTCAAAGAATGAAAAAGAAATTTCAGTATATTTTAGAAAATGGAACAATTTTGAAGCATAGTATGTTCAGAAAGTCTTGATCTATAACTATACACCAAGAAGTTTATTTGTGGCATGTATAAGACTTTACTCCCCAGTGGGAAAGAAATAAGTGTTGTTTTCATGATTAAAATAACTTAAAGTCAGTAGCTCAAGTGGCATAATTAAGGAGAAATTCAAAGAAAACCTAATCATCTCATTGCTTGAAACTGGGAACATTGCCCGAAAAAATGACAGAAGCCCTTTGGATGTACATAAGTGGGACGTCCCATCTGACATTCCCATTCATCATCTCAGTGCATACAGTGTTTTCACAGTGTCAGGTTCATGCAGTTAGAAAATTCTGAAAGGAAATTACAAGCAATTTCCCGGAAGCATGTTTGGTTGTCCCTTTACTCCTAAATCTGTACAAATGTAGCCAGTATGATACAGGCCACTAGGGAGGAGAGAAAGGTAGAATGAACTTTGAAACCGTGGTTCAAAAATGTGTGTGTATTCCTCCTGACTGCCAATCTTCAGTGAATAAGCTCATTAATCATGGAAGCACACAGTAATCATGGACGCACACACTAAATTTGATTCTTAGAATTATTCAGTTGGGCCTCTTATCTTGAATGATAAGGAAAATATCTGTAGATGAGTCTCAGGCCTATAAAAATTTCTAAGACAGATGAAATTTTCATCATTAATTGTCCCTCCCCTTTTTTTTTTACCAAGAAGAGAACAAAAGGGGCAAAATGGTTTGAAAAAAAGTTCATATTAAATATAAACCAAAAACCTTGAAATGGATTATTTAGGAAGGAAGTAAACTTCCTATTTCTCTAGGTACCAATATTTTAAAACAGTTTATTGTATTTGTGGAAAACATTGTTCTCGAGACTTCATCTAAGTTATTCCTTTTATTAGTTTAATTTTTATGTATTTTACCAAATGCGTTAAGAAATTCAGTGATGTTTTTGATTCTTTTATTACATTTTATCTGTAAGAATTTTGTGTGTTACTACAAAATGGCAGTTTTTTTTTTTGGATTTCTACAAGATAGTAGTTAATGATACTAGTGAAATAGTAAAGCATTAATGTTGTAGCCAACAAATATTTATTGAATGCCTACTATGTGCCAAACACTGTATAAAAATCAAAGGTCTTAAAGGACACTGTAGAGTAAAATTTAACATTGAAGCAATAAATAAATTTAAAGAAACAAAACAAAACATAATGAGGCAACCATTAAAAATGCCATTGTAATGTATTATTGTGTGGGAGTTATTTTATGGGGGAAGAAAGAAAGTCTATCTAAAATTCAGAGCAAAAATGATCAGAGCTTAAGTATTTTTCTTATTTGTGTTTGTGTGTGTATTTCTTTTTAAGATCAGGACTTATGCAAACTCTACTGTATCGCAGAAGGATTTGATTTCTTCTTTTCTTTGTCAAATAAAGTCAAAGATGGGACTCCATGCTCGGAGGATAGCCGTAATGTTTGTATAGATGGGATATGTGAGGTAATCATGATCCTTCATTCATTCAACAAATGATTCCGGACAGTCTGCTTTGTGTCAAGCATCCTGTAGAGGCTAGAAAGACTGGACATATGAGACAAGCCTTTCCCTCTAAGTTGCAGCCCAGTGGGGAGAAAGCCAGAAGAACACATTGATGACATGCTGCTTTGCTGCAGTGGAAGTGTGTGCAGAGCATAAGGAGAGGGAGGGGCCCGTTCTGTCTTAGATATGGGTCTGGGACATTCGTGGGGCTCCTAGGAGAAGGGAACATCCACATCCAAGCTAGATCTGAAAGGGTGAGTTGGAAGAGGGATGTCAGGAAAATAGAGAGGGGACGTGGTGGTGCCAGATGCATGGGTTGCTAGCCACTGATTCAGTCATCAGAACGCCCAGAGGGAAAGTGGGGGACTGGGGGATGCTGTGGGAAGGGTTGGGGTAAGAAGAGGGTCTCCAAGGCCGACTCCAAGGCTGGATAAGGAGTTGGGATTTTTATCCTGTGTCCATGTAGATAGAGCAGGCATTGAGTCTGGGAACAGTGGAGCCACAGGATTTGGTTGCGGTTTGTGGGCAGTAGTGTGGAGAGTCAGTGAAGCAGGGGTGGGTGAGAGCCTGGGCCACTTCGCAGCTCGGACAGAGGCCTCAGCAACATAGAGCAGCTACACTTTCACTGAGGAGGGCGGGCAGACAGGGATGCAGGAGACAAGCTGGGGAAGTGTTGGTGGCTAAAGGAACTTAAGTGACTGATGTTACCCTTACCCTGATTGGCAGAGGGAAGGGGTGGAAAAAAATGTTATCATAAACCAAGTGAAGGTGTTAGCAGATCAAACACATTGCATGTAGACAATGGGGTTTCAAATGAAGAAGTTTTTCAATCTGCATATCCTACGGAGTCCAAAAACATCTTTTCTAGTTCTCGCTTCCCCTAAATTATTGACCATGGTAAAGTTGAATCATCCACTGAGATCCTTAGTGTAATCATTTTGAATACATGAGGGTTAGGCTGGATGATTCCATTAAGATCTCTTTCATTGTACCTCAGCTGTACAGTCCTCAATTTTGTCTAATTGTTAATTGATGTGTTCACTATTTTATTGTATTTTGGTATTCTTAATGATATAGTGTCATAATCCCTTATTTGTAACTCTGAAATCCAAAAACCTGTGAAAATGTGGGGGACCTGAATTTGTTTGGTGGCAAAGCCTGCCCTGAACTGATGTGAGACTACTGATTGGTTTTATTTATCTCACTTACTGTAAATCTGTAGGGTTTTACTATAGAAACATTAATTAGTTAATTATGGGATGCCACCCTAAGCCCTTGTGGGATTCTCATATGCATTTCATACGTCACCTTTTAGACATAGGTCTAAAATTTTAATTTTAGAAAGGTAGTATCTATTACCTTTATAAAATTAAAAAACACTGTAAGTTGTGAAATACATCTGGCCCTATGGATTTCAAGCCAAGAATTGTAGTTATTTTGCTTCTGAATGGATTTTTTTTGTACATATAGAGCCTATTCTCTTTGTTAGAAAGTGTAATACAAACAAACATCAGAGTAATTTTAAAGAGCTCCTAAAATTCTAAGGAAGTGAATAAACATGCCCTTTATGTAATTACTACTGAGGAGAATTTCTGTGTGTCATCTGCTCCTTCTCTGTCATTGCATGAGACAATTAAAGCCCACAATGGCATATTTTGTTAGAACCTTGTGTAGACACATTGCTTGTCATTGTACTAAGCCCTTTAGGTCAGTGTGAAATTCACCCATCGCTCCAACATGACAACCTACAGGTTTAATTTGGGGCCACTTGTGTAACAATACTAAAGAGGACAGGTTACGGTTCACGGTTTAAAAGCTTCCTACATTTTTGAAGGGTAACACTGTAGCCCCGCTGTGCACATATTAGGTATCCAATAAATATTTGTTAACTACCCTATGTTGGTGAAATTTTCAACTCTAGTGGGGAGGAGGTTTCTTGCATGAGATTGGTGACAGTATTGCTGTGTTGTCCTTTCTTTCATGAATGACATGTGACCTCATGGGCCCTCCAGAGAGTTGGATGTGACAATGTCCTTGGATCTGATGCTGTTGAAGACGTCTGTGGGGTGTGTAACGGGAATAACTCAGCCTGCACGATTCACAGGGGTCTCTACACCAAGCACCACCACACCAACCGTGAGTACTTTAGAGCTGCCTGCAAGCCTTGGGCAAAGAAGATTGTAACTGGGGCTTCTTAGCAGAGCTTGAGGTGACAGTGAAAACAGCAGGACTTCCTTCCGCTGCCTCGCTTCCTGCCTCAGCTGGCGCTTTGCTTCTCGAGCCTCTTGCTTTGATTGGAAGTGGTTGCTGAGTTATTTGCAATAAAATTGTTCTTAGGAAAAGTGACCATCACAGGGGCTCTGCTCCAATTGATAAAAAGCAGCCGGGTGTAGTTCTAAGGCAACTGATCACCAGAACACGTCTTCACCCAGTTCCAAATGTGGATTCTCAGGTTTTGTTTACCGAGGACTGGGGTTGCTTAGAGATTTTGCCCCTGCTTTCTGGAATGAAAAGCTGTATCTTCCCCATTTCCTTTATCTAGAGTATTATCACATGGTCACCATTCCTTCTGGAGCCCGGAGTATCCGCATCTATGAAATGAACGTCTCTACCTCCTACATTTCTGTGCGCAATGCCCTCAGAAGGTACTACCTGAATGGGCACTGGACCGTGGACTGGCCCGGCCGGTACAAATTTTCGGGCACTACTTTCGACTACAGACGGTCCTATAATGAGCCCGAGAACTTAATCGCTACTGGACCAACCAACGAGACACTGATTGTGGAGGTAAAGTCCAGCCTCTTGATTTTGGGGCTTGGATTTTGGGGGTGTTCTGGTGTCTGTGTAAGTTAATGGCTGTTGGCATAATTTTAAGAAGAATGTAAACAGTTATAAAAAGAGTGATCCATCCATAGCCGGAATGAGGCAGCAGGCTTGTTTTTATCATCATTCACTTTTTGGTGTATGATTACGTTTGTATTTAAGTGCTCACCTGTGTTCCCATTTGGGGGTTTTAGCAGTAGGTGTTTGCAGAAGTCTTCTTCTGTCCTGTAAGCTCGATGGCTGTGAGATGCGGCCACTCTTGGGGGAGGGAGGTGGGGTCTGACTTCGCCTGTGTCTGGGGTGGGATCAGCATTTCTGCTGCGTTCTGTGGCAATAGGAGAGGAGAGCCCAGAGGTGAAGCCCCTTGCTGTGTGATGACCTACCTGTGTCACAGCATTGACCTTGGCGGGCCACAGCTCCGCAGTCACATCAACCCAGTGTCCAGTGCGGGGGTCACCCCCTGAACCGAGCAGTTCTGTTTACTCATGAATGCAGAGGCTCACAAAATATAGTCAGATTCTGACAACACCATCCTCGCATGCGACTGTGCAGATGGCAGTGGTGGGCAGTGGATGTTCTAACTCCCCACCTTGTTATGTTTCTGTGCACAGTTGAAAGAAGGTTCTTGGTTCAAAAGTTGCCCCATCCACCTACACCTTGCTGTGGAGGTACAGCCACCTGGATACCCCCACCTGTTCCCTGGGACAGGCCGCCCTATCCCATCCTCTTGCGTCTTCCTGGGAGATGCCTCCCCAGGCATTCGGGGTGTGGTTTAGATGGAGCAGCTGCTGCATCTCCACAGGTCCTACTTCCATCTCCTGTCCTGCCCCTGAACTCTTTCATCCTATCCCTTTATAAACAAATTTATCTTGAATTCTTTCCTTGATCAATTTATCTTGAATTCTTTCCATGATCTTTCCTTGATCACGTCTCCCACCATCTAAGGCTTTTAGCTTTAACAATCAGAGAGAAAGATGCCTCCGGGTTGAAAATAAGTGGGGCTTGTTAGGAAACTGTTCTCCACGGAAGAAGAGTTGCAGAGCCTCAGAATGTCAGGGCTGGAGAGTATCTCAATGGCCTTGCAGTGCAACCCCCTGTCCTGGGCTTATACCTGTCCCACAACATCAGCACCACTGAGACTGGAGCTGTGTCATCAAGCAGAGGGTGGAGCATGGGGCCAGGACACTCAGGGGAGGGTGAGGATCTTTTTCTACATGGGCATCATATCAGCATGCAATGCCTGTCAGGTGCAGGCATGGGATTTATGTCAACAGGTTATGGTGAGTTTTCCAGAAAAGTCTTCCAACTAAGATTCAAGGATCTAATACATTTATGAGAGAAATGGTGGCTGGTCCATATGATTGGGTTTCAAGCTAGGAAATGTAGAGTCCAAACCCATTCCATGCCCTAAACTATGACTCAGTGATCTTCTTTACTAATAAAACACCTTTTCCTGCGGACTTAATGGGTACCTGCCCGTAGGCAAAAGTCCCCTTCATCTCTCCCCATAGAAAGTGCTCTAACTTAACTTTGGTCAGGCATGGATCATACCTATTGCTGTTGAAGTGTCCTGCGTTATTTGAATTCACCAGGAAGCATGACGATGCTTTGTAGGTATCTCTTTCTGATTTGCTCAGATGCAGGGATTTGCAGGGGATCCCTCAGATGCAGGGATTTGCTCAGATGCAGGGGATCCCAAAGAAACACCAATGAGATAGCCAAATGCTTTTGTTAGGATGTATCAGATTATCACATATACCCCCAAAATATGTGTATCTGTTATGTATCAATAAAAAATGATAACTTAGAAATGCTTTTTCTAAGTTGCAAAAGTGTTTGAAGTTTTACATGCGGGCATACACTAACTGTAAGGAGAAGGTACAGTCTAGACATTTTTTTAGATGAGCTTGAATCTAGATGGGAGGGTTCAGAAATTTTATGTAAAGTTTGGATGATAGTCTGAATGTATTTTATCATCATAACAAACTTCTTGTTGATTGATTATTGTTTTAAGTAGTCTAAATCCCGTTAGCATGTACTTGCTGGTTTTGCATTAATTTGTTTTATTTTTTCCCCTTTCTTATTTTGTAGCTGCTGTTTCAGGGAAGGAACCCGGGTGTTGCCTGGGAATACTCCATGCCTCGCTTGGGGACCGAGAAGCAGCCCCCTGCCCAGCCCAGCTACACTTGGGCCATCGTGCGCTCTGAGTGCTCCGTGTCCTGCGGAGGGGGTAGGTGCCTTCCAGTGCTGCTCCTGGAGGCAGCATGTCAGCCTTCAGCCACTGCGTACATTGCACTGGCCTTTCTTGAATCCTAATGAGCAGCCCGGGGCTTCTCCCTGCCAGTAGCAGTGACATTCCCAAGGTGGGGAGTGGTGGTCCTGAGTGTCACTTGTCGGCCCGAGCTGCCTTCTCCAGTCTATCTGCTTCAGTGTGTGACTCTGAGGAAGTCAGTAGATGCATTGCTTCCTACTTTCCATCTAATTTAAGGTTTTTTAGAGGATGATTTTGTTAATTGAGATGAGTCAAATGAAAGTCACGGTAATTATGAGATACATCATGTTGACGGTGAGAAACAGACACTACCATGGAAAATACACTGACCTAGAGTGGGTTTTTTAATCTAACTAATCTTGTTCAAAACGTTTCCTGGAAAGAGCTTTGCCTGCAAGTCAGATAGTCAGATTTGTCCAGAAAATAAAAGAATATTTTGAAAGTTCCAATGAAAACATCAAGAAAAAAACATGTCAAAAAGAACTGCACATGTCAATTGAGTGCCTTGTCGCCTTCATACTGTAAACAATGGAAGCTCACATTTATATCGGTAAAGCTACTTCCACTTAAAGGAAGTTTTTAGCCAGAGCCAATATGTACTGACTGTCTGATATAAACAGTGATGAGTAAATATTTGCAAGTTTAAAACAACATAGTAAATTCTATCTGATATGTATAAAATACACAAGTTTCCATCTGGCCAAATGGATTTCAGCTTTATGCAATCTAGGTTTTCATAACTAAGAAGTTAATTTAGACAATATTATGTTTAAGTAAAAGAAAATGGTTCATAAATGAGAACTGGCATAAAGTTAAGAAGGTAGTGAATGAACAAAAATAAATAAAAATAAATTTACATGTTCTCAATAGTTGCTCTAAATAAATAAGGTGAAGAAACTAAAGGAAAACTGAAAGATTAACAAAAAGTTTAAATAGTCCTAAAAGTTAACACTATGTGCTTGACATATGTTCATTCTTCCCAGTATGAACTAAGGATGAAATAGTTAAATTATGGATGCTGGTAAAGCTAATGACTGAATGAAATACTGTCTTAGGAAAAACATGACTACCTTCTGCACAGAAGGATAGCAAGCATGTTGCTCTAATAGTGACCAGAGAGAAATATGAAGGAAATCTCACACTAGTGATATGGCCCAAGTCAGCCACCAGTTTACTTTATTTAGAAAGCAGTGGAACAGAAGGACATTGTATGCTCTTCTCTCTGTGTGACGTGGGACATTCCTAACCATATGTATTTTTCCTTTCTTTTCCCTCTGATCTTAAAACCATAACCATGTTTTTATGGATTATGTTGAATGCACTTGATTTTACCTCTCCCTATTTAGGATCTTCTAATAAATAGTAGTTGGTTAGGATAATAATAGAATCAGAAAACTTCATATTTGTTTAAGGAAAGTATGAATTTTTGAACTCTTTCTTGTACATTTTCATTTGGTAAAAAATGTATAATGAATTCCATGGAAACATCTGTAGAGAATGGCCAGTCGATGATTCTGTTTCAATATACCAGATTCACTGGTGTCTTTCCTTTGAGCATCAAGCATTCAGGGGAACTCAGTGTTCTCAGCTGCTAACAGGCTAGTTGTTTCAGTATCCTGAAACACTGAATGGATGATTAGTGTATTTGCAAGTCACCTAACTATCCCTAAGGAATAATTGAGAGTTTCTGGGGGAAATCAACCCAAAATCCATTCCCAAATCACTTTTCTAAAGAGCTGCATTATAGAGCTAGTGAGTTCTGTTTGTTTTTAATTTCAGTGGAAAACGGGGATTCTCAATTCAACAGCGGGATGGAGTACAGGATGTCTGTATTTCCCACATTCTGTAGGATAATGCTCTGCAGCCTTCCTTGTAAAAACCTGACCTCTTCATAGGACAGAAGACTCAGAACCTAATCAAGGCATGCTGTCACTGCCCATGTGTGTATCATTAGGAAGGGGAACACTTGCAAATGGTATCCTGCAGGGTTTGAACTATAGTCGATCCTCCTCTGTTTTCGTAGATGGATAAAACCACAGCCTTTCTCTCCTGTTCTCTCTCTTTCCTTCCCTAGTATCCCCAGAATTACTTTCTATAGAAGCAAGATGAAAGCAAGAAGCACGTTATTGCCATGTATTGAGCACCTACTATGTGCTTTCACATATATTATCTTGTCAAAACCTTCGACAGGGTAAGGGTAGAAAGACCACAGGTTTGAGGCAGCCATATCAGATTCAAGTCTTGGCTTCATCAGGCCATGCTCCTTAGAAATTTTGAACAAGCCTTTCATGTCTGTGAAGTTTAAAGATTGTATGAATACCAATGCCTGGAAGCAATCCTTATTATCATCTCAGAGGTTACAGGTAACTTGGTTCAAACAGGTTTACTGACTCCCATTCTTATGTCACCCCACCACAGCCAAACTGCAACTTAGCACATTACTGATGTTCACATTCTTTAACAAAGATTATTCTGCCAGGGAAGCACAACGTGTTCTTCGAACTTCCTGTCTTCCTTTCATAATACAGCTTCTACCTGGCAATGGGCGTTGCAGTCCATTGAACATAAGATTGAAATATCAGCAATGAGGAGACGACCTTACACGTAGGCGGTGCTCATGTTTCATGGCCATTCAGGGTGAAGGCTGATCTTCTTCAGTTCTGGTATTCAATTTTCCCTTGATCTATGTTTGGAGGACTTGTCAAATTTCCCCCAATAGTCTTAACTAAGATAGTTATTCACTGAATGTTAATTACAGTGACTGCTTCTGAGATAAGGGCTTTTATTTCCCAAGATCTCATTACTCAATTTTAAGTGGTTATTTTGATTAAGCACTTTTTCAGAATTTACTGTCTCTGCCTTGTAAACTTTAGGAGTTTCAGGATTTGATGCTATCCGATGACATAGATCCTTTGGAACTAAATCCTCAATTACTTTAAGTTTATTAAATGCTTCATTAGGTGTATCCCATTGGAGGCTTCTAAATTTCAAAAGTTAAATCAGATGATTTAAATTATGTGGTATCTGACAATAGCATGTTTTAACTGCTTGGATGATTGATATTGGAGGGTGAAAATCCAAAATGAATCTCATTCTCAGTTTTTCAATTTTGTGAGATAATAATTAACTTTGCCAATGAGCAATAACCTTTGATTATTGTTCTCATTTCTTAGAGGGTGAGGTCAATGCATCACCTGAAAATTCTTGACCTGATTCCCAAAGGAAAAGGGAAAGTATAGATGGTATTTTCCTCTTATCTGCATATTGTATAATTTTTAAGACTTCTACTTGCATAGACCTCCTGATGTTCTGAATTTGAAACGTTTAAATCATCTTTTTCTTAGCTCTCTCTTTGAGAATTTAAGGGTCTACGAGGGGCAGTTATGGAATTCATGAATGGGAAGAAGACAGCTGGAAAATTTCTCCCACCTCTTGCTTCATTCCAGAAACATTACTTTGCATCAAAAGAGGACGGATAAATCTTTTTGATTTAAAGAGATCTCATTTCCTTATCTCTTACAATGGGCCCATCTCTCTGTAGGAAATAAGGTTTTCACACAGCCAGGTAATGCCTTTTATCTCCCTTTTGACAGCTTCTTCTTCCCTTTTGACAGTTTCTTTTTTCTCTCCTCTCACTTTTATGACATAACTGCATTTTTTAATTTCAATGTTCCTGCTTCGTCATGCTCTAACTGGACTCTCAGTGAGCATCTGGGGCATTGGTAATGGGACATAAAACTCAAATAGGGAAACAGCATGCCAAGAATATTGCCCAGAACCAGTTTATCTTATTGTGTCTGTCTCTGAGACAGAGACTTTTTGGTGTGGTAATGACTTCACTAGACTTTTGTTTACCTTGTCAAAACATCAGTTTTTTCTCAAAATTATATACGCTGTCATCTTTTAAAGTCAGTATCTACAATTCACTTGGCCCAATGTATTCCAAATCACTAATCTTCAACCTCTGACTTATTTCCAAATAAAAATACTTATTAAAATTTGACCTGTGTCTTAAATTGTCCAACATGTATGCTGTAATGTCTGGGGATGATGTGTTTTTATTCAAATGGAAATATTCATCCAATTCACAGCAAAAATTTCTCAGACAAATCTTAAACTGGCTTGAAAACCATCCTCTCTTACATTTTTTTCAATAATATTCTCTTCACCATCCACAGATATTTCTAGGGCTTAAGGTTTAATTCATTTAGGGATTAGGTTTGAAAAAAATGATTGAAATCGCTTGCAAACTTGCCTTACTTTGCTGATATCAAACCATCCATTTATCCATTCATTCATTCATCATCAGTCAGCATATGCTTGGGTGTTTGGATCTGAACCTTAAACATCTTAAAGCCACCTGAGGAAATACAAGAGACTTTTGCTTGATTTCTTCTCTATCTGAATTGAGCAATGAAATGCCAAAGTCGGTGTTGCTTTACATGAAAACTATTTAGTGCCTCTTTAGTGTCATAGCTAGTTGAGGTATTGTACATTTGTGCATCTTAATCGGGGAATCGAGTACTTCGATCCAGTGATTTTTTCTTAAATGTGCGAGCCGCTATGCTGAGTTCGGAGTGTATAAGGACAGATGGTATATACTTGGCCCTGTCCTCCAAATCATTTGCAGTCTGGAGCAAGGAGTTACCCATATGCCCATGTGTGACAATGCAAGATGATAGACTGCGTTGTGTTCCAAGAACTGTGAGAATTCAGAGAGATCTCCAGGCCTGTGGGCAGGAAGAGTCTCAGCTCAGCTGCAGTTGGGACGCCTGTCTTCCTCTGAGTTCCATTGCTGGGATGGCTTTAAAGAGCAGCAGTGGGCTTTGGTTCCTACTGCTCATCTGATTGGCTAACATTTCTCCATCTTTTTCACAGGAACTGCTTCAAATGAGATCTTCCCCATCCTCACTTTGTGTGCTAGAATGTTCTGAATCCCAGAGTGGGTGTGTCTCTTTCTCTTTTAAACTTCAGCTAAAGGGTTGGGTCCCAGAGTTCAACTTGAAATGATTCTGGTTTCTTCTTCCCTGCCTTTGGTCACCTTTGAGCTGATCTACTAAAAACGTCTCCCGTTCTTTATTCTTTATCTAAGTCCCTATAAATTACAAAATATATTACCCCCCCGCCCCCCGATCCCAACCCCTTTCTTCCCAAAAAAGCAGAGAGAAAAACAAAGGTTTGTTTCCCAGAGAGTGGGGTGTATTCCTCAGGGGCCTGGGCTGTGTGATGTCACCCAGGCCCATTTCATCAAGTGTGCTCAGAGGTCCAGGGTAAAACAAGGAAGCCCACATCTTCCCAAAAAGCAGGAATTCTTTCCCATTCCCAGAGTCTGTGCAGTTCCAGCAAGCCTCCACTCATCAGGGGTGCCGGGGTCCCTCCCACGTTCCCACTACGTGGCCATGGCCTGTTCTTCTCCACCTTCGCTGTGCAGGTCACTTGTACCCACAGGTCTTAACGTCTGCAAATTTGGAGCCCTAAAAATGGGCGATTACTGCCTATATCCAGATGGGCTGCATTTCCCTTTGCCATTGACAAGTCAAGGCTGTCAGGGAAATCAGCTAGTGAAGCCAGCCCCTGTGAAGCAGGGAATCTGCCTCTGGTAAGACATGTGAAGGTGCCTCAGCCTCCAAGCTCTAGTAAATGTTGGGATAACATGTGTCCACAGCAATTGTGCAGGGCCAGCCTGTCACTTAAATACACTGGGAACCATTCAGAATTTGGACTGCATCCAGGAATACACCTTTGAGCTATCTTCCCTCTTCCGAGTTCAAGGTCCTGTAATGCGCATGCATGAGGCATCAATAATATATCTAGCACATGTGATAGAAACAATGCATGCTTCTTTTGAGAGCTCATGCGTTCATTTATGGAACACCGTCTGGTTTTCCATGTAATTTTGCTTACAGAATTCGTTTGATTTTTTTTCTTTTTCTTTATAAAAGGAGGATAAAGCTTTTGGCAACAGCTGGAATTCATTCTATAGTTCACATTATGGAAAAGTCAGCAATTTTTTGATGAAATCATGATCTTTCAGACTTAAGACTCTTCTTCTAGACAGCCTGGCAAACATGAGGATTTTTAAGCGGTTTCCAAAGACCTGGCCAGAGTTGGTTTCTGAAAAAAGATGAAAGCAGCGCCCAAGCACATTGCTCATCAAACTCACCACCCCATGGGCAGGGTTTGTCTTTCCACAGCTAATGGATTGTTCTCTCCAAGTTTCTTACATTACCTTTTGAAGCTTATGCCCTTCCTTTCTCTTATCTATTAATATAGATCATTTAGAAAATTGGCCTGCGTGATTCTGGCATTCAAATAGATTCTGTGATTTTTCTTTCTGACAAAGTTAAGTGATTGTAAGTACTGCTGAGAAGTTGCTTCATGGACGTGCCATTAGTCAGAGAAATAATACCTGAGTCTCCATAAATGTTCGGAGAAGTAATATCTGAGCTTAATTGCCAAGGAGGCTCTCCATTCCATCACGTGAGATGCATCTGAAAACATAATCATCCAAAATCTGGTATAACAATAGACCTTGGAAAGCCTCAATACCAGTGGACATATGGCTGTCTGTACATATTTTTACATTCTCAGAATATTCAGACATTTGGAATTAGTCAATGGAATAAACATTTAAATTCACTTTTGTGTCTTACTGTTTATATGGCTTGGTATATTAGGGTCCTCCAGAGAAACAACCAAAAGGACGTATCTGTCTATCTGCTCATCTATCTATGTAGAGAAAAAGAGACTGATTGGGAGAGATTGGCTTACATAATTCACTGAATGCAAGCTAAAGAAACAGGATAACCAGAGAGGTGTCTTCCAGTCTGAGTCTGAGGTGATGGCTGAAGGAGAATGCTGTGAGTCCTGGAGCCTGAAGGCCTAGGACCAGGAGTGCTGATGTCAAATATAAGAACTTAATACTTTAGGTCTAAGTAGACTAATCCAAGATCTTGAGCAAGCAAATTACATGTGTATTGTCATAAAAAGTCTCTGATTAAGGACCCAAGAAAAACCCTTTGAAAACAGACAGAGTATGCAAGAACTGGAGTGTAGTTTCTTTTGCTTAATTTTTAGTTCTTGCAGTTTTTCCTACATGTGAGGCGGACATGTAAGAAGTAGATGTCTTATTACTGGATAATGGAAACACGGATTGGCACGGTGTTCTGAACATGAGATGGGAGAGTGCCCTTGACTCCCTGCATGAGACCCGTGAAGGGGGTGACTCGTTTACTCAGCCACCCTGCTCAATCCCTTATGAGAAGGAGCACACAAGCAGATGGGTATAGGAACCAGAGTGAATGAACGTTGGAACTGGCTGGTGGCTCCTGCGTGGCGGAAGCAGGCTTTGCACGGGCCCTGCAGTAGCATCCAAGTGTGTTACAATACTCTCTCAGCTCTGCCATCCAGGAAAGGGTGTCTGCGACCCCTGGAGCCCCAGAGGGCCTGTGTTACAATCAGTGCTCTTTTAGCATTTGTAGACTGCTAAGTATTAACCAGCTCAGTGGAGGGTCAGGTGACAGCCTTTTACACCCTGCCCTCTTGGTACCCGAGTTCTTGTCCAGCGTCCAGGAATAATCATGTCACAGGAACAAATTGAAGGGTGGTGAACATGGAGGACTTTACTGAGTTGTGAAAGTGACTCTAGTGGGAAAGGGAACTGGAAAGGGGGTGGAGTGGGAAGATAATCTTCCCCTGGAGTCTGGCTGTCCCCAGCCAAACTCCTCTCCAACCATCCCTGGCTGAACTCCTTTCCAACCATAGTCTCCAATGTCCAGCTACTTTTCTCCTCTCGATGTTCACATGCTTCTCTCTTCCGTGTATGTGTGTGTCCACTGAGTCTGAGGTTTGGGGTTCTTATGGGCACAGGATAGGGGGCAAGGTGAGCCAAAAGGCAACATTCTTGCAAGAAAACAGGAAGAGTTCTCACTTTGCGCTGTGGGTCCAGGCTTAAGGGTGGAGCCCTCACCAGGAACCTGCCATCTTCTACCCAGTATTTCCCTGCCTCCTGTTCATATCAAATAGACAACAGAAAAGCAAGAGTTTGAGAGAGGATTTAGGGAGAAATCCTATAGGGGAACTGTTCTGATAGGAGCCATGCAGAAAATAAGGGACAAAATCAAAGATATGGAAGAAGAAATCTCAATGTCCCTGGCCAGCCTATGACCTCAGATTTTCAGGTTCTCCAACCAAGCAAAGACCTTCTGATCTCATGTGTTTCCCAATAGTGCTGGATTAACCATGAAAAATGGTTTCTTAAAGCATAACTCAAACCTACTCTTTAGTAACCCAACCATGTGACACCTGTGTGATCCCTGAGAGCTCAGGTATGAGTGTTGGGGCCCAGGCCCAGGAGCAGGACCCTGGTGTGATGGATGGTGTGGTGGAGAGGGTGCTGTTTGGGACTGACTTCTATTCTGCCTTCTGCTAAGAAAGGTACTTGAACTGGTTCATCACCCTGTCTGTCTCTTCTCTCTGTGTGTGTGTGTGTGTGTGTGTGTGTGCGCGCACTCCTGGAGAGGCACAGAGATGTGTGTTTTAAAGGGGCTTCTAAGGTCTCTCCAGTTTGATATTCTGTGGTCTATGTCAGTCAACAATATATAAGATGAATCAAAGTAAAACCAAATGTCAGCTGCCTGGTAGTCCCTGACTCCTTCCTCCCTCCATTCGTCCCTTTAGGCCTTTGGATTCAGAGTCCTCGGGGCAGTCAGGGGAAGAAGAGGCCATAGCAGTGGTGGACAGAGAGTGTAGGCAGATAAGAAAGTTCAGAGCAGTCGGGGCCTCCTCCCCAGTGTCCTTGAGCCAAGCCTGCCCGGGGCGTCAGCAAGACAGGATATCCACCTTCATGAAGGCTCAAATTTGCAAGTTTTGGGCATGTTTTTCATTGCGAATGTCATAAATAAATGGAAAGTAAAGAACACAAATCATTCCTGAGACACCCCTCCTTGAAAGACATCACTGTAAGCATCTTGGTGCACCCATTCGGTCTCTCCCTCCATGCACAGCTCTGCAAATGCATACCTTCCTAGTGATCAGCTTTTTCTATGTCACTATGTCATCTGTATCCTTCATTTGCAGAGAGTTTCTCCTTAGGTATGAGCATGAACAGCCCACTTCTAATGTGGCAGCTCACATTCTTGAGCAATTATGAATATATCCAAGTGCTATTCCTACTTTCAACAGACTATAAACAAATAATGCTTCTATACTCCAAAGAAAGTTCCTTAGAAATTACAAATATTGGCTTCATTTTTATGGAGAGTGTTTCAAATGGGGTGGTTTCTAAAAGTCTAAAACCTTTTCTGTTGGGAAAACCCTGACTACAAATATGTGTGCATGTGACACACACACAGAGATTTTTAGTTTTCTGTGGCACAGAGACTGAAGGGAGATGGAGTTGTAAAGATTCTGATTTCACTTTCATGAACCTGGGTGCCTACCAGGGGTAAGATCACTGTTTCAGAAATCTTGTGGAAGAGTAACTGAGATGCTCTCTGCATCGTAGGACCCCAGGCCAGCAGATTCAGCATCACTTGGGAACTCCTGAGAAATGCAGATTCTCGGGCCCCCAGCCCAGACCTACTGAATCAAAAGCCCTGGGCATGGGGCCAAGTACTCGGTGCTTTTTTTTTCTTTTTTTTGAGACAGAGTCTCACTCTGTCACCCAGGCTGGAGTGCAGTGGCGCGACCTCGGCTCACTGCAACCTCCCGGGTTCCCGCCATTCTCCTGCCGCAGCCTCCCGAGTAGCTGGGACTACAGGCGGCCGCCACCACGCCCGGCTACTTTTTGTATTTTTAGTAGAGACGGGGTTTCACCGTGTTAGCCAGGATGGTCTTGATCTCCTGACTTCGTGATCCGCCCGCCTCGGCCTCCCAAAGTGCTGGGATTGCAGGCGTGAGCCACCGTGCCTGGCCGTCGGTGCTTTTAATACTACATCCCCGTGTCTACAATGCACAGGAAAGTCGCTTTCCATTGTGTTTTCACCAGGGGACTTCTCTCCAAACACATCCTGTGCAAAGGACACTCACCAGTCCTTGGCTTGTACTCCAGGGAGCCCCCAGAGAGATTTCTGGAATCTCTGGCATTCAGAAGTCACAATGAGAAAATGATTGCCCTGGGGGGAAAACTGCATTTTAAGGAAAACAATAATTCCACTGAATGCAGCAGTTAATTTTAAAGTGGCATTTCAGGGATTGGGATAGGGAAAGGCCCACCTTTACGACCTTTGAAAGGTGAGTGTAGACGCCTTAGTGCATGGGGGTGAAAACTGAAGACAAGGGCTTCCCTGGAGAACTCCCAGGATGCAAGCCTGAGGATCATTAGCGGACCGCCCCCCTCATATGACTTTAATCATGGTAATTTTGTAAAAAGAGGAAAACAATTTCTGTTAACAGAATCCCAAACCCTACTGATCTTTATAGATTAAAGTCAAAACTTTACCCTCAGAAGCAAATTGAAAGCCAAACCCATGATGGAATATGCTGCAATAGGTTCCATATGTTTTTGTCTCCATCAGCCTAGGTCTCTGCGTGTACACCAGGCAGTTTCCGTCCCCCTATGCAGGAAAGGCCATGCCATATGTAAGCATCAGCTTGCTCCCACCACCTTCTCTCAAGGGTCCCCTGTTACTCATCTTTTCTTGTCTTTTTGCCCCAGAGGGGATGCTTCTCTCTAAATGAAATTCTCCACTGGTGCTCTTTATCCCATTATCCACATTTCTTATCATCAAATATACCCTCTTTTTCATTCCATGTCATTCTTCCCTCTCCTTCCCAACCATTCCTTTTTCTTAAATGTGCTCATGCCTCCATAATCTTAAACTCTTCTTTCTCCTACTTCTCTTCTTCCTTCTTTGCTTTTCAGTGTGAAGCCTGTGAATGCAAAATATCTAAGACAGGTCTTGGTCAATTAGAAAGTTTATTTTGCCAAGATTAAGGACACTCCTATGACACAGCCTCAGAAAGTCCTGAGACATGTGTCCAAGGTGGTCAGTGGTGCAGTTTACTTTTGTACATTTTTAGGGAGACATGAGACATTAATCAATATGTGTAAGATGTACATTGGTACAGTCCGGTAAGGCGGGACAACTCAGAGTGGGAGCTTCCAGGTTACAAGTAGATACAAGACAACAGGTTGCATTCTTTTGTGTCCTTGATCAGCCTTCCACTGAATACACTATTTAGTCTGGCTCAGCACTTCTGCATTTTTACATAAACAATAGGGGTGAGGAAGCAATCAGATATGCGTTTGTCTCAGGTGAGCCTCAGAGGGATGACTGACAGAAGGGGAGGCAGGTTTGCCCTAAGCAGTTCCCAGCTTGACTTCTCCCTTTAGCTTAGTAATTTTGAGGTCCCAAGATTTATTTTCCTTTCACAAGGTTTTCATCAATGCAACCCGCACTTCCTGCTTGCGTTCCCACCCAGGGACCACCAACTCATCCCTAGTGCCTCAGTTTCATCTCTGCAACCCACATCTTCGAAGATTCTCCAATCCAGACCCCACCTGGTCACCACATCCACAGGCTCTTTCTCAGCACTTCCTCCCTGGCCTCCCTGCAGCCTTCGACAGCTGGTCACTGCTCCCTTGAAACTTCTTTCCTCTGGACTTCCAAGACCTGTTTATTCCCATGAATGCGGATGTCTAACAAGATCAGGGCCCTCCTTTCTTTGTATTCTCCCTTAGAGTGATGGTTTATCGAATGCTTTTCCCCACCATCACTACCCAGGAAAGAGCTTGTGTCTTTTCGCGTGAATCTCTGCCTCTATCTCTGTTCTCTCGTCAGTCCTACACCTACGGTGGCCTGAAGGGCACCTTTGCTTGGTTTGCCCCATTGTAGCGAATTCACACTGTCTTGGCAACAGGGGTCATTTCCCAGTTACCTCAAAGACTTCTCTGGGCTTTTTACATTCAGGCTTGATTTTTTTCAAGTTACCCAAGAATCTCTGATCATTCATCTTGCTCTCCCTGTTTCTAGTCCTTTCTTTTCCCCACTTCCAATAATCAGTTATCAGATCCATCTTAACACCTATTCTCTTGAGCTTCCTAGATACATAATCATACCACATAAGCTTTCCCGTTGTCATAACTTTCATGCGCCCTATATTCTTTTAATTTTGTCAAATTGTGTCAGCCAGCATCTCCAAAATAATTTTAACTTATAATAATTTTTTTTATTTCTGACCTTAATGGGAATATTTCTAATGTTTCCCATAATGCTAGCTTCTAGGTTTAAATAAACATACAAGTACCTATATTTATATATGTAGATACAGATATACACACATAAACACACAAACTCATACAAATATTCAGATATATTGATGTGAGTAAATATCCATCTGTTGTCTGTTTCATTAATATTTTTATAAAAAATAGAGGGTAAATTTATGAAATGCTGAACTTTATTACATTTATGGAGTTTATGTTTGTCCTTTAATCCATTACATGGTGAAATATATTAACATATTTTCTTGACATTGAACCATCCTTACATTCCTGCTATGAATCATTATCTGGTGATTTATTTCTTTCTAATATGCTACTTGATCCTGCCTTCTCTTAATTTATTTAGTATTTCTCACATTAATACTCCTAAGTATTATTGAGCTGTAGTTTTCTTTTGTGTGCTAAAATATACTACATTAATTTCTATAAGTGTATTTTTTATGCTCTGGAACAATTTAATAGCTTTGGTGTTAACTATCTCCTAGCATTTGGTAAAATATATTTGAAGCAGCTGAATCTGCTGCTTTTTGAAGGAGTTAGATCTTTGATACATTTTTATATTATTATGTATGGTAATTGGACTACTTAGATTGTTTATCCCTTCTGGAATTAGTTTTTCTAATTAAGAAAACCATCTTTTTAAATGTATTATTTAAAATTTAATTTTATATATTTGAAAAGAGTATCCCATTAGATTATTTTCATTTCTTCTACATGTAAATATTTTCTTATTCTCATTTCTTATCTTGCATGTTTGTACTTACTACTTATATTCTTCATGAAGTCAATGTATCAGTGACAGTTTCACCAAAAAAATAGAAACCTTTCTAGGTATTTCACCAAGAAAATAGAAACCTTTCTAGGTATTTCAAGCAAGAAGTTATTTAACACAGAGGATTTGTTGTTTACAAAATAAATAGAGAGATTGAAAGAGTAAAGGCCAGACATCTGTAGCTCTCAGAGTTACTCCGGATTTTGAAAAGTCAGAAAGTTGCAGAAAATTTTAGAGATCATTGGTGATGATTACAGATAATCCAGCACTGGAGCAAGTGATTCCCAGGAAAATGCTTGAAGATGGCCACAGACCTTTGCATCTGCCAAAGCCCATCCTTACATCCACTGCTTCCAGAGATGGGAGCATGTGGCTTCTCACTCCTCCACCTTCCAAATCTCATGCTAGTGCCTCTGATTAGTGGGATCTAACTGAAAGCTTCACAGATATGAGAGTTAGAAAATGTACTCCTGATTTTTAGAACCTGTGATACAGAGGAGAGTGTGAAAGAAGAAGGTATGCAAAGTTGTATGTTATTATGTTCAACATATTGACCTCTGTTTCTAATATATTGACTTTTGTTTCTATATCAGATCCCTCTTTCTGCTTTCTTGGGCTATCCTTTATTTCTAACATCCTAATTAAAAATATCTGGTTCACTTATTTTTATTCTTACTCATATATTGACATAAGTATTTAAGGCCATGAATTGTCCTCTGAATACTGCTTTAGCTACATTCCACAGTTTATCTTTTGTAGCATTTTCATCATTATTTTCTTAAGTAAGTTTTTTTGGAACCTGCTACCTGATCTTCTTTTTGCTCTATTTCTGTTAATTGCTAAAACTTTCAAAGGAACACTTTACATTCCTCTTTTATTTCCTAATTATATACTTACCTTATGTGCTTTTCATCCATCAGCATTCTCAACTGAAGATTCTACTGTCCCTCATAAGAAGCATTTGGAAACCCATGGCAGTATTTTAGTTGTCATGATAATTGGGAGAGCGATGCTACTGACATTTACTGGGCAGGATCCAGGGAAGCTAAAAGTCTTGCAATATGCACTGCTGTGCTGCATAACAAGGAATGTTGTTGCCTAAAATGCTAGTAATGTCTCATTAAGGAAAACAAAAGATTTCTAAAGTCACAGCTAAGACATAACTGGCCAAGGCAAAACTTGCACCTGCATTGGATAAACACAGTGTTTTTCATTGAGTTTTAAATTTTTTTACTACATTGTTACTAAATTATCACATGACTTACTAGATCCAGACTTCCCTGTTATCCAATTAACAGGTAAATTTCTGGGACTTGGACTTGGGACTTTGCCCACACTGAGGCAGCTCAAGAGTGAAGCTAAACAAATGTCTCCAATAAGAAAGAAAACTAAGGACATTAATAAAGCCAACTTCTGTTTCTATTTCAAAGCAAAACAGATTCCTTATTTGCTTAGTTAAGAGACCGTACCTTGTGCAGAATCATCAATGATCATAAAGGCATGACTCTTTGTTCAGACTTGAACAGAAGGTTTGAATTTCACATGTTTTTAATTTCAAAACAGGAAACCAAACTGAAGCCATTATTTATAGAATCACACCTCCTAAAAAGCCGTAAGAGTTTGGTTAAGAATTAAAAAATGGACTTTAAACTTGAAAAGTAAGTGTAAGGAAAGGAACAGATTAATTTTCATTTGTATTCATTAGACTTCTAACAGTTTTAGAAAAATAGTGTGGTTATTCAGTATGTTTCTTATTTAAATCGGGTTATCATAACTATTACACTTAAGGAAGTCCGTAAGATTTTCTGCAGAACATTTTTAAACAAACATTTGTTTCTTTTTCTAATTTAATAGTCTCTCAGCCCTAGTTAGCAAGTGGAAAGTAGGTCCATAAAACATCTTCATATTGCATCTCAACATTAATGCATGAGTCAGTCATTGAAATTGTGCCCCAGTTTGCCCTTAAGTAATACATAAAGAAAAGAATATCCCCTATTTTGATAATGTTTGGGGGGATAAGTATTAGTTAATCCACTACTAACTTGTCCAAGCTTATATAACAGAATTATCCAGTGGCTCAAAAACTACTTAATAAGTGAAGTGACAAACTAATCCATGCATGCTACTGAAATTATAACAATGAATAACACATGCACTCTGCCCCCAAGAAATCTGTTCCAACAGATGACACACAAATGTTAACAGAACCTTATAATTAGAGTCACCATGTAATGCATTACTGGGATGCAAACTGGGATGTAATGCAAATTGCGACGTAATGCAAACTGCAACGTAATGCAAACGGCAATGTAATGCAAACAACTGGGATGCTTTGAGAGGAAATGATGTTACTGCTATCATTTTTCAGGGCAAATGTGCATAAAGCTGAGCTAGCCGGACATGAGCTGTTTTTATTCACAGCACTTCTGACACCAAATTGGTGGGGTTTTTCCACACTAACAACCAGTTCTCCAATTCTCTAGATGCTGGCAGCTTGGTGTCCTACAATTCAGTTCAGTTCTGATACTGACTACCTGGAATTAGCATCAGACTCCAGAGGATTAAGAGCTCAATTCCCCAAGACTTTCCTCCCCTCAGATGCCAGTTTCCAGTCTTGAGTCTCATGGGTACCCACAACTTGCCTACAAAGTCAGGGGTTCCCACAGGCTTTCCCTTTCAGGTTTGCTAATCTGCTAAAATGGCTCATAAAACTCAAGAAGCCACTTGATTGACGATCATGGGTTTACTACAAAGGTTACAAGTGACAAAGAGTTACATAGGTCTTGAGATCTCGAAGGGTCCCGAGCACAGGAGCGTTTGACCCCTTGGAGTTGGGATGTGCACCCCCACCATGTGGATGTGTTTACCAACTACCAATCTCTCTGAACTCCGTCATTAAAGAGGTTGAATGACATCGGAATGATTGATTGAATCATCCGCCGTTAGTGATTAGCCAAGTCTCAAGCCTCTCTCCCCTCTCTGGATGTTGGTGAGGTCGGGGAGTGGGGACTGAAAATTCCATATTCCAGAGATCACAGGGGTCTTAGGAGCTGTGTGTACTAATGACACCTGGGTAAACTCAAATAGAAATCAATGGTGGCTTCTAAGACTGCCCAGAGCAGACTTACACTTCTCAAAGTGTAGTCCTTGGTCCAGCATCAGCAGTAGCAACTGAGCCTTTGTTAGAAATGCAAATTCTAAGACCCAGCCACGGACCTGCTGCAGCTGAAATCCAGAAGCACAGCCTGGCACTCCGTGTTTTAATGAATGAGCCCTTCCAGGGTGCCCTGATACCAACTCAAGCTTGAGAACCGGTGAGCCAAGGAATCCAGAGAAGCAGGTGTTTGAGTTTGATTGAAAGGGATGAGAAGAAACCTGCTGGCGAAGCCCACAGGCATGGCTGTAGAGGACAGCACTCCAGGTGGAGAGAACAGCAGGTGGATGGTCCTGGGGAGTCAGAGGACATAGGAGAGGTTGCAGGGCAGGGTCACAGCATCACAGGCCTAGAAGGGCAAGGCTGGGAAGTCCAGAGCTGAAACACAGAAAAAATAGGCTTTTAATCTGGGAGTGGCAGGAATGTGTGCATGCATATGTATATGTATATGTATATATATATATAATTTTTTTTAGTATTTATTGATCATTCTTGGGTGTGTATGTATATTTTTAAAAGGCAATGCCATTTTTAAAAGGACATTCATTTGTTGGAAAACAGAAGCTGATCCAGAACAGAGTGCTGCTCTCCCCTCCTGAGGGCAGGAGCCGTTGTGAGGCCTTGGCTATGAGGCATTTGGGGCACATTGTTGCCCACCCCTCGGTACCCGTGTCCATGCTGGGTGTGACGTGGTGGCTCACAGAGATGGTCCACTGCTATCTCAGGGACACTGACAGCGATAATTTTCTGGGACATCACTTCCTTTCACAGTGACTTCCACTCTGCGGCCATTTGGGTTATCGTGCACAGCTACTGTGAATCCTGTACACACCTGTGCATGTCTCTGGCCTGCTGAGTCCCACCTGAGCTGCAACTGAGCCTTGTCCAGCATCACTGATGGGGCAGGATCCTGTGACCACTCAGGCTTCTGCAGATTCCACTTCTGCTCTCATCTCCAACACAAGGACACATCTGTTGAATCGAGGTTCAGGCAGCTGAGCATCATAATTCTAGAAGCCCACCCTGTTTACTGTAAAAAGTATCTGAGACAGGTCTCAATCGAGTTTATTTTGCCAAGGTTAAGGATAGGCCAGGAGAAAGGAATACAGAATCCCAGAAACACAGTATGTGGTTTGTGCCTTTCTCCAAAGATGATTTATTTTGAGAGCTTCAATATTTAAAGGGGAGAAGTGGGCTAGAGGGGAAAGAGTAAGGTTATGGTCCCACTACTGAATCCACAGGTTGCAAGGGAAAAGGAGCAGGCAGGGAATCATCAATTGAGTATTCATCTCACTCAGTAAATCGGCACTGTACACAAGATAAGGTGAACATGCAGTAGCTACCAGTGGGGATGTTTAACCTTGTATCTGCAGCTTTCTTGTTAGGAACAAAAGGAAAGGCAGCTTTTTACATAACTCAGCTTTCAGCTTCATTTTTCCTTTTGGTGTAGTGAATTGGAATCTTGAGTTTTTATTTTCTTTTAGCATTACTCTCACCCCGCTGTGTCATCCCCTTTCAAAGGCTGCCCTGAGCAGCTCCCTCCCCCGACCTCCACTTCTCCTGCCTGGGGGGACTTTGGACACTCAAAGGCCAATCCCAAATCCATCTTTGATTTTCCTAAATTGATCTTTTAGAACAGATGTTGAATCTACAGACTTACCAGAGTGCTGGAAATATTTACTTGTATTGCCTTTCTGTTGCCCCAAGGGATTGAGGTCCATCTTCAATGGACGCCTCCTTGGCCCTCTTGCTTTTAGTCTGTAGTGGTTTAAATCTTGTACTTTCATAGAAATATTCTTCTTCAAGAGGCTGAATATGTTAAAATAATTTTCTTACATTTCCAGAGTTTAAATCTTGTACTTTCATAGAAATATTCTTCTTCAAGAGGCTCAATATGTTAAAATAATTTTCTTACATTTCCAGAGTTTAAATCTTGTTCTTTCATAGAAATATTCTTCTTCAAGAGGCTCAATATGTTAAAATAATTTTCTTACATTTCTAGAGTATATATCAAAGTCATTTTTAAATAACCTATTCCTGATCAGAGATCACTAAAATCAGAGAAATAATTGCAAAATTCACCTTAAGGGAGCACCATGTGCAAACCACTTACCTGGGTTAAATATATAATTCTGCCAAGTTAGCAGAGAGATGACTGGTTTTACCAAACTGTGAGGGTCCTATGTAACCACTCTTTCTGCTTTATCAATGCTCAAAGGGCTAAACCTCAGGAAATGGGTGGTTTGGGGCTTAGAGCCATGAGCTCCGACAGTGGCTCCTGCTTTGGAACTTAGGAGAGCTGCCCTCCTCTTTACACTTGAGAAAACTGATACTGTACGGAGTGCAACTTTCCCTTCTGAAGGGCCCCACTCCTTTTGACTAAGAAGCCCCAAAATGTCCAACTGGTTTTCAGTGTATATTTTAGAGACTTTCAATTTTCCTTAAGTCAGGAAGGGTTTGACTTCTGTGGAACTGGCATGAGGGATTTTTGTGCCTCGTGTCTACAGTCTGTCCCTTTGCTCCTCTGAGACAATCTCTTTGTTGTATTTCCTTATGAGCAAACTCTGAGTTGTCCGAGTCCATCTGAGTTGTACACGGCTTGGGCTGCAGAGGAGTGAGAACAGGTGTTCCACCCAATCCACAGGACTTCTTCATCGGTATTTCCAAGGGGAGTGATAAAATCACTCTTAGATCTGAATATATTGTGTGTTAATATTAAATCAACACTGGCTGGTTCTATTTATTTTATCCCCTACTGCATCAACTCGTTTGAGATAGGGTTTCCCTCTATCATACAGGCTGGAGTGCAGTGAAGTGCCATTTCGTCCCACTGCAGCCTCTACCTTCCAGGCTCGAGTGATCTCCCCTCAGCCTCCTGAGTACGCGGGACTACAGGTGCATGCCGCCATGCCTGGCTAATCTTTGTATTTTTTGTAGAGATGGGGTTTCGCCACATTGCCCAGGCTGGTCTCAAACTCCTGGACTCAAGCGATTCACATGCCTAAGCCTGTCAACGTGCTGGGATTACAAGTGCGAGCCACCATGCCTGGCCCTGCATTCACTCTTTAATATCATTCCTCAAAGTGTCTTTTAGTTATAGCCTCTTTTTTTTTTTTTTTTTTGTCAGAGTCTTGCTCTGCCACCAGGCTGGAGTGCAGTGGCACAATCTCTGCTCACTGCAACCTCCAACTACCTGGTTCCAGCGATTCTTCTGCCTCAGCCTCCTGATAGCTGGGAATACAGGCACGTGCCACCACGCCCAGCTAATTTTTGTATTTTTAGTAGAGACGGAGTTTCACCATGTTGGCCAGGATGGCCTCAATCCCCTGACCTCGTGATCCACCCGCCTCGGCCGCCCAAAGTATCTCTTTTTTATTGTGGCAAAATATATGTGAAATTTGCTATTCTCACCATTTTTGAATGTACATTTTACTACTATTAAGTACATTCACATTGATGTACAATCATCACCACCATCATCTCCAGAACTTTTTCATCTTCTCAAATGGAAACTTTCTGTCCATTAGACATTAGCTCCCAACTCCCCCTCCTCCAAGACCCTGGCCAGCATCATTCTACTTTCTATCTCAATGAATTGACTATTCCTGGTACCTCACTTAAGTTAAAATCCCTTTGGGATAAATTTAATTAATTGAAATATTGAACAAATATAGGAATGTTCACAAAGTCTTAAATAGATAGAGGCTGAGAATCAAACAAACTTCTATTTCCATTGACTTCCTTCTATACAACACCTAAGTCATGATTGTTAAAGTTAGCCTTTCAGATTTAGCTCTGTGCATTCTCTGGTGACAAACTGCTTGTTAGTTTGTTGTCTATGTTTCCTGCTGATTTATTACTGTTTCTTGTTGTCATCTCAAGTGGAAATGTGGAACAGGTGTATTTAATATTGGTGTTTCTGCTGAAAATCCACTGGTGTTTTCAACTATGGAAAGAGTAGAAAAGAAGCAGGTACATTTCAGCAAATGTATGATGACATCAATCGCAAAACAAATGTTGACTTTAAAGATGTTAATATAAAAATATGGAGGGAAAATATGTGCATCTTAGAATGAATGAAATTCACGAATTACAACTTATGAAGACAGGTCAGAAAAGTGGAGTATTAATAGTTGGCCAGTTGGTCATTAACACAAACACATGCCAGTATGGCTAAGATTCTTTGAAAGAGATTTTATTAGCTCATCATCTGCCTTTTACTGTGGGGCATGCATGTGAGTCTTTATTCTACATTTCATCCTTGCCTGCAGGACAGATGACCGTGAGAGAGGGCTGCTACAGAGACCTGAAGTTTCAAGTAAATATGTCCTTCTGCAATCCCAAGACACGACCTGTCACGGGGCTGGTGCCTTGCAAAGTATCTGCCTGTCCTCCCAGGTAAGAAGCATCGCGTTCATCAAAGCAGGTTTCCCAGTTTGCAGACGTGCTCAGCGAGTCTTGCAGCTCCTGATTTCGAGAGAGAAGTGCTGATTGCCATCATGTCACTCATAACAGTGGAGAAGCAAAGGGGACAAGAGCTGCCTGGACAAGGGACCTAGAGAGTGTGTTTAGGCGGGAAGTGGTCTGGAAATTCTTGTGACTGTAAGTGGACATTCTTAGAATGGCGTCCTGTTTGTTGTATTTGTGCTTTAATTGGTTGCAGGCTGGCAGGAGTGATAACACGCTATGGTGATAATGATGCATTCTCTCTGCTGTCCTGTCCACTAGTGTGTGCTTTTCTTGCTGAATGAAACTTGCTGGAAGAACCCATCACAAGGCCTGCCAGTGGGGAAGGAACCCTGGATTCCTCAGTGCCTTGCAAACATACAGCTGTGAGGACTGGAGCCACAGAAAGCCAGGGCTCTTGTCATCCACTCTACCCTCACTGCTACTGCCCCTAGGAGTTCCTAAACCCAAGCTCGGGTTCTCTGAGGCAGGAGGTGGGGAAGGGCCCCTTGAGGCAGCCATGGTCCTGCTGCACTGTCAGGAGCCATCACGTCTGGGCAAGGCCTTCATCCCTCTGGTCTTCATTTTCTTCATCTTTACATGGGACATGTCACAGAAGGTTGTGAAAACCAAGGCAGGATTTTTCTCAGGCTCTTTGCTGGACTCCCAGCAGGGGTGCCTCTCTACTTGGCCTCCTGAACTCAGCCCCTTGTGGGAGGGAGCATGTGAGCAAGTGAGTACAGGATCCAGCTGGTCACTCTGAAGACACAGGAGCAAGCTCTGTGCAGAGCCCACAGCCAGACCAGGCGTGTTGCCTGGAGGGGAACACAGTGGCACCCAGGCAAGGGTGCCCGTGACCCCAAATCCCCAGAGGGGGTGTTAATGTGCTAATTAGCTCTTTTAGTTCCATCATCCACAGCCCAATGGACGGAGGTGTGTTCGCAGCTCAGTCAGCCCCTGACCCTGTAGTGGGGGGCAGCTGCCCTCCACCAGCGGGGGCAAAGGGCCAGCCTTTCTGGTACCCACACTCAGTGGGCCCCGAGCTCTTGTCCACCATCCAAGAAGAATGAGGTCATGCTTGACCACTGAAGGATGGTGAGGGCGGAGAATTTTATCAAGCGATAAAAATAGCTCTCAGCAGAGAGGGTAGCTGGAGAGGGGATGAGAATGGCAGGTCATCTTCTCCCAAAGTCAGCAGGTCTCCTCCCCCAAGTCAGGCCATCTCCCCTCTACCAACTGAGCCTGGGGTCTTTAGAGGCACAGGATGGGGGCCGGCCAGGCCATATGTACTATTGGAAAGGGCAACATTTGATTGCTTAAAAGGCATTATTGAGAAAGAACCAATCGGAAGAGAGCAGGCAAACAGGAATGGAAGTTCTCGCTCTGGTCTGTGGGTTTCAGATTCTTTTTGGCTTGAAGCTGGGGTTTCACAGGGGACCTGCCCCTGTCTGCCTAGGATTTCTCTGCCTCCTGCCTCTATTAAAAACCACCTGAGATCACATATTTACAGAATGAAATTCTAACTCCAACTAGATCTTTCAAATAGCTCAAGGCACTCAAAGACTTAATACAAGATAATCTAATACATTTTGATAAAGATCCACAGTAGCTGGCAAATTGATCCCAAGTTTGCTGAACTATGGATCAAAAGCATGAAGCTGGGTACTCTCCCCGAGGCAATAAAATACAGGAAGGTGGGAGGCACCGTCTCTTTTTGTAGGTGTTACCCCTGGTCTCTCTCTCAGTAAAGAGAAGGAGGTCACTTACCAATATTTGAAGGGCCAGGACCCCTCTTGCAATCACAGTAAGGAGGACACCTCCTTGGGAAGATCTTGTCCTCCCAGCACACCTGCCCCTGATGTGATCGGGGACCTGTCACCTTATAAAGCCACCAGCCCTGCCTCAGCCACAGTTCCTGAACCACCACTCCCCACAATCTGCTATCAAGAGAGAATTTACACAAGAAATTAAGTGCTTAAGATGCAGCACACTGAGGCATGGGACACCCTCTGGGGGACCTTCCCAGTGTCAGCCAGGGCCTGTGGAGTTGATGGACACACACGACGATGCTCCATGGCCCTCACCTGTCCCTGAGCCAACCCTGTGGGCCACTGCAGGAGAGCTGGCTGCTGGCCTTTCCCACCCAGACAGGCCTCCAGCCTATGCTGAGCTCCATGACAAGAGCACAGCCCACTCATCAGGGGCTCCCTCTGTGCCTGGAATGACACACCAAATGCAGACACACCCTCATCGTTTAGGAAATAAACCCCATGGCTGGCTGAGGCAGAATGTAGCATGGCACAGTTGTCAGCAAAAGTGATCTTCCTGTCCGAAGGAAATGGAGGCCCCTTGCTGAGTTGTGTCAAAGACAAACAAAGCCAAACACTAGGTAAGGTGGTCAGGACAGATTTTAGTCAGTGATCCCTGCTGCAATAGGGAAAAGATTGTGGCCTGAAGTGAACTCACCTTCGATCAGCAGAGGGACTGGGCATTTTACAGGGAGAATAGAAGAGCGGGAAGGGGCTGAACCAGGGAGAGCTGGGGAGGTGAAGAACTGCAAAAAGCGTGAAGAAGGGTTGGTCCTTGTGGAATCTCGGTTTGCCAACTGGCGGTCATAGAAGTGAGGCTCCCACCTTCCCACAGAGCCTGGGAGACAGGGGTCCTATCTGCAGGTGTCAGCCAGAACAAACAGGAAATTCTTTGGGAAGCCTTGAGATTTCTCAGACAGGCACTTTAAGAGGGGCTGGGGTTATCTTAGGGATGTAGCCTTGAGCTGTTAGAAACCATGTTGGTGTTTGTTCATGACTTTATAAGCCAAGGTGAGGCCTTGTGGTAAAGTGGGCTCAGAGGAACCTGGCTAGAGTTTGGCCAAGGACAGAACATTGTCAACTGCTGCACCAACTTGACCTCACACCCCCTGCTCCCCGGACAGTGGGGTCTGCTTGTGTTCCAGTTGGTGTTGACATCACTGTAACCTTGATTGAAGGTCCTTGCCTTGACATATGGAAGTTGGGAGCATCACTTCCTGTGCTGAATTCCTCTTTCCATACTGTGTTTAGTCCAGGTTTCTTAAGGGAGAAGCATCTGTGATTCCTCAAGGCACCGAGTTACCAGTGCTATGAAGTGGGGAAACCAGTAAATTAGACTTAAAGAAGTGTGTGTGTGTGTGTGTGTGTGTGTGTGTGTGTGTGTGTGTGACTTTCACATGCAGGAGGGACTAGTGTTACTAGTTCCATGTGGAAGTAAATCCATCAGGATGTTAAATCTCAGGGTAATTGGAAATGTTGAGTGCTTGAATGCTATTTCTCAAGCTAGTCATGTTAGTGGATCAAGCATACCCTTGCAGTCTAGTCAGCCCTGGTCTACTCTGTGAAGCCCATCTAGAGAGAATGCTAGAGAAAACTCACCCCAACACAGGAACAAGCTACCAATGTCTGGGCTCCTAATTGTGTGCTTTGAGGTATCACATAATTCAGATATGAAGTGATAGTTGGGACACCCCTGAAGAGGCCCCTTTGCATCTGCAAACCCCACAGGACCAGGCATAGAAAGCAGGAGAGCTGGTGACCCCAGGGCAGCAGAGAGAAGCAAAAGCAACGGCAGAGTGGAGCAACTAAGTCCTTTCCCTAGGACGGGCCTCCGCCCTACCGCATGGGGAGAATGCTGGCAGCTGCTTCAGTTCTTTCTTGGAAAGAGCAGAAGAGTTCATTTAAATCACAGTTGCCCATTGTTGCAATCTGCTTGTTGGTTGTTTGTTTTCTTTCTTGCCGCCTCCCCCATACTGCCCAAAGGGACGTCCTACTTGACACTCACTGCAAGAGGAAACCTGGGATTTTGGGGATGGCCCCAGTGGGAAGGGAGCTCTCCTCCTCCTGGGGCTACTCTTCCTGGTGTTACCCATACTTCTTCTTCAACCAAACCTCAGGTAGAACATGCTCAACAGATTATGTGGCGCTCGTTTACTGTCACTCTTAGTGGTTTGCTGTTTCTATATCATCTCACCCTGTTTTAAATCTATCAAAACATCACTTTCCAAGCGAGACCATAATACAATTATTGAATTTCAGTAATGGAAATCTAAGCAGTCTTATGTTGTCAGGCAAAATTGCCCTTACCACCAACCATTATCCAAGAATGACATCCTCACCTCTTGTATTCACTTAGATAAATCTTTGTTCCTGGTGCAGAATTTTCATACTAAATATGTGGGAAAATCTCTTTGGAATTGAAACTGGAGGAGCTCCCTTTTCCCCCTCGCAGGGTGTGCGATGAGGGCGTGGCTTACTTCTTTGGTGGCCCACTGCTCAAACCTCTAGGGGGAGCGGGCAGATGGGCAGGTTGTGGGGCTCCGACCCCACAGCAACGTCTAAGGGTGAATGTTTACAGCTCCTGAACTCCCAGTGGGCATGTGTTACGGTGTGCTCTTCTAAGTTTGTCGTCCCTGGGCAGCTTGTGTTAATCAGCTCAATTAGACCCTTTGCCTTATCCCGAGGACAGAGGGCTTTCTGTATCCTGGGTTATCGCCTTGGTGTGCTGGAAAAATTGGATCACACATGGGCTTGGAGAATGAGTACAAGGTTTTATTGAGTGGCGGTAGCTCTCAGCGAGGTGAATGGGGAGCCAGAAAGGGGATGGAATGGGTAGGTGGTCTTTCCCCTGGAGTTGGGCTGCTCCACAGCTGAGTTCTCCTCCGACCGTCCCAGACAAACTCTGGTTGATGGCCTGCCGGCATCTGCTGGTGCCTGTCAGCGTGCCCCTCTGCCGATGTGTTTCTCTCGATGTCAAATCACTTGTGTGTTCTTCCACCAATATGTTTCGCTCGACGTCCAGCTGCTTGTCTATGTGCTGGCTAGGGCCTCAGGGTTTTTATAGGCCCAGGATGGGGGCATAGTGGGCCAGGGTGGTCTTGCAAAATGCAACATTTGGCCACGAAAACAGAAATGTCTGTCCTCACCTAGGTCCATGGGCACAGGCCCGAGAGTGGAGCCCTCACCAGGGACCGCCCCCTTCTCCTCCCAGCACTTCCCTGCCCCGCTCCCATATCAGAATCAGATCTTTGCTTTGTCCACTAATACATCCCAATGGATGAGAATCGTGCCTGGCTCACGTGGGACCTTAATAGGTGTTCGTAGGAGACACGGATGAACCATGGTCCCATTAGGCCAGGAAGAGACACTTCAGGCTTGCGGTGTGGCCTTGGGGAAGTGGCTGCACCTCTTTATGCCTCAGTTTGCCTGGCTGTGAGATGACAAAAAGAAAATGTGTGCAGTCACATCCCAAGATTATAAGCTCTGTGACCCCACTCTCCCTTGGGGCTGTTCTGTAGAGAAGCTTGACAGATCCTGTCTGGATTGCCACCATTGAGAAATAGGCACTACTCAGACATCACAAAGCTTCTGGAATCAACTGTTCCTTAATACATCTAAACCACATTTGTATGTTCCCACGTATCTCCCATGTAAAGTATCTGCCTCACGTCAGCCTCCTTCAGGAGCTCCCCTGGGAGGACCCCAAGATAGGAGCATTTGCGGTATCCTTGACTCACCGTACGTAGCACTGCAGACGAAGGTCTCATCAGACGCTCGGTCACCACAGCTACTGCAACTGCGACTGCTACTGCTGTGGTCAGTTTGTCAACATTAAATCCACCCGTGGGATCCTTCCAACGCACCTACCTCTCTGTTCCTTGACTGTCCATCAAATGGTCTCCCCTGATTCGGTCTCTCACGCCTGCCATCAACAATAACTGCCCAGAGGTATCCCTCAAGGTCCATTTCTCCTTCCCGTCTTTGTTAATAGAAGCCGCTGCCCCATACACTGCATACATCCACCTGCACAGGGATCCCGACTGGACACTATTTCTGTCCTCCCAGGCTAAGGTCTGGCCCATGGGATGTGAGCCTATGCCCTCCATGCTAAGCCCTCAAGAGGCAGCTGCTCCTTCCTCTTTCTCTGCCCACCTCTGTGGCTGCAGCAGGTCCTGGCCTTAGTGAGCAGCTGCAGCCCCTCAGGCAGGGGTCACCTTCTAGGGGAGTAGAGGGCCAAGACGGAGGTAGTCGAGCCTGGTGACCTGGAGAAGGACTGCGCTCCCCGACCCCACAACTGCCCACCAGCTCAGACTCGCACAAAGGGAACCGCTCCCTCCCTTGTTAAGCCATGCCTGCTGGGTCTAGTTGGTGCAGCTCAGCCACATTCTGAGCTCATACACACCTCACCTGTGACCTCTCGGTCCTTAACACCCCTCTCCAGACAGGCCATGCCTCTTGTCATGCAGCTCCTATGCTTCAAGATCCACACTGAAGTTGTCCTTCTGTCTCACTGCATGGCTGATCGTCCCACCGCTCACTGCCCAGGACCCCGGAGCCCCCACCCAGGCCAGAGGCTGTGGCAGTGCTGGAACCCTCCCCTCACCAGCACCTGAGCTGCCTTGCTTCACCCTCGCTCCCCTATACTACCCTGGTCACCTCAGCCTGGATACCCCCAACTCTTGACCCACTGTGCACATGGAGCTCAGCAGTAAATGCTACCCCCAAAATCCCATGTTATCACTCTAAAAGTGTGGTCACCCAAGGATGGTACACAATCCTTACACCTGCCCCTGGGTCATTTGCTCCCCACCTCCCAGGACATTGAGTTCACATCACCTGCAATCTCCTCCATCTCCCTGCCCCACACTCTCCACCTGGGACCTCAGACTAAAGAGAAGGAAGCAATGACCAGCCCTTCCTCTTGCCAGAATCTCCCTGTGCCTCCAACCCCGCTGCTCTGCCCTCCCTCCCATCACAAAGGGCAGATGGTCCCGAGCCTCTAGAGGAGCCTTTGGAAGTTACTATTTTTTCCATATAAGTGACCCATTTCGCCCAGTGGTTCCTGTTGTTTTTCTGGCTGGGTCTCCTCTGCCTCCACCTCTCTACGCTTGGTCTTTCTGGTATTGAGAGATTTGGAGCTGAAGACATCCCTGCGTTCTGCTGTGTCCTATCTTCTACACTTGACTCTCTCAAACACGGTTTAATACACACATGCTGTCAAGAGCACTGTGTGCTGGAAGAAAAGGTGCAGTTCAGCAGCAGAGGGCCAGTCTAGGGGAAGCTGGAGCTGATGTGTCCTACAGCAAGTAGAAACATGAGACTGAGGCTGCCCCAAATCCACTTCAGTCAACCCTGGAGCCCTCCATCCGATGGCACCCTTTGACATGTGGACCTCCTATTTTGGAATGTTCATATTGCCCTCTGAAAGGGGAAACTTTGAGACAATACAGAAGCCTCTCTGTGAACCCAATGCCATGCTTTCCTGCCTGGGAGAATCTTAAGGAGAACCAAGTGGATCTCCCCGTCCATCGCCCACAAATAGCCAGGGCCTGATCGCACATGGAGCTTAGTAAATTTCTGTCTCACAGGAGAAACAAGATCTCCAGGCTCCCTTCCCACAACTCTCCTGCACTGGAATTCTTTCTATGGAGTGGTCTGGTTGCCATGGGTTATGTCCATGGGCCAGAGTCAGACAAAGGCGCTGGGCGGCATTGCACCTTGTCAAAGGTGCAGCCGTGACACTGCCTGCCTCCCTGGGCTCGACCCTGCCTTCCCCACTTCGGGCATGATCCAGGTCTCCTGTCTCCTAGGATAAGGTGAGGATTCCACGTAAATGCTCTCAGGTGTGATAAACACTCACTAAATCTTGGCTATGATTATTGTTGCTGTAAAAGGAGAAAGAAATTCACAACAGTTATGAATTTAGTCTATAAAGCAAAACTATCCATGGCAAAAACACAGAATAATGGACCTACATGGCATATGTCAACCCTTGGGGATTGTTGTTTCATTGTATGATTTTAACAATTGAGTTGGGAACATAGATTTTAATTTAAAATGTTGCTTTACTTTTCTTCTGAAATGCAAAATATATTTCTATTATGTCCTGGATACTAACAATTTTTTGTTCCTGATTAAATGTTCAGGAAACCCATGTTCCGTTTCTCTGAGGATGGAGTGTGCATCTTTCTTACTGAATTCTGCCTCCCTGAGAGGCTTCCCTGGCCTCTAGGCTGCAGGTACTCCGAGCTCTGTCCTCAGCAGCCTGGCAAAGCTGGAGCCACAGCCCCGAGGGAATAAGCCGCACTCTCCTTCCCCACAGTTCGTGCTCTGTCTGACACTAAGTGGGGCTCAGTGGGGTGTGATCTGATGTTTCATGTTCAACTTGAAGGAGGGTTCCACAAGGATTGAGGGGTGGAACCTGTAAAACATCTTAATCCACAGCCTTATCACTTTTAACTTAAATGAAAAAGGAAACCTGCTGTGCTGGCTGGAGCCCCAGCCTCCTCCTCAGCACCCAGAGGCCGTCCTGCAGCCTTGCAGGCTCCTGCAATTGCATTGCCAGATGGGATCCCCTAAGTCCTAAATCTCTGCAGGGGGCAGGGTGTTGGGTGTCTAGAAGTCTTCTTGCTGGAGATTCTCTTAAAATGGCTGTGCAGCCTCGGCCAGCAGGAGTATCCTGGAGAAATAACAGGCATCAGCAATTCCCAGTGGCTCCTCCAGGACCGGGGAGCTGTGCAGCCTGTGGCTCCCGCTCCTTCCGCTCCTCCCGCTCCTCCCTCACACGGAGGCTCCTCCCTGCGCGGGCACTGCCCAGACAAGCAGCCTACGGCCCTCCCGCGGCTGCCCCGCCCCCATCTGCATTCTAGCATGAATCAGGCCTTTTTATCACTTGCTTTTGAAACATGGATGATAAATCACACAAATATTTATTCCCTTTATACTTCTCAGTTTATCTAAATGGAGTGGCTCTTCGGGTCATTCATCTTAACTCTCGTTTTCTAAGCATTAACACTAATCACACACCTGCCAGGACAGGGGATTGAAGATACAAGAGGAAATGCTTTCCAGATGGTAAATGGAGACTTCCCCTCTGTTTTCAGGACTCTTCTAGGGATGCCAAGTAAGAGTCTAGATAACGCCGAGTAAGAGTCTGGATCACATATCGTGATCAAATGCTTTGTTTTCTCTGTAGCCCCGTCTCCACTTGATATTTGGATGGCTTATTCTTCTTGCTTATACAAACCCATTAGTGGAATAATTCCTTTTACAACCAAGATACATGGGTCCGTAGCTCTGCCTGCTGGTTGCACACTCTAGAAATGAAAGATAAGGCTCAGCAGGGCAGCTTTATTTCCACTGCTCTCCTATAGAAACACTTGCAATGAAAAGGGGGGAGCAATTTCCTTTTCTGTAGTTGCTTATCTCTTTTCGATCTGAGGCCGTGAAAATACTAATCACCCAGTAATGCACCCGTTACCAAGGGAATGAAAAGAAATCTGGTTGCTTAGGTGGTGTTTGTGTAGGAGAGGGTTTTGCTCACAGGAATGCTGGAGAAGTGAACATCTCGGTTCATTTAATTATCTAAGTAGCTGAGCGTTCCCAAGCAGCAGGATGGGCTTCCTGGGAGTGAGACCTGCGCAGCCTCCAGTGCTCCCTGCTCAGAGGAGCCTCCTGTGTAGTTTTATTCTCGGCTGTTGCTGATATGAAATTCCAAAGGATTTTTTTTTTTTTTTTTTTGAGATGGAGTCTTGCTCTGTCACCCAGGCTGGAGTGCAGTGGCGCAATCTCGGCTCACTGCAAGCGCCGCCTCCCGAGTTCACACCATTCTCCTGCCTCAACCTCCTGAGTAGCTGGGACTACAGGCACCCGCCACTACGCCTGGCTAATTTTTTTTTTGTATTTTTAGTAGAGATGGGGTTTCACTGTGTTAGCCAGGATGGTCTCGATCTCCTGACCTGGTGATCCGCCTGCCTCGGCCTCCCAAAGTGCTGGGATTACAGGCGTGAGCCACTGCCCCCGGCCCCAAAGGATTTTTAACAAGGGGCCTGGCACATTTGTTTTGCACTGGGGCCCACGAACGGCACAGTCAGGGTGGCAGGCAGCCCCACTTCTGTGTCAACATGGCTTTCTGGAATATTTGGGGATTGTATTAGAATGCTTGGTGTTTTAGCAAATCTACTATGCATTCATTACTTGAGTTCAAGAAGCCATTCTATACTGTTGTCAGATCATGGGTGTGAGCCTCCAAGGTCCGCAGGCAGTGGCTCTCTGCAGTTACTTTCTTTGTGCTTCTGGAATGAGAGCCAGTTTTACTCAACTTTGGAGTACTTGCAGGGGGAAGAAGTAACCATGAGGGGCCCTTCCAGAGTCATTAGAGCTTTGTTCTGTAGATCCCAAGGTTTGCCCTCTCTGCTGAGAGAGAGCCCAGTGGGGTGGACACGGGACTGTGTGTCTCACCCACAGAAGCCACCGTGCTGAGGCCCACCTGATCGTCTTTGGGTACCTGTTTGCCCTCCACTGTGCCCTTTGCAAAGACATCTAACCAATCTCAGTCTAATCAGGGAAACCAGAAGTGCTATGGCCCCTCCAGAATGAGTGCTGGGCCTGGCCCAGTGACTCACGCCTGTAATCCCAGCACTTTGGGGCAAGTGGACGGCTTGAGCTCAGGAGTTCGAGACCAGCCTGCCTGGGCAACATGGTGAAACTTCAGCTCTACCAAAAATACAAAAAACTTAGCTGATGTGGTGGCACACGCCTGTGCTCTCAACTACTTGGGAGGGAGAGGTGGGAGGATCACTTGAGCCCAGGAGGCAGAGGTTGCCCTGATGGCACCACTGCACTCCAGCCTGGGCCACAGAGTGAAAACCTGTCTCAATAAATAAATAAATGTATGAAATAAAAGATAAACACTGTTAGGGAGCTGTTCAGCTACAGTGTGACGTCACCAGATCAGGTAGGAATGCCGTGGCTTGAAACTGTCTGATCACCTCAATGTGCTGATTCTGAGGTATAAAAGATGACACCTTACTGTGTCTCCCCTGGGGAAAATGTGACTTTGCACCAAAACAATGAGCTTGAAATGTATTTAAGCAGGTACAGACATTGGCCTGCATACGTCTCTAATGAAAGTCAAGTGATAACTATAGACAAACACAATAAACCGTAAGCCAGACTAATTGAACTTATTTCATGAAACACTGAAAAGGAACATAGAAACCATTGCAGAAGCAGTGGGGATACAACATTAACTTTCTGAATTTGAATATGTCATTGTACATCTAGAAATGTGCCTTAAGTAGTCCTGTAAGGTATTTTGTACTTTGAGTTTTTATATTTTGTTTGCTTGATTTTCATTGTGTTGTATGTGTATGTGTTTTGTTTTATTTACTTATTTTTAAAGACCTTTTTTTCCAGCAGTTTTTGCTTCATTTCATGGCAACATTAAGCAGAAAGTAGAACATTCCCATATATTTCCTAGGCCCACACTCGTCCACCCTTCCCCACCATCAACATTCCCCACCGGCGTGCTCCATTTGTAAAAATTTGTGAGCCCACATGGACACATCCCTATCACCCAAGTCCATAGTTTACATGGGCGCTCACTCTTAGTGTCATACATGCTGTGGGTCTGGACAAATGTATTCTGACATCAATCCACCATGATAGTATAATATAGGGGAGCTTCACTGCCCTGCAGATCCTCCATGCTCTGCCTGTTCATCCTCCCTCCCGACCAACCCCTGGCAACCGCTGCCCTATTTACTGTCTCCACAGTGTTGCCTTTTCCAGAATGTCATATAGTTGGAATCATACAGCATGCAACCTCTTCAGATTGGCTTCTTTCACTTAGTCACATGCGTGTAAGTTTCCTCCATGTCTTTTTGTAGCTCATTTTTTCTTAGCATTGGATAACATTTTATTGTCTGGATGCACCAGGTTTATTTATCCAGTCACCTGCTTAAGGACATCTTGGTTGCTTTACTTTTAGTACATTTTTAGTATTTTATATGTGTGTGCATGTGTGTATATGTGTATATATATACATATATACATATATATACACATATATATGCATACACACACATGCACACACAGATATATATATATACACATATATGTATATCATCCATATAAGAAAGGGCAGAAAGATACCTTGTGAACTAAAGAATACTTCTGGTTTTCAGGAAACTTAGCTGGTTATTTAGGTTAAATCATTAAATTTTTCATTTCTGTTTTCTGGGACTCAGTGTGGTTGGCTCTAAAATTCACTAAGATTTCCCACACTCAGCGTAACTGTCCCCTAATAATTAAAACCGTGGCACATGCTTCAAATATTTTGGAATGAGAATGCAAAACAAACTGGTGGATAGATAGAATAGATAGCTTGCATTACAAATCTCTATCTATGTCCATGCAATTACTGCAAATGTGCTCATAAGTGCTTCCTGAAATATTTGCTGAAAAGTGCAAGCTTCATTCAGAATCAAGGTTCTGGGGTTGGAGGGAAGAACACAATATATTGTTTTTAGATACAATTAGGCACCATTGCTCTATTCTCTGACCCATCAATAATTTAGAATTGTGGTTCTATATTTCCAAATGTATGGAAGCTTCAGGGTACATTTTTTTCTGTTATTTAAAGTGTTCTTATATTGAAATCAAAGGAAGTTTTAAAGTTATCTTATTTTTGGCATTTTTGAGACTTCCTTTATGGCTTAACAATGGGAGTTTGTTATAAATATTTCCCGTGAGAATCAAGGAATGTGTTCTGAATAGGGTTATTCATATGACAACTAGATCAAATTCCATAGTTATTTATTTAAATCTGTTATGTTCTTATGTTTGTCTACTTTCTCTGCTTCTGAGAGAAGTCTATTAAAATTTCACATTATGATTGATTGTTTTTCCATTTTTTCTCTTAGTTTTACTTTACAATTGACTTTAAAATTCCACTTTGTATTGTTAGATAGTTATAGTTTCTGCATAAATTGTTCTTTTGTTATTAAGTAATGACCATCCTTATTTCTGATCTTGCTTTCCAATTTATGATTTATTTTGTCTGAAATTAACACTACGGGCACCAGCTCCATTTATTATTATTTTTTGACTCGGCTTACATTTCTTAATTATTTTTATTTTTAAATGTTTGTGTCATTGGGTTTACCTATGTCTTTAGTAAATAATATTCTGCTGAATTTTAATTTTATCAAATGAAGAATCTATTTTTTTTTTTTTTAAGACGGCGTCGTACTCTGTCACCCAGGCTGGAGTGCAGTGGTGCAATCAGCTCACCGCAACCAACATCACCCAGGTTCAAGCAATTCTCCTGTCTCAGCCTCCCGAGTAGCTGGGATTACAGGCATGCACCATCATGCTCAGCTGATTTTTGTATTTTTAGTAGAGAAGGGGTTTTGCCATGTTGGTCAGGCTGGTCTTGAACTCCTGACCTCAGGTGATCCACCCATCTTGGCCTCCCAAACTGCTGGGATTACAGGTGTGAGCCACAGTGCCCGGCCAAACCTATCTTTTCTTTTAACATAAGCTGAATCTCTTCTTATGGAGTGTGGTTATATTTGGATTTAGGTCCACCAATTTATTGTATGTCTTCTACTTACCATGTCTTCTTTTCTTCATCTTACCGTTTCATGTCTCTGCTCATTTCTAACGAATCTGTAGAATTGTCTTTATTCTCTTCTATTTCTACTACTGCTGGAAGTGATATATTCTTCTATAAGACCACCACTTTCTGATTTAAAATAGATAAGACAGACCCGAGTGTAAATTACTGTAACTTGCTAGATATCCAGGATTACTCACACAAGATTATCTTAAAACTCTGAGGAATAAGGAATTTATACAAAGAGCGAAGTGAGCTTAAACTGAAGATTAAATCTTTTTGCAGACCTATGATGCAGAGTTCCTAGATTTTCTGTGCACATTCTTCAAGGGGTGTTGGAAAGCAGCAGGCCGAGAGCCAGGCGCTACGCAGCAGACACACTAGCATGGACAGTCTCTGGGGAGGCTGGGCCAGCGAGCAGGAGAGAAGGCATCGCTGATTCACACAGTGGGGCTGCTTGCATTTGGAGTGGGGTCAGCCAGGACTGTTGAGCCCAGAAACAGGACCCAGCACAACTGGCCCCGGAAAGAGAACATCTCCCTCAGAGTGTGACCACTAGCCTCGTTTTTCTCTTTTTTCTTGCCAAAAACAAGAAACAAAACAAAATGAAGGAAAATGAAAAAAAAAATCTTCATTAACCCTGTGTTTATTAAGAATAAATATGTTTTAGTGTCACGATTTCTTTCAAGATACTCACCGAGGCCTCGTTTTCGAAAGCACTGCACTCTGTTAAAGAAAACATGGCGAAACATTGCAGTCTTTTAAACCATGCTTTGATTCTGAAAATCGCAGATGCTAAATGTGTTGGACATGAAACCTATGAAGATGTCACTAATTTAGAATTTGTGATTTTCAATGACAGAGTTGGATTGAAATCTCCCCCTTACGCTGTCTCCCAGCATGAGGTTTGCTAAGGTAATTTAAAAGAATAGTCAAATGTCAGTGGAAGGACAGATGCTTCAGCCGCATCACAGAAGAAAACCAGGCTTCCTCCCCATTCACCAAGACAGCTTTTATCAGGGAGATAATATATACTACAGCATGTGTTCAGTTACTCGGCAGATACTTACTGAGTGACAGACAGCCCAACACCTGCCACGGACTACATGGTTTGGAAATGGCCCCTGAGCTATAGGGCCAACGTGCTAGAGAGGGGCGCTTGCTCACCAGGCTGACCAGTGAACGCACAGAATCATTTCAAGGTTTGAAATGATTGCAGTCATCATAAAGGAAGACCACAGTCTCCTAGAATGCATGGGTTTGTCTGGATCCAATGCAAGGCAAGAATCCATGCAAGAATTCCTCTCTCAGCTCCAGCCACCCACATTGTCCCAGAGTCTGATTTTACTTTTACGCCAAATGAAATTCCAATAATTAGGGCTTTTTCATTGTTTTGATGCATTTATGATATATTTCCTTAATTTACAAAGACTAAGCTGGGTGTGGCGGCTCACCCCTGTAATTCTAGCACTGTAGAAGGGTGAGGCCGGAGGATCGCTTGAGATAGGAGTTTGAAACCAGCCTGGGCAACACAGTAAGACCCCATCTACACAAATAGTAATAATTTTAAAAATTAGCCAGGTGTGATAGCATGCACCTATAGTCCTAGCTACTCAGGAGGCTGAGGCAGGAGGATTGTTTGCACCTGGGAGGTCAAGGGTGCAGTGAGCTATGATCATGCCACTGTCCTCCAGCCTAAGTAACAGAACAAGACTCTGTCTTAAAAAAAAGAAAAAAAAGACTAAAGAGAAGTAAAGAGAAGAATCTGTTTAAATTGTTAAAATTGAACATTTAAACTAAATGTAGGTTTTTGTTTCTGACATCTATTATTTCAGTGAACTTATTACTTAGTGACCACGTGAACATTGTTTAAACCCTTCATTGTATTGTACTTTAAAGCCATCTATGAGAAGTCACAGCTCCCTGCCCCAGCCACTCACCCATCTCCAACCTCAATGACCCGGTGCCAAGAATTCCAGTGACTTTGGTTCTCCATTCTGGTATTCTGATATTTGGAAATAACATGCATGATAGCCGGTTTCTATTTATTGATTTTAAAGATTATCCTATTATCCATTGCAGGTGAGGACTTGGCCTTTTTGTGGCACCTTTTATCAGTTTTATATCACTCAGCTCTCTTACCACCAAATTCGTGTCCCTCCGTCCTGCTTATGTGATTAGAGCCCATGGTTACTCATTGTCATCACTCCTTATTATTGTTGCTAGCTAAGCAGAGCTCCCTGATTCTATCTTCTTACATGTATAAAATGTTATTTGTCTAGAAGCTAATGATTGCCTGACTTTTGTTTGCTTAGGTTTGTTATATAAATTCCAAAAGATATATCAACTTCATGGATTCATTTAACAAATATAATTGAGTGTCTACTATGTGTCAGGCCCTTGGGACACCTTAGTGAATAAACAGACAAAGCTCCCTGTCCTGGAGGAGCATGTGTTTAAGTTGGGGGTGACAGAGTCAACAATAGATACAGTGTTTATTTAGACCATATGCTTAGACTTTATGTTTATTTCTCTTTTTGTTTATTTATAGATGTTTATAAACATAATGTATTTTAAATGATAGCACATTTTAGAAAGTGATAAGTGTCATGGATAAAAATGAAAAAAAGGGGGAAAAAACCAATAAAAAACCAACCAAACAAACAAAAAAAACAAAACGAAGGGAGAAAGGGAGATTAGAATTCCAAAAGAAGGGGGTGCAGGTTGTAGGTAGACTGAATAGAAAGTGCCATTTGAACAAAGGTTAGGAGGAGGTGAGCATGTGAAATGTCCACGCTCTATTTCCCCCACACAGGCCAATCTCTCCATCCCTTTTTCCCTGCACTCCTCATTCCCAGTGCTGCCCTCCTTGTTCCAGCCCAGGCCTGTCACCCTGCTGGAGCTTCCTGTGTGTCTCTGCCATGCTGAACACCCTGTTTGTGGATGCCAGGCATTGTCTGTCTGTGGGAAACACAGAAGCAATCTTCTGACTGCCTCCAAGGCTTCTCAGCTAACAAAGAGTTAGAGAACAGGATTCTGGGGTGGAAGTCACTTTCCCCAGGAGTTTTAGCGTAATGTCCTTGACTCCCATCCACTGTGGCTACTGAGAAGTCCATTGTTCCTCTAATCCCCAGTCCTTCATTTGGAAACTGTCTTTTTTTCATTTTCCTCTCCCCTTTCTGGAAGCTTTAGGGACTTTTACTTATTCCTGGTCTCTTACGTGCTTTAATGGCTTGGTATTTTCACTCATTTGCTGAGTCCACAGTGGTTCTTTTCAATTTGGGGAAAAAAGATTTTATTAATACTCTCCTTCATTTGTTTATGCTCTTGCCTTCTGAACTCTAACACAGTAGACAAATGTTATGATGTTCTTGTGTTTTCTTTTCAGATGTCCATCTCTTTGTCTTTTTATCTTGGAAGTTTTTTTGAATTTTATCTTCCAGGTTTTCTGCTTTTTGTTTTGCTTTTGTTTGTTTGCTTGTTTTATACCTGATTACCCTCCTTCATATTTTCAAATGCTCATTTTATTTTTTGGTCTTTGTTTCTTCTCTTTTAAGGCATCCTGCTCTACTTGTTTCTCTATAAAGATACTAGAGTTGTTTATTTTCCTTCCCTCCCTCCCTTCCTTCCTTCCTTCTTTCTTTTCTTTTCTTTCTTTATTTCTCTTTTTCTTTCTTTCTTTCTTTTTCCTTCCTTCCTTCTTTCCTTCTTTCTTTTTTTCTTTCATTTTGTTCTTTCTTTTCTTTCTCTACTCTTCTCTTTGTCTTCTGTAAAGTATTTTTATCTGTAGAGTATTTTTCCTCCACAATCCTTCCAGTGTCTGAGTGGTAGATTTTGCTCCTTTTTTGTGTGTGTTGATATCTTCCATAAATATCTAATAATCCTGAACTGAATCCTGAATCCTGAATCCTGAATCCAGGCACGTTAAGACTGAGTCACCAAGACTTTACTTAGATGTTCTCAGTGTTGAGAGACTCCTTCATCAATGGCTGGGCAGGAAGCCTTTTATTTCTGCCTTGCCACCTCCCAAATTATTTCCTCCAGGTTCATCCATTTCTCTAGAGAAGGATCCTGTGGCGGAGTGAAGGACAATGGAGGGGTGTGTGTGTTTCAATTTATTATTGCTAATTATTACAATGAACATCTTATGACTACTTAGTTGTAAGTTGTGTGTCTTATGACTACTTAGTTGGAGGTGTGTTTGTATTCCAGGGGTGCATCAACATGTGTGCCTAGTACTCTGAAGCACAGAGACAAGGTTGGGAAAGTGTCTTGGAATTTCCCGTTTAAACACCTCTGGCTGAGGTTGGTATCCCCAAGTCAGTCTCTGCAATGGGAACCTCCTTCCTGGCCTTCCTTAGAATTGGGGATGGTGGTGGAGAGGTTTAGTACATGCTAAACCTATCTGTTGAGTAACGGAATTCTATTGTTGCTTAAAGCGCCACCTAATTAGTCATAAGACATTCATTATAACAATTAGCAATAATAAATTGAAGTTAAAGCAATTGAAATATGGAAAAAATGATATAAGCCTATAATTAAATATATTGAGAAGAAAATAAAGTAAATTACCTCTAGGGGAACCTACTCATCCCACGTTGCTCAGAACTGTTCTGGTTTTACAACTGGAAATCCCAAGTCTGGGAACCCTCTCAGGCCCAAGCAAACCAGCGCAGCTGTTTGCTCTACCCTATCTCTTCATGTTTGATAAACATACTGAATTATAGTAGAAAATGTTAATCCAGTTATTTTCCTTCTAGCCAGCAATATTCACCATTGGATGCTAAATAATGACAGTTCTTTAAAAAGAGAAGCAGAAATGTCCAGGGAATACAACTGGAGTGTCAGTGCAGAAATGATAGTAATTACTGGGGAGGAGAGCATCACATGAAGCCAAGAAAGCTGAAGCTTTAAGGCTCTTCTAATCGCAAGTTCCTAATTTTGAAAATACTCTTCTTACAAGGGGTAGCCCTAAGTTACATAAGCTCCAGGCCTCACAAAACCTCCAGGATCCACTCAGATAATAGATAATAGCGCTTATGATGATGATAAAAGGTTTTTAAAACTTTTGTATTAAAACATGTATTTTAACACTTCGTTCCTTATATCAAAATAAATCTCATTTTGATCAAAATCAAATTTAAAGTAATCAAAATGTTTGAAGAGAATATGAGTAAATATTTCATAATATTAGAGTATTAAAAACTTTATAAGTATATCATGTAAACAAGAATCTATTAAGGGAAACTTCATTGCATAACACAAATATAATGTGTAACAGCAACAAATCAGTGTGTCTGGCAAGATGCTACAACAAAATCCCATGATTGCTACACAGAGCGTGAAGGTTATGCCCTGAGGACCAAACAGTTTATCTCCCAAACCAGGCCATAAATTTTGTATTTAAAACATGTGTAGATGCAGAGACTGGGGAGTTGGCCACTGGGGATTGTAGAGTGAGAAAAATACCAGGGACATGCTTAATCCACTACCCTATTGGGTGGTTTATAGGCAATGAATGTAAATGACTCCATATGAAAGTGTATTTCACAGACTCTTATTTTTACCTTATTAATTTTTCGTGTGTGTATGTGTGTATTAGGAAAATATGTAAATACAGACACATATCTGTGTGTGATAAAAGTGAATAATGTGTGTTTGAGTGGGTGTATACAAAATACAGAAAACGAAGGCCCTCATGATGAGTGTAATAACGTGACAAGTTACTGCATTATGATGATGAGTGTGATAATGCATTGGTTTGCTCAGAACAGTAGTATATGCTCACCCGTTGAGCCTTTGTTGGCTAGCAGCCTCCGACCCTCATGAGTGGCTGGTTTGGGAGATAAACTGTTTGGTCCTTGATGCATAACTGTCACGCTCTGGGTAGTGATCATGGCCGTTCATTGTAGCATCTTGCCAGACACATTGATTTGTGGCTGTTACACATTATATTTGTGTTCTGTAATGGAGTTTCCCTTAATAGATTCTTGTTTACATGACACATTTAGAAAGTTTTTAATACTCTAATATTATGAAATATTTACTCATATTCTCTTCAAACATTTTGATTACTTTGAATTTGATTTTGACCAAAATGAGATTTATTTTGACATAAGGAATGAAGTGTAAGGTTCCCAGTTATTCTTCCAATGCCTACCAATCTGTACCAACAACATTTATTGAAAAATTCATTTTCTCTGCATTGAGTTGGAAGGCCAGCCCTCTCCTCACTTAAATCCACATGCGGTTCACAAAGCCTGACTGTCCTTCCCCGCCCTTCCCTGTGGCGCTGGCTTCTCCTCCCCACTGTTTCATCCCTGCAGTGGTTCCTAAAGCTTACTCCCCAACAGGGAAAGCCCACCTCTCAACACTTGTCTTTCTTAGAAGGTTTAGGGCTCTTCCTGAATGTTTTTCCCAGAAGAAATATATATTCTTGTTGTCAAGTTTAAAAATAAAAAATAATCTTTCTGAAATTTTGGTTGGGATTACATTGTATTATTAGATAAATTTAGGCAAAGTTGAAAACTCAAAAACTTGGAAGCTACCTATCAGAAACCATTTTAAAAAATTTTTACTTTAGTCACTGTTTTTTTCAAGAACAGTTTATAGATTTATTTATGTAGGGGAATATAAGTGTAGTTATTTTTTCCTTAATAATGTTTAATAATTTTTATTAATATCGGAAATAAAATTTTATATTTTATTTAGTATTATTTTTATAGAGTAAAACATTCATTGTGTAATCAGATCCTAAAATTTTATATTTTTACATTTTTTCAAACAATAATCATATATTTTAATATCATAAGTCAATACTGATAATTTTGGCTTCCCTCTCTAGTGTGTATATCTCTTATTTACCCCTGCCCTTAGTTTAAAGGCAATGACATATATTTCTAGAACAATACTACAATGTATTTTTTCCTGTCCCTGATCTCAGTTAGAATGTTTCTGCATTTTCACAATTAAGTGCTGGCTCTTATTTGATATGTATCACATATTACATTGTAATTTTTTATCTGATTATGGAAACATTCACTTATTTCCATCTTCTCAGCATGACTAAATTTTTGCTCATGGCTTTTCTCCTACATAACTATTCTATAGTGGCCTTGGAGAAATTGTAAGAAAAGAAGTTGACAAATGTGTTTTTTAAAGTTTGTGACAATCTGTACACAACACAAGGAAGAGACCCATGCCCCTCCCCCCACCTCCCCCCCAGAAAGCCCACAGGACTCTGTCACCTCAAGCTCTGTGTCTACCAATCCTTGGTGACTTTTTCTTTTATCAAGAAGATTGGCCTTGTCCAGTCACACAGGATCCTGGGCTCAATAGGCAAAAGGTGTAAACTCACGAGACCCCAGGATCACAGAGTCACAGAGGATGCTGAGTGTTGACTGATGCTCTGTGTCTTTATGTACATGACACTGTGTTAGCTCCATCAGTGAAGAACACTTGAACCCATGCACATTTCCATCACTCAAAAGAAGTGAGCAGTCATGACTTTATATTTGTGAAGAAAAGTGCACCTCAATCTATAACCTTAGGTGAATGAAGCTTGGGGTGTGTGAGTAATTAAACCATCCTTGCACTCCTGTAATGAGCCCCAGTTGATCTTTATGTATTCTTTACTGGTCTGGTGGCTTTAATAGTATTTTCTTTATAATTTTTTATACATTTCATAAGATTGGTCTATGATATTATTTGTGTGTTACCTTTCAAAAGATGTCTTATATTGTTTAATCTAAGTTTACTTCTTATTTGAATTATTTAACTTTTTTAATGTTTACTTTTCTTTTATAGCTTTTGCTATATGACTGTCTTCTTTTTTGTACCCTTTGGTTATTTAGAAAACACACCATATATTTCTAATACTACTATAGTTGCCTCTACAATTTAAAATCATTGCTTATGCCACTCTTTCTTGATTGATTAATGTTACAAATTAAACTAAAGCCATAAAGACCTTCACAGGCAAAATAAAGCTATTGGCACATTTCTACCTCTTTCATTTTCTAGTCCTCTCATTTCAGTTCAAGCTCCAACCTTTGTTATAATTGCTTGCAGTTTCCTTATTTCAGTTTCACTTTAATATTTTATATTGTGTACCTCTAACCTTTCAATAGTAATGCATGTAAATTCTGTTTTACAATCTTCACCACAGTTGTTCAGGTTGAATTGTCTATGTAAGTGGATCCAGTGGCCTTGCCAGTCCTTCTGTGCCATAGCTTTCTGATTCTCAAGTTTGATGGTATAATCTCCCTGCTCAGAGAGTGAGCATCTCAGGAGTGTTGTTCAGAAGGATGATTGCTCCTGGATTTCCTGGCTGCTTGCTGCTTCTCTGTTGCTCCATGCCAGCTCGTTAATAGAATTCTGTCTTGTTTTCTCCACTTGGTGTCTTCATTGAATTCTCACTCTCTTATGTTACCTGACAGTGTAATCATGTTTTGTGAAATTGATTTGCTTAAGTCGGTCTTCTTCCAGAATATTTTTAAAATTTTAATGCCATATACCCTTTTCACATATGTGTTTTTGTAGGGAGGGGTTTGTAATTTTTCTGTAGGTTCCATGTGAGGTTTCTTTTTTCCCAACTCATTCTGACCAGGGAATTTCCATACAAGTCATTTATAGACCAAAAATGGAGCTGATCTCCCTGCTGCAGGCCTTGTTCCTCTGGCGCACTTATTCTGAGTGCTTTATGGAACCAATACCAATGGCTTGTAACAAGAATAGTGCTTTTGTTTTGGTTCTTTTGAGATGTTCACAGTTTGTCAGCCTTTACTTGATTTGGGGAAAAGGAATCTGTACTACCTCACTTGCACCATCTCTCCCAAAATGACCACCATGATGTTTAAGATAAAAAAGAAGTTTCAGAGAGATGTGTTTTTTTAAAAAAAATAAAGCTATCAAAGAGTGGTCCACACCCATCAAATAATTGTATGGCCTTATAGATACCAAAGACATTAACTCAGAATCTGGTGTGTTGACCAACAGAAGCGTTATTTCTCTCTGAAAACCATGCTGCCTTTCCACCTGCAGTGAAGGATGCTTGTGAAAGGTTTCTTCAGCACTGGCAGTGGCCACACTCTCCCAGTGGCCACTGTGCCCACATCTGGGATGCGCCTTTAGTCTACCTCTGAATGGTGGGTCTCACAATGTTCCAAACTCGGGTGCAGCCCCGACTGCCTGTCTGTGCTGGGATCCTGGCTCCACGACGTGCTCCTGCAAGCCTTGGGCACATTTGTTAGTATTTCTGCACCTGTTTATTAATCTCTGAAATGTGCACAATAATCAAAGCTACCACACAGATTTGTTGTGAGAATTAAAAATTTCATGCAGGTAAAGCACCTCATTAAATACTAGCTATTAGTATTATAGGAACTCTGTAAACTAGAGGGATTTGGACATTGGATTAATCAGCAGGGATCATCTGACTGTAGATGGTTCAGAGACTTGCAATAGATGTTGATTTCTTTAAGACAATGAGATTTTTCAATGTCTGTTCAAGGCCACTTAATGCCTTTTAACTCATAATACACAACAAACCATATATTAGATATCTGCATTCAACTCTCCAGTAATATCAGCATTTCAGATGCCTTCACTTCTTCTTCTTCTTCAGTAGAACCTTTTCTTTACTTCAAATAATTGAATTTCCCCAGTGCTTTCCTGAGTTTGTGAATGCTAATGCAATTCTCTGTTGCGACTTGTGCGTATGTAGACTTTGCATCATAGTGGCATCTCAAGGAAGACATCACAACACTGCCTAAACTACCCAGATGCTGCTCCTCTGTTCTACATATGACCCTTCGGAATGAATCATTATAAATGCTACATGGGTTGGCTGCTTTCCCATTTAAATGGGATGAACTAGAGAATGAGGTCTTTAAATACAGCCTTTCTCTACCCCCAACTCATTGTAACAATACTGAGCATATGTGAAACCACTGAAATCTAAAATAGAGTATTTTCTGATGTCTGTATTTATATACATAAATACCACAGAATGATTAGGCCTTTTTGCAGCATAGACCAATAAATTATGCCAATGATAATACAGCTAATTTCATTATACAGTACAGTATATTCCTCCTCATATTCCCTTAGTTTTCTGGACCAATGTTTTTAAGAGCAATAGATAAATATGACATTTTCAACATGATTCATTTGATAAGTTTTGTGATGTAATGGCTAAAGCTTTACATTTGGAAGTTGGAAGTTGATTCCAAAGAATGAAACAGTAATTGTTGTTTAACTAATTATTTAGCTGACTAAATATCTAACAATATTATTTAAATATTTTAAAGAGTTTTTAGCCAGGTGAGGTGGCTCACGCCTGTAATCCCAGCACTTTGGGAGGCTGAGGTGGGCAGATCACAAGATCAGGAGATGGAGACCATCCTGGCTAACACGGTGAAACCCCGTCTCTACTAAAAATACAAAAAATTACCCAGGTGCGGTGGCGAGCACCTGTAGTCCCAGCTACTTGGGAGGCTGAGGCAGGAGAATGATGCAAACCCAGGAGGTGGAGTTTGCAGTGAGCCGAGATAGTGCCACTGCACTCCAGCCTGGGCGATGGAGCAAGACTCCGTCTCAAAAAAAAAAAAAAAAAAAAAAAAAAGAGTTTTTATAACCCTTTAGTATGTGCTAACATATAGAACCTACTTGATGGGAAAAAGATTCAACCAATGAGTACCTAAGACTTAGTAAGAAAATCAGAAATAACAATCTGAAGGTATCTTGAAGAAGAATGAAGGCATCAGAAAGGTAGTTTCAAGGAACAGGAGCCAGGAGGTTACATAAATATTGTTCTACCTACTCAATATATTCATTTCCTGGAGCTGATTAATCTTCTCAAAGTGCCACAGTGTGAAGTCCTTCCTGCAGAGAATGGAATTGTTCCAGACTTATCAAGAAAGATGACTCCAATGTCAAATGTTAGCCATATACTCTTGGCAGACCCCTGGCCCAGCAGCATCTATTGGCCAGAAAAACTGTCTGCAGCGTGTGATGCCTTCACACCTGAGTCTCATCGTGGTAGCTATTTGAAAGCTTAAAAGATAAAACTTACAGATTCTTACAAATCATTGTAAAAATTCAAATCCTATGTGGAAATGACAGTATTCCTGAGTCTGCTGTCATTTCAACTCTTCACTTTTCAATTCTTTGCCTAGACCCATCTACAGAGGCTTATACCTCATATGCCTCATCATTCAGTTGCCATTGACTGCTTTCACCAATTTCTTTAAAAGCAAGGAAATTCGACTCCCAGTTTTGTTTAGCATGAGCAAGGTAACCACTAAGAAAGCGACGTAGAGAGTTCTTGGATCCAATGATGTGACCAAGATATTCTTACTGCCTGAGAGTAAAGAATGTCCCTGAGGCTCCGGGCGGGATATTGATGTTGATTTCACGGACGGTGTCAGCTTGCTTGCGGATTTGATTTGTGTAAAATATGGATTCAATCTGCTTCTTTGGTTTCTTTCTTAAAACCCATTAGATTTATGGTGATTCCTGGTGACCCCGTCACTGAAGACTTTACATAAAACCTTTGTGGATGGTCCTAACTGGCCAGTCCTGCTCGGCCCAGACCCTCACAGCCCACGCACTGGTGGAGCTCAGGAGCCTTAGGAACTGTGCGGCTGCAGGTCAGCCTCAAAGCATCCAGGTTCGCTGCAGGAGGACACCTGGAAAAAAATCTCAGAAAAACGGCTCAAGAGCCTGGAGAAGATCATTTCTAAGTATTAGTCTCAGAGTGAACATCCAAGAAACCCTGACGCGAAAATGCCAGAAAAGCCCGAAACTAGAGGAGGAAGGAGGCCATCATTTTAAAATCCTTGTCATAAAAGGAAGGAGTCGTCACAGCGGGGAGGGTTCACGTCTGTAATAGAATGGGAAACTGACAGTGTTCCCAAGAAAACGAAGAGCCGAAGAACGGAAGCCCATACACAGTTGCTAGTGAATCCTCCGTGATTTAAATTGCATTTCACACCTTGAGAAATGAATTAAACCATCTCCCGTGGGAAGGTCATTCATTTCAAAAGAAAGAAAAATGAACCTATGTTACTCATGAAATGTTTAAATTCATGTTAGACACGTAGGCTTTCCCTAGAATGCCACGTAAAAGGCTCCGGTGAGAGGCAGGAAAAGATATTTCAGATGTTATAGATAATCTGTATGTGCATAATGACTAAGGGAAACCTGTTTGGAACGACTGAGGCTCTGAATAACTTGACACTGATTCAATACTGAATCATTCAGGAATTTTCGGAAAACTTCTCCGAGTAGATAATCAGCCAGAAAGTAGAAATACACAACTTTTACCAGGAGTAATGAATTCTTTACTTATCTGGGTATAAAATAGATAGGCATCACATAAATTGCCGTTGTCCAGTTAAAATATTCAAGCCCACAAAATTACTAAATGTATACATTTTTTCTAGGTCATTTTAGAGCTAAGGAACATTAAATTACAAACTCACGTCAGATTTTTCTCCAGCTGACAAGCCAGCCTTGTAGAAATTGTATTTATCTGGGAGCAATGCAGCATGGTGGATAAGAACCCAGGCTCACTGGGCTCCCTTCCTGATCCTGCCACTCCAGCTGTATGATGCTGACCATCAACGACCTCTGTGGCTGCAGACAGGGTCCTCGGTGTCTCTAGCCTCAGCTTCCTCGTTCATGAAATGAAATTCTAACAGCAGTGCCCCATAGGGTTGTTAAGTGGGCTAATGCATGTGAATGGGTTACTTGGTGTGTATGTGTGCTTTAAAAGGAACCAGAACTGGTCATGAGAGTCCAGGCCCTGGAGCTGGGCTTCCTGGGTGTAAATTCCATCTCACACCACTTATGTCACCTTTCTGCACTTCACTTTTAGGAAATAATAGCATCTGTCCACATCATTGGTTTGCAGGGAAAATTAAACCACTCAACAGATAATAGAAAAAAAAGCTTAGTGCCCTGCCTAGCATTTGGTTTGTCCTCCAGGGGCACTGATTCTGCGTGGCTGTTAATAACCAAATTCATACACTACATGTAAGGTGCGACTGGTTTGCTTTCTTACTTACTGCAATATTTGAAGCCGTCTGCATAAGCTTCATTTCACCCCTTTAAGATTTGCAAATATTTTGTTAGAACTTCAGGCTTTAATATGTGGGCTTGTTGTTGTTTGTTGTTATTGCTGTTGTTTCATTGTTAACATTCCCAACAATGGGGTCATTTGTCCTAATCTCCTAGTAATCCATGATAGCTAGGCTCAACATAGGTATCAAACTCCAACAGGTCTATCTTGTAAGGTGTCTTGGGTGCTGTAAAAACACTAGTTGCTTTCTGGTTTTTACAGATATGTCCAGTTCGATTATTTATAAGTAGAATTGGTTAAATCAGCAGGTGGCAACCTATGGCCTGTGAGCCAAGTGCAGCCTGCCATACCTGATTGTGTAAATAAGGTTTCATCAGAACAGTCAGGCCTATTCATGTACATGGGGTTTCCAGTGGTTTTCTCACTGATGCAGCAGGGATGAGTCCTCACAGCAGAGATCTCCACCGGCCTGAAATATTTACTATCTGGCCCTTTAATAAGATACTTGCCAACTTTTGGGCTAGATGAAAGCATCCTCCAGCAAAATGAGTGTCTTAATCAAAAGTGCTGTCTCTACATCACCTTTCAATCAGGGCAAAATAGCAGTGTTAATGGCATGGCAGCCAAGAATTTCCAAGCAGTTCAGAAAACCTAAACCTAGTTTCAGTCTACGGTCATCTCATTATTAGCATGCAAGTATCTTTCATTGACTTAGATGATGTATTGTTTAGTACATTTATCTTCTCAGCGATTTAGGAAACATATTTCCTTTCTCAAGAAAATGGCTTGTCTTCAGGATAGCAAAATCTCCTGAGGTAAAGAAGCAAGTCAGATCTGAAATCATCAAATCTGTGTAACCCACAAGCTTGTGTTCTTGCAGCTGGCTTTCACCGAAACTGTATGAGGAAGACATTTCCTAGTCAGCTGTTAAAATGTCTAAACGAAGTCAGTGGTCTCACGATCACAGTCCATGAACTTTGTGGCAGAAGGGCCACTTCTCCCCTGGGAATGTTAATAAGGTGTTGCCTAGGCCGGGCGTGGTGGCTCATGCGTGTAATCCCAGCACTTTGGGAGGCCGAGATGGGTGGATCACCTGAGGTCAGGAGTTTGAGGCTAGCCTGACCAACATGGTAAAACCCTGTCTCTACTAAAAATACAAAAATTAGCTGGACGTGGTGGTGCATACCTGTAATCCCAGCTACTCAGGAGGCTGAGATGGGAACTTGAACCAGGGAGGCAGAGGTTGCAGTGAGCTGAGACCGAGCCTTTGTACTCCAGCCTAGGCAACGAGAGCGAAACTCCATCTCAAAGAAAAAAAAGGTGTTGCACAAAATAGAGGCGCTAAAATTCTTGTTTCCATGCTGCAGTGGGCTTCAGCAGCTTCTCTTGGGAGTTAATCAAGTTTTTAATATCATTTTTCTGTTTGAAATGAAGGATTTGTAAGAGGCACTGGCAGTCTTTTCTTTCCCCTTGTAAACTTTCACTGTGTAGGACCTGAAAGGCCTGTTCTTCCCGCTGTGACCATTTGCTTTCATTCTCTCCCCAGACGAGGTGGAGAACACCTGTGCGGGCTCTTCGGGCGTCACTGAGATGGCGTTCACTTTCTTTTCGTTAGGTATAAATAAATCCATCCAGTACAGTTACCACCACTTGGGAGCATTGTTTTCTGCATTCTTTCAACCTCCCCATTCTTCTAATTTTAGAAATTCTAAAATTTCTCAATAGTTCTCATAAGAGTAAATATTCCAAAATCACATAGTTCCATGTGATGACCATATCATGACATCATTTTTACCAATGCCGGAAAATCACTGAGAGGCAATACAACAAAATTAATGTCTGTGTCTCTGTGATTTTTTTTTTAATTCGTATTTACCAGTCAGGTCTTTGTTGATTTTCAGAAGGGATGTATATAATAAGTATAAAATAATACTGCTATAGGAAAACATGGCTTTCCCTCTTGTACACAGGCTGAGGGACTGAATGTCTGGAATCCTGTGGACCACATGTGAATGAGCTCCCTTTCCCAGGTGAGGGTTGAGGAGGAGAAGAGGCAGGGGACAGGATGAGGAAGAGACAAAGGAATGAAATCATGATAACCACAGCCAGCCCTTCCCGAGCACTTCCTGTCTGCTAGTCCTCCCAGCCTGCCCAGCACTGCATAGAAAAGCTACTGTGACCATCTCCCCTTTGCGGAGGAGAGAATGGAGACATTGGTGTCCCGTGATTTCCTGAAGGCCGTCCAGCTGGCAAGGTTGGAGCTGAGGTTGGAACCCAGGCATCCTGACCGCAGAGCCACGGCTTCCCCACCCCCCCACCCCCACACCACAAGGCCTTAGACACAGAAAGGCTGTCCTCGGGCAGTCAGCCAGCCAGGGTCATGGACCAGGGCAAGACTTCACAAAGAACTTTGATTTGTGTTGCCCTGTTGGTGCCTGGCTATAACTTTATGGATTTCTACATCCACAGGCAAAAGCAAATCTGCTGAAACACAGGTACATTATGGTGAGCCCAAAAGGAAACTTCTAGTGATGTTACTATATTTAGGAAATAACATAGCTCTGTATATGTGAATTGAGGAGGGTGACGTTCATTGTCAACTGGTCAACAAATGTTTAGTATTTTGCATGTGCTCAGTCCTGTGAGTTTCACAGAGGCATTGATGAAATGTCAAATTATAAAGCATAAATTCTGTGGACAGACAGAATGGCCCTCTCTAATGGAAATGAGGCTCTGGTCATAGTCAAGCCACCAGCCTCTCACTCTTGCAGCCTCAGGAGACTTGAGTAGAAATTTCTACCTACAGTCTAGCTTCCTCTAGTGTCTTATTCATTCTGCAGTCGCAGTGATCTTTCTAAAACACAAACCTGGGCCAGACGCAGTGGCTCACGCCTGTAATCCCAGCCCTTTAAGAGGCTGAATGGTGTGGATCACCTGACGTCAGGAGTTTGAGACCAGCCTGGCCAACATGAAGAAATTCCATCTCTACTAAAAATACAAAAAATTAGCCGGGCATGGAGGTGCACGCCTGTAATCCCAGCTACTTGGGAGGCTGAGGCAGGAGAATGGCTTGAACCCTGGGAGGCAGAGGTTGCAGTGAACTGAGATTGTGCCATTGCACTCCAGCCTGTGTGACAGAGTGGGACTCCAGCTCAAATAATAATAATAATAATAATAATAATAATTTTAAAAATAAAAAATAAATATAAAATAAAATACAAACCCAGTATAGACACTTCTCCAAGTCCAGCCTTCCATGGCTCTCCATTGTCATTTGCTTGGTGCCCAAATGCCGTCGTGTGGCCTCCGTGACCCTCCAGGACCTGCCACTGCCTCCTCCAGTGTCTTCACGGGCCCTGTCCTAACAGCCCTCATTCCTGCCACACTGAAGGCCTCCTTGCCCTGCTGTCACCATAACCTTTCACTGTTGACTTCCTGCACAGCCTATCTTAACGTTCACCCCTTCTTGGGACACATTTGTTTGTCATCCCTCTTCATAGCCATTGTTAATGTCCAGGGAGGCCCTTGATCGGGTATGGCAGGGTGCACAGGCTTGTGGTGCCTGGCCCATGGGCCCCACGTGGTGTCTGTGACAGGGATAACAGGCATTCCCTCATTCCCTTCAACATAGTGAATGCTGTGGATGGAGGGCAAGGCACAGGCAGTGCATCTCATGGGAATGGAAGCCACAGTGACCCTGTGAGTCTAGGGGACCCAGTGGAGGACACAGAGATGGAGGGCACCTTGGCAGGCCATTTCCTGGCCTGGGTGCAGGTGTCAGGAAGATGCTCTGATGGTGTCACGGTTTTCTAGCTCTTTTTTAGTTTATGAGATGTAATTCCTAACATTTTTCTGATGATGGCGCTGGCACATTCTTAGTTCGATGGGTGTGGCATTGAACCTGAGGACAGTTAGGAGTCACTGCCTCTTGTGGCTGTGTGTTCCCAGTTTCCTTTCTCGGTTCCCTCATGCAAGTCCTTTGTGTGAGAAGAAAATATTCAGTGGGCAAAGTGGCTTCCTACCCAGGATGAAGCCCTCAGAGCTCTTTCATGCTGTTTCCTCTTGATCCGCAAACCAGTCTCTCTCATTCCCTTAAAAGATGTGATTTCATTCTTGCCATCCCTGCATCATGATGTCTCCTTTCAGCACTGTCAGAAAAGAGCTGGCTGGAGAGCACCCCAGGCCGGGTTTCAGGAGCTGAGGCGGGCAGGTCTGTCCTGGAGCTTGGATGCTATGAGAGGGGGCTTCTCTGTCCTGAGATCGGGAGCAACTGTGTTTCCGTCCTTGTCCATGCCTTTCCAGTGTGCTTGCAGTGAGCTTGCGTTCCTTTCCTTTAAAAGGAAAAAGAGTTTACTATATTGCTGAGGCAGGGGCCACATATAGGGCAAGACTGCCAAATTGAGCGTTTGGTAAAAAAGCAACCAGTAGACATGTTAGTTAGGTACTTGGTGTGACCAAATGAACCGTTAGGTCTGGACGTAAAGGAAGCAACACCAGAGATTTGCCATCCTGTGGTATCTTGCCAACACAGCCCATCTTTACTCTAACAGCTGAGGGGCCCTTTCCTGGGAGCTTTGAACTCCCAGAACCTCTGGCACACTGGGGCTTGTGGACATTCAGACAGGTGGGGGATGGAGGCCACAGGTCCATGTGTGTGAGCCCCGTGCCCTGGGAAATGGGGAGCCATGGAGTGTTTCATATATTATAGTAATGTTGTGTGTTCATGTTCGCGCTGGAAATACTTCTTCTTGGCAGCAGAGTGGAGATTAGCTTTTATCAACTCAGACTTAGAAGCTAGGGGACAATTAAGGAGCAATCCCTGTGAAAAATGACAGGGATCTTGTATTGGAGTTCTGCAAAGAACCAGAACCAATTATATGCGGATGTGCCTGTGTGAGGTAAAGGCTCTCCTGGTTGCAATCATCTATAAGACTTCGAAATAAAACTAATTCTTTAAAAGCCTGCCTTTTCTTTAGCTGACAAGAGACAAAGGAAGATTTATTTTAAGGAATTGGCTTATGTGATTGTGGGGACTGGCAAGTCCAAAATCTGCAGGACAGATCAGTGGACCAGAAGCCCAGGAAGGAGTTGCAGTTTTGCAGTTCAAGTCTGAAGCCCAGACTTTTTTGGGGGATACCTCCCTCTATTGAGGCCTTCAACAGACTGGATGAGTTCCACCCCCATTACAGGGGTCATCAACTTTACTCAAAGTCTACAGATTTGAATGTTTATCTCACCTAAATATGCTTTCACAGAAATGTCTAGAATAATGCTCAGCTAAATATTTGTCTACTGCAGTCTAGACATGTTGACACATCAAGTTAACCTGGACTCAGCCAACATGAATGATACACAGGAGGGAGTAGCTTTGCTGGAAAATTGGAAAGCCGAGTCTGTGTGATTTGGTGGGATCAGGAAAAGGCTGGAGGATGAAGCCAGGGGCATCCCACTTCTAGGATGACAGGAAGGGCAGGTGACAGGAAAGGAAGAGGGTGCAAAGATGGGGACCACTGGGTCTGAATGCCCATTACCCACCAGACAGAGATGTCTATAAGCAATGGTTTATACAGCTGTGGAGTGCAGAGAGGATGCAGGTGTCAATACCAGACAGAAGAGAAGACCTCTTACTCTGATGAAAAAAGTAGATAGAGGGAAAAATTATTTAAAAAAAATGCACACACATACCTGAAACATTTATTTTCACTTAAAAGACACAAATGCGCATTCATTTGCTAATTCTTTTAATTATGGCCCAAGCATTTTTTTGAGTAGGGTCTGCCTATGGAAGGATCTAAGTGGATTATTTCATAAAACATGCTCATTGCATATAATTTCCAGTTTGAGTTTCTTTAAAGAAGGATGAAACTTGTCCCATTTATCTGAGTGGGAAGTTGTTTTAAAATTTGTATGTTTCCTCAATATTTTACTTTTGTCTCAGCCACACCTAATTTGACAGCAGTGCTGTTTAATGACTGGTCTCCACTGAGTTATTCCAAAGATTTAACTTCGTTTTCATAGAAACAGCTCTTCTTTTCTAATGCTCATGTTTCATAGAGCTACACCAAATTATATTACATAACTCCAATAACAAATTCAGCTGCCATAAACAGATTGGAGGACAGATTCAGCCCATTCCCTGTGAGCCCTGGAGTGGCAGCAGAAGGATGCTGACATCCCTGGGCAAGGCTGGCACCTCACCCACGGGTGCTCAGCATGGTGTGGGCGGCTGCCAATGTGTTTTGCCAAGGGATGAAGAGGCACAGTGAGTCTCATGTGTCAGCTCAGAATGACTAAAGAAGAGTTTCTAACAAGGCTGGAAGTAAACCAGTGGGCAGGGAGGAGCCCATCCAGGCAGCACATCTAGTGTCCAGAGATGAACGGAGCAGACAGGTAGAGAGCCACTAGGACAGAAATAGATCCAGAGAATACTCTAGTGCTCTGCCCTCCAGAGAGTAGAAAGCCGAAGGGTCTCGCACAGGAAGTTATATACCCAGTGGAAAACCACTTGTGTGCTTCCATGTCAGGGTAGCAGAAGAATGTTTGTAACCTGAACAGTTATCAGTACATCCATTACAACCTTCTATGTCCAAATACAATGTAAGTTTAAGATCTTGCCCTAAGGGTAGGACATCCTTGGCTAGGATTATCTCCTCAGTTCTTAAGCTGAGTTGTTTAGGAGGCTTGCAAGAACGTTAATATTGGAGACCATTACCTTTACTTTTCAGATATCTGTATTTCAATGTTGGAAGAGTCAGTATGTAAGGAAGCGTCTGTGGTCCATCCCAGCTCCGAAACCCCTTTGGTTCTGGGTGGGTCCCTCTTTGAGAAGGAACTCAAGCTTCCATGACTTTGCACTCACAGAGGCTAAGTCACAGGCTCTGAGCCAGCAGCCTGCTGCAGACACAGTCTTCAAAATCAGGAGGGCTGTGCAGGACCAGACAGCCTGCTCCACAGAGGAGCTCAGATGGGCTTTGCTGAGATGCTAGTGACAGGGAATTAAAGCATCTGTTTTCCTCCGGAGGAATCGGTTGACCGGACTCCCCGCCCTCCCCAGTTTTTTTATTGCCACATCCTAGTTAGTCCTCATAATGGGTAAAAAATAAAATTAGTACAACTTTAATACAAGAAATTGACGCCACAAAGGGGAAGGGAGGGTAGCTCAGAACTTTCTTGGCCAGTCTCGGGGATTTTCTGAAGAGCTGGATGTTACATTTCAAAAATCGTGTTTCCAAAGCTGCCAGTCATCCAGGCCCCCAGGCTTTGCACAATTTCAGATTCCTGACCCCTAACCCCTAGAGAGCCAAGGCCGTTCAATTTCTGGTTCATACAGAACAGGAGCGAGACCAGGAATGTGCAGGTGTTTGAGAGCCCCACGGCAGCTGCCCCTTTGTGCTATCGTTGGACATGAGAACTTTGGATGTTAAGCCTGGTAAAGAGGAGGGAGTTACCTCTTACTCAGACAGGACTCAACCTCAGATGTAATTAGGTCTAGATCGTTAGGTTGCCTACCCGTGTGTTACCACCACAGTAGTTTTTAGTCCATAGCAAAGGTAATTGTAGTAGAAACCGTTGGCTCAATGGGTGGGTGTTGAAGGGGCACAGAAGCGGCAAGGGAGAGGTGGCCTTCCAGCACAGAAACCTGAAGAGGGCAAAATACTCTTGTTCTTTTGAGTAGAGCAGGAATGATTCTGACTGTGACAACAGCACTGTTTTGGAGAGGGGACTGGCAGTAAAATGTGCATCACCTTGCTTCTGGGAGCACAGTCTCCACACACATAAGACGAGGCTGGTAAATGCAATCAATGCTGGAGCCCTTCCCAGCACATAGAGAGCAAAGATGGGGACCACTGGCTCTGGATGCCCTTTACCCACGAGACAGAGGTGTCTGTAAGCAATGGCGTATATGGCTGTGGATCACAGCAGAGAGGATGCAGGAGTCAACACCAGACAGAAGAGAAGACCTCTTACTCTGATGAAAAAAGTAGAGTGCGTTGCTCTTTCTTCCAGTCTTCCCTGGAAAGTGGGCAGAGGGGCAGCATCCCAAGAACCAGAGTGCTGTTGCCAATTAGAGTTGACTGGTTTCCCTTTTAAAAGGGAATGCAAAAGCCCCCAGTGTTCTGCAGAGGAAACCCTCAGATGAGGGGTTTTTGTTGAACGAGGGAATTACTGAGGCTGTCTGTTTTGAAAAGCGAGGTCAGTTTCTTTGGTCTGTGTGTCTCATAATTCCATGTTCCTGTCTTTCCCCCATCAGTGAAAGCTCTGTAGATCATACTGATTCCTTTTAAGATAAGCTCTGATGACAGGATGGTGAGACAGGAAAACCTGGTAAAAATGGCATGCTGGCCTCGGAGTAGTATCTCCTCCACACCTTTGGCTCCTCACAGTCCCTGAAGATGACGCCCACAGCGCTGCCTTTGTGAGGAGCTTTGATGTCCTCGGTTTGGCTATGTGTGCTTCAGCAAAGAAATCCTGCATTTAGAGGTGAAAACAATTCAGTGTCTGTGTCTGGCTCATTGTAAATCTCTCCTTGGGTTTCACAAATCGGGCAAAGTGGTTTGACTTTTGAGACTGAAGAAAATGAAGTGACTGTCAAGTTGCAAGCTTCCAAATGCTCACAGCGAGCCCTGGAGTGCTGGGCCCTGTTCCTTGCCAACCAGTCATCAGAAATGGGCTGTCCGTTCCCACATGAAAAACCAGACTAGACCCTGGCATTAACTCCTAGATGGACACCTCCCAGGAGACAGCCCAAGGGTCCTGCCCTGCCAGACAGTGTCAGGAACATCTATGCAAACCAACTGTGGCTGGGAGGGATGAGCTGGCATGTTGCTGTCATTTCTGATGTCCTGACTGCTGGGTTTTTGGAGGATTTGATTTCTGATATACTGACTGGTGGACTTTAGGAGGATTTGGAGACTGGAGTGCATTGCTCCAGCAGGCATCGTGTGTGGGCACAGTGCAATCTGTCTAATAACTCATTCTACCTACTGTGCTCATTTACCTACTTGGTCACAGAGATCATTGTTTATTTCAGAGCTGGACTTCTACCTTTGAACTTGCTTGGAGTGTAGCTGGCACCAGGTGATACTGATGAAGCGTCCTTTGTCCTAGACCCATAGCAAATCCCCAAGCCAACCGAGGAGGATGGCAAGTAATAAGGCCCTTGGCCACCTGCCAGACAGGCTTAGGACATCATTGTCTCCCAAGTTCTGCTGATCCTGGCCTCTGTACTTTCAGCTTACAGCCGGCCTGCACTCTTAGTTAATTTGCTAACTAATGTTTTCCCTATGGAAGAGGCAGATTTTTCCAACTGACATCTCTTTATTGTTGAATGGGCACTGCTATCTTTAAAGCATTCAATTTACTTACATTATATTAGATCTCAAATTATACATGTGAAGATGCTGCTATTTTATATGAAGACAAGGTTGTAGTGTCTTCAAAAACCAAGTAATATTGATCCTGTCAGACCATGTTGGCAGCTGTCTTGACCCCTGGGCCATTGAGTCTGCAGTGTGTGAGTATCTGGGTATAGTCAGTGACACGAATGGTTTAATTTAGAACAGCCTACTGGACAGTTGTGACCCATACAGCAGCTTGCGGAAGTCAGGAGTCCCCACGTCTAACTCTGATGCTGAAGAGGCACCGCCTAGCGAATGCTGTATTCTAATGTTGCGTCTCACGGCATCCAGCACCCGCCACTCTGGACTAAATCCAGCTGGCAGCTGGAGCCCTGATACTTATCAATGCCTCGTGTAGGTTTGTGTCGTGACAAGGTTTCTGCCCCATTGTTATTCTCTGTCTTTATTGTGTTATGAGAGACTCCTGCCTAGAATTCCTAGAGTTATTCTTGAAAATAGAACAACAGAATGCTGGATGGTGAAACTTCAAAAAGAATCAGCAAACAAAAGACACTGAAACTAAATTCTAAAAGGGAGGGCTCAGGGAGACTTGCTGATGTGAAAGCCACAAGCAGAGCATGGCTGCCCTGGCGGGGCTTGGCCCTAGGCAGCAGCTCGGGCCCAGACCAGGGCTGGCCTCTGCATCTGAATTGTCATTATGACACATAATCTGCTGATGTCGTGTGTAATGACAAGGGACTTTACTAAACCCTTTTTGGAAACTTGCATTTTCAAAGAAAGCATTATATGCAAAAACCAAAATGTCATTTTAATTTTTTTTTTAATGGGGAAGAGGGAGTCATTTTGTTGAGAAATGACTAAAGACTGTTCGGCATTAGGGATATTGCATATTGATTAGATGATACCAGGAAATCCTGGGTAGACCGTTGAGCGAAGGCTGTAAACCCTGTCACTTTCTGGGTAGTGTTGAGAGCCACAAAGGAGCACCCTGGGAGGGAGCCTTGGGCAGTGGAGGTCCTGAGGGCCAGTGGGGACTGCGTCTCCAGAGTCCCGCAGTGGAAACTGACTGATTTGGGTAATACCAGCCACTTTGCATTCTTCCAGTTGGTGGACTTAGGAAAACCAAAACAAAGCGAGAACGCTTGTGGCCACTGGTGGGCAACTGAACACAGCTTGTTACTGTTCATGGAACCCTCAGACATTAGCACAGAAGCTTGCGTGGATTTTGACTCATTCATGAGCTGAAATGAAGACATTCCCCTAAAGCTCGGTTTTTTAAACAAAACAGACACTTGGTGTTTCCAGATGTGGTATGAAGGAGCTTTGTTCAGGAGGACTGTTTGAATGGAGTGCAGCTAAGAGAGAAGGCAGAGAATGGATCGACCCAGTTGGAACGTCTTAAGATGGTGGAGACAGAAGACTTAACGAGGCGGTGTGAAAAGCTCTTGAGCAGCCAACGTGTCTTTTGCAGCCTCAGTGTAGAATACCCATTGTAATTTATAAGGCTGCAGGATTGAGAGAGCAAATATAAGAAATGGGAGGAAAGTTAAAAACAACAGGAAAGCACACAGAAGCGGCAACAGAGTAACCGAGAGGCTTTACATGGAGAATTATCACAGACGGGAAGCCAAGAATCAATTTTTCATAATGAGGATGTGTATGTAATTTAGGTGGCTTAACATGGAATTAAAAAAAAATCCACTAATCTCGTTGACACTGGAAAATGGAAGCATTACCACAATCCATATAGGGCAACTCCTACAACCCTGACATGTGTATTTTTTATGTGTACACAAATTTACATTTTAGTCTTTGTATAATTTTCTTAAAAATATAATTGAATCTTTTCAGTGAAAACACTTGGTACAAAATAATTCAAGGCTTCTACAAACCAAAGCAAGTAAAACGATCATGGTGCTCGGTTTAAAGGCCTTAAGTAATGTGGTGTGGCTATCAAGGGTTTGGGGCGGGATCAATTCTGTTTCCCATCCAGGAAGTAGCATCAATTTCCCTCTCCTTCGAGGTTCTACCACCTAATTCATCCTCAGGACTTTCAGAAGAGTCCAAACCTTGGCTCTAAAATTACTTGAGTCACAGACTCCCTGGAGAACTTGAGGAAAGGCACTCATCATTTTGTTCAGAAATCACGTCCAGCCAGGCATGCATAGAACTGGAGCAGTTTCAGGATGTTCCTGGATCTCCTGGAGCTTGAGGTCCAAACCTTTTTGATTGTATTTTCTTACTTAGATATCTGTATACCTCGATCCAGATTGTGGAATTAGAGACACTCAAATGTGTTTATAAAGGCTTTGAAGTATAAGAAAAACACTTGTTTTGGACAATGAATTTTTATTTTTATTTATTTATTGTATTGTATTCTATTTTTTGAGACAGAGTCCCGCTCTGTCACCCAGGCAGGACTGCAGTGATACAATCACAGCCCACTGCTGCCTTGACTTCCTGGGCTCAAGTGATCTTCCTGAGTAGCTGGGACTTCAGTTGTGTATCACCTCACCCAGCTAATTTTTGTATTTTTTGTGTGTGGAGATGGGTTTTTGCCATGTTGCCCAGGCTGGTCTCAAGCTCCTAGGCTTAAGCATCCTCCTTCTAGGCTTATTCCTCCTGCCTCAGCCTGGAATTACAGTGCTGGGATTACAGGCGTGAGCTACCACACCCAGCCTAGACACTGAATTTTTTGAATGCTGAATAAAACTTGCATATACTGCCTGCTCTGAACCATGTTAAAAATATGTTTACACACAGAAAGCACTGGAAGCAACAGTCGTAGTGATGTTCATAGAAGGGATCATAGCGGGATTTCCCTTCTCCTTTCTGTCTCTCACTGTGTAACTTGGGTCCACAAATGCCATTCTCGAGAACACTTCTCCCAGGTGCCGTGGCTGCTGCCAGAGGCACCTCCGGAGTTCCTGGCCAAGCTCTCTGGGCTTCTGCTTTGACACCTAACCTGAGGGTGACTGTGGGGTTCAGTGTGGGGGCACAGGATGGAGGGTCAAAGGAGAAGCCTGAGCATCTTCACAAGTCCTCGGGTTTACCCTGAGATTCAGGAGCAAGTCACTGTTGCCCTAACTCTACTCAGCAATGCCGTAGAGTGGAAGACAGGATGCCCCTGTCCTGGGTTCTCAGCACAGACACAGCTGCAGGCAGAGCCTCGCAGGCGACCCCTAGGTGGGACCCCTGGTGCCCTGCACTGATGTGCTTGCAAGGAGGTGGTGAGGAAGCCAGCTCCCCTCTCATCCCCTTGTGACTGGCCCACAGGGAGTTGCACAGGGAAATTAACATGAATGGAAATCATCAAGTCCTCAGAAGTGACTCCAGGAGGCAGCTCAAGCCCTCCTGCCCAGTGAGTCCCTGTTATGGCGCCATGTTTCCCCCTTCCTCTTGACGGCCTCTCCAGGGTGCACACCAAGCCCTCCTGCAGATGGGCTTGTGCAAAACCAGCTGAGGCTTGGTAGACACACTCAGGCACAGTGTCTTGATCAAAGGTGATGCCACTGGGCAAAGCCTGGCTCAGACTCCACTCTGCACCCCATCACTTGACAACATGCACGTTGATGGGGTCTACTTTAATCACCAGGAAAGAAAAACACATTTACAAGCATCAACAGCTGCTAACAAATTGAAAGAAAGATAATCAGACATGATGAGCCTCCTGCTGGAAGAATGCCTGATAACTTACGCAATAATCATACGAGAAAGGAGAACCAGGATCTAAAGAAGCCTCTAGAACCAACCACTAAAGAATGAAAAGATAGAGGACAGAGAAACACAAGAACCAACACCACAGAGATGTAATTCCAAGAATCCTGTAACCAGCAAAACACACTGTGGAAGACTCAGTAAGGGAAAGATCCGGTTTCTTTAACAAATACATTGAACATAAAAATAAAATTTAAGGTAAAGCCTAAAGACTAAAAGAGAAGATGTGAATCTGTTGCACAATCTGGACTTTATTAGGATCCTCAAACAAACATATTAAATTATGATATTGATGACACAGCTGGGAATTGGAACACTAGCCCTTCAGGGATGTTAACGAATCATTAATGCTCTAGATGTTATGGTGATATTACGGTTATGTTTTAAAAAATCCTTATTTTTTAGAGATGCATATTGAGATATTTTCATGTCTGGAATCACCTTCAAAACGCTGTAGGGGTTGGGGGCATACACTGAAAATTGTGAAGGCTGAGTGGACAGGAACCCAGAGGTGTTTTATTTTTTATATGTTTGAAATTTTGCATTTTTTAAAAAAGAAGAGAACAGACACACTGTGCCGAATAGGGTTCTTTCCAAGTCCACTGGAACCCAAAAGCCAGAGGAAGGGAAAGAATGACAGAGCATGAATCAGGATCAGGGAGGTGAGAAACAGCAGGCGCAGGGAGACTCCGGTAGGAATGCTCACCCAGGAAAGGTGGAACTGAAAATAACGGCACACACACGACCGTGGCTGGGAAATCGCGCCGCTGCCTCCACATCAGATGTGGGGCCGCTTCTATCAGAGTGATGGAGCCATCCCTCACCGAGGTCTCTTTGTCCCTGCCCAGCTGGTCCGTGGGGAACTGGAGTGCCTGCAGTCGGACGTGTGGCGGGGGTGCCCAGAGCCGCCCCGTGCAGTGCACACGGCGGGTGCACTATGACTCGGAGCCAGTCCCGGCCAGCCTGTGCCCTCAGCCTGCTCCCTCCAGCAGGCAGGCCTGCAACTCTCAGAGCTGCCCACCTGCATGGAGCGCCGGGCCCTGGGCAGAGGTAACCAGGGTGGGGTTGGCATGGGTGGCAGCAGGGCCCCTGCATGATCTGCTGTGTTGCACATGGCCCTCACTGGGTGCTTATCCTGACTGTTCTGTGCAGTGCTCACACACCTGTGGGAAGGGGTGGAGGAAGCGGGCAGTGGCCTGTAAGAGCACCAACCCCTCGGCCAGAGCGCAGCTGCTGCCCGACGCTGTCTGCACCTCCGAGCCCAAGCCCAGGATGCATGAAGCCTGTCTGCTTCAGCGCTGCCACAAGCCCAAGAAGCTGCAGTGGCTGGTGTCCGCCTGGTCCCAGGTAGGTGCACTGGTCTCGCGGGAGCGAGGTTGACTAGCTCTCCCCTCGGGACTGCCTCTTCTCTCCTGGTTTTTCTCTTCTCACTTCTCTCTCTTCTCCCCTTATATCTCTTCTTGGCTTCCTTGCACCTTCTCAGCTTCCAACAACTTCATGGGGTTGCTTAATCTCCTTTGGCTTCTGAATCGTGTCCTGGGAGCAAATCACACAGTGGCGTCCACGTCATCATCACTGGTCCAGCGTGGAGCAGAGGACGAGAGGGTTGAGGGGGTGTGAGCGTGAGAATAGGGGTTCACTCATCTCACTGACAGCGGGGCCCTGGAGACTCACCTAACTCCTGGGCAGGTGTAGCCACATTCCAGGAAATGCGCGGCTCCTGAAGAGCAGGAAGAACATGCGTTGCTTGGGAAGAAACAGTACCCATTTCCTGAGACAAGTTTCCGGGGGCAGCTGTTCTATTTGCGAAAGGAAACTCTCCTGTTAGTTTTGTTGAAATCGATCACCTGTTGCTGCAGGAGGCTGGGAAGCCGTTTCCTCTACACCATTCAGGAGCTGTCCTGGAGCCCTTCATCATGGGAATAACGTTGGAATCATGAGTTTGGAATACTGATGGTTTCATGACCAGCTTTGGACCAAGTGGTTCCAAAAGCACTTTGGAAATCTTACACCCCACAGAGTGGCAACAGCACCACCAGCCAAGCATGAACCTGTCTGAACGGGGTATTGAGAGATCACCGTAACCCAGAGCTGTGCCTCTGCATTGCCACAGCAGCTGTGGGAAGAAAGCTCCTCCCTGATCCCACGCTCCTCAGGGAGGGACCCGGATCTCATCAGGCACTGCGTTTTCTCCACCCTCGAACGATGGCTTCTTTGTTCAGATTGGTAGGAAGTGCCAAGCAAGGCATTGAATCCTGTTGAGACTCTGTTTCAGTTTGTTACTAAAAAATAAGAACACCCTTGCTCGCTTAAGTGAGCTTGCCATTGCTAACAATGCACTTCAGGTCCTCTTTCACCTGGAGGGTAGGAATGAGTGTCCCACAGAACTGAACGCACTGTCATTGGAAAAGACACATCCCTGGGTGCATATCCCTAGAGGCAGAGTCTACAGAAAATAAGCGATGTGGGCTGCATAATCTATGGGCTGTGTCCAGGTAGAAAGTCCTTGCCCTGAAATTTAATACATGCACACACATCCCACACCACACACACACACACACATCCTACACCACACACACACACACATCCCACACCACACACACACACACACATCCATCCCACACCACACACACACATCCCACACCACACACACACACACACATCCCACACCACACACACACACATCCCACACCACACACACACCCCACACCACACACACACATCCCACACCACACACACACACATATCCCACACCACACACACATCCCACACCAAACACACACACATCCACACCACACACACACATCCCACACCACACACACACAATCCCACACCACACACACAATCCCACACCACACACACACATCCCACACCACACACACACACATCCCACACCACACACACACATCCACACCACACACACACACATCCCACACCACACACACATCCCACACCACACACACACAATCCCACACCACACACACACACACATCCCACACCACACACACAACCCACACCACACACACACATCCACACCACACACACACACATCCCACACCACACACACACAATCCCACACCACACACACATCCCATACCACACACTCACACATCCCACACCATACACACACACACACACACACGTCAGAGCTTCTCTCTTAGGCCTGGATCAGCGAGCAACCAAGAGGAGTGTTCCAAGTCCTCTCCATCTTCGATCAGGATGCACAAAAAGCACACCTGTAAGCCTAAAGATGTGAGTGCAAGGTCAGGACCTGGGCAGGTGTTGCCACCTGGGCTCCTCTGCTGGGGAACCTGGGGACACTTCAGCCAGAGGTCCACTGGAGCTGCACAGCATCGTCCGCTCTACCCCAGCAGGAGACAGCAACGCCAGGGGCCGGGACCTCTGTCCCAGAGACCCTCCGCGCCCAGTCTGTGGTGGGACAGTGTGCCTTGCTCCTGTGTGTTCTCCCTGCAAGTGGGGGCTGCAGCCTCCTGCCTGGCCTGCTCGTTTGCACAGGGCACCTCTGCACAAGCCAGGGTGTCTGCAACTGGAGCAGCTCAAGCTTAGAGCCTGCCTTAGTGGAGAGCTAAGGGACGTGCTCTCCACGCACGCTTCCTTTCCTCGCAGGCAGCACTCAGATGCCTAGGGAAGATTGTGAGCCCTGAGTTTCTTCTACCTGCCCCAGCTTTAGGGGCCAACATCACTGCATTTGCGTGGGTTAATCCATGGACCCGTGGTAGTTACCACATGTACTTATGTATTAAGTTTCAGTATGCTTCGATATCAGTGACAGCCCAACATTTTAATTTTCCAGTGAAACGGTAGCTTTAGAATTACTCCCTTCATGGTTTCTGACTGCCCTGCCCCTACTTATGCCCCATGATGCTGTGCCACTGACTTCAAGTTCCTCTTATTTTTAATGATAGATTCTATAATGTCTCTTAAAAATGCTAAGGTCCAATAATTTTCACTGAATGTTCACACTTATATAAATGTTCAAGCAGATATCTCTGATATTTTAACCCACAGATTTTGCAAAAAAAGAGATTTTTTTCACTGACTTCTTTTGTTCTCTTCTTTTTAGTGCTCTGTGACATGTGAAAGAGGAACACAGAAAAGATTCTTAAAATGTGCTGAAAAGTATGTTTCTGGAAAGTATCGAGAGCTGGCCTCAAAGAAGTGCTCACATTTGCCGAAGCCCAGCCTGGAGCTGGAACGTGCCTGCGCCCCGCTTCCATGCCCCAGGCACCCCCCATTTGCTGCTGCGGGACCCTCGAGGGGCAGCTGGTTTGCCTCACCCTGGTCTCAGGTAGGGGAGGCCCTCGGTTCCTGGAGAGTGGGCGAGCACAGCTTGGCCTGGGGTTGGCCGCTGGCTCCCGGGGATGCTTCTGCGAGGGTGTTTTCCCCAAAGCTGGCCAAGCTACTGCATGAGGTTTTCTTTCCAGAGCATGTGCGGGTGGCCTGGTTCCTGGGTGTGGGTGTGGCTTTCTGAGGATGGTCTCCAAGTGTTGCTGAATCTTTTAGGGCACATATGTTTTCCTCTAAATGTCACCCAATTAAGTATAAGGAAATGCAATGCCTTGGGTAAAATCTGGGCTGAATTCCCCAGAGATGAGTGTGAACAGGAAAGGAATGCGAGCCCTGGGATAAATAGGTGGTTGTTCTTTTCAGCCCACCCTCAGCCCTCACTGTTTCCTGATCGGGTCGCTAGCAGCCTCATGCCCACCATGGAGCGGGGGTTCCTTCCTCGGGGTCTTTGTTCCTGTGTTTCTCCTCGTCTGTGCCCGCGCCTCCCACCACCCCTGCGATGCTGCTGGCATTTCTGCTTTCGGGTCGGGGTGGGCCCAGACCCCTTAGGAGTTCCGAAGGCTGACACTCGGTTCTCTGCAGCACACTGCAAGCGTGTGCACTGGCTTGTGGCTGCCCGGTAGAGAGGCGCTTCATCTGGTCTCCTTTTCCCATCTCTTGGCTGGGAGAGTGAGCCTCTTTCTAATTTACACAGAGGCCCTCTGCCTGCTGCAGAGGCCCTGGCTCTGATTCTCTCCTTTTGGAGAGATGGAGGTGGAAGGAAGCAGGCGGAAGGGAATAGGAGTGACTGCGTGTGGCAACAGCCCCTACATGTGCTCTCTCACTGTCTCGCCCATCTCCATGTGGGTCCCTAACTGGGTGCCACAGTGGAATGGACAGGAATAAGTGCAGGGACAACAGCTAGCCACCGTGGAGAGCCCTGTGTGCTGGCGCTGCTCTGAGTCAATTCCTTTCTCTCTCCTATTAGCCCTCTAAGGGGGTAACCTTATCATCCCTATTTCACAGATGAGGCAACTGAGGCACAGAGTCAGCTCCCACAGCGCTAGTGAGAGGCACAAGCTCACCTGCTCGATGGGGTCCACACGTGTCATTTGGCTTTGGAGAATAGTCACTGCACTGGGGTCCTTGGGTCCTAGACATGGTCCTGCCCGGCGCCCTCTGCTCTATATCCCCACTTCTAGGAGGCAGACAGAGGTTGCATTTCCTGGGCGAGGGCAGCAGAACAAAGACCCGGTCGAAGCCTATTGTCATGGGGGCTGAATGCTGGTTGCTAAAAAGCAAATGACAATGACCTCATGCATGTGCTTCTGCTTCCCACCTCATCAAAACACCTCCGCCTCCGGCCAGGGTTGCATGACCATAACAGGTGGCACACCCAAGGTGAAGTCTTACGTTGATCGTGCCACCAAGACACCCGTCACCAAAGCCTTTCCCGCATCCTCCGTGGTTTCCAGCATCTGATTCCAGAGGCCATTGGGCTGTGGCCTGTGCTCTGTCATTCAGAAAAACTTTCACAGGTCTTTGCCTGTCTCCAAAGACATTTCCCAAGTGATCAGCGTGGTGTCTGGTGCCATAGGAATAACCCTATCCACAGTGTACGTACAGCCTTCCCTCTCTGCCCACCTCTTGCCACTGTCCACAGAGAAGTCCGTGCTTGGCCTCTCACAAGAGTCCTCTTCCCAGTTTGCCCACTCATCCACCTCTTCAGGCCAACCTGTTCTGGGTCCCCCTGCACTGTACCAGGTGTTGCTGTGAGCTATCAGCATAACAAGCCCATCCCAAGGAGGAGGGAGCACCCTCCCAGGGAGCACCTCACACCCTCAACCTCCCCCAGGGCCTGTGCTAAAAGGAAGTATGGACAGAAAACAGACAGCTGCCTGGACACGCTTCCCATCCCATTGTGGGCCCCGAGCCTAGTAAGGCCAGCATAGATCAAGGCTACTCAAAAGCAGATAGGATCCCTGTAATCCCAGCACTTTGGGAGGCCGAGGCACGTGGATTACCTGAGGTCAGGAGTTTGAGACCAGCCTGCCCAACATGGTGAAACCCTGTCTCTACTAAAAAATACAAAAATTAACCGGGTGTGGTGGTGCACGCCTGTAATCCCAGCTACTCAGGAGGCTGAAACAGGAGAATTGCTTGAACCCAGGAGGCAGAGGTTGCAGTGAGCCTGGATGGCACCACTACACTCCAGTCTGGGTAACAGAGAGAGACTCCGTCTCAAAAAAAAAAAAAAAAAAGCAGATTGGATCACATGAAAACCATCAAGAATGATGTTTATCCAGATTGCTTTGTTATGCTATGTGTTTTACATGTATATTCTATATATTTACCAGTGTGCATATTCACTCACATACGCACTCACACACACATGCATAAACCACATATACAGTCATCCCTCTCTACGGGAATTGGATACCAAAATCTGAGGATGCACAAGTTCCTGATAGAAGATGGCACAGTATTTGCATGCAGCCTACACACATCCTCCAGGTGGCTGAAGCCATCTCTGGATTGTTAATAATGCCTAATACATGCTGCACACTTCTTCGTTCTCATGGCGTCAATGTAGTAAGTGGTGCGCTTTTTGGAATTTTGTGAAATTTTTTTTTCAAATATTTTTGATCTGCAGTTGGTTGATTTGGTTGGTTGATTTCAGGGATGTGCAACCCACAGATAAGGAGGGCTCACTGTCTTTGATATACCATATATATGCCAGCCATGCGCCTAACCCATAGTAAGTATTCAGGAAATGCTTGCTGAATGGTGAATTTTAAAGGAAAGGCAAATTCAATGAGCGGGTCCCGGCAGCTACTAATATTCCGTCTTTAGAGAAGTTTCCTCCTGCAGCACAGAACATCAAAGCACACACTGGTCTGGGGTTTTTCTTTCATTGTGCGTGGATACTGTGCATCTGTTGAGAGACCTGGTTTTGACAGTATCATCTTTAAAAGCCAAAGGTAACCCTCACTGGCCAACCATGTGCTTCCTGGCTGCTGACCCATGATGCAAGTGGAAACAGATACACCCAAGCACACTGCTGGTTTGGGGTGGGCTGGAGAGTGCATGTGTGGGTTTAGGAGAGACAGGTCATGTCCTCGTGTGTGTGTGTGTGTGTGTGTGTGTGTGCATGTGATCAGAAGAGGGAGAGGCGCTGCCAGAGAAAGCAAACGGAATGTGGCCAGACGAGCTCATAAACAGTCGTGCACAGTTCACATCCCAGTCAGGTGGCCAGGTCCCCTAGTAACCAATTTGATTGGGTTTTTAAGGATTGAAGAATTCCTGAGACTGACCTGCCAGTGGGGCAAAACCCACCATAGGCCACTCCGCAGGCAGAGGAGTGCAGAAATTAGTGCAGGTGCCTGTTGGGCAGCCGGGGTCAAGGTGTGAACAAAGGAGGCTGAGCTCAGCAGCCAAGCATCCCCCAAATGCTTGGTCAGATGGAACCATTTGTCCCTGACGATGACCAGCTCTCCCCAAGCCTGTGTCTCTCCTCTCATGTCCACCATCCTCCAGCTCGTAGGACCCCACCCACACTGCGCAGCCCATCTCTCATCCTTCCTAGCCCCCAATTCCCTTTTCTGTGGCCACTTCCAGCCCGCCACTGGTCATCTCTCCTCTGGAGAGGGACCCCACACTGTGTCTCATTGGCAGCGTCCTGCGCTGAGTAATGTCTCCAAAACTCATGTCCACCCGGGACCTCAGAATATAATCTTATTGGAAATAGATGCAGATGTAATGACCTGGGCTGACATCATCCTGGATTAGAGTGGGCACTAAACTCAAAGACTGGCTGTCCTCGTGAGAAGACCACAGGAAGACACAGAGACTCCTCACATGGGGAGCAAGTGGTGGGTGGCACTGGCTGTGTGATGGGTGACAGAGGCAGGCATCGGAGTGGTGCCCATATGACAAAGAACACCGAGGACTGCCAGCACCACCAGATTCTGCACCAGGCATGACGGGCCCTCCCTCAACCTCCAGAAGGCACCACCTCTGCTGCTCATACCTTAATTTTGGATTTCTGGCGTCCTAAACTGTGAAAGAATAAATTTCTGTTATTTTGAGCCCCTAGTTTGTAGCAATTATTACAGCAGCCCCAGGGAACTCACATGGGTGTTATTTGTGTCCTTGTCTCATTTTGTCTGTTCCTGACCCCAGAGAGGGTCAGCTGCCTGAAGGCAAGTGCCTTCTTTCACTTTATATGCTGCAGAGCCCTAGCCCAGAGCCACGAGGACCAGAGATATGTGAGCAGCAGGGGCTGGATCTCACTGAATGCCCGTGGCTTCTGCTGGCAATTGGACTCCTCCCGTGTCAAGCTAGAGACACAGAATCAAGACCTCAGGGCCCTGTGCCTCGCAGCCCCTGTGGCCAGGACATTGAGAAGTGAGGGACTTGCTGGCTTGTCCACTCTCGGCCTTCCTGACTCCCCCTGAACCGAAGTAGCCCCAACTCTGCAGGCCTCTGGCATCACTCACACCCACCACCTACCGAGACCTAAAATCAGCATCTGCCAAGTTCAACCCAGCCCTGCACGGGAAGCTGCAATGGACCAGGCGAGTTTGACATAGGCAAAAAAAAAAAAAAAAACAAAAAAACAAAAAAACATTCTTATTGTTTTATCTAAATCTAAAGGAAACAAACAAATATTTATCTGAACCAATTTAATCCGCCCTGGAATCTTTTTTCGGTATTAGCTAAAATTTAACTAAAATAAAACCAGCTCGAAATCCCCTCCAAATGACACGACCCTTCACTCCGCTCGCTGGAGCTCCGGGTGTGCATGTGTGAGACGGCGTTGCTGTGTATTAGTCTGCTCCTTTTTTTTTTTTTTTTTTGAGATGAAGCCTTGCTCTGTCACCAGGCTGGAGTGCAGTGGGGTGATCTTGGCTCACTGCAATTTCCGCCTCCCCAGTTCAAGTGATTCTCCTGTCTCAGCCCCCCGAGTAGCTGGGACTACACGTGCACACCACCATGCCCAGCTAGTTTTTGTTTTTGTTTTTTTTGGTTGTTTTTTTTTTGAGATGGAGTCTCACTTTGTCACCCAGGCCCAATCTCGGCTCACTGCAAGCTCCGCCTCCCGGGTTCAAGCCATTCTCCTGCCTCAGCCTCCCAAGTAGCTGGGACTACAGGCACCCGCCACCACGCCTGGCTAATTGTTTGTATTTTTTAGTACAGTTGGGGTTTCACCATGTTGGCCAGGATGGTCTCGATCTCCTGACCTTGTAATCCACTCGCCTCAGCCTCCCAAAGTGCTGGGATTACAGGCGTGAGCCACTGCACTCGGCCATCGGTTCGCTTCTTTAAAAACCGTAGTGTCCGAGCCTGTCTGCTGCTGTATTTCTTTATTTCTCCACAGAATGTTTGGTCCCAGTCCCTGAGCTCTGCAGGGACTGGGAACCCGGGGAGAAGCAGCTTGTAAAGAGCTCTCCCCAGCTCTGCGTGCTTTGCTGTGTTGTGGGCCAGCTCCACCTCTGCTTCCTGTTTACCTCCAAACCAGATGCAGCTTTTTCATTTAGAAATACATGAACCCCTCCCCCAAAAGTATTCCAGTTAGAAATAAATAATTGAAATTAAATTATTGGAGCAGGGAGCATTTGAACTCTATCCTTTGCAAGCATGTCCTATTTTAAATGGACAAAAAGTATCAGTAGCTACAAACTTTGCCCAGGAGACCTCTTGTCATTTTCTCTCTTTTTTTGTTGTTTTTTGTTGTTGTTATTTTTTTTTTTTTTTTGAGACAGAGTTTTGCTCTTGTCACCCAGGCTGTAGTGCAGTGGTGCAATCTCAGCTCACTGCAACCTCCACCTTCCAGGTTCATGCAATTCTCCTGCCTCAGCCTTCCAAATAGCTGGGATTACAGGTGTGCTCCACCACTCCCAGCTAATTTTTGTAATTTTAGTAGAGACGGGGTTTTGCCGTGTTGGCCAGGCTGGTCTCGAACTCCTGACCTCAGGTTCGAGAAGTGGATTCGCCCACTTCGGCTTCCCAAAGTGCTGGGATTTCAGGCATGAGCCGCTGCACCCAGCCCCCTTCCTTTTGTTTTCTTCTGAGTCTGCTGTCTTTTGAGTCAGGTAAAGCAGCAAGTGAGCTAGGCAGCTGAGTCGAGGCATTTCTCAGGCAGATACTTTGCCTTCTCTGTCTGTGGGAAATGTGGGTCAGGGACAAAGAGGAAACTGAGGACGCTGAAACTGAACCCTAACCTCTGGCTGCCAAGCCCACGTTCACCACCCTCCTGCTTACTGCAGAGACTTCAGGCAAATTTAGAAAGTGGAAAACAAGCTTTATCATTATTTAACGTATACCCTAAAATACATCTAAAACCTAAACTGTATCTTCAATAGCTGTTGCCGGTCTGAGATACTCAATCTGTTTGTCTAAGTCATTTTTACCACAAGCTGGCTGAAGTCTTTATCCACCATGATTCATCTGCTATGTTCTGAGGTTGTAACTTTTCCTGGGGGTGGTAATGGCTGAAAGGGCTGTGTTTACCATAGCACTTGTGCCCAAGTCTCTGCCTTCACACTGTGGGAAATTGTCAGACGGTAATGAATGGCCCGGGCCTGGCTGAACTTTGCCACCAGACAGGCTTATTCTTGTGACAGTCTAAAGATCGCCCTTCCTATTATTTGGTCTGCAGGATTTCCATTGATTTAAATGTTTTGCTTATCTTCACATTTCATGGTGCAGGGCAGCGCAGGACTGATTTAAATCACTGCAGTCATTTGGGCTTAGTGTCAGGTTGTTCCCACGCTAATTTGGTCTGGGAATGGCTTGCATGCGATCACCTGTTGGAAACTGACCCCACATGCAGAGACAGGGTGTGCCCTCAGTGCTGGGCAGTGTGGGGGGTGGGGGCTGGCTCATTCTGGGAGCTCCCCACAATTTGGTCAATTTGTGACCAGGACAGCGCACACACTGATTTGGAAACTCATGGGCACTGAGGGGCAGCAGCCGTGTCAGAGAATGAATTTGATTTTCCACCGTGGCAATTAAGACTGCATGAGACTGCATTCTGCACCAAGTGCACACGGGAGCACACATGTGCCTGCGTGTGTACGCAAACACACACAGAGTGCATGGAGATCTCAACCGATGAGGCTGGGTGAACGCTGCGCAGTCCATCCCAGGGTTATCCCCTGAACCCTGATCTAGTCTCCCACCTCTGATAATTCCACACTAAATCTGCTGTCATCATCTCCCAAAATTATGTGGTGCCCAGAAAAACAAGAACCGGCCTGCTGCTGGATAGAGAAGGTGACCATGCACACCTCCTGGGTTTGAGGGAGTTTATATTTGTAACCAGTGGGATTTGTACAAAAATTCACAACGTCGGTTATGTGGACAGCAGAGGTGTCTGTGAATGAGGCCATTGAGGTCTCTGCCATCCCATCCTGAAATGAGCATGGACATTTGGTCCTGGAATAGTGGAAAGTTGCAGGGCAGAAGCTCTAAGCTGGGAGAGAGAGAGCACACCAAGGCCCTCAGGAGGAAGGTGAATAAAGAGAGGGACTTAGAGCAGGCCTCTCAGGAGAGACTTCACAGTAAGAAAATAAATGTGTGAAGCCTGTGGCCTCCAGGAATTAGCATGTATTTATTTTCTGTTCCCTTTGTTTGAGAGATGAGCTCTGCCCCGCAGGAGTCTGTGTGATTGTCAAGGCTCCAGGTGATTTTTAGGATCCGTCTGTTTGGAAGTCACCAAGGGAATGCCTGGAAGGTGAATTCTAAATGGCTGTGCTGAGTTTTAAGCCATCGTATTTGGGAGACTGAGGAACAACTTGGATTTTTTTCTTCCTGGAATGAAAAGTGAATAAACATTTTCAGGTTTCTTCTTTTTCATCTCCTAGTATATCACCATCTTTATCCATTCAAAATATTTTCAAAATGTGCAGCTGAACATCTTTCTTTCATCTTACATAAAGAAATGAAAATTTTGAGAAATGTGGAAGCTTTTCTCCCCATGGATTTTTTTCACGGGGAATTGTAAAACTCTCTGGACTAGTGCTTCTCACACCTGTGCATAGGAATCATCTGGGAACGGCACCGATTCTGACACTGTGCATCTTGGAAGCAGGGATGCTGAGAGTTGGCCCTGATAACAAGCTTCCCCACAGGCCCCTGTGGCTGGGCCAAGAACCTCACTGTGAGTAGCAAGGTTTTGCAACTGTCCTAAGGCTCAGGGCCAAGTCGACTGTGTTCATTACTTATGTCAAGTGCCTAGAACAGTGCCTGGTACTGGGGAGGTGGGCGATTGTATTAGCCCATTCTCACGCTGCTAATGAAGACATCTGAGATGGTCAATTTATAAAAGAAAGAGGTTTAATTGACTCACAGTTCCGCAGGACTGGAGAGGCCTCAGGAAACTTACAATCATGGTGGAATGGGAAGCAAACACGTCCTTCTTCACATGACGGCAGCAAGGAGAAGTGCTGAGGAAAGGGGGAAAAGCCCCTTGCAAAACCATCAGATCTCATGAGAATTCTCTCACTATCACAAGAACAGCATGGGGGTAATTGCCCCCGTGATTCAGTTACTGCCCTCCTGGTCATGCGGGGATTATGGGATTATGACACTTAGGGATTATGGGAACTACAGTTCAAGATGTGATTTGGGTGGGGACACAGCCAAACCATATCAGTGATTAAAATCTGCTGAATAAGTGAATCAGTGACAAAAATGAATCAAACCACATATTAATTATTTTGGAACTGTTTAAATGATACAAAAAAAAAAACCAATGGCTAGATCTCTTGATTTCTAATTGAGGCATATCTTAAGCAAGAATGGAATTCTGCCTGAGCCGCTTATCATAAAATAAATCTAACTCAAGAAACGAAAGATGTTGTGGACACTGATGGATGCGGATGTGGCCAAAGGGTTCCTGTGAGCTGCTGTCTCAGCAGGGTGACCACAGCCCCAAGGTTCTCGGCGCACTGTGTGAGCTAAGAGGGTGTCTGGAATGCAGACAGCAGAGAAAAAAGGCAGAAATGTGGTTCTGCAGAATGTTCCGAAAGATGTAATAAGTGATGGGCAACATCTGGCTCTATCCTTGTGACCCTGATAATTCTGAAATCAAACGTGAATCTCCCCACATTATTTTTTCTACTTTCCGTAGTCATATATTGTTGGCAACTTTTTCTAAAATTGGGTTTGAAGCAAAGGGAGTAAGCCTCCCAGATAAGTTCCAGACACATGCTCAGGGGCTCAGCCATTCCTCATCCAGAGGGGAAAAAAACAGACAAACAGTTTCAGCTTGTGACTTTCAGGGCCATTTGTGTCTCCAACTTTTCTCCTCTCAGTGGGCAGATAAAGATGTTTGACTTGCTCCATCACTGAATCCCATCCCCAGCGATTTAAGTCACTTCGTAAAGCTCTGATTGCAGGAGGTCCCAGAAAGGTTCAGTCCCTGGTTGTTCACTTGCAGGCTGGTTTGGGCTGTGGAGAACCAGCCCCAGGCCTGATGCCTTCACTTGCTGGAATGGTCTCTGACATACTCTCTTGTAGGTTTGGGGCAGCAAAGGGAGTCATGCATGTCCCCAGTTTTTCACAGTGTGATCCTTGCATTTTAAAGCAACAGTTTTGTTGTTTTTTTCACCCACCATGCACCAGGACTTCCAAAATGTTATCTGACCCAATCTTCTTGCAGGTGCTCCTTTAATTGCTTACATTTCCAACATATTCCAACCCTAGCCTCGTTTGAGCACAATTTACATGATTTAGTCTAGACAGTGGGTAGTTTTATTTTTCAGATGACTCAATCACAGATTCCAGTGTCTCTGTATCTTTAGCTGCCTAACCACTGATTTATTTTCAGTGGTTGATCTCAGATGGGTCCTGCTCATGTTCTGTGGCATGTGCATTATGCCAGCTCATGAAAGATAATCTAACTGAGCTCACTCCCTTCCTTCCCTCTCTCTCCCTGTGCTGTTGATACTCCAAGTATTGGGGGAGCCTCAATAGGATGCCAACACCTTAGCAAAATAAGCCCCAGCAGCTGGCAGTGCCCACCCTCATGCATCAGGGGCCTGGGAATGTGGGTGATGGTGCCACTGTAAAGATTGGCTTGTCAAGCTTCTCCCCGTCGGACCACCAGAAAGGGTGGCTTGTCAAGGGCATTCCCTGAAGGGCACTACTTCTTTCACGCTAGGCTCAGAGAACAAGCCTGGTATCCCCAGATATGCACCAGTTTCCTTGTGGCCATGCAACCATCATTGACACACTCAAAAATACTCTAGACTTCCAGACACTTCTCCTTCTATCCATACCTAGATTAATTTTGGCCAGCCACTCACAGTTGTAGACAGAGAGACCACCTCAAATGGTCTGGGTGGAGGGGCGGTGCTTTCAAATGCAGAGGCAAGAGGAAATGAGGGGTTACCCCAACCAGCAGTGACAAGGGCTGGTCCTGGGGACAAGAGTTAGGGAAGTAAGTACCTTTGCGCCAGGTCCCAGGTGGTAACATCAGCAACCGTGTTCTCTGAAATACCGTAAATAGAAACCAAGATGTTAAGTCTTTTCATGTTTTTCAATCAGAAGGATAACTTGTAGGTAACTTTATTGGCAGGGGGATCTAAGTTTGTTCTTCCTTGCTGCCTGTAATTTGAGGAGATAATATGCCAATCCATGAATATCAGCTTTTTTAATCAGTATACTTACTTACTTACTTACTTATTTATTTATTTTTGAGATGGAGTTTTGCTCTTGTTGCCCAGGCTGAAGTGCTGTGGCATGATCTCAGCTCACTGCAACCTCTGCCTCCCAGGTTCAGGCGATTCTCATGCCTCAGCTTCCCAAGTAGCTGGGATTACAGGTGCCCACCACCAGGCCCAGCTAATTTTTTTTCTTTTTTTAATAGAGACGGGGTTTCATCATGTTGCCCAGGCTGATCTCGAACTCCTGACCTCAGGTGATCCACCCGCCTCAGCCTCCCAAAGTGCTGGGATTACAGGCATGAGCCACCGTGCCCGGCAGTATATTTACTTTTTTAAAAAGTGAACTCAGCCCCCACAAAGCCCAAGCCCGGGAACCGTCTGTTGAGACTATAGAATCCAACTCTAGCGGTTCAAATCCCAGCCTGAGCAAGTCCTGTCACCGCTCAAGGCTCAAGGCTGTCTTCTATCTGAAAACAGGAAGGGTTCCAGGAGCTATGTCAGCTGGTTGGTTTGGAATGCTCTGCTAGAGGCCTGGCCCAGCACATGCCTGGTGCTTGCTTCTGGAAAAGGTGAGCAGGGACCGTGCTCACTCGCGCACATCGTGGCCAACCATAACTCCACCTGCCTCTGCGACTAAGTCGCTCTTCCCTCACTGGCCTGCAGCAGCAGGCCTTTTAGAAAGGTGGGCACACTGAGGTTGACCAGGTGCCTGAGAGCCTGGGGCCATGGTGACATGTGTGTGTTGCTCTCACAGTGCACGGCCAGCTGTGGGGGAGGCGTTCAGACGAGGTCCGTGCAGTGCCTGGCTGGGGGCCGGCCGGCCTCAGGCTGCCTCCTGCACCAGAAGCCTTCGGCCTCCCTGGCCTGCAACACTCACTTCTGCCCCATTGCAGAGAAGAAAGGTGAGTACATGGGGCCCCTCAGCATGACCTGGGCATGGGGCTGGAATGTCAGGTTTCTGGAGCAGTTCCTTGGGGGGCCTGGAGTTAGGGTCTTGCGTCTGATCTACCTTTTCTCTCTTTGCATCTTCTCCAGTTTTACAATGAAATGGTCCATAGAGCAGACCGGGCTGCCTCTCATGATGCCCCAGGACAACATAGATGGTAGTGACATAAGCGTGACTTCTTTCCTATATCAATGCTGTTCACTATATTTAAAGAAAGCAATCTTAACTAAAGCAGCTTTTCTCCCTAGGATAAACAAAAGCCTCCCTTATTCACTGGGTGCCCTCTAAATGCCATCCCTGTGCACACACAAAATCCCCCAGCATTGCGGAGACAGATGGCTGGGCGCCTGTTAAGGCTATTCTGAGAGATAATGTGGCTTGAGGAAGGCGAGTGGTTTGGCTCAACCAGAGAATTGGAGAATTGAAATTCAGTCAACAGAGGCTCCAATGGGTAGATGCGTGGTTGAGTGAGTGGGGTCAGCACAAGAAGAAAATTTCAGTTTTGCAGAAAACTTCCAAGAAGGCTCTTGTGAAAATAATAGGTTCCACGGGACCCCCATCAGACCTGGGGGCTGCCTCTCTGCAGCAGCCGCAGAGCGTGACAAATTCGCTTTTATTTGCCAGACAGAGCTATTAGCTGGCAACATCAGTCGCTGCACTCGGGATCGCTGAGTAATGCAGCTCTGCTCATTTTCAGATGCCTTCTGCAAAGACTACTTCCACTGGTGCTACCTGGTACCCCAGCACGGGATGTGCAGCCACAAGTTCTACGGCAAGCAGTGCTGCAAGACTTGCTCTAAGTCCAACTTGTGAGTTGGGACCGCTCTCCGTAGCAGAGAAAGTGCCTGCGTGGCACAGAAATTTCCCACAAATGAGCTGTGCAATCTACGTCGGAATACATCCAAGGAAGAGCAAAGCCAAAAGAAGAAAACCGTGTTAGGCTCTTTGACCAGGAGTGTATGTATGTGTTTCACTGTGAGCCTGGGTGCAGACCTGTGTCCCCATGCACACAGTGTCTCCTGTCAGGCTGAAATGTGGCACCCTGGCAGACAGAGCTGTGGCTCGTGAGGCAGAAGGCAGGCACCACAACGGGAGAGGCAGCACTCACCCCTGCCTGTTGCAGCTAAATCAAGTCAAAAAGACAGGCGAGGCTGAACTTGCTAAATGTCTGGTGCCTTAGAAAAAGAAGGAAAGGCCATGAAATAAGGAAAACATACAAAATATGTACCCCCTAGTTCACCAGCCTCCCCTCCCACTAGGAGGGCCCCTCGAGCCATCAGGAGTGACCAACTTCCTGGGTGGAGGTCAGGGGAGCTCCAGGAGGCTGCCCAGGCTCCTCCTCCTCCTCCCCAGCGGCCGAGCATCTCTTACCAGGAACCTGGAGCCACCGCCGGAGCCAGCGTCATCTCTAGGGTCACTGGCCAGGGGACTGCATTCTGGTTTGGGACTTTGCCTATGGAAATGGGAAAAATGAAATTCCTGCTAAGGTGCTTCTATCTCTTTCAGATTCATGCATTGAAGGAGAGATTTTTTATACTTTATGTTTTATCTTTCTCAGTTATTTGCAAGTGAGTGTCCTTTTAAAAACACACTTCTTCATGCTTTTCTTTGTAAATGACAGATCGAAGTATAGGTTACATCAAAACCCTACCATCCTGAGAAGAGTTATGGTTCTATTATAGCAGACGTCAGCCACACAGCCTATGTGACAATAACCTTAGAGTCCTGTGTTTTGTTTTTGTGTGTTGTGAGATTTTAATCTTTTTTTTTTCGGTGAGTCTGGCCATTTCTATAATGCCAGGTGGGAAGCCAGGCTGCGGGTGTTAGGGTGGGAATCTGCCCGGCGTCTCTGGCACCCTCCCTGCCATCCTCAGTGCGGCTGCTGTTCTCCTGTCCGGTGCTGTGGCTCCATTCCAAAGGGGCACCTGGATATTTATATTTGCTGAAGTTTTATAATAAAGTTTATATGGTACAGTGTGCTTCTGAACTACCTCATGATTCTTCACAAGGTTTGTTTCTGAAATCAAAGGATGGAACTAAGATACCGGGAGACAGGTCTCAAAGCGGAAGAAATGGGGCTCTAGACTGCAGGAGAAAACTAGAAATGGCCTAGAAGAAAGTGCCCCTGAGTGAAGAGGAGGCTGCAGGGGAGATGGTGGTGGTTGGTGATGGTGGCTTCCTGCTGCATTTAATTAAAAGGAGGTGGGACCTCCCCGTGCCACCTCAACTCCTATTAGTCAGGCTTCTTCAGAGGAGCAGAACCAGTAGGACATCGAGAGGGTTGGTGGGGCGGGGGATGGGGAGCAAATTATTTTCAGTAATTGGCTCTCAGGATTGCAGAGGCTGGCAGTTTTGGAATTTGGAGAGCAGGCCGGCAGGCTGGAGATACGGTAAAAGTTGATGTTGCAGCCTCGAGTTTGAATTCCACAGGACAGCAGCCTGGCGCCTCAAGCAGAGTTTCTTTTCTTTCTTTTTCTTTTCTTTTTTCCAACTTTTATTTTAAGTTTGAGGGTACATGTGCGGGAAGTATAGGTTACATCAAAACCCTACCATCCTGAGAAGAGTTATGGTTCTATTGTAGCAGACGTCAGCCACACAGCCTATGTGACAATAACCTTAGAGTCCTGTGTTTTGTTTTCGTGTGTTGTGAGATTTTAATTTTTTTTTCAATGAGTCTGGCCATTTCTATAATGCCAGGTGGGAAGCCAGGCATTATAGAAATCTTATGTGCAGGTTCGTTCCATAGGTAAACGTGTGCCATGCTGGTTTGCTGCACAGATCATCCCATCACCTAGGTTTTAAGCCCAGCATCCATTAGCTATTCTTCATGATGCTCTCCCCTCCCCCAGTCCCCCATCCTCTGACAGGACCCAGTGTGTGTTATCCCCCCCACCTCCTGTCCATGTGTTCTCATCATTCAGCTCCCACTTACAAGTGAGGAAAGGCAGTATTTGGTTTTCTTTTCCTGCGTTAGTCTGCTAAGGATAATGGCTTTCAGCTCCATCCATGTCCCTACGGTGGACATGATCTTGTTCCTTTTTATGGCTGCATAGTGTTCCATGGTGTACATGTATCACATTTTCTTTATCCAGTCTATCATTGATGGGTGTGTGGGTTGAACATGTCTTTGGTATTGTGAATAGTGCTGCAATGAATATACACCTGCATGTGTCTTTATAATGGAACAATTTCTATTCCTTTGGGTATATGCCCAGTAATGAGATTTCTGGGTTGAATGGTATTTCTGTCTCCAGGTCTTTGAGGAGCCACCACACTGTCTTCCACAATGGCTGAACTCATTTACACTCCCACCAACAGTGTAGAAGCGTTCCTTCTTCTCCACAACCATGCCAGCATCTGTTGTTTTTTGACGTTTTCATAATAGCTATTCTGACTGGTGTGAGATGGTATCTTATTGTGGTTTTGATTTGAATTTATCTAATGATCAGTGATGTTGAGCTTTTTTTTCATTTATTTGTTGGCCACAGGTAGGTCTTCTTTTGAGAAGTGTCCAGTCACGTGCTTTGCCCACGTTTTAATGAAGTTCTTCGTTTTTTTTCTTGTAAATTTGTTCCTTGTAGATGCTGGATATTAGACCATTGTCAGATGCAAATATTGCAAAAATTTTCTTCCATTCTTAGGTTGTCTGTTCACTCTGATGATAGTTTCTTTTGCTGTGCAAAAGCTCTTTAGTTTAATTAGATTCCATTTGTCAATTTTTGCTTTTGTTACAATTGCCTATGCCTATGTCCTGAATGGTATTGCCTAGATTTTCTTCTAGGGTTTTTATAGTTTAGGGTGTTACATTTAAGTCTTTAATCAATTTTTAGTTGACTTTTGTATATGGTGTAAGGAAGGGATCCAGTTTCAATTTTCTGCATATGGCTAGCCAGTTCTCTCAACACCATTTATTAAATAGGGACTCCTTTCCTCGTTGCTTGTTTTTTCAGGTTTGTCAAAGATCTGGTGATTGTAGGTTTGTTATCTTATTTGTGGGTTCTTTATTTTGTTCCATTTGTCTATGTGTCTGTCCTTGTACCAGTACCATGCTGGTACTGCAGCCTTGTGAGATAGTTTGAAGTCGGCTAGCGTGATGTCTCCAGCTTTGTTCTTTTTGCTTATTGTTCTTGGCTATTTGGGCTCTTTTTGGGTTCTATATTAATTTTAAAATAGTGTTTTTCTAATTCTATGAAAAATGTCAGTGGTAGTTTAATGGGAATAGCATTAAATCTATAAATTGAATCTATAAATTGAATCTATAAATTGCTTTGGGTGGTATGGCCATTTTCATGATATTGATTGTTCTTATCCATGAGCATGGAATGGTTTGTTTATGTCATCTCAGATTTCTTTGACAAGTGGTTTGTAGTTCTCCTTCAAGAGGTGCCTCACTTCCCTTGTTAGCTGTATTCCTAGGTATTTTATTCTTTTTGTAGCAATTGTGAATGGGAGTTCATTCATGATTTGGCTCTTGGCTTGCCTTTTGGTGTATAGGAATGCTAGCAACTTTTGCACATTGATTTTGTATCCGGAGACTATGCTGAAGTTGCTTATCAGCTTAAGAAGTTTTGGGCTGAGACAATGGGGTTTTCTAGATGTAGGATCATATCATCTGCAAACACAGATAGGTTGACTTCCTCTCTGCCTATGTGAATACGCTTTATTTCTTTCTCTTGCCTGATTATCCTGGCCAGAACTTCAATACTATGTTTAAGAGGAGTGGTGAGAGAGGGCATCCTTTTGTTGTGCCAGTTTTCAAGGGCAATGCTTCCAGCTTTTGCCCATTCAGCATGATATTGGCTGTGGGTTTGTCATGTATTGCTCTTATTATTTTGAGGTATGTTCCTTCAAAACCTAGCTTATTGAGAGTTTTTAACATGAAGGGGCGTTGAATTATATTGAAGGCCTTTTCTGCATCTATTGAGATAAATCATGTGGTTTTTGTCTTTAGTTTGTTTACGTGATGAGTCACATTTATTGATTTGCATATGTTGAACCAAACTTGGCATCGCAGGGATGAAGCCAACTTGATCATGGTGGATAAGCTTTTTGATGTGCTGCTGGATTCAGTTTGCCAGTATTTTATTGAGGATTTTTGCATCTGTGTTAATCAAGGATATAGGTCTGAAGTTTCCTTTTTTTGTTGTTGTATCTCTGCGAGGTTTTGGTATCAGGATGATGCTGGCCTCATAAAATGATTTAGAAAGGAGTCCCTCCTTTTCAGTTGTTTGGAATAGTTTCAGCAGAAATGGTACCAGCTCTTCTTTGTACCGCTGGTGGAATTCATCTGTGAATCTGTCTAGTCCAGGGCTCTTTTTGGTTGGTAAGCTATTTATTGCTGCCAGGCAGGGCTTCTGTGTTGCAGTCTGTGAAGTGCTTAACATTTCAATCAATTGACTGTAAGCAGAGTACCCTCCATAGTATGGGTGGGCCTCATCCAATCAGATGAAGGCTTTAAGAGCAAAGACTGAGATTTCCCTGAGAAGCAGCAATTCTGCCTCAAGACTGCACAGCCACATTGCCACATAAAATTCACCATTATGCCCCTTTCCCTGGGGTTGGATTTAACCAGCAGTAACTGGGACCCGGTGAGAAGCCAGTACCACTGGTGTGACAAAGGCAGACACCTGCTCTCGGGATGTCGGCTGTTGGAATGGATGGCGGGTCCCACACATGCTCTGGCTGCCTGGTCTGTGCATAACACCAGCTGTTGACGTGGCACAACAGGCTCTGCACCACCTCTTCCAATGCACAGACCCACTTATGGGAGGAGATATTCCCAATCCCATTTTACAGAGCAGAAATTCTGACAGAAAATTTATATAGCTTTTTCTGGAGTTGCCAGAGAGAAAGGGGGATTCTGCAGAATTCTACAGGATTCTGGGGAGCTGGGGGCAGCTTATTCCAAAACCCAGAGCCATTGGGTACCACAATCTTACTGACTCACCCAGGCACTGGGGCTGTCCTCTAAACCTCCATCCTTCAAACAGAAGCTTTTCAGTAATCCTTCTATCACATCGTCAATAGCCCTTCATGGGACACCTGCTGACCTTGTTCCATGAAGGAGGCAAAAATGGCCAAGATGTGGGCCTGCCTTCAAGGGCTTTTTGTTCCAGCAGTGAAATAATGTATGGCCGCAAATGGATGCACTATGAGGTTGACCATGACCACAGGATGGGGCCAGGCTGAGGGGGTGGATTTGCTTCTGTTAAGGAGGGAAATGGTAGACCAGAAACCTGGGCTCTTCAACCTGGGCTCTTACAGTGAGAAGAGAGCATGGGCAAGAGGGGCAGATGGAAGAAGCACCCATAACCTTCCCAGGATCCACCCATGATTTGTCTGCGACTTGCCAATGATCTACCCATAATTCACCCGTCACCAGTCTGTGTTCTGTTCATGACTCTGCACTTGAGACAGATGCCGGGTGGAGAAGGGTGGCGTGGCAGGTGAGGTGTTGCCTAGAGCCAGGGTTGTTGGGGCTGCAGGACTCATCGGCCAGGCACCTGGTTAGCATCTCTCACCCAGGCCGTCTCTGTGTCCCAATCCGCTGCTCCAACTGGCCTGACACACCCCTACAACGGGCTTGAGAGAGGCTGGCTTAGATCATGTCAGGCACTGGCCAAAGCCTTCGTCTGCTTCTATAGCCAACATCACAACATCCAACTGGGGTGGGCTGCATTTGCCTTAGGCTATATTTAGCATTGGCTGTGTGCCAAGCCCTGAGATGAACGCTTCATGTGCAAAGGCCCATTTGACCCTCCCTTGGGGGAGGCACCATCAATGGCCCTGTCCACGGCGGGAGGAAGAGGGAGCAGCACATCGAGGCCTCGTGACTCTTCCAGGCCATGGAGCCAGTAAATGGCACAGCTGGGTGTTCAACTGTGACCTCGAACCTCACCCTGTGCCCCTCACCTTCCGTTCCTCTCTTTACATGGTCTGTCTTTTGTGGACACACAGTGCCCATGTCATCTCAGCCTCTGTGGCTTTGCCGGGCCACATCCATCATCTCTTGCCCAGTGCAGCCTCTCCCTGTACACCACCATTTTCCTGCCTGCACCTCCTTGACTTCCTGATGTTCTGAGAGCTCTTCAGAGGCAGGTTCCTGGCCTTGCCCACCTAGCACTCTGGAAACTTCTGGCCGCCAAGAATCTCTTTCCATCTGGAGTGACGGGGTTTGGGATTCTTCTCTTTGTTTTTTCACAATATAGTCTCCACATGTTTGGCTGGCAACAAGCTCTAGATGTGAAGTTCCTGGCTACCACAGGGTGACTTCGAAATCCAAATCTAGAGAGAGCTCCTTCACTCGCATCCCATCCTGACATGAATATCTTGAACCCTCAGCCTCAGTGGATCCACAGGTGCCCACGATTCACTCCCCTCTCCACTCAGTCGCAGGCCACCATGCTCTTACACTGCAGCTCCCCAGAAGTCGCTGTGTGGTTCCTGGGCTGCGGGGGGCTTTGTCTGGGAGGTGTTCAGTTAACCTGATTCTCACGAATTGCGGTGTGATCCTCACTGCCCTTGCCTGCCCTAGATGGGTGAAAAGGGGGCCAGGCTGGCACAGTTGCACAGCCGTCTTAGCATCTGGACAGCACCCTGGCTGATGTATAGGTGGACGCCCAGCTGCACCAGGTGGTGAGACCCAGACTTCTCCTCATCGCAGGGGGCTGCCTGTGGGGATTTTCTCCACTTGCTTCTCATTGCCTTCCAGTGCCAGGACAGAGCCCAGAGAGCCTTTGTTCTAGTCTCGCTGGACACCCCAGAAAGCCCACCAGGAGCTGCCCCACGGAACCTGAAGGGGAGAAGGGCATATCCCCATGTGCCAGGAAGCACAATGCCCTGGACTAAAGGCAGCCCCCAGAAATTCCAGGCTGAGTGAAGGAGTCCAGACAAAACAAAGCTGTGCTGGAGGAGGAGCAGGGCTGGCCCCAGCCAGACACATTCCAGCCCGCAATCAGGCTGCCTCTTTCTGTCTCCCTCCAGCTCTCCAATGCCACCCCCACCCCCACGCCCAGCTGGAAACACCTCTAGCTCCCAGCTCAGCAGCCTTAACAAAGAAAGTCAGCAGGAGACTTGGGAAAGTGAAGAAACTCTCCCCAAAACCCCAGAACGCTGCACCTTTCCTATGACAAAAACTCACGTGAAACCCCCCACACCACCGCTGCCATCCTGTCTGCATCCTGAACAGTGTGTGTGAGCCTGGACCAGGGGCTCAGCACAGGCCCTTTCTCAGCCTGGAATTCTCACTTCTGCATCGCACAGGATGGGTTCAGAGGCTCCTCGGGCCAGTTTGCCAGCAGAGTCTGCTCCCCAAGGCAGCAGGCCAGGCTGCCCGGAGGCCTCTCTGAACCCTCTTGAGCCCACCCTGTGCCCTCTCCCTGGTGTTCCACTTCTCCCAGCCCCCTTCCGAGAGCTTCAGCAATGCCAGGTGCTGTACCTGTCCCTCCCAAGGCACCCTCCTGCCCCTCCCCTCACTTATACAAGTTGTGTGCCCTGGTCCCTGTGTTTGCTTTCTCACTTCCTCCATGAGGACGGGGTCATCTGGGACATCCCGCAGAGGTGGGCCTCCTGAGACCCGCCACTAGTGCTCGTCCCCTTAATGGGAATCATGTCCAGGGTCCACAGGCAAGACCAGGCCCTTCCCTGCACAACAGCCTCTCCTCAGCTCTGCACGAGGACCACAAATCCACTCACTTGGAAGCCCCTGTGGGAAGGGAGCCGCTCACTCCCTCTTGCCATTTATTTCTCCTGCATATACCAAAAGAAAACCCGGTAGATCCACAGATCCTCTTTCCCCCATGATACATTGTTGCTCAGTTGTGTCTGGAGGGGCCATTGGCAGAGGCAGCAAGGCTCTGCTCTGGGGTAGGTAATCACAAGCTTCCCCTCACCACCTCTCACCCCAGCCCAGACACAGCGATAAGGGAGGTCGGAGCAACCAGCGCTCTGCTGGAACAGTGGCCCCAAGCTCTGCACAGGGCACACCTGCAGAGGATGCACACCGGCCTGCCGTCCCTCCCAGCCACCGGGGCTCAGGGTGCAGAGCTTAGATGGCTGGAGGCCAAAAACCATGTGGTCACATCTCATTGCATGGACAGAGGGCCGAGGGTACATCAAACGTTGTCACCAACCCCTCTCTGCTCTAGTGTCTCATTGTAGTTTAAGTAATCAGAAGTATTCTAGGGAGGGGAGAAAGGTCCCATTTCGGTGACCCCTCAAGTACCACCCACTCATCTATTGTCCCTGATTCCTGCCCTGCTCTCTCTTGGGAAACTGCTGTTGTTAAAGTTGCTGACAGCCTCCTGGTTGCCAAATCAAGGCACACTGGTCATTGCTGTCTTCCACAGCCTCTCTCAAGCATCTCCGCTGTAGACATGTCCTCTGCCATAGAGCTCACCTTCCTAGGCCTGGGGCACACCTTTCTTCTGTCTCCTGTTAGTTCTCCAAATGCTCCCAGGCACTGTGATGCGACACACCCCAGGCCAAGCTCACTATTTCCTACTCTTCAGCCCCTAAAGTTACCCCTCTTGTCTGCTGTATTCTAGGGTCACTACTCACACAGTGTCCTCAACTGGAAACTTAGGGTCATCCTTGGACTCCTCTCTTGCTCCAGCTCCACTCTATAACCCCCTCCAAATCCTTCTCTGAGTGCTGTCACTATCCAGTCTTAAAAAGTGTTCCGTTCTATTGTCTTGCCTAGATTGTTGCAATAGTCTTTTAAATGGTCTCCATTCAATTGTCTTCTCTTATTCTATCTGCCAAACTAAACCCGTCAGATCACAGTCAGCCGCTGGATGAAGGACTTGTGGGTAAAACCTGTGCTTTTCAGTGGGGTGTGCAGAGCCCCTCACTGTGGGCTGAGCTTCCTCTGCTTCCTCCTAATTGGCAATAACCTTTCACTGGAAATCTCCAGTCACCCCTAAGCCAGGACTGCGCTTTTCTCTCTAGTGCAAGTGGAAAAGTCCAGCTTATTTAAGGGTCTCCCTCTCAAACAGGGGCACCTTTGAGAGGCCTTGACCAGCCTCCCAGGTTCCTCTAGTCCCCAGCACTTGGTCATGGAGACCCCATCACAGCACCAGCCACAGCGTGTGAGGCTGGTTGGCCTCCTGCCTCTTCACCTCGGGGGGATTTCTTCAAGGGTAAGAACTTTGCTTTCAGCCAACCGTGCATGTCCTGGGATTAGCAAGGGTCTGGCATCTAGTGAGCCTCAGCAAACACTGAGTGTTAAGGTTCAAGAAAGGACTTTATACAAGAGGAAGTCAAAGAAATAGGGAAAGGTCGGCAAGAGTGGTACCAAATAAGAGGTACCAAGAAAGAGGAAAATAATAAGCAAAGGTGGGATACAGCCTCCAGGGACATCACGTGCTGGGCTCTGGCTCACCAAGGCCAGAGACCTTGTGGAAAGGGCTCCAAGAGATTTGACCGAATGGGATAAAAATGTGTTGAGAACCAGGGTGTATTCGTCCGTTTTCACACTGTCGATAAAGACAAACCCGAGACTGGGTAATTAATAAAGAAAAAGAGGTTTAATGGACTCACAGTTCCATATGGCTAGGAGGCCTCACCATCATGGTGGAAGGTGAAAGGTACATCTTATATGGCAGCAGGCAAGAGGGAATGAGAGCCAAACAAACGGGAAAACCTTTTACAAAACCATCAGATCTCATGAGACTTATTCAATACCACGAGAATAGTATGGGGAAAACCACCCCCGTGATTCAGTGGTCTCCCACTGGGTCTCCCCCATGACACATAGGAATTGTGAGAGCTACAATTCAAGATGAGATTTGGGTGGGGACACAGCCAAACCATATCACAGAGGTGCAGGTTGTCAGAGCTGAAAAGAATCTTAGAGATGCTGCAGTCCAGGCCTAAATTTATAGAGGGAGACCCTGACACCCAAGAAAGACAAGTGCCTTCCCCAGGATTTCATAGCTCAGGGGAAAGCTTTCACATTTTGCCCTTACTATCTGATGGCAAACTTTAAACCTCAGAAAGAAAAGCAACTACCATTTGGAAAGAAACAACAGCACCTCATTCGACAATGTTTTGCAATTTTTTTTGCAAGGAAATATTGTATTAAGGTTAAAATTAAAGGCTAAATATAAAAGTCCCATATTTTGACATTTAATTCAGATGCCATTTTGTGGTTGCTAGAATGGAGGAAAGCCTATTGCAGTGTAAATTAGGATGATTTTGCTCACACTAAAGAGGACATGGTCCCAGCCTGAGGCCATCTCAGTTATCTCGAGCACATCTTTTTTCTGCTCCTAAATTGTCATTGATTCCAGTGTCAAATTTATAGTTGAAAAGTAAAAATATTCAGTAGGTACTTTTAATGTACTCTTTTTATTTTTTAGAACTCAAGAGCTTCCTAATAGACTCTCATTTCCTCTGCTGAATCCTAGAACAGATTATCACCTCATTGCAAGCTCAGCTTTGCAGAATTCACCGTCTCCCCTTACCCTGTAGAAGATTCTGCTCTTTAAAAGACCATTTTCAGGAAGTCATAGGAGTTTGGAACACAGTGAAACTCTAATAGTAAATGGCAGCCATCCAACAGTGCCATAAATTCAGATGCTTGAAAATGGATTCCTCTGGGCGTGGGCAGCCTGGGACCCTGGTGAGGTCATGGAGCAGCCAGTCTGGAAAATGGTTCCACTGCTGCAAGCAGAGAGAAGGGTCTGCATTATCAGGCTGAGTAGGTGCTGGCAGATCAGCAGGTCATCGGAGGCCAGTGCCCAAATAACTCGGTTAGTTAATTTTGTGATAATGTTAGGTATCAACTTGACTGGGTTAAGGGATGCCCAGGTCCTTTTAACTCAGAGGTGTCCAATCTTTTGGCTTCCCTGGGCCTCATTGGAAGAAGAAAAATTGTCTTGGACCACACATAAAATACACTGACATTAACAATAGCTGATGAGTTTTAAAACACACACACACACACACACACACACATACACACATAGACACAATCTCATAATGTTTTAAGAAAGAATGTTTAATGTTAGCTGCATTCAAAGCCATCCTGTGTCGCATGCAGCCCGCAGGCCTCGGGTTGAACAAGCTTGCATAACCATTATTTCCAGTCGCATCTGTGAGGGTGTTTCCGGGGGAGATTAACATTTGAATTGGTAAATTGAGTAAAGATCTGCCTTCACCTATGTGGGTATGCACCATCCAATCCACTGACGGCCCAAATAGAACAAGAAGGCAGAAAAAGGGTACATCAGCTCTTTCTGCTTGAGCAGGGGCACACACTCGTCTTCTCCTGCCCTTGGACATCAGAGCTCCCCCGAGTCTGGGGCCGTTAGACCCCAGGACTTACACCAGCCCCTTCCCAAGCCCCAGAGCTCTCGGATCTTCTGCCTTGGACTAGATTACAGCACCAGTTTTCCTGGTTCTCCAGGCTGCAGAGGGAATAGAGGGGGACTTCCACAACCATGTGAGCCAATTCACATAATAAATCCCCTCTTGTATATCTGTATATCGATATTCACATCTGTCTATGTATGTAAGCATGTATCCTATCGGTTCTGTTTCACAGAAGAACTCTGACTAATGCACTCATCTTGGGTTAACTTGGTATGCTGACTTTCCAAGCTCAAGAGCCTTTCAAGAGCCTCAAGATCTCAGCCACTTACAACAATAAAGGTTCATTTCTTCAACACGTTATATCTTGGCTGCATATTGCCTGTGGGTCTGTCCTCTGCATTTTTTTCAGTCCAGAATCCAGGCTGAAGAACAGCCCCTATCCAGGACATCCTGTTGTTCTGGCAGAGGAAAAGGAGTGAAAAGCTACTGGAAATGTCAGCTGCCTCTTAATGCTTCTGCCCAGAACCAGCACCCTGTCACACACTCATGCCCCACTGGCCAGAGCAAGGCACATGGTCAAGTCCAATGTCAATGAGGCAGGGAAGTGAACTCCTACAGGCAGGTTCTGCATGGTAAATGTCAGTGGTGGGGTATGTAAGGCACTCACACAGAAAGGGAATGAATAATTCAGAACAATACCACCCACCACACCTACTATGTTCCAGGCTCCAAACTAAATGAGGCGTGACCCCTTCCCTTAAGTTTCCACAGTGTAACAGGTGGTTATATTAACTAGCTGGGTGGCCCTGGGCAATTCATTTTCGTTCTCTGGCTGTTGGATTTGTTACTTATAAAACAAAGGAATTGGATTCCTTAGGCTCCTCCAAAATTCTGAGATGCCAGCCTTTCCATTTCACTTACTATTATTAAATTAATCCGTTGCTTAAAGTCATGCACCAACCTTTAAAACAGAATCTCAACTCATGTAATATAGGAGACAGATAGGAAGTTATGCTCTGAAATAGAAGCCAGGCAAAGTGGGCTCTGGAGGATTTTTAAGGATTTTGGTGATGCCTATTCACATTTTCACAGCTACATTTACAGTCTTCCTGCTGCCGACAGAGCCAGAACCACCTGTAATAACTTCGAGAGGCCAAGTGAGCAGAGTCCAGGTCAGAATATCCAGGGCTGCCTGTCCACCTGGCAAATCCTCCTGCCAGTGGTCCTTCGCAGAAGCTTTGTCCAGGCCCACGAGCCTGCCAGACTCACCCAGGCAGCGACCTGGCTCCCCTCCACAGACCAGATGCTTGAGAAGAGTCTCGCAAATCTTCCCACTAGTGCCAGCCTCTGGGCATGGTTCTCAGTGGCAGGATTTCTTCTTCTGACTTCAGGGTTTAGATGGCTGGCCCAGGCAGCTGACTCCCAGCTGGAGGCTGAACCACAAAGCCTCTGTAGTGGGTTTGCAATCATTAAGAACTTTAATCTGCAGTCTGGAAATAGAGCCAGCAACACTCATGTGCCCCAGGGCTAAGAGTCAAGAGAGTGCCGGGCCCTGGTGGGAACCCAGGCCTGAGGAGTTCTGCAGGTGGGTGCCCTGATCGTGGGGAGAGGGCACTGCTGCCTGCTTTGCTTGCACATCTGGTCATCACCATCCTTTCTTCAGAGCCGAAGAAGGCATGCTGGTCTCCCCAGGAAAACCAGGCTCAAAACCATCAGGATAAGTGAAAGGCATGCTACATTTGTCTCCATAATCCCCCTGGAGTGCCATTTCCCCTGGTTCATTTCACCAAATAACTCTGCACCATGGTGTGCCATTAGCTTCCCATTCTCACTCAACCTGAAAACCACGCCTTCTCCTGGAGCATTGGAAGGTTACAAAGCTGTCCTCCCTGGGGGAGGCCTCCTGCAAATGCAGAAGGGCCCCTAGCTCTATTTGTCTTCTGTACTTAGTGCACCTAAATAGCCCATCACTGCACGTGGGAATCAGTGCCTGAGCGGAAACAGACCAAATATTTGTTCAGCTTTAACTCTATCCCCTCATTTTTGAATGAGTGCAATCGTTGAATGTGCTATGCTTTGTCATACGTCTGTACCCACTAAGCTTACTTCCAGACCCTTAAGTACCCAAAACCACTCCTCAGGACCACATGTCATGGGCTGAATTGTGTCCCCACAATTATGACTGTATTTGGAGATAGAGACTTTAAGGAGGTCATCAAGGTCAAATGGGGTCAACAGGGTGGGGCAAGAGAACAGGTGTCCTTATAAGAAGAGAAAGAGGCACCAGAGACCTCTCTCTTGCTCTCTGTGCACACAGAGAAATGGCCATGCGAGGGCACACTCAGAAGGTGTCACCCATGAGTCTGGAGGAAAGCCACCACCTGAAACCAACCCTGCAGGGGCCTCCAACTCGGACTTTTGGCCCCCAAAACTGTGAGAAGATAAATGTCTGTTGTTTAAGCCCCCTAGATATGTATGTCTCTATCTTTCTCTCTCTTTCTCTCAAAAAAGAATTTTCTTATTCTTTCTTCTATTTCCATTTTCAAAATGAGCCCTGTATCTTCACCGGCACCTCCATTAGCTCCTGGTGAGTTTAAATGAAGGAAGGAGAGGAGATAGGAGGAAAAAAGCTGCTGGTGCTGTTTTGATTTATTTATTTACTTTTTTGAAACGAAATCTTGCTCTGTCACCCAGGCTGGAGTGCAGTGGCGCAATCTCGGCTCACTGCAACCTCCACCTCCCGGGTTCAAGTGATTGTCCTGCCTCAGCCTCCCCAGTAGCTGGGACTACAGGTGCATGCCACCACACTTGGCTAATTTTTGTATTTTTAGTTGAGATGGCATTTCACCATGTTGGCCAAGCTCGTCTGGAACTTCTGACCTCAGGTGATCCGCTCGTCTCGGCCTCTCAAAATGCTGGGATTACAGGCATGAGCCACCGTCCCCGGCCCCGATGCTGCTTTTAGAAATTGGTGGTCACATAGGCCTTAAAGTTATAGGCACAGCCATTCAACATTGGAAGTTTCATCAAGATAGAGCAACCTGCATGGATAATTTAAAAACACAAACACACATGCACACACACGCAGGCACGCATGCATATGTACACACATACATGCACACATGCAGGCACATACACGTGCACAGTAGTTGGTTTCATTATCGTCTTCACTGAGGGTGCAGCCTGGGAAGACCCCATGACCAGTGGCATTGTGTCTTCCATTTTGAGAAACAGGAAACCACAGTAAATAAACATCAAGGATCTTCTCGGCATCAGTCCTTCCTTCTCAGGCGCCCCTCAGCAGCAGGACAGAGTTCCCAGGACTGTGGTCTGTCACTTTTCGCATCCACCACGTTTCTGTCTGTACACGGACATCAACCCCCATGGCTTCCCAGGGTATGGTGATTTTCTACAGGGTCCAGTCTCAGACATTGTTTTATGTCTCAGCCTCTACTCCATATACTCATGATTCTCCAAACTCAGGGAGGGAGTTTTGTTTCTGGACGGAGTGCAGGGTTGGGTTGCAGATCAGCAGACAACGGGGCAAAGGCTGTGTGTGGACAATGTTGCCACTTGCATTTGGTCAGCCACAGAGTTGTAAGGTCTCTGCAAGTTCTATTCTAGGGGCTGCAAGAGGCAAAACCCAGGGCCTGGGCAGTTCTCAGGGCCTGGGCAGTTCTCAGGGCCTTCGTGGAGGGCGCAGTTCCTTCCTAGACTCTGAGTAGAAGAATGACCTTGCTCCAGCATGCTGCAAACACTCATCAACCTGTTCTCTAGATTTTCGCCATGGTCACATGGTGATTTTGGAAGCTGAGCTCTCTTTGTCTATTTTAGACCCAATTGAGTCAAAGACGTAGAAAGACAGAAGCCCCCAGGCTGATTCTGCGTAGCTCGTCTCTGACGGTCCGTGGCCACCTTGTCTGCTTGGCAGCAGGGATGACTCCCGTTCTGCCTTTCCCAAGAGCTCCCTGTGCCCAGTTGACTCCCTGCTTAGTCTTCAGCCTCCAAACCCTTCCCGCACGGGCCTCTGGTTGACAATTGGCCCCTGAGACAAGCTCCCCTGGGTGTCCTGGCAGGGCCACACACTCACCATGTGCAAGTACAAGCTCAGCACGTGCCCCCAGCTCCCTCCCAGCCGCACTGGGCTCCCACAAGCCCAACACCCTTATCCATTCTTCTCACCCCCAGTCCCTCCACAGGACATCAAGGGGTCCCCAGCACATTTTCTTCCTGCCATCCACACAAGAACAACCTACCTTTCACCTTTGGTCTGAATATCCTTAGACCTGGCTGAATTTACTTTTAGAATCTCAGAAACGCACTCATTTAACCGAGGAAGTAATTTAATGAGGAAGGAGCCCCTTTTCTCAATAGAGTATCTAGTCCCAAGAAAATGAGGTCACTGGCACAGTGATGAAGGATCCGTGCTGCAAACGCACCTGGTTCTCTTATGGATGGGAGCGCGTGGTGAGATATTTTCATTTCAGCCTGAGTGCTTAGCATTTCTCCTCAGCTTACTGAAAAGAGATAGAAAAAGATGGATGGCTCAGCCTAGAAGACCAGGGCAGAGAATACTGGGGCCTCAAAGAAGAGTCTCTGTCCAGTAGCAGATGGTGTTTCATTGGCTGAGGTATCTGACACTCCAAAGCTCTCAGGCAATAAGTCTGCCAAAAATGAAAAGATGAGAAACTTCTTCCTGCCTTCCACAAACATCATAAATGGGCAAATATGTGCAGAGTAGAAAAACAAAGATTATCTTCCAAATAGGTCCCAATTTTCTTGCAACTTAGTTTGGTGAGGGTGGAGGTCAGGAATTATTGAGAAGAGAGTAAATGTGTATGTTTGAACCATATTTCCTTGTCAATGAAATAGCAAATGTAAAGATGATTAACAAATACTCAGTGTTTAATAAGGATTATTTGAAATTAAGTGGGTGGCCCAAATTATGTATTTATGCACACAAAACCATGGAAAAGGAGAAAGACCTATGCGTGGGAAGCTGGTATGCTGGATCTGGCCTCCCCTTGAAAAGTAAATAGATAAAAGACATAAAAATACTTGGAAAAGTTGAAGCTGTATAAAATGTAAGATACTGTTTTGATAGAGTCATCTATGACTCAGTCATGATTAATTACCATTTTAAAAGGATTATCTTAAGCACACATCTCAGACCTCCTTAAATCACTCCTCGGTTGCTATCTTATGACAAAGGAAAACAAAACTAATCATTGAAGATACCTTTTCTTTTCTCTTCCTCAACTATGACATCTTACAAACCAGGGTTAAATGAACAGTGAGTACGAAAGCAGCCCCTGAGTGTGCATTCTTCTTTCATGCAAAGAGTGCTTTCAAGTAAAGAAAATACCTACTCTCCCTGGAGTTTTAAGCTGCTGTGTGCCAGGAGTCCCCATCCCTGAGGTCATGCTTTGGCTTTAATCACATGAGACATTGTTTGCAGACGCTGTCAGGTCATGGCACTCAGGGACTAGTGTGCACACATTCCTCGAGCCTCAGCAGTTCTGTCCTTAACACCAGGACCACAAAGTTTGTGGTTTCTAGGGTCACAAACCCCAAGAACTTTTCATTCCAGAAACCTCTCCAGGAATCTCCTTCAGTTCCTGTTTCTCTTTGTTTTCCTGTTTTTTACCCAGGTCTATCCACCCTAAGTCACTTGAGACATTAAAACTTTCCAATGTCTGGTAACACCCTGAGGTTAGACAATGTTGTTCTCAAAATCACAAAGGCTAAAAGCACTGGAGGCTGAGTAAGTGTTTAGATAAATTCATTTCACCTAATTCATCAATAACTTTGTCTGAGTTCCTACTGGTGCTACCTAGGTTGAAGAATGAGAAGTGTATAAGCCAATCCCTGTTCTGGAGTGGCTTTCTAATTATATTGTGGAAATAAGTTTTCCAAATTTGAAGCCGCAAGCAGCTACCATAAGAGCCTGCATAAATAAGCATGGAAATTGACACGTTGATTTTAAAATCATGGTGTTGATGTTGAGTTTGGGATGAGGGTGGGAAGAGGAGCCACTTATCTGATTAGGAGGAACTCGCTGAGGTCTGGAGGCAAAAAACTCTCCAGGCTGATGTCACAACACAAGCACAAGAAGCAAAATATCAAAAGTACACGTAGGCTGTGTGAACCATGTACACCGGCTAAGTGCAGGGCCAGGATGGAGGGCAGGAGAGGGGCTGAGGAGGAAGGGTACCTTCCCACAGGAGCCATGGAGTCAAGGCTGGAACCAATTCTAAGGATGAACTGAGACTTGCCAGTCAGTGAGAGAAGACTGGACCATTCAGGAAGCCAAGACAAGTGCCATGGGCAGCACAGGGAGGAGGGACGAGGGTCCTCCTCAATGATGTGGCAAAGGACTGAAGCCGGAATGGGAAACAGGAAGAGAAACTAAGAGGTAAGTCACCAGAAGTACGGAACATAAAGAAGACCCCATGAGCCCTGGATTTACTGCCTGAGCGCCTGAGTCATGGTGCCGGGGGAAGGGGAAAGGTAGGAGCCTGAGAGACACAGGTCTTCCATCTTAGAGGCAGAGAGGCCAGGTTGGGCCAACCGTCAATCTAACTCTTTTCCTTCATGGATCCTAATTCTGACTGATTGTGTGACAGATGCTTTCTCAATAATTACTAAATGGAGCTTTTGGAATTTTTATGAAAGCTAATATAGTGTTTTTCTTTAGAAGCCAAGGTGTCCCAAAGTAGACATCACTGCAGTGGGAGCAGGATCATTCTCCACCATGAGCGAATGTTCTGGTGGCCCACTGTGGGGTGGTAGGTGCTGCATGCCTCTTCTCCAAACGGAACACTAGGCGGGCCTGCCCTCCATTAGCAAGGACAAACTAGAACAGCATGTGCATTCCCTATGCTCCCTGGGGGTGGGGGCAACACCCCAGGGGGAGCCACAGCCAGGTCATTCTGCCAGGGGAAGATGTACACACTGCCAAGATGAGCACGGCCTTCCATCTGCGCAGACGAACGTGGGAGGGGGCACGTGAATCAAATCGGTAATTATACCTCAGTGTAGAAAAATTCACTCATAGAAGCATGTAAAATACCAATTCCAGAAGCCCAATCGGCGCACAGAGGAGGCTCAGGGTGACTTCAGCATAGGAGGAGAGACTGGAGTTGAGTCTTAAATGGTAAAGGGAAGGCTGGAGCATTTCAGGAGTGGCACAATGGGCACACAGACACATTGTAAGATATGTGTGTCCTTACAGAGGACACACCTGACATTTTTCAACACTCAGCTTTTGTGTCTCCTTTAGATCATTTTGAACATGACAGCTAAAAACAACCAAACTTATAGGAGATACTGTCCAGTGAAAAACACAACAAATGACTCTAAGGAAACTCTGAGGTTAGAAAAAAAGTCAGTCAGATAATAGATTTCATTTTTTATTTGCTATCATAGTTCATCCAAGACAATTCAATGGGAAAGAATAGCTTTTCCAAAAAATGGTGCTGGTGCAACTTGATATCCACATGGAGAAGAATAAAGTTGGACTCCCACCTCTCCCTGTCTTCAAAATCAACCCAAAATGGAACAGACACCTCCATGTACAAGCCGAAATTGTAAACCTCTTCTATAAATCTGTGTGACACTGAATTTGGTAACAGTTTTCTTATTATAATACAGAAGGCGTAAGCAACAAAAGAAAAAAAATAAATTGGACTTCATGAGAAGTATAAACTTTTTTTTTTTTTGAGACGGAGTTTTGCTCTTGTTTCCCAGGCTGGAGTGCAATGGTGCAATCTCGGCTCACTGCAACCTCTGCTTCCTAGGTTCAAGCGATTCTCCTTCCTCATCCTCCCAAGTAGCTGGGATTACAGGCGCATGCCACCATGCCTGGCTAATTTTGTGTTTTTATTAGAGATGGGGTTTCTTCATGTTGGTCAGGCTGGTCTCAAACTCCCGACCTCAGGTGATCCCATGCTGGGATTACAGGTGTGAGCCACGGTGCCTGACTAAGAAGTATAAACCTTTATGCATCAAAGGACATCATCAAGAAAGTGAAAAGACAACCTGTAGAATGGGGAAAACATTTTCAAATGAATTATCTGAGAAGGGTCAGCTGCAGTCTGAATGTTGGTGTCTCCCCACAATTTATATACCGGGATCTTATACCCAATGTGATAGAATTAGGAGGTGGGGCCTCTGTGAAGTGATTAAGGCATGAGGGCTCCACTCTTGTGAATGGCATTAGTGCCCTCATGACAAAGGCTCAAGTGAGATTCCTTGCCCCTTCGGCCATGTGAGGATGTGGTGATGAAGCACCATCTTTGAAGCAGAGCAGCCCTCACCAGACAGAGAATCTGCTATTCCCTTGATCTTAGATTTCCCAGCCTTTGGAACTGTGAGCAATGCATTTCTGTTGTTTATAACTTACCCAGTCTAAGGTATTTTGTTATAGCAGCCAGAAAGGACCAAAACAGGCTCTACTATCCAAAACATATAAACGCTCATACAACTCAACAATAAAAAGGAAAGTAACCCAACTAAAAAATAGTCAAAGAAATTAACTGGATATTTATCCAAAGAAGATATACAAATGGCCAACAAGAACAAAAAAAGGTGCTACGTATTATTAGTCATTAGAGAAATGCAAAACAACGGAGGGATAGTGCCTCACATCCACTAATGCAGCGATATATTTTTTTAAGTTAAATACCAAGTGCGGATGCGAATGTGGAGAAATTACCCTAAAACCTTGCTCTCAGGAATGTGAAATGTTGCAGCCTGGAACAGCTTGGCAGTTCCTCAAAAAGTTAAGCATAGAATTCCCATATGCATAGCAATTCCACTCTCAGGTGTAACCCCAAGAAAAGTGAAAGCATATTCAGTGAAAAACTTAAACATGAATATTCATAACAGCATTATTCATAGTAGCCACAGCCAAACTTGAGGGTGAGCAACACACTAGACTTTGGAAGAGTACATTTTAATTCTCTCTCTTCATGGAACAGTCTATTAGGAGCCTAATAATTGTCATCATTTTCTAAGAAGTCAAGGAAGAATCCATTTCATTGGGCAGAGAAATCCCTGTGCCTGGGGCCAGCCTGGAACCACATGCCTTTGCCACGGCCTCTCCTGGCCATACTCTCAAATCTGCATCAGGTAAGCGGGGGCCTGGAGATGTTGGAATGCACCCCCACCCGCCATTCAATGTTTCCAACAGCCGTGGTTGGTAGCAGAACAAACTGTGGCACAGCCAGGGTCTGTGCACCTACACTCCCTCCTGGATTTGGCAAACCTGGGACCTGGAAGAAGCAGGTTTGAAGTTTCCTTGACTTTTCTCAGGACATTTCTATAAGCCCCTCCCAGAGTGAAGTTTAGAACACGTAGGCTAACCTATTACCACTTATGTTTCTTTTCTTCTCAAAGATATTAAACTATTTCTGGGGCAGGGACCCTTTTTGTTTTGATTACTGTGTTTCATGATAAATCCCAAATTGTTCACATTGAGTCCAATTGTATGGAACAATTTTCATTTTGCCTCTTCCATTTGTGTTCATACAATTAGTGGTAAAATTGCCCAAACTTGGCAGCTTCATCTCGGTACCTCCCTATCCCCTAGAAGGATTTGAGGCCAGAATAGAACTGCGTGTGTCTCCAGAGAGCCAAATGCTTGGCTGAGAAAGCCAGGGGGATTGAGCAACATCTCAAAGGCAAATCACCGAGGAAAGCAATCGACCTACCGATCCGCTCAGGAAAAGTCACTGCAAGGAGACTGTAATTGGCAGTGGGGGATACCAGGAAAGATGATCCTAAACATTAGCACACTTTCCCAGACCTCCTACGCTCTTGCCACATGCAGCGTCCCCAGGCCCCCGCTGGCTCCCTCGTGTGTGTGGAATTCTCTGTGCATTTGTTTCCTCTCGGCATTACTCATCCCACGATGGATGACTCAGCTTTCACAGGCCTGAGACTCCCTCCCATCCCCAGAGGGCTCACAGATCACCCTCTCCAGTCTTCCTTTCTTAATGGATTCTGATTGATTTATCTCTAAGTATCTGGAAAATCAATTGCAGATGGAACTCTATAGCATTGCCGCTCTTCGCAGCTGCCTCCCGTGTCTTTCCTACAGCCTGGCTGGGGTTTTCCCAGGCCCAGATGTCCCTAAGTGGTCCAGGATTGCACTCATGGAAACAGGGCTCTCGATCAATTTGCAACACCCAACGTAGGACCCTTAAACTTGATTGAGGAGTTTATTTGGAGGAGTGCTAGCCATTCATCAGAACTGAAGATCGAATATGAAATCACAGAACAACATTATGAATTAACCAGCCAGTCATTGAGTGATCCTGAGTATCTCTGCCATGAACAGAAAGGTAGACCCTCCAGACACCCCCAATATAGGCATTAAAATAGAGGAGCCAACCACAGTCATGGAAACACGTTCATAGAATGTGATTTTTCTTGGGGACGGGTGCTGGGGGGGAGAAAATGTTAACTGTTTCCTTGCTTTCTGTATTCTTGACTCTGTGGTGTGTGTGGCCTCCCTGATGGGAGAGCCTGATCTTTCCAGAACTACTCAGCATCTAGAGCCAGCGACGGGCTTACCCTGGAGTGTGCAAGCCAACCATCCCAAATCCATACCCCAAACCACGCCCTTTATCTAACTCTTACTCACCAAGCCAGTATATCCCCCATCCTAAATCGCCCCAAAGCCAGGTACCAGGCAACCAGAGACCACCGCCGGAGCCCAGAGCCTGCTGACACTATTGTAACCGTCCAGTGCCAAGCCCTTCCCATCAGGCCTTGCCTTTCCCACAGAAAACACAAGCTGCAGCCCAGTCTCTGCACTCACTCCTCCGCCTTTCTTCCTCTTGCCAGACATGGGTGCTTCCCCATGCGGCCCCACTTGGCATGGTGTGACCTCTCCACTCGGAAAACATGAAGAATAAATATCGACTTTCAGTGGCACTCTCCGTGCCATCATTCAGTCATCCTCATGAATTGCAGTCCCAGGGGAGGACCCTGTCACGTCCCTGCTTATTGACCCTCCTTGTCTGCATTTGTCGGCTGTGACCAAGCCCTAGACACAGAATCCGCACCCGAGGCTGTGGCTGCAGTGGGCAGTGGGGGAAGGCATGCTTGTCTTAGGCTGAGACCCTGGCTGAGCTCCCTCTGTGACCACCTCACTGAGTTACGTGTCCTCTAAGCCCCTGGAGAGTGCTGGAATGCCTGAACTGTGCCATATACACCATCCAGCCTCCAGGATACCCCAAGAAATGTTCTTTAAATACATCCCCCAACATCTTATCTACAAATGGCTTGTAGATGCCTTCCTAAGACATAATTGGTACACTACAAAATTCACCCTTTTAACCTGTACAATTCGGTATTTTTAAAATATTTATATGTACAAAGTTTTGCAATCCTCACCACTATCTAATTCCAGAACATTTTCATCATCCCAAAAGAAACTCCATACTATTAGCAGCCAGAGCCTCGGCCCCTGGTAACCACTGATTCATTTTCTGTCTTAATGATTTAGCCCCAGGCATTTCACATCAGTGGAATCATATGCTACATGGCCATTGTATTTGACTTTTGTACTTGACATAAAAAAAGGATAAACCTATTCATTGCAGATAGTGGAGGTCCCACATTTTGTTAACTCTTTCATCTGTTAATTCTTTCATCCCCCGATGCTGCTGTAAACAATGTGTGTACAAGTGTCTGTGTGAACACGCTTTCATTTCTCCTGGATTTATACTAGGAGTGGGATGGCTGGGTTGTATGGAAACTCTGTGTTTAATATTTTCATGAGCTGCCATACGGGCTTCCCAAGCAGCTACACCATTGTGTCCACCAGCAGGGCACGAGGGTTCCATTCTCTCCACATCTTGTTATCCACCATCTTTTTCACTGTAGCCATCCTAGAGGGCCAGAAGTGCTATCTCACAGCGGCTTTGATGTGCATTTTCCTAATTACTAATGACATTGAGTGTCTTTGCACATGTTAATGAGACATTTATATATTTTATTTGAATAAATGTCTATGCATGTCCTTTGCTAATTTTTAATTTGGGTCATTTGTGTTTTAATTGTTGAGTTGCAAGAGTTCTTTACATACTGTGGATATGAGTCCCTTATCAGATATATGATCTGTGTTTATTTTCTCCCATTCTGTGGGTGGGTTTTTTTTTTTTTTTTCACTTTCTTGATAGTGTCCTTTGAAGACAAAAGTTAATTTTGGTGAAGTCTAATATATCTATTTTTTTTCTTTGTTGGTTTTGCTTTTGGTGTCATGTCTAAGAAATGATTGCCTCATCCAAGGTCATGAAGATTTATGCCTGGTTGCTTCTCAGAGTTTAATCTCCCTTTGCTTTTGATGACTCCAGTGATGATCTACACTCTTCTAGGAGGATAAGGAGGAAAAATATTACAGAAAAATGAGTCATTCCAATGCACTCCTTTTTTAGTAATCCCAAGAGATTAATGGCTGACATCATAGAGAAGACCAACACTTAAGACTACATGGAAATTATTAAATTGTATATTTTGGGAAGACTCCCTCTCCTTCTTTCTTTCTTTACATGCCACGAGTGGCCTTCAGGTTTGCCTTCTGTGCAAGTGAATTAAATGAGCTTGTTATTGGCACTGGGTAGTGGAGGCTGCAAGCCTTTGGAGACCTTCCCATTCCTGTCTCCTTCCATCCACTCTCCTGAAGTTGAATTTCTGTTCCTTTTTTTTTTCTTTTTTCTTTTTTTTTTTTTTTTTTTGAGACAGGGTCTCATTCCTTCACCCAGACTAGAGTGCGGGAGTGAAGTGGCTAGGTCATGGCTCACTGTAACCTCGACTTCCTGGGCTCAGGTAATTCTCCCACCTCAGCCTCTTGAGTCACTAGAATTATGGGTGCATGCTACCACACTCAGCTAACTTTTGTGCGTGTGTGTATTTTTAGTAGAGATGGGGTTTCACCATGTTGCCCAGGCTGGCCTCGAACTCCTGGGCTCAAGCGATCCACCTGACTTGGCCTCCCAGAGTGTTGGTATTACAGGCATGAGCCACTGCACCCGGCCCCCTCTCTGTCCTTTTACAGCTGCACTGCCTGCTGCTGCTATGGACTGTCACAAGACCCCAGGGGCCAGCACTTTTCAAGAGTGTAGCCATGTGTGACATGCAGTGGCTGCCTTCTCAGGGCCAAACCAGATTAAGAAGGCCATCGTTGTGTTCCACGTTACACAACAGACTTGAAATCAATGAAAAGGACTCTTGTTGAGTCTTACTTCAACAAAACTCTACCTAAAAATCATTCCACACCCACATCTCAGCTCCTCGGGGCTCTTCCTTTCTAGATTGTGCTGCACAAATCTGAAAAATCTAAGTTTTTATCATCACTGCAGAACAAGGGACCTTCCAGCTTTGGTTCAGCCCTGATGCAGATGGAAACATTTTCCAGCCACCTGAATGTGATGCATTAGGACATTCTAGGCCTTCGTCATGGATGTGATGCATGCTTCCCTCTCTCCCAGACACCAAGATGCGTCCCACAAAGGGGACTCCCAGCCTCCACAGAGGTGCAGCTGGAGCTCTTCCCTCCTCTCCAGTCTGCAGTTCCCTGAGCACAGCACTCCCTGGCTGCAGTCCTACCCCCAGTCCAGGCCTCTGGGGCTCAAAACTGTTGCTTACACATTCAGGAAATTAAGAAAAAATAAAATAAAAACTCATTCAACCCACACTTCCTGCCCTGGAAAAATCCGACTATTGTTCTTTCTAGGCAACGTCCTTAAAGCCCCACATTTTCCCAGATTTTATCACATCTGCCCCTGGAGGCTGGAGCTTCTCATTAATATACAGTATTCCTGGAGTGTGTTTGGTTTGGTTTTCTGCTGCCAAGCCTGGGGGAGTTGGCAGTTCAAGCCAGCTCCTGACATTTAATCACACTTTGCATTTTACCCATCCACTCTCCCTACCCCTTTTACTAGCTCACTTTTAATGAGAAAGAAGAAACTAATTTTAAACACGCACACATCACAGTAGTAACACTGTCTCCGATTCATTCATCCATCAGCTCAGAAATTATAATTATAATGCATATTAATTTGCAAATGCTACATAATTTGATTTGTGTATTTAATGCCAAAAGATTAGACATTTCTCATCTTACGCTGTTCCTTCCAGCAGCAATTCATTCTCTATCCAAGGTGCTGCTCTATGGCTGACGCGGGCTCTACTGGTCAGATTTGAGGTAACACAATGATAAACCACTTCCTGCAAGCTGATGTACATCCAGATTCTCTACACTTTAACCAAAATTATGACCAAAATCAATTAAGTGATTTAAAAGTAAAATGTACTGGGTGAGCTTTGTGTAGGGAAGACAGTACTCAAGCAATCTACTCTGAATATTCAAGTAGAAACTGGCAAAAAGTCTCTAAAATACCTGAAGTCAAAGTGTCCCCAGCCTTTCTGGAAATTACAGGACTAAGATAATTTATCATGCAAGGATTCTTTCTCTAGATTGGACAATAATCTTTACTTTGATTTTATATTTAAGGCATATAAGTTATGAGAGGAATGTGCAGCTACTAATAATGTGTATTAATAACAAAACTCTAACTATAAGCCAGGAAAAATACTAAATATTTACAACCAGGACTTCAAAATTTATAAAATAGTATTAACATTTTTATTTATAGAACAATCAAACTAAGTCAAAAAAATATTTTAAGTAACTGGCCTAAGGTCACATGGACAGTCAGTGGAAGATCAAAGCACAGGCAGTTTCACTGACTCTGAAGCCAAGTTCTCAATCCCCAGAGCTGGTCTTCAAGTCCTATGTCATTTTGACAACTGGCATGACCATCTGTAAATTTGCAGTTTACAGCCTGAATTTCCCCACTTCAATGGAAACTCTACAAAGGAAGGTAACTTCACCATTTTGTTCAATGTTGTACATTCAGCCCCTAGAACAGAACTGGAGTCTTGGTAATGACAATAAATCTTGATTGAATAAAGGAATGAATCCAAAAGGTGTCATGAGGTCACACCACCATCATGTGGTCATTTATGCAAGGATAACTGCAAATGCAAAAAAGATTCAGAAGCCTCTCTGGACTGAATGTAAAATGGTTTATGCTCAGGCCGGGCGTGGTGGCTCACGCCTGTAATCCCAGCACTTTGGGAGGCTGAGGAGGGTGAATCACAAGGTCAGGAGTTCGAGATCAGCCTGGCCAATATGGTGAAACCCTGTCTCTACTAAAAAATACAAAAATTAGCCTGGTGTGGTGGCATGCATCTGTAGTTCCAAGTACTCGGGGGGCTGAGGCAGGAGAATTCTGGAACCCAGGAGATGGAGGTTGCAGAGAGCCGAGATCATACCACCGCACTCCAGCCTGGGGGACAGAACGAGACTCTGTCCCAAAAAAAAAAAAATGGTTTATGCTCAAATTGTGCAATACTAAGGAAGGATGTTAAATAAATGCCACACTTGTTTCTTTTATTATTAGCGTATACATTTTAGTCTCTTCTCCCTAACATCTCCACCACAATAATCCCCTCAGTCAAAGCTGTTGTTGATTTGATAGTGAGCTTCACAGCTGAGCATCTTATACTCACAGAAATAGTCTGGTCATATGGGCTCCCTGGTTCTGATGCTGATTCTTGATGGTTCCCGCAATAGACAGTCTCTCTTGAATCTCAGGGTTCTCCTGGCAACCCCTAACACTTGCTGTGGCTTTCCTTGTGTCCACTTGTCCCTGGTTGTCGAATTGTCTAGGGGGCAGCTGTATTTTGGTGTCTGCTCCAGCCCAGGGGTGCCATCCTTGCCCATCTACCATCACAGGCCGTTGCACCTGCAGACTTGCATACACTACCACTGCATCCAATCTGGCCACAGCCTGATGTTCCAGGAAATACCTTCTTAGCAGCAGAGAGGGGGGACTAGAAATTCTGGATAAGCAAGTGGTGCCTTTTTCATAATAAGTTCAAAAAGAAATATTGCAAAAGAAAAAAACTCAGAAGTCAGTCTTTTCACTTGTGTTCAAAATCCTCCTCCAGCCCTCAATTCTTTCAAAAGAAAAATTAGGATCCCAGATGCTCCCCAAAATCTCTTCCAGTTTTAAAAACTCTTCATTTAATCAAGTTTTATCTCCATTTTGGATTACTCCATAAAAACGTTGAGTTTCTTAAAATAAACACAAATGCATTTTGTACCAAATCAAACAAAATTAAACTTAAGAATGTCTTTAAGCTTACCTATCTCACATCAAGCTAATCATCATCTAACAGTCACCAAACACTAGCAAACAATGGATTGTGCCACCACTGAGGATTCTAGAGATGCAGTTTATATATGTTTTGGCTACACTTATTCTTGCTCTCAGGTTTCCTTAAGAGAAAAACCATCATTTTGATGTGAACAGACATTGCCAAAGAAGGGTTTCACTCTCAGTCACCAGTAGGGTACAAATAAAATTATAAATCCACACAACAGGCAGGGTGGGGAAGCTGAAGAGACCCGGGCAAATTAGAGTGTGCATACTTCAGTGAAAAATGTTCAATCACATTATCTAAAAAGTAAAAGCTGTGTAGGCCAAAAGTAGATTATCTGTTGCTACTCACTGAATGTTTGTGTCCCTCTGAAATTCACATGTTCAAACCTTGTGAATTTATTATGGATGGTTATTAGGAGGTGGGACCTTGGACAAATGACAGGTCATGAGGGTGGATCTGTCATGAGTAGGATTATAGCCCTTATAATAGAGACTCCAGAGAGCTCTCTCACCTTTTTCACCATGTGAAGACGCAAATCCCAGAAACAGGACCTCATCATGCCCTGAATGTGCTAATGCCTTGATCTTGGACTTCCCAGCCCCCAGAAATGTGAAAAATAAATGGTTGTTGTTTAAGTCACCCAGCTTGTGGTATTCCGTTATAGCAGCCCCAACAGACTAGGACATCTGCACAGGAGATACGTGACACTGGGAGAGAAGCTGGAACTGATGCCACATCATGAAACCAACGTTGCTGTCACCTGGACCTCAGACTTCCGGCCTCCAGAACCGGGAGGGGATACATTGATCTCGTTTAGGCCATCTGGTTTCCGGTGCTTCATTAGAGAGGCACTAAGGAACTAACACACACACACACAAACACACAGTATGCACACAAACACACACACAAACACACACACATAAACATACACACATAATATGCCAAAAGGTTTTAAGAGCTATGGAGAAACATGATAAACAGCGAGGGCAGTGGGACTCTGGGAGCGGGGATAAGGGAGGGAGGGACATCGCTGCTTCATGGGAAAGCCTCACTATACTCAGGGCATCTGAGAGCTCAGAGAAGGAGGACAAGGCCAGGCAAGTGCCGGGGGAAAAGCACACTGGTCAGAGGGAACCGCAAGGCCGAGTCCCCACAGCAGGACGTGGCTCGGGAGGTGGAAGGGGCCTCTAGGAGCTCAGGGAGGTAGGGTGGGGGCCCGAGTGACAGGGCAGGGCGCCCTGGGATGTGAGGTCTCCTGGACCACTGTGTTCTCCTATGTCTGCTGAGCTGCAGGCAGGAGGCAGGCGCAGGGGGCGGGGAAGGAGGACTGTGACTTGTAAGACCCTCTGGCTGCGGTGAGGAGGAAGTGATGAGGAGGAAGGAAGGGTGGAGGCTTTGAGGCCGACTGAGAGGCAGTCACGAAGATGCTGGTGGGAGACAGCAGCTCCAGAGTGGAAGGCATGGGAAAGAGGCCGAGCCCGGATGCCTCCTGCAGGTGGGGACAAGGAGCCTTGCTGATGGACAGGATGTGGGCGTGAGCAGAGTGGAGCCAAGGATGGTGTCAAGGTTTGGGGCCGACACATCTAGGCAGATGGGCCTGGGCTCCCTGCAGTGATGGAGCAGGGATGAAAGGCAGAACTTATCGGCTCAAAACACAGCACGGCAGCCAGGCAGCACATGTTTTGCAGAATTTTTGAAGAATACTAAGGTTTCATTTGCATTCTTATTTGGCCAAACATTTTCCACCTTAAACTGTCCATTGTTGAAAGTTAAACACCTCCTCTGTAATGCCAGACAGAAGGGTTTTAAGTAATAGGTGCCTCAGCTTCTACCAAACTGTCTTCATTCCTGAGCCACCTCCACCACCTGTTCCAAGACACTGGACAATTCTCCCTGGCTTGAGTGGAATGGATTGTCAGTGACAGGCAATCAGCTAGGAACATAACATTTTTCTTCTCCAAGCTGCAACCCAGCCAATCTTTTTTAGGACAACTGAAGCAACAATTAGGCATCCAAAAATCTAAATTAAAATCCAGCTGTGTGAGTTGCTGCCAGTGCTACTGAGGTGACAAATGGATGGATAGAAGTACTCCCTTTGTGTGCACATGCGTATACACATACAAATAAAAATAACACAGAGAAAATGAAGCCAGGAGAACTGTGCTGACCTGGTGTAAAGCAGTAGACCTGGTGAAGTGCAATTTACTTTATTTAAAGTTGAAATAGAACTATTATGTTTGAGAAGAACCAGTGTTCTGTGAAGGACTCTTTAGAAGAAGAGCTCATAGAATCCACCTCTATTTTATAGGCTGAACAGCTGAGAGCTGAAGAGTTTCAAGGACTTTCAAGGTCACGTCATGGAGAATGGCAAAACAGGACCAGGGCTCCTTACAGCCCTACCTCTCTGTCCGTTACTCGAGAAGCAACTCACAACTTCCTCCCTACGTGCTCTGCCTGTTCCTAATGTAAGACTCTCAGGAACTTCAAATTCCTTGTTTTCCATAGCCTGCAAGCCATCCAAATACCTAGCCAAGAACCGAATACGAGAAGAAACACTGACAATGGCGAGAGAGGCTGCAGCAAGGCCACCTCTGATGGCCGACCCCCTACTTTGTGGCCCCGTTGTCCATGGAGACCCACAGGTGCTCCACAGGCCATCCCTGGGTGGGTTTGCATGAGATGTCATCCCTTTAGAGGGAAAGCTAGAGAACCTGGATTGAGGGACATTTAGAAGGAAAGGAATGTGGAGGGCAGTTCTAGTATAAGCCTGAAGTTGAAAGAGCGAAAACACCTCACAGGAAGCTGTGGAGTGGGCTAGTACAGGGAGCTCCTCCTGGGGTCCAAGGCACGTTGAGCTGGGTGAACTCTGGGGCTTGGGGGTCAGAGGAGCAGAGGAGCAGCAAGGTGACGTGGAGGAGGAATGCTGTGGGGCTGTTGGACGCCAGCACATCCACGAGGGAGAGGTCCTCTGGCATCTCATAGGAAGAGTTACTTTTTCCCCAGCTTCTCTTTGCGGTTGCCCCGGGACCGTCCAGGGGGGACACTGCCCGTTTCGCTGTGCCCGGGCAGCCTGTATTGTCTTCATGGTAGGTTGTTTTCTTTTCTATTTGCACCCATGCTTTGAATCCCAGATCTTGTAAACCTTCTCAGGCACTGAGTTCTAAGATCCTAGAGACAAGCTGCAGCACTTGTCAAGAAGAGTGAAAAATGGACGTACCAGGATGACATGGAATTTCTAAATCAGCACTAAATACCCATCTGGGCTATAAACGTCTCAGGTCTCTTTCGTGCTGCAGAGTAATGTAAACAGTATTTGTGTGCCTGTCTGACCACTCCTCGGTTCCCCCGATTTCAGGCTGTCAAGTCATGCTTGGGGGTGGGGGAGTGGGGACCACGGAGCAAGGGTGTGGCTTAGTCACCGTCCTTCCCCCAGTCCACAGCAAACATTCATTGTGTCCCAATGAGTCACCCCTTACTGGAGCCCACGGGGGCTCTTTCACTCTGGCCGGTGAGCTCCTCTCTTCCCAGGGGGTTCAAGGGCCAAAGAAAAAAATGTTGTTTGCAAGTACACGAGGATCCAAAAGTAAAACTGTTACTTCATTCATCACTGTGAGGACACTGGACTCCTAGGTCTTCTGCAGGGTCTAAGATCAGTGACAAGACTAAGACATCTTTGCACAGAACTTTGTCAGACAAAGATGATGGTTTTCTTGCTGTTAAATTCCAATGTATCACAGAGTGAGAGGAACAGAAACACTTAATAACAAATCAGCCCACATATGAAATTTCAGAAGTTTTCTCGTTAAAGAAGAGATGACCCATCCATTAATCTCGCCGACTTTTGTGGAGACCTACCATGCATCTTACCACCTTCAGAGAGCTGAAAAGAGACAGACCCCAAACAAACCTTATATTAAGCCAGAGAAAGGCTACAGTAGGGTCATGGCATAAGGGAGGGAGGGACAGGGCCCTCTGGGGTCTGGTGCACGGGACAGGGGAGAGGAGGTGGGGTGACAACAGCAAGGTTTACAATGGGAAGTCTTCAGTTCTTTGCACAATAGCTAAAGAGATGAAGTATTTCTGCAAGAATTTTCTATTTGGTGATGCCACTAAGATATCCTTAATCATTTTAAACTCATACTTTCTTACACTTCAATGTTTCTGTGGGCACCTAAAATATCCAAATTTACCAAAAGAAAATTTAAAAAGGCCAGTCTTTGAGAGAGGCTGTAACAATATTCTGTTTTCAACCATCTACCAGTTATTTCCCAGAAAAATCTAGATTAGAGGCATGGTTAGTGATTTAATAGAAAATTAATTTTTTTAAATTTTAAAATTTTATTTTCCCCATTTATCAGAAACACATAGTCAGAGCCAATTTAATAGGGTAGGGCTCTCTAGAGAATCCATCTAAGACCTGAATACACAGTGCTCGTGGTATATTAGGAAAGGATATTTGGTCTTTGTCTCCAGTGCCTGACTCAGAGCTCCTAAAACCCTTGGAATTTTCTGAGTGAGAAGAGGGATTAGAGAATCTGTTGTTCTAATGGGGCAGCTCCCTGTGGGCTCCTGGAAAGCTTCAGGAAAGGGGTGGTCATCCGAAAGACCGAGCCTTGATTAGAAGCCTGGGGCTTTCAGCCCCACCCCACAGGGAAAAGGGGCCAACGGTTGAGTGAATCATCAACAGCCAGTGATTGCGTCAGTTCCGTCTATGTTATAAAACCTCCATGAAAACCGCTAAATGACAGGTTCAGAGAGAGCTCCACATGCCTGGAGGGAAGATGTCGCACCCCAGCTCCACGGTGCAGAAGCTCCTGTTCTCAGGACTTCTCTGACCTTGGGCGATGCACCCCTTTATCTGGCCACACACTTTGCCCTTTATAATAAACTGGTGGTCATAAAGGGAGTGGCTTTGCCAGCTCTGTGAGCCATTCTACCACATCATCCTCCTGAGGAAGCATTGTGGGTCCCCCAGCTTGTAGCCACTCGGTCAAAGGAACTGGGAGCCCAACGTGTGGGATTGGATTGGCGTGTGGAGTGAGGACTGAGTCCTTCACCAATGGGATCAACATGTGGGATTGGATTGGCGTGTGGAGTGAGGACTGAGTCCTTCACCCATGGGATCAGCATGTGGGGTTGGATTGGTGTGTGGAGGGAGGACTGAGTCCTTCATGGATGGGATGTGCCTGTGGGGTTGGATTGGCCTCTGGAGGGAGGACTGGGTCCTTCACCAATGGGATCAGCATGTGGGGTTGGATTGGTGTGTGGGGTGAGACCAGTCTTGTGGGACTAGTCCTTCACTGATGGGATCTGATGCTACCCCTGGTAGAGAGTGGCTGAATTAAGTTGAATTTTCAGACACTCAGCTGGTGTCAAAGACTTGGAGAAGTGGCCTTAGAAAAGACACCATATATTTGGTGTCAGGAGGGAAGGGAACCTCCCAAAGCCTCACCCTGGAAAGGATGCCGAGCAATGCTGATTAAATCAGTGGAGTTGGCGGGGCACGGTCGTTCACACCTGTAATCCCAGCACTTTGGGAGGCTGAGGTGAGTGGATCACTTGATGTCAGGAGTTCGAGACTAGCCTGGCCAACATGGTGAAACCCTATCTCTACTAAAAATACAAAAATTAGCTAGGCGTGGTGGTGGGCACCTGTAATCCCAGCTACTCAGGAAGCTGAGGCAGAAGAATCACTTGAACCCAGGAGGCAGAGGTTTCAGTTAGCTGAGATTGTGACACTGCATTCCAGTGTGGGTGACAGAGTGAGACTCTGTTTCAAAATAATAATAATAATAATAAATTAGTGGAGCTAATGGAACTCTATATTCAAAGTATCAGAAACGAAGGTACTATCACACACACGCACACATACACACACGCACGCACACTCACACACACGCATGCACACATACATGCACGCACGCTCACACACATGCACATACACACATACACGCACACACACGCATACACGCACGCAAGCACACTCACACACGCACACATACACACGCATGCACACACGCCCACATGCACACACATGCACACTCACACACATGCACACACACGCACACACGCACACGTACACACATGCATGCACACTCTCACACACGCACATACTTATTCATTGATTGTTCCAGTCAGATTTTCATCTTAAGGAATGAAAATCACTTAAAAGGTTTCTTTTAACCAAACATTCATAGTCAGTAGATCTATTTCACATCTGTGATTATATTCTTAGCAAGTCTAGACAAAAATTATCTTTTTAAAGAAAATTTATTTTATTTTTTAATTTAATTTAACTTATTTATGTATTTTGAGAAGCAGTCTCACTCTTGTCGTGCAGGTTGGAGGGCAGTGGCGCGATCTCGGCTCACTGCAACCTCCCCTTCCTGGGTCCAAGCAATTCTTCTGCCTCAGCCTCCCTAGGAGTCGGAATTACAGGCATACGCCACCACGCCCAGCTAATTTTTGTATTTTTAGTACAGACAGGGTTTCACCATGTTGGCCAGGCTGGTCTCGAACTCCTGACCTCAGGTGATCCACCCACCTCTACCTCTCAAAGCGCTGGGATTACAGGCATGAGTCACTGCACCCGTCCTTTAAAGATAATTTAAGTAATTATCTTTAAAAAATTATTTTACAAAATAATATTTTATTTTGTAAAAATAAAAATAGACTCCAGGATATTTTTTTCCTCATCTGGTAAATGCTTAAGAAAAAAAAAATTGTCTCTATATACACACATAGATGTTTTTTCTTAAAGAGAGAGCGAGAGAGAGACGATGAAAACACCTGGCTTTAAAATAAGTAGATGATAAAATTTCTAAGTAAATATAGTGTGGATCAGTTCCGCTGATGATCCTGGCCCCCCTGCTGCTGGGGTCCAGCCAGTCTCTCCCAGACACTCAGCCCAGGTGGCACAGTCACAGGCAGACTCAACCCCGACAGAGGGGAGGGAGAGCAGCCCAGCGCCTCTGGGTAGCATGAGCATTGCCCGAGCCTCTCTCCACCAGCGTCCCTCCAGTGGCCCCTGAAAGAAAGAACACGGCCTCTCGTTTACCTGCCAGGAATGTAGGAGCCTGAAGCTACAGGAGAAGCTGTTGCTCTTCATAACTTGCGGGCGCGTTTTGATGCATTTTTGGATTGTTTTCCTCTTGGTGCTCTCCAGAATTCACTGCCCCAGCCCTGGGAGAGGTCATTGTTTCATATACGGATGTCCAATGGGCCCAGCACCACTTGTTGAAATAACTTATTTTGCACAACCTGTATAGCGACACAGCTCTGGACAACGTGCTCTCTGAGAACTTTCTCACTAGGTTGATGACAGTCCTGTGAAAATTGAGGGTGGTATTGACATCTCTGTCTGTGACAGATAGAGAAAACAAGGCAGAGAGTGTATGAGTCCTTGTCCAAGATGGCCCAAGTGCGAACAGGTGGAGCTGAGACCTGAACGGTGTCTCCCTAGCACCCAGTCCCAGGCGCCCGTGCATTTCATTCTCTGCCTTGAGGGAGAGCCTCAGGTGATCTCCTTAACCTGGGAGTCACTCCCACTGAGGCTTCTGCAGGACCAGGGATGCCCAGCGAGGCAAGTCTCTTCACTAGCTCATGGGCTAAACGTGACTTGAAGTTTCAGTGTATTAGAATGTATTCAATACACTTACCCTATAATCCTGCCTCTGGTGAACCTGTCAACCACAACTGGCACAGAATTGCCTTTCCCTCCCCTTCCCTACAAGACATGGCGTGGGCAGGAGCCACAGGCTCCTCCTAGAGACTAATCCACATCTCATAGGAAGAAAGACCTCGACAGAGAAGGCCTCTCCAATGCCAAGGCTCCCCTTTCAAAAGAAAGGAAACACCATCCCACCCGGGATCAACATCTTAATGTGGTCCCACCCGGTATAAACATCGTAACGGAAAAGGCAAGGGATTTGTGTTTTGTCGCATTTTTGGGCTTCCTTTATCCTATTCTAAACATTGGTTTTGGACCGCGTGCTAAAGCCCCACTCCTATTTGATGTAATCCTTTGTAAAATCATGGCATCCCAATGGTCTTACACTCCTTTTAAGTTTTCAGTAAATAAATAGAGTCTGGCACAGCTGCCCCCCATGGTGTGACATGCCAGCACCCCAAAAGCCTCTCATCAATCATAAGATGGGGAAACCTTGTAATTCTACATGTTTCTGATATTTCCTTACTTAAGAAAATCATGTGCTCAGCTATTTAAAAATTACTTTTCATCTTAGATTACTCTAGAGAAATGCTTGCCCAGTGAAGCCTAGAAATCTGTGAGCCCTTTAATTTTAGACCTTCGATTCATTGAAAGGAACTATAACCTAATAGTAAACATTAATGTTACCCCCTGTAGGATAAAGGTGGGGGGTTAACATTGGACTTAACTCATAGACTGTTTTTTTTTCTTTTTGCTTAGGAAAATAAATTGCTTCATCTTATTGCTACAGTTTGATAATAATATTGATGACACAATTTTATCAGTCAATGTGTTATACTATTAATCTCCATTCAGATTTCAACCATAACTAACAGCGCTTGGTTATGTATGACTTTCTCATATGCCCTCAACATCGATAAAAATTGGTTTCTCCATGGCAAACCCAGGCCTAGCCTGTGGCACAAATCGTGTTTACTGAGCCACCACAGGCCCCAGGGATTCTGGGATGGTCCTTAACACTCCAGGTGGAGTGAGGAACTGCCGGTGGTCCCGGCCAGAATCACAGCTTCCTTCCAGATTGCGTTCTTACTCCAAGAGCTACACTGCTAAGGAGAACAAGTTAGGCCACCTTCTTGGATACCCCCATTTCCTCACCAGCCCTAAGGCGCTGGTGTTAGACACCAAAGGAATGTGGTGTCTTCAGGCACTCTCCCAAAGCTCCCTCCTCAGTTTCTATTCTACATTTCTCTTAAACGCTTCAAAGTGAATGAATCGACCTGAGAGAAGAGAGTCAAGCTGTGTGAGATACACCTCATAATATGTAATTCCTTGCACTATTTCCCACAGCAGAAGGAAAATCCAACTCACTAATGTAAGAAAATAAAGACATGAACAAAAGAATGAAGGAATGAATGAGTGGCTGGCTGGATGGATGGTTGTATTTACGAAACGTCATTTTCTAACAAATCAATTTTATTTTGTTTAATATGGCCAAAATATTTGGAAGTTAAGGTCATAGAGGTTTAAATTACACAATTAGCAGAAATTTGAGGCCAAAATTAGTTTTTACTTTTCTTTGGAAATCATTTCACCAAAGTACACAATCCCTCCTGGAATGATAAATTAAGTTCAGTGTTACTAATTCTGAAAAATATGCCAATCCCTACTGAGGTGTTGTAAATTATTTGTAAAGTCTGTGGATTAGATGTGCATTTTCATTTTTTTATTTTAAGTTCCAGGGTACATGTGCAGAACGTGCACGTTTGTTACATAGGTAAACGTGTGCCATGATGGTTTGCTGCAACTATCAACCCATCACCTAGGTATTAAGCCCAGCGTGTATTAGCTATTTTTCCTGATGCTGCCCCTCCCCCTGCACACCCCCCGACAGGCCCCAGTATGTATTGCTCCCTCCCCGTGCATGTCCATGTGTTCACATTGCTCTGGATGGAGCTGGAAGCTACTATCCTCAGCAAACTAACACAGGATCAGAAAACCAAACACCACATGTTCTCACTATAAATGGGAGCTGAAAGATGAGATGTGCATTTTTAAGTAAAAATCCAATTTTTCAGCAATGAAGTAGAAAGTGTGATTATGTCAATACTTGTGTTTGTGTGTTTGTGTTTCTATAGACCTCTTAGAAATAATTTAAAATTATAACATTCTATTTATTTGTAGAATAAAAAGTATAATTAGCCACCTTGTGTGTCAAGCCTGAAGATTTGAGAAATTTACCTTCAGAAAGAAGTGATTTTTTCCTACCTTAAGTTTGTCACATCCTGGAAATGCCTATCAAAGTGAAACTTTGGACTATTCTCAAGCCAGAGATCACAGGCACTCTAGAGGACAAAGAGGTTGGTGTTTTTGAGAAACCAGTGTCAACTATACTCACTGAAATCATTAAAAATGTAAACAGCCTCTGATCATGACACAGAAACTCACTTTTGGACATGGTATAGCCCCACACCTAAAAGCAAAATAAACCAGCCCAAAATACACAAACATAAAGCACAGGGTCACCAAGGAGCCACTAAAGGATTTCTTATCCTACTCCAGATCATAAAAGACAGAAGTGAATGCAACCTTACCTAGGGTTGGGGACCTCATCTATGCATGAGGTCCCAGCAGCCAAAGGACCCTGGGAAGCATCCAGGTTACCATAAAGAAAAAAAGAGATAGCTTGGAGAACCAAGCTGTCCAGACAATACCAAATATTATTACCTTGACTAATAAAATATTTCTCTCATCACATTAAGATGAGTGTCTATATTCCCTGACGTTCCAAAGAGAAGATAACTGCAGCACATGTTATGGAATTAATATTTCAGGTTGTTTAATGTTTTGAGCTGCCTTTTTAAAAACTTTGATTGATCATCAGGTCAATATAAAGTTAAATCCCTTTGTATGCTTTGACACAGCCTGAGCTAAGGTCCTTATAATTGTGACTTACTTAAAAGGGGACTAACAACATACCTATGCTGGCGTCCTTCACGAGGGTGTTGACTGATGGTCATAGTACATGACAAGCTCAGATGTCAGATATGAGATATACGTGTCAACTTGCTTGCTTTATAGAAAACAGCGTTTCAGGGACAACATGCGTATATGACCAATTTTTTAAAGGCAAATCTTCATGTAAATTTGGGCCAACTATGTCCAACTCTTCCTGTGGGTGCCTGCAAGGGAGCCCTAGACCCTGAAACTACAGATGCTGTTTGGAAGCTTTGGTTAAGAACCAAGACTGAAGGTCTATCAAATCTTCAGATAGACCAAGAATGACTGAAATCCATTGGAGAATTCTGAGGACCAACACAGATCAACAGTAAGTATTAAATTGTTTTATTTCTTTAGCACCCAACTCTTCACTCCCAAAAACATCTAAGTTGTTTCTAAAATTAGGTAACAATATCATTAACACTAGCATAAAATGATGACAAAAAGATGAATAGTATTCCACTTGGCCTTTGGTATTTTTCTTTACAGGGGGATATCTTTCATTTACTTTCTCATCAAGACTTATATGGGTCCCAGGAAATGGATGGTGGCAACCTCAAACCAAGATGTTTGAGGGGTGCAACTGGAGCCCAGTGAGCAGATTTTCAGCCTTGCTAGAGAAGGGAATCAAAATAACATGTGGAAGAACACTCTGTCCCATTGCTTCTCCGAATGTCCTCTCCTCTCTTTCCCCACACAAATGCATTTCTTTTTCAAGTACTCACATTTCCACAAGATAAACAAGGCAAATATGGAATTTCCCTTCCACATACTTTCTCTTTTATTTTTAAGCAGAAAACATACTACACACAAAATTCACTGGGGAAAATGGTTCTATTCTTGACAGGGAAAAAACAAAGATCAAGTTGTAAAATTGTAATTAATAGATTGTCAAGACTGCAAGCTCTCTCCGGAGTGCTGGTTAGACCAGTTCTCTCATTTTCCCTCTCTTCTTATGCCTCTTGGGTTGGGTGCATGGATTCGCCATCCCAGTGCCCTGGATTTGCTCAGGCGGCAAAACTTCCCAACATGTATGTCCCCTGGTGTTTCTCAGGCCATCTGTGACCTGCCTGACCGAGATCTCCAGCAAGGCCCGGGGTGACTAGAAATCCTGCTGTCATCCTTCAGAACCAAAAACCCAAAATGGGCCGGGCACAGTGGCTCAATCCTATAATCCCAGGACTTTGGGAGGCCAAGGTGGCTGGATTACCTGAGGTCAGGAGTTTGAGACCAGCCTGACCAACATGATGAAACCCCATCTCTACTAAAAATACAAAATTAGCCGGGTGTGGTGTCGTGTACCTGTAATCTCAACTACTCAGGAGACTGAGGCACGAGAATTGCTTGAACCCAGGAGGTAGAGGTTGTAGTGAGCTGAGATAGCGCCACTGCACTCCAACCTAGGCAACAGAGTGAGACTCCATCTCAAAAAAAAAAAAAAAAAAAAAAGAAAGAAAAAAGAAAAAGAAAAAAGAAAAAAGAAAGAAAACCCGAAAATGAAAACCTGAAATAAAACCCAAATGCCAACAACACCTCCTGTCATGCCCCCCATGCCATGTACTTCTCCTGGAATTGATTTCCATCTCTTGTTCTAAGTAATGGAAATCACTCAAGAAAGCAGAGGTTGGGAGAAGAACGAGGCATCACAGGGTCTCGGTGAGCACAGCTCCCATTTCAGCAGCACCCCCAGGACGGGCACACATCATCAGTGTACCGCATCGTCCCCACACTTCGGACATAAACTGCTAGTGACAGGTGAAATATTTATGCAGAGGAGGATGTTCTGATGTGCTGTGGCTTATTTAATATTGATATTTCTCTAGAACAATTGGGGGATTTTGCTCTGGAATGTGCTATTGTTTCTATCATTGTTGTTTTGTTTTTATCATTTTTAAATCAGATCAATTTTTTGGGACACTCCACTGGTGGACTGGAAATGCCACGGTTGTGTGCCAGGAGATAGCTGCCTACAGGTTTATAAAATCAACCCTATTACTAAGAGTTAACCAGTTAGTGGGTGTTTGCTGCCAGGTGTGACAAAAGAATTACCTACATGATGTCATCACACACTTGGGAAGTAGGTAATATGGTTCCCCGTTATAGACGAGGAAAGCCTTAAGTGTAAAAGTCTTTTCCAAGGCCATTCAGGGATTAAGTTGAGGCTGGAGCCATGATTCAAAAATCAGATGTGCCTGGCTCAACCCAGAAGACTTCGCTGTGTGCCGCCAGAGGGAGGACTCGTGGTGAAGCTGATGCAGCAGACGCTTTGCTCCCAGGTTCCTCTGGGTAACCCGGGCTGCTCTGCTCGGGGCAGGCAGGGAGGGAAGCCAGGTGCACTCCAGGAGCAGTTTCCAGGATGCATTTCTCATAAATCTTTTCTTGGAGTCCCAGGAGAAAGTGACCTGAGCCTCTCCCGTCTTTGGTTGGGCTTTCTTTTCCCATCCCAAATCAATGCTCACTTTTATACCTAAAGTATTATTTTTCTTACAGAAGGCACAACTGGTGAAGCTTCAGGCCCCCACAAAACCTGGATCTTCCCCTATCAGTCACTCAATGATCATCTTACAGTGGGTGTGTCTAGCAGATTATTTTACGCAGAGCAGGGTCTTAAGGCACTGGAATGCAGGGCAAGTGTGTTTGGGTAGAGGGGACAGAAGCAGAAGTTCATGCCTCTGAGGACACATTCTGGACCAGAGAGAAGGGCTCATTCGGCACACAGCAGAAGGATCTACGTGCCCAGAAACAGGTGGATGAAGAAAGCAAAGCTAAGAGGAGGGGAGAGGAAGGAAGGGGTGAGAAAGATGATCCTACAAGGCACCCGTTAAAAGGGCAGGGAAGGGGCTGAGTTTTTAAATGGCAGCAGTCACCTCCCTAAATCAAGGCTGGAGGCCTACAGGGGCTGGAGAGCAAGACCTGCAAGAGAGAGGTCTCAGAGTCAGCTGGTCTAAGTGTGGGCTGAGAACAGCTTTGAGAAGAGGTGGACACAGAGTGGGCTCCCCTGCAGGGAGGCAGCCGGTGCGTGGGAGCACAATGTGGGGATGTTTTAAGTGCACATGCTTAGTTTAAGGCAACAAAAACAAGCCTGCTTTGCTGCGCTTTGGTCCCTTATAGTTGACTGATGTAATTGCACTATCAATTTTACATCTACGTTTCCCATACTCTTGCCTACTGAATCCCACTCTCTGTTATGTGCGCGTCTGCTGACTGCGCCCCTCCTACAGAGCTGCCACACATTCTGGAGAATATGAGGACAGGAGGATCTGCTGGGCACACAGAGGCCTCTCCCCAGTAATCTGTGTGACTATGCTGGACTTGTAAAGGATGGGCTTAGGACCAGCTGTCATATTTGATGGAAAATAACTAACAGGATAACCAATTGTCTGACAACCAACACCCTGTGCCCCAAATCGCCGTGTGACATCTTTGGAAAACATAATCTCAACGTTTAGAAGTTGAAAACACAACCTCTTTAAATGAGCATTTCCTGTAGTTTTGCCTAAACAGAGGGGTATTTGAGCAGATTCAGAAAGCTAAGCGAATAACAAAAAAAGAAGCAAAGTGCTTTTTCTGGTCTAAACTGAAGAACTGTGAACTCTTGGTTATCACGTGTTAGCCTCAGTGAACTCTGAACGCCAGAGGCTCAAAGCCTGAGAACTTGTGACAAACCAGTGGCTGGGGCCATCCTTACCCCTGTTGACCTCTGGTTTCTCTCATTGTGAAAGCTCTTTCAGCCTGTGCAGAAGACAAAAGCCATCACCAGGGACACCAGACGAGTTTGTTAAATAGAGCCGTCTGGGCACAGAAGGTGCAATCCCATAAATCTTCATTTTTCCTCGTCTGTCCAGAGTGATTAGGATAAGCGTCTATATGAGGGACATTCACCTGGAAAGCAGCACAGAGAAGGCATTGGCATCCCAGGGCTGTGACATGGAGGCAGGGCTTCATAGGATGTTGGCAGGACATGGCATCTTTATGCCTGCTCAGTTCTCCTGCTGTCACCACCCATCAGAGACAGATTCAACCGTGGGGACTCGCGCGTTAAGGGACCACTGCCAGGAGGGCATTCCTTTACTGTATAAGAATTCAAACTCAAAGCACAAGATTTGTCAGAAGAGCTCAACAAGTACAAAGTCGCTGAGACTGGGAGCACCTTTGTGGCTCACTTCACTTATAAAAAATGATAAATAACCACAGCCCAACTGAATACAAAGAAAATTGCCTTCTTTTTGGTGTTTCATAGGCTGGGTCTGTTTTAAAACCATTGTTCTTATATAATAGTCTCACGTGATGATTGTTTATACCAGTAAAAAAAAAAAAATCTTAAAATCTCCTTTAAATTAAAAAGAAGATATAAACTATCACTCCCTTATAGCACCCCTTTTTATAAGCATAATATTGAGACTAGTTAGATTTTATCTGAAAAAGATGTATAGTTTTACATTCAATCTATACATGAAAACCAAGTGATTTTTTTCCAAGAACTTTACAAATAAAACTGAGTAAAGGGGACAGGCGTGATGGCTCACACCTGGAATATCAGCACTTTGGGAGGCCCTGGAGAATTGCTTGAACTCAGGAATTTGAGACCAGCCTGGGCAGTATAGTAGAACTCTGTCTCTAGACAAAATAAAAACAGTTAGCTGGGCATGGTGGTGCACCCCTGTTGTCTCAGCTACTCAGGAGGCTGAGGCAGGAGAATCTCTTGAGCCCAGGATGTTGATGCTGCAATGAGCTATGATCACACTAGTGTACTCCAGCCTGAGTGACAGAGCAAGACCCTGTCTCAAAAACAACAACAAAAAACTGAGTAAAGGGATTGAAGCTCTCCTTACATGAATTTAGACATGGCCTCAGGAGTTGTTTCTTGCTTTGTTTCTTCCAATTGTTTGCCCGGAGGCATACTGTACAATAACAAATTAAAGTTCTCTAGCTCTTTAAAATGTTCATGAAAGGAAAATAAATCTTGGGGCCCCCAAATCACCAAGCTACATGCAAAAGTCAAGCTGGGAATTGCTTAGGGCAAACCTGCCTCCGGTTCTATACAAAGTCACCCACCTGCTCATTGAGATAAATGCAGATCTGATTGCCTCATTTGGAGAGGCTCATCCAAGCCCAAAACAATGTAGCCATTTTTCTCTTATCTACCTATGACCCAAAAGCCCCCTCCCTGCTTTTGAGTTGTCCCGCCTTTGCCTGGAGTTGTCCCAGCTTTCTGAGGTACAATTTACACTTATTGGTTGACATCTCATGTCCCCCTAAAATGTATAAAACCAAGCTGTGCCCCTACCACCTTGGGCACATGTGGTCAGGACCCCCTGAGGCTGTGTCACATAAAATAAACTTTTTAACTTAACTGCGACCTTGGCAAAATAAACTTTTTAAGTTAACTGAAATCAGTCTCTGATTTTCAGGGTTCACATGTTTCATATGCAAAATAAGTTCATACATTTAATAGGTGTTTTGTTATTGGAGAAAACTAACTCAATGCCACTCTTCTGCCTCATTAAGATAGTTCCCATTTTTGGCTAAAGTTAGAGTCAGTTCCCACCCCCCCACCCCCAACTGCAAACAAAACCTGACCCTTTATGCCTGAGGAAGACATTATTGAGTCATACCTCCCAGATAGTCACATCTGAGGTCAGTTCTCTCCTATACTCTCATTACATTTTGTCCTGGGGGGTTTCCTGTTTGCTAAGGTGGCGGGGGGTGAGTGGCGGGAGCACTCTATTTGAGAGCTGAGACCAGGATTTTCATCACAGTTCTGCTTCCCACCTCTGTTTGACACTAGGAGGGAGGCTTCTATTTCGACAAGAGGAAAAGAAGCAGTTTGGGGTGATTGCTCTTTGGGGTCCCTTTCAGCTCAAATTGACCTAAGTGTGCAACTCCTCTCTTGTCTATGGAAACCCGCCAGCTTTAGAGCTTTACTGAGGAGCCTCCCCCAGGGGATCATTTATTGATGCCTCTTGTCTGGAAACTGCTGGTTTTGGATCTAGGGTCTGGATTTGAGGCTGGAGGCCCATGACACCCTTGATGGCTGCCCAGCCTGAGCCGTCGGCACCCTGGAGCTGCTAGACTGCCTGGGTACACATCCAAGCTCTTCCTTTCCCTCCTTTCCAGTGAGTTAGGTTCTCCAACCTACTACCGTGAAGCAGGGCTTGTCCTGGGATGTCCCTTCTGGAGCTCACCCATGAGCCACTTCCCCACTCTAGGGACAGAGCCTCTTTCCTGTGGCCATGGCAGCTGAGCTTCCTTGAGGGTCAGCAGGCCTCAGGTCCAAGGGTCCCAACTGCAGGGACACACCTGGGCATCTCCGTGGACCGAATGTTGAGAGGTGACAGGCTTCCTGAGGCTAGGACATGAGTGTTTCCTGAGCTCCTCCAAGGCCACTGAGACTGCTGTAGCCTCACCTCAAATAAAAACAAAGGCAGCCTTCTTCATCTAAGGAGAGACTATTCGAAAGGATTATTGCAAGAGGACAGGGCGCTTGCATGGTGGGATGAAGGCTGTTGCAGCAGAAGGCTCTGACCAAAGGTCTGCAAGCTTCTCAAGGGTTACGAAAAGGCTAGAAAGAACTGGGTAAGGTAAAAGGGAATGACATGGTAGCTGATGGGACCACAGATGAGAGAAGACTTCTCCCTGAGGCCAGGCTATTTCTGGAAGGGAAGCCTGTAGACTCCAGCTGAAGGTGTGGCCAAACCTCAGTGGCCTAAAGGAAGGGGATGCTGATGCCAAGCTTGGTCCACAGGCATTTTGTTCCAGTGTACTCATGAGGACAAGACACGCAGTGTATCATTTTGAGGTGGAGAATGGGGGTTTGCAGGTCTGTGTCTGGCTGGTGCTGGACAAAATGGGGGCATCTGGGAGTCTCATGGCCTCATATGGGAAGAGTGGTCTTCACAATGAGCCCATCTCCGGAACACAAAGGGTGGGGGGATTGCTCGGCCTTCACTGTTAGGCAGGAGCTCAGGGCTCCAGTAAATTTCAACCTTGTTGAGACCCAGATCCCCATGAGAACCAAGTTCTGGCTTTGCCCCTATTTTTTGAGCCAGGACAATAGGTCACTGGCCGTCCTGGGATTTGGGCCGCCCGGGTCAGAATCTGTTAGGTCTAACTGCGTCATGAGTTCCTCCAGTTCAGTGTCTTGCTATGCTCTATAAGGTGAGAAAAGAACAGAGAAAAACAATGGCAGCAACGAGAACCGGGGCTCTCTTTCGGTTGCTGCAGAGCCTTGAACTCCAGCGCTGAAGAGGCTCTGAGGAGCCCCCAGATCTGGAAGGTAACTTGAGGAGAACAATTCTTAGTGGTTTTGGAAGAAGAAACTTGAAAATAATGCTGTCAAAAACATTTAGTAAGCACCCACCCCCTTTCAGGCCTCATCATCTAGGCACAGGGGACCAGAGAGAAATTAGAAACCACCCCTGCCCTGCGAGAGCTCCCAGCCCACAGCACAGAACAGCGGGGGCTGCTGGGGGCAGGGGTGGCCTGTAGCATCTGCTCAGGGCTTGGACTCCCCTAGAGCTGGAGACGCCCCTGAATTGGCTGCAGTGGACTCTTTCTTTTCTATGGTGAGCAGCCCAGGAACTGAAAGCAGGCCTGTGAGGGGACAGCCCGGCCACCTGCTGGGGCTGTGTGGGTGATCTCAAGGGGCACAATTTGGCTACAAAAAAAGCACATATTGTAAAAGCCACTAGACAAGCGTTCTCTGCATGAATTCAAAGAAGGGCATTCATGAAACCTCAGGGGCGCTACAGAAAGGCAGCAAGGAGCGGCCAGTGGAGGAATGGTAGGGGAGGGTTACCCCAGACTGCCGAAATAGGGTTCCAGGAGAGGGGCCCAGCACTGCCATGGAAGACTAATGTTTGAGAAGCATTGGATAGATCAGGGGACTGTGGGGCCTGTGGGCCTGGGGTCCTGGGATAAATAAGAGACTATTCCACGCAGAGGCAATGCTCTGTGAAAAGTTCCAAAGGTGGAAATTGGTCTGCAAATACACGAGAATGTCCTGTGGACCAGAGTTAGCGTGAAGGGAAATTTCCTGCTGGGGAGAGGCCTTGGAGAAGTAGGCTAGAGCCTGTGGAGAAGATTCTAAATACCCCCACCACTGCCCCAAAGAGCGGGGACTTTGTCTTGTAACCAATGAGAAAGCCTAGAAGGGGAAAGTTAAACTGAGGACTACTGCTGCATTTTTCTTTTATGTTATTTACTTAACTTTTTTAATGGTAAAATTTGCATAGCAAAAATTTTATGCAATTCCTTGGCACATAGTACTTTCACAATTTTATTGAAGTTCATGACCCTGCTCTAAATGAAATAATAATTTGTGATTTTATTTTGTAATCAGTGATTGAATCTAGAAATAAGCATAGTGGTTGACTTTATATTTAGATCAGAAAGGACATGAAAGAAAATAGCTAATTCCAGGTGTGCTCAGAACCTCCACTTGGTAACAGGGTTTTGTGAGTGAAGACACAATGTTTAATATCAAATGTGTGCGTAATATTGCATATAATAGCTTTTTTTTTTTAGATGAAGTCTCACTCCGTCATCCAGACTGGAGTGCAGTGGCACAGTCTTATCTCCCTGTAATCTCCACCTCCTGGGTTCAAGAGATTCTCCCGCCTCAGCCTCCCTAGTAGCTGGGATTACAGGTGTCCACCACCACACCTGGCTAATTTTTGTATTTGTAGTAGAGACGGGGTTTCACCATATTGGCCAGGCTGGTCTTAAATCCCTGACTTCAGGTGAGCTGCCCCCCCTTGGCCTCCCAAAGTGCTGGGATTACAGGTGTGAGCCACTGCGCCTGGCCTATAATAGCTTCTTAATATCCATGTGGACTGTCAGAGAAACTGACTCACGCATAGTAAGTCGTGCTCCACAGTGGACTCCTGGCTGGCAGGAGGACTGGCCTGAGAACACAGGGTCTCACTGGTATCACAGCTGCCTCCAATGTCCTTCCCTACAAGTGCAAATAAGTGTTTCCTTACCTCCCTCATGATACCTGTCAAACTAAGCTGCCAGCTCTCTACAAAAGCAAACTGAACCACACACAGAAGACACGAGCATTAGTAAGCCTGGAGGCACAGCTGGTGCCCCACACACGTGCCCTGGGGAGCAGCCGGCCTAGGCTCCGTGCCTCCTTGTGTTGTAGGAGTTTCTCCTTAGTTCAGCTGAAAACGGGGTCTTTGTCACATGGCCATGAAGTATTAGGCTCGCAGACACTTCGAAGAGTGAGAAAAATGGAATTTATTAGATGAAAAGGAAAAAAACTCAGCAAAGCGAGAGCGGTTACTGTTAACAGGCCCCCATCTAACAGATTGCCTCCCCGGTTACCACACAGCAGAACAGGAGAGAGAGGCCAGGCTACTCCCCCTTGCAAAGGGTGCCAACTTCCCAGGGCTCCACCCCCGTGCGCAGCCCTCCCAGTGTGCAGGCCGGTAGGTGGTCCTGCCAGGGAGCCCTTCCCACCAGGCTGTCTCACCTGCTGTCCAGACGCCTCCAGCATCACTACCACTCCAGACACCTGGATGTGAATCTGCCAGATGTGCATCTCTCCTTTCTCTCCCTCCTTCTTCCACTCTCTCTCTCTCCCCATTTCACTCTTTTTTTTTTTTTTAGACGGAGTCTCACTCTGTCACCCAGGCTGGAGTGCAATGGCGTGGTCTTGGCTCACTGCAACCTCCACCTCCCAGGTTCAAGCGATTCTCCCGTCTCAGCCTCCCGAGTAGCTGAGACTACAGGCACCTGCCACCATGCCCGGCTAATTTTTGTATGTGTAGTAGTAGAGACAGGGTTTCACTGTGTTGGCCAGGCTGGTCTCAAACTCCTGACCTCGTGATCTGCCCACCTCAGCCTCCCAAAGTGCTGGGATTACAGGCATGAGCCACCGCACTCGGCCCCCTTTTCACTCTTAAGTGACCAGTAAGACTCTGTTAGGTCTTGAAGGTTATAAGGATGGTGCACATGCTCACTCATACATATCTGCATGGACAAACACACATACATGCACACATATTCTAACACATGTGCATGTACACAAACGCGCGCACACACACACACACACACTATTGGCTTCTACCCCAGAACCAGGTTAGGTTCAAGAGTTCTCTCCCCCAGGCCCATGACCCATCTCCCACTGTTTCTTTTTTCATGAGTATATGCTATTTTTTTCTATCGTTTAGTCATTGGAAGTGCAGCTGAGCTGGAGACTTGCTGTAGAAAAACATGGACATTCTCTGCAGCCTCTTCAGAGCTTCTTCAGAACACTTTTAAACAACTTTTCTTGCTAAGGAAAACTCCAACTGTTTATTTTCCTTCTTGGCAATAGGTTTTCCACAAGAACAGGATTCAACCCTACATCCAACTTGCTCTCTTCTCTGGAATTGCCTTTGGCCTGCGCCATTCTCCTGTTGCAGAATACTTTTTGTTCTTCTGTCATCCTGGCTTAGAGGCCATAGAAAGAGGCACAGCATAAATTTAGGATGGAAGATAATAAACAACTCAGGGACACATAAAATGTGTTTAAGGAGTGGCTGCTATTGCACTTCCTGCCAATTTGAGTGGAGATCTATAAATTCACAGCTTTCTAATTACCGACTTTGATTTTGGTCCCTGCCACTTAGACCTTCCAAGGCCTTTTTATGATTTCTGCATCCAAGTTAGATAAAGAATGTGTTTTGATGAGGATTGTGGCAGCTTCCTGAGCCACTGGCCCACGAGTCCCTGAAGATTGCATTGCCTGTCCCACTTTATCATGATTCACTGTCATTATCTCACCCATTCTTGGCTTCAACTTTGGGGAGGAAGCTGAGCATCTACAGAAAGACCAGGAGTTCTGAGAAAAGCTTGCAGAGATATTTTATGTTTATGGCTTGGGTTTTAGCTCATTTTACACATAAATGTTGCTTTTCCTATGGAAATGTGATAATGACATGTTATTATGATTACATAGATTCATTTATTCACTTTATATTTATTGAACACCTACTATGCACCAGGTCATCAGGTGGAGACATTGAGGTAAAAAGGATGACAGGATTGCTGTGCATGGAGAGCCCCCCATCCAGGGGAGAGGGGGATGTTGGCACGGTGGGGAGGGCCACAAAGAACCCTGAGTAGTTTGGGCCTGATAAATTTCCGTCTTGGCTAACTGTTAATTCCAGGTCATCACATTTCCTGCTTGAGCTACAAGTAGTCTCAGTCCAGAGCAAAATGAAATATGTAGATAACATCAGCCATGCCTGCGCCAAAGGGATACTGTATTAGTCCATTTCTTGCTGGTATAACAGAATACCACACACTGGGTACTTTATAAAAGGAAAGAAGATTGTTTGGTTTTTAATTCTAGAGGCTGGAAAGGCCAAGGGCATGGCACCAGCCCCTGGCAGGGATCATCCCATGGCAGATGGCAGAAAGCAGAAGGCACAAGCAAGCTGGAGAGAGACAGAGAAATGGGGCAGAACTTACCCTTTCATCAGGAGCTCACTCCCATAATAATGGCATTATTATTAATCACCTCTTACAGGTCCTACTTCTCAACACTGTTATAATGGCAATGACATTTCAACATGAGTTTTGGTGGGAATTCAAATCATAGCAGATGCTGTCCACCTACTCAGGCTGGAAGAACTTACTAGAGGAGCAATGTTCTACCCTGCTCCTTTCACTAGAAAGCCATGCAAGCTCAGGATATGTTTCTGTGTCCCTTCTGGGGGCAGCCACTCACAGCTTGTCTATACCCCACCCACACAGTCAGAAAGAACCCAGTCTTTTTCTGCACAATAATGGAATCTTATGTAACATGTTGGAACAGAATCAGGGAAGGAGTCCTTTCTCAATTTAGATAAGTTGTGCTTTCCTTATAGCAAAACTTTGTTTTGTTGTTTTACTTTTTTGGAGATGAGCTTACTTGGTCGGCAGGTCATCCGTTCCAAGCATCACAGGCAATATGCTCACTAGTGGAGAAAAAGCAGAACCATGGTCCCCAGGGTCTCCACAGCCTGCACTTATGGTGGAGGGAAGGGGCCGACCCAAAAATGCACCAGCAAAACGACCTTCACAGAGAAAAGAAGGGGCTCTCCTGGGAGAAGGATTTGGTGGCCAGACTTTAGCAGGGCTGAAGGGAGCACAAGCATGGATTCGGGGATGATCAGGGTAAAGCTCAGGTCATGGGGTGCTGCCCCTCCCCTCACAGGGGCAGGGAAAAGCCCCTGCAAGGCTGGTCCAACCTGCATTCCCCCAGACCCTGCTAGGAGGCCCCGCCCCTTGGCCTGGCTTGTTCAAACACACTCAGAGTTCCAACTGGACAGGTCTAGGTGGGGTCCAACAATTTGCATGTCTAACAACTTCCCTGGGTGATGCTGATACTGCCAGTCCAGGGACCCCACTTTGGGAGCCACTGAAGTTATCCCTTCAGCTTGCTGTATGGTAATTCCACGGACCCTGTAAACTCTAGATGCTGCAATGACAAAGTGAAATAATGGATGGAAAAGAAGTGGCCAGAGAGTCACAAGGAGCTCAAGGATTTTCAAATATATTTTGATCATATTATTGTTCACTTAAAAATGAGGATCATGGAAGTCTTTGGGCCTAAGACATTGGATTTTTAAAGAACTTCTTACGACTAAAGAACTACAGCTTTAGTTCTTAGCTGTGGTTTCCTTCCAGTTGATGTCAGCTAATATTAAGCAGTATTACGTCTCCTAAATCACTCTTTACAGCCCCCATGGTATTTAAAATATCTTCTGTTTCCAACATCCTGGAATACTTAACTAACCCTTTTCCAGATCAAATGAAATCCCTGGTGTTTTTGTTTATTTACAGTTTTTGGAGGTGGCATGAGAGCTGAGGCTTATTGTTGGCACACAGCGGGTGTTTTTCACCCTGTGCTACCTAGAGGTTAATTGAAATGAACACCCTGGAATAGAGAAAGTAACCAAATACGAGGAAGGCAGAAAAATGTGCAGCCTCAGGTCCAGCCTGCTGCTCCATTGATTAATATAAATGGCAAAATCCCAGAAACTGAGAGCACACAGGCCCCAGGGCTGCGTCTGAGTGACCCAAATCGTCAGCCAGGACTTCGGACTTACTAGTCCTATATTTTGTCCTTTGGGGATATCTTGCATCACACTTTTTATTATGGTTAACATTTTATTTTGGAAATAATTTTAATCAACATTTAAGAAAAAGTTAGAAAAACAGACAAGAACAACTGTATTCCCTTTACTCAGAACCAACCGTTGTTACCTGTTTGCCCACCTGCTGTTTCATTTATTCTCTGTCTCTGATTATGTGTGTGTGTGTGTGCGTGGTTTTTGTAATATATGTATGGTATGTATGTGTATGTATATTACAAAAACCACACACACACACACACACACACACACACACACACACACACACAGAGCACTTTAAGGCATGACACTCTCCCGCTCTTCATCAAAATCCACCTGCCCCCTGAATAGACCAAGCATTCACGGATGCCGAAGCATTCACAGTTGCTGCGCATTCATGATGGTTCTCATCTGAACCATTCTTTACCATGAAGGCTACGGAATGAGGCTTTTCGAAGCTCAGCACACCCTCCTCATGGACCAGCCCAACTTGGCACTTGACTGCAAGCAAGAGCTTCCCCTTCTCCCCTGTCTATTTTATGGACCTATTTATTATTGACATTGACTCACTGACTCATTTGCAATAATTCACTGTTATCCTTATTTTTTTGGAATGCCACTTGTCCTGGGCTTGGCTAGTGGGAGCTCCTTCCTGTGGCTCCGTGTCCTTGTGTGACATGCTCCTGTCATTTTTTATTTTAAGCAGTTTCTTACTTTCTAATGCAATAAGATGTTTCAAACTGACAAAGATTCTCTCCTTGACCAAACTCTACTCAGGCCCTTTTGAGATCTTTTTCAACTAGACCTTGACTTTGGGACTTCTGGGTTTGTCTCTGTGTTGTCCAATTTTAGCAAGAATTTGTTTAAGTCAGTTCAGCCCGAATCCACCATTCTCCATATCTAGTCATGCTAGATATCTAATCAGGTTTCTCATTCCCCACGATCCCCTGGGAGATGTCAGCTCACCCTGTCTGCCTTCAGCTAGTCTCTCCCCTGGCCTCCAATGTTTCCCTTCAGTAATTTTCCATCCACTGATGCCCACCCTGCCCCTTGGCTATAAATTCTCCCTTTTTCATGTATTCAGAATTGAGGCCAGTTCTGTACTGGGGTCTCTTTTACCCTATTGCAATAGTTTTTCTGAATAAATATGTTTTCACCATTTTACCTAACCACTATGTATGGTTTCTCTTTGACAAAACTCATCTATTTTCCCCACCCTCTCTCTGGGTTCTATCTTTTTTATGCCTAAAACAAGGCAACTGACATCCATCTGGTTTACTTTAATGCTATAAAGAGTGTGTTCTTTACTACGTATCTGGGGTTCTGAATGGAAGTCTTCTGGTCAAATAGGACTCCTTGGTAGCAAGAGACAGAAAATCTGACTTGAATGAGCATGAGAAAAACATCCATTAATTGGTCAAAAGAAGCCAAGGGAGAGTTGAACAATGAACCCCTGGGAGGGGAGGAATGCATCTGGCCCCAGGGACCGCTGACAACGAGGATGCAGATGCTGCCAGGAAGTCTCCCAGAGCCTCATCTTTGCTTCTCCCAGTGGGCCACTGCAGCCCTGAGCCATGTCCCTCAATGGCAGAACATGGCATGACACCCCTGCTCAGTTTCTACCACCAGGGAATTCCTGTTCAAAAAACAGGGAAGAAACTCTGAATCTTCTGGCTTGGATGAGGTTTCCAATCCTGGGTTAATCAAGAGGGCCACGGATGCAAGCTCATAAGAGAGGACAGATCTGGCCAAACGGAAGGAAGAGTGGAGGAGGGCCAGGAAGCACTGAGCAGACAATCGTGTGCCTGTCTATCACAAACATGATGGCTGCTGACTCCTGCTCACTATGCTTAGGTGTCAAAAGGGAGTTACTTTTTTTCTTCTAGGTGATACTGGATGGTAAAGTTTCCAACAACTACAAAACCATATGATGTTCCTGACAAAGTTACATGGGTAATAGCAGTGAAGTATTGAGAATGTCAACCAACACCACCTCCTTGTCTCACATTTATTTGTCTGCACTGTGGCATTATGTTTATTGTGTAAATATTGAAAAAGCCATCAGGAGAGAAAGGCACTTGGAGATCGGTCCTAACTTTCTGTAACCTTGGGCAACTGGCTCAGCCTCTTGGACATATGTCAGCAGTGGTGAATCCTCATGGGTCTGCAGCAACCTCAGTTCTTGCTTCCTCAGAAAAAAGAAATTTGACTGAGGAGGCAGAAGGCAGAAGGAAAGACAGAGACTGAGGCAAGTTTTAGAGCAGGAGTGGAAATTTATTAAAAAGCGTTAGAGCAGGAATAAAGGAAGTAAAGTACACTTGGAAGAGAGCCAAGCAGGCGACATGAGAGATCAAGGGTACTGTTTGACGTTTGACTTGGGGTTTTATATGTTGGCATGCTTTTGGGGTCTTGTGTCCCTTCTCCATGATTCTTTCCTTGGGGGAGGCTGTCCACATGCACAGTGGCCTGCCAGCACGTGGGAGGGCCACATGGGCAGTGTGTTTACTGGAGTTGTGCGCGTGCTCACTTTGAGGCGTTCTTCCCTTCCAGTTGAATGTTCCTAGAAGGTCACAGACCGGTTAAACACCACCATTTTGCCTCTTGATGTGCAAGCTTGAGCCCACTTGCCCAACTCTTGAGATGTTATCGGGAAGCTGCCGATCACCAGCTTCAGCTGTTTTCTATCTATTGGGAGACTGGTTTTCCCTGTGCTGGCTGTGACCAATTATTATTTTAGAGAGACTGTAACAACTGCCTGAGCATCACCAGATGGTGGCCTGACATTCCTGGGGGAAGGGAGGGGCCTCTCCTGCCTTGCTCATCTCCACCAGACTACCCACTGTAACACTTGGGCTAGCTTGAAAGTCCCTTGCTGCTCTAACATCCCATGATTGCATGGTCTGTGTTCAAGGAGGCTCATTATTTTGACAGTTTTGGCCTTGCTTTGTGTAGAGCTCAGCCAACCCATGACTGTTGGTGACCACAGATGGACAGAGAACCCAGTCATGGACCAGCCTCCTTCCCTCCCTATTACCTAATTCCCAACTCCCTTCTGGCAGCCTTTGACATTCTTCTGGTTTGGAATCCATCTGTGGGTCCTGTTTCATCCATCAAATTCCAAATTATGTTCATCTATTGCCATAACAACAAGTGGACAGCATGAGGCTGCCGGCCTTTTCTACCCCAAAGTGACAGTCACTGTGCTTATCATCCGGGAACAGCCTCACCACACAAAGCCACCCATGTTTGCAGACCTCATCATCACTGCCATGGTGGTCATAACAGCAGCCACTCCCACCACTCACTGGGAGGAGCTCCATGAGGCTAGGGCCTCCACCAGGATTACAGGACCTATAGAAAGACATTTGGAAGTGGGTGCTGAGTTACAGGCAGGGTTAGGTGACTTGTGTTTTGACTCTATTATGAATGTGTCATGTTTTTGGGAGTATGAACATGCCTGGAAAGTGGAGTTGAGACTAAACTATTGGTTCCACCATAAGGGATGGGATTAGTGGTTCCTGGGCCCTGCCAGCAATGCAGCTGTATAGACAAGCCACGGTGACCTAATCTCCCCAAGTATGAGCTGGCTCCTCCAGCTGTGACGGGGGAGTTCTAGCTGGAGGATGTGAGATAGATTTGAGTGGAGTGGGAAAGTCTGTGAGTGTCTGTGGATGTGAGAGGAGAAAGGGGATGGCTGTATTAAAGAGAAAGTAATATACCTATGATTACAGAGGGAGACCATGTGGGCAGGTGGTGAGTATTCCTGTGCTCAGGAAAAAGGAAAAAGGAAATGGAGAAGATACGGGCACCAAACAAATTAAGAAGAAGGCAATGCCCATGGGAGAAGCAAAGACCAGCAGAAAAGGGGACGGACCACTCTCGTCCAAAGGAAGTGAGTCATGCTCCATTTGCAGAAAAGTGGCAATAAAAAAAGTTGGTAAAATCAGTACGTTTTAAAATATTTGGTTATTTTCAAAAAAAGGATTAGGGAGATGTTGAGTCCTCATTTTGAGCAGACTTTCCCTGGTGCTGAGTGTGGTCAAGCTCACATCTTCCCCCACATGGTTCCTTGAGACTTAATGAGGAGGCATTCTTGTACATATTTCTTCCATTCACCTCGTTAATTTCCAGCACATTATTCCAATTGTAGTTAAATCATTCATCGTGTAATTAGCTGATGGTCTAATTTTACTCTCTCTCTTCCTTTTCTCCTTCCCTCCTGCCATCCTATCTCTTTTGGATAGATTGACAGGTGAACAACAACTTAAAGCGAAGAAATTTCAACAAGTCTTTGGTTTATTTTAACCAAACTTTTTCTACATATTTTTAGATAGTTAAAAAATCAATAAGGAATTATTGAAAGCATGTTTTTCCAGGCCTTTTGAGCTTAAAAATTAAAGACAATATCCCAAGGAAAGGATGCAACTAAATTTTTTAGACAATAAACTTCAAATACTCATATTTCATGTATTTATTTATATCAAAATGAAACTGAATATTTAAACTAGAATGATAGAGCACGTAAATTCAATTACTTAGCTGTCACTCATTCTAAGAATACAAACATATAAGTGACTCAATCAAAAGTGGATATTTTAAAAATATATAGAACAAATTATAATTTCTGAAAGGCTCAAATTAACCAGTTTAGAATGTTCAAAATTTGGTCCAAAAGCTGGAAACCAACTCCTGTAAAATTAGCATACTTTATACAAATGGATTAATCCAGAAGACAATACAAGATCCCTGTGTACTCCTGTGAATTCAGCTTCCTTCTGTGTCTTTGTGTCAATATTGTAGCCATAGCATTGTTGATCGAGATACATAAAAGTCCTAGTGATTTTGACTGGATGTGTGGCTGTCTGTTGCCTTTCCATGCACATCCTGTGTGAATCCCTCTATATATAGAGAGAGGAAGTCTATGTGTGTGTGTGTGTGTGTGTGTGTGTGTGTGTGTGTGTCTGTGTGTGTGTATTGGACTTGGCAAGGTTTATTTGGAAGGGCACAGAGTCTATCTCACTCCCCCAGGTCCTGAGAGTGCACTGGAGGGAAAGGGGTGGATTTCAGGGAACTTTCTTGCTGTGTTGGATGCTCTTGGGGAATGGCTGCAGGCCCAGCCAGAGCTGCAGCAAGAGGACAGCATGGCACACATGCTGGGCAGCAGAGCAGTAGGATGTGGAGGGGTATGTGTTCCAGGAGAGCTCCATGAGCCCCACCACCAGCAACCTGAGCAGGTGTGTGAGCCAGTGTGCAGTCCTGGCCCACAGGAGGTAGGGCAGTGTGTGGAAATACCAGACACAGAACTGGTAGTGGAGGGAGGTGGCTAAAGCAGATGCCAATGAAGTTAGAGGTGAAGAGGGTAGAAACGATCTGGTTGGCTATGAAGGGCTTGGGTGGAACCTTCCTTTTGGAGGGATCCTTCATCAGTGACAAGATACATTCCCCCATCCTGGGCCACCAGTAGAGGGTAAACAGCAAGAGCAAGGTGAGGTGGGTGGCCATCAGGGCCAGGTGGAAGGCACGGTGCAGGCAGAGAGCCCCTGGGAGGAAGCACCAGTTCATTGTCCAGCAGAACAGAAACTGGCGGCCAAGGTCAAAGGAGCGAGACAGGTAGCCAGTGGGCTTCTCCAGCAGGAAGGGCAGCCCCAGCACCACCTGAAGGCCAACACAGATGCCCAGCTTGGGGAAGGCCCCACGGCAGCCAAACTGTGTGAGGAGAAGAAACAGTAACCCAGGGGCGAACAGCAGCACTTTCATCTTCACAGAGGCTGCCAGGCTGGAACACCAGCAGCCCCAGCCCCAGCGCTGGACCAGCAGGAGGCTGATACCGAGGGCACTGGGTCATAGGAGAGCCACAGCACAAAGGTGCAGTGGACACAGTAAGAGGCGTGGCACATGAAAAATAAGATAAAGGGAGGTACCTTGTAGGTCTGGAGGTAGATCAAGAAGACAAGCAGCAAGGTGGCCAGGCAGAGCACAGCAAAGATGTTCTGGACATGTGAATGTCAGTGCCTCGGCCAGGGGCATAGAACAGCCCCATAAAGATGGACACAAAACCAGCTGGGTACACAAGTGGCCCACTGTCACAGGCCACTGTCATAGACAGCTGGGTCTAGTCATAGGTACCGCTGATGACGCCTTCCACCTGGGCCATGTAGGCCTTCTGGTCGATCTCTGTGTCTTTCACTAATTTTCAGATTTTGTAATAGGAGTCGTTCAGGTACCTGTAGAGGAACTGGCACAGGATGTGCAGGGAAAGGAGGAAGACAGCCACACATCCAGGTGAGCCAGGTGTGAGAAAACATGGATAGGGCCAGGCGTGATAATCCCAGTGCTTTGGGAGGCCAAGGCAAGTGGATCACCTGAGGTCAGGAGTTCGAGACCAACCTGAGTAACATGGCGAAACTCCATCTCTACTAAAAATACAGAAATTAGCCAGGTGTGGTGGCGGGTGTCTGTAATCCCAGCTACTTGGGAGGTTGAGGAAGGAGAATTGCTTGAACCTGAGAGGTGGAAGTTGTAGTGAGCTGAGGTCATGTCACTGCACTCAGTGAGCTGAGATTGCACCACTACACTCCAGCCTGGGTGAGAGAGCAAGACTCCATCTCAAAAAAAAAAAAAGAAAAGAAAGAAAGAAAGAGAACATGAGCAGATGCATTACAGATTTGACTCAAAAGCAACTGTTTCAGAGGTTCAAATTGATCTATGCACCCTTCTAAGGGACTCAAATGGTTAAGAATGTCACCAGACGAATCTCAGAGTAAAAACCAAAGCCCAAAAAGACTGCTCCAAAAAGAGACTCATCATCACGAACTTCTAGGTCAATTACACATTTTAAGGTCACCAGAGCAGGAATGTCACTAAGGCGAATTTTTTCTTCAGGACCTGCTAAACAATGACAATACTCAGATCAGGAAAGTAAATGAACTTATTGGGACCGATTTTAAATTATCTCAATTGCCTGAATGAGCGCTATATTCATTTTCATCGTTGTCCCACCCCAGGCTTCTGGTAAAGCCCTAGCGTTTCAATTACTTTACAAAAAGTCTTAAAAAGCAAGTTAATTCTCATTTCACACTCAAGTGAATCAGCTTTTACTTTGAGTTTCCGTAATGACAAAGTAAGTCTTTGATATGCTTTGGCTATGTCCCCACTCAAATCTCATCATGAATTATAGCTCCTGTAATCCCCACATGTTGTGGAAGGGACTCGGTGGGAGGTAACTGAATCCTGGGGGTGGATTTTTCCCATGCTGTTCTCATGATAATGAATAAGTCTCACGAGATCTGATGGTTTTATAAAGGGAAGTTCCCCTGAAAGCATTCTCTTGCCTGTTGCCATGTAAGACGTGCCTTTGCTTCTCCTTCGCCTTCCACCGTGATTGTGATGCCTCCCCAGCCATGTGGAACTGCGAGTCCATTAAACCTCTTTTTCTTTATAAATTACACAGTCTTGGGTATTTATTCATAGCAGTATGAAATGGACAAATACAGCCTTAATGAAAATTGCCCTTTGAGTATAAAAATTACAGGGCCAGAGCAAATCTTTCCAAAGCAAGCAATCTTGGATTCTGTCTACAAGTTGCGATTAACCCACCTGGGACAAGAAGAATGTGTGTTTTCAAATGGCCACTGATCTGTTGCAATAAATAGTATTTTCAAAAGTAAGGGATGCGGGAGTAGAGCAGCAGCACTTAGTCAGCTTAATTTTTTATTACCACACTTAGTGTGTACCCTAAATGTACCCTGAATGCAGGTTCTTGAGGTGCCAGTCTTTTGAGATGTGCTGGACCTGAGAAAGGGGCCAGGTGTAGTGGGTGCTTAGGGCCACCAGGTGCTTTGAGCCATGGCAGAGCTCAACAGTCATCCTTGTTTTCCTAACACACAGTCTGTGGAGGCTGTTGCCCTTGTGAAGCTGTCCCGACCATCCTCCAGTAAAGCCACAAGCACAGGAGGGAAGAAGGCCAACAGATATGGGAGATGTAGGAGAAATACATGGAGAAAAACATGGACTACTTCCATTTCAATAAAACTTCTTTGAGCATCTGAGCATTTTTTGTCACTACATTTTTGTCCCCTTGCAAATCTGGTGCTGGTACATAAATCTGTTTCCATGAATATTTACTGAGTTGACCATCTGCTAGAACTTGAATTTCAAGCTGGGAATGCAGGGCTTAAGGAATACCTGTGATGCTGTGGACGGCCCAGGCAGAAGGTCAGGGCCCACCCAACTGTAGAACCCCGTATCTCCTGGCCACCAAATGTGCCAACTTTGAAGTGAAATAAAAACCAATAATCTCTTCTGTCCATTTTAGGTGTGAAAGGAAAATAAAATCTTTGCACCCCAAACTCATTATGCCAAGGAGACAGTTAAGCTTGGGAACTAAGTCATGCAAAAAAGAAAAAGAAAAGAAAAGAAGAAAACTTGCCTTCTTTTTTGTTCCCACACAGATGGCTGCAATGACAGAAGGCCACATATCTCCCCAGGTGGCCTCCCTCACAAATTGCTCACATGGAAATTTTGTATGGGCCCCCAGATATTTCAGAATACATATCCCCCTTATAACCCATAACCCTAAAGCAGAGTTCTATGGAATCTCACCTGACAGTGTAAAGTAGTAGCTTATCTTCACAGGCATGGGACAAAAACAAGACTAGAATGCTCCCTCCCTCTGCCCACCCTGAAACAAATGTACATTTGACTTCTTCCTCTACTCTGTGTTTACCTTATCCTGTATAAAATACAGATTTACTGAATGCAGATTTACAAGTGCAGATTTACAAATGCATAATTAACTGTTTCTCTACTCCCTCTTTTCACATGTAAAACGTGGATTCAGCCAGTGCTAATCAAAGCCTCACTAGAATGTAACACTCCACTCATCGTCTACCTTCCTCCCCTTCTTTTCTTCCTTCCCTTGCTGCTCACTCTTTGCCTTTTAAATACAGAAGTCCTCAAAACCTTCTTTGGAAAAAGCCCTGACCACAAATCCTATTGTGACTTATGTCTCTTTCTCCTGGACACATCCTCAACCTTGGCAAAAATAAACCTCTAAATTGATTCAGATCTGATTCCGATACTTTTTGGTTTACATAGTCCTCTCAGTAAAGGTAATACATTGTTTTCCTGGTTAAATTTGCAAAAACCAGGACAATCCAAGGCTTTTCACTGGACACACGTGGGGAAAATCCAGAGTGCCAGGCTGAGGTCGGTGCGATGCAGAGGTAGTGGGAGTTATCACAAACCTCTGCTTTCTCCTGAGCAACCCAGAAGTGCAGAAGGAGTTTTTGCAAGACATACACAGATTCTTACCTACATGTACTTGAGCTGTTTCTCTAACTGCCCTGATAACTTGCCTCATAGGTGAACTTTTACAAAGTAAAAAGGCAGGCTTAAGGAAACAAAAAGATAAAACTGCTTGTCCAGAATGAGATCAAATCTGAAACTGGATTCTATTCAATTGCCATTACTAATTCAAAGAACCACCAGAATCTAAAACTGAAATATCTCCACGCCTCTGTTTCTCTCCCTTGCTCTCCCATACCAAAGTTTGGGGTCTTAAAAAGGAAGCCAAATTCAACAGGGACAGATATTTTAGAAGAAAAACTCATTTTATTTAAAACTTCATTTTATTAAACTCAAGGTATTTGTCTCTAGTTGATCTGATGACTCAAAGTTTTCATGTTGGCCTCCTCTGAGGGCTTTGGAAAGCCTCGCATGCCCACAGAGGATGCAGCTGATAAAACAGAGACGGCCAGAGACAGTCACTTATCCCAACATCAATGGGTGCTTTCAGTTGATTCAGATGTAATTGAAATGCCCCATTTGCATTGAGTTCGCCAGTGCAGGAAAACACAGAAAAGAAGTGTCGGCCTTGCCCCGGGTTATAAACAATGTCCGGGTTTTTCATGAATTACATCTTATGACTGTTTCTAAATTTGAGAAAATAAATTGTCTAGCCACCAATGTGTGCAGATCTCATTTCATCTTCATTCAATATCCACTCAGCAGACAAAAAACCAAATGAACAAATCACCAGACTCCATCCAGAAGAGAAGACATTCCTGCCAGGGCGTAGCCCACATAGTCCCCACCCCGTCCCCTCACAGCAGCAAAAGTGTGCTTTAAAACAGCAGATTTCTCTGGCAGCTGTGTGTTTGTAATCACCAAAAGAAATATGTCCCCCACAATAAGCTCAAAACCATCACATACGTATAGAATGATTAGGTGCAGATGTTGACTCTTGTACAAATATTTTACTATGGATTCAATTATTAAGCTTTTGCCATACTTAATCACATAAACTATGCTTGAAGAATATATATACCTCTTTTCAACGCAGCAAATGCTGGGTGATGCCCTGGATTAGAGGAGGGATAGGACCATGTGCCGCTGTATATTGGGGAAAAATTCATTTTCTTCCTAAAACGACCCCATAGTGTGATACGAGAGTGACTGGAGTCATTTTATTAAAATGTTTAGTGTGAAATAAGGCAAAATTTTTAGACACACACACACACACACACACACACACACACCATGCTAACATCCATGCCTTTAGTTATTACAATTAATTAGTAGAGTAGATTTTACTTAGAAGAACTTAGTTGACAGATTTGTTTGTGGTAGAGCATCTCCCCCTCTACGGAGCTAGAAATATCACGGTAAATGTGGCGGTTAACAACATCTCTATCTGCTGCTAAGAAAGTGTTGACACACATGTTTGGCTAATCATTTATAGCAAATAGCTATTCCCATAAAGGCTAAGATTAGTCGGAATTGGCATGCACTTCTTTCTTCTGTGAGTCTCATTTGATTATGGATGATGTTTTGTTAGAGTGTATCCATGCAACCTCATAAATGATGTAAAACCCAAGAAAAACACAGACTCTGTGCCAAAACCGAATTAAATACACATCAGAAAAATGTGAGCTTGATTCAGGTTCAGGTACGATGAAACTTGCCTTGGTCTATTGTTGTTAAAACCTTCAGGAAAACTATAAAAAGCAAGCTTGACATTAATATCAATTTAAAGTTGGCGTGGCTGCCAACAGTTATTCCACATGAAGCTCAGCTGGCTGCACCATCTCCAGCACAACATATGGTGGCAGCAATTGCAGCCTCCAAAAGCTGTGAAAAATGGCCCACGCAGACTGGGCAAGGAAAAGCCGTCTTATCTGTGTAGATGTGCTGCCACTGTCAGCATTTTTCTAATGATGAGCACAGACCCGTCTGGGAGTTAGTTGTGGAGGTAATTGTTCCTCCCACTTGCGCTCTGGGTGAGCAGTTTCAGAGTCTCTTATCGGTGCCATATTCCCTTTCTCCTTCCATCAACTGACCCCAAGAGGTCTATTCAGCATGCCACCTCTTTTCTCTGCTCTGCCACCCCCTCCTCACACAGATTCTGGGAGATCCAAGCAGAACTACCCATAGTATTACTTCTGGAGCCTCTCAAGGAATCTGGAAGTCCTCTATCTTATTTCTCTACTATCCACAGTCCCAGGAATGGGGCTTAGGAGAACAAGGGCAATACCAAAGCCCAGTCGAGCACCAGGGCCTCCAACCAGGAAAGCATCTGTTCATCTGTGACTTGAAACATCATGTATTCATATGGTATGTGCCTGCTACTGGGAAGGGTTCTACCAGGTGTTGGGGGAGAAGGGAGAGGGACAAAGACCTGGGTGTGAAATGGTTGCATAAACTTCACCTGCTTGCCTGCTCACTAGGGAATGGAATCATAGACACCAGAAAGCAAAGTCACAAAGGGAAAGCAGGTAGAGGGTGTGAAGAGTTGAAACTCTCGAGTATCAGGTGGGCTGATAACCATTTACCCTGGCAAGGAAATAACTGACATCAGGTGAGTCGGAGAGAATGCCAAGTTAGCTTCCCCCAGGGGAGGAGGCTAGGCCATTAACACTGTGAGTACACGGAACACCCAAGTTTGTGGAGGAACCCTGTTCTAAAGCTGAAACCACTACTTATCACAGGAGTGTCTCATGTCCAGAAACCTAAGACTCTGACTCCCTTCTTGAGAGTTTTTATTTGTATGAAAATATAGCGTCCCCTTCAAAATTCATACTGAAACTTAATCTCCATTGTGGTGGAAGTAGGAGGTGGAGCCTTTTAGGAGGTAATTAAGAGGGATCCACCCTCATGAATGGATTAGTGCCTTATGAAAGGGCTGAAGAGAATGAGCTTAAGGCCCTTTTTGCCTTTCTGTCCCTTCTACCAAGTGAGGACAGAGCGTTTTTCCCCTCCTGAGGATGCAGCAACAAAGCCCATCTTGGAAGCAGAGACTGGGCCCTCATCAGAAACCAAACATTGATCTTAGACTTCCCAGACCCTAGAGCAATGACAAAATAAATTTCTGTTCTTTGTATATTAGCCACATGGGCTAAGTCCAGCAGCTCACACAATCTTACTCCATCTCTATCTCCCAAATGCAAGTTAAGCTGCTGCTATGCCATGTGACTTAACCCAGTACTCCCCCCCCACTTTTCTGTTATAAACTCCTATATATGTCAATCTCAACAAGGAAGAAAAGTGGGATGCTCTTTTATTTTAAACAAAAGCTGTAGGGAAGAGAGGGGAGAAGAATGGGCAAGCAAACACAAAAACACACTCAGACCTTTCCATCTTGTGCTGAATGCTTTTTACATTTGTATTTACTTTCAAGATACTTAATAGGGTCAGCTTCTAATCTCCTACAGTCTTCATTACCGGATAACTCCTGGTCCTCCTTGAAGACTTGGCTCAGAAGTCAGCAACTGCAGGCCCCTTTGGCCTCTGGGCATCCTTAGCACCCATTCATACATCTACTAGGGACTAATTAGATGGTGTTGACTCACCTTTCCTTTCCCAGTGGATTGAAGTTCTTAAGAGAGGGTAACAATGCCTTTAGCAACATTTGATGGAACTGTGTTCCATCAAATGGAACTCTGTGCAATGGAACTGATGGCAATGACAAAAACGTTGTACATCTGCACTTCCCAGTTGGCAGCCACCGCCCACACGACTATGGAGCATTTGAAATGTGGATGATGTGACTGAGGAACTGAGTCTTTTTTCATTATATTTCATGTTAATTCATTTAAATGTATATCTCAATCACTGCACGTGGCTAATGGCCCTCATATGGGACAGTGCAGCTCCCAAAGCTCCTATACTGCTTGGAATAGGGAACCCGGCCCACTGTTAATAGAATAAACTGACCTTAGGAGTTCAAAACTATCTTAGTTCTTGGCTTAAATGGTGAAAACTTCTGAAATATCAGGGAAGTTACTCATCTCTGTCTTTATTCATTTTCCACACATTTGACCAATCGCCCTGTGCCAACCTGGTGGGACTGCTGTCTCACTAGACCCCCATTCCATGCAGCTAGGGCCTCCCCGCAGAAGCGCATGTGAACAGAGACCTGCGCCTTGTGTGGGAAGATCTGGAGAGGACGATGTGTGCTCCAAGCAGAAGTCCAGTACCTGAAAAGGCCCCTAAAGTCCTGGTAAGTGAAAAGGGGAGTCTGCTCTTGAAGGCAGCAGTGGAAGAGGTGGTCTCCAAACAATGCAGGGCCCTACAGGCATCAGAACATTTGCATTCTACTTTAAGCATACTGGGAAGCCATTGGAGGGCCCTGAGGAGGGGCACAATGTGATGTTCCTGAGGGTTTAAACCCACTCTTCTCACAGTTGGGAGAACACTAGACACAGGTGGGGGGCAGGAAGGAGAGCAGGAAGACAGGTGGGGGGCAGGAAGGAGAGCAGGAAGGCAGGTGAGGGCCCCTCCCCGGTGGTCTGGGGGTAGAACTGGCCTGGCCAGAAGGAGGCAGGCAGAGGGACAGAGCCAATAGGATGTCTCCAGGTTGAGCTGGAGTACTGGGCACTCCAGACACAGAGATGTCTCCTGCAGTGAGGTCGGAGTGGGTGGCAGACCTGCTTGCTGAGGAGTCCAAGATTTCAGGATTGCCAAGGTGGATGCAGGGAAGAAATGTTGGCGATCCCCAAGGGACATCTATGTGGGCATCTATGTGGGCATGTGGTAGGTGAAAGCAAGCAGGGAGACATCCAGAAGAGCTGACCTCAGCAGCCACCACCACCCTTTGCTCTGAGATGTAAAGCCTGTTAACACAAGAATACACTGTGATGGGAGCAGACCAGTCACATGCCTCTTTCTCTCTCTCAAAGATTACAGGAGAAGGTCCGCCCAGCGACTGAGCTCGGATCCCAAAAGCTTGGCACAGGGCTGGTGACCTACTGGGGTGCGCAGGATGGCTGCGGCACTTTAAATCGCCCCGGAGCTCTATTTCCCATGGACTGAACCCTTAGATATAGTTGTTGAGAAGAACTGGGATGCCCCCCAGATTTTCTTAAATTTTATTTCTCACAGTGGACTCTCAGCAATGAGATAAATTTAGATTCCCAGTTAAGCAACGCACCATGGTAATTGTGCAAATATGATGTTTTAAATTACACTTTTATTATCTTGCTTTTCTCTTCCAACTTCTAATTCTCCTTTCTCATCACTCTCTGGTTGTTCCTGATCTGTAACCCTTCCTCCTCACAGGACAGTCATTAAACGGCTCCGATCTCCAGTAAATGGTGGAAAGAATGAATGGGTTTGGCTTTAAGCACTCCTAAATAGACAGTTGGGAAGTGGTCGAAAATTAAAACCAGGCAGCTTAATGATATTAATATGGTCTGTTCAAGAAAATGAGCTTCAGCCCCTTGTCTCTGGGCTTGGCTTCGTCTATGACCTCAGAGCTCAGAGGGAACAGCTGGGAAGGGGAGGCTGTTGGTGACTGGGCCCCCCAGCAGAGGAAACCAAGCAGTGGGACTCCTCTCTAGCCCCCAGGGTAGCTTCGCTCGCCTCACGTGGAAACAGGAAATCCAGCTTCCTTGGGTCAGAATGGACAGCCGACGGTTCCCGCAGAGATGAGGCTGGTGGAGGCTGAGCGGATAATCCCTCAGCATCTCTCCAGCACCTCTTTCCCAACTCTGCCTGAATATGGAGAGCTGCAACCAACTCACCCACACCCCAGGCAGCCTGTTAGGGCTAATGTTTTTACTTGCTGGGATCTCACTGAAAACTTTACAAATGGAGGAAGTTTTACAAATTTGACATCAAGAATTCAGAAGGTGAATTCACCAGAAGCCTGGTGAATACAATGCAAGGATGTGATATTCATATCCAAATGTCTCAGTGTGAGGATTTGCAGTGGGTCATTGCTTTTGATTTATCATTGAGGGCAAACAAAACGTGAATTATATTAACATCTTGTCAAGAATAGCAGTGCCATGATTGTTTGTCATTTCATTGCCCCAAATATATCGAGCACCATATCAACTGCAGACAACAGCGAAGCCTAAAATGGATACTTTTAAAATCATGCATAAAACGGCAACTTTCTAACAACTATGCCGATTCTTTTGATCTCTAGAACGGGAGGCAGGCAGGAGGGAACGCATTTTGTCAGACATAAAGACTTTTCCAGGTTGTCCTCATTGGCATCTTCGGATGCATTCTACTCACACTAAAACAAATCTGTTCTGACTCATTGATTTCCCCAATCACATGTGGATCATCCTAGTAGCACAGGAAGGATCTAAAGCAAGTACAGTCCTGATGCCCCAATGAGAACGAAGTGAATGAGGGAGGCAAAGTTCTAAGATGACCCCTGAAAGTCCCTGTTCATCCCCGGCCCCAGTATACACAAATTGTCACCCAGTTATTAAATCAATTACTAATCTAGGTTCTGCTGTGAAGAGATCTTGCAGATAAAATCAAAGTCTTGAAGATGAATCCAATGAACTGACTTCAAGATACAGAGATTATCCTGGGTGGGCCTGATCTAATCAGGTGACGAGGCTCTTCCTGAAGAAAGATATTTGAGGGTGACTGGGAGGGAGATTCTCTGTTGCTGGTTTGAAGATGGAGGGGTCCATGTGGCAAGGAATGTGGGGAGCCTCTAAGAGCTGGAGTTCTCAGTCCTACAGCTAGGAGGAACTGAATTCTGCCAACATGAGGCCTCTGCATGAGGCAGAAATAGATTCTTCCCAGAGCCTCCAGAAATGAAAAGTGCCCTGCCAGCACCCAAATTCACTGCACAAAACCCCTAGCACGAAATCCAGCCTCACTGCACCCTGACTTCTGACCTATAAGATCTGTGAGCTAATAAACGGCTATTGGTTTCAGTAATTAAGTTTGTGGTAACTTTTGCACAGCAAAGGAAAACTACAAAATCTGTTTTGGAACCAACAGATAAAGATTGCTAAGAAGATGCCATGGCTACATGGTGTCCCTGCTCAGCCTTGATTTCCTCACCATACTGGCGTGGTAATGCCTGTCTGTCATGCCTCGTTGGGAAGGGGTGAGGACTGCCAAGAAAATGTGTAGAAATCTCTCATAAAAATAGAAGCTGCCACCAAAGGTAGAATAAATCCTATTCTTGTTGTCAATGAGTATAAATAATTACAGTTGTTCTTATTTTCACTGTTGGAGACATTTCATTTTTTTTTTCACAATGTTTTTAGAAAACACAATAGTATCAGGAAAATAGCCTTTCCCAGGCAGCAGTGCTCAGAAGGCAAGCATTCATTGAGATGTTGGTGGTTGTTTCTTGAAGAAGGGTGCCAAGGTCTAATAATCATCACATTCTCGGACAGGGTATCAGAGATTAAAGGTCCTGAGAAGTCCTGCAGCAGAGGAACTTGCTCAGTATTATCTAACCTGGCACATTTTTCCTCACTGACTCAACAAGCACGCTCCTCCAGCCACTCAGCTGAATCTCATGGAAATGCAGTGGTCCATGGAACCCACTTTGAGGAGCTGGTTGAGAAGCTAATAAAAACAAACAAACAAATGAAGATCTGCTGACTCTCTGTAGCAGGTGATCTGTTCCTTCCATCATGTCAGGCTGTGAGAGTGCCTGTACCCCATCTAGTGCCCAGGGCTCTCTGCCAGCTTTCAGACACCCCCATCCCTTTGACCTTGGGCCTCAATGTTCCAGGCACTCTGGGCAAAGGAAAATGAGCTCTGGTAACAATATTTAAGGTGAGGGGCACCGCCCTTCAATACACGGGGAAATGTACATCCTCAACATGTTCACTAAGAAGTTAAAGGCATTTTTAATGGGAAAATATTTGGCTAGATAAGAGAATGAAAAATCACTGTCTTTAAAAAAAAAAACCCACCTTTTAACTTATCCAAATTCCATAAAAATAAACACTCTATCTACTTGCAAATAAAAGATAAGGCATTTAAAACAAGACCTGCTATGCCAGATAAAGAAGTATATTATAAATCAACAGGAATTTATATTGTATGGCCTTGGGCCAAGACAATAGGCAGATCAAGGGAACAGAGTAGACAGTCCAGAAACGGCCTCTCACACACAGGGACTAACACATGAGCAATATGACTTAAAAAGATGAATTACTCAATAACAAAGTCAATAAAACTTGCTAATTCTTTGGTAAAAAGAAAAAACAAAGTTAGTCACCAACTCTCATCTTATTTTAAAATAAATTTCAAACGAATTTAAGTATAACCTCTAAATATACTAAAAAAAAAAGGATACATAAATATTTAATCTCAGAGTTAAGAAAGAACTTTTCTACATAATCCCAGAAGTGAAAGCACAAAAATAATTGAGACTACATATAAATTTCTATATTAAAGAAAAACATAAATGAAAAGGCAAAGGAAAAATGGAGAAAAATATTTGCAACACTTATGAAAGACAAATGGTGTTATACAGATGTAAATGAATAAGAAAAAGTTGAATTCCCCAAAAGGAAAATGGACAAAGGACATGAATAGGCAAAGTAAATTAAAACACAAATGGCCAATAAATATGTGAAAATATATTTGACCTCACTGTTAATGAAATAAATGGAAACAAAATAATGAGTTATCTGTCCAATAGGGTATAATAAAAATGAGTGATAATCCTTCCTGCTGGTTTGGTTATGGGAACGGAGTCAGTTGAAGGGAGGGTAAATTTTAAAATTTCAGGAAGGGAACGTAAGAAAAAAAAAATCAAAACTTGGAAATAGTCAAAAGGATGGCTCTGTCCGTGTTCTCATTAGGGGTAACGGTCTTTGCTTCGACTTATTATTTTCTATTGGTTAGAATCACCACAGCCATGTGAGGGTCCCTGGTATTATAACACACAGAACACTGACAGCAGTGCCCATGAGTCTTGTCTGGTGTTGACACAAAGGAACAACGCCCCGTGGACTTGGAAAGGACCGCAGCCCAAGCATCAGGGTGTCCTTGTATGACTGAATGACCTTCTTCCAAGGCTTCTGCGACCTCTTTCTGCACTCTGTTGCCATGCTGCTGCAGCCTCACTGTCCTGCTGGCTGTCTCATTGCATTAGAGAAATACACCTTTGACATATGCTCTGTATGTGTTTGTATGAAAGTCATGTTTTTAACTTTTTAAAAATGATACTTGGACAGAAATTTGGCAAATATATATCAAGGTTCTCAAGTGAATATCTCTTCTCTGCAACAGGAATGTCGCTTCTGGAAATTTTCCCTCTGAATAGAATTAGATAGAAGTTGAGGCCAGGTGTGGTGGCTCATGCCTGTAATCCCAGCACTTTGGGAGGCCAAGGTGGGCAGATCATGAGGTCAGGAGATCGAGACTATCCTGGCTAACATGGTGAAACCCCGTCTCTACTAAAAATACAAAAAAATTAGCCAGGAGTGGTGGCAGGCGCCTGTAGTCCCAGCTACTCAGGAGGCTGAGGCAGGAGAATGGTGTGAACCTGGGAGGCGGAGCTTGCAGTGAGCTGAGATCATGCCACTGCACTCCAGCCTGGGCAACAGAGCAAGACTCTGTCTCAAAAAAAAAAAAAAAAAAGAAGTGAAGAGACATCAGCAAGGAAGTTCAGGTGGCTTTGTCTCACAATGATAGTTTTAAAAAAAATGCCATTGGTTCTCAACCTAGGGTGATTTTGTCCTCCAGGGGACATTTGGCAATGTCTAGTGACAGTGTTGATTGCCACAGCTAAGGTGAAGGGATGTTTCTGGCACCCAGTGGGCAGAGACCAGAATGTGAAGCCACATCCTGCAGTGTCCAGGGCAGGGTCTCTGAAAAGGATGGGCTAACCCAAACTGCCCATGGTACCAAGGCTCAGAAACCCTCACTTAATGTACCACCCTAGGGATTAGGAGGAACAAATTAAAGTGGAATGTTTCACAACCATTTTAATTATGATTAAAAAAAAAAAACTACGATATTGTCCGTGTATATTTATGTTTAAGACTTATTGTTAGGTAAAAAAATTATAAAGTTATATTTGTGGTGTTCATATGATCAGAAAAAATTAATACATTAAAATTTCATATGTAAAGAATATTACATCTTTCATGTTTTCCACAGAATGAATACATTTTTGTATATATGTGTATATACACAGAGAGGGAGAAAGAGAAAGTAGCATATAAATAAAAATACATACATTTTATTACCTATTACAGTATTTATTCTTCTACACACTTCTCAGTTCATGTATATACGGGAGCTTTCTTACATCCTGCACGGATGCCTGAGGTTCCACCACTAAGGAGTCTTGTCTCTAGGTGAAGAGGTCATTAAAGCTGTTTATGTAAAGCCTGTGTCTTGGAGACAGGGTGTTATCTCTTTATCAGTCACATGCATTGGGTATGAAATGGCCAATTGGACTGGCTGGTGTGCCTGTCACTCAGCACCGCCCTGGGACCAGACAGCTTTGGTGACCGAGCTGGAGAGGGGCTCCAGAGCTGGACTGACCCTGAGAAGACTCCATCTCAGAGCAGCACAGGGAGGAGATGAGGCCCCACTGGTTTCCCTGGGGCCAGGCCTCATGTCAAATTGCAGAAACAGCCTGAGGACAGAGCCATGGAGAGCCGATGAGAGGGCAGGCTTGTCCATTCCAACTTCCATCTCTGCCTCTGACCCACATCTGTGGAATCAGGGCGGTGAACCAGAAGCCTCTGGAGTTTCTCAGTGCTCTGATCCCGTGAATTCCTCCTCTGTCCCCGCGATTTCGCAATGAATGGATGCTTCCCATTCTCACCAAGTGCCTGTTGAAACTTTCCTCAGCCTGACAACTTTCTTCTGTTACTTTCAAATGATCACAGGCTCCCAGGAGGAAAGTTTAGGTAGACCTCTCTTCAAGTGCTGCGTCCCAAAAGTCCCAAAGAACTGTCTACCTATGAGGCGCTCTCAGGACCTGGGACGGTGTGATCATGGTATCTGGGGATCAGCCAGCGCTGCTTCCTGGGGAGGAGGAGGCACCGGGTTACTGGCTCTGGGCTGCATCCCCTCGTCTGGGTCTGTGCTGTTCCTGCACTTCATAACATAATTTTCCTCTTATTCCTTACGGCTCAACAAGTCTTCTACTGCTCTCAGTCACTTTATCCTGGGAGTCGGATGTTTGCCTGGTTTTTTAGTGCATGTGAATACCTACCCAAAATTGCTATGTGATTTCCAAAATGCTGAATTCCGTAGATTCTTTGAGACCAGTGACTTTCACTCTTTTAATCTATTTCCATTGGGTTGAACTGTGAAGTATGATGGGGAGAGAAAAGAACACCTTTGTAAATAGCAAAAAAACAAAACAAAACAAGAAAAACCTCCACAATGTCTTGAACTTCACAGACTTGTACAAGGTTGGAGCCAGTGTTCTTAACCCTGGCACTATTGACGTTTTAGGCTGGACAATTCTTTGTGGTCAGAGACTGTCCTCCCTGTGGAAGGGTATTTAGCAATGTCCCTAGGCTATACCTACCAGATGCCTGTAGCTCTGCCCTTAACCCCCACTACAGGGTGAAAAGTCAAAAATGTAAAAATGTCATATCTAGGGCAACATAAGGATCCATGTGCCCCGTTAAGCCTTCACTGTGAAGGTGCAGAAGAAGCCCAGAGCTCGTCTCTCTTCTGTGGAGATGGATGCCTCCTCTTGGTGGCCTGCAAGAATGTGGTTGATCCCAGACCATACTTCTGAAGAGTCAACAGTCCCATTGAGCAGTAGACCATAGCTGGGATGGTTTATAAAAACTGGTCCAGTACCTACATGCAAGTGTTACAACTGATCATCTTTGTGGTAGAAATTGTGATAATTAGGAATGATAATATGTTCTTTGTATTCATTCATGCAATCTAAATTGTCTATGTTTATTCATTTAGTAATTTTTTAAAAGCTCAAGAAATGGAAGAAATGAGAGAGATGTTTCATGTACTCTCAGGTGATGTGGCCAACACACCCTAATGTCACCCCTCCCCGGTGATCTATGTTTTGGATAATCCACTCCCCTGAGCATAAAGGGGCTTGTGACATAATTCTAGATAATAGAATACAGCAAATGTGATGGTTACATCTGATGTGAGATTCTGCCTTAGCAAGTGGGGGCAAGAGAGACTCCCTCTTGCTGACTTGTGTAAGAAGGGCTGCCGTCCTGTAGGAAGGACTGTGAGAGGCCACGTGGCAGGAACCATGGCAGCCCCTGGATGCTGAGAGTGGTCCCCAGCTGATAGGTTTGGCTGTGTCTCCACCCAAATCTCATCTTGAATTGTAGCTCCCATATTTCCCACATGTTGTGGGAGGGACCTGGTGGAGATAATTGATTCATGGGGGCAGTTTCCCCCATACTGTTCTCATGGTAGTGAATAAGTCTCATGAGATCTGATGGTTTTATAAGGGGAAACCCCTTTTGCTTGGCGCTCATTCTCTCTTGCCTGCTGCCATGTAAGACATGCCTTTTGCCTTCCACCATGATGGTGAGGCCTCCATAGCCACATGGAACTGTGAGTCCATTAAACCTCTTTTTTTTTTTTTTTTTTTAAATAAAGTACCTGGTCTCAGGTATGTCTTGATCACTAGTGTGAAAATAGACTAATACACCAGCTGACTACCCCCCAAAAACAGGAACTTCAGTCCTACAACCACCACCAACCTGAGAGAGCCTCTGACAGGACCACAGCCCTGACTGAGCCCTGATTGTAGCCTACTGAGACTCAGAGTGGAGGCCACAGCTGGTCTATGCCTGAACTTCTGACCTACTGAGAGTGGAGGTAACTGGTGTGTGATGTTTCGAGTCACTAGGCTGTGGTCATTTGTTATGCAGCCTCAGGTAACAAACACAGACAGCTTCCCTCTCCTTTGAAAACACATCAGCCAAATGCCTTTCATTACTGCAGCCACCTCTAGGCTAAGAGAATGTGAACCCTTGAGTATTCAGTATCTGCCGGATCAGAACTTACAGGATATTGAGGGGGACATGCAGCCTGGAAGAGCTGGAAGCTCACCTGGCTCTTGCCGCTCTGCCTTGATGGACTCCTATGGACACAAGCAATGCCACAGAGCACCAACACTGGACAGGGACACACTGTGATGGTGGGGGCGGGGGAAAGGCAAATCAATACCCCTCTGTAATCTGGTCTGGTCACAAACAAAAACAAGAACGTGGTCAATACCACAAATACGCCTAGGCATCCCCCACCCCGGCTTATGTGAGCAGCTGCTGCTTTTACATCAATTGTAGCACCAGCCTCACTCCATTTCTCCCACCTTCCAGGACAATTAAGACATTCAACCACAGAATTACTCCCACTTCCAGACAGCACTCCATCTGAGCATGGCCTGTGTATTAGTCAGGGTTCTCTAAAGGGACAGAACTAATAGGATAGATGTATATATGAAGGGGAGTTTATTAGGAGAATTGGCTCACATGATCACAAGGGGAAGTCTCACAATAGGCCGACTGCAAGCTGAGGAGCCAAGAAGCCAGTCTGAGTCCCAAACTTCAAAGGTAGGGAGGCTCACAGTGCAGCCTTCAGTCTGCGGCTAGAGGCCTGGGAGCCCCTGGCAAACCAATGGTATAAGTCCAAGAGTCCAAAAAAAAAAAAAAAGCTGAAGAACTTGGAGTCTGATGTTCGAGGGCAGGAAGCATCCAGCATGGGAGAAAGACGAAGGCTGGAACACTCAGCAAGTCTGCTCATTCCAACTTCTGCCTGCTTTATTTTAGCTGCTGTGGCAGCTGATTAGATGATGCCCACCCAGATTGAGGGTGGGTGTGCCTCTCCCAGTCCACTGATTAAAAAGTTAATCTCCTTTGGCCACACTCTCACATATACACCCAGGAATAATCCTTTGCATCCTTCAATCCAATCAAGTTGACACTCAATATTAACCATCACAGCCTGTTTCCTTGGCCCTCCCCAAGATCACCTTGTATAAGCCAAACCCTCCAAGTCTTTCCCAAGGCCCTCTCACTGCTGCTGCTGAGCTGCTGCTGGGTCCTGGTGGTGCACAGCCTTCCTTGTTGTGATGAGCCAGTCGATGGCTTCAACTTTGCTGAGCTACAGGTGTGTTCCTGGTGGCCTTTAGATGACATCATTGACAAGATTATGACCAAGATAATTTTGATGCATCCTAGTTTCAGCTTAAAATTTGGGAAAACATTCATTTAAAAATAACCCATGCCAAGGTTTTCACAAAATACAATCAAAATCAGGGCATATTAGTAGCTAGCTCATATGTGTACCTGCTCGGTATGTGCTGTTGTCATTGATGTCTGGAATGAAGTAATGAATTAGAAAGTCTTCAAGCACCAAAGAATGATTTAATTAACTATATTTACATAGTGTATATAACACATATAACATAATTACTATGTACTAAAAGATAAGAAATTATAATTGTGCATTTTAGAAAGATTTGGTCAAACGAGGAGGTATGAGGATTTTATCATGATTCTCAATTTCACAAGCATTTCTGTAAATCAGGAGCCTACTGTACTAACTAGAAATGGTGGATGGGTTTTTAACTTCAATTCCATCCATCACGTCCCATCTAAATGCTCTGAGGTGGTAACAACAAACTGTGTCCTAGATCTTCTTCAAGCTGAAGTGCTTTGGGATGATCGCATATTCCAACAATGCCCCCTGGAGGCCAGTTGGCCAGGGCCAGTGGACACTTATCCCCACAGAAGCAGGTCTGTGCCACTTCTCAGCTGTCAGGGTTTGGATTTCCACCCTGATCCAGCTGCTAAACTGTCCCTACCACGTGTCCCTCACCCACTACCAGCCAGTGACTCCTAGCTCATGCAATTTCCGGTGCTCACCTCTTGCTGTCCCCCACCTGGCCCTATCATAAGTTTGTGTCCATGTTGCATTCAGTGCATGAGACACTGAGAGTGGTCCCCAGCTGACAGCCACCCATGATTCATTGACAGAAGAGAAAGGGGACACAGGGAAGAAATCTGTTACACCGGCGAGACAGAAGCTGCCCCTTTACAAAGGTGCATGGTGGGGAAGGCAGAGACATCCCAGCTGTACTGCAAAAAGACCACATTTTGAAAGATGGTTTCAAGGCCAGGCATGGTGGCTTACGCCTGTAATTCCAGCACTTTGGGAGGCTGAGGCAGGCGGATCACGAGGTCAGGAGTTTGAGGCCAGCCTGGGCAACATGGCGAAACCCCATCTCCACTAAAAATGCACCAATTAGCCGGGCGTGGTGGTGGGTGCCTGTAATCCCAGCTATTCAGGAGGCTGAGGCAGGAGAATCGCTTGAACCCAGGAGGCGGAGGTTGCAGTGAACCGAGATCGTGCCATTGCACTCCAGCCTGGGCAACAGGAGCAAGACTCCATCTAAATAAATAAATAAATAAATAAATAAATAAATAAATAAATAAATAAAGATGGTTTCAAACCACATGTTCAGTCAGTGTAGAAAATACATAATAGCAAAATGAGCTTTAGCCTAGGCTTGATTGAGTATATAGCCTGAAAATAGAGAGAATCAGTGAATAAAACCCCCTATAATAGCAAATACGGCTCCTATTGATAAGACGTAATGTAAATGGGCTACAACATAATATGTGTCATGTAATTACAATATCCAATGATGAGTTGGCTAGTACAATGCCGGTCAAGCCTCCTACTGCAAAAAGGAAAATAAACCCCAAGGCTCAGAGCATTGCAGGGGATCATTTAGTATTGCCGCCATGAAGTGTAGCTAGTCAGCTAAAAACTTTGACGCCAGTGGGAATAGCAATAATTATCGTAGCAGAGGTGAAGTAGGCTTGTGTATCTACATCTATGCCTACTGTAAATATATGGTGAGCCCATACGATAAACTCTAAGAAAACAATTGATATTATAGCTCACATCATGCCCCTATATCCAAATGGTTATTTTTTTCCAGAATACTATGTTATGATATGGCAAATTATCTTGAAGCCTGGTTGGAGGAGGATGTAGACTTCAGGGTGACCAAAGAATCAGAATAAATGTTGACAGAAGATAGGATCACCTCTGTCTGTTGCTGGAAGTATATGAGAGTCAAAGCTTAATTCTTCATAATCTGTATATTCATAGCTTCAATACCATTGATGCCCAATTGTTTTAATGGTGAGAGAAGGGTTCTTGATTTTGTCTGTTATATATAAGATGCATAGAGATGGGAGGGCGATCAAGACTAAGATGATGGCAGGCAAGATAGTTCAGATGGTTTCTAGTTCTTGGGCATCTATGGTGTTAGTATTAGTTTTGTTGTGAATATTACAGAAATAATGTATAGAAGTAAGGAACTGATTAGAAAAATAATTATAAGGGTATGGTCATGGAAGATAAGTGGTTCTTCTATAATAGGGGATGTGGTATCCTGAAGGCCTAATTTAGCTGGATGGGCCATTAAGATATATAGGGCTTAACCTATAACTTAACTTTGACAAAGTTATGAAATAATTTTACTAATATCTTATCGAAGAAGTCATGGAGGTTATGGGATTGGCTTGAAACCAGTCTTTGGGGGTTCAATTCCTTCCTTTTTCATTTAGGTTTTCATGTAGGTTGGTTCTTCGAATGTGTGATAGGGTGGGGGACAGCCACATAGTCATTCTAAGTTGGTAGATGGTCGTTCAATTATTAGAACTTTTCGTTTTGAAGCAAAGGCTTCTCAGATCATGAAAATTATTAGAATTACTGCTGTCAGGGAAATAAATGAGCCTATGGATGAGATAGTATTTCATGTGGTGTATGTGTCGGGATAACCGGAGTAGCGTTGAGGCATGTCAGATAGGCCGAGGAAATGCTGTGGGAAAAATGTTAAATTGACGCCTATAAATATAATAGCAAAATGAGCTTTAGCATAGGCTTGGTTGAGTATATAGCCTGAAAATAGACAGAATCAGTGAATAAAGCCCCCTATAATAGCAAATACAGCTCCTATTGATAAGATGTAATGGAAGTGGGCTACAACATACTATGTGTCATGTAATACAATATCCAGTGATGAGTTGGCTAGTACAATGCCGGTCAAGCCTCCCAGCTGTTCCTATAGGGATTATAGTCAGTCATGGGAAGCTTCTCTTATTGTGCAAAGGAGAAATAGATTTCCTTACAACACCACGTGAAGGCAGAATTCTGGAAACCTGCCTTGGGGACTATCTTTCCTTAATTAAACATCCTAAGAAACAAGGGCAAAGCACTGTAGCCTGGCATAGTTTGGATCTTCAGAAAATCTTATCAGAATTTTCCAAAAATTGAGAAAAGAGATATAGGATCAAAATGAGACTTTCATGAAATGCCTCACTAAAAAAGAGCTGGAAGAGAACTTTCCTGAAATAAAGTAGAAAATATTGACAGAAAAAAAATACTGCAAGAAAAGCCCATGTTTGTGTGCATGGTCAGACATTATTTATAACTATTAACATGTTTTGGACACAACTGAGGAACAAGGTATCACACAGAAGAGGACAGTAAGAACAGAAAATTCCAGCTAAACCACTGAGACTGACCCAGCATAATCTTACAAATAGCCACTGTCCACATGCTGATGGCTGATCAAGACTCAGATCCCATCTACCTAACTTGCTGTGAGCCTCACTAATGTGTGGGGGCAAAGGTGCGTATCACCCTCAAAGCTGGCTTAGAACAGCCACACTGTATTCATCATGTGGACATCCTTAGGCACGTCCTAAAAATCTGAAAATATAAATTAGGCCATATTTAAGATGGACTTGCTGGCTGTCTATAAGATATGTAAGGGGAACTTGTGGTGAATTGTTTTGGAAATTCAATCTGGCCAGGCATGGGTGCTCATGCCTGCAATCCCGACATTTTGGGAGACCGAGGCAGGAGGATGGCTTGAGGCCAGGAGTTCAAGGCCAGCCTGGGCAACATGGCAAGACCTTGTCTCGACAAAAAAACACAAAAATTAGCTGGGTGTGGTCGTATGCACCTGTAGTCTTAGCTAATCAGGAGGCTGAGGTGGGAGGATCTCCTGAGCCCAGGAGGTCGAGGGTACAGTGAGCTGTGATTGCTCATTTGCACTTCAGCCTGGGCGACAGAGCAAGACTTTGTCTAAAAATAATAATAATAAATAAACAAATAAGAAGAGAAAATTCTATCTGGCTTCCCCAAGTTTATGTCTTTCATTTTTTTCTAGTGGGTTTTCATGGGGCCATAAGGAGAATGATGAATATAAAAATGCGTGAGCTCCTCTTAGGCATTTTGGAGGCTATGATGATTAACTTCATGTGTCAATTTGGCTGGGCTATGGTGCCCAGTTGTTTGATCAAACACTAGTATAAATGCTGCTGTGAAGCTATTTTTAAAATGTGACTCATAAATTAATGTGGGTGGGTCATCCAATCAGTTGAAGGCCTCAAAAGCCAAGACTGACATGTTCCAAAGAGCAAGCAATTCTGTCTCAAGACTGCAGCACAGAAACCCTGCCAAGGTGCCAGCCTGCTGCCCTGTGGAACTCAGACTCACGGCTGCAAGATCAACTCTTACCTGAATTTCAAGACTTCTCACCTGCCCTGCAAATTTAGGGCTCACTGGCCCCTCCAATCATATGAACAAATTCCAATCAATAAATAAGTAAATGAACAAATAAATCTCTCTCTCCCTTTATCCATCTGTCTCCAGTTGGCTCTGTTTTTTCTGGAGAACCCTGAATGACACAGGGCCTGCAGGTCACTTCCCGTCTAAGGATAGAATATCTGAGTGCCTGCACTGTTCCGTTGTCTTCTGCTAAGTGTCCATTGCTGACTTTCCCTTCCTTACTTCTTTTGGCCCCTTCCACTCAGTACAAACCCAGGCTATTTCTTCCATCTTTGGGTTGCTTATCAAGTGAAAATGAATTATGTATGCCTAAGACACGATGAGGAAGATAATTCTACTGCCATTAACACTATATAGTTTATTTCAAAGCCAAACAGAAATAACTTCAGGGCTTTGTACTGTTTAGAATCACCTCTTCAACTGGTTTCTTTCACTGACAAGGCATTTTAAGGGATGAATCTCTGGCATGGTAGAGAAAGCTGTGCATCATCCATTGACCTGACTGTCAGCAAATAGTCATGGAGGCCCTGTGGGGTATTCGGCACCGTGCCAACCACTGCCTCCCAGAGTTGGGACAGACAGACACCCTGCCCATATGCAGCCTCATAGACATAATATAACACTCAGTATTAGAGAGATATGAGACCTATAATAACAATTCTCAGTACTTATTGTCTGCTTACTATATCTTGGACACTGATATAAGTGCTTTACATAAATTAACTCATTTAGCCTTCGTACAAACCCTAGGAAATAGGTTCTGTGTCTATAATGAAGTTTAAAGTTATAAAAAAAATGAGTTAATTTGTTTCCAATTTCTGCTGTAGCAAATTGCCATAAAGTTGCTGGCTTGAAATAACAGGAATGTGTTGGGTGTGACCTACAGTTCTGGAGGTCAGAAGTCTGAAGTCAGTCTCATTCCAGTGTCTGAAGTCAAGGTGTGGGCTGGCTCCTTCTAGAGGCTTGAGAGGAAAACACATTTCTTTGCCTTTTCAGCCTCTGTTGGCTACATGCATTCCTTGGCTTGTAGCCCCTTCCTCTGTCTTCAAAGTGCTTCACTCCAGTCTCTCCTTCTGTCTGCACATTGCCTCTCCTCTCTATCAAACTCCCCTCTGCCTTCTCTCATAAGGATACTTGTGATTACATTTAGGGCTCTTCTGGATAATCAAGAACAATCTCTCCACCCCAGGATCTCTAAGCCTAATTATATCTGCAAAGTCCCTTTTGCCGTACAAGATAGAAGGGGTTGGCAGTGGGTAACTCTGGAGCCATTATTCAGCCCACCACCCGCAGACACAGAGACAGGGCTTACCCCAGATGATGGTGCTGGTCAGTGTTGGCATCTAGATCAATGGCAGACACTTTTAACCACCTTGCACATGGCCTTGCATGGTCCTCAAAGAGACGTGCACTCAACAGTGAGCACAGGACACCAAGCAACTACAATGACCTGGCCATGATGGCATTTCTGCTACCAAATGCTGCTCCCCAAAAGTCCTACCAGAGCAGGCTGGTGATAAAGCAAAAATGAGCTTGTTGTTTACCAAAGTCAGGGGAACACCATCTGGATTGTCTTAGGTTCATCTTGGAAAGGGTGGGACAAAGGAGGGACATTTATGAGGTTTTCATTGTCTAGTTTACAGCAGGTTTTCAAAAGGGGAGGGTGGTTAGGATCGGTTAGTGTTCATGATACACTCATTTGGGAGGGGTGTGTACATCTCCTAAGGTATAATCTGTTATAGAAGATCCAATGTCTTTATTGTATACTGACTAGCTGAATGTCGATTTAAGTTAATTTTGGAGAAGTCACTGAAATTAGCAAAAATGTTGTTTGATAAGTTTAATCTTCCTGGGCAAGAGTTAGCTGCAGTAGCAATGTCAGGTTGGTTAAGACAGTGGAAGAATAAATGGACGTTAGTGTAGACAGTAAACTAATGTGGGTGTAGATGTTTTGATTCTCAACACTCAGCCCACCAAAAATGCCTGGGTGAATCAGAGGAAAGAAAATCGTGTCGCAGTGTGAGGCTGTTGCCTCTGGGAGGCCCCCACTTCATAGAAAACCCAGAAGTCACCCCAAGACATTGAGAGAGCAGTGGCGAGTTGGGAGCGGAGACTCTGGGTGACCTACAGAGAAGGCAGCTGTCGGACAGGACATTTTCTTCACAAGACTTCCAAAGGCCACACCCAGAATGACTTCCACGGGTGTGTTCAAAAGGAAATGGAGAAGAATTCCTTAAGGGACAACCGCGTGTGCTGCAAGCGATTAGCCCACAGAATTCTGATCTGCACACCCACTAGCCACGTAGGAGTGCATTTCCACACTGGAAGAAAGAGCATGCCAGTTACTGTGTGCTGGGGTTAATTTTAAAAGTGGGCACAATGTGAGCCTTTTTAAAAGAAAAAATTTGAAAAAACAAGGAGGCCATTTTGTTAACCACGTGGACCTACTTTCAATGAAAGTTCAGTCTGCAGCAATGGGGGAGACAGAAATTAACAAGTACTGAGATTTTGACTATGTCTTCATATTTTAACTTCTGTTACTTACTGGGAACCAATTTGTCAGCCAGATACATTATATATGCAATGACCTCAACACAGGGGAAAGTCTTGTTGCCCTCATTTTATGACGTGTGAATAAAGACCCTCTTCAAAGGTTATGTGGCCACGGCCACACAGTAAGAGGTTGTGTCCTAAGAGTCTCCGTCTTTGCATCACGCCTTGCACATTTCTAGAAGTCAAGTATTTCTAGAAGGCAAGCCCCTTAGCTTCTGCTCCGCTTACTGTTACACTGTGCTGCGTTTGCACAGTATGTACATACAAATCCACACGCTGGCATGAATCATCCACTGTAGTCTGTGCGTTTTTATTTCTGTCTCATAGAAAAAAAGAAATCCATCCCTAGAAAGGTTTCTTCCTTGGAAGTCCAAATTGTTATACAAATCTCTTCCATGCCCTTCCCTGACTTCCCAAAAAGCTCAATATTCTTGCTTCCCAAATTCCTTCCCTGCAACTTAAAGACCCCTGAAACCCACTTTTACATAATCTTTCCTTATTACTCCCTAGACAATCTTCCTTGCAGCCATATGCTGATACACACCTCCCTTCATTAAGCCAATATTTTTATGCCAGGTGCCCTTGCCAAAATTGTTCCGTCTCCCCTGGGAATGCGCTAACTCTAATGGCTCAGTTCTTGGCAATCCTGTCTTAGCCTCCAGCTCTGAATTCAAGGCCTATCTCCTCTGTGAAGTATGCCTGGATGTCCGGTGAAAAGTCCTGCCCTGACCCTGCCCTGCTACCCCTGCGCCTCTGTCATTGTGCTCAGGGGAGAGCATCATAACTCGCAAGGGGCTCACCTGGCCAGTATGTGAACACCCTGAGGACAGGGAGTATATCTTCGCCACCTCTACTTCCCCAGAGCAGTGCCTGGCCTGGAGCAGATGTTTAGCTTGTTCGATAAATTAGGATCGAATAGGAATGTGTTGATTTCTAACACAAACCCTTACTTTTCTGGGAAGATGTTTAGATGAGGAAATCATGTACTTTATTCCTATAACATACGGGAGTTTCATCAATCTAGTGGGATATAGGAGTTTCCCCTCAAAAACAACAACAACAAAAAATAGTAAAACTTTGGATAAGTGAATTGAAAACATAAACTCTGGCAGAAACAAGGATTTTTTTCTTCTTTTCTAAATTAGTACCACTTGGTTCAAGGACAAAAGGTCACCTTTGTCAAGTTCAAAATTTATCGGATTTCTTTTGCTTCTCTCAAATTTTAGATCCGTGACTTAAACATACTTCATGAGGAAAGTTACACTGGTCTCTTCATGTTGCTGTTTATCAGAGGAAAGAGACGCTTTACAAACAATGCTGCACTTCACAGGACTCCTGATAAATGAGTCAACAGATTTACTCCCATTTGGGGGGCAGGAAATCTCAGATACAAGTGAAAAAACATTTTATGCACAGAAGACACGCATAACTGAGCTGATATTAGAACACACAGTATTTACCATCACCCTCCAGGGTTGATTGCGTGAGCTGTTTCCCCATCCATGATTCCCAAATGTCCCTTCAGTTGAATAATTATGGATTAAACCCTGCTTTACGAATCGATTTGTAATATGCATTGTGTATGACACAGTGATAATCTGAGTTCTCAGGATTTATAACCTACACATTAAAAGAATATAGAACAGTTTAAGAGCTAACAAACCAAAAACAAAACAAAACAAAAAAACACATAAAAACAAAAACATCCAAGAGATAGCACAAGGCAGTGTGAGATTGAATGCATGGCTCAGTTCTTTTCTAAATCCTGCAGGCGTTCACAGGACAGAGTGGTTATTCTGAGCTAGATAAATGAGGGGCAAATCATGGGAAAGGTGGGTCCTGAGCAGGAAGTCAAAGGTGGCAGAATTTGGGCAGATGAAGGTAGCCAGTCAGCACTCTCCAGGAGGGAGATGTTTGGAATGAGGGCACAGCTAGAATGATCTGCTGCATGACAGGGGGCTGAGAGTTGGTATAATGTACCAATCAGTAATAAGGCTTCAAAGACGTGCGGGAAGCAGAGGGGAGGCTGCTAACTCCATACTATGGTGTTGGGGGCTTTGTCTTGTAGTTTACCTTAGTGACTGGGTTTTTAAAACAATAAAATAACATGCTTATTTTTGTTTTGTTGTTTTGCTTTGTCTTGAGACAGGGTCTCACTCTCTTGCCCAAGCAGGAGTAGAGTGGCACCATCATAGCTCACTGCAGCCTCAAACTCCTGGGCTCAAGTGATCCTCCTGCCTCAGCTTCCCAAGTAGCTGGGACTAGACGTGTGTGCTACCATGCCCAGTTGATTATTTTTTGTATTTTTTGTAGAGATGGGGGTCTCACCGTGTTGTCCAGTCTGGCCTCAAACTGCTGGCATAGAGCAATCTCCCTGCCTTAGCTTCCCAAAGTGCTGGGATTACAGATGTGAGCCACTGTGTCCAGTTCTCTTTTTTTTTTTTTAAGAAAATGAATGTGTCAAAGCTCTAAAAGCTCTAAAAGAATGCGGAATGGGATGAGTGAAGCCACATCATAGATGAGTAGGTGATGCTGGGTATACCTGTGTGGTCATGGAGCCTGCCTGTGCTGGGAGTGAGGCAGTAGGGAGGAGAAGAAAGAGAATTTCAGAGAAGGCATGAAGAAAACAGTCAGCAGAGAGCTGACAGGGAGAATGAGCTATCATTGATAGAAAGGAGGAAGATAAACTGAGAAACCAGCTTGGGAAAAATCGAGAGTTCATATGTAGTTTTTGTGTCTTCTTCCAAAGCACTGGAAGAAAGTATCCAAGCCATACTCAGGCTAAGAAGCAAGAAGCAGGAATCACTAGCTATCTTAAATAGCTCTGCATTAATAGCTTAATGCATTCTCTGCATTAAGCTACTCTTAACAGGAAGCGCACACAGCAGGGATGGGCCAACTCAGCCTTAAAGAGGCAAAGCCCATGTTGTGGAACTCATGTTTAATCTTCATCCCTGACACCATGGCCGTCTTATTCCTGAACTCACTGGGAAAACACAGATGGCATAAGAAAAGGCTGCCTGACCTTCACAGGCTGGTCATCTCCCCACGTGGTTCCTGAAACACTTATCTGAAATTGATGTCCTTTGGTTAAGAATCATAAAAAACATAAAGAATCATAAAGAACACAAGTATCCTATATTCTGTGCTTATGCCTCTTCTAGAGAACTTTTTGTCACTGATTCTCCAGGGTTATTTCTTTCAGGTCTTCAAGTATCCAACCTGCCATCGACTTCCTATGAATCAGTTGTGAGCTATACATCTGGACGTGTATCCTTCCAAAAAAAAAATAAGACATTTCATATTCTGCTCGATTTCTTCCCTTGGGAGAAATTCCCTTTACTACTCTTCTGTCGGAGCAAACCTGGGAAGAGCTGCAGAAATCCCTCATGAGCTGTTACCAGCATACCATGCAGAACCTTCTGTAAACTAGCATCAACATTTGTTTTCCTCAGGCAATCAAGGGAGGCCACAGTTGAGGGCTGGTTAAAAGAGAGACACCTGTGCGTCATTGGTGGGCATGCTGAGAGATGAGTCTCTGGATCACGCTTACGCTCAGCCTCACATATGCCACTTTCATTCCACCCCGTGCTGTTATAAAAGTCAAATTGTGTGACTCATGATTTAGATCTTATGGTCACTTAATGTCCCATAGTTAGGCATCTGGTCTCTACCAGGGCCCAGGAGCAACAAAGAGCCATTTCAGAAAAAAAAAAATGTTGTAATTATTTTCCAAAAAAGCATTACTAGGTGATATGGTTTGGATTTGTGTCCCCCGGCCAAACCTCATGTCAAATGGTAATCTCCAGCGTTGGAGGAGGGTCTGGTAGGAGGTGACTGGATCATGGGGGCAGATCTCCCGCTTGCTGTTCTCCTGATAGTGAGTTCTTGCAAGATCTGGTTGTTTAAGAGTGTGCAGCGCCTCCTCCTTCTCTTTTTCCCTCCTGCTCTAGCCCATGTAAGATGGGCCTGCTTGCCCGCTGCCTTCTGCCATGATTGTAAGTTTCCTGAGGCCTCCATAGCCATGCTTCCTGTGCAGCCTGGGGAACCATGAGCCAATTAAACCTCTTTTCTTTATCAATTACCCAGTCTCAGGTAGTTCTTTATAGCAGTGTGAGAATGGACTAAGACACTAGGCTTGCAATAGTTTCCATGAAGCATCTCGTCCTTCCTCTTGCATCAGCTGGGATACCAGATAGCAGATCTCATTGCCCTCTCTTGCTTCAAGCTCTCCTTAAAACTGTATTTTCAAGGTACTCAATAAGTGGGTCAGCACAGCATACCTAAAGGAGGTATACCCTGCCTCCAACATCAGATTAAAAAAAAAAAGGCTGACCAAATAAAAAAGGAGCATTGAGTTTCATTTCAATATCAGATGGAATGAAAGTTTAATGCTTATTTTTTAGTTATAGGGTGTCAAATAACAACAACTGACTTTCACTCCCCACAGTTGGGTTACATCTGGCCTAGCAGAAACTCCAAAGTTTTGGTGGCCCTTGCAAATTTTCATTGGGCTTTCATCTCCCCTGCTCTATCTTACATGTGATTGCCAGGATATTTCTGGCTTACCTAGTTCAATAAGTATGATGTCATCAAGAAATTGAACCAATATACTGCCCTGTTGAATGGGAAGGTAATCAAGTTCCTTAGGGCTAAATTGTGATAGAGAATAAGAATGCTGGTATCTAGCGAAAGTAAAAGACTCCAGAATATCTGATACATTTTGCCCAAACTCATGTTCCTTTTACCCTGGCTTAACATCTTTATAATATATGACAAGACATATTACCTAGCATCTTCTGTAATTCAATATGAATAAATGTAAATTAATATAAATAAATATAAACAAATTGTAACGCATTGTAAGTACATTGACGAGTAACTCCTTTCTTCCTGAGTCAGATTCTGTACTGTGCCTCTGGGGTATGCGGGGATCTGATTATAACTATAGGTGTAGAGGCTGTGGGGGAGGTAGAAATTGGTATGAGAAGAACCGTCCTTTCTTCCAAGGTAACTACATTAGGTGTCGGTAGGTTTGGCCTCATCAAAGGAGGAGCCTCTGTTAGCAGGAGAAGCTCTGAAGTCCTCATTCCCTTGTCTCCTATTCTCACTCCTAACCAAAACATTTCCTATATTTGCTAAAGAAGACCTGGTGAACGAAGTTCTGAATCAACTTACACTGTAATTCAGTCATGTGCATGATTGGCCTCCATTTGGGAGTTTTGGCGAAATCTGGCCAGCAGCTACAAGAGATAAGCAATCATTTAGGACTTAGAGGCTTGTCACTGGACATACCTTGAACTGAGAATGTAAACCCCTGAGCTGGAATTTTCTTTCTTTGAACGCTTCAGTTTGGTCATGAGCAGCTGGCCCCCGCCCTCCTTAGAGTCCTCATTCTCACTATGATGTTGCTGCAGTCACTGGGTCCTCCCTCTGCCTTCAACAGGCTTTGTATTCCCAGGGACCACAGGTGATAATTTAAGCAGCTGTTTCTTAGTGTGTCATATGTCCAAGTTCTCATTTACTAGTGGTAATTAGGTTCTTACTGCCTTCAAATCCAACCAAGGCTGATAAGCAGTTGTATGGTCTTGTTCTTGAGGAACTGTTGCCTACAACTACTTTTTCTACCAAATTCCATATTAGTAAGCATTAAATTGCAAGAAATAAAAACAGGCACAAAAAGAAGAATACTGCATGATCTCACTTACATGTGGAATCTTAAGAAGTTGATCTCGTAAAAACAGAGAGTAGAAAGGTAGTTACCAGAGAGGGGGGCTGAAGGGTAGGGTCAGGGGAGATGTTGGGAGCTAAACAATGTGTACGCATGGACATAGAGAGTGGAATAATAGACATGGAGATTAGGAAGGGTGAGAAGGTGGGAGGGGTGAGGGATAAGAAATTACTTAATGAGTATAATGTACACTACTCCAGTAATGGTTATACTAAAAGCCCAGCCTATGTCACCACTACACAATATATCCATGTAATAAAAAATTGCACTTATACCCCTAAATTTGTACAAATGTTTTAAGCAAGACACAAAATTTCAATTAGCCTAGAGGAATAAGTTTTGGTGATCTACTGCACTGCATGGTGACCACAGTTAATCATAATGTATTGCATATTTCAAAACTGCCAAAAGAATAGATTTGTAACATTCTCTTTCCACACACACAAAACAATAAGTTAGTGAGGGGATGGACATATTAATTTGCTTGATTTAATTTTTCTACAATGTATCTATAAATCAAAACAGTACATTGTACCCCATAATATACACACTTGTTAATTTAAAATATATAATTTTTTAATCCCACCCTAACCATTTTAAGTAGAGAGGAATTTAAAATGGAGTGTCCACAATATTGCTGTACACCGGGTTGGAAAACTGGTTCCATCCTGGGCCTTCAGAAAGGACCCCAGAGCACTGCAAGCCAAAGTAGACCGAAGGCTGCTACCTCTGCTGAGTGAGGAAGGCACAGAGTCAGGAGAGCGTGCACCTGTGTCTGCAGGTCCTCCTTTCCTAGCGAAACAAGAAGGTTCCAGCCATCTCTGCTGCAAAGGGTCTTGATGCCTACAAGACGAGTGAGGACATCCTGGAACACTATGGGGATGGCAGGGCAAGCTCTCCTATACAGCCAGAGCAGCAGAAGCTGTTCTTTCCCTTGCTTCTTCCTTCCACAACTTCTGTGAGTGCATCTAATCGGCAGGCTCTAACTCACATCCAAAACTCTAACCATGAACATGTAGGGTTAGCTGTCTAGACCCTCCAATCCACAAAAGACCTACCAGAGGGAAGATTAAGGATGCTGTTGCCGACCACCTCTATCTACCACATTAAGCCATGTTTAAGATGATATCTACCATAACTTAATGCAATCATTTCCTTCGCTGTGATTTATCATATGCGTCATTTGTTGCAACCTCAGTACCACTGGAGAAGTTTGTGGTTTTCTTTTCTAATTGTTTTTCTACAATTTGTTTTCATTTCCGTTACTTAAGTTTTAGGGTCCTATGACAGCTACTTAATCCAAACAACTAATCTTCAGCTGGGGAGTTAACTAAATGAGTGCTGAGCAAGCATTTTTGCTCACTTCTTTAAAATAACTACTCTCCTCGGGTCAAATGTTTTGCTTTTTATATGATATTCACAGAAAGCTCTTTTTTTTTTCTTTGAGATGGAGTTTCACTCTTGTTGCCCAGGCTAGAGTGCAATGGCACAATCTCAGCTCACCGCAACCTCCATCTCCCAGGTTCAAGCAATTCTCCTGCCTCAGCCTCCCGAATAGCTAGGATTACAGGCATGAGGCACCACGCCTGGCTAATTTTGTATTTTTAGTAGAGATGGAGTTTCTCCATGTTGGTCAGGCTGGTCTTGAACTACCGACCTCAGGTGATCCGCCTGCCTCGGCCTCCCAAAGTGCTAGGATTACAGGCGTGAGCCACCGTGCCCAGCCCACAGAAAGCTCTTTAAATAAATATGCAGATGTAAAACTATATATATGTAACAGGGTCTTGCTCTGTTACCCAGGATGGAGTTCAGTGGTGCAATCACAGCTTCCTGCAGCCTCAACTTCCTGGGCTCAAGTGATCCTCTTGCCTCAGCCTCCTGAGTAGCTGGGACTGCAGACACACATCACCATACCCAGCTAATTAGAGATGAGGTAATGTGTTGTCCAGACTTAAAGCAATAATTTTTCCTGTGATATTTTATCATTAGGTTTCTTAAGACTTCTGTTTTTTTCTTTTATGGTTTCGATGGCAGGCGCACTTTGCTCCTAACTCTCAGTTATTAGACTCAGAAGAGTCTGAACCTTCACAGCTTAGCTGTGGCTTAGTTGGGGCTCACTGCTACATCTCTACCAGTAGGCAAGTTCCTGGGGAGGAGGCCCACTGAGTTTGTTCACCTCCATGTCCCAGCACATGAAACAGGGCCTGGCATGAAGCAGGCCAGCAGCTCTATAAAACATGTTCAATGAATGGACAAATTAATGGAGTTTGCCTTCATAGATACCTTCCCAAATCTGGTTTCCTACTATTTAAGTCTCTATTACAGTCAGTCATCTTAGGAATAAAGGTAGGCATTGACCACCCAAAAGGCTGTTTCTGTCTTCTTCACAAAGTGGGGCTGGAAAGTGGGTGGCATTATCACTGACAGAGTCTTCTGTAGCGGCCACTTGCATGACAGGAATGGCCAGTACCCAGCACCTTTCCATGGTAGTCATGCCTGATACCATGTGTAAGGAACATGGCTGTGCTGCCGCTAATCAGGCATGGGGCAGCAGGCATAGGCTGAGGTAAACAGCCTGGATGACTCAGCAGGTTTGTGGTGCAGGCGCACAGTCCCATGATTTATATAATCACAGCCATGTGGACATAACATAAAGAAGCTCACCACCTGGCTCTCAGCCACTATTGTGTAATGTATAAAAGTAACACTGACCCTGTGAGGGAGCTGCTGAATAAAGGCATGCCTCATCTACCTGATGTCTCTTGAGTGTTGAGTGTTCTTCCAGCTCCCTGCCCCACATCCACCTGCTCCTCTCAGCCCTCATCTGGGGCTGGAACCTGACTCTGAGCATGACCCCATGTAGGTATCTGCCCTTGTCTGTTTGTGCGGCCCATGGGGCAGGGGGAGCTGACTTCACTGCAGTAGGGCAGGGCACAGGACTGAGACCCAGGCTTCTCTCAGCTGCAGGACTGGTGTGAGGTCCAGTATGAGCACCTGACCCAAGTGAGCCAAACATAGTGAAACATGGGATTTTGTTTGCTAGTGGCTGGCATAGATGTTCTTTCCTAGCGGATGAGAACCCAGAGGGATGCAGACCAAGGAGTGGCTATAACCCATCAGGTGATTATGAAGAGGGGGCTTGTCTGATCCTTGAAATAGAATCCCAAGGTCAGATCCACTGAACTCTGGATCTGACAAGTTACATGAGCCAATACATTTCTGTAACATAAAATGAAGTTGAACTTTCTGTTTCTTACAACTGAAGTGTTTCTAAGTGATAGAACTACCTGACTTTGGCAGAATCTCAGATAACTTTGCCTGATCAAAAGTCTCCATGATTGTTTATACTTCTGGGGGGGAAAAAGGAAACATCGTCTGCATTTTTCCTTTCCTCTTCCTTTCCAACACCTTTGAGTTTCTTAGCCAGTTCTTGAAAGCAAGGATGAGTCTGACAACCTGCAATGTGTTTTTCAGAGTCTGATTATATGTCTTTGCAAAAGTCCTTCTCGTATCTTATTTCTGAACTTTCGAAGAGGTCTCAACCTGTACTTCAACAGATATTTAAGTTTTCTTCTTAACACTCATAAAGCCCCTTACTAGACAGGAAATCTTTTAATAGAAATTTATAATATAAATAAAGAGGATATATTCAAGAGACATTTGGGGTTCATACTTTCCTATCTTTTTTTTTTTTTTTTTTTTTTTTTGCCGTGAAGACTCTTTTTCACTATGGTGTAAGTTGAATAACGTGTAAAAGTCTTGAAACTTTCAGCACATATCTGGAATGTGTTGTTCAAGTGTAGCACTGTTTTTCTTTATGTCAGGGCTGGAAGATGAGGCCACAAGAAAATTTCTGGCCAAACATGTTGTTATTAAATGTTTATTCTCTCTGAAACCCATGTTGAAACTTAATTCCCAGTATCACAGTACTAAGAGGTGAAGGGCCAGCACAGTGGCTCATGTCTATAATCCCAGCACTTTGGGAGGCTGAGGTGGGTGGATCACTTGAGGTCAGGAGGTGAAGACCATCCTGGCCAACATGGTGAAGCCCTGTCTCTACTAACAAAAAAAAAAAATACAAAAATTAGCTGGACATAGTGGTGCATGCCTGTAGTCCCAGCTACTCATGAGTCTGAGGCAGGGGAATCACTTGAACCTAGGAGGCGGAGGTTGCAGTGAGCCCAGATTGCACCATTGGAATCCAGCCTGGACGACAAGAGCGAAACTCCAAGTCAAAAACAAAAACAAAAACAAAAAAAAAAAGAGAAAAAGAGGTGGAGTCTTTAAGAGGTGAGTGGAGTAATCTAGTCCTGGATTAATGGGTTATAGAGGGCACGGGTTGGTTTTCAGAAGAACAGATCTATACTAAGAGCCAATTTCGCCATCTCTGCTGAGTCCCTACCATGTGATGTTCTGCACTGCCTTGGACCTCTACAGTGTGTCTCTACCAGCAAGAAGGCCCTCACCAGATGTAGCCCCTAAACCTTGAACTTCCAAGTCTCCACGTCTGTAAGAGCTGTGTGATCTTTCTTTGTTAAATCTAGAAAGAAAGTAAACAATCTCCTCTGAGTTACAGGTATCTTTGAAGTAACACATCTCAATTTCCTGCCTAAAGCTGACTCTTCATTCCCAGTTCAGGATGACAACTTCCCACCCCTTCTGTACTCTTACTTTCTAGTGGTTCAAGCTGGAATCTCAGGAGTCGCTCATGATGATTTTCCTTAATTCTACATGTAATCCCCATGACTGCCTTGCTGGCAATAACTGCATGAATCCTCACTCCTTCTTCTTTTTTTTTTCAGTTATTTTATTTGAAATTCCCTGTCATTACCTTGCATTTACTTTCTATTTAACATCTTTATTAAAGTATAATTGACATATAATAAACCCCACATATTTAAAGTGCACAACTTGATAAGTTTTGACATATGTATATGCCCGTGAAATGAGCACCATAATTAAGATAATGAACATATCATCATCTGCAAAAGTTTCCTTGGGACTTTCTGTAACCCCTCTTTCTTGCTTCTCCCTACTATCCCCAGGCTACCACTGATATGCTTCCTGTCACTATATATTAGTTTGCATTTTTTAGAATTTTACGTAAATGAAATCACATGGTATGTACTCTTTTTTATTGGCTTCTTTCATGCAGCATAAGATTCAATAATTTTGTAGCATATATCAATAATTCATTCATTCTTTATTGGGAAACTGTTTGCATACTATCAATAGAATGCAATACAATTCCACAATAAAATATGAATGTCACAGTTTGCTTAGCCATTTGCCCATTAACATTTGTTTGTTTAGCCATTCACCAGTTTGTTTAGCCATTCACCAGTTAACATTTGGCTTGATTTCAAGTTCTGGCTATTACATATAAAGTTCCCATGAGTATTAATTTTTTTTTTTTTTTTGAGATGGAGTCTCGCTCTGTCACCCAGGCTGGAGTGCAGTGGTGCGATCTCAGCTTACTGCAACTTCTGCCTCCTGGGTTCAAGCAGTTCTCCTGCCTCAACCTCCAGAGTAAATGAGACTACAGGTGCACACCACCACACCCCTCTAATTTCTGTATTTTTAGTAGAGATGAGGTTTTCCCATGTTAGCCAGGCTGGCTTAAACTCCTGATCTGCGATGATCCACCCACTTTGGCCTCCCAAAGTGCTGGGATTACAGGCATGAGCCACCATGCCCAGCCAGTACGAATCTTATATAGTCAAATGTCTTCATTTATCTTGGGTCAATATGTAGAAGTGGGATGTTTGCATCATATAATACATGTATGTTAAACATTTACAAAACTCCCAAGCATTCCTATACACCAACAATAGACAAGCAGAGAGCAAAATCATGAATGAACCCCCATTCACAATTGCTACAAAGAAAATAAAATACCTAGGAATGCAGCTTACAAGGGACATGAAGGACCCCTTCAAGGAGAGCTAAAAATCACTGCTCAAGGAAATAAGAGAGGACACAAACAAGTGGAAAAACATTCCATCCTCATGAATAGGAAGAATCAATATTGTGAAAATGGCCATACTGCCCAAATTAATTTACAGATTCAATGCTATTCCCATCAAGCTACCATTGACATTCTTCACAGAATTAGAAAAAAAAACTACTTTAAATTTCATATGGAACCAAAAAAGAGCCCATATAGCAAAGACAATCCTAAGCAATAAGAACAAAGCTGGAGGCATCATGCTACTTGACTTCAAACTATACTACAAGACTACAGTAACCAAAACAGCAGCTACTGGTACCAAAACAGACATATAGATCAACAGAACAGAACAGAGACCTCAGAAAATAACACCATGCATCTACAACCATCTGATCGTCGACAAATCTGACAAAAACAAGCAATGTTTAATAAATGGTAAACTGGCTAGCTATACGCAGAAAACTGAAATTGGACCCCTTCCTTACACCTTATACAAAAATTAATTCAAGATGGATTAAAGACTTAAATGTAAAACCCAAAACCATAAAAACCCTAGAAGAAAATGTAGGCAATACCATTCCAGACATAGGCATGGGCAAAGACTTCATGATGAAAACACCAAAAGCAATTGCAACAAAAGCCAAAATTGCCAAATGGGATCTAATTAAATTAAAGAGCATCTGTACAGCAAAAGAAATTAGCATCATAGTGAACAGGCAATCTACAGAAAGGGAGAAATTTTTGCAATCTACCCATCTGACAAAGGTCTAATATCCAGAATCTACAAGGAACTTAAACAAATTTACAAGAAAAAAAAAAAACCCATAAAAAAGTGGGCAAAGGATATGAACAGACACTTCTCAAAAGAAGACATTTATGTGGCCAACAAACATATGAAAAAAAGCTCATCATTACTGATCATTACAGAAATGCAAATCAAAAGCACTATGAGATACCATCTCACGCCAGTCAGAATGGTGAGTATTAAATAGTCAAGAAACAATAGATGCTGGTGAGGCTGTGGAGAAATAGGAATGCTTTTACACTGCTGGTGGGAATGTAAATTAGTTCAACCACTGTGGAAGACAGTGTGGTGTGATTCATTGAGGATCTAGAACCACGAATACCATTTGACCCAGCAATCCCATTACTGGGTATATACCCAAAGGAATATAAATCATTCTACTATAAAGACACATGCACTCGTATGTTTATTGCAGCACTATTTACGATAGCAAAGGCATGGAACCAACCCAAATGCCCATTAATGACAGACTGGATGAAGAAATGTGGTACACATACACTATGGAATACTATGCAGCCATAAAAAAGAATGAGTTCATGTCCTTTGCAGGGGCACGGATGAAGTTGGAAGCCATCATCCTCAGCAAACTAACACAGGAACAGAAAACCAAATACCGCATGTTCTCATTCCTAAGTGGGAGTTGAACAATGAGACTATATGTACACAGGGAGGGGAACAACACACACCACAGCCTGTCGGGGATGGGGGGCAAGGGGACAGAGACCATTAGAACAAATACCTAATACATGTGGGGCTTAAAACCTAGATGATGGGTTGATAGGTGCAGCAAAACCACCATGGCCCAAGTATACCTGTGTAACAAACCTGCACGTTCTGCACATGTATCCTGGAACTTAAAGTAAAATAAAATTAATTAATTAATTAAAAAGAAAAGCAAATTGAGGAAGTGTGCATTAAGGAAATACACAAGAGGAATTACTACCACACTCATATTAAATTGGCTAAAATTAAGAGACTGATTATATCTAGTGTTGGCAAGGAAGGGGAGGAATTGGACACTCATATATACTGCTGGTAGGATGTAGTACAGCCTCTTTGGAATACACTTTGGGATCCTCGCTCCTTCTATTTCCATCTAACTCCACTGCCAGGACTGCAGCCATGCCTCCATTCTCTGTGTCCTGGATCACAGCCTGGTCCCTGGTGTCCTGGCTTCTTCTGCTGCCTTGTCCCAGTCCATCTCCCATGAGAGGCAGTATGAAATATGTTTAAAGTAAAGTCAGATTATGCCACTCCATTTCTTTAACCTCTTCAAAGATCTAAAACTTTTCTACCCTGGCTTACAAGACTCTACATGATCTGGCCTGTGCCCCATCCCTCCTCTTAAGTAAATCAATACCAAGTGGCTCCTTGTTCACTATAGTCTGGGTTACCTGAGCTGACTTCTGATGCTTTAACATGCCACATTCACTCCAGATAGGGAGACTTCCTGTCATTACTCCCACTGCCTGGAAGTTTGCTCTTGGTTTTTGTTGTCTTTTTTTCTCCAAAGAGACTTTATTTTTTAGAGCAGTTTTACTTTCACGGCAAAATCAAGCAAAAAGGACAGAGTTCTCATATACCACCTGCCCCCATGCATGCACAGCCTCCTCCACTATCAACACCACACTCATAGTGGTACGTTTGTTATAACCAGTGAGTTTACACTGACACATTGTTACGTGTCACGCCAAAGTTCATAGTCTACATTGGGGTTCACTCAGTGTTGGACATTTTAGGAGTTTTGACAAATGTAACACATGTATCCACCGCTATGATATACAGAATTCTTTCACTGCCCTAAAAATCCTTCTGCCTGTTCATCCCTTCCTCCCCTATCTCAAACCAAGGAAACCACTTTTTTTTTTTTTTAAAAATGTCTCTATCATTTCCCTTTTCTAGAATGCCATATAGTTGGAAGGACACAGCATGTAGCCTTTTCAGGTTGACTTCTTTCCCTTAGTAATGTTCATTTAAGGTTTCCCCATGCCTTTTCATGGCTTGAGAGCTCATTTATTTTTTAGCACTGTATAATATTCCATGGTTTGTGATATGGTTTGGATGTGTCCCCACCCAAACCTCATCTTGAATTGTAGCTCACATAATCCCCATGTGTTGTGGGAGAGACCCAGCGGGAGGTAATTGAATCACGAGGGTGATTACCCCCATGTTGCTATTCTCATGATAGTGAGTTCACACACGATCTGAGGGTTTTATAAGGGGCTTTTCCCGTATTTGTTTGACACTTCTCTTTCCTACTGCCATGTGAAGGGCATGTTTGCTTCCCCCTTCCTCCATGATTGTAAGTTTCCTGAGGCCTCCCCAGCCCTGTGGAACTGTGAGTCAATTACACCTCTTTCCTTTATAAATTACCCAGTCTTGGGCAGTTCTTTATAGTAGTGTGAGAACAGACTAATTCAGTCTGCATGCATCCCAGTTGATTTATCCATTCACCTACTAAAGGAACATCTTGCTTTCTTCCATGTTTTGACAATTCTGAATAAAGCTGCTTAAATATTCATGTGCAGGACTGTGTGTGATGTTAAGTTTCAACTCATGTGCAGGATTGTGTGTGATGTTAAGTTTCAACTCATCTCGGTAAAGACCAAGGAGCATGATTGCTGCAGCTTTTGCTTTTTAACCTCACTGGATTATACTTTTACCCAGATATCAGCTGTTTAACATATTAATGTATTAATTCACTCAGCTTACTGATTCAGCAATCATTTCTTGGTAACTGATGTTTAGGAGACACGGTCTGGGTGTTGGGGACATGACAGTAAGTAGAGTGGGTTCTGCCCACTGGCACGGATGTCAGGGCACAAGGACTGGAGAGGATGATGCACACAGTGAGAGGTGCTGGGAGTCACACACATGCTGACTATGGCTGGCTGACCCCGTGACAGGGCGTGGGAGTAAAGAGGAGTCAGACAAACTCCTCAGTTTTCGGTCCTAGCAAGTGGGAGAACAGGGGCACATGCAGGCATCGTGCTGCAGGGAGATGCTCCTCGCAGGACCCAGGACAGAACCGGCTGCCAGGGATGGCAGCGACCATGATGGCTGTGGTGGGACAGGCAGACAGCTATCTTACCAACAGAACTCATGCTGCTTATATGTGGCGAGGAGACAAAGGAAAAAAAGGGAAGGACCAAGAATGATACCAAAAAAAAAAACCAAAAAAGTTTGATATTCAAAACTCTATCAAGGACATTTCCCATAGAAACTGGACTTGAATGGACCTTAGAGAACTGGTTGGATTTACTGCCTAGGATGGAAGGGGGTGCCACTTGCACGCCAAGCCCAATATTGCAGAGGGGCTGATTGGAGCTGTGCACTGTGAAGGATGAGAGCTGGGCACACACAACAACTGAGGAATTCATTGGGAGGTGAGTCAGAAGGAGGAGGAGGATGAAGAGGAAGAGGAGGAGGAGGGTGAGGAGGAGGGAGAGGGGAAGGAGGACGGGGAGGGAGGGGGAAGGAGGGGGAGGAGGAGGAGGAGGAGAAGGGGCTGCACATGCCTCAGCAAGGGCAGTACTGAGCAGAAGATGATCATAAAGTCACTTCCTCCATGTCTTGGTTTTTAAATCATTGCTGTCTGTGGGATTTGTCCTCTGGGCTCCTTCTTACCCCAGATGCAGTCTTGGGCACACACCCTAGCCTTTCCAGTCACTCGGAGACAACACAGTCCAGTGTGATGTGCTGTCACTTATTTCCTGTCTTCAACTTAGCTTCTTACCCATGGAGCTGGTGGCCGTTCTTAGACGCTAGCAAGATGGGTGTGGGTGGGTGGGAATGGGGCAAGACAGGCTTTTCCTCTGTTCCAACATTTTCCTTATTCACCAGCTTGTTTGTGACCCCTCCAAGCTTGGGGTAGGAGAAGGGATCAGGAGAAAAAGATGCAGTCTTTGTAACCTGGCTTCCCAAAGTGCTTGAGTCATAGTCCAAGAACAAAGAACAGGCTGGTGGGGTGGGCTTCTCTCCTGCAGCGAGCTCCTTGGGACGGAAGAGCATCTTCCGCACAGGACTGGGGCAGAGCTCAGCCAGGAGACCCACATTACACCCAGATTATTTTAAGAGAGAAAAGGTAAAAGCAAAACACTAAAATATCACAGGAGGAGCCACCGCAAGAAGCAGCTGACACCTTGGGCTGGAGAGAATAAAAGAAGGAGGAAGGAGTGAGCAAAACTCAGAAATGTGGAGGAGCTGCCACCCAGAAATCACACTCAGACATATGAAGAAGGGACCTTCTGGGCTGGTGCTGAGGCCTCTGCTCTTGGACTCAGGGCTCTGTGGAGCTGGGAAACCAACTTTGCTGGTATCTCCGAGGGGATGCTATGAGGCTGGCTCTGCGTGTGTCAGAGAAACTGCAGACCCAATTCGTATGCCGCTCTGTTCATGAACTGCCACTGCCAGGTGCGAAAGCAAGGATAGCAAGACGCTAGCAGGACCAGGAGTCGGACAGGACAGAATGGGAGGCACAGGCCCCTCTCCTACCTCTTATCTTCTGGTTTCCTTGTGTATATCTGTTGGCACAGCTGAACAGAACTCTGGCAGGAGAGGTGGCACGTGGCTCCCCAGTCCCTACGTCACAAGGCAGAGTATAAAAGGGAAGGTGTGGGGCCGAGAGACAGTAACTTAACCACCAGCTCAGGGTCCTGGGATTCATCCCTCTTCCAGTCAGCAGGAAGTGACAAAGAGCACAGGAAGGCCCTAGGGGCCAGGCCCCTTTTGCTGATGTTTGGCTGGTAGAACTTAATCACATGTCAGGTGCAGGGAGGCTGGGGAATAACTAGACAGAATAGAAACAAGTTTTGGTGAGTGGCTGCCACTGGTGCTGTGTGGATACAGTTCAAAGTGAGGACTTTCCAGCTGTGGACATCCAGCTACAGTTCTTTGAATGGGGGATGGAAGAGCAAAGTTTTATTTCTGGCTGCTCACTTTGCCTCAGCCTCGCTTTCCTCGCAGCTCCCACTGAAATGCCCACCGTATCCAGTATGCAGAACTCCTGCTCATCCCAGTGCGGGTGAGCATGCGGCTCAGTCACCTCCAACCCATCTCCTGGAGCTGTCCCACGGTTCCCTTGGAACCACTCTAGGGCATGTAGCATCTGACTCTGAGTGCTTCACTTCGTGGGGGCACTGATTAAAACAAAGCTCTGGAATATAGCATCATCGAGAGGCAACTGTTGATTTAATTTATTAACATATACATCCACTGAAATGGCTGCTAGATGTGGTCTAGAAACCAAGGAGACCCCCCACTGGCCTCAGGTGAAGGGGAAACATGTCCCTCCCTTTCCTATCCCTCCTCAGAGTTAGGTGGGACATGCCCTTGCCAGCTGCTCTACAGAGAATCCCCTCCTCAACACCTGTCACCTCTGAGCACCTGCCGCCTTCTTCCTCCGATCCCGGAAGCTACAAGAAGCTTCTCGTGTGACCAACTCTTACAGCCGCCAGGTGTTCACAAACCCGCAAGGCAGAGTGGGCTTGTCCTCCTTTACAGAGGGCGACTGCAATGTGAGAGTTGTGAAAGTCCTTTCAAATGTTGCTTTTTTTTTTTTTACTTTTCTCAATCAGCTTTCTCAGGTTGAAGAAAATTTTGCTTAATAATCATATCAGTTTTGCTTTCTATTTCAAACTAATTGTTTCAAAACTAAATTTTATTTGTCCGGTTTCTAAGTAACATCAGTGTTTCAGGAAGAAGCAACATGTTTACTCTCTGGCTTCAAATCACTTTGAGGGTAAGAGCTGAGGCTGTGAGCAAATTGCTGATGTCTGAGGACAAGTCGAAACCCCACCACTATAACCCTGAGTGTTGAGAAAAACTGGAGCAAAGACAGCTTAGGACTAAGCCTGGTGGAACGTGTGTGGGCGGATAGCAAAGTGGTTCCCACAAGACGCCTTCCACCCTAGGATGCCCCAGAGGATGGCCTTTCCCCTCAGCAAGAAGGTTCGGTTAAGTCCTAATACCGTCGGAAATTCTATTTATGTGGAAAACACACAGGGAAAGACAGACATCTTGTGGGCATATGGTAGCATTACATCACAGGTCTGGAAATTAATACCTAATAATCAGGGGGTCATATCATTGAATAACACACTGTTAGTCACAAACAATTCCATCAAACATCTCTCCAATTAAAAGAAACAAATGAACATATAGTTCATTTTTCTTACAGTTAAATGCATCAATTAAAAGCACAGCCTTGAACTTCCAAAGAATAGACAGCTTTCCATTTTGAGTTCTCCTTGGTTTCTAGACCATATCTATTAGCCATTTCAGTGGAAGTATATGTTAATAAACTAAATCAACAGTTACCTCTCAATGATGCTAATTCCAGAGCTTTCGTTTTAAGCAGACACCAAGTATCTGAGAGGTAATGAGCGTGTGGGGTGAGAAGTGAGACTTTTTGAGTTGGATCCTCTGAACAGCTGGCTGGATTCGACAGGCACAGGGAATCCCAAGACCAGAGACTGGAATGCAGACATTCCTCCGGGTCTTAGGGCTTCTCTGGCAGAAAAACAACAAGTTTATCTTGGAAGTTTGACAGGAAAAATGCTTTTAAAGAAAAAGCAAACCATCTTTTTCCTATGAGTCAGTTGAAGATATATTTATCTCCTTTCCAAAATGGATACCACCATCAATAAATTATTAATAACTATTTGTCTAGTGAATCCTATAGAGTGGGTCCCATCCTTGTCACTTTTTACTTAAATTACCGTTGGTCCTCTGTAAGGAAACACCAGCACAAATAGGTCATTTGCGTAAGAATTTAAAGACAGATGTGTGGTTCCAAAGCCATAGTTCACCACTTGCAGTATACACACTTGCTTGTTTGTTTCCATCGTGATGAAAAAACAGGTGTGGCCCATCATGCAGGAAAGAGAAAAAATGTAATTCTGACCATTCCTCAATTAGTGGCCTACTACATTTTCATTATGACCAATAATCACACCTGTTTTTTTACACCCTGCATGTTAAGAATGACTTTCACATTTTGAAGTTTCTTAAATAAACAGAAGGTGACAAATAGGTGGCACAGACCTGTGTGACCTACAAAGCTTAAATATTTACCATGTGGCTCTTCAGAGTCTGCCTATCCCTGCATTACGTAAACAAGACTCGTTTTCATTAGATGTCTTGAGAACTGGCTTTGAGAAAGGTAGGAGAAAATACACTTTTATTAACATTTTTGAAGGGAAATATTTGTTGTTTCTTACCTTCAATTATTTGCAGCACATTTGATTCTTTCTGACTTTCATTTAACATCTACTATGCAGCACTTTGCAGCATTTAAAGGGAAGACTCATCTGTAAGACATAAAAACCACCATCATCCAACTCAAAATGTGATGTTACTAAAAATTACTCCGTGCTAAGGGGATTTTTTGCCCCTTAGGTGGCAGATCCTTGGGGTTGTGGAGGTAAACCCCGGAGCCTGGAAGAGCAGGTAGGATTTCTACACCTAGAGCTAGAAGGAAGCGTGTTCCAGGTAAGGGGAAAACACTAGCAAGGGTGCACAGACAGGGAGGCAGCAGTGAGAACTCCAAGTGCCCCTAATCATAAAAGTGCGTCATGGCTGCGGGTGGATGGTGTAGAGGGAGAGAGAGCTGGTGTCTTCTCCAGTAAGGTACTTTGGAAAAACACACATTTAAGTAACTGTACATAAAAGGGAAGTAATGGTGAAGATAAATTTGTCTGGGATCAGACGCTAGCACCGGGACGATCATGATCCCTACAGGTCTTTCTCTAATACCTGCTGCCCCTTTCCCTAATGGGTCACATGGTCTGTCTTCCACTGTATAGCTGCGTCCCGCTATGGATCTGCTCACTTCCCTTTTCTTTTTTAACTTTACCCTTGTTTTCTGCCCACCTGTCTCTGAGAAAAGCTGAGACTTCTATCACCGGCAGGTCCTCAGTTAGGTACACGCCTGTCTTGCTTGGGTGTCAACGACAGGAAACTTAGCTATCGCTGGATGTCTGCTTCCGCCACTCCACAGCAGGTGGTATCCAGAGTGTGTAAGCAAGGTCAGGGGTGCGAAATTTGGAGAAGAAAACTCAGAGAAAAATGCAGACTGCTTTTTTTGGAAGGGGTGTTTTCAGTTGCAATTTCCATACTGAGGAGCTAGAAATTGGCTGGTAAGGTCTAGACATTAACTTAACTAAACGTGCATTCCTCCTCTTGAATTTGGACTTTATAAGGAATTTGGATTGTATAACCACACGATGGAAGCTGCGAGAGGCTTCTGAACAAGGTACTGACGGCGACCAGCTGTGATGACTAAAAAGACGATTCTGGTGGTGGTGGATACGGTGGCTGGAGATAAGAAAAACCTCGGTTCAAACGAGATCTGAATTTACCCACTAACTACGACCACGAGGAGTTTATTCCTTTATCTTTCCGTTTTCTCTCTCTCCCGAGAAGTGTCAAAAACAGGATTTGGAGGTGGCAGGATAATGGCCAAAATGGGTAGACAAGGTGGCGAACGATTCAACCAGGCTCTGGGCTTGGCGCATGGTGGGCGGTGGCGCCCACACCTGGGCCTGGGAACCCGCCGCTCGGGCATCACTGGCTGCCGCGGCGACCGGCGAGGACACATGACCGAGGAGCGAAAGGTCAGAAGACAAGGGGACTGTTACAGGAGCAGGGGAGCCGCCACTGGCTGCTAAGGCCGTGCAACTGGCGCCGAAGCGCACGATCTCCGCCCGCCCCGCAGCGCGTCGGGAACTGTAGTCCCTCCCTCTCCTGCTCCCTGGCCCAGGACGGGCTCCGGGACAGCGCCTATCCCTCTAGCTGTAAATCACGCACTTTCCTGTCCTGGACGCCGGGTCCTTCCACTTCTCAGGCGTCTGGAGCTTACGTCACGGGCGGGTCACCGCCCACATAGCGGAGGCCTTTAGGTGTCTATGGAAAGCCTGTCGTACAGCAAGGTGGCAATAAAGGATCGACCCTTAACAGTGGTAGGAATGCACCTTCGATCCTTCTACTCCTATTGGCTGCTCCTCTGTGGGCGTCTCCCCCGCCGCATAGCACAGCTCCTCTCCCGGTGTTGCTCAGGCAGCGCCTTAGGCAGCCCCGCGCCCAGGGGAGGGGCGGGGCGAGCCAGGGCGGGGCGGGGCGAGCCAGGGCGGGGCGGGGCCCTGACTGGACTGCGTCGCGCTCGGGGGCCGCGCCGGGTAGCGTTTCTTTTTAGTGCCTGAGGCAGCTCTGGCTCGGAGAGCCTTTTGCTAGCCCCACGGGGACCTCTGTGCACGGATGGACCCGCCCGGACCTGGCGGGAAGCGGCCTGGCAGGCGGCGGCCCCGGCGGCATCAGCAGAGACAGGACGGGGCCGACGCCGCGGGCCCCTGAGGCGTGCGTGCCCACCGGGCCCGGCGGCGGCACCATGATGCCGGGCGAGACCCATTCGGCGGCGCCCGGGACGGCGGCGGACCTGTCGCGATGTCAGGGCTGCGCCTCTCTGCAGCAGGTGCAGCACCTCCCGGGGCCCCGGGCGCGGGGGGGGACTCGGCTCGGCCGGCCGGGAGCGCAGGGATGTGGGGTCCGGCCGCGCGGGCTGTGCCTCAGTGCGCTGCTCTCCCTTCCCAACCGTAGCTCTTGCTCGCTCGTCTCTCTGCTCTCTTTTTCCTACATGAGTTTTGGGGACGGCTTTCTTTGCTTTATTTAAGCTTGAAACCCAGAGTTCATTGACTGGAATGCGCTGGTGTAACGGTGGGGGTGGAGTAAGCGAGGTTTGGAGGGCCCCCCACCTTCCCTACCCGGCCTCGGAGCTCCCTAGGGCAGACTCCGTAGGTCAGTGAGGGACAGGTGAAACGCCGAGGGCAGTTATCTCCCTGAGGATAACGCTTTGGTCTTCTGGCCCATCCTGAGTATTTGTTGTTTGGAGGCAGAATCTTACGTGACATGTGGGTTGTCTGAGTCTTAGACTCGAAGAGTCTAGGGAGGCGTTTCAGCTTATAGCAGATGTGCCATCCCGAGGCTAATTTTTTAAAAAGCAAGCCAAGTAATTGGTCAAGTAGCTTGTCAGTTGTTTGATAAAAGTAGTTTATGAAAGGCATGCAGAGACTGGAGGTTTCTAACAGCGGCGTGGGCTCTTCTTTAGAGTGACATAAGGGAGAATTGCTAGAGTATGGCTCCAGATCTTATGGGGTGGTACTTGGGCAATAGTGCCCCTCATTTCCCACGACTCTCCTAGCTGCCTGATGTCGGGGGTCTCTTTTAACTTCCTACTATCGCGGTTTCAGTGATAAAACGGAACTCACCAGCACCTCATTACCTACTCTGCCTAGTGTTCTAGGAACTACAGACATTGTGGTGAACAAAATAGGATCTCTCATAAGTAAGATGCATATGTGTGAATAAGGCCTCAGAAGATTTTAGGTGTTAGAAAATAAAGGAGGATGTTGGAATATTGGTCTTGTCTCTTAGCTAGAGTAGTCAGGTAGGGAATTTTTGAGTCAGTAACTTTCAGATATTTGAATAATGGGAAGGATCGGGCTGTCAGAAGAGATGTGGGAAGAGCTTCCTGGATAGAGGGATTAACAGGTGGAAAGGTTCCTTTGGTGAGAAGGAGCAGGGTGTCTTTGATGAGCAGAACATGGTATGGTTGGCATGAGCATAGTGCACACGGAAGATGGTTGATGAGACCAGACGGGAGTGCAGGCTAGGTAGGCCATGCCGAGAAACTTGGTTTGCATTTTAAGTGCAATATCTGTGAACTGATTGCAAACATTTTAAGTGTTGAAGGAAGGGGAGGAAGGAAATGTGCTGCTTTTGTGAGTAGAAGGAGAACTAACAGATCATTGCCTTCACTGAGCTGCATTGTGTAGGTATCTTATAACGCCCCCCCGCCCCCGCCACCACCACCCCAGGAACGTGATTGGAGTTCTCCCGAATCTTTAATACATTGTATTTATTATTCGAGCCAATTCACTCAACAAACATTTATTGATCACCTGCCGTATTTTAGACACTGCAATTATGGCATTAGGGGAGAAAAAGACAAAAATTCTTGATCTCTTGGAGCTTCCGTTCTAGGAGGGTGGCAGGATAAATGAAACAAATGAGTTATGTTAGAGGGTAATGAAAACGTTGTTGATGAATTGAACAGAGATGGGGAGGGAATGAATGGGTGAGGACTAGGCCAGTGGCTGTTGGAATTTAAGTAGGGAGTCCTGGAACGTTTATATTGGAGCAAAGGTGAGAGAATAATAAGCTCTGTAGAAATCTTGGAAGAAAAGTCTCCCATACAGTGGAAACATCAGATGTGAAGAACTGTAGCAGGAGCTGGCTTGGTGTGCTTGGGAAGAGCAAGAAGGCCAGTGAAGCTGGAGCGGAGTGAATGCTGGGAGTCAGGAAGGTAGGAGGAGGGCCTGATTGTGTGGGCTCCTGTAGACCATTGTTGGGGTTTGGGCGATGGAAATGGTGAGTCATTGGAGGCTTTTGTGCAGAAGAACTACTGATGTGAACTGTGCTTTTCAGTCATGGATCTGTTATGGTTAAATTTAGCAACTGTATTCTTCTGGTTGCTTAGGCCAGAAACTAGATGGCATCCTTGGTGCAGCTCTTTTTTTCTCATAACCTGTATCCAGTTTATCAGATTGTGTCCGCTCTGCCTTCATTATTCACCCACTTTTCAACATCTCCACTGCTTCCACCGTGGTGTGAACTACTCTAATGTATGGCCTAGAAATTGAATCTCCTTCCTTCTACCCTTGCCACATTTCCTGCTGTGGGTTCTCAAAACATCAATAAGAGTAATCCTAGATCCAGAGGTCTGCAAACTTTTTCTGTAAGGAGCAAGATCACAAGTATTTAGGCTTTGGGGACTTGCTCAGAACTGCTCAGCTCTGCCATTTTCATGTGAAAGCAGCTGTAGACAATTCACAAAGAAATGAGTATGCCTGTGTTCCATTGAAACATTATAAACACTGGAGTAGGGCCTTAGTTTACAGAGTTCTTCTCTAGGTCAGGACACTATTGCATTTGGATTTTCTGTGGCCTGGAATTGGATTACCTTTTTAGGGGAAAGTTACGAGTAGAGTCTCTGGAGGAATTCTGTAGTTGTGCAAAGTGAGTCTAGAAAAATAGGTTCCTGGCAGTTTATAGAGAACCTTGAATGGTAACCATCATAAATTCTTGTACTTATTTCTGTCAGTGTTATGGGATGGTGAAGGTTTTTGCATAGTTACGTTAGGACAGTGCTTGTAGTAGAAGTAACGGTGGTATGCAGGATGGATTGAAGGGGGGTGCAACTAGGTATGGTAAATTATTTTACTAATACATAATAGTGATAACAAAAGTCTGAAGTAATTGAAGGTTCCTGGGAAGGGGAATAAAGAAGAAAAAGGTTCTGAATATGAGACAGTGTAAAGAATGGGCAGGTCTCATGTCAGGAAATGGAAGGTCCCGAGGTTTAAAACTCAAATGACCATGAGAACTGTGGTAGATACAGGAGGAAGAGGAAATCAAGGTGGAAGGGACTGAAGTTGGAATGACATCAGAACTAGGAGTGTTCAGCCATTTTCAGATTTAATGTTTGTGGAACACAGTGCTTCCAAGGTGCCCTAATATCCCTCAAGGAAATAGCAGGCCAGGTTAGATGTGCACTGTGTTCAGTGTAAGAATTTTATCTGGGCTGGGAGCGGTGGCTCATGCCTGTAATCCCAACACTTTGGGAGGCCAAGGCAGTGGATCACGAGGTCAGGAGTTCAAGAACAGCTTGGCCAAGATGGTGAAACCCCGTCTCTACGAAAAATACAAAAATTAGCCGGGCATGGTGGCATGCGCCTGTAATCCCAGCTACTCAGGAGGCTGAGGCAGGAGAATTGCTTGAACCTGGGAGGCCGAGGTTGCAGTGAGCCGAGATGGTGCCACCACTGCACTCCAGCCTGGGTGACAGAGCAAGACTCCGTCTCAAAAAAAAAAAAAAAAAGCTTATTTGACAGAAGGGAGGTGTGAGGATAGGAAAATGGGGCATTATGTTCTGTCACTTAAAGGAATCTTTGAAACCATGAGGCCAATTCATGGGATTACATGCTATCATTAGAGTCAGTGACGGAAAACCAACTAGCTGATGTGTGGCCTTTGATGAAGGGGAACATGGAATGGTGAGGAAAGGAGAAACAGATAAAGTATGTTAGAGGGTTAAACAGGGAGTGCGTTCCAGAGGGAATCAAGAGTTCCAGAGGGAACCAAGATCGGAAAGAATGAGAATTAAGGAAAAGCAATTCTTTTGGTCAATTAGTAGATAACCGCTTTTTGGAAATAATTTTCGCATGTATTATAACTACGTGAAGTTCCATATTTCAATTAAACTTTCGTGTGAGAGAGAAACTAAAGAGGTACAGAGAGAAGATATTCTGTGCTATAGTTTTAACTTTTTGATCATGCAGAGAATTTACAAGTGTAACATAGGAGTCAGTCTTTCCAATGGTAGGCAACCATATTGGTGTTGTGACTTCATTCTGAACTGTAATGTTAGGCTAACTTGCCTCTCTGTCTTGAATAGTGGTTTGCTTGCACTGAAAATCTTCCTTTCATTTCTTAATCCTCCCTGTCCTTTTTTTCTTTAGTTGTTGAAGAGATAACAGTACCTTTGCAGAGATCATTATTTGATTCAGAAGTGTGCAGATTGACTACATTTTCTGTGTCTTTTGCTCGTAGTCTCACAAATCACTTCATATCTGTTTTGTTACGCTCATTGATTACAGTAGTTCATTGCTGATCCATAGCCCAATGCCCAAAGTTCTGGGTTGCAGAACTTTGGCAGTCAGATATAACAGTGTGGGTCCTCACTCTAGTCATATTATGTATTATGTATGGTTAAGTAAAGTCTTAAGTTGTGTGTGTTTAAGTCAAGCTAGTGAAGCTGACATAGTCTCTTTATTCTGATGAAGGAGAGGCCCATATTTGCTGACTTCACTGCAGTGCAAAACAGTTGGATTCTCCTGGGGATCCAGATGAGAGTTTGAAACACATGATTATATTGTTCATCTCATGTATCTAGATTAGATTCAGTGAGTTTGATGTATGGTTGTCCTTGGAACAGATTTGAGCCTGTCCATAAACTTGTGCTGGACTCCCATTGATAATCGCTAGTGATTTAAGTGTCATCGTTTGGAACTTGAAACATTTTATTCCAGACCTATTGATTTAGAAATGGTTCTTTTACAAGGAATGCTTACAAAATTGTAATTCATTCATTTGCCAAACACATTTATTGAGCTTCGATGTATATATGATGCTATCCTGTGTTTCAGAATACAATGATGAACAGAAGAGGCATGGAGCTCATTCTTGTTGAGGTTACAGTTAAGTAGAAAAGCAACCACAGTATAGGTATAATATAAATATTATGGTAAGGGACATATGAGGTACTCTGGGAGCATGTAGGAGGGACAGTTATATAGGAATTGTGCCACCTCTCTGAAGGCTTCATAAAAGTGAATCTAAATTGAGGTCTGAAAGATGATTTGCAGTTAACTAAGAGGGAAAAGATGGAGGGAGAGTGTTGTAGACAGAACAAGTTGTGCCAAGGCCTGGAGGGGAGAAAGTAGTTGACGATAGATGAAGCACAGAGTAAAGGTGGGGATAACTGAGGTGGGGCTGGAGAGACTGGGGTTTGCCTTCCCAGCACCCAGAAGCCACTCTGCTTGGTTTTGGTGGGTGGGTGTGGTTGGGGCACAGTTAGAGAGAGGTGGACATTCCTGCCTTGTTGCCCTGTTCCAGTCCACGCTGTGCCAGAGGTTTTAACAGGTGAGAAGACACACTCATCTCTGCTAGATATCAGTGTAGGCTTTGATTTTAAATAAGAGCAGTTAGTAAACAGCAAGCACACCAGGAATAAGTGGTTTATCAGAGAGGAGTCATGCTGAACAATTAGCCAGATCTCTCCCAGCAAAGCAATAAATGTGAGTAGTGTGATTTTTAAAAATAATTTATTTTGAAATAATTTCAGACTTACAATAAAGTTGCCACAATAATACAAATAACCCTGATGTTCTCAAATTCACAAATTGTTAACATGTTATTGCATTTGCTTCATCATTGTCTGCACACATACACTTTGTCTCCTGTACATGTTCCAGGGTATACTTCCTCCAGATATGAACGTTTTCCAACATAATTACCCTACACCCCTCCAAATCAGGATAGTAACATTGGTGCAGCTGTAGACCTATTCAGATTTTGCTTGCTGGCCTGGGAGTGGCTTTTTGCTTTCTTACTCAAAGTCATGTCAGGAATATGTGTTATATTTTATTGTAATGTCTCTTCAGCCTCCTTCATTTAGTCTTTGTCTTTCATGTTTGTGAAAGTTTAAACAGCAGAGCCTTGCATTCCTCAGCGAACGTTTTACTACTTCTGAAGACATTTTTGATTGTCAGTGTTGGAGTCCCTAAGACCATGCTCATGTTCAGTACTCATAGGACTTAGCATATAGTTATACTCATGGCTGTGGTTTCTTACAGGGAAAGCATACAGAGTGAAGTCAGTAAAGGGAAAAGGCATATGGGGCAAAGTCTGGGGAAATCAGGCACAAGCTTCTGAGAGTGTTTCCCAGTAGAGTCACACAGCACATGCCTAATTGCTCCAGTATCGTGTTGTAACAGTACTTGTGAAGTGTTATCTGCCGGGGAATCTCATTAGGGACCTAGTGCCTGAGTTTTTTTTACTGGGGGCTGGTCTTGTAGGCACCCTCTGCCTAGCAAGCACCAAGATTCCAGACCCCCACAAGGAAAGCAGGTGTTGAGCATAAACCATACATGATGAGCCATTTTCATCAGTTTGGGGAATGATGGGAAGGAACTCTCCAGAAATCCGAGTCCTCAGGTGACAGCCAATGGCCCACCTTGCAAGCAGGTCTTGCTAAGGATCGTGTTCTCAGGCCTGCTGGGTTAATTGTTTGCTGCACACACACCTTGGAGCTTGGGGAGTGCTACAGCCAGCTGGTAGAGGCCAGGGATTCTGCCGAACATCCCGTCTTCCTTCTAGCCCAAGATGTCAGTAGTGCTGAAGTTAAGAAACTGTCTTCTCTTACATATTTACTGATTTGTTTGAGCAGACTACATATCCCATTATCATCTGTATTTATTTGTTTGCTATATTATCTATATACTTACTACCTTAGCATAACCATTTTCCTGGCTACACTGGCCATGTCTTCTGTCATGTCCTCTCAGCTGGTATGCCTGCTAGCTTGCTCCTTGCCCTGTGTGCTCAGCCAGGTGTGATTCTACTTCCCCAAGAAAGGAAGGAAGCATGGGCATCAGCATTCACAGTGACAATTCAGGAGGGTATTGTATGGATAAAGTTAAAATTGTCTGGTAGAGGGGAGAAGTAAATGGGAAACAAAAAGTCTTGAGTAAGAGAGTGGGCTGCTCTGGGAATTGTGTTAGTGAATTAGTATAGCTTAAGAAATCACCCAGAAGGCAAAGAAAAGATGGTAGTTATGAGAGAAAAGAGGAGAGAATTGAAAATAAGCCTGAACTTTCCAATAGACTATATAATAGAAGCTCTAGAAGAGGAGAGCAGGGCTGCTAAGAGAAAGCGATAATCGAGGAAACAACCCTTAGTATCTCCTGGAGAGGAAGAACACCTTGAACCTCACTTCTTCCATAGCAGCTGGACCTGTGCAGGAATGAATGTGGGTCAGAGGAGCCTGATCGCCCTTCACCCAGGCACACCCTGCTCACTTTCACAATTGCGAGGTTCATTATTTAGAGGCCTTGGTTTCAGCCAACATAAATGACATCTGAATCTGATTGGAGGAAAAAAAAATGTTTTATCAGAGTATTACAATATCTGACCACAGATAATACAGTATCTGACCAGATTTGAGCTGATATGCAGCAGGGCCTTGGGAAATAATGTTAGTCAGAGACTAGAATGCTATCGGATAACTGAGAAATCTTTTGTTTTCTCATTATACTGTTTTGTGATCTTGTTTTTTGTTTAATCACAGTTAAATATAAAAAGGCAGCTAGACAGATATACAAGAGTTGTTAAGACAACAAGTCAGCAGCCCCCAGCCCCACTCATCCCTGCTTTCCAAGACAGAACCATTTTTAATTGCTTCCACTGTGTATTTTACAATGAATTTTCCTGTTGTTAAATAGTAGACTCATTGCTGACTTTGGGAGGTGAGGATTCAGCTCTCTTACTGCCCCATACTCCACCATGCCTAAGCATATCTCTTCTTTCTCCATTTGTTCAGTATAGTTATGATTTCAGTTAGATCAGTATTTGAAGTTGACATTATTAGGACTGTTATTTGAAGCTAAGCTGTGGTGTTTTCTGCATGGTTTCTTGTTTTCCCTGATAATGATTGTATCTTTAATTCAATTTTTCATCCTGAAGATATTAGTGAGTGCTTACTGCTATGCCAGGGACTGGATTGAACACTTTATATGGTGCATCTTATTTAATCCTGATAGTATGCCAGTTATTTAAACTCTTTTTGCTTCAGTTTCTCCATCTGTAAAACTGATGAAATAGTTTCGAGGCAGGGGAGAGGTTAAATAAATTTGCCCAAGGTCACTTAGCAGAAAGTGGGGGTGGAATAGGAATGTGAATCTGACTCTGTGACTCTGGAGCCTGAGGTTTCTTCGGGGTCTCTGCCTAAGTACTTGGCAACTCAAAATGACATCTAGAAGCATGGGAAAGATGAGCTAGGGTACCAAAGAACTCAAAAGAGAATGGGAGAAAAAAGAGGAAGAATCACTTTTATTTTAGAAAAAATAATAGTTTAAATGCATGTCCAAAAATAACTGCATTCCCTTGCAAGTCTCTGCCAGTTTGGTATAAATACTCGAATGTTTTCAGTCTTTCATTTTCTTCTCCCTTCGAGCTTTGGGGCCTACTGTCATCTGGTACGCAGCAGCATTCTGAGGGCTCTCTTCACCCCCATCTCCATTCCGAAGGACCATGTTCACATCTTTCAGTACCCCCTGAGAAAGAATGTCTGGGAAGTAAGTTTGTAGAGACTTTGCAGATTTGAAAATATTTATTGTGTAGAATTTTATCTTGGAATTACTTGCCCTTTGCCATTTCGAAGGCTTGCTTTCTAGGTCTAGTTTTTCGTGTTGGTGTTGAAGTCTGAAGCCATTCTATCCCCGATTCTTTGTGTATCACTTGATGCCTTTTATTTTGCTCTTGGGATTCTGGTAGGGTCTTTGCTTTGTCTCCAGTGGTCTGAAATTTTGTGTTCTTGTTTCATGGTTTGAATCCTATTGAAGTCCATATTCCAGGCCCTTTCAATTAGAAATTTCTAGATTTGCTTCTGGGAACTTTTCTTGAATACCAGTATTTTTTTTTTAATTAGGTCTCCATCTTCGCCTTATTCTTTATGTGGAACTCTTATTGTTGGGTATGTGGGGCCTCTTGTGTTGATACCCTATTTGTTTTTATTTATTTTCCTTCTTTCTCGTGTCTGGGTTTTTATTTTCTGCATCCTTTTTTTTTAACTTTATGGTCAAATATTTTGAGTCTTTGTTAGCTATAACAGCATTATTGAAATATAATTTACATATAAAATTCTGCCTTTTATTGTATACAATTCAGTTCAATTCACAGAGTTGTGCAGACATCACCACTACATAGTCCTAAAACATTTTCATCCTCCACCTTCCCCAAAGAAACCCTATACTAGTTACTAGTCATTTCCTGTCTCTGTACTCTTCCTCCAGTCTCTGGCAGCCACTGGATTACTTTTGGCTCTGTTAAGGAAAATTCATATGAATGGACTCTAGAATACACGTGGACTTTTGTAACTGGCTTTTTTCACTTAGCATAATGTTTCAAGGTTGGTCCATGTTGTAGCATGTATCATTCGTTCATTTTCATTGTCAAATAATTCCTGTTGTATGGATATGTGACATTTTGTGAATCAGTTCATCCTTTGATGGACATTTAATTTATGTTCACTTTTTGGCTAGTTTGAAATAGTGCTGCTATAAATATCAGTGTGTAAGTTTGCCGTGGACTCTATTTTCAGTTCATACCTAGGAATGGGACTGTTGGATCGTTGGGTAACTATTTAACATTTTGAGGAACTGCAAAACTAGTTTGCTCAGCAGCTGCCCCATTTTATATTCCCACCAGCAATGTATGAGGAATGTATTCAGTTTCTCCACATCATCATCAACACTTGCTATTGTCTGTCTTTTAATTTTAGTTATTCTAGAGTGTTCATTTTTAATTTTTAAGTTTTTTCAATTTTAAGAGCTCTGAATATTCCTTTCAAAAATAACTTGTTTCGCAAATATAATATTATTTATCTCATCCTATTAATAAACATTTTTTAAGTTTTCTTTTCAGTTTTTGTTTACTTCAGGTTGCTTTTGCTTGTTTTAGCCTCTTTCACACTGCAGGTCTGTCTCATGTTTGGAAGTCCTTGCAAAGAGCGAGTAGCAGATACACTGAGGATGTGGGGCTTCTGGACCCTGAGTGTCAAGGCAGGACAGTCTGGTTGGGCCATTTATTGATTGAAGAATGTCTAGTGTCATTACCTTTAGATATTATCTGTAAGAAGGTATTTCCCTTCTTCTTCCTGGAAGACAGAAGGACTACACTGTTTGGAAGCCTAATGAAGAGAGACAGGCAGCCAGTCTTAGACCACTGTGCTTAGGTTTATTTAATCTTTATGCTTTTGACATAGTACACCTGCCCCAAGGGTCCCTGGTGTTACAGAGACCTTCAAAAAGCAAACCTCTTTCTGCTGGATGGGGGAGGAGTGATTTCTCTGAGGCATGGTGGATGGTTGGGGATTGGGATTAAATGCTTATGAGAAAGTTTGCAACTAGTGCTTGTTTTAGTTCCATTCCCCTTCACCTTCTCAAAAGAATCCATGTTACTGATTCTCAAGCTTGTTGAAGTTTTGCAGTATAAATGGAGCTGGTTCTCACTTTTCCCCACTGCTGGCTTTCTTGGGTGCTAAATCAGTACTCTTGAGTCTGCTTTCCAGTTTCCGTTTGTCTTTTATCCTCTTGTCATCCTTGTTGGTTTTGCCTTTTGAAAAAAAAGTTTTTGACTGTATTTTTAGCTGGTTTTAGGGAGGGAAATAAAAGCAAATGCATGCATCCACCCTCTCTGCCCAGAAATCTGGATTAGGGCCCACTCTAGTCCAGTATGACCTCATCTTAACCTGATCATATCTGTAAAGACCCTATTTCTAAATAAGGTCATTCTAAAATACTGGGAGTTAGGACTTAAGCATGTCTTTTGTGGGACAGGTCATGATTTAACGCTTAACAGATGGTGACCCAACAATTCTGTACCTAGCAAAGTCTTATTCATGCATGAGAGGTGTTCCTAGTTTACTCCCTCCTTACAGTTTTTAGCAAGGGAAAGGCATCCTAGTAATTTTAGTGCAAAAATGGTATAGGCATATCACTTATGAACATAGATGAAAAAAAAAAACCTAAGTAGGATATTGGGGAATTGAATCCTCAGTGTGTTTAAATAATGTTAACATAGTGTTCAATTACTTTTATCCCCAGGAATGTAAGGCTGCTTTATCATTAGAAAATCTATTGTAGTTCACTGAAATTAATAAATAAAGGGAGAAAAATACATATTCAAACTAAATACAGAAATTTATTTGATGAAGATTGATACCTATACATGAAAATCTTTTAGCAGACTGTGTGTAGAAGTTTCATAACATGATTAAAGGATATCAACCAATAACCTGGAACAGAGCAAATTTAATTAACTAATTCCAACTTTTAAGACAAAGACACCTGTTATTACCCTTACTATTCAATATTGTGCTGAAGCCTTAGTCAGTTCAGGAAGGAGGGCAAATGAAATGTAGGCATGAGTAAAGGTAGGATAAAATTATCAGTGAATGTTACAACTATTCACATAACACACCCAAGAGAATCTGCAGATAAATTATTCACTGCTGGATTTACTTTGCATATATTTTATTTAGATCTTTTGTGTGTATGTTTATAAGTGACATTGTTGTAAAATGAGCTGGTCTTACTGTAATCAACAAACAAAAATTAGTAATATTTTTGCATACCCTTAAGAACCAATTAGGAAATGTAATATAGCAAAAACAGCAACATAAAGATAGTACTCATGCTAGTGGTAAAAACAAATTAAGCTAGGGTGTAAAAGCTAACCAGGATGTAGAAAACATCCTTCAGGAATGCGTAGAGGAAAAATAGAAAAAATTATCACTGTGTGTGTTTTGATTTCATTATATGCTGCCAAAATGCTCTTCAAATACTACCACCCATAGTATGAATTGTATTTTCCTTACATCCTTACCAATATGTTTATTTTAGTCTAGCCTAGTGGATGAAAAGTAAATTTTTGTTATTTTAGTTTTGCATTTCCTGATATGAAAAAGGTGGAATACGTTTTTTAAAAAATGTCTATTGACTATTCCAAATTCTTAATCTGTGAATTGACAGTTTATATCCTTTACCTTTTTCAGTGTAAACCTCTGAAATGCATAAGTCTGGTCCAGCAGTACCAGTATTTGGGCTTTATTCTCAGGAAAAATAGAACTGTTTGACAAAGGAATGGGCAAGGAAATTCATGGCATGCTGTCTGTAAAGACTGGAAAAGGACCTAAACCTCCCTCAACAACAATTTGATAGATGGAGTACATCCAAAAATATATTTTATATATGTGGTGGCAGTTCTGAAAGTTGAAAGTTAAAAACACGCTGAGTGATTTTTGACAGATGGTGAGATTACAAGAGAAACTATGCATTTGACTTTATTTTAATGTGTAGATGTTTTAACAGATATGTAACATAACTGAGAAGAAAAGGCAGACATTATCATAAAGGGAAATATTACTGTAACTATCAAAATCATTTGGATTATCTGGAAAACTATTGGGATAATCAGTGAAAATTGAACATAGTTTGGATAATTTCAAATTATTACTTGGTGTAATTATTACTTGTGAAGGGCTATTGTGGTTATGTTTAAAAGTAAGTCCTTATTTCTGAAGTATTTAGTGATGGAAAAAGGAGACATTAAAGGAAAGAAGTTAATGAAAAGAAAAAATTAGCTCATTTTAAAATCTTAGGAACATTTCAACAGTGTAACTAAGGATGTTTTTCCTTTTGGGTTGATAGCGGTAATTTAGAGCCAAATTTGTGTTTTTTTTTTTTTTTGTTTTGTTTTTGTTTTTTTTTTCGAGATGGAATCTCACTGTCACTGGAGTGCAATGGCACGATCTCGGCTCACTGCAACCTCCGCCTCTCAGGTTCAAGTGATTCTCCTGCCTCAGCCTCCTGAGTAGCTAGGATTACAGGTGCCCACCAACACACCTGGCTAAATTTTGTATTTTTAGTAGAGACAGGGTTTCACCATGTTGGTCAGGCTGGTCTTGAACTCCTGACCTCAGGTAATCCGCCTCAGCCTCCCAAAGTGCTGGGATTATAGGCATGAGTCACCGCACCCGGCCTAGATCCTTATATATTTTTTCACTTAATCTTAGTCCATTTTAATATTTCTATTCATCTCCCCCATGGTTTCTTTTTTGTTGTTATTTTTTATGATTTATGTGTCTTTTGGGGTAGCCTTAAATCCTCTCAGAAACAATGCAGGGTAAAGATTGATGATTAATAGCAAACTAAAAATAGTTAATATTTATTGAGCTCTGTGGCTAATTGCACACAGTAAAAGCATATTTACAACTAACTACCTTGCTGTTAAAGGAGTACTATCATTCAGATAAACAGGTTTGGAGAGAGGCACCATAGGCTCAGATTGTGCTCTACACAATATAAGTAATGCATTAACATTTCTATGTTTATATAATTATTAAAATTCTTAGATATGATAAATAATGTTACAGACAATAATTATATTTAAAGTAATTGATAAAAAAGCTGACTGTGGCTTTTTTTCTTTCAGAATTTGAATGAATATGTTGAAGCATTAATTACCTTGAAACAAAAAATTATCAATACAGAGTAAGTATATTTGCATGTCGTTTGGCAGAACTTTGTAAACCTGACAAACTGGCTGAAGCAGGCGGTGCTTTTAGGCCCCCAGGGCTGGAATGAACACTAGAGTTTCTCCTTTGGAGGCCTGCATGGTACTGATTATAATTCCCCGTGAGCTTTGGGACTTGAACCTTTTGTTACAGGTTCACAGGCCTTTAAAACAAAGCTCGTGGGTTAGTAGGAAGTTGTTTTTACCAAACTGGACTTCTTAAAAAATCTGTTTTCTGTCTTCAAAGCCTTCTTAGCTTTACTGCTGGACCTCAAACCTCCTAACAGTATTTTATAGCCATGGTGTGAGATTTCCTATTTTTTTTGTTTTCAGCTTTGTAATAGTCTCATGAATGTATGAGCCAAGATACTACTCAGATCTAAAGGTTTCTAAATAAAAGGCTTGTATATCAACGTGATGCTTTTGAGAAATTTAAGGTGATATAGTCATTAATTTAGCATGCATTTGTTTCAGGAAATCTAGGAAGTCTAGAGGGTGCCTTGCATGGATTGAAACATAATTTTAACATAGTATATTTTCTAAATTAAAAAGTAACCTAATTTTTCTTTTCTTTTTTGCAGTAATTTGTTAACAGAATATCAGAAGAAATGTGATGATATCCTTTTACTGGCTTTTTCTGTTGAGTTTTGGAACTAACTTATGTTTAATTCCTGAAAGAGATGTGAGAATTGTTCCTCATAGGCCTTCTGGAAGATAGTACTTAACAGGCTTCAGTAGGGAGCATGTCTCACAAGCACAGTAAACAGACAGTCCTTTTATTCTTAATCCATGTTTAATGATGAGTTTTAAAAATGAGATTACTTTTCTTGTTGATTGTGATTTTCTTAACGTCTCATAAGCTTTTTAGTGGGTGGGTTTCTCTTAATTTGTACTGAGGATGTGGCATGTTTTTTAGGTTTACGAATAATGTGAAACTGAATGTGATACTTGCTGAATGTTATTTTTGAATCTGCAAGAAGTACAGTATGGGAAATTCAAAATGTTGGGCAATTGACTTTCATTAATTATTTTTGTGATTTACAGGGAAATGTGTGTGTATATATATATCTCCAAAATCATAGAAATAGCGTTGCTGTATATTCATGAACGCTGTGGGCAGTCAGAAGACAATTCTTGGCCTTACAGTCACCACTTGTTCGGTAGCCATTTAATGAGCTCGGTTGTGGAGTTAGTGTCTGGTCAGCTATTTTTTTAGCAGTGGGAAAAAGATGTGTATAATTGATCCTTCCATGTCTTGCTGTGGTAATACCTTGATTTAAATCTCTCCTGTAAAAACTTAAAGTTTCTCTCATAAAAGTAAACATACGTATACTCCTTTAGGGAGTCCCTGAAATTTAGCTTCATGTTCGATGTCAGGACAGATTCAGCTGTTCAGCTTTGGCAATAACTTGAGGCCTGCTTCAATATGATTTATGTCATACCTGAACTTACATGTCATCATCAGTTATTTATTTGTGTTGGTACCATCTGTACTAGTTGATTCTCACGCTGCTATAAAGGACTACCCGAGACTGGGTAATGTATAAAGGAAAGAGGTTTAATTGACTCAGAGTTCTGCATGGCTGGGAGGCCCCAGGAAACTTATAATCATGGCAGAAGGGGAAGCAAACACATCCTTCACATGGTGGCAGGAGAGAGAAGTGCAGAGCGAAGCGGGGAAAAGCCCCTTATAAAACCATCAGATCTCGTGGGAACTCACTCATTATCAGGAGAACAGCACTGGGGGACTGCCCCCGTGATCTGATCACCTCCCACAAGGTTCCACCCCAGCACCTGGGAATCACAACTTGGTTTACAATTCAAGATGAGATTTTGGGTGGGGACACAGCCAGACCATATCATCATTTCTAATTTCTGTGAAAATCGTAAAATTAAGAGATATCCTTTAGATTTATTTTTACTATCTGAATTTTTACATTCAAAAATAAAGGTCATTGGAAATCTTCTTATGTGCCTCATCTGTTAAAACCATCAGTCCATTTAACTATACGTGCATATTATGGCAGAAATGATATCTTCAATTGTTAGTGAAAGGTGTATGGAAACAATTATCACAACTTTTAGAAGGCTAAATAGGGAAATAGATGGGCAGTTCCAGTATTAGGAGAGTATGTGTTCATTGTATCATTCTTGGAAAAAATATGCACACTCTTTGAGTTAACTTATACATGTAACCTAGCAGAGAAATAATTGTTTTACTTTTCTAAAGGTTGGCCAGAAAAATTTTAAAACAAAAATTATCAGAATCCTTTATTAACGGATAACACTTTTGATTATTCCTGGATTTCAGAAGTTCATTCTGTAATATGATATTTGGCTTCATTGTCAGCTACAGATAGATACATACCTTTAAAAAAATATGTTTCACATTTGCTCCAAGTATGCATTTGTTGTACCTCAAATATGCAGTTGTTTGCTCTGCAACTTGAAGTGCCGATGTCACAGATTTAACATGGCTTTTAAAAATATAATTTGATTCCTTTTGCTACTAAAGTAGCAGTGCATTTTCCCATTTTTTTCAAGATGGGAAAGTTATTTCTTCCATAACTGCACTATGATAATTCAGTATTTCAGCTCTTTTTTGTGTAATTCTGACCACTTTATTATCACCTCTTTCTAAATGGCAAGAAATGTATTTTATTTCATCAGGTATTTTTTGAACTTTCCTATTTTGCAAAGATTAATTTAGGATGAATAAAATATAGTTCTTGTTCTTCAGAAACCTTCAGAAACTTACATTCTAATGGAGGATGCACACGTTTTTATGAACGTACATGTCCTATATTGTGATAAAAATACAGGAATTCCTAGGAGATGAAACATAAAGGAATTGTTTTTTGCTATCTTAGAATATTTTACTAGCAGTATGAGATGGTAAAATAAGGTTATCAAATTACATAAATTGTAAAAAATGAGAGTTTTGTAGATTTTATGATCTGTTTTCTACAAAACATGCTTATATATGGTTTTTGTAAGTACATAACTTTTGTTTGCTGGAATTATTCTCTGCACTATTTGAAAAATGAAGGACAGGTTGTTTGGGGATTCCGCTATGTAGAGAAATCAAGGTATTTTCTATTAGTTGCATATTGCTTTGTCTTTCTTTTAATTCTGATCATACATTTATTCACAGAACTCTATTTAGAGAAACAGATATTTTGACTTGGTACATGTTATTATGGTAAATGGAAATAACTCAGTAAAAAGACTTACCACTGTGTTTTAGATTGCATTTTGAATATAGTTTTCTAGTATTTATGATCTTGCCTGTATATATGTTGAACACAAATTATTAAAGATAATTGTAAAGTGAGTTTTATCTCCAGAGAAGTATCAGAAGATAAAATTCTCAGAGTTTTCTTTAATAAGTTTTACAGCTGCAGTTTGCAAGAAGGTGAGCCAACCTGTTTCATAGTTTATGATACCACCTATATGAGTAGTTGATCTGAGATAGACATTTATTGGAGCAGATTTTTAAGCAGCTTTGAGCAAAATGTACATAGGATTACTCATAATATAGAATGCTGCTTTGATGCTCATAATAAAATAGGACTCAAGTTCTCCTACTATTAAATTTTTCAAATGAATTTGTTACTAAGGTCTTGAATTACAACTGGGTGTTTCACTTTTGAGTAACTTGTACTGACTGCATTGCCATTGAAGTGAAGCTTATTGTTGTCAAATTAACTGTTGTTTACATGGTTCACACTTTAATGTGGTGGTTTATCTTCTGTTACTTTAAACAGTTGAAAATAGGCCTACATAAAATTTTGGCAATGTTTCATTCTCTGATTGGATTCATCACCCAGATGAAGGCGAAACGTGGTTATAAACTAAGCCATAAAATTGCCTGTCACTTAAATTGAATAAATGGGTATGAGCTCAGGACTCAAGATTGGAACAGCCGGATTCTCAGCCAGGCTGTTTGAGTGATTTTACTGTAAAGTATTCTTCAGCAAATTAAGAATCTACTTGTTTCTCACAGAGCTTTTTGGTAGACTTTTATCAGAAATAGATTACTAGGCTGGCCGCAATGGCTCATGCCCATAATCCCACCACTTTGGGAGGCCAAATTATAATAGTAATAGTACTATTTAATAGCAAATAGTACTATTTAATAGTAAAATTTTTATACTATTAAAATTTTTTTTAATTAGCCAGCTGTGGTGGCACTCAAATAGTAAATAGTACTACTTAATGGTAAAAACTTTTTTTAAATTAGCCAGGTGTGGTGGCACATACCTGTAGTCCCAGCTGCTTGAGAGGCTGAGGCAGGAAGATCACTTGAGCCTGGGAGATTGAGGCTGCAGTGAGCCGTGGTGGTGCCACTATACTCCAGCCATTATATTCCAGCCCAGGAGACAGAGTGAGACCCTGACTAACAAAAAGAAAGAAAAGAAAAAAAAAATACTATGCCTAAGAAATAAAGGCAATGTGAAGATCATGTTGGTGTAGAGAGAAGTGCATTTAAAAAGACTTTTTCATCCTTTTTTTTGTTCCAAGTTAGCAATAAAATCTGAAATTATAAGCACATATATTTAATACTTCGTTATAGATCCTTTTCTGTAATAATGTTAATTCATTGTCTTTAGAGAGAATAGTAATCTGCATCACCAAGTGGAAGAGATGCTTCAAAAAATTTCTCCTCTACAGAAATGTCAGGAAGAACTGGGATCTTTAAAAGCAGAGCTAGAAGAGAAAAAGGTATGAACAATAATTTTCTGTAAAGATTTACGGTCAATAAATTAGGATGAGCTTATTCGGTATAATTGGGACGAGGGGGCTTTTGATGTGTTAAAGGAAATAAAGGCTAGTCAAGACTCTCAGTGTATTATTAGCTTTAGAGAACATTGAACTAACTGCTTAGTAGCTTAGTCTTTACAGTGATTATTAGCTCTGCAATACTGTGTCAGTTGCTTATGCTTTTTGAGAGGGTCAGCAGAAAATGCTTCTCACTATGAATTTGTGTGGTTTTATGTGTTCTGCATTAATTGATTTTTATACCTTTGTTTTTTGCTTAAATGTAAAATAACATGCAAAAATTCAAACTTTAAATGTAGAGGAATCGTTGTACATAAGAGAGAGGGAGCAGGAGAGAATTTTATTTCTTCAGTGGCTCTGGCCTATCTTTGGAGAGCCCAGTGGTGAATGAAGCGTGTAGGGCTTCTGCTCTGGTATGAGTTAAGATGTCCTTTAAAGAACCTACTCTCATAATTCATAAACTAGTCAATATTTTAAGCAATGTCTGTATACTTTACCTCTGTAACCCTAACTGCTTTGTTTGATCCCTTTTTAAAAAATCTCTTTTCATTTCTTTTTTTGGCAGTCATGTATAGTCTCTTGTGGTTTCTCATTGTCTGTGAGAGGTACACAAAAATGAGTCTTTCAATAATGCTTTTATAAGTAAGCGTTCAGGTTAGGGGTTATTTCTTTTAGGGCATGTTCGATCTTTTTGGGTGATACTTATTAAGCTGAGATGGAGCATTGGGAGAAGATGCCCACTTCAGATATGAAAATACGTATGTCTTTTCATGGAAGCTCTTCTTCTTTTCAAAGTCAAGTTGCAGTAAAACAGTTTGTTTAAAATGCTGTAAACTCCCTTTTCTATGTAAATTGTTGTTTACTCCCTACATGAATCTTAGAATTCATAGCTTTTACAGATAAAAACATTAAAGTCCATAGATTTAAGTGGTTTGCATGAGCCAAGTAGCAGCCACCTGGAATGATCCTCCTTTCTTAACCTCTTCTCTCTAGGCGCTTCTCACGGTAGTGTTTGTGCCTCTCAGTCTTCCTCAAATTGTGCTATTTTAGTGGTGACACGTAGCTGTCTGAGGTCTTACGTGCTTTAATAGTACATACTTATTTTCCTCTTTATAGAAATTCTTACTATATGTATAACTATGCTGTCAAAGTTAAACAGAAACAATCACAGTGTTCAATGATCTCTATTTGGTTATATAATCTTTTCAGCCATATTTGAGAAGAAGCATGAACATTGGAGTTAGACCTTAATGATAACCCTCATTAGTTGTTCAGTTACTGTCTTTGGAAGAGCAAGTCATCCTGTCAAACCCTGAGATTCCTCATTTGTAAAAAAGGAATAATGAAACTGTTGAGATTAAAGAACTCTCTCAGAGCTGTTGAGATTAAAGAAATGTATAGTTATCATACCCTGCTAGAACTCTCAATAACAGTGTCTTTCCCATTTTATAGTAGCTGCTAGGGTGTATATATCAGTGTTCACACATTTTCCCCAGTTATCATTAAGTATAATGATTTGTTTTAAATTTTCCCTAGCAATACCGTTAGCTCATATTTATTATGCTCTAATATTTTTTCAGGATATGTTGAATTTTAATTAGTTGAGGCAAAAATATTAGCTGTTTGATATTTAAACCAATTATGAAGGTTTAGAATTGCAATAAAATTAGTATATTGTTTTTAAGTTTTATAGTTTTTGTTGGATTATATTGTTAGTCATATTTCATCTATTAAGAATCTGGTTACCTCTATTAAAATATTCAGTGACTATTTTTTCTGCCTAATGTCTGTTTATTTGGTTAATAGCTTATCAAAGGCAAAGCAAGTTATGACCAATGGTCAGTGACTTTCATTTTGACAATATCTGTTTTTTTTCTTTTTTTAAAGAGTTCTTTAAAGTTGTATCAGGATACTCATCAGGAATATGCTCGTGTAAAGGAAGAATGCTTGAAGAGTGATGCTCAGTAAGTAGTTACTAAATTACTATAGAAATACGGTTTTCAGTTTTGAAAATACGTAATTCTTAAGTCGGTAGTGTTTTTTTTTTTACAGTCTTTGGATTTCTTGGCCATAATTAGCTGCATGGTCTTGAACTAGTTAGTCTCTCAACCTTGGTTTCCACATCTGTAAACTGGAAGTTATATCTACTTTGAAGGGTCATAAGGAACATTAAATAAATTGTCATATGTTAAAGGGCTGCACAAAGAACTCCATAAAGGTGTTTGTCTCTGTATGTATATGCATTATATTTGCATGCACATGTGTCTGTGTGTGTCTAAAGGTGTTTGTCTGTGTATATAATGCATTATGTACTCATTCACTTGTGTCTGTGTGTCAGAACATAATGACTGACCCCTTGCTTTGTGCCAGTGCTTTAACCGATAGCATGTGGAATGGGTATCTTTGCTACTATTCATAAAAAGGGCTGTTCAGAAGCATCCCCTTGATCATTGAGGTTCATACTATAGTCATGTTATTCACAACAAATGTGAGCTATACATAAAACAGTTGAATGTAGATGTAATGAAGCAGTGACTCAGAGAGTTATCCACCTTTTCAGACTCTCAGAAATCCATCTTAAAGCAAGTGTAGCTCTTCAACCACTGCTTTCCATACGGTGGTGCTGTGACCACTGTTAACGCTATGCATGCTCCTGAAGAGTAACCTTAACTCATTAGACTCTGGACTGACTCTTAGAGACCATCTAGAAACTTCAGCTAGTCTCATGAATGATGCCACTGCAGTTCAGGAAGGGTCCCAGATGTACTCATGGCAGAAATTTGACAGGCCCATGGCATGTGTTTCAAGTGGAAAGAACAGAATTTTTTAATCCACTGTAAAGATATTTCATACTAAATAGTATATTATTCTCTCTTAGGATACTAGTTCAGACTGAACATTTGTTATACAAATATTTGTAATTTAAAAAATATGTGCCACAAATTATAAGGCATATTTTTTCCTATTCTCTCTTTCTTGCCATTTAACTTACACAATTTCGTTATTAGGAAGAAGAAACTAGAAGCTAAGGTGAAGAAGCTGCAAGGTAAGTGGCACTATTGTTACCTGAAGTTTTCGGTCAGTACAAAAATCACTGGTAACTGTATGAGGAGGTACTTCTTGATCAAATAGTTGAATTGTTATGGTTTTTGATGGTACATCCATGGATGACTGCATCAAGGGGTCTATTAGAAAGAAGTGTGAATACTACTCTCCTCTCAGTTACCAAATGGTAACATAGAGATGGAATGTGGCAAATCTCCGAAATGTTACTGCACTCAAAGTAATCGCAGCCCATACTTTTGCTATAAAAAGCAGTAATTAATGAAAGAATTTAATTTGGAAAGTTGAATCTCATAGGGCTTTTTCTTTTTTTCTTAATGAAATAAGTAGCTGGTGGAAAGGGTGGCTACTTTTAGTACCAAGAAACATGTATTTAGATAGTTATAACACACATACAGAGATTTCGATGAAATTTTGTACATTAGGGATTGTCCAGTTTGTACCTGATCCTCACCCGTGCCTCACCCTCTTGTTAGGGGTTCTAGCCTACAGTGAGTAGGTACGAGTGCAGAGGGACCATGCGAGAATCTAAGTCCTCACATTTCAGCTAATAACCTTTCAGGAACTGGTAGGAATTGAACTCAAGATCTTTTTATTTGCTTTTTCCTCCCTTCATTGTGTGGGTGGGACACAGACCTAATACCAAGTAGAGACAAAGGGGCTCTGCCAGATCCATCCTGCACACGATCTTCCTGTCATTCCAGCCTGGACTGCAGCGGGCATCTTACCTGCTATGGGTTTCTGACCCATTATCTTGCTAGTGCTCTACTTCAGAGATGGTTTATGTTCATTTAGAGCGTGAAGTTAGAGTTTGAATTTAGTTACATCCGGGCACATAGAATAATAGTTGCGGAAAGTATTTCTAGTCACTAATTTTTCTTGATTGAACCAAATTTTTTGGACTGGAACTCTAAATATTTCGGTAACAATTTTTCCTCTGGTTTGATTATTGCATGAATACTGACAATATGGCAGTAAGAATGATATTTTGTGTTCTAAGTATTGGTGTCTCTTGTAAGAATATGGAGATAAGTGTCTATTGTATTTAAACAAAATTTTTTTAATTTTTAAACTTTTTAAATTTTTTATTTATCATATTTTATTTTTTGAGACAGGGTCTCTCTCTGTCACTCAGGCTGGACAGGTGGTGCGATCTCGGCTCACTGCAACCCCTGCCTTCTGGATTTAAGAGTTTCTCCCACCTCAGCCTCCCGAGCATCTGGGACTACAGGCACGCACCACCAAACCTAGCTAATTTTTGGCTTTCACCATGTTGGCCAGACTGGTCTCGAACTCCTGACCTCAAGTGATCTGCCCGCCTCAGCTTCCTAAAGTGCTAGGATTACAGGTGTGAGCCACTGCACCCAGCCACATTTTTTATTTAAAAAAGAATTTTTTTTTTTTTTTGAGAGGAAGTCTCGCTCTGTCGCCTAGACTGGAGTGCAGTGGCGTGATCTCGGCTCTCTACAACCTCTGTCTCCCGGGTTCTGCTTCAGCCTCCTGAGTAGCTGGGCCTATGTGTCATGTGCCACCACACCTGGCTAACTTTTTTATATTTTTAGTAGAGATGGGGTTATGTTGGCCAGGCTGGTCTTGAACTCCTAACCTCAGGTGATCCGCCTGCCTCAGCCTCCCAAAGTGCTGGGATTACAGGCGTGAGTCACCGCGCCTGGCCCACTGCTTTTATTTTTTAGAGACAGGTCTCACTCTGTTGCCTAGGCTGGAGTGCAGTGGCAAAATCATAGCTCATGGTAACTCTGCCTTCAGGTGATCCTCCAGCCTCAGCCTCCAGAGTAGATGGGACTATAGGTGTGTGCTACCACACCTGCCTTTTAAATTTTTTGTAGAGATAGGGTTGCCCAGGCTGGTCTTGAACTCCTTGGCTTGAGTGATTCTCCTGCCTCAGTCTCCCAAAGTGCTGATACTACAGGTGTGAGCCACTGTGCCCAGCCAAGGAAATTATTTTTTTGAGACAGGGTCTCACTCCGTCACCTAGGCTGGAGTACAGTGGTGCAGTCATGGCTTACTGCAGCCTCAGCCTCCCAGACTCAGGTGATTATTCCACCTCCTGAGTAGCTGGGAACTACAGGTGTGCACCACGACACCCGACTAATTTCGACTAATTTTTGTAGAGACAGAGTTCCACTATGTTGCCCAGGCTGGTCTTGAACTCCTGGGCTCAAGAAACCTGCTCATCCTCCCAAAGTGCTGGGATCACAGTCGTGAGCCACTGCAAGGAAACATCTTTAAAGAAATCTGAAGTGCCAGTGAGACTATATATACAGGTTTTAGAACAGACTTTCTGTGAAGCAAAATGCCGCCTTTATTTTTCGTGTATAAAAAGTAGTTTTTCTAGTAAAAAAAATTTATCGGTGTGACTTAATAAAGATTACTGAGAAAAAAAATATCCAAACTTGTTAGAGGAGTCAGGAGAGGATTGTTACTGAGGTGTTTCATGGAGTTTTAGTTAGTAATTGTATATGAGCATAGTTATGTAAAGTCAGTACTGGTCAGATTCTTAATAGTATGTCTGGACCATTTGAGGCTTCAGAAACAAAAATGAAAATGAAGGATTACCTAAAATAGATCTCTAATAAAGGTCCTAGGGATTATGTTTAGCTAACTTGTTGAAGAGAATTCCAGGGAAGAATAACCATATCTATAATAAGCATTGAGAAAATCGCCTCTCCCCTCCCTAATAAAGAGGCTATATTCTGAGATAAAATCACATTTCTAAAATTTCTAGGACTTTAAGGTTGCCAGTGATTGAAATGGGACGGCAACTCCCTTTTATGCCTTGAATTCTTCCTTAACTAGGGGTTGGGATTGCTGTGCCTGGTTTGGAAAGAATTCTTAAGGCCTGCGCTAGTTCTGTGGTTTAAATGACAGTTAAAGAAAAAAGTACATTGCATTCAGCCCTGACGATAAAATATTGAAGGAGCAATGGCTTTTTACGAAATTTATTTCAAACTTTTAAGAAATGAGAAAAACTTGTAATAGATAAGATTTTGAGTATTTCATTAACCACAGTAGTAAAGTTAGTAAATTATTTTTCTCTCCCTATTGCTTCATTGGACTTAAAGAGGCTGCTGTCAAGCAAACTCAGGACTTCAAGCAACTGAGAAATGAAAAGAAAATACTTGAAAAGGAATTTAAGAAGACACAGGTACTAGATAAAAGCAGCATACACACACCTTAAATACGTGGCTCCAGGGTCTCTGTAGTGTCTCTGTGTTGTAACTCACGTAGGAGTCAACATGAGGCCCCCTGGCAAAAACAGTCCCAGCTGCCTGTTAAGTTGCACCTGTTTTACATTTGGTCTAGAATGGCTGCACTTCTTATTCAGCATAAACACTATTAATATTTTGTTTTCACAGGAAAGGCTTGACGAATTTTCTAAACAGAAAAATGAAAAGGGTGAGTATTCAGTTAATGCTTACATAAATTTATTTTTGATATGTAGTATTTTATTAACCGTTTTTTCCCCATGCTTTTAGAGTTGAGACATATTGGAACACAAATTTCAAGTGATTCATATGGAAGCATAGATAAAAGTGAGTATATTGCAACTTTTGTTTTAATGTTGTGTATTGCTCTTAGTGGGTTGTGAGACTGTGTTTTGCTCCTACATATAATTGTGAAAGTGCCAGGGCTTAGTAGATGTTTCGTTTTAGTAGAAGTCATATATTATTGTGTCTTCATTAGATCCAAATATAATCAGCTTATTGTCTTATAAAATAATACAGTGAATAAAAGAGTCAAAAATCAATATTGTTTGGGATAGGAAAACTAGTTGGAGATATAACATCTGCTTTTTTCAATTAATGAATACAGATTTTTTTCTCTGGATTATAATTTATCAAATTAATTTATTAAATTTCCTGGGTACCAAGTATATAAGAAAATGTTAAAGTCAGGCAGGAAAACTATAGAATTAAAGCCTTATAGTATATTATATAGTAAAGCCCTATATAGTATAGACAGAAAAGTTTAGGGAAGGCCCACAATTGCAAAGAAAAGTGGTGGTCACGGAACAAGGGAATGTCATACAAATGTGGACACACACTGCGTTACTGAGCGCCACGTCTCATAGGTGAGAAGCATAACTCTAGAAGGTGAGAAATGAGAATTTTCACTTCCATCCTTCCATTTGTTGTGTGACTCTGCCATTTACTTTCCTTTTTTTGTATTTTCATTTTCCTTTTAAAAATGGAAATATGAATTTGAATTTCTGCTCTATCTCACAGGTTTTTTGTGGGGATGCATTTAAAATGTTTAATTAGTAAATAATGGTATTTCATCTCACTAATGTGTTATTTTTTTCTCCAAGTGGAAATGATTAAAAACATTTAAATTGTGTGCAGGTATATGGTGTCTCTTTTAGAAGTCACCTTTACCTTTTTTTCTTTAATTTTTTTTTAAAATTCAGAGTACAAGTTTATGTTTTCCTTGGTGTAAGGCTTTAACAGTTCCCACCTTTCAGCTGCCTGGGCATTGATTGCTCACCTACCACTATGACTAGATATGATTCCATGTGCTTTTGACTAGATTCTTTGTCTCTTGTGTATGGAAAGTGAGACTTTAAGTAATAGTTACTGCTGAGAGAAATAGAAGACGTGACAACGTTTGCTTTCCCATTCAGTAGTCAGCGGTTGAATGGAATTATCTTCGTTTTTGGACTGACAGATTTGTTTTACAATTCAGCTATTCCCAAGCCTTACTATTCAAAGCAGAACCCTTCTGTCTTCTTTCTGTAGTTGCTCTCTCTCCCTATATTCTGTTGTATTTTTTTCAAATAACTTATTACTATCTCAAGTAAAATTGTTTTATGTTTTGTTTTTATCTACCCTCTTAATCAGGGCAGGGATATGTCTGTTGTATATTTTACTTTTCCCAAATACATAAAGTTTCTGGGAATCTGCTGGTTATTTAGCTGTGGACCTTGATGGGTTTATCCTTACTTCTTAAGTGTATTGTTAACACTAATACTTGACTTATGGAAAAGATTTGCAAAGTAAGCACCAGAGTATTAGGTTGACTTCACTTTACAAAAAAAGGCCATCTGAGTGCTACTTTGCCTTTCTTTTCTTTAAAATTCCAACAAAAATTTTCGACCGGAAAAAAAAAAAACAAAAACAGCAGCAACTCCTGGATAGTTACAAAGATTACCATCAGTAGAAGAAATGAGGAAGATGCACAGCAGATAGTATCAATTGGTGATGAAACCCGCAATTGCAGAGAAAATAGCAGCTCTCACAAAGTAAGTTTTCATTGCAGAAGCTGCGAGTTTCCCCAAATCAGAGATGGCAGGGAGTGGGAGAAGGAGCAGGACATTAGCATTTTGCCAGGTAATTGATTAAAGGGTGAAAGGAATGCCAAGCTTCTGGTTTCAAAAACTGTTTCTGGCCTTTGCTCATAAACTGTGGCCCCAGTTTCATTTTCTAAAGTTTTAGCTATGACAATGGAGCTCCTCAGAGTGGGCGTGGATATCAGAAAATTGGGTAATTATGGCCACTTTAAGGGCTAGCCCCTCCTCTTCCCAGAAAACAAGATGTTTATATACTCCATGTAAACCCTCACAACTGCGTCCACTTTCCACTGCTTCCCCTGCAAGGCAGGGTCCCACAGATTTATGAAATGAGAATCTACATTTACTGCTGAAGGAATAGCACTAAAAATGTAGGCTGAAGAAATACACTTTGTCTGCCAAAGATGTTCTGCCTAAACTCTCATCTAAAACTTAGAGAAAAAGCAGTGAGAAAAAAGAGAAAAGCAACAGACGCAAGAAGACTGAGAGAAACAGTCTTTAATTATGAATGAGAAGGAAATGCTGAAAACTGATTGCATTTCCTTTAGAGAAAGTCTAAGAACATGTCCATAGGCTGCTGCTATGAAATTGAACCAGATAGGGATCTTGAAAATTAAAAATCCAATTGTATAAATAAACCCAGTAGAAAGGTGGAAATACTGGATGAACAAATAAAAGATCAATTAAGTTGATCCTAGAGACTGAATCCTAGGCGGTTGAGAGCATCATACAAAGGGACAAACAAATTAAAGATATTAGAGAAAATAACAAGATTTGGAGGATAGAGCCAGATGTCTCAATATGCGTCTCCTAGGACTTCTCAGAGGGGAGAACAGAAACAGAAGGAGAGAAGGTGATCAAGACATGACAGAAGGGAACTTTCCTGAGCAGAGAACACATGGAATATTCATATTCATAGGGGCCACCAAGTGTTGAGCGTGATTTTTGTGTACAGTCTCCGTCTCTGACACCTTCGTAGGAAATATACCTAAAATCAAATGAAACAGACTGAATATTAGAGGGATGGATAAAAATATTCCAAGCAATGCTGACATTAAAGCAGTCATGTAAGGTAAAAAATAATAAAAGCTTAGAAATGAATTTACATTATTGAAATGTTGATTAAAAGTATAGTTTGCCATGAAGATACTGCTAGTATGTACCTAAGAGTGTGAAACGATGTCAAGCAATACTCTTGGAAATCTAGGGGGACTGGCCAAATCTATTTTCGTCGTGAGAGACTTCACAATGTTTTTTAGAAAGAGAGAGCAAAAGCAGACAAGGGATGGAATTGGAATCACAGTTCCAAATGGATAATTTATATACAACTGTTTGTAAACCACACACCTGGAGTTTGTTAAAATACTTTTCAAATGTATAAAAGTTGACTAGTAAGTGAACAATAAAAAATACCTACAATTTAATATGAGCTTTTAATAAAAATCCCCCTCCCTCTGCAAAAACAAAACCTGCAAAACTTACCTAATAACTAAACTCACATAAGACACACAAAAAACCTCTCTTTGGTAACAGAGAAAATAAGAATTGAAATACTAAACTGTTTTGAAAGTAAACAGTAGGGCAATATTTATTAAAATCTTTAAGATATAGCCAATTCCTTCACTATTCAAAGGAATATGTTAAGGCCTTACGTGATACATTGTCACTTTAGAAATAAATACGGAGAATGAAGTGTTTAACTGAAAGAAAAAATTGATGAAAATGCAAACTTAATGAAATAGGAAACAAAGCAATTGATTTAGGACAATTAAATCTGATAGCTGGTTCTTTGTAATGCTAGTGAAACCAACAACTCTTTGGTAAACTTTGATTAAACAAACAAACAGAAGGAAAAACAGCACCAGGATTGAGAAACAGGTAAAACTACAGTCAAGAAATTTCATAATTCACAAGTTCATATTCAGATGTGAAAATGTAAGTAGAATGGTCCATTTTCAAGGAAAACATGCTCAAATTGACTCAGAACAATTGCTACAAACCTGAACAAAAAATAGGAAGAAATTTTTAACAATAGTTAAAGATCTAACACCATAATAAATCCGGATAATTTATAGGTGAGCTTTGTAAACGTTCAGTGAAAAACTAGTGTCTCTGTTATTAATTTTTTTGTTTCAGAACTTAGAAAATAAGGAATGTTTCCATTTTATTCTCTTAGGCTAGCATAATGCTGTACCAAAATCAAATAGCATGCACACATGTTCTCAAGATTCAGGACTCTTGTGTTGTTAATATAGCTGCAAAAATACCAAATAAAATTTTAAGAAATTAAATCCACAAATTTAGAGTACAGACAAATTATGCTTGAAGATTTATCTCAGGAATACTACAGCTGGGTCAGAGAATGTTGTGATCATCTCAATTCAGCACGTAGTCCCAATTTCAAAAAATTGATGAGGTAATGGAAAAAAAATTTTAACTTGAGAAAGGTGAAACATTCAAAGTATAGTTATTACTGTCAAAAACAAGGCAAGCATGCTTTTTGTTTGTTCCATTTTTTTTTTTTTTTTTTTTTGTACTGGAGGCCTGAACCAGTGCAACAGAATAAATGCAGAAGAGTAGGATCTGTGAATACTAATAAAGAAAAGTTGAAATTGTCATTATTTCAGATGATACTACTAATGTAGAGAATTTAAAAGACTCAGAGTTGGAATTAGAAGTAATAGAGCTTGGTAAAGTGCTGGCATATACAATGAACATATACATTGTACCGTTATTAACCTGTTAGAAAAGGAATGGAATAAGAACAACCCATTCTCAAGTGGCACCTGAACCAGCAGATGTCTAAGAAAAGACCTGAAAGCAGTATACAGTGTTTCTGAGGAAAACTGAAACATTCCTTAAAAGCGTTAAGGAAGACCTGAGTACATAAACATGTTCCTGGATGAGAAGATTCAAAGCATAAAGATGTAAAATTTCCCCAAATGTATTTATAAATATACAGAAATATTCAAAGTCCCATAGATGTTTTCTATGGAAGAGCACAAGCAGATGGTTTATAGGGAAAAGTGTATGTTCAGAATAATACAATTTTTCAACAGGAGAAAACTGAATAATGATTACGCTCTAACAGATATTCAGTAACCTACCCTGATTAAAGAAGTGTGGTATGGATACAGAAAATGACAAAGCAATGAAGTAGAAAATAAATTAAATAAATAAATATGTAAGTCCTTAAATATTCATACATGCCTTAGAGTTTGATAAAGGCAGAATTTTAAAGGATCAGGGAAAGTTGTGCAATTCACTTGAAGGAGGTGTTGTCTTCACAACTAAGTGTGAAGTTAACGCTGAAGATGTTTTTCTGCTTTGTTGGGAATAGAGTGCTTTTATTTATTTATTTTTTGGGTCAGATTAGCAGTAATGAATGCTCAGTTACAAAGGCATAGCTCTGGATGATAGCCTCCATAAGAATGGAAAAGTAACTTTTTTTCTTTTTTTTTAAGGTTCCTTGTTTGCTGCTTTGGGTATACGTAATAAGCAGGGATCCTGGTCAGGTCATTTAAGCAAAGGGGATTACAGTATTTGGAAGCAGGCTTTTGGGTAGGTTATATCACAATGTAGATAAGCTACTCGATCACAGAATTTTGGAACTGAAAAATGGATATGGCTCACACACAGTGGCAATCAGAAGGTTGTTTTGGCTCAGGAGAGTTGGCAGTGTCCAGCCTTTCACACTTACCCGTGAACTGTCCTCCACAGTTGTCCTGCCCCTTTCTGTGGACTTCATTTTTTGAAGTGATGCAGTCTGCCAGCTTAAGTAGAGCTAATCTCTTACAAAATCTGTGATTCCCTGAGACATTTGGGTTTTTAAAGTTTGGTCTTTTAAGCTTCTCTTGAACTGGAGTAAAGATTTCACTAATATCAGTAAATGCTTAAGGTTAATTAAAAAACTTAAGTTCAAGGAAACTCTAATAAAACTTTTTAGGTGGCCTGAAAGTTGTATACATATACTTAAGCTACTTTTAGTTGAATTTTAATTCGTGTGGGTTGTCTTTTTATGCACATTTCACCACAAGCTATTCATAGTTATATTTTCATAAATACTTTTTGCTTTAGAAGGTTTTGAAATTTGTATTAATGTAGAAAAGCTTTAAAACCATAGTATAATATTCTTAATGTTACATTTATTTCATTAGGGCTGTCTTAGTTACAGCATCCCTTGGCCTTTCAATTTGAATTACTGGTTCTTAACTATTTTAGGAATTTACATCTCTTTGAAAATGTGTAAAAATTCCAAAGGTTTTACTTTCCTTATAAAAGTATGTGCTTCTCTGTCTGCTCGTGTGTGTGATGATCGGTTCCTACCCATATGTTCATACGCACACATTCCCGTACCGTCTCCCCTCAAGTCCATTGATGGATTACCTGTAATCCCTGAACTCCCCAGGTTAATTACAGCATGGTTAAGTCTAGTGACTTTTCTGATAACCTCTTATAACTTAGGGATGCTTCTCTACTCCTTGTAAAATACATAGAGCCCAGATCCCTTATCAGTTATTAACTGTGCTTCCTTCCCCCATCTCAAAGCACTCTCTGGTGAAAATATGTGGGCCAAAGATTCATTTGTCCCATGCATACATAAAGAGGTAATAAAAGCCTTTCACAGCAAGTACACATGGTCTTTTGAATCCCCTGCCTCTGCCACCAATTTTTTTTTTAAAAAAGCAAACAAAAGTACCTTCAGCCTTCAATTTTTAGCTTAAGTATTGCAGACCTTTTTATCAGTAACTGACTGTATTGTGCACAATGGTTGAGTTTGGGGAAGATGTATATGTAATTTTCTAAGTCCCTAATAAACCCTGATTTCACAGAAGTATGTTCTGGCCTTGTGTACGGTGAGCCAAATGACGTGACTTTAATGCTTTGCTCTGTTTCACAGGAAAAGTGAAACTGCTTCTGAAGGAACTCTGGCTCTGTGTAAACACAACACACAGACTACCTGGTGAAGGCAGCAGGTGTGTCCCAGGTGAGAGAGAAGCTTACAGAAACCGATTTCATATGTGAAAGTACAGAGCTTAACCATAGGCATAGCAGCCGTTACTTTTTAATAGCTCCTGATTCTAACATTGAAAGAATGAAGTAAACTAGAATGGGTACTTTTAATTATACAAAACTCGTTTCCCTTCAGTGTGAATGTTAATCCCAGTAAATACATTTAGCTTTCATCAGAGAACCTTCAAAAAAAAACGAGAAGGTCAAGTAGCAGAGGCATATCTGGCAGGTGGAGAGGGGATACTTGAAGGATGCAGTTTCTTCTGAATCATTTCATGAATTTGATCAATCTGTGAGCACTTTAGCTTCGTTTATTTTTAGTGTAATTTATCAGTTCCTTTGGTTGAACATCTTGACTCTCAGAGTATCATGGGGGCATTCTAGCACATTCACAGTTATAGTCGATTTAGCTGTCCTGAGTAGAAGGGGAGCAGATAGCTGTCTTGTATAAGATTAAAGTGCTTCTTATTTAGCTTTTTGTCATTTTACTAATTTCTTTTGATTAGCTGCTGTAAATTCACAGGTCATTGAGGTTCTAAATCTATGGAAACCTCCACCTTATTTTCCTCTCAGGCTTCTAAAGACAGTTGGAAAAAATGTTAAGGGACAAGTTACTGATTCTTACTTATGGTGGACTCAGAACTTGTCGAGTGTACGGAGGCATATTTGATGGGGTTTCTTTAAGTAGATGTTTCCCTCAGTTCACCTGCCAGGTACCCATTGGTATTAACCACATGGTGCCCGCAACTCTTAAATTAGTCACCTCAGTTCATAATTTATCAATTCATCTGTTTAGGCAGAAGCAACCAAGGGATGCTTTTTGGCCTTCTATATCAATCAGCATTCTATTTTAAGCATTTGATTTTATGTTGTCAAGCTGTTATTAAAAGAGCTGTTCTTCATTTCATAATCTAATGTTTGTATTTAAAAATATGCTTTTGAGGGGTAAATATATTACGTTAATTTTTCCAAAGTAGAAGGGAAAACATGGTATCTTTGGAATCTTATTATACCATAAGACATATTCTTTTGTTTTAACTTTTTATTTTCATATGAGGATGGTTACAAAAATAGTTCAGAGAATCCCCATGGATCCCTTAGCAGATTGCAGGATTTTTAACATTTTCAGTTACCAATGGTCAAAACCAGGACGTTTGGTACAGCCCTATTAACTAAACTGTGAATTCCACAGTTTTCCCCAGGAATCCTCCTTTCTTTCCAGGATGCAGTACAGGAACCCACGTTGCCTTTAGTAGTCATCTTGCTTTCACCTCCTCCAGTCCAAAAGTTCCTGTTTTTTTTTTAATCTCTCATGTCTTTTACACTTTGGGAGAATATTATTTTGTAGAATAATTTTGTAGAAAGCCCATTGTTTTGGCTTATGTGATGTTTTCTCATGTCAGATTGAGGTTGTATATTTGTGGCAAGAACGTCACAGTGGTGCTGTTTCTCTTTGCTCAGGGAGTTGTTCTAGGGATAGGTGATGTGGATATGTATTATCACTGGGCTCTAACCTTGAGCACTTGGGTAAGGTGGTATCTGCAAGTTTTTATGTTGTAAAGTTACTCTTTTTTTCCTAATGAATCAACTTGAGAAAGATTCTTTAACATTGTGCAAATATTCTGTTTCTTTCCAGTTGTCACCTGCTGATTTTGGCCTACAGCAGTAGATCTTGCCTGCTATAATTACTGCTTTAGTGTTTGCCAAATAGTGATTTTTTATTTGTCTCATTCCATCTGCATTCATTAATTGGAATTCTTACGTAAGGAAGAGCTGTTCCTTATCTACCATTTATTACTTGTTTACATCAGTATAGTCTCATAGATATTTATTTTATTCGTAAATAATAATTCATTGCTATCCTTTTAGCTTTGGTGGGAGCTTGTTCAGATTGGCTCTGGGTCCTTCATAAATACTCCATTTTTTTTTGAGTTGTTTACTTCTGGTACCGCAAGATGTTTCCATCTCTGCTTGGATTTTCGCTTCCCAGCCCGATAATCAACCGCCTATCCAAGGAGCCCTGGATCCTCTATAAAACTTATTTTTAAAGCTGGCAAATATAATAAATGGTTATGGAATCAAATGTTTTTGTTAATAGTACCACTGAAGTTCACCAAAATCAAGACCAGGATTAGGTTTTTATAGGAACTTTTCTGTTGCATTATCATACTGAGTATTCATAGACCTCGTCAGATCTTTCAGTTAGAGAGCATTGTACAGATTTGGCCGTGGGTAGGCTTGATATTAGTTGATTTCAAATCACTTTTTGGACAGAAAATAGTGTTCTGTATCAACCTATAGGCACAAAGTTGTTTCTCTGCCAGATTCTGCTGTTTGTATGGGAGGATTCATCCAGAGACCGAGTGAGCCAGCAAGGCCCGTTTTCATGGCTGTGGATGCCTTTCCAGCTGTGTCATCCATCCACCCACCGGTCCATCTCACCTGTCTGTCTCACTTTTCTTACTGCAAGGCTAGCATACTTGTATGAAATGTATTGATTTTCTAGGATAATGTTTAGAAAGCGATTGGTTGCCTTTTAAAAAATTACTTGGACTTAATATTTCAAGCATTTTGAACTGTTGTAATAAGGTTTCTTTCTTTCTTTTTTTTTTTTAAGTTTTCTTGATATTGTAAATACCTGATACCTACTTTTGTTCCCCCACATAGAAAAACCTGCCAAAGCAATCACCAGCTCCAGAGTGCCTGGGGAAGATGGTACGCTACCTCCAACACAGGGCAGCCCTCTCAGGACCTCAAATGTGCAGACATGCCTCACAAAACTGTCCATGGAGATAAAGGAGGACTTTTTATGTCAAAATGTGGAAAAACAGAGCTCCAGTGGAACAAATTGTAGTTCTGACCATGTTTTTAATGAGAATGGAAATCTTGAGGTTTTAGTACAAAGTCATCGTGACGGTGGTAGTACTGAATTTGTTGATCATGATCATTTTTTTGATGAAGATCTTCAAGCTGCAATTGACTTCTTCAAACTTCCCCCTCCTCTTCTGTCACCAGTGCCCTCGCCCCCTCCGATGTCATCACCTCACCCGGGTTCCTTACCGTCTTCATTTGCACCTGTGAGTTTTGCTCTCTGAATTTGAATTACCAAGTGGGTACATTGTCTATCCTAATATGTCCTTGATGCTCAAAGGATATTAGTGATATTCTTGCACAGATTATTCATTTTAGCCAATTTTGTTAGGGGGTAACATGAGGTTTTTAAAAAGCATGCCACTACCCTTTGGATCAACATATATAATATGTACTTTTTCACTTTGTGTTAGGGTTGCATTTTTGTTAGTCTTTATCCACAGCCAAATTACAAGTTTTCTATAGGAAGGCTGTGTCTTAATTGTTTTTATCTCTTGATATGGAATGACTGAATTAAACACATATTTGTATACATGGAGTTATATAGTGACAGGAAAATCCATGTATATAGCATCCATGCCCCTTAACCTGGTGTAGCCGAGTTTTCTACCTTTATTTGATGAATTCATCATCTTGTGTGTTTGCGGAATGGTTTACAGTAGTTTCTTAGGAAGTTAGTCTTTATGAAGCAGATGTATATATTTTTGGCTTAAGGAACAGATATGTGTTTTGCTCCTGGAATCAGTTTCTTTCTTTATGAAAACACCATGTGTGCCTGTTATGTTCCAGGGACCAGGCTAGACACTGGGTGTGCAGAGGTGACGAAAGATGCCATTGCCTCTCAGTGGGCTTCATTGTGTGGAGGTGGGAGCAGTAAAGGAGCAAACAGATTCATTGCTGTGTAGAGCCCTGCAGTGGTGGAAAACACGCTGCTTGGGAGCATAAAGAAAAGCAGCTCAGTCCTGAATGGAGGCCAGGGCAGGTTGCGGGGCAGGCAGGATTCTTCTGAAGATTCAATCCCCACACTGAGTTTTAAGGTGTGAGTGGGGTTGCTTCAGGTGGAGGAGCTGTTCTCACAAGAATGTAGAAGCAAGGGTGAGCTCTGTGTGTGGTAGATTCATGCAGGTGACACTGGGAAAGGCCATGTGCATCCTCCCAAGGAGTTCCTACTTTATCCTGAAGGGGGAAATCTTTGATGAATCCAAAGACATAGACTGAAAGATAGATTTTTATTTGAAAGTTTCATTTCAATATGAATGAGTAGGGAGTGGGGGGATAGTCAGAAAATAGACAAGACCACAGGCAGGGTAGCGGCTTAATAAGCAGCTCGCTTAAAATATTTTTTCTTTTTTTTTGAGACAGAGTCTCACTCTGTTGCCCAGACTGGAGCACAGTGGCGCGATCTCGGCTCACTGCAAGCTCCACCTCCTGGGTTCACGCCATTCTCCTGCTTCAGCCTCCTGAGTAGCTGGGACTACAGGCGCCCGCCACCATGCCTGGCTAATTTTTTTGCATTTTCAGTAGAGATGGGGTTTCACCGTGTTAGCCAGGATGGTCTCGCTCTCCTGACCTCGTGATCTGCCTGCCTCGGCCTCCCAAAGTGCTAGGATTACAGGCGTGAGCCACCGCGCCTGGCCACAGCTCACTTAATTTTTGATACCTGAACCTAAGTTGTGGCATTGGTGTTAAAGAGGTGGGAACTGGTTTGAAAAATGTTATGAGGTCAAATGAGCAGCATTTGGTGACATTTTTAATGTGGCAGTTAGGGGAGATGGAGGAGTCAAAGATGTTGAAAAATAGCAAATATAAGAAGTGACCCTGTTTGGGAGAATAATGTATAGAATGTTAGGTATGAGGTATGCATGTACACAGGTGAGATACTGGAGGGAGGCTGTGGTGGTGCACAGACGTTCAGGACCTGCCAGCACTTGAGTGCAGTGGAAGTCATGCAGCTCTGATGTCATCCAGTAAGAGTATGGAAGAGGAGAAGATGGAGTCCCAGTCAGGACCCTGGGGAACCGTCCCTATGTAAGTGACAAGTAGAAGAAGTGTGAGGAAAGGAGATTGAAAAGAAGGGCAGAATAGACGAAAGCCAGGAGATGATGGTACTCTGGAGTTCAAAAGAGGAAAGAATTCTTTCACTAGGAGCAAGTTGATGTCAGCAGCTGTTCATCTTCACCAGTCCACTGTTCTCTAACAGAATAGAGACAAGGTGGTTGATGCTGTCAGTGCACGCCAAGTGGGCCACATGCTCTAGGCAGTTAACTCAAGAGGAGACGAGTTGGGGGTCAGGGAAAGGTTCTGGAGCAGAGGTGGCTGGAGAACGGGCTGGGAGGGAGAAAGCTTTGTAAGGGTAGCACAGGTGGGTTGATGACATCAGTCAGGCTGCAGCACTCTGTGAGGACATGTTGGGGAGGAGATATGTGGTGGGAGATACCCACAAGACAGCGTCCCTCCCCCCCTGCACAAGGCTGTACCGGGCACAAGTCAGACACACCAGAGAGAGAGGAAATAGAGGGCCGTGAAGCCAGAGGCCAGCAACCTGGGTCAGAGCCTTTGTTACTAGATGATGGGGAAGTAACAGTGTGCAAGTAGGAATGTTTGAAAGTTAAGAGAAACATAACCCTGTGTAGAGTGGGGTGTGACACTTGGAAGCATGTCTGTTATTGGGGGAGGTGTCTCTGCGGGGTGCTGGGCACCCTTAAGGAGAGAGCAGAACAGTGTTGGACCAAAGCTGGAGAACTCCCCACCCACCACAGAGATTCCTAGCCTGCCCCTGCTCAAACGTGATTGTAAAGATTCTTCAGGAAACGTGTACTTTTAAAAAATAATGCATTTAATTGATAGTCATGTTAATCTGTTGAATTAGTGTTTGACAAGTGTAATTCATATTTTTTAAGGAAACCTACTTTGGAGAATACACAGATTCCAGCGATAATGACTCAGTCCAGCTTAGAAATTCTGCTGAGTGTGTTTCAGAAGATGATACAACTGAATCACAGAATTATTTTGGCTCATTGAGAAAAAATAAAGGAAGTGGCACATGGGAGGAAAAGCCCAAATCACATGAAGCTATCCAAGCTCTGAATACATGGGAAGTAAATAAAGTGACAACTTCTGGACTCGAGACTTTCACAGCAACACTGAGAGAATCTTCTGCCACACACTCCTTAGTTGGTGAAAAACACTGGACCACAGCATCTCGATCCATGAGTGATAGAAAAAGAGACATTTTACATGAGACAAAAACACAAATGGAGGTTAGGGAGATGGATAAGTCAGTACAAACTGAGAAGACCATTCATAAACTCACTCGAGGTCTATGCATTGAGAGATTGTCTGCCAGCCCTGCACAAGAGAAGGAAGCTGCCCCTGGGAAGTCTGAGTTGTGTTCTTCTCCCCTTGGCAAAAGGCCATTAAATGAACTCATGGAATCTGAAGGAAAAACCGTATTGTCTAAAATGATGGGATCGCCCAAATCAGAGTTTACTAAGTGGACACGAATTAATGAAATCACTTCTGAACCAGACCGTATCACAGTTTCTGGCCATTTTCACAGACTATCTAGAGAATTGGAAAAGGAAAAAGAAGATACTCAAGGGTTCACTTTAGGAGAATCACCTGAATCAGAAGATGATGACTCAGGTGATGGAATGGATGTAGCAGGGCTTGACATTGAAACCAGTTTTTCTTCCTCTTCTACCTTGGTAGCATTGTCTGTTGGCAGTAATCCCCAGTCTTCTTCTGGGTTAGACTGTGGTAATGATACAGATATTACTACTAAAGTATTCTCTACTGAACCGCATCATTCAGAACATAAATTGCAAACTAAAACTTTAAACACATTACATCTGCAGTCTGAGCCACCGGAGTGTTCTATAGGAGGAAACAACTTGGAGAATAGCTTGTGTGCCTTGAGCCCTGAATTGGGAGCATCTAATTTTAATGATCAGAAGAGCAGTGGGATAGAATATACAAAAGTAGTAAAAGGCTTGACCAAAATACATTCACTTCCTCGGTCAGTATTTATGAAAGCTACAAAAGATGGGCAATGTGAAAGTCAAGATCCAAGAATTGAGCTCACACTAAATAAGCCAGATTTCACATCATTAATAGGTTCTCAGGCTGCCTTGATCAAGAGTGGTTTGGGTTTTGTTAAAAGTACTTCATGGCACCATAGTGATTTATTAAGGAAAGGTGGCGAAGAAAGTCTGAGAGCCAAATCAGAACATGAACAGAAGACTAGCCATCAGTTACAAAAGGCAATGCCATTCCTACAAAATAGAGGACCAACACCCAAGCCTGATCTTCTTAGAGAAAATAACAATCCTGTAGAATTCAAGACCACTGCATCGGTGTTGCCTAATCAAGTATCAGTTATCACAAAACAGACAAGACCTGAAAAGGTTCAGAGTGCCAAATTGGAACACTTGAGGCCACATAGGGTTGAGCCTACCTTAGTAACAGAAAATAGTGGCAACAAAACCGGTATGTCAACTGTAGCAAAATGTGATGGGGAAAGAGATGATACAACACAAAACATCACGGAGGTGGCTGCTGTGAAAAGCATTTCACCAGAAGTTTCTGCCTCTAGGAGAAAATTAGATTTTAATTCTCCAGGTGGTTCTTCACCAGTAGAAAATTCTGATTGTTCCACAAATAGCAGATTATCTTTCTCTCCTGAAAATATCCTCATCCAAAACCAAGACATTGTGAGAGAAGCTGCAGTGCAGGGAGATGGGCAGAAGCAAAGGCAGCCTCAGGCCACAGATCTGGACTCCAGTGGGACACATGGCAGTGAGATGCTTCCAGCCACAGAAGTGACTGTGTCAGGAGGGTTTTCTGTTGAAGAAACCAGCTGTGGAGACACAGGGAGATCTGGTGGTGAGGCCCTGGCTGTTGCAAATGATTCTACCAGCACACCACAAAATGCTAATGGACTTTGGAAATTGAAATCTACAACTCCCGGTGGTGCTTTGCCTGAGTGTTTTGGCACCACAGACACTACTTTTTCTTCAGCATTTTGCAGAAAACATGGAGAGACACAGGATACCTCCCAAAGTAGCCTGCCTGGTACCTTACATTGTTACACAGGCATTCGAGAGGGGGGAGACGACACTGAGGTAGAGAGTGAGGCATTTAGCTGCAGTGAGGGGAGCGAACAGCAAGATGCTCCTGATGACTCACAGAAAAATTTAGGAGACACAGATGCTGCTGTAGCCGAGGTGAGACCTTCCTTAGAGGTAGGTTATTTGACGTCAGCTCTGCAAGATTTTAACATAAGTACTTTTTCTGAGCTGGATAGACTTTCCACATCAGAGGTTGTGATGTTTCTTGAGAGCTGTCAGTTAGGGGATTATAGTTCAGGGGACTCTGTTTCTGAATGTTCTAGTAAAGGAACCCTAAGTAAAGAAATGAACAAAGAATTAAAGGCAAGTGAAATAGGAGAAAAATACAGAAAGCAACCCTGTGAGGAAGAAACACTTGGAACCTGTGAAGAGTGGATTGAATCAGAGGAAGATGATTATTCGTTAAAAAATACAAGTCAGCTCACTCAGTGTTCTTTGGAAACTCTGTCTGAGGTTCTGACCAAGATTAGGCAAGAACTTCAAACAAATTCTGAAGATTGCAATGGTAAAGATACTGGCAGTTTATTGCTCTTAAATGTAAATAACAACATGACCACTGAGAATTTAAAAGAGAAAAGTCCATTTCGGGAAACGACTGGCTCCTCATCACATGCTTCAGAACCAACCCCACAAGCAGCTGCCTTGGACACTGAGGGCAGCTCTCCCATCAGCGGTATGCCTCAGAATGAAAACCCTCAGAGCAGACCAGAGGCCCGTTCAGATGCAGGCAGGCAAACCGATGGTGGGGAAGAAGACCTGCCAGAACCTGTGGAGCCATCAGCCTTGTGCTCTGACTCTGTGATGGAGCCATCCATAGAGCAAAGTTCTAACTGCGAGGCCGAAACAACATTTCAGTGTCAGATAGCAACAGTGACCTCAGAAGTTATAAACGTACTTATAAATAAGGATCAGAATCTAGTCATTGAAAAGGGGGACAACTGGACAATCATCAGTGGTGTAGCTGTCTTGCCACATGTGGACCAGGTCACACTGTGTGACATTCCTGGAGACATCCCTATTTCTCAGGATCAAGGAGAGCTGGAAGCTGGTTGCATCCCAGTGACTTCTGCTGAGAAGTCCCCAGAGGCCAGTCACACTGGCCCTGCATTTCAGGAGGCTCCATGTGGCAATAATCTTTCATGTCCCCAAGAGGATGTTTCAAGCAGTGGTCAGAGCACCAACTTTGATAAGAGTCGTTTGCGAAATAGACCCGTTAAGCCTAGTATATGGATTAGTTCTCAAATCTATGATCAAAACTTCGAGACTCAGATTGTTGCGTCTGATCACACATATTATAACTCAAAACTAGAGCCATCTGGCAAAAATAAGAATCGATCAAAGATTTCAAACAAAGATCAGTCAAACAAACCAGTAAAAACTTCAGCGTCGAGCAGAGTTGAAACTCATCAGAGTGAAGTTGCTCAGTCATTTTCAGGGGAAAAAGCTAATACAAAAACTCAAAGAAGCCAAACTCAGACCATTTTAGCAAATGCTGATACATCCACTCCTACAGATTGTTCTCCTGACACACTGAGTAAAATACGGCAAGAGGTGGGGCCTCCTTTGCCGCCTCTGCTTGCTCCTCTGATAGCTACACCTCCAAGGACTTCACAGCCACTGTCTCCACTGATATCGAGTTCTAGTCCTTCCTCACCAGCCTCTCCTGTTGGCCAGGTTTCTCCCTTCCGTGAAACCCCAGTGCCTCCTGCCATGTCTCCATGGCCAGAGGACCCCAGACGTGCCTCTCCTCCAGATCCTTCTCCATCTCCATCTGCAGCTTCAGCCAGTGAGAGGGTAGTGCCGTCTCCTCTGCAGTTCTGTGCGGCCACGCCGAAGCACGCACTTCCTGTGCCTGGCCGACTCCCACCCTGTGCATCTGGCCACGCTGCTGTGGGAGGGCCTCAGGAGAATTCTGTGAAAATCCTTGACACCATGTATCCAGAGTTATCTGCCAGGGCCCGGACCCTCAACATCCTCAAAGGGAATATTCAACTCACACGAGGTCCGCCTGCTGACTGTAAGAATTTACCGGGACCTGCCAGTGCTATGATAGGATTCAAAACGATCACTTCAGCAGCAACTGCTTTTGTCAAAACTGGGAGCAGCTCTGGTGGTGACTGTAACCAAGACAAGTCAAGAGATTTGGGGACTCAGCAGGATTCAAGCGGGAAAAGAACACTGTCAACGTCTACACTGAGAAGTGCTAAAAGACTGCGCCTGGACACTGGGTCCCCAGAACCAGAAACCAGGGGAGTCACTGCAGAAGGAATCCACAAAAACCTCCCAGGGAACCTCCCTCCAGCTGAAGTTGCAACAACAAATGAGGAAAGAAGTTGTTCTAGTCCAGCCGTCAGTGCAGTTTCACAGTTGCCTTTAAGCCCAAAAGAAACTGTGGAGTCCCATGATAAAGCCATAGCTAATGCCCTGAAGAAAATTGCAGAGTTTTCTTTTGATCTGTTACCTGTCATTCGTAGTCATGTGTATGTGGGAAATATCTCCAAAAAGCCCGTAATGAGAGATCAAGAGAAGGAAGTTGTTTATGAATTTAGCACAACAAAAAAGGTATGTGGCTGCTCTTTTCTAAGTGCATTAGGGATTACATGTCCTCAAAGACAGATGCTGTTTACTGTCAGCAAAATGTGTAGATGACCATGAACAAAAGTTTTACTTCAAGGATGAGAGTTATCCATGTAAACATTACGACTATATTTCTAGCCAGCATTTTACAGATTTAAAATATGATAAGACACTGGAGATTTGGTCATTTCTATTCATTAAATTACTTAAATTTTTTTAAAGTATCTGTCAGGACTAAAATTACATATATCCACTTGATCCTGGCATGTTTAGAGGCTTAAAATTATTTTCTTCAAAGCTTCAAATTATCACATAATTTTTCTTTTCCTTGAGTTTTTGTTACAAATCAAACAGGAGCAAATGCTTAGTGTCAAGAGAGGGAAAAAAGGGATGGTTTAAATTTAAATATGTAGTTTATTAGGACTTTTATAGTTCTATATTTTCTAAATATCCACTGGTACCTTGCTTGGATGACTTCTAGTGCTAGACGGATCACACTTAGTGCTTATCTGCAGACACTTGGAGTCATTTTGGCATAAATATTTATTTTTTTAGATTGCTTCCTTGCAGAAAGCATAAGGAGCTCCGTAAGTCACTTTGAAAGGAAGTGAATGCATATATCAAATTATGTAATGCTCCTCTTAGGACAAAAAATGTTACTTAGTATTTTAAATTTAAACAGTATATAGAGTAAATTAGAGTTTAGAAAACAAGAATGAGAGTAGAATTACATACTGTATTTCATATACTCACACAGATTACATAAGGCAAAACCCAAGAAATTATGATTATTTGACTAGTGGTAGTGACAGTATGCAGCTAGGTCTTTTGAGACTTGCATTCTGGCATCTGCAGCATTTACCAGCCATAGGAAACAGACAGGCGTGGGGATTTCTTCAGTACCCCCGACCTCGATTCTCATGATTTACCATGCTAGGTAAGTTCTTACCAGTTACTATGCTCTACCTTCTGATGTAGCGCAAGTTTTATTTTTTCAATAGATACTTAAGTTTTGTAACTTTTAGATAATCTTTGGTAGGCTGAAGATAAGTATGAGTGTACATTGCCTTTTTAATTTTTTTTTCAATCCAGCATTTAGCAGAGTGCTTGCTTCACTCTATTCTCTCAGAACTAAAAATTCAGAAGATATCTATGGACCACAATTACATTCACGCCCTCTGCAGGGTGTATGTGGGTATTTGTCGGCAACTCGGAGACTTGGAAAGAGCTCGTTTGTTTTGCTACAGCCTACTTAAAGAAGGTATGCTTAGATTGTGACAATTTTGTATTGAAAATATACGATTGCCTTTTTCCCTTATACTGGAGTCTATATTTTCAGCTCTGATTACTGTGTGTCTTTTAAAATAATGTTATGTTTTGTCCATTGAATAGCTTTAGCTATACCCAGCTGCACCTGGTCTTTAGTAGGGCTTACTTATATCAGCACTATATTTCCACTTGTAAATAAATGAGTATCTCTCATTACTGTGTATTTGTTCTATGCTCTGTGCAGCTGCTTTAGAATTAGATATAGTTGCCTTAAAGTATGGGATACTTTAAAGTAAGTGACAAGCCAAACTGCTGTACCACTAGGTGGAAAGGGCAGCAACTTTAAGATGGAATTGTAAGCTGATGAAAAGAAGTAGATGAGAGAAAGCTGAAAGGAGACGGTGACATGAGGGTTGTCCTTTGATTCTCTTTTCTCTTTACTATTTCTTCCATCCCTACTAGTGGATCAGACTGGGAATCATTCTTTGCTGTATCAAATCATCAGTATTTTTAAATCATATGATATACAAATGAAACCTAGTATCGTATCAGTCTTATCTCAGTGGTAAACATTTACCATCTTTGACTACCATGTTTATGGGGCTTATAAATCAGGATAATTGAGTATATCCATCACTTTTACTGTTGTGAACGAAGCTGTGAAGTGTTTCATTTGCCCACTTCATTTCTTTGTTTACTCTCTCAGTCATTCATTCAACAAATCATTATGGAGTGAATGTTGGGATTTCTGTGGTGATTAAAATCAGATGGAGGTACACTTGTCCAGTGGGACTGACAGGCCATAGTCATATCACAAAAACACACATGAAGTTCAGCAGTTGGTGGGTGGTGGGACGGAACGGGTGTGGGCTCGGCCAGGACCACGATGGATTTCTTCTTCTTCCTCAACCACAGCAAGCCCATTCTTAGCTCAAGCTTTTGTGCTGACAGCTTTCTTGCTCTGTTTCCCTCAACTCTTGTGTTTCACTCCATTAATTTCACATACCTTCCTAGTCATCCTGGATCCCTTATTTTTCTTTATTTGCCTTCCTGGCACTTACCACTTCTTAAAGATTAAATATTTTGTTTGCTGTCTCTCTGCTCCTCTAGCTTGTATACTCTGTAAGGAGAGAATTTATTTGTCTTGTTTCTACTCTGAAGTGTCACCAGATAAACATAGGATTCAAAAATTAACAGATGAAGTTTAGTGCAGTGAGTTTATGCTTTGAGCTATCTATTCTTAGATGTGTCAGTGATAGATAAAGTAGAACAAAGAAAACTAAAAAGATGTGATTGTACAGCAAACAGGATAAAAATCTTTACTTTGGAAGGCTCTTTGACAGTTTCTTATGAAATTAAAACATTCATTTATCCTATGGCTCAGAAATTCCACTCAGGCACTTACGCAGCAGAAACACAGAGTTAGATCATGACATCATTACATAAACTAGCACGCGGATGTAACATCTTGACTCATAGGAGCCCATAACTGGAAACAAATGTCCATCAGCAGGTGAATGGAAAACATTTTGATATATCAAGCAGTTAAATACTACTTGGCTATACAAAGGAATAGACTACCAATGCATGCAACAACACGGATGAATGTCAAAACCAACATGCTGAGTGGGGAAGCCAGACAGAAGAAAGTACCTACTTCACAAATCCATGAATAAATATTTGAGAAAAGGCAAACTAATGTATAGTGACAATAGATCAGGGCTTCTCTGTATCTGGGGTGAGGTGATATACTGCAGAGCACGAGAGCGAGAGAAGTTTTGAAATGATGGTATTGACTGTTGTGGTGGTGGTTTCGTGGATTTAATCATTTATCCAAATTCATTGAACTTTATACTTTAAAAGAGTTTATTTTATTGTCTGTAGACTACACTTCAATTAATTTTTAAAAAAGAGACAAAGAGTGTAGGAGAAAGTATTTACAACAAAAGAATTGTCATCTAGAATTTATTTTAAAAAATTCTTCAAATCAGAAGCTTTATGTGTTCAATGAGTAAATGTAATGCATAAAAACCTATGTAATGTAATACAAAACCTATGTAATGCAAAACCTATGTAATGCATAAAAATTGCCTGTAATGACACATACCAAATGGGAGAATTCTGAGACTGAGGAAGTTGGAGAACGGATTTTGGAAATGACTGTGACTGGAGCCTCATCTGGGCTCCCCATTTACAGCTTCCTCCATTGCAGGATGCCTGCAAGGCACCAGTGAAATTAATACAATTTGTTCTTAATTTGCAATTTATTTACTCGATCATACATCAAAGAGTTATTGTATTATTTTATTTCTGATAGATTTTCCGGAGTCTGAAAAATTAACTTTGTTTATTGCAAACATGTGGCATGATATATTTCTCTCTCAATCGGTGATTAATAAAGCAATGCAGTTAGTTGCCAGGCAACGTGCTAAAGGAGAGGTTCTGAACTGCTTGAGAGCTTTTCTTAATTGGGAAAAGGTGAGCCATATTTCTGTTTCTTACAGTATCTTACTTTTAGATATTATATAAATGTTAATTATTTTGTTGTGTATTTAGTTTTATATTAGTTCATAGGCATTTTCTTCTTTCTAGATCTTTTAAAATTTAATCAGTTTAGCCTAAGCTTATCCATTTTGTTAATTAAGAATGCATGAGACATTCAAGGAAGAATTGTAGACCAAAGGATTGTGTTAATTAACAGTTTGTGTTATACACTAATTTGTGACTGATGAAACCCACGCATAGGTGTATATGTTTAAAAGTCTCAGAGAAGCTACAAAATTATTTGGTTCTTCAATAGATACTTAGGTAAAAATATATATATTTCAGTTTTTTCCTATTAGGATTTTTAAAATCTAATATGCTTAATTTTTCTTTCCAGTTGATAGAATTTGTTTTTATGCTGACTAGTTTGTTCCCGTGTTATCTTTTATTATTATTTTCAGTTATTGATATGTTAAAGTAAGTGTCTAGATGGGTGTTCTTTCATCATTTTCTTTCATTCATTCATTTTACCTAATGAGAGTCTAACTACCGGTAGCGAACTTCAAGAAGAGGTACTGAAGCCAGTGATATTGATTTTTTAATTTTATTTTCTGTTTTTAATGAGCATGTATTTCCTCTTCTAAAAACTCCCCTGGGCTTATGTGTGGAGCAGAATTTTATATGCTGTTTTGCCTTTTTTTATTATTACTTTTGATGTTAGTATTTGTTAGGCTTTTATTTTTTATAAAACGTAAAGGAAAGAGCTTTTGGTGGTCAAAAGTTAGGTAAATATTAAAAAGCAAGTTTGTAATGATCTCTTCATCAATCTATCTAGACACAACAGAGTAGATTCATGTGAGGTATTGTCATAAATTCTAGTTGGTCATTTTGTGTCAGGAGAGACATCCTGACTCCTACTAATGGATACCAGCAACCACATATATATCTGCTCCAGAGGGCTGCCAGCTTCCGGAGAGTTACCTGCTTCTGGAAGGTTACCTGCCTCCAGAGACTTACCTGCTTTGAGGGTTACTGCCTTCCGAGGGTTACCTGTTCCCAGAGAATTACCTGCCTCTGGAGGGTTACCTGTTCCCAGAGAGTTACCTGCCTCGAGCATTACCTGCCCCAAGAGAGTTAACTGTTCCCAGAGGGTTACCTGTTCACAGAGAGTTACTTGCCTCCAGAGGATTACTTGCCTCCAGAGAGTTACCCGTTCCCAGAGGGTTACCTGCCTACAGGGGGTTACCTGTTCCTAGAGAGTTACTGTGTCTGGAGAGTTACTTGCCTTCAGAGGGTTACCCGCCTTCAGAATGTTATCTGTCCAGCCTGCTTCTGCTCTCACTTGGTCTTTCCACTTGCACACTAGAGCCCATCTCCTTTCACCTGTTCAGAATTAAGCAGGATATGGTTAAAAAGACATTACTTATGAAGAACATAACATTTTAGTAAATGTATTTGCTAAATATTGTATCAAATAAAAATACATAGAGCTTTAAGAAAGGTGAGAAATACTTGGGGAATAAAACCCCATTATATTACAGGATTTCCAAATACTCACTTACAGAATTAAACATCTGGTAAACAAAAATGAGGACATAGTACAGTTCATTAATTTAAAAAGTAAATGTGTATGAAGAATATGTATTTTTTATATATCTATGACACATTTGCACAAATGAATGATGAATTGGCCACATGAAAACATTCATTTCTAAAAGCAAAGATTTGACACTCAAAATTCCCTGGTAATAATTCAGTAAAATTTAACAGAAAAAAAATTCAAAATATTTACATTTACTTTGAAATTGAGATATACATTCTTAGACAATCTGGGAACAAATAAAATATGCAAAGTAAAATCACAGTCTTAAAAGTCAATGAAAAGGTAAACTCAGAATCAAATATCTCTAGCTTTTTTGGAAAACATGTACTCATTAAAGTATCTTAAATGTCTTAGTTGTTTAGCAGAAAATAAATGAAGTTAACTGTTACTCATCTTCAACATTAGAAATATGACAAGGGAACCAGAGAAAAAGAATAAATTTTAAGAGATAGTAGTAACTAAGTGGAAAAGAAACAGAAACACATAGAAGACAAAAATACTACCTTTAAAAAATGCCAGCAACATAGATAGCTGACAGTGCAGATCAGCAAAAACAGAGAAAAGCAAAAATAGTGAAGATTTGAAATGGGAAAGTAGACATATAGGACACAGAATGAGAAGACTACTACCTGCAGTCCTATAGCAGCAGATTTGGAAACAGGGTGATTTCCTGGCAAAATAAAAATGATGAATATTGGCTTTGGGGTAGAAAACTTGAAAAGACTGGTTGAAAAGATGATTAAAACTTTTCTGTACAAAGACATGTGTAGATTCCACCTGAGTTTTAATCTAATCTTTAAAGAACCAAGTAACTATAATCTATTTTAAGCATGAGGAAAAATTGAAAGCCTTCTGTTCATTTCTAGTAATAAAACCCAATTAAAAATGCTATAAGAAAGAGAAAAAAGCCAGTTTTTAGTGAGTCACTTAGATGTAAAAAGTGTCACTAAACAGGAGATTTCAGTATGTATTCAAAGAATAATACTTTATAACTAAATAGAGTTTATCCTGATAAAACAAGGAGAATTCAGAATCAGAAAATCAATACATTACTAAATTAAAGAAGAAACCCCCATGGGATTATTCCTAGACTAGGAAATGAAGGAAACTTATTAAATATGATACTACTAGTTAACAAGAAATCAGTAGTATTGTCTTCAGTGTAAATTTTGAAATTATTTCAGTTTTTAAAATCATGAGTTAGGGATTCCTGCTGTAACCATGGTGGGAAGTATTTCCCTGGGTTGGGTTCTTCAAGGTGGTTCCTCCTCCAACTTTTTCTGGTGGAGGTGATAAAATCTTTAAGGATGCTCTATATGTAGAAGTGACTTCCTGGTTTAAATTACTGCTGAATTTTAAAGTTGTAAATTTATAAACCTTTTAAAAAAGCATTTAAATTCATGAGTCATGATTCATTTATAAATCAATTAATTGTTAACAAAGTAAGAATGTGTTTACTTTGGCCATTGATGAATGTTAGTTAACTCATGTATTTAACAGATTCACATTTCCTAAATAATCTTATTTACAAATTTCAGATTATCTTAAAACTTTAAACATATTCATAAACTTAAGATGTATTCTTCAAAAACACTTAAAGTAGGCCTTCAAATCTAATAAGCATAATCTTTTAAGCACTTAAGCAACTCTTGAATGTAGAACATGAGTTGTAATAAATATTCAATGTTTACAAACTTAATTACATTCTGTTAAACATGTCTAATTAAAATTATGATTCTAATACCAAATACTTCAATTACAGCCACACCTGAAACATAGGAGATTCTCAGCACTTTATGGAGCGTGTATTGTATACATGCAGATTATCCCATGTTCACAATTACTGCCAAATGTAAAATAGGTACTCAAAAAAGTGAATATATGGATTTGATTTCTTTCATGTCAAAATTTATTTCTGCATCTGCTCAGGTTGCGAAGTCACTGATTTTTCTAAGTGGGAAATATTTACCATTCTGGCTGAGTTTTGGTTATCAGGTGTATTATTTTGAACCATGATTTGGCTATGGATTATCTTATAGAAACCTTGAGACTTAGAACCTTTCAGGATATATATGGCCAAGCTACAGGTTCACTTGTGGAGTCCTTCTAGTAATAAAGCAAATTTCCAAGCCCAAGCCTTTTCTTGTATTAAGTATATTGAGTATTATATGTGTATTATTTTTATAATGAAACTCATGCAGTGCTGGTGGAAACGTGAAAAGGCATGACTACTTTGCAAAATTGTTGGGCACCATCTTATAAAGTTAAGCCATTTCTTAGCCAGAGGCCCAGGAGTTCCACTCTTAGGTATTTTCAAGAGAAGTGAAATTTACATCCTCACAAAGGCTTGCACGTGAATATTCATAGCAGCATTAACAGTAGTCAAAAGTGAATTGATAAACAGTAATATGTCCATATAATTGGTTATTACTCAGCAGTAAAAAGAAGTTCAAACTACTCTTTCATGCAACACTATGGATAAATATCATAACACATTATACACAGGTGTGAAAAAAGCCAGAAATAAGAATTCATTACTGTCTGATTCAGTTTTATGAATTTCTCGAAAAGGCAGACTGATACTCAATGTCAGAAAAATAATAGAATTTAAAGAATTTTTAAAGGTTTATTTTTATAATTATAACTAGCTTTCTAACTTTAATTCTCTAATTTGAGTTGATGAAACTGTGCTTTCCTATCTGGATTACAGGTAAGCTCTTTTCTACCTGATTGGATCCTGCATCCTGCCTATATTGCTTTTTAATCTGGCTCATCCAGCTACCATTGTGTAATCATTCTGTGACTAAGATAAACATGGTTCCTTAGTCAAACTGTTTTAAAAAGCTATTTCAGATTAAATGATTAGTCATCGAATGCTTATTATAGTCTTTTAGATAACTAAGGTAAGATGCATTCTATTTGAAACTCCAGATTTTATTTTATTTCTTTTCATTTGCTAGAATGCCCCGGTAGATGTTGGCTTCATGGTTTCTAAGCTGCTTTTGACCATACAGTTATGTCCAAAAACAGAATTTCAACCTAGTGAAAAATTTGGTGAAGACCTAAGTGATAACACTTGGGAATACATATTTGCCATTGATCTGCTCTGCTGCCATCAGAAATGGATCTGGACGCATGATAACATCATAAGGTTAGTTATTTTACTAATTTAAATAAAGATATGTTATTGTAAGGTTGAATTGTTGAACACTGAATTGTGGCTTGAATCATTTTTGTCGTTTAAGTGTGTAAGGCAGATGAAACATTTACAAATTACACTGTTTTTATTTTATAAGAGTTAATAAAACTACCCTTAAGATACCTTCATCACGGCCGGGCATGGTGGCTCACGCCTGTAATCCCAGCACTTTGGGAGGCCGAGGTGGGCAGATCACGAGGTCAGGAGATCGAGACCACCCTGGCTAACATGATGAAACCCCGTCTCTACTAAAAATACAAAAAATTAGCTGGGCGTGGTGGTGGGCGCCTGTAGTCCCAGTTACTCGGGAGGCTGAGGCAGGAGAATGGTGTGAGCCCGGGAGGCAGAGCTTGCAGTGAGCGGAGATTGTGCCACTGCACTCCAGCCTGGGTGACAGAGTAAGACTTCATCTCAAAAAAAAAAAAAAGAAAAAAAATGCTACCTTCATCCCTATCACATTTTCTTGCTTTATTTTTCTTTAGTACCTGTCACTAGTTTTTGTTCAATTCTGCTATTGTCATCTCTCTCCCCAGTAGAAATGACTCTGGAGGGGCGGAGGGTGGCCTTGGTTGGCTTGTGGCGTATCCCTAGCATGCGGAACAGTGCCCACACAAGGGGAGCACCTGGCGAATGTATGTTGAATGAAATTAATTATCATTATCGTAACATACAGATACTCACAAAACCTAAAGGGAAGAGAAATATTCAAAATTATAAATTAGCAGCTTCTGTCACCTGGGAGAAAATTAAGCTCTCTGACATTCATTGTATGTAGTAAATTAACTTTTCTCTGTGCATCTATAATTCTGGCACTAGCTTTGTACCATCTCTGAGAGAATGGAGAAAATTGTCACTCAAATAATTTTTCTGTAGGTCTTAATTTTCTTGTGGAACCCTGGCTGAGAAAGGCTGGTTTAAGGGAGTTGGTGACATTAAAAAGGATGCATCAAAGGTTTGATAATCCATATCCTTGAGATACTTGAAGCTGTGGAAATTACCTTGTCCATGGATCCATGTGTGTCCAAGGATGTCTGTTACTCTTGTTCATCATCTTGACACTAAGGGAAGATTAGACATCTGAATGTCAAACAGTAAGGAATCAAATCATGGCACTCCTGTATGAGATGATAGCTATATTAAAACACATAGCTATGAATGGATTACTATGTATTGACATGGAAAAGTATTTCCCAGTCTGTTACTAAATAAGAAAATGACAGAACAGTCTGTCCAGTGCCAGTCTGTATAATGATGTGTCAGGGCCTGCTGTGGGCCTCAGCTTTCTGAATCCTCATGGGAACCCATGAGGCAGGGCCCTGCTGGCCCCAGTTATGCATGAAGAGACCAGGGCTGGTGCCCGTCAAAGATGCTTCGTCCACGATCCCTGCACTCGTGATGAAGACATCATCAAACATGAGGATCTCCACCTGAGCAACTGCCGACCCTGCTCCCTTCCTCAGCACTGGTGGCTCTCTCCAGGTTGTTTACATCCATAGATAGTAGGGAGTATCTAGAAGAAAAGCCAGAATTAGAAGAGTAATAATGATCTGAGACTGAGTTTGGAGTGCTTTTAATTATCATTTTTCTTTTGTCTACATTAAACTTTTCTAGTGATACTTTATGAATACCATGAAAGAAGTAGATAGATTTTTGAAAAAACAGATGACAAAGAGGAATTGGCACTGTTTTCAGTCAGTGGAAACTTTCTTTTATCCATCTAAAGTGTTATTTGATTACTGAAGTTACAGTTTTCCTCTGGCTTAGCTCCTTTTGGTTTACATGCACAGCTTTATTTGTCTGTGATCCTGCCGGATAACTTGGCTTCTAAAACACAGGGGCTGCTTTTGCACCTGGAGAGTCCAAGTGAAAACTCAGGCTCTACCACTTCGTAGTTCTGGGACACTGGGGATGCTCTTCAGCTTCTCTGTCCAAAGCCTTGTTCAGAAGAATTAGAACAAGATGCAAGCACTGAATTTGCAGCCACGTTTAAGCTAGCATGGGCACAACTATGCTGTTGGAGAAGATGTGAGCATCCAGTATCTGTTCTCACTTGAACTTACAATGTTAGATCCTCAGCAGTTATCCTCTTTCACTTATTGCTTAAGGATCATTTATAAGATATTAGTATTATTTGAGTGATGATGAGCATACATCTTTTCATGTTGTTTTTTTATAGTAAGGAGCTGTGGCCTGTGATGGATAAATGGATAAAATACAGAAAAGGACATGCAAACATTGCGTATACTCCTGATATTATTATAGCCTCAATACTGAGGCTGATTGGTAAGTTGTCTGTTTTATTATTGTTTTTTTCTTGTTATTGATATCTTGGTGGAAGGCTGGGGGGTTAACTGTATAATAAAATATGCTGACTTTGAAAATTTCTGATTTTACAACCATCAGAGTAGATACTTTTGTACTTAAGTCATTCTCCTTTCTCTCTCCTTGTAAATTAGTGTTTTATTCATCTTTTTCAGAGATTAAGATTTTTCATATTAGTACATTTTAGTTACAATTGAGCTCTTTTTAGATGCTAATACTAATATACATAAAGACTAGGATATATAAGTCGCTATAAATTATACTGTAGTTTCATTTGGTTTCTAAAATAAGGATTGTATTAAGCCATTCTTGCATTGCTATATAAAACTACCTGAGATGGGATAATTTATAAAGAGGTTTCATTGGCTTCCAGTTCTGCAGGCTTTACAGGAAGTAGAATGCTGGCACCTGCTTGGCTCGTGGGGAAGCCTTAGGGAGCTTTCAGTCATGGTTGCAGGTAATGGGGGAACAGATACATCACATATGGAAAGCAGGAGCAAGTGAGGGGTAGCGGGGAGGGGTCACACACTTTCAAATGACCAAATCTCCTGTGAACTCAGAGCAAGAGCTTGCTCACCACACGGATGGCCCAAGGCATTCATGAGGGATCCGCTCCCATGATCCAGACACCTCCCACCAGGCCCCACCTCCAGCACTGGGGATTACAATTCAACGTGAGATTTGGGCGGGGACAGATAAACAAACTGTATCGAGGATATCTTCACACCACCTGCCCAATTTTTTCATACTTGCTTGATAAGGGTCACTTAAGCGAATTACAGAAATGAAATGATTGTTTAAAAATATTTTAAATGAGACATGGATCCTTCTTAATCTCATATTTAAAGAGGACCTCAATGGCCATTTGGTTCTGCTTCCTTATTTGCTACAAATCGTTAGTTTTTATTTTTACTTATCTCCTATGAATCTTTATTTTTATTTTTATTTTTACTTATTTTTTTCCTCTGTCTTGTCTTCAACAAGCTGCTGTCCAAGCCCTGCAGAATTATCAGTGATAAAATCTATTAATTAGAAAGATCTCTTAGACAGAAAAAACCCTTCAAAAAAATCAATGAATCCAGGAGCTGGGTTTTTGAAAAGATTAACAAAATAGACCACTAGCCAGACTAATAAAGAAGAAAAGAGACAAGAATCAAATAGACACAATAAAAAATGATAAAGGGGTTATCACCACTGATTCCACAGAAATATAAACTGCCATCAGAGAATACTGTAAACACCTCTATGCAAATAAACTAGAAAATCTAGAAGAAATGGATAAATTCCTGGACACACACACTCTCCCAAGACTAAACCAGAAAGAAGTTGAATCCCTGAATAGACCAATAACAAGTTCTGAAATTGAGGCAGTGATTAACAGCCTACAAACCAAAAAAGCCCAGAACCAGACAGATTCACAGCCAAATTTTACCAGAGGTACAAAGAGGAGCTGGTACCATTCCTTCTGAAGCTATTCCAAACAGTAGAAAAAGAAGGAATCCTCCCTAACTCATTTTATGAGGCCAGCATCATCCTGATACCAAAACCTGGCAGAGACAAAACAGAAAAAATTTCAGGCCAACGTCTCCAGTGAACATCGATGCGAAAATCCTCAATAAAATACCGGCAAACCAAATCCAGCAGCATATCAAAAACTTATCCACCACGATCAAGTCAGCTTCAACCCTGGGATGCAAGGCTGGTTCAACATATGCAAAGCAATAAGCCTAATCCATCACATAAACAGAACCAGTGACAAAAACCACATGATTATCTCAATAGATACCGAAAAGGCCTTCAGTAAAATTCAACATCCCTTCATGCTAAAAACTCTCAAACTAGGTATTGATGGAACATAACATAATTAGAGCTATTTATGACAAATCTACAGCCAGTATCATACTGAATGGGCAAAAGCTGGAAGCATTCCCTTTGAAAACTGGCACAAGGCAAGGATGCCCTCTCTTACCACTCCTGTTCAACATCGTATTGGAAGTTCTGGCCAGGCCAATCAGGCAAGAGAAAGAAATAAATAGGAAGAGAGGAAGTCAAACTGTCTTTGCAGATGACATGATTGTATATTTAGAAAACCCCATCGTCTCAGCCCAAACACTCCTTAAGCTGATAAGCAGCTTCAGCAAAGTCTCAGGATACAAAATCAATGTGCAAAAATCACAAGCATTCCTATATATCAGTAATAGACAAGCATAGAGCTAAATCATGTGTGAACTCCCATTCATAATTGCTACAAAGAGAATAAAATGCCTAGTAATAAAACTTACAAGGGATGTGAAGGACCTCTTCAAGGAGAACTACAAACCACTGCTCAAGGAAAAAGGACACAAATGGAAAAACATTTCATGCTCATGGATAGGAAGAATCAATATCGTGAAAATAACCACACTGCCCAAAGTAATTTATAGATTCAATGCTATTTCCATCAAGCTACCACTGACTTTCTTCGCAGAATTAGAAAAAACTACTTTAAATTTCATATGGAGCCAAAAAACCCATATAGCCAACACAGTTGTAAGCAAAAAGAACAAAGCTGGAAGTGTCACAGTAGACTTCAAACTATACTAAAAGGCTATAGAAGCCAAAATAGCATGATACTGATACCAAAACAGACATATAGACCAATGGAACAGAACAGAGACCTCAGAAATAACTACACATCTACAGCCATCATCATGATCTTTGACAAACCTGATAAAAACAAGCAACGGGAAAAGGATTCCCTATTTATTAAATGGTGCTGGGAAAACTGGCTAGCCGTATGCATAAAACTGAAATTGGACCCCTTCCTTACACCTTATACAAAAATTAACTTAAGATGGATTAAAGACTTAAATGTAAAACCCAAAACCATAAAAACCCTAAAAGAAAAACTAGGCAATACCATTCAGGACATAGGCATGGGCAAAGACTTCATGACTAAAACGCCAAAAGCAATTGCAACAAAAACCTGAATTGACAAATGGGATCTCATTAAACTAAAGAGCTTCTGCACAGCAAAAGAAACTACCGTCAGAATGAACAGGCATCCTACAGAATGGGAGAAATTTTTTGCAATCTATCCATCTGACAAAGGTCCAATATCCAGAATCTACAAGGAATGTAAACAAATTTACAAGAAAAAACAACCCTATCAAAAAGTGGGCAAAGGATACGAACAGACACTTCTCAAAAGAAGACATTTATGCGGCCAACAAACATGAAAAAAAGCTCATCATTCACTGGTTATTAGAGAAACGCAAATCAAAACCACTATGAGGTACCATCTCACACTAGTTAGGATGGTGATCATTAAAAAGTCAGGAAACAACAGATGCTGGTGAGGCTGTGGAGAAATAGGAATGCTTCTACACTGCTGGTGGGAGTGGAAATTAGTTCAAGCATTGTGGAAGACAGTGTGGTGATTCTCAAGGATCTAGAAACAGAAATACCATTTGACCCAGCAATCTCACACTAGTGGGTATATACCCAAAGAATTATAAATCATTCCACTATAAAGACTCATGCACACATATGTTTATTGCAGCACTATTTACAATAGCAAAGACTTGGAACCAACCCAAGTGTCCATCAGTGAGAGACTGGATAAAGAAAATGTGGCACATAATATACCATGGAATACTATGCAGCCATAAAAATGAGTTATGTCCTTTGCAGGGACATGGATGAAGCTGGAAGCCATCATTCTCAGCAAACTAACACAGGAACAGAAACCCAAGCACTGCATGTTCTCACTCATAAGTGGGAGTTGAACAGTGAGAACACATGGACACAGGGGAACATCACACACTGGGGCCTGTCGGGGCATGGGGGGTAAGGGGAGGGAGAGCATTAGGACAAATACCTGTGGGACTTAAAACCTAGATGATGGGTTGATAGGTGCAGCAAACCATCATGGCACATGTATACCTATGTAACAAACCTGTACGTTCTGCATGTGTATTCCACAACTGAAAAAAGAAAGCTCTCTTAGTTTTGACCTGACTTCTCTATCTGCAGCATGTATTCTTTGCCCCTGGGGAATATAAAACAAGCTTCATCCAATTTCTGCATTATAGCCCTTAGATACTTTGAAGATAATTATGACTTTTAAGTATCTTTGGATTTTTCTTTTTCTTTTTTTTTTTTTTTTTTGAGATGGAGTCTGGCTCTGTTGCCCAGGCTGGAGTGCAGTGGCACCATCTCGGCTCACTGCAAGCTCCGCCTCCCGGGTTTGCGCCATTCTCCTGCCTCAGCTTCCCTAGTAGCTGGGACTACAGGCGCCCGCCACCACGCCCGGCTAATTTTTGTATTTTTAGTAGAGACGGGGTTTCATCATGTTAGCCAGGATGGTCTCGATCTCCTGACCTCGTGATCCACCCACCTCGGCCTCCCAAAGTGCTGGGATTACAGGTGGAGCCACCGCGCCCAGCCGGATTTTTCTTAATGAAAACTCACAGATAGCATCATTTGAAATAAGGTTAGTGTTTGAGAATCGGTTATATAAGTCAGTCTAAAAATAGATCACAGTAGGAAATACCCTGTGAATTTTGTTACTGTATCGGCAAATTTGCATTCCTCCTCTGTGTGTACTTTGCATGCAAATATAGCAACATTGCCCTAAGTAAATAAAATGGTTCTAGACAAAAACCTGGTTACAAAGTAGACACCAAATTTCACTGGAAATAACCAATAATACACTTGGAGATAAGTTACCAAACAAGAGTGTAGGAGAACCAAATGATTGCCAAAGACTATGAATTTGGTAGAGATACATCAGAAGATAAGCAGAGGCACAGAAGTGGAAATGAAACTATGCCATGTGGTGTACAGGTTCAAAACTGTTTTGCTGAATTCCTTAGTTCAAGATACCCTCAAGAACAATTTTCATTCTAGCTGTGGAGCGCTAGGGAACACAGGAGGGTCAGTGATGGCATTCCCCATAGTTAGGTGACATCTATATATCTGGAAATGCTGATTTCAGTAGCAGCTTCTCTTATGAATTCAGGAAAAAATGCTCATGCTTTTGACTCATTCTAAATTGTGAAATCTTTTTTGAGAGTTAAAAAAAATTAGAAGAGATGTTTTAAGGTGTAAATAAATATGTTATCCTAGATAATCTGTGGAATTTTCAAAACAATATGGTATTTTTTTAAGTCACACTTTAAAATATGGTGATTTTTTTGTTCTTGTTTTACTGGTTGTGTTTCTGTATTGGTTAATCTGGAGAGGAAATAAGAGTGAAGACTGTTTTTTGTGGTCAGCAGCCTTATACGACAGCGGAAGCAGCCTCTTTGCGTTTATAGAGGAGGGTCAGCTGTACCTGTGATTTATCTTGGTGTCTTCTCCAGTGTCTCTTCTAACTAGTGTTTATCTTCTGGGATTACCAAATTTGGCTGGCCATCCAAATTGCCAGAGAAGCTTCTTAAAAAACATAGATTCTCAGGTTCCATCTTCCAAGGTTCTGATAGTGTTAGAGTAGTGTCTGCAAAGCTCTATAGGCATGCTAATGAAATAATGGGTTCGGAAAAGAATGATTGCCATAAATAAAATAGTATACACGGTCATTCACCACATAACAATGTTTTCATCAGCAGTGGAGCACATACCAGAAGGTGATCTCAGAAGATGATAATACCTTGTTTTCCTGTACCCTTTCTATGTTTAGATACACAAATGCTTACTCAAGTGTTATAGTTGCCTCCAGTATTCGGTACAGGAACATGCTGTACAGATTTGTAGCCTATCAGTAGGCTACCCCATATAGCCTAGGTGTGTAGTGGCTACTGCATCCATGTTTGTGCAAGTGTACTCTAGGATGATGTTTGTCCAAGGACAGAATCTCCTCAAAGATGAATTTCTTAAAATGTGGTCTCCTGACTAAGCGACCTGTGACTGTACTTTACCTTTCATTTAGATGTCACAAAACTCTTTTAAAGAAAACTATTTAAGATTATATACTTTCAAATATGTACCTTAAAATATGTGAATTAAGAATATGTTAATAGTTTATTTAAAAAGAAGGATGTGTAATTGTAGGGATAAAATATGGCTTGTAATTTTGTTCAAATCAAGTCTAGTTTATTCTTTGAATCTAAAATTCTGGCTGTTGAGAGCCAAATAATTTATGACTATTTAATAATATGTATTATTTAGAGTAATATATGCATACTTATACAATTAAGACTGATATACAATACAATTATATGTTATAGAGAATAAGAATAATGTGTAATTAACATAATATATAATTGACAATACCATGTACTAAAATGCTTATAAACATATAAAAGCAGTTCAGAGGATGGATAATTAGAAAGCGTAATGTCAAAGTAGGAGCAAAGTCAGGAAGAATAAGCCCTTCTCAGGTCTGCTGATGAAGTCGTGTGCATGAGCAAGATGGGTGTGGGGAGGCTGGAGCACAGCCTAGTGGGCTGCCACGTGTGCACAGGTGCACCAGCACAGGAGAGGAGCAGCAGAGCCTGGTCCTGCCTGTCCTTTTCGTGCCGTGGCACTATACGCAGGAGATGGGACTCAGAGCGAGGCAGTTGCTGGGTGACAAGGACAGTAGTGTGGGCTGAGGGCAAAGGGTGAAAGTGAGTGAAGCCTGCTGTTTAGGCCTGGCAGATTTCTCAGAGGTGACATTAACACCCCCACCCCCCAACACACACACACACACACACACACACACACACACACTCATCTGGATGAGAGTTTGAATTGTTACTAAGGAGAAACTGTTAGTGAACTTTCTTGCCATTTCTGAATCTGACCTTGACTGAAAAATTGAGTAAAAAATCAAGTTGGTAGGCTGTGATTTAATAATAATAACTTAAGTCACACACTAATCTTCATAAAATAAAGGAATTGTCTTTATTCTTTTTTTGTTTTTTTTGAGACGGAGTTTCGCTCTTGTTGCCCAAGCTGGAGTGCAATGGCGTGATCTCAGCTCACTGCAACCTCCACCTCCCAGGTTCAAGCGATTCTCCTGTCTCAGCCTCCCGAGTAGCTGGGATTACAGGCATGCGCCACCATGCTCGGCTAATTTTTTGTTGTTTTTTTTAGTAGAGACAGAGTTTCTCCATGTTGGTCAGGCTGGTCTCAAACTCCCGGCCTCAGGTGATCCTCCTGCCTTGGCCTCCCAAAGTGCTGGGATTACAGGTGTGAGCCACCATGCCCGGCCACTGTCTATTCTTAATTCAAAATTTGCACATCCTATTGAGATTTTTACTCCGTGGACAGTAAAACAAGCTTTAGGTCAGTGAGACTTGCGTTATCTAATGTTGGATTCAGGTGTGAGCATTGCTAACAGCAAATGGTCACAGGATTAGTACACGGGGTTTACTCCAACCTACCTTAATGATTAACTATTAAAGAGCATTTTGTGGAATGCTTGAATTGCTCTAGAGTCACAGAAATGTGGTGGAGAATAGAAACTGATCTCACTGCAGTGCTCAGTTCTTGGCAGAGCTGAAGCCTAGAAAGATTAAGCCCTTCTCTGAGGCCATCCAGTGGAAAGGTAGCAAAGTTGGGACAGAAATTTGCCTACCACTGGATTCAGTGGAGTGTAAATCTGTAGAATACCACCTTTCTGCCCCAAAGAGCTTATAAAATCCTGAATAATTTGCCCCTCCTTGTATTAACTGGAACCTAGAGCTAGAAAAACACTGTGTCACATGTCAGGTTTCTGCAGGTCAGACCGAAGTAGCCATTATTCAGTGATTTCTATCTGTTCTCTTGGCAAATCTGTCAGCTTTCCTTTGAAATTGTGTCAGCTCACCTTTCCTTTGCAAACTTGCATCCAGAATCTTAAATGAAAACCCTGCTGTCTTTATCTTCTAATTAGTGTTTATTAGAAGGGTCTGCCTGTAGACTTACTTTCTGTGCAGGCCTCAGCTCTGCTGGGGCTCCCTTGACAGTGCTGGGGATTGCATTGTCATGGACGTTGAGATTAGCTCCTCATTTCTTATTTGTATTCTAATACGGCTGGATGGCCCTGGAGTGTCCTCACATACCTTCTGTGGGGAGCTCTTCCTCCATCATGGCCAATCTGTCATCTCTGTCAGGTCATCGTATATTGAGTCTTTTTCCCCAAATCATCTACTAGACTCATGATTTCCTCTTATTTTACTCCTTAGCTCCATTAATTTAAATCACTTATAAAACTGAATTTCATTAAGTGCTTTTAATTGAAAGGGAGCCCTTATAACATGATGATATATTTCCTGGGAACGCATGCACATCCCATGATTGAGTAATACCATAGCTGTGCTAGATGTGCATCCCTTTCTCTGCTGTTAGTCATACAGTTAATATCCGTGGTAGATTGTTCCAGAGGACAGATCCAGTGGTATGCTGGTAGCAGTTTAATCTGATTGCAAAGAGATATTTGAAAGTGGTCAGTGACCTGAAATTTCTGATTTCTGAAGTAAATTACTTTTCAGTTTCCTAGGCTCCCTAGAAATTATTCAGATATTTACAATATCATCTTACATTGGGAGTTATCCTGATATTCTTTGATCAGTAATTATGTACTGAGCATCTGCTGTGTATCTCAATATTCAGGCTGCACGTACCTAGCACTAAGCTAGTTCCTGTAGAGGATACAAAGTAATGCAAATTACTTAAGCGTCCCATGCCTCAGCTTCTCCACATTTAAAATAGAGATGAAACTCATATGCTGGATCCACATATAGACCTGTGGGACACTTGTAGTATTGAGAGAGAATGTGAACACAGAACGCTGAGCATACAATATGATACTGTTGTAAAAGCACATCCAAGATATGTTCGCAATTCTCCTACTTAGGAGTCAAAAGAAGATGAGGATTTGCCTGGATGGAGGGAACAGGATTCCACTTTGAAGCAAGTTCTCATCCATAGGAGAGCTCCTGGAGTAAGGGAAGGCTGCGAGTGTAGGGGAATGGGGGGAATGATGCCATCCTGCTTGCTTTAGCCTTTGGGGAATTTGGTTGCCCTGTGATCTCCATCCTTGGATCTTTGGTTCTCATACCTGTTAGTTATTATTGAGAACCCTCAAAGAACTTTTGTTACTCCAGGTTACATCTATCTGTATTTACTTTGTTAGTAATTAAAAACTCAGAAATTGTTTATTTAGTTATTCATTTAAAATGAACAGTAATGAACCCATAAATGACGTTTTTAATGAAAGATAACTATATTTCCAAAACAAACAAAAAATAATGAGAATCGCATTGCCTTGTTGCAGACCTTTGTACTGTCTGGTTTGATATCAGATGGCTGATTTTTCATTATCTGTTCTGCATTCATTCTCGTGTGTTTTTCATATCCGTAAGACTGAATATATGAAGAAAACCCATTCTCATACAAATACACAGTTAATGGAGGGCAGAATCTTTTACTAGCCTTTTCAAATACGGATATTCTTTTTTGATGCTACAATAAAACTCAACAAGTAGTAATTTCTTAAAGGGTACTTGAAGTGTGAAATCTGAAATGCTGTCAGTGAGCTTTTTATACCTTGTTACACTAAAATCCATTGAGCTAGCTTAAATGTTGAAGGGATCCTTTTGCCCACTTATGATTTTGTAACCTGCATTATTCACTTGGAAAATAATTGATTGACATAGATCTTCGAAATGCCAACAATACCCAAAAATCACATTTAATATCACCAATCTCATCACAGAAAAGTCTTAAATATTGTAAAGCTGTCAAGCTCAGGATAGCTGATGAAAATTGTTCCAAACTTTTAATTTTGCTTAAAAGCTCAGATGTTATTGACCACGAGGATAAAGTTCATTTAAGTTACAGGTTCACTTTGTTTATTGTTGAAAAAAATCTGCGTTGTTCCAGTTAGCCATAGTTTGTCAGTTCTTTCAATCAAAGGTGGTGTCCTATGAGAAAAAAGCGCCTAATTTCACTCACAAGACAAACAATTGGATAAGTGCATTTCTTCACAACAACCAGTGTACTCAGTGTATGGGGGAGTGCTTCCTGTGCCGTCTACAGCATGTTACAGAGTTCTGTGCTTAGGGGTCCAGGTTTAGTGAGAGTAATTGTGACTAAGTAAAATTGGCTTTTTGAGTGTGAGCACCTGGCAGTGGAGAATAACTCCCATTTAGCGAGGTGCCACTGTCTTGACTTGCACTCACAGTCCGGTAGTTTGATCTGCTGTGGCTTTTGCACCATCAGACCACATGTCAGCACTGGGAGGAAGGCACTTAACTTCTTAGCATTGTTGTGAAGTAGTTTGACTTAGAGGACACTAAGGTTTCTGTAGACTACACTTGAGAATTACTGCTCTGTGGTATAATAGCAGTTGCCAAAGTGTCAGACCAAAAATACATATTTTGGTGGGACCATAGTCTTATCTTTGATCTGTTAACTTAACAGAAGTCAGGCGTTTCACATTGGCCCTACTGAAACCATTCTTTCTTCTAAATTCTATTTATTCCATTGTAACTTGGAAAGCAACACATTGTATATCATCTGGTATAGGTGATTGCAAGACGAAATGATGAGGCATTTTGATCACCTCTTGTAAGAGAAGTGGACCTTTAAATTCTTAGGAAAAGTTAATCAACATTTAACTGGACTGTTTACATTTTGGTTTGTTTCCCCTAGGTCGTTTAGGCCAATTGGGTTTGAAAGAAGGATTTCCATCTGCTGTGAAAAATATTAGTTCGGTTATTGGTATGTTTATACAGCATGCTCACGATGAAGGTAAAACTTACATCTATTAAAATTACTTTTAAGTAACTTGTGTTTCTCATAGTTAAACCTTTTTTGGGGTCCTTGCTGTGTGCTGTGCTCTGTGCTTTGCTTGCTGCCTCATAGATTAGGGAATATTTGCAAAACATTCCAGCATTAATATTGGAATGTGTGTGTGGATTTTGTGGTGGTATTTGATTACTTAAATAAAAGTCGTTTGCCTTGTTGGGCACTGCTTTCCTAAGGAAGAAGAAAGTCTCTTCTCTTCCTGCGGCTAACATTCTGCCTCTAAAACTCTGTACTGTGTGATCCCTGACAAGTGACTTAACCTGGGCTCTCTGCGAGGCCTCCTGGGTGGAGCTGTGTCTTGACGGAATGAAATCCGTGATGTACAGTGAGATGCCAGGTATCACAGAGTACTTAGCATCAAGGGGGGAGAGCTTGGAAACCTGGAGACCTTGTGAGCAAGGCTTCGTAGTGGGGATTTCTATTATCATTTACGTATTGCATAGCATGTAATTTTATCTCTTGTGGGAGAAGCTTAACTCAAAGTAACTCTTATAAGGGATGAATCTAGTTTTTATTTTGAATATTGTATAATCAAGGAATAATACAGTTAAGCAACATGCCATCAGAAATGCACAGAGTTACATTTTAAATACTGTATAACACCCAAGATGATCTTAACATGGTAGGTTGTCTTCAGCTTTCAGTGGGAGACTGTATATTTAGCTTAATGAGAACAGTGTTTCTCATTTAAGCTGCTTTATCTGAAATACCTTCTTTAACTTTAGGATAGCTGCTGAAGTGGTACACATTTCTTCCATATTACAGTGTACTTTTTTACAATTGAGGTTGTATATTGACATAAAAGAAAGTAGCCAGAATAATGGCTAATGAGTTGTTTTGCCAGCAGATGCAGTTTACTCTGATACTACAGTGGGTGTAACCTAGAAGCTGTGGTAATCCTCGTCCCCATGAGGGAGAAGGAGGAGCTGATGTTGGGGCCTGCTATAGATTAGACCTTGTGCATGGCACTGCCCCACAGCCTAACGGGATCCCCAAGACAGCCATCTGAGTGGATGGCATTGTCCTTCTTGTATACAGGAGGAAACCAAAGCTCAGAGAGAAGAGTGATTTGCTGAAGGTGAGGCTAGGAAGTGCCATCCCTGCTGTTTGCCCAGGTCTGTCCCTCTCCAGAGCTAGCTCTTTAAATAGTGCCACATGCTGTTATTTATTAAAATTATTTTTAACCTCTTGTGTTTCTCTTACTGTTACACTTTTTTATTTGTTTGAGTCATGGCCTTACTGTGTGCCCCGTGCTCTGTGCTTTCTCATTGCTTGTGGTTTATGGGGGGGAGTAATATTAAGAGCTGCAGTTGTGCCTGCTTGTCAGCATTCATGTTTGAATGTGTGGGCTTTTGTATTATTTGAAATAGTGCTAGTTTACCTTGTTGGAGAAAACTGAGGTACACATTGAGTATATTTTATTTGAAATGCTTGGGACCAGAAGTGTTTTAGACTTCAGATTTTCTTGGATTTTGGAGTGTTTCCTTTATATTTATGAGTTGAGAGCATCCCTAATCAGAAAATCAGAATGCTCCAGTGAGTATTTCCTTTGTGGGTCATGTTGATGCTCCAGAAGTTTCAGCTTCGGAGCATTTTGGATTTCAGATTTTTGGAGTAGGAATACAGTGCAACCTCCAACTTTAACTCCTAAATTGTTTAACCTAAATTATCTAAGTAAATGAAATTTTCATAACTCTGAAATAAACTTACCTTAAAAGAGAACTGTGATAATACACTGTAATGTATAACTTAGCTGTAATCCAGAATCATACACTGTAGTTTTTGAAAGTATGGTACGCTACAAAAAGTTTTTCATTATATCTCTTATTATGTTTTCTCATTTCCAAAGTCCATTTATAAATGCTTCCCGTGGATATCTCATAGAGTCATATGTTTAATGAAGGTTTTAGGATCACGTTTTATTAAAACTTAAATATGGGAGTGTGATCCTTCCAGAACTGTTTTGGGAAGCTCAGTCGTGGCCGTGGGTGACTGGGATCTTGGAGGCCCTCTCCTTTTTAAAAACACACAAACAGTCCTCAGAACACTGCTGGGGCCAGGAAACTACAGACAGCTACTGTCTGGCTTTTCTTCTTTTTTATTTGTGGACAGGTCTTAAATGAATTTTTTTACTGTGGGTTTTTTTATATTTAATTTTCATTGCTGGCAGAAAGCATTCTGTATTTGAATAGTATTCCAGTAGGTTACATCACTAAAATTTTGAATAACAGATATTTTCTTGTTTTATGACTGATCTGAAATTTCTTTTCAGATATACCATGGGGTATACAGTTAGCAGCCGTGTATGCTCTTTGTGACTTGAGTCCCAGCAATCCAGCAGAAATTTCCAAGATCCTGGAAGCTTGGCGGAGAGAGGCCTCCAAAAGCGTTCCGTCTGCGATTGTCAGCTGCCTAGAGGAAGTCAGTGCCCTGAGCACAGAGGAGCTTGGCTGACCTGGGATGCCACTGAGGCTTGAGAAGTGCCTTGACACATTTTGAACACAAATAGTTTGATCAGCTTTCAGAATACAAAGGGAGGTTTCAAAACAAAAAGACATAAAATAGATAAAACAGACCAGAGGCTCTCCTTATTGTTTGGCAAGGAGACAGGAGAAACAAGCAGTCGCATAGTCGTTTTTCCCTAAATCTAATACGTTTCACTTAAGGCTGTTGTGATCTGTGACATATGGGTTATATTATTGTGTCTTTGTCAAACAACAAAAACTTGAACTTAGCCCTTTTTTTGCTGCAGAAAGTGTCCTTTTAGTGGCTTCTTAAAATTGAGTGGCATTTTATAATGAACTTACCAATATAAAAACATGATTTGGTTCCTGAGCTGTTGTTGTTGGACTTGTGTTCCAATGAGTGACTAGGAAAAAATAAATTGGCAAAAACCTAGAGTTTTCTGCTATCTTTGCTGGAAATGAGTTGCAAAAGTTTTTCTCAAGATGTAGTGCGTAATTGATCAGAGCAAAACATGCAGAGCCCTTAGCAGAAACCCACTTTAATGCATTTTCTTCATATCCCTAAAGTTCCTTAAAAATATGTGACAATGCATCAGGAAGAGGAGAACTGAAGAGTAGAAGTTCCCTTGCAGATTTTTTTATCAGTGACATGTAATGAGCAATTCACAGATGAGCGCAGGCAGAGCTCTGTGTGCCGTGTACATATGGACCGTGCTATGATGTGTCTCACATTGGATGATATTCCACTTTGGGAATTTTAGTATTTGTATATAGAAAATGGGTTTAATAACTCACCATGGTTTTGATTTGTCTTATATTCGTTATTTCTTAAAACTCTTGTATGTGTTTTTATAATAAAAAATAAAAGTAAGCCATGGATATTACTGTTCTGATTATTAGAGTGAAACTGGGTGTTACTTCTGCTCTACCAAGGGTGAAGAAGACATCTAACCAAAGATAGAAGAAAATGGTCATTCCTAAAGAGACCTGCCTTCTGGTGATAGAAACATTGCATTGCCAGTACTTACCCAGCTTTGAGTATTTACGGAGATGCTCTTTAGTGATACCAGATGCCAGATAATTAAGTGTTTACAGGCCCTCATGATTGGATTTTTTGTTTAATTACAGCTGCTGCCCTTTAACAATTGCATTTGGCAGCAATTTTGTTACTCCTTCCTTAAGTAATTATAACAGGCAGAACTGAAATTTTTAAATCACTTGGTTGTCCTTTCGGAAGCTTTGTGTTGATAGTCATTCTTACTACCAATATGTTGAACATACTCTGCCAGGTGCCTTGCTGGGAGGAGCTAGTCACATGGCATTTGGGTAGAGGAAAATCCTAAACGAGTGGTCACCCAGTATATACAACAATCATAAATTGGGGAAATAGCAACAAAGAAAACCTGGAGCTTTGCGTATAGAGTAGCAGGGTAGATGCCTCTTTCCACATCGTGGTCGAAGAGGATCTCTCTGAGGAGGTAACATTACAAGGACCTGGATGGAGGGACCCAGACTTGAAAGCAGGCAGGAGGAATGTCCCTGCTGGGGCAGCCCTGCAAGGCAACAATCCCATGAGTGCCAGAAGGAGTCTGCTGGAGCCAAAACACCTGTCACGTGTCCATGGGATCAGGTTAGATAACTGCCAGTCACTCAAGACAGCTGGGAGCACTTTCATGCTGAGTGGCATCTGAGGCTCCAGGGAGATTGAGTGGAGGTGTCACGTGCGATAGTTCACTGGAGCTGTTCTGATGAAAAGGGATGTGAGAAGGGCAAGAGGTGAAGTGGAGAGACCTGTTAGGAGGCGACTGCAACAGGTGGAGCTGGGAGCTGACGGTTGTGAGGGTGCAGATGACAAAGGGCAGATGGACTTCACATCTATTGGGGTAGAATTGATGCTGTGTTCATGAAGTTCCGGGGAAGAATCAGGGAAGACGTCCAGGTTACTGAGTTGAGCACCTGGAGTTGGGGATAGATGCACACAGGTTTAGGAATTACAGGTGGTAGGAATCACGACTCGAGCTTTCCATTTGGGACATGGGAACCATAAGACCTCCAAGGAGAGGTGGCAGGGAACCTTTACAGGAAAAACTATATAGAAGGGATGTGACAGAGCTTTGGAAGTTGATAGCATATGGAGACTACTTAAAGCTCTGTGTGTGTATTTCTGCGTTCACCTAGGGAGAAAAATAACTTCCCCCCAGTCCCTCCTATAATTTGAAGTGCCATGGGAGAGGGAGAAGATGAAAGACGGGGCAGGAGGTGTTTTGGGAGGAAACTTGTCAGTCATGTATTGTCCAGGCACTTGGCTACCGATGTGGCTGGAAGCTGCAAGGTCAGGTGAGGTGAGTGACCTTGGTGAGCATCTCCCACATACTGATGGGCTTGGAATGGGTGGCACAGGGAGTGGGAAGTAAGGAAGAGAGAAGAGCAGGGCGTGGTCCACTGAGTTTGTGGAAATTGTGCTTAGTGAGTGGATTTGTCAGGTGGTTCAAACATGTTAAACCTCAGCAGTCGTATGTGTTTTTAATTAATGGAGAGGAGGGGCACTGTCGTTTATTAGCACCCGTGCTGACTTTTGCTTGCCATACTTGTTCCTTGAGTTTACTTGGCAGCATCCACTCCATATGAACTGATGACGACAAATAATAGGCTTGAAGTTGCCCACTGTACTGTGTTATCCCCAGAGAGTGGAAAGGTTTTAAGCTGTTATTAATTTCTAGTACCGAAACAGAACATTATTTTAACGTTTTATTACTTGAACCAAAAAAAAAGACTAAAACTGTAAACACAAAAATGAACACTTTTCAGCCTGGAGTTAGATGAGGCTTTCAACTGGTGCTTGGCGGCTCAAGCTGGTTCCCCTGCAGCTTGATAAGCCTTTCAGTGCAGAGGTAAGCAGGAGACACTGAATCAGGCTGCGCTGGGCAAAGGCAGAGATTCTCGGAGCGTCTGCACATGATGGTATTTGCGTGGGAAGCCAGGGCAGCAGTGAAGAGGGTGAAAATGGTCAACAGAGTGTGGACGGACAGCAAGATGATTACACACTTCGGAGTGTCATTTTTCACAGAGAAAGTACTCTGTTACATTGTTTGTTTTTTAAAATAGGATGTGGCAGTGTAATTCAGCAAGTTCAATATTTAAGGAACATGAAATAGAAATAAATTCATACCTGGACTTGGAAAGAACTGCACTGTAGCCATTAGAGGGCACTGTAGACTCACCCATGAACAAACCATCCGGAAGAGACAGGGAACCTTAACTGGAGAGGTCGTCTGGGTGCAGAATTTGGCGCTCTGAGAGCCTTTCTATCAGGGAAGCATTTCCATTCACGTTTGGGGTGTTCCTTGCACTTCCTAGGGCCATTATTAATAAGTAAATGGGGAAAATGTGTGGATAGAATAACATGTAAAGTTCGTGTTTAAGAGCACATTTCAAAAAAGAAAAAAGCAAATACTTAAGTCCTTTGATCAAAAAACAACAAGAAGAAAGGGAAGGAAGGGAGAAAGAAGAAAAGAAAGAGAAAGAGAAAAAGAAAGGAAGGAAAGAGGAAAGAAAAAGAGAAAGAAAAAAAGAGAAAGGAAAGAGAAGGAAGGAGGGAGGGAAGGAAGGAAGGAAGGAAGGAAGGAAGGAAGGAAGGAAGGAGGGAGGGAGGGAGGGAGGGAGGGAAGGAAGGAAGGAAGGAAGGAAGGAAGGAAGGGAAGGAAGGAAGGAGAAAGACAAGCAAGTGACCAGGTGAGTAATTGGTAGTGGCAGTGAAGTGAATGGCAGGTTGTGTCACTCTCCTCTGATGAACTGGCAGGCAAAGAAACTAGTCAATTAAGTCATCCTGCCCACATTGAACATTACTTTTTTCAAGCATCCCTGACGCATTATCTTGTGTAGAACCATATTACAAAGAATTTATAGTGCGAATAGAGCTCACACCTGGAAATCTAATCAACCGCCCTCATTAAGACTTAGGATGCAACAATGTTTCAATGAGGGGTGTTTTAAAAATTTAGGAGAAAGTTGAAAAAGTCAGATCTATAAACTTGTAAATGCTTTCCTCTCTTGCTTGCTTCCATCTACCTGACGCTTTCTCAAGGAAATTCAGAGTGCATAATTGTGAAACAAGAAGTTCATTTTCTTGCCCCTCCAAGGGGAATTTTGAGGAATTAAAGCGCCCTCACTGTATTGTAGTCAGTTTGTTTTGCACAACGAAATAGGTTCTGATGACAGAGGCAAAAACAGAAGTGTGAGTGAAGAGCCATAAAAATGATATAATTCAGTTTTCTATGAAAATGAATGCTTTTGCTTGCTTTCATGAAGAACTTTGTGTTTTTGTGAAGGACGTTAGTACCTTGGAATGCCTTGGCTCAGGCCACCTTGTCTTCCAAAGCACACAAGATGTGTCTCATCAGGGTGTCAAGGTGCCAGCGTTCACCCTGGAGCCCAGCTCTCATCAGCCATTCTCTTAACTGCACCTTTCGCGGGGCCTGTCGGCAGTGGGGAGCCTAAATCACACCTGGCTTCTTAGGACTGGAGATTCTAGAGCTTCACCCAAAACCCTTGAGTTTGAAACTCCGGGGGTGCCTCCCGGTGACATGGATGCCCCCAGCAGTTGGGTAGACACTGCCCAGTAAGTTCTCTGAGCATTGCGGCCTGCTCTGTTCTGCACCCGAGGTCTGCTCACCCTCCCCCTGCCTGAGCGGCCTCTGCCTTCTCAGCTGCTTTCTGTCTTCAGAGGGTCACAGCTCTGGTCTCTAGATGGCTTTCCCCACCGTCCCATCCCTTGATCCATTTCCATGGAAATTTGGAAAGAGGAGAAGGTAAGCTGTTCACTGCCTTCCACCACCTTGAACTGAATCCAGTCCCTAGCTGGTTTTGTTTTTAATTTTTCCCATAGTCTTTAAGAATATTACTTTTTCCTTAACAGTCATCAATTGCTGCTCTGAGATAACCTCACCCTAAATTACGAGTACACAACTGAAAAACTCAAAAGGGAAGGCGAGGAGCTGAGAATGTAAACCCTCAACTACCAGACCTTCCACAGCCATAAACGGACCCTCCTAGGTATTGTTTCTCTGTATTAATTATTGTTATACTATATCCATTTTAATAGTTTCACTTGTAATGCAATATATACTATTCTTGAATAGCCTCCTCTTGCCTGTGTATTATTGTATGCATATAGCAAATTAAACATTGAAACGGGTCGGCACTGGAATGCCCTCTCCCTGTCGCCCAGGCCCTGTTCTCCCGGGGCTGCACTGACTGGCGGGTCTTTGGCTGCCCTCGCAGAGATGCCCGGGCAGATGGAGGTCTCAGGGCTGAGGACACCGCCTTCGTAGCCCCGCCCTGGCGGCCCCGCCCGTAGCCTGAGGCCCTGAGGCCCAGCGGCCCCGCCCCCGCAGCTCCGCCCCCGCAGCCCCGCCCCTGCAATCCTGGTACCCGAAGCTGCGAACCCGCAGCGCAGGCCCAGCCTCCGCAGCGCCATCTCTGCAGCCCAGTCTCTGCAGCCCCGCCCCCGCAGCCCCACCTCCGAACCCACAGCCCCGCCTCCGACTCTGCAACCCCGCCCCGCAGGCCTGCCGGCAGGTGCCTAACAGTGACCTCGCCGTGCTGCACTCCCTGCGCGTTGGTCACTTACAGTCGTCGCAGAGGTGGATAAAACTTGAGGTGCCTCCTTCTGCCCTCTTCAGCTACTTATTCCTGCCAGTGCATACTCCGGCCCTGTGCGTGCGCTTCCACTGGGGAAGTTGTCCCCTGGGGTGGAAGGGTCGAGGCCTCCGTGGGCTTCGGGTTACTTGGGGAAGCTCGTGACCCTTGGAAGCGAAGCTGCTGGGCAGGCTGCGGGAAGGCTCGCTGGCGCGGGGCTTAGGATTTGGGATGCAGGAGCTTCCTCTAGGGGTGCGCCTCCTGGCTCGCCGCCAGGGACCGGGCGCTGTCAGGCCTGAGGCCCCTGTGCCCCAGATCCTCCACGGCGGCTGTGCTGGAACCCCACACTTGCTGGACGTGTGTGCCGGGATCCCCGAGTCCAAGCCAACACCAGCGAGATTCTTAAAACTATCCTTGGTAAAAATGTAGCAAAACCTCAAATAAAGTAAACATTTTGATTTTTGAATAATAGTCACATTTAGAATATTGCAACAGTTTTGTAAGAAAATAACACCTTGAAATGTTTCAGGAGTTGGACTTCAGAGGCAAAAGCATGTTTGCGATGAGGTAACCTGTCTCGGTGTCTTTGCATCCTGCTGTGCCCCACCGTGTTTTGAAAGAGGGTTGCAGAGTCACTGACCCTGTGGGATGGCCAAACTGCACATGCCCAGCGCTCTGCCCGCCCCAGGGCACCTCTCCCACCTGCCAAGGAACCTGCTCCCACCCTGACCACTCGCAGATAATCCAAGACTCACTATATCTTAATGGAAAACCACAGTCACATTGGCAAATGTTTGGACAACCCGAATCTGACCTCCAGAAAGGAGAGCCCCGCGCACCCCCTGCTCAGGAAGACTTGGCTGTGCGAGTGAAAGTGTGCAGCTGTGAGGAGAAAGCCCTTCCTGGCCTGTTGCCCTGTATTTTCTGACCACTACGTTTCCTTTGGTTAAAAAAAAAAAAAAAGTCTCTGGAGAAAGATGATAGAGTCCTTTATTAAAAGGCATTTAGCCTACAGGAATGTCTTCTGCTAAATGAGGTTCTCTGTCAGCCCTACAGCTGCCTCAGACATAAAAAAGGTGTATGGGGAAAGCTCCAGGGTCCTGAGCCTATCGAACAGGTGATCCTGAGCCACCCCAGCCATTCCAGGACGCTCCCATTAGTCACTCAGAAGCTGTTCATAAGCTTCTCTTTCAAATCACCCCTCGTGTCCCGGGAAGAAGGGGAAATGGTCTACAAGGCGGAAGAACCTACAAATTGTAGGATGTTTACTTAATCCAGGGCCTTGTTAGTGTGGAAACACATCTGTAAATGCAGAATTGAGCTCACAATGCCCTGGCAGCAGCGATGCTCTTTAGAGCTGTGTCGCTGTGTTCCAGGAGACATGTGTTCGCCAAGGAGGAGAAAACCAAACAGGACCCTGTGCCTACCTTAAAATGCGAAAGTGCTTTATGAAACAATGAGCTTCTCTTGCAGGTCATTCTCCAGAATGCCAATTACATACTTATTCTTCCTGCTTGAGAAACGGGAAACATATTCCGTTGTCCAGGAGAGCCATCTGCATTGTGGTTGCTGCACCTTCATGGAAGGAGGGAAATTGTGACTTGCAGTCGAAGCCGAGGGTTCCAACAACTTTTGTTCTGAATTTCTGTAACGGAGGGCCATCCTTTATTTGCATGTTGAAAATCTGTTTGTTAAGTCTGCAGTGGAGCAGAAAATAGAATTTTTAAAGCACTCTCTCCTGACCTTTTCTATTTCGTATTTTTTAAGAGACAGAAATTTAACCCCTATCACATTGGCAATCATCCGGAATAATGTTTTAAATGCATCTTTGTGTTTGTAAAACTTGCTTCGAGATGAGAAAGTAAGTTTTCTGGATTTTGACGCAGTTTTGAAGTGCAGCATGTTAATTTCTAAATAGAAGCACTGGCATTGGATAAACTAAAGTAACGTGAATATAATTCTAGGAACTATAAGCTTACTTTCCTTATTTCTGGCTTTCTTTAGCTCTACGTATCTATTTTTTAATGCACTTAAGAAAAAAGCTATGCAATTGTGAAGGGTTTTTTTTATTATTATTATTCACAGGTTGAGGTTCATTTTGTCTTTCATCTGACAATTCTTTTCATTTAAATTCCACAATATGCCCGAGTGAGCAAAGAGAAAGGAGTCAGGGAGACAGAAATCTTCAAACTAAAACAAACAAACAAACAAAAAACATGCTATGCCTGGCTTCCCAAGCTGATTTTTTGGTTACTGTTATTACTAACCCCATACAAGTGTTTTTAGTGGGAAATAATGTTGATTCAGTTCCCCGGCTCTGGTGCCCACGTGAGCCCTGCAGCCGCCTGTCCTCCCCAGCAGGGAGAGCTCTGCGCTTTGATCATGAACCCTGGCTCTCAAAACGGTTCTTTCATATGGAAGCTCTCCTTCTTCAGACCAAGAACAGGCTTAGGAAAGAAAAGAAACAAAAGGCGTATTTCAAATCCACCCAATGCCATCTTTTTTCAAACATGTTCCTCATGTATATTTCAAAGGGGCCGTTTCCACAGAAGCAAAGACTGCATGAGCCAGTGGCGGCAACGCTTCTAAAGCGCTTGAGAGGGAACTTCCAATAAAGAGCTTTACAGACAGCATTGAGAAATTAGATACTTTTCGAATATTGCAACAGTTTTGTAAGAAAATAACACCTTGGAATGTTTCAGGAGTTGGAGTTCAGAGGCAAAAGCATGTTTGCGATGAAGTAATCTGTCTCTGTGTCTTTGCATCCTGCTGTGCCCCACCGTGTTTTGAAGGAGGGTTGCAGAGTCACTGACCCTGTGGGATGGCCAAACTGCACATGCCCAGCGCTCTGCCCGCCCCAGGGCACCTCTCCCACCTGCCAAGGAACCTGCTCCCACCCTGACCACTCGCAGATAATCCAAGACTCACTATATCTTAATGGAAAACCACAGTCACATTGGCAAATGTTTGGACAACCCGAATCTGACCTCCAGAAAGGAGAGCCCTGCGCACCCCCTGCTCAGGAAGACTTGGTTGTGCGAGTGAAAGTGTGCAGCTGTGAGGAGAAAGCCCTTCCTGGCCTGTTGCCCTGTGTTTTCTGACCACTACGTTTCCTTTGGTTAAAAAAAAAAAAAAAAAAGTCTCTGGGGAAAGATGATAGAGTCCTTTATTAAAAGGCATTTAGCCTACAGGAATGTCTGTATTATTGTGATAGTGATTATTAAAAAATAATCGCAATATAACTTGCCTGGAATTGTTGTTGTTAAAAAGGGTTAGGAATACTTGCATGTCTTTCAGATCGAGGTGGAAAGGGGAGCACCTATAGTTTCTCATGGCTTCATGGGGCTCCTTGCACCCCTGGTAATTGTCTTTTGTCTTGGTGTAGCAATTATGAAACAAGACAAGTGTATCATAAATCATATTTTTATAAGAGTCATCCCCAAATTTTTGGTAGGGCTTAAAACTTTTTTTCGACACAAAATACAGTGCCCCCAAGAAATGTCCATTCAGATAATGAGAATTTGACCTCACAAGACATTTCCGCTCAAAAGACATTTCTTGGGCTGGGTGCGGTGGCTCACGCCTGTAATCCCAGCACTTTGGGAGGCTGAGGCAGGATCACCTGAGGTCAGGAGTTTGAGACCAGCCTGACCAACATGGTGAAACCCGTCTCTACTAAAAATATGAAAAAGTAGCCAGGCGTGGTGGTGCATGCCTGTAACCTCAGCTACTCAGGGGGCTGAGGCAGGAGAATTGCTTGAACCTGGGAGGTGGAGGTTGCAGTGAGCCAAGATTATGCCACTGCACTCCAGCCTGGGCAACACAGCAAGACTCTGTCTCAAAAAAACAACAAACAAGCAAAACACACACAGAAAAAAGACATTTCTTTGCATTAACAAAACCGCACTGCATTTTGTTATTCTGGCAAGGTCCTGGTGGTTTGTTAGTTTATAGAATTAGCAGTCTTTCACTATTGAGATGAAGTAATTTTGATCGCTTTCTTTTGCCTTTATCTTTGATTTTCATTTTGTTTTATGGGGATGGAATGGGCAGGGATTTACATGAAATTTTCAAGTTTAAACATAGATATTACAATATTGTTAATTATTGAAGTAATTTCATGCCACTAATTTTAACTAATTAGGCATTACAAAAATCTTTGCTTGATAAAGAGTTTTTCAGAACTAACTTGGTTTTTCTTTTAAACCAAGGAATACTCAATCTCTGTCTTCCTTAGAACATGCTTGAAAATCAGATATTACTATCATTGTATCTGCTTCTAAAGCTGAGGCACAGGCAGGCTAAGTGACCTTAACATCAATGAAAATGTGGACTTGTGAAAAGCACGAAGCAGATTCTCTAAACCTGCCTGCTGATTCCAATATCCTCATGAAGTACCCAATGGCCTAAGATAAAATGTGTTTCCTCTCCCCCAGACCCTGTGTTTTCACCATCTTAAGCTGGGGAAAGAAACGACAAAAAGTGGCAGAAAGATTAGACTTGGTTTATAGTCATTTCCATCATCTCTTGGAAGAAGAAAGATGCTGGTTACCTTGGGCCTGTAGAGCAGGTCCCGGGAATTGACCACATGAGGCACATTTGTGCGTGGAAAGCAAAAGCAGTGTGTTTTCGGCTGCCTGGGGACCTGGGCACCAGGCACAGTGCTCAGAGCAGCCATCCCGAGGCAGATTTCACCGTGCACAGCCTATGGCATAAGAGCCATGCTGCAAGAGCCGGTGAGTGGCAGACAGAAGTTGCAAACTAGGTCTCTCTGCCTGTTCTCTGGAGCCTGCCTTTTTCCTGGGTGCATTGCCCCTTCTCACTGCCATATTGTATGCATTCATATGTGAGGTTCTTCTTTTTCTGCAAGAAAAAAGAACAAAACACATTAAGGATTTCAAGATTATATCCACCTTATTCAATAGATTTTACCCCAGATAATTTCACAACCTTTTTATATAATTCCAGATTTGATTAAACACTTCCCTTCTCAGTTCTGAAACTTGCATGGACTTAGTCAACCAAAATGTTTTCTCACAAAAACCTCAAAGAACAGTTAACACACACAATTTCTAGTGGTCATGTAAAAAGATAGTAATATATATATTTCTACCTATTGATTCATTTAAAATTAGAAATAATTGCTAAGCATTTTGAGAAAATAATTAGGACTAGTTTGAAGTTTAATTTGGGTAGAAGTCAGTTTGCAGGAATGATACATTTACTTTTAAATTTAGTCATATCCATATTCAGGTCAACATTTACAGTGACCAAAATAAAGACTAATATAAAAATCATTTTAAGAGAATATTTTTAAAACAGAATATTTTTACAGTTGCAATGGACCAGCGTCCTGAGGAAGGAGCAGGCTTCCCCTGTTGATGCTCTGCAAGGTAGACCTGCAGAGGACTGCCTGGCTCCCTTGTCTAAGAAGGGCAAACATCTTCACCTCTCTTAGATGAAGCCTGAAATGTGCTTTAAATCCATAATCCCTGGGTACTCCTGGAAACCACAAACCTGCCCACTCATTGTCAGTAGAGCCCAGTAGAAGTCAAAAATAAAGAGGGGGTTTCTGCAGAATTGTAGACTAATAGCATGATTAAGATGCTGACTAAAATATATATATATTTAACTTTTATATTTTGAGATGAAGTCTCACTCTGTCACCCAGGCTGGAGTGCAGTGGTGCGATCTCAGCTCACTGCAATCTCTGCTTCCCGGGTTCAAGCGATTCCCCTGCCTCAGTCTCCTGAGTAGCTGGGACTACAGGTGCCTGCCACCATGCCTAGCTAATTTTTGTATTTTTCAGTAGAGACGGGGTTTCACCACATTGGCCAGGCTGGTCTCGAACTCCAGACCTTGTGATCTGCCCACCTCGGCCTCCCAAAGTGCTGGGATTACAGGCATGTACTAAAATATTTTTAATGCACAGTTGAGCTAGCAGCAAATAAAGGAATCTCTTCAAAGTGAGAAAGGACAAGAAAGCTTAACTCCCCAGGAGAAAGGAGCACTGAAACCATTTGCCCTAGATTTGAACAGGGTGGGATGTAGACAGTCTCGGGTGGGATGCAGATGGAAGGTTACAGGCCACATAGAAGGGCAATGGAGACAAAGTCTGGGGCCAAAATTAGGGGATGTCATATCAGCGACAACCCCACCCCCAAAAGCCAAGTCTCACATAGGGAGATATCTTGGGGGTAAGCCAAAAAAAAAAAAAAGCCCCCAAAGAGGAAGAAGATAGGGATGCTAACCTACTGTTAACCTAACTGTGGGTGGATCAGAGAAAAAAGCACACACAAACAGCAATATCTCCCAGAAGAATTTCTACCCAAAGGCCTGCACTCATGAATTTGGGACAGGAATATATACTGCTAGTGGGCTCAATTCCCCCAAAATGTGTTTTCAGTGATCCCAGGTTAGAAGTACCATCGAGGACCTGCAAAGGCAGTTGCAAATCTTCACTACAGGGAAGTTATTTTGATTCCAGTCCTTAAAAGATCCCCACACATGAAGTTCCAAGGATCATGAATTCATACTCCTACCCACACAATCCTAAGCAGATGAGAAATAAAAGAACAAATAAAACATCATGAGAGAATTTCCAGGAACAACAAACTGTGCTTAGAGGCAGACTTACAAAATTTGTGTATATTTTATTTACCACATTTAGAATGTCTAAAATATGTGTGTTTAATATGTTTAAGAAATAAGAGAGGAATGCAAAAGTATGACAAAAGAATAAGAGATTACAAAAATTTACCAAATTTGAACAAGAGCAAAATGGAGCTTTTAACAACAAGACCACACGAACATAAATATTTCAAAGTATAAAGCCAGGAAACAAGGATAAAAGCAGATTAGTTACAAATGATGAGATAATTTATGTATGATTTGTCTGAAAATACCCAGAAAACAGCACAGGAAGACACAGTGATAGACAATAGAAAGTAAGAGGATGGAAGATTTCTCTTATGTTTAGAATGTAGAAAATAACAAGAAACTATTATTTTAATGAAATAACCCAAGCAAGATGTAAGAAGCAACAAAATCATAGTCTTTCTAATCAGAGAGCTGATGATTAAAAAAAAAGAACCCATACATGATTAAATTCTAGAAAATAGCAGAGAAGACAGATATATTTTATCTCTGTCTTCATTAGAACATGCTTGAAAATCAGATATTATTATCATTATGTCTGCTTCTAAAGCTGAGGCACAGGTAGGCTAAGTGCCCTTAACTTCAATGAAAATACAGACTTGTAAAAAGCCCTGAGTAGATTCTCTAAATCTGCCTGCTGATTCCAATGTCCTCATGAAGCATCTAATGGCCTAAGATAAAATCTCTTCCTTTTCTGGGAAGGGAAGAGATTCTCATTCTTCTTGTAAACACAAGAGAAAAAGAAATCTGCCATAGATGGGGATAAAGATGAATTAGGATGAACTTTAGTAAAGGTGCAATGGCATATATGGCTGACAGATTAGAATTCTGAGGCTCCTCAATAATAGAATATGCTTCCCCCACAGGCTTTCCTCAAATGCTCAGGAACAGTATGTGTGATGGTTAATGTTAGGTGTCAGTTTGACTGGATTGAAGGATGCCTAGATGGCTGGTAAAGTATTGTATCTGGGTGTGTCTGTGAGGGTGTGTCTTGAGTCAGTGGACTGGGAGAGGAAGACCCTCCCTCCATGTAGGTGGGCACCATCCCATTGGCTGCCAGCATGGCTGGAACCAAGCAGGAGGAGGAAGGTGGGATAGGCTGGCTTGCTGGATGTTCTGGTTTCCTTCTTTTTCCTGTGCTGGATGCTTCCTTCTGCTCCTCCTGCCCTTGGACATCAGACTCCAGGTTCTTCAGCCTTTGAACTCTGGGACTTGCACTAGTGGCTTGGCAACGACTCTCAGACCCTCATGCACAGACTGAAGGCTGCACTGTTGGCTTTCCTGGTTTTGAGGCTTTAGGACTTGGACTGAGCCACTACCAGCTTCTCTCTTCCCCAGCTTGCAGACGGCCTGTTGTGGGACTTTGCCTTGTGATCGTGTGAGCCAATTCTCCCTATAAAAACAAACAAACAAACAAAAAAAAAAAAAAACAAAAGAAAAAACCAAACCAAAACAAAAAAACACTCCCCCTTTTATATGTACATATATCCTGTTAGTTCCATCCATCTGGAGAATCCTGACTAATACAGTATACCAGAGCCTGCGGTGGAGACCAGATAGAGACCTGGAGATTCCCCTGAAGTCCAAGGCACCTTCTCCCAGACCAAGGCAACACCTACTGAAGGAGGAGAGAAGCAGAGCGTGAGATCTGTGATAAATCAACCCAAGGCACTCACCATTTTTAGTTCCCAAGAGCCGGGCATAAACAAGAGACCTGAGGGAATCCTCCTCTCTTAAAAAACAAAAGCAGTGGACCAACTATGAAGAGGAAAATTTCTGCCTTGAACTGTATCTGAAAGATGTTATTTGGGAAAGAAAAGAAAGAGAAGAATGGGCAAAGAAGTAATCACATGGTTGAAGTCTGTGGATGCAACTGTTAATGAAGATGGTTAAACTTGAAATAAACAATTTTAAGAATTATTTGGTCTGCAGATATTTTACTTTAAATAAATGTCTATTGTAATGGTAAAAAAAACAAAAACAAAAACAAAACAAAACAAAAACAAAACAAAACCAAAAAAACCTCAGGCTTTCAACTGACAATAGCTACGGGTGGGGCAGAAAAGATGAAAGAAACTCCTCCAGGGCATTCCAGACAGAGCAGGAGCTCTATGTGGATCCAAAAGCCTGGGCTGGACTGGAGAGCAAAGAAGATTCTCCAACAATGTACAAACCATCATTTGAGTTTTAAATCAGAGAGAGATCTCTCATGATTTGAAAAACTGGTGATTTGGGTGACATGAAAAACTTTGGGGAATTTCGCTAGTGCTCAGAAACCCACACACTGCAGAATGGAAAATCCTGAGCCCACTTTCAAAACATTTGAACCTAGTAGTAAACTGAAGCAAGCTTAACTTGCCAAATAGCTCAGACACAGCTTAACTGCAGAATACGTCTATTGAGTGACATGAAACCAGTGCCTGACATAAGAAGGGAAATCGTGTGCACTTTGAGCTCTGCTGTTCTGATATCTTACAATAAAGAATAGAACAGTTCATAACTAGACATACAGATGGGCCAGATGTTGAAATTATTTGATGGGGGCTTTAACTAAAAGTGTGCTAAATAATATTTTGGAAAAAGTGTACAGCATGTAGGAAGAGATGCCGAATATCACCAGAGATATGGAAGCTGTGGAAGAGAATGGAGTGGAAGTGCTACACATGAGAAATATAATATCAGAAATAAGTACCTTATTGGATTTTGTAATAGAGTGACTTAGCAGAGGAAATAATCAGTGAACTTCAGGACAAGTTATTAGAAAGTATCCAAGCTGAAATACAAATTAAAAATTGACAAATAAAAAATAAACATAAAAAGACCAAAAAAAAAAAAACCCACAAAATCCAGAATAGGTTATGATGCCTTTCTTTGTGAGACAATATCAAATGACCCAACATACATATAATTGGGACCCAAGAAGAAGAGAAAATGAAGAAGAATAAATATTTAATATGATATTTGCTGAGAATAGTCTAAAATTGATAAAAGACATAAACTCACAAATCTAAAACAATGAGAAAACACCAATCAGGAGAAATACAAAGTACCTAAGCACATCATAGCTAATTGGTGACCACCAAAACTAAAGAGCAGATTTTTAAAATGAGCCAGATAAAAGATGCGCATTATGTACAGGAGAACAAAGATAAGTGCAGTCACTGACTTCTCACCAGACTTAATAGAAACAACAGACAGATATCCTCAAAGAGCTGAAAGGATACATGAGAGCATGCATGCACACACATATGTACAAATAACTACCAACCTAGAATTCCACATCTTGCAGAAATAGCCTTCAAAAATGAAGATAAGCCGATTTCAAAATATCAAATACTGTGTAATTTCATTTTTGAAATGAGAAAATTATAGAAAGAGAAGACAGATTCATGGTTACCGGGGTCATGGATGGATGTAGGGAAGAGACAGTTAAGTGTTTCTAAAAAAGGGCAACATGAGAGATCCTGTAGGTGATGGAACTGTTCTACATCTTGACTGTATCAATGTCTATACCTGATTATGATATTGTACTATAATTTTGTAAGTTGTCATCATTGGAGGAGACTCAGTAAAAAATATGTGGGATCTCTCTGCATTTCTTACAATTGTATCTGAATCTACTATTATCTCAAAAAGGAGATTAATTTTAAAATGAAGGGAAAATAAATACATTTTCAAGAGATAAAAGCTAAGAGAATTTCTCTCCATCAGACCTTCTCTTTAAGAAATACCACAATTGGCTGTGTGCAGTGGCTCATGCCTGTAAATCTCAGCACTTTGGGAGGCTGAAGCAGGTAGATCACTTGAGGTCAGGAGTTCAAGATCAGCCTGGCTAACATGGTGAAACCGTGTCTCCACAAAAAAATACAAAAATTAGCTGGGCCTGGTGGTGTGTAGCTGTAGTCCCAGCTACTCGGGAGGCTGCAGCATGAGAATCACTTGAACCCAGGAGGCAGAGGTTGCAGTGAGTCACAATCATGCCACTGCATTCCAGCCTGAGCGACAGAGGGAGACCCTGTCTCAAAAGGAAAAAAAAAAAAAAAAAAGAAATACTACGATAATTGTCTCAGGCTGAAGAAAAATTATAACAGATTTAACCCTGAACCTGTAAGAAGCAATGAAAAGCACCAAAAAAGGGTACATATTTGTATAATTATAAAAAACCTTATAAATTTGTGTATGAGGGAGAAAAAGAGAGTATGTTTATTCTTTAAACTGTGCATATATATCCATGAATGGTAAATTTCATAATTTAAAAAAAGGAAAGAGAGAAAAATATCAAGGGAGGCAATACCATCTGGAGAATGTCTGTCACATGTGCTGTGCTACACACAGGGGGGATGAAAATAAACTTCTATTTTGACAGCAAGGAAACCGACAGTGATAAATAAATGTGGTTAGTAAGTCAAAGTAGTCCCAAGTAGAGGAAGTGGAAAAGCAAGAGGAGGCGGTGAATTACATGAGTTTCTCTAACCCTCTCAGGTGTACTAAAGCCAGTTTTCAAATCCCGTGTTAACAGCCAAATGGAAGCAAGTCTATATTGCTACTCTATTACAGTTGCTCCTGAACAATATGGGTTTGAACCCTGCAGACTTTCTTTTGCTTCTGCCACCCCTAAGACAATCAGAACAATTTATCTTCTCCCTCCTCCTCCTCAGCATACTCAAGAAAATACAACCAGGATGAAGACCTTTGGGAAGATCTGCTTCCACTTAATGAAAAGTAAATACATTTTCTCTTCCTTATGATTTTCTTAATAACATTTTCTGTTTTCTAGATTACTTTATTGTAACAATACAGTATATAATACACACAATATAGAAAACCCGTATTAATTAACTCTGTTATTGGTAAGGCTTTCAGTCAACAGGCTATTAGTAGCTAAATTTGGGGGGAGTCAAAAAATTTTGGACTGTGTAGAGGGTTGGTGCCCTTAACCCCACATTGTTCAATGTTCAAGAGTCAACTGTAATCAATATTTTGTAATTATATTTTAAAATGTGCCTTATGTGAGATCCACTATAAAAAGAACTTGATCACTAATATACTGCATACAAAGTCAATTTGAGATGAATTATGGACCCAAATGTAAAAGCTAAAACAATCATAAAACTTCTAGAAGAAAACACAGAAGATTACGTCTGTGATCTTGGGGCAAGCAAAGATTTTTTAGGAGACAAAAAACATGCTGATAAAATTAAAAAACGATTAATTATACTTCATCAAGATAAAACAATCCGGCCAGGCACAGCGGCTCATGCCTGTAATCTTAGCACTTTGGGAGGCCGGGGTGGGTGGATTGCTTGAGCTCAACAAATACGAAAATTAGCCAGGCATGTGGATCGCTCCTGTACTCTCAGCTGCTTGGGGGATTGAGCTGGGAGGATCTCTTGAGCCCAGAAAGCAGAGGTTGCAGTAAGCCAAGATCATACCACTGCACTCCAGCATGGGTGACAGAATGAGACCCTGTCTCAAAAAAAATAAAATCTTCATCACAAAACATTATCAACAAAATAAACAGTTAAGTCACAGACTGTGAGAATGTATTCATAAGAAAGAGGATTTGTATCCAAATTACATGAAGAACTTCTAAAACTCAATGATAATAAGACAAAGAACACAATTTAAAGGAGAAAAAAAGCAAAGAGGCTGTTCACAAAAGAAGACATAAAAATGGCAAATAAGCACATGAAAACCTGCTCAACTTCATCAACCATCAAGAAAATACAAACTAGACACCCCAGGAGCTCCTACCGCATGCTGCCCTAGAAGACCTGCAATGCCCAAGGCTGACTGCAGCAGGTGCTGGGAGGAATGCGGAGCCCTGGGATGCTTATCTGCTGCTGGCAGGGGTGGAAAATGGTACAGCCACTTTGGCAAACTGTCTGTCTTCTCCTAAAATAATATACTTCCATCCTATGACCCAGTGATGTCATTCCCAGGTATTTGTCAAAAATAAATGCAATATATTCATAAAAGTTCCTTTACAAAAAAGACTTTTATAATAGTCAAACCTGGATTGTTTAATCAACACGTGGGTAAATTATGCTTTGCTCATGCACTTGGATAGCAGTCAGCACACAATATGCATGAGTCTCAAGAGTAACAGGCTAAGAGGAGTACAGCAAACACAGAAGTGTACATCCCAGGTGATTTAATCCATACAAACTTGAAGAAATAAGCACAAGAGACTGAGGGTGACAGAAATCTGATCAGTGCAGGTTTTGCAGTGGAGGACTCACGGGAAGGAGAATTAGGTGCCTTTCTGGGACGGGGAAGATGCTCTGTGTCTTGACAGGCACCGTAAGGTATACTTGAGATCTGAGCACTTCCGTGTATAAATTGCACTAAAATTAAAGTTTCCCTTGGGTGCATCTGCATAATTATGTCACCCCTGAGGCTGAGAGAGCATGGTAGGAACCACCATGGTCCTTGGAGATTCCTCAACAAAACCGTCTAGGAGGAAAAAGGGCAGAATCTGAGAGCAGCGCAAGAACCACCAGCTGTCTGTCCCTCCCTCTTCCCTCTGCAGTTCCCCATGCTGGGAGCTCTTGTGGTTCCAGGACAGCAGCTGATGGACCCCAAGGACTGGCCGCTTTTTGGGGGAAAATCACTGTTCTTGCCCTGTGGAAGTTCTAGAAAGAAGACAATCTATGCCAGCTCGGATGATTAATTTTATGTATCAAATTGCCTGGCCTTTGGTGTATGGTAGTTTGGTCTAACACCAGTTTACATGTTGCTCTGAAGATCTTGTCCAGATGTGATTAACATCTATAATCAGTTCACTCTAACTGAGATGACCCTCAAGGATGTGGGTGAGCTCCATCCAATCAGTGGAAGGCCTGAAGTGCAAAGATGGAGGTTTCCCAAAGAAGAAGAAATTCTGTCTGAAGACTGCAATATGGAAACTTGAGTTTCCAGCCTGCTGCTCTGTGGAATTTGGACTCAAGATGGCAATATCAACTCTTCCCTAAATTTCCAGATTCTGATGCCTGCCCTATGGATTGCAGACTTGCCAACCTCCACAAACATGTAAGACAATTCCTTAAAATTTCTCTCTTTGTCTGTCTATCTGTCTGTCTATCCATCCATCCATGCATCCATCATCTGTATTGTATTAGTCAGGGTTCTCCAGAGACACGGACACACCGAACCCATGTGGGGATCCATCCTCCTGGCTCTGTGTCTCTGGAGAACCATGACTAGTGCACACCAGCTCTGCTTTCCTCTGCACCCACGCAGCATCCCGATTTGGAGGAAGCAGGTGGCCCAGTGTGAAAGGTCATTTATCTGAAAGGAAACATTCCTGAAGTGACTGATGAGTGTGCCTTTCAGCTGGCATATTTGGGGACAGGGGCATTCATATTTCTGAGTCCAGATTCCCTAAAATGGGATGCTGTATTGCTCATCACATAAGTCTTTATGATGTACCTGTTCATTATTTTCTCAACGAAAAATAGTGGTTGGCTGCAAATTGTGAAACTGCAATCTCTCTCCATCTCAGGGTATGTGGGCTTTTTAATCACACGGGCCCTCTTTCTTTTCAAGGGCAATTATGTTGTTGATTACTCCACTGTGAGCTGAGCAGTGACGGAAGGTCAAGTTCCCAAAGTCATGTTCGGATTCATTCCTTGGTTGTGACTGGAAGCCCAGAGTGAACTGAGGTAGGAGGGCTTAGTCCACACCAACACAAGCCCAAGCTTGTGGTCCCACTCACACTCAGGGCTGCTCCTCCCCTCCCTTCCCTGCCCCAGGATTTATTAAGCTCTTGCTTCTGTGTCCCCAAATCAGAAATTCCTCTCAGTAGTCATACCATGGCCTCTTCTAAGGTCCCTGTCCTCATTCTTTCAAGGAAAGTGCGGAACTGTTTGCAGAACCCCACGTGGCTCCAGCTGCAGCCAGCCACCCTCAGTGTGTCAGACCATGGGGTTGAATGAAGAGAACCACATCCAGAATGGGACAAGCTACAGGTTCTGGAACAGAAGGGACATCAGAGTGGGAGTTGAGGGGGAAGAGGGCAGGAGGAGCAGCTCTCTCATTCTTCTGAGGGACGTTCAATTGTCCTGCTGTGGACTGTGATGAACCCACCTTCATCTGTCCTCCATCACTTTGCCCCTGCTTTTTCCACTCCCCTTGTCTCTTCTTCCCTCCTTTTCAAAGTCACAGAGAGGTGAGGAGTCTGGGTGGCGCCAGGAAGGCTCATCCATTTCCTAACACCCCTCACTGTCAGCGCTGACACCACGAAAGCCTGCAGCCTCATACTAGCCGTGAATCCATGTCCTCTGCTGATCTGATCCGGAGTGCGTTTATGTCACTGTCTCTACAAAGCACATGACCACCTGGATTTTACCCGTTGCTCTGGGTTGCCTGTTCGTCAGGGCCCTTGGGGAAGACACCCCCCACTCTCCCACTCTGCCTGTGAATACCCCCCACTGGGTCCAGCGCCTCTGGGCGCACCCTTGCTGTTCCACCCCTAGGACTTTGCAGAATTCCAGAGCCAGGGATTTCCTTCTCTTTCTCTTGGATAAGCACTGAGCTTTCCCCACACAGCCTAGGACCCGCCCCTCTTTTCAGCTTTCCTCTCGCCCTTTCTTAGGGAGGCTCGCTGTCTACCTTCCCCCTCCACCCTGGCAGGTGCTGCGCCCCTCAGTTCTGCGTGAAGACCCTACACACTTCCTTCATTGACTTCTGCTCCTTCCGGTCGGCTATCACCTGGACCCTCCTGGACTGGGCTTTTGCCTAAGAACTTTCCAAAAACCACACAAAATAGTGAATGGCAGTTTCTCCAATAACAATTCCAAATTATCTGAAAATAGCAAACCATGGCTAATTTCTAATGAACAATAATACTCTTCTCTATGACTGAAAGGGAAGTGCCAAGCACAGATGTGTGAGAGGCCACAGATGCATGGCCCTGAGCTGAGGGGGAAAAGCGGAATGACTCTGAGCTGATGTACGGCTCAGTTCAAACAGTCAGCATGGATGGTAATTGCTATCTGTTTTCCTGAGATCGGAAAGTTGCTTGTAATACGGGTAGGTAAAAAGAATCAAATATAATAGAACTGAATAACTTTTCAGTACTAGAATAAAATCAATATGTTGCAAGTAATTTCAGAAGCAACAGCAGCTTCCAAGAATAACTATTTATCAGGATGGGCACTTACGCATGTTTAGGGATCTTGTGAAATAATTTAGTGGTGTTTGGTCAACAGTCAACCGTTCATTCATTTTGCTGTTCCTGAGCCTCCATTGCACACACGGCAAAGTGCTCACAGGTGCTTGCATGGAAGGATTCCCTCCGCAGCTAGAAACTTACATTTAGGGATGATCACGTGTTACAAAATTATGTTTACATTTAAAACGCCAATATTCTATCACGATTGTAAACACAGATGGAGAGCAAGGGAAGCCACTGTTTATTCACCACTTGCCTGTGCTCTCTCTGTTCTTGTGACCTGATGGATTGTGCAGGGTCGTAGTAAGGAAAGGGAGGTTGTCCTGGGGCCAGGTCGCTGAGTATGCAGTGGGCCAGGTCCCACTCTGCAGCCCCTAAGGGCCTCACCCATAATTTGACCTTGAAGAGAAACCTCTTCAAGTCTCTCTGCCTCACTCTTCTCTTCTGTGAAACAAGGAGGACAACAGAACCGCCCTCACAGGTAAACGAAGAATTGGAGATATTGAACGTAAAAGTGCACAGCACGATATCAAGGATACAGGAAATGGGCAATAAATGCTGGCTTCTCTATGCTTGATTCTCACAAGCCCATGAGATAGAGCTGAGTGCTTGAAACCCATCCTGCACTCCCCAGAAGGCAAAGCCTGGGCAAGGCTGCCCAGCTCCAAGTGGGGGCCCTGGAATTAAACCCTACTTTGCTGTTCTGTCCTCTGCTTGAACTGCCCCCTTCGCTACACAGGTCCCATCCTTAAGGGCAAACATCTGCGGAGCTGCAGAGTGGGACCCACTACTTAGATCCCTTGTGGGGTCAGCCCAGGACGCTTGCACCAGGCAAACACCTTCTGTGGTTCCAGCCAAATGGTATTAAAAGCCACCATGGTGTTTTCAGTTGTTTTCAAAGGCCCTCAGCAGAAACCAGGGCTTTCCAAATGGGGAGTGTTTGTCTCTGTGGAAGGAAAGCATGTTGGAAAACACCAGCAATCTTTTCAAAGGGCACCTGGACATGAGAGGTCACTTTCTGTTCCTTTGTAGTCTCGATGTAAACAAGAGAATTCTTCAGAAAATGGTGTGGAAAGTTGTCCCCAGATCCCCTGAGATCTTACAAAATGTTATATTTTTCACGTGACTGAGTTAGATTTACTACGAGAACTGAAGGTGGAAGAATTCACACAGGGGCACATGATAGTTACAAGGAAGCGATGGCCCCGGGTCGCAGGCCCATAGCTGGCCCTCTGGCTGCCCTCAGCACTGCACAGAATCCTGGAGAGCAGGGACACAGGAGGTGAGGCAGGGCGTGGACCCCGTGGCCGGAGGGCCAGCGGCCGTGGGAGAACAATGCTCTGAGACAGTGTCATGTGGCATTTGTGTGGCTTCTCTCCTTCTCTCCACATCAGGCTACCCTCATGAGTGGCTGGATTTACCTGGGGCCAGTGCTTTGAAAGTGGAGAGATGAATCATTTTCTGTTATATTGTTGTGCTCATGAAGTAGAATCACACATAGGAAATCACCATGCACATGGTAGATGAGTAGACAAATAAAAGTGAGTTTGGGTAATGGACAAACCACACCTGAGGTATCGATGTTGCTTATTCTATAAACTTAGAATACTCCGTGTGTCCAATTCCTGGCGAAGCAGAATATAAAATTGCGAGATGTGAGTAACAAGTACTTGAATGCGATGTGGGGGCAAATTAGATTTCTTTCTGCAAGTCCAGTAACTTCAAGAATCGTGAATGACATAGGCTCCCAATGCCAATGCAGAAGACAGCCTGAATTAAATGAACTATTTTATCATCTGTTACTCTCTGGTCCTCTTGTTTAGGAGACTTAATTGGTGCTTTATCCTGTATTGTTCTTGGAAAAACCAAGTAGCTGATGATATCAGTTTCAACCGTGTGACGCATTTTTAATCAGATATTTACTTACATTAATGTGCTACTGCCAAAACCAAGGCTCACATAAACCAGATGTTTTTATCACGAGCCTTTGGTATCTGGAGAAAAAAAAAATAGGACAGTACAGCATGCTGGCCATTAAACAGAGGGAATTTCAAGGAAAACCATCTTTATAACGTTGTTTTGAATATTCCCATAAATTTCTTAGTTTTAGGAGCTACATTTGCCTAAACAAGTGGAAATGGTAGTTATTTTGGAAAATAATGGTAAGGATATTTGAATCTGTTTGGCCAAATTCATTCTTACTCCAGATTTTTTAATAATATTTTTTTCTAACGCTATTGATCTAAAGCTTGTGTTCTAACCTCTAGCCATCCTCTGAGGGAACCACGGGTGATAAACAAGGTGGAATTCCATCATATTGATGCCACTGGTCAAGACTGTTTTACCCACTTTCTTTTTTTTTAAATTTTCTTTTTTAGGGGATGGGAGCAGAGTCTCACTCTGTTGCCCAGGCTGGAGTGCAGTGGCTCACTGCTACCTCCGCCTCCTGGGTTCAAGCAGTTGTCCTGTCTCAGCCTCCGGAGTGGCTGGGACTACAGGTGCACACCACCACGCATGGCTAATTTTTGTACTTTTAGTACAGATGGGGTTTCTCCATGTTGGCCAGGCTGGTCTTGAACTCCTGACCTCAGGTGATCTGCCCACCTTGGCCTCCCAAAGTGCTGGGATTACAGGTGTGAGCCGCCATGCCTGGCTTATTTTTTCTCTTTCTTAATGACTCTCGTCTGGTCTTTCCAATACCCTGGTCTAATTCTGAGATCCCTGCATTTGCTTGGAGTTTCTCCTCTGCTTTTGGCTCTCCTCCCAGCCTTCATGCATGTGGGCCTTGCCATGGGCTCCGTGTCTCCCTTTCCCGGCATTGCTCCATCTCTCTTTTGCTCTGCCTCACTCTTTCCCTCCCCAAGGCTTGACAACCATTCCTTTGCATTTCCCTTTTCTTCTAAGGAATAATTTATCTGTTTTTGTATCTGGTGTTATGATGAACCTCTTATTCCAGCAACCCTTCTTGTCACTCCACATCTACCTGAATTTGTGAGATAAATAAAGCTATGAGTTTTATACTTCAAGTCAATATTTTTCTTAATTGTCTGTTTAAGTTTAGCTGGAGAGGGTACAGTGATACAAGCAGGCTCATATATTATTGGTGTTACCATGAGTTGTTATAACTTTTTGAAAAGAGATGTGGCAATATGCCTCAAGAGCCTTAAGTCATTAATCCTCTTTAACCCAGTAACTGAACTTCTGAAAATCTATCATGTGCAACAAATCTCCAACTGGAGCATAAAATCACACACAAAGATATTTATAATAGCATTATTCATAATTGTCCCAAATGCAAAATAATCTAAACATCCCATAATAGTAAAATGTCCTGTAATAGTGAAATAATCTTTAAAATGGCAGTAAATAAACCAAAATATTATAATGAGAAAAATATTTGTGTCAAATTGAGTGACTGGTAAAATGGAAGACTTGTGTAAGGACTTCCTTGGGATTGAGGGGTCTGTCTGGAAATGGATGGAGAGTGGGGGCTCTGGACAAGTTCGAGGAACGTGGCTGACAGTGGTGTAGAGGGTTGTGCTTACTAAGGGCTGTGGAAGTGGCCTGAGCCTGAGTGGTGCAGGGCAGCAGGCGTCTTATTATGCTCCCAAACCATGTGGGCCAGGAAATTATACAGAGCACAGCGGGAGCACAGGGGCCTCATTCAGAAAGACGAATGGCTGGAGTGACCTGAGACTGGGCCCTGGAACCATCTGGAAGCTTCTTCACTCAGATGTGTGGTGCCTGGGCTGGGATGACTCGGTACCAGCCTCCACTCCCATGGCTGAGCAAGTGTGAGCACATGGCATCTCCAAGTGACCTGGGCTGGGTCTCGAGGAGTGCTCCAAAAGCCACTGCTGCTCGAGGCCATGTGGAGGCTGCGTGGCTGTGTATGGCTTCACTTCAGGAGCCCTAGGGCATCATCAGCGCCACCCACTGCATTGCTTGATTGATTTAAGGGGAGAGGACATGGACCCAGTCCCTTGAAGGGAGGAGTGTTAAAGAAGTTGTGACTTTTTTATTTGAAGCCCCACATTGGGAAAGGGGTAACATTCAATTTGGCTTTTATCTATGAAGACCTAAGCACCAAGGCCCAGGTGGATGGAGGAGACATCACCAATGAGAGTGCCCATGGATCAGGAAACTTTAGAAATTCATCATGGAGCTAAAGTCTCTTTTCCTCTGCCCAGTGCCCATGTGTTCAGTAAGAGGAGAACTCATGACACAAAGGGGCTTTAATGTCAAACGCTTGATTCAGTGCGCTCTCAGATCTTCATTCCTTTTCTCCACAACCTCACCAGCATCTGCTATTATTTGACTGTTGAAAAGGGAGCACTTCTACACTCTTGGTGGGAGTGTAAATGAGTTCAGCCATCATGGAAAGTAGTGTGGCGATCTCTCAAATAACTTAAAACAGAATTATCATTCTACCAAGCAATCTCATTACTGGCTGTATACCCCAATGAATATAAATTTTTCTACCACAGAGACACACGCACTTGTATGTTCATTGCAGCACTATTTACAATAGCAAATATATGGAATCAACCTGAATGCCTAGCGACAGTAGACTGAATAAAGAAAATATGTTACATATACACCATGGAATACTACGCAGGTGTAAAACAGAACAAGATCATGTGCTTTTTGCAGCAACATGAATGGAGCTGGAGACCATAATCCTAGGCAGATGCAGGAACAGAAAATCAAATTGTCAGGCCTCTGAGCCCAAGCCAAGCCATTGCATCCCCTGTGACTTGCATGTATATGCCCAGATGGCCTGAAGTAACTGAAGAATCACAAAAGAAGTGAACATGCCCTGCCCCACCTTAATTGATGACATTCCACCATAAAAGAAGTGTAAATGGCCAGTCCTTGCCTTAAATGATGATATTACCTTGTGAAAGTCTTTTCCTGGCTCATCCTGGCTCAAAAAGCTCCCCCACTGAGCACCTTGCGACCCCCACTCCTGCCCGCCAGAGAACAAACCCCCTTTGACTGTAATTTTCCTTTACCTACCCAAATCCTATAAAACAGCCCCACCCTTATCTCCCTTCGCTGACTCTCTTTTCAGACTCAGCCCGCCTGCACCCAGGTGAAATAAACAGCCATGTTGCTCACACAAACCCTGTTTGGTGGTCTCTTCACACAGACGTGCATGAAATTTGGTGCCGTGACTCGGATCGGGGGACCTCCCTTGGGAGATCAATCCCCTGTCCTCCTGCTCTTTGCTCCATGAGAAAGATCCACCTACGACCTCAGGTCCTCAGACCGACCAGCCCAAGAAACATCTCACCAATTTCAAATCCGGTAAGCGGCCTCTTTTTACTCTCTTCTCCAGCTTCCCTCACTATCCCTCAACCTCTTTCTCCTTTCAATCTTGGCGCCACACTTCAATATCTCCCTTCTCTTAATTTCAATTCCTTTCATTTTCTGGTAGAGACAAAGGAGACACGTTTTATCTGTGGACCCAAAACTCCGGCGCCGGTCACGGACTGGGAAGGCAGCCTTCCCTTGGTGTTTAACCATTGCAGGGACGCCTCTCTGATTATTCACCCATGTTTCAAAGATGTCAGACCACACAGGGATGCCTGCCTTGGTCCTTCACCCTTAGCAGCAAGTACCGCTTTTCTGGGGAAGGGGCAAGTACCCCAACCCCTTCTCTCCTTGTCTCTACCCCTTCTCTGCTTTTCTGGGAGAGGGGCATGTACCCCTCAACCCCTTCTCCTTCACCCTTAGCGGCAAGTCCCGCTTTTCTGGGAGAGGGGCAAGTACCCCTCAACCCCTTCTCCTTCACGCTTAGTGGCAAGTCCTTTTCTAGGGGGCAAGAACCGCCAATCCCTTATTTCCATGCCCCGACCTCTTATCTCTGTGCCCCATCCCTTATTTCTGCACCCCAACCCCTTATTTCCACTCCCCAACCCCTTTCCTGCTTTTCTGGAAGGTAAGAACCCCTGAACCCCTTCCCTCCGTGTCTCTACTCTCTGTTTTCTCTAGGCTTGCTTCCTTCACTGTAGGCAACCTTCCACCCTCCATTTCTCCTCCTTCTCCCTTGGCCTGTGTTCTCAAAAACTTGAAACCTCTTCAACTCACACCTACCTAAAACCTAAATGCCTTATGTTCTTCTGCAATGCCGCTTGACCCCAATACAAACTCGACAGTAGTTCTGAATAGCTGGAAAATGACACTTTCAATTTTTCCATCCTACAAGATCTAAATAATTCTTGTCGTAAAATAGGCAAATGGTCTGAGGTGCCTGACGTCCAGGCATTCTTTTACACATCAGTCCCTTCCTCATCTCTGTGCCCAGTGCAACTCGTCCAAAATCTTCCTTCTTTCCCTCCCGCCTATCCCCTCAGTCCCAACCCCAAGTGTCGCTGAGGGTTTCTAATCTTCCTTTTCTACAGACCCATCTGACCTCTCCCCTCCTCGCCAGGCCAAGCTAGGTCCCAATTCTTCCTCAGCCTCCGCTCCTCCACCCTGTAATCTTTTTATCACCTCCCCTCCTCACACCTGCTCTGGCTTACAGTTTCATTCTGTGACTAGCCCTCCCCCACCTGCCCAGCATTTACTCTTAAAAAGGTGGCTGGAGCCAAAGGCATAGTCAAGGTTAATGCTCCTTTTTCTTTATCCCAAATCAGAAGCGTTTAGGCTTTTTTATCAAATATAAAAAGCCAGCCCAGTTCATGGCTCGTTCGGCAGCAACCCTGAGATGCTTTACAGCCCTAGACCCTAAAAGGTCAAAAGGCCATCTTATTCTCAATATACATTTTATTACCCAATATGCTCCTGACATTAAATAAAACTCCAAAAATTAGCATCTGGCCCTCAAACCCCACAACAGGACTTAATTAACCTCACCTTCAATGTGTACAATAATAAAAAAAAAAGTTGCAATTCCTTGCCTCCACTGTGAGACAAACCCCAGCCACATCTCCAGCACACAAGAACTTCCAAACGCCTGAACCACAGCAGCCAGGCGTTCCTCCAGAACCTCCTCCCACAGGAGCTTGCTACAAGTGCCCGAAATCTGACCACCAGGCCAAGGAATGCCTGAAGCCCAGGATTCCTCCTAAGCCATGTCCCATCTGTGCGGGACCCCGCTGGAAATCGGACTGTTCAACTCACCTGGCAGCCACTCCCAGAGCCCCTGGAACTCTGGCCCAAGGCTCTCTGACTGACTTCTTCTTGGCTTAGCGGCTGAAACTGATGCTGCCTGATCACTCGGAAGCACCGTAGACCATCACGGATGCCGAGCTTTAGGTAACTCTCACAGTGGAAGGTAAGTCCGTCCCCTTCTTAATCAATACGGAGGCTACCCACTCCACATTACCTTCTTTTCAAGGGCCTGTTTCCCTTGCCTCCATAACTGTTGTGGGTATTGACAGCCAGGCTTCTAAACCTCTTAAACTCCCCAACTCTGGTGCCAACTTAGACAATACTCTTTTATGCACTGTCTTTTAGTTATCCCCACCTGCCCAGTTCCCTTATTAGGCTGAGATATTTTAACCAAATTATCTGCTTCCCTGACTATTCCTGGACTATAGCCACATCTCATTGCTGCCCTTCTTCCCAATCCAAAGCCTCCTTTGCATCCTCCTCTTGTATTCCCCCACCTTAACCCACAAGTATAAGATACCTCTACTCCCTCCTTGGTGACCGATCATGCACCCCTTACCATCTCATTAAAACTGAATCGCCCTTATCCCGCTCAACGCCAATATCCCACCCCACAGCATGCTTTAAAAGGATTAAAGCCTGTTATCACTCGCCTGCTACAGCATGGGCTTCTAAAACCTATAAACTCTCCTTACCATTCCCCCATTTTACCTGTCCTAAAACCAGACAAGGCTTACAAGTTAGTTCAGCATCTGCGCCTTATCAACCAAATTGTTTTGCCTATCTACCCCATGGTGCCAAACCCATATACTCTCCTATCCTCAATACCTCCCTCTACTACCCGTTATTCTGTTCTAGATCTCAAACATGCTTTATTTACTATTCCTTTGCACCCTTCATCCCAGCCTCTCTTTGCTTTCACTTAGACTGACCCTGACACCCATTAGACTCAGCAAATTACTTGGGCTGTACTGCCGCAAGGCTTCAGAGACAGTCCCCATTACTTCAGTCAAGCCCAAATTTCAACCTCATCTGTTACCTATCTCAGCATAATTCTCATAAAAACACAGGTGCTCTCCCTGCTGATCGTGTCCTATTAATCTCCCAAACCTCAATTCCTCACAAAACAACAACTCCTTTCCTTCCTAGGCATGGTTAGTGCAGTCAGAATTCTTACACAAGAGCCAGGACCACACCGTGTAGCCTTTCTGTCCAAACAACTTGACCTTACTGTTTTAGCCTAGCCCTCATGTCTGTGTGCAGTGGCTGCCGCTGCTTTAATACTGTTAGAGGCCCTAAAAATCACAAACTATGCTCAACTCACTCTCTACATTTCTCATAACTTCCAAAATCTATTTTCTTCCTCATACCTGATGCATATACTTTCTGCTCCCCGGCTCCTTCAGCTGTACTCACTCTTTAAGTCCCACAATTAGCATTGTTCCTGGGCCGGACTTCAATCCAGCCTCCCACATTATTCCTGATACCACACCTGACCCCCATGACTGTATCTCTCTGATCCACCTGATATTCACCCCATTTCCCCATATTTCCTTCTTTCCTCTTCCTCACCCTGGTCACGCTTCATTTATTGATGGCAGTTCCACCAGGCCTAATCACCACACACCGGCAAAGGCAGGTTATGCTATAGTACAAGCCACTAGCCCGCCTCTCAGAACCTCTCATTTCCTTTCCATCGTGGAAATCTATCCTCAAGGAAATAACTTCTCAGTGTTCCATCTGCTATTCTACTACTACTCAGGGATTATTCAGGCCCCCTCCCTTCCCTACACATCAAGCTCGAGGATTTGCCCTCACCCAGGACTGGCAAATTAGCTTTACTCAACATGCCCTGAGTCAGATAACTAAAATACCTCTTAGTCTAGGTAGACACTTTCACTGGATAGATACAGGCCTTTCCTACAGGGTCTGAGAAGGCCACCGCAGTCATTTCTTTCCTTCTGTCAGACATAATTCCTCAGTTTAGCCTTCCCACCTCTATACAGTCTGATAACAGACCAGCCTTTATTAGTCAAATCAGCCAAGCAGTTTTTCAGGCTCTTAGTATTCAGTGAAACCTTTATATCCCTTACGGTCCTCCGCCTTCAGGAAAAGTAGAACGGACTAAAGGTCTTTTAAAAACACACCTCCCCAAGCTCAGCCACCAACTTAAAAAGGACTGGACAATACTTTTACCACTTTCCCTTCTCAGAAGTCAGACCTGTCCTCAGAATGCTACAGGGTACAGCCCATTTAAGCTCCTGTGTAGACGCTCCTTTTTATTAGGCCCCAGTCTCATTCTAGACACCAGACCAACTTAGACTGTGCCCCAAAAAACTTGTCATCCCTCCTATCTTTTGTCTAGTCATACTCCTAATCACCATTCTCAACTACTCATACATGCCCTGCTCTTGTTTACACTGCTGGTTTACACTGTTTCTCCAAGCCATCACAGCTGATATCTACCTTTTATACCTGTTTTTCTCCTTCTCTTATTCCATTTCATTTCTCAATTCATCCAAAACCATATCCAGGCCATCACCAATCATTCTATACGACAAATGTTTCTTCTAACAGTCCCACAATATCTCCCCTTACCACAAGACCTCCCTTCAGCTTAATCTCTCCCACTCTAGGTTCCCACACTGCCCCTAATCCTGCTTGAAGCAGCCCTGAGAAACATCGCCCATTCTCTCTCCATACCACCCCCCAAAAATTTTCGCCGCCCCAACACTTCAACACTATTTTGTTTTATTTTTCTTATTAATATAAGAAGGCAGGAATGTCAGGCCTCTGAGCCCAAGCCAAGCCATCGCATCCCCTGTGACTTGCAGGTACATGCCCAGATGGCCTGAAGTAACTGAAGAATCACAAAAGAAGTGAATATGCCCTGCCCCAGCTTAACTGATGACATTCCACCACAAAAGAAGTGTAAATGGCCAGTCCTTGCCTTAAATGATGATATTACCTTGTGAAAGTCCTTTTCCTGACTCATCCTGGCTCAAAAAGCTCCCCCACTGAGCACCTTGCGACCCCCCACTCCTGCCCACCAGAGAACAAACCCCCTTTGACTGTAATTTTCCTTTACCTACCCAAATCCTATAAAACAGCCCCACCGTTATCTCCCTTCACTGACTCTCTTTTCGGACTCAGCCCGCCTGCACCCAGGTGAAATAAACAGCCATGTTGCTCACACAAAGCCTGTTTGGTGGTCTCTTCACACGGATGCGCATGAAACAAATACCACATGTTCTCACTTATAAATGGGAGCGAAACACTGAGTCTACACGGACACAAAGAATGGAAGGACAGACACTGGGGCCTCCTGGAGGGTGGGAGGAGGAAGAGGATCAAAAAACTACCTTTGGATACTATGCTTAGTACCTGCGTGATGAAATAATCTGTCCACCAAACCCTTATGATACACAATTTACCTGTATAACAAACCAGTACATGTACCCCTGAACCTAAATAAAGGTTACAAAATAGAAAATAAATAAACAATGAAAAGAAACATTTTAATTTTGGGAAAAACAAGACCTTGATTCCAGGACAGCTATTGAGTAAAACAGCCCATCTTGGATAGTCTGAAAATATTTCCATTTAAAGTTGGATGAATTTGCATCAGACTCTTGGTTTCTATGATTCATTCATAGAAGTCATTTTCTCTTTTCCTGATCTTTGAAGATTTATAACCAGAGATTAAAATCCATGCCACGATTCCTGAGATGAATTGTTTTACTATCGAATGCTCATTATATACAATCCCTGAAAGGGTCCAGGAAATGGACCTGCATATATTATAGACACAGTTTGTTGGTATCTATCTGAGGATTCCAGGAAAAAAATAATATGAAGGATCAGTCAATACATGAAATTTTGAAAGAAATATTTCTCCCTTTTTTGCCTCTTTGAATTTGAGAGCAAATTATAAGTATTTTAGAAATGAAATTCATGCTCATTCAGTAATCATTCAGAATGTTTATTTCCAAATCTCTTGATTCCATGTTCTCCCATGATATTGTAACTGCCCAGTGGGTTCACCTTGCCCGCTGCCTAGACAGAGCCGATTCATCAAGAGAGGGGGCCATAATCCTAAGCAGATGCAGGAACAGAAAACCAATAGAGAAAGAGTAATTCATACAGAGCCAGCTGTTTGGGAGACCGAAGTTTTATTATTACTCAAATCAGTCTCCTCAAACCTCCTAGTTTAGGGGTTTTTCATAGGCAGTTTGGGAGAATAGGTTGGGGTGGCCAGGTAACAGGTGCTTACTGCTGATTGATTGGGGCAGAGATGAAATCATAGGGGGTGGAAGCTGTCCTCCTGCAGGCTGAATTGCTTCTGGGTGGGGCCACAGGAGTGGGGTTGGTGGGTCCAAGTGGAGCCATGGGTGTCAGACATGTAAAAAAAAAAAAAACTGAAAAGATATCTCAAAAGGCCAATCTTAGGTTCTAGGATACTGATATTATTTGCAGGAGCAGTTAGGTCAGTTGTATGTGGCTGACAATCGTTTCTGCCTGCACCTTAGCAGGGTTAAGGTTCCTCTGCTCCTTCTAGCCTGCCAACCTCTCATTAGCTGGGGAGGGCTATTATCATTTAAACTATGAACTAAATGTCTCCCAAAGCTAGCCCAGGAATAATCAAAGGCAGCTGGGGGTGGTGAAGAGACTAAAGCTAGGAGCGGGGTTGAGCTAGAACAGATCTCCCCCATTGTCACAACCTTCTTGCTGATTCTAATTTTGGAAAGGCAGTTTCAATATTTTCTTTGAGTCTTTCCAATAGTGTGTATCTTATCCTGTCTTGGATTATTGTTTTTGTCCACTTATCTAACTCATTATGTGCTAGCTCAAATATGCTTAAATGATATTCTATACAGTTAGTATAGGGCTCAAGCAAATGTTTGTTTAACTGAATTAAACTCCCTTTTTCCTGCCTTCTTTTTCGATAGGCACAATGATTAGCAGCTAAAGTTTTCAATGATGATGGCATCTTTTATTTCTTCATATGCTTGCAACATTAACTACTTATGTTAAGTCCACTTCTAATATTAAGTTAATCTATATTCATAACCATTCATAACTTTATCTTTTACTTATGTTTTATAAAATATTCTGAATGACATGTTTAATTTTTTATCATGAGTGGACAGGATCATTTCTGTTGGGAGCATTCATTGTGTTTTTTTGAGAGCAATGCTATAAATATTTTTGTCTAGTTCATTTGTTTAACATGATTCTCTGATTACTGGGCACCGACTTGTCCTTCTTCCAACCGTTGGAAAGTTGAGCAGGAATCGCAGCAGCGGTTGTCATAGGTGTTAGAACCAGAGTGACTCCATTTTGGGTGAGGGCTAGGAAATGGAAACTGAGACTCCATTTTGAGTGAGGGCTAGGAAAATGAAACTGCGACTCCATTTTGAGTGAGGGCTGGAAAATGAAACTGAGACTCCATTTTGAGTGAGGGCTGGAAAATGAAACTGGACTTTATTTTGAGTGAGGGCTAGAAAATGAAACTGAGACTTGCTAGGCTGCATTCTCAGAAAGTTAGGCATTCCGAGGCTCTAGATGTTTAAGGTTAAGGGGACAAATTAATAATGTTTACTAAACAAACCCAAACTTGGGAGTGTCCAGATATCCTGATATCTGGACATCAAAGGCATTCCTAATTTTGCTTTAAAGATAAGAGTATTGAATCTTGCAAAATACAGTAGTTAAGAAAATTAATCCTTTATCACAAATCCTTGTAGCAGAGCACACCTCCCCATAGATACAAGCATTGTACCTAGGGTGGATGTGTTCCTCCTCTTACTTTCAGGAACATCCTACTCAATGGAGTAGCTGTCCTTTCACCACTTTACTTTCCTAATAAACTTGCTTTGACTTTGCACTGTGGAATAGCCCTGAATTCTTTCTTGCGTGAGATCCAAGAACCCTCTCTTGGGGTCTGGATCAGAAACCTTTCCTGTAACACGGTTACTGAGGACCTGTGGATGATGTGGACAAATCCTGTTACATTCCCTGCTGCCGCTTTCTCACCTGTTAAGTGGGATTTATAATACCTGTCTTATCTACATCATGAAGTTGTTTTGGGAAAAAGTGAAAAAGTAACGATGTACTTTGACATGCCCAAGCACATTCTGGAATGATTATGATGATACGCTTCTTCTAAGGAGAGAAGTGGCAAACGCACAAGCCCTGTGCTGTGGCTGTGGCTGACCCCATTCTTCACAGTGACCTTCTCCTGGACCTTGATTCAGCCTCAGAAGCTTTCTCAACACAGTACCAAGAGATTAAATTTGGCACAGGATGTAAATTTGCTTTAGAAAGCATGTTTTAGGCGACCCAAGAGATGTTCAATATGATTGAGCTGAAATACTCTATGCAGAGGGTATTTGCAAAAAGTACTGGGTCCCTGGCTTCTTCCCCGCCCTTGCCCACACACGTCTACAAGCACATCTCTGTTCACTCACACAGAGGCCAGTCCCTCAACCTCGCTGTCTGCTTTTTACAAAAAGCTTCCCCTTCTTGCCCTTTCTCCTTGCCCTGAGACCCAACCTTCCCTCTCAGGCTCACTGATGGAGTCCAGAGCACAGACACAGCCTGGGGTCAGAGGGAGCAAGCACAGGTGGCTTCTGAACAAGGTTTCATCTCCTACTCATGCTCCTAGCTGAATCTCCAGAGGAAATGGATTATAAATAAATGTCTGTAAGATTGACTTGCTTGATTACATTTCTCTAATCTGTCATTTTGCTTTTTAAATTAAAATTCTTTTTTTTCCCCCTGAAAACACATTATTACATTTGTGGTTAGGTTGTACATCTTGAAACCCTTTATTCTGCCCCAACCACTACTTGGAAACTTATAATTAAGTAACCTGGCATGCTTTCATAAGAAGTGGAAATTTTCTAAGAACACAATGTGTTGGTGGATGTATCCTGAGAGAGATTTCCTAGTTAAAAAAAAATTAACTCTATAGGCCCTCTGTGACAGAAAGGGGTAGAATTTCTTTCTTTTTTTTTTTTTTTTTTGAGATGGAGTTTCACTCTTGTTGCCCAGGCTGGAGTGCAATGGCGCAATCTTGGCTCACTGCAACCTCCGCCTCCCGGGTTCAAGTGATTCTCCTGCCTCAGCCTCCCGAGTAGCTGGGATTACAGGCATGAGCCACCATGTCTGGCTAATTTTGTGTTTTTAGTAAAGATGGGATTTCTCCATGTTGGCCAGGCTGGTCTCGAACTCCTGACCTCAGGTGATCCACCTGCCTCAGCCTCCCAAACTGCTGGGATTACAGGCATGAGCCACAGCACCTGGCCAGAAAGAGGTAGAAGTTTCAAAACCAAAGAAAAGTTTGTTAAGGAAATTAACACAAGAGTAACATTCTTAAGAGAATGTACTAACACAATGCACTAAGTCATTTGCCATTTGCCCAGTGAAATGAGTTTTTTCTCCTATGTCTTTTCCGATAGTCTTTCTGCTACATCTTTGCCACAGACTGCTGGGCTTTGGAAGCAAATAAGAGAACCTCTGCAAAATTGCTGTAAGCAATTAAGAAGAGACTTCTAATTCTGCTAATGGGAGACTAGATAATGAAGACTAGTCTTCCTACCAGGAACAATTAGAAAAACTGAACACAACATAAAGAAAAAAAAAAAAAGCTCATCTATCTGTTTAAAACTTTGGAGAACTTCCAAGACAGCAAGAACTCGAAGGCCAACTGATGTGGTTTGGTGCTGTGTCCCCACCTAAATCTCACTTTGAATTGTAGTTCCCATAATCCCCATGTGTCATGGGAGGCACCCAGTGGGAGGTAATTTAATCATGGGGGCAGTTACCCTCATGCATTCTCATGATAGTGAGTGAGTTCTCATGAGATCTGATGGTTTTATAAGGAGCTTCTCCCCCTTTTGCTTGGCATTTCTTGCTGCCACCATGTGAAGAAGGACATATTTGTTTCCCCTTCCACCAAGGTTGTAAGTTTCCTGAGGCTTCTCCAGCTCTGCAGAACTGGAGTCCATTAAACCTCTTTCCTTTATATCTTGCCCAATCTCAGATATTTCTTCTTAGCAGCAGGAGAACATACTAATACAGTAAATTGGTACCGAGGTAGTGGGGAGCTGCTGTAAAGACAGCCAAAAATGTGGAAGTGACTTTGGAACTGGGTAACAGGCAGAGGTTGTAACAATTTGGAGGGCTCAGAAGAAAACAGGAACAATTTGGAGGACTCAGAAGAAAAGTGTGACACTTCCTAGAGATTTGTTGAATGTCTTTGACCAAAATACTGATAGTGATATCAGCAGTGAAGCCCTGGCTGAGGTGGGCTCAGATGGAGATGAAGAACTTGTTGGGAACTGGAATAAAGGTGACTCTTGCTATGTTTTAGCAAAGAGACTGGTGGCATTTTGCCCCTGCCCTAGAGATCTGCGAAACTTTGAACTTGAGAGAGATGATCTAGGGTATCTGGCAGAAGAAATTTCTAAGCAGCAAAGCATTTAAGAGGAAGCAGAGCTTAGAAGTTTTGAAAATTTGCAGCCAGATGATGTGATAGAAAAGAAAAATCAATTTTCTGGAGAGAAATTCAAGCCAACTGTAGAAATTTGCATGAGTAATGAGGAACCGAATGTTAATCACTAAGACATTGGAGAAAATGTCTTCAGGGCATGTCAGAGACCTTTGCGGCAACTCCTCCCATCACAAGACTGGAGGCCTATGAGGAAAAAATGGTTTTGCGGGCTGGACCCAGGGCCCCCTCTGCTGTGTGCAGCCTAGGGACTTGGTGCCCTGCATCCCAGCAGCTCCAGCCATGGCTAACAGGTGACCAAGGTACAGTTCAGGACATGGTTTCAGAGGGTGCAAACCCCAAGCCTTGGCAGCTACCAGTGTTGTTGAGCCTGTGGGTGCATGGAAGTCAAGAATTGAAGTTTGGGAACCTCTGCTTAGATTTCAGAGGATGTATGGCAACCCCTGGATATCTAGGCAGAAGTTTGCTGCAGGGACATAGCCCTCATGGAAAACCTCTGTTAGTGCAGTGCAGAAGGGAAATGTGGGGTTGGAGCCCCCACTCAGAGTCCTCACTGAGGCACTGCCTAGTGGAGCTGGGAGAAGAGGGCCACTGTCCTTCAGGACCCAGAATGGTAGATCCACCAACAGCTTGCACCATGCACCTGGAAAAGCTGTAAGCACTCAACACCAGCCTGAGGAGGCAGCCAGGTGTGTGTGTGGGGGGGTGTACCCTGCAAAGCAACAGGGCTGGAGCTACTCAAGGTTGTGGGAGCCCATCTCTTGCATCAGCATGGTCTGGATGTGACAAGGAATCAAAGTAGATCATTTTGGAGCTTTAAGGTTTGGCTGCCCCACTGTATTTCAGACTTGATGGGGCCTGTAGCCCCTTTGTTTTGGCCAATTTCTCCCATTTGGAATGGGTGTATTTACCTAATGCCTGTACCCCCATTGCATCTAGGAAGTAACTAACTTGCTTTGATTTTACAGGCTCATAGGCAGGAGGTACTTGCCTTGTCTCAGATGAGACTTTGGACTTGGACTTTTGGGTTAATGCTAGAATGAGTTAAGACTTTGGGGGACTGTTGGAAAGGAATGATTGTGGTTTGAAATGGGAGAACATGAGATTTGGGCAGGGCCATGGTGGAATGATATGGTTTAGCTCTGTGTCCCCACCCAAATCTCACCTTGAATTGCAGTTCCCATAATCCCCTTGTGTCATGGGAGGGACCCAGTGGGAGGTAATTTAATCATGGGGGCAGTTACTTTCATGTTGTTCTCATGATAGTGAGTGATTTTTCATGAGATCTGATGGTTTTATAAGGGGATCCCCCCCTTTCACTTGGCACTTCTTGCTGCAGCCATGTGAAGAAGAACGTATTTGCTTCCCCTTCCACCATGATTGTAAGTTTCCTGAGGTCTCCCCAGCACTGCACAACTGGAGTCAATTAAAACTCTTTCCTTTATAAATTGCCCAATCTTGGGTATTTCTTCACAGAAGTGTGAGAATGGACTAATACCCCAAGATTATGGGAAGGCGATTACAGTGAAGAAACCCTGACATTAGGTGCCACTTTTTCCTTCAGGGCATTTGTAGTAACCAAATTTTGAGAATCTGAACAGAGCTCTCAGCAGGCTCCCAGACCTGGAAAAACAAATATCAGATATCAGAGACCACTGTGAAAAAGAGGTTCTGGGAAATACCCCATGCTTTCAGTTGGAAATCTTGCAGAATAACATGTAAGAGTAAGGATTAACCATAAATGGAACAGGCCCCAGAGAGACTGAAGCCCAGCTGGGAATCAGCTCAGTCCTCTTTTGGATTAAGGTCATCTAGCCCTACCCTGACTCCCCTTCTAAAGCAAAAGTAAGTGTTCCCCAGAGAATGATAGCATAGATCAGTCCCTCACATGATTTCTAATTTTCCATACATAATGTACTAAATAAAGTTAAAAATAACAGATAAAAACAGATAAGAATAGACCAAAACCAAACAGAAAATACTAGACAACAGGAACAGAAGCGCAGGAAATCCAGATATCAAAATTATCAGAAATAGACTTTAAAGTAACTATGATTAATATGCTCAAGAATTAAAAGTCAAGTTGGAGAATTTCACCAGAGAAAAAGAGAATAGGTGAAAGACAATGAAAAGAATGAACCATAGAAAAAATAAATGATGAAAAATGTGGCAAAGAATAAAGAGAAATATTCACAAAAATGAAAGGTCTAACATTCATAGAATTGAGTTCCCAAAGGTGAGCAAACAGAGTCAACAGCAGTCTTAAAAGAGATAATGGCTGAAGATTTTCTTTTTAAAAAAATATTTACCTACATGTTTATTTTATTTTATTTTATTTTAAAAACTTTTATTTTTGGTTCAGGGGTACATGTGCAGTTTTGTTATATAGGTAAACTCATTTCATGGGGGTTGTTGTATAGATTCTTTAATCACCAAGGCACTAAGACTAGTACCGAAGAATTATTTTTTCTGAGCCTCTCCCTCTTCCCACCCTCCACTCTTAGGTAAGCCCCAGTGTGTGTTGCTCCCTTCTTTGTGTCCATGTGTTCTCATCATTTATCTCCCATTTATAAGTGAGAACATGCAATATTTGGTTTTTCTGTTCCTGAAATAGTTTGCTAAGGGTAATGGCCTCCAGCTCCAACCATGTTCCTGCAAAGGACATGCTCTTGTTCTTTTTTATGCCTGCATAGTATTCCATGGTGTATATATACCATATTTTCTTTATCCAATCTGCCATTGATGGGCATTTTGGTTGCTTTCATGTCTTTGCTATGTAGAATAGTGCTGCAATGAACATATGCATGCATGTGTCTTTATGAGAACTATTTGTGTTCTTTGAGTATATACCCAGTAATAGGATTGCTGGGTCAAATAATAGTTCTGTTTTTAGCTCTTTGAGGAATCATCATACTGCTTTTCACAATAGTTGAAATAATTTGCACTCTTACCAACAGTGTATAAGCATTCCCTTTTCTCCACAACCTCACCAGCATTTGTTATTTTTTGATTTTTTAAAATTATTTTTAATTTTTTAATGTTTTATTTTTTTTTTGAGATGGAGTCTAGCTCTGTCGCCCAGGCTGGAGTGCAGTGGTGCGATCTTGGCTCACTGCAATCTCCCCTTCCGGGTTCCTGCCATTCTCCTGCCTCAGCCTTCCGAGTAGCTGGGACTACAGGCACCCGCTACCATGCCTGGCTAATTTTTTGTATTTTTAGTAGAGACGGGGTTTCACCGTGTTAGCCAGGATGGTCTCAATCTCCTGACCTCATGATCCACCCGCCCTGGCCTCCCAAAGTGCTGGGATTACCAGAGTGAGCCACCGCGCCCAGCCTTGACTTTTTAGTAATAACCATTCTGACTGGTATGAGATAATTATCTCATTGTGGTTTTGATTTGCATTTCTTTAATGATCAGTGATGTTGAGCCTTTTTTTTTCATATACTTGTTAGTCACTCGTATGTCTTCGTTTGAAAAATATCCATTCATGTCCTTTGCCCACTTTTTAATGAGTTTTTTTCATGTAAATTTAAGTTCCTTATAGGTGCTAGATATTAGACTTTTGTTTGCAAATATTTCCTCCCATCCTGTAGGTTGTCTGTTTACTTTTTTGATAGTTTCTTTTGCTGTGCAGAAGCTCTTAAGTTTAATTAGATCTCATCTGTCAATTTTTGCTTTTGTTGTGATTGCTTTTGGTGCCTTCATCATGAAATCTTTGCCAGTTCCTATATCCAGAATGGTATTGCCTAGGTTGCCTTCCAGGGCTTTTATGGTTTTAGGTTTTACATTTAAGTCTTTAATCCATCTTGAGTTAATTTTTGTATATGGTGTAAGGAAGGGGTCTAGTTTCAATCTTCTGCATATGGCTAACCAGTTATTCCAGCACCATTTATTGAATAGGGAGTCCTTTCTCCATTGCTTGTTTATGCCAGCTTTGTTGAAGATCAGATAGTTATAGGTGTGGGACCTTATTTCTGGGCTCTCTATTTTGTTCCATTGGTCTATGTTTCTTTTTTTGTACCAGGACCTTGCTGTCTTGGTTATTGAAAAATGGCTGAGAATTTTCAAAAACCAATGCCAAGACATCAATTCCCAGACACAAGAAGCTCCTTAGCAATTATCACGTTGTGATATTTATCAAGCTGTATACCCCTCAACTCTGATTTTCCTGTGTGTAGGTCATGCCATAATAAATTATTAAAAATAAACAACTGCAAAGCACTGGAAAAAGAAATAACTAATGGTGAATAATAAAAGCAAAATGATTCAAAGTGGTATGCATGATACAGTGGCATAGAAACTCTAGGGCAGATGTAAGATATAATGGCTGTATGTCAAATGCTTTTTTTTTTTTTTTTTGAGACAGGATCTTGCTCCATCATCCAGGCTGGACTGCAGTGGTGTGATCATGGCTCACTGCAGCCTCAAATTCCTGGGCTTAAGCAATCCTCTGCCTAAGCCTCCAGAGTAGCTGAGACTACAGACAGGCAAGTGCCACCATGCCTGGTTAATTTTTTTTTTTAATTTTGTAGAGATGAGGGTCTTGCTGTGTTGAGCAGTCTTGTTTTAAACTCCTGGCCTCAAGTAATCTCCCAGTTTCAGCCTCCCAAATTGCTGGGATTACAGGCATAAGCCACAGTGCCTGGCCTAAAATGCAACTCTTTATCAAGTAGTGGAAAGATTAATGGCTTTCAAGTCAGCTAGATTGAGATTTAAATCCCAAGTAGGTATCTCACTAGCTCTGTGACCTTGGGCAAGTAACTTAACCAATTTCTTATCTTAAAGAAAGATGAATACTTCTCAATCCATAAACTGAACTCCCTTGTTCCTCTCTGTCTGCATCTCACTTCCTTGGCAAGGCCCCAGTCCTCTGGCCATGCTGTCCCTTCCCTTGTGCTGTGGGAGGCTGGACAGAAGAACACCATTGTGCTGACCCTGCTCTTGTTAAATTTGTGGCCACTGACAGCCCTGAGAGCTGCCTGGCCATCATGTTACATGTATAGATCACTGTCTGACACCTTCTCCTCTCTCAAAACCTGCGTCAACTCTTCCTTCATCCTTGTATCAGCTGATTTCTTTGCTTCTTTAGTTTCATGGAGGAAATCAGAGTGATCAGAAAAGAATTGCTGCCAGCTCCCTCCCCGTCATCCACCCACCTCCCCCAGCTGTGCCGACTCCTCCATTTCCTCTCCTGTTACTAAGGATAAATCCTATCCCCTCTCGGCTTCTCAAGGACATCACTCTGGTAATTCTCCTCTCTCTCCTTCGTGATCAATTTCTCCCTCCCTATTGGGTCATTTCCATCAGCAAATGAACATGCCATTATTTCTTTCCGTGTTGCAAAATGACCTTCCTTTCTTTCCACTTTTCGTTGCAGCAGCTGCCCTCGTTTTGCTCTCAATGTGACTCAAATCAGACCTTTGTTCCTACCGCTCCTGGGATCTCTGGTCAAGGTCACAGGTGATAGGCCCAAGGTTATATCCAGGGGTTAATTCTAAGTGTTCCTCCTTCCCCCAGCAGCAATGCCCAAAGCTGGTCCTCCTTTTTTGTGAAGCATCCTCTTTACTTGGCTTCCAGAACACACAACTGGCTTTTCCCCTTTAGTCTCCTTTGCAGGGTTCCTTCTGTTTTCTTTAAACCTTGATATGCCTCAGGTTCTATCCTTGAATGTCTTTCTTTCTCTATCGATGCTTTAAGTCTCTTGGTTTTAAACACCCTAGATTTGCTGTTGCTTCTCAATTTATATATCTAGCCATGATCAACATCCTGAACTCCAGACTACTGTATCTAACTTCCCATACAGCATCTTCAATTTTAAGCCTAACAGGTGTCTGAAATTTGCTATGTCTGATCTAAAATTTGCTATGTCCGGAACAAAACTCCTGATCATCCTCTTGCAACCTGTTCCACTTGCTCTTGTTATCACAGTCAATGACAGCTCCATCCTTCCAGCCGCCCAGGGTCAAGACCATGGAGTGATTGCTCAGTGCTTTCTCTCACCCTCTCTATCCTGGTTCTCAGTATATCCTGAGAGCTGTACCCCAACCCGTATCCCGAATCCAGCCCCACCTCCCCAGGCCCACCTCTACAGCCCTGGGCTGAGCAAGCATTTCTGTCACTTAGGCTTGTGCAGTGCCTGCCTGGTCTTCCTTCTGCTCCTTGCTCCTCACCCATTTCAGCCCAGCAGCCAGGAGGGTGTTAAAACATAAACCAGGTCACCCCCTTCCTTGGCTGTTGCACCTTTGAATTTCCTGTCTCACTTGGAATGAACACAGATGTTCTAACGTTGAACCACGATGCTCTGCAGTACCCATGCCCTCCCTGACTTCATTCTCTGTGACCCTTCCCTGACTGACTCTGCTCCAGCTTCTCCAGCCCTGAGTCTCCCTGCTGGTCCTCAGCCCTGCCAGCTCTGCTCGTGCCTTGGGACCTGGGCTCCACTCGCCCATCTGTCCGGGATGCCCCCCAAGGACGGCATCAAGGCCGCCTCTACCCGCTTCTCCTTCCGTCTCCACATGACCTCCCCTCCCAGTGATACTTCCCTGCCTACTGGTTCTCTTTCCCTGCTTTACTTTTCTCCTGCCCACCTTCACATGTAATACATGATGGAGGTTTAAATTTATGTTGTTTATCATCTCCCCTCTCCTGCTAAAACAAGAAATTTGTCAGGGTGGGCGTTTCCTCTGGTTGGCTGCAGGCTGGAATTCCAGGGAAAGTGCAGCACACAGCAGCTGCTCGGGGAGTGTGTGTTGAGGGATGAAGTGTGGCTGCAAAGTCCTGGCCTTAGAAGGCACCCATGGGGTTCCCTCCTCTCCACTCTCCATCTCTGCTCACAGCATATCCACAGGAGCTGAGTATGGTGGGCTACAGTGACTGATGGTCCTGACTCAGCGCTTCCCCCATCCCGACCCCAGTAGGAAGTGTGGCAAGCACCAGTGTCCAGCCTGTGTCATGGCAGCAGTGGCTCTGTGGGGAGGTCGGGGGCGCAGTGTCAGCAGACACTCAGTGGCCGAGCTGGGACTCTAATGGCCAAATTGGCAAACTGAGAAATGAAACGTGTTTCCCTTGGGCTGTTGAGCAGGGGCTCCTCACTGTCAGCACCGTTCTGCTCACCCAAGCCAGAGACCTGGGCTATGATGTCGAGGGCTTACCTCCAGAAACATCAGAGTGGTTGGGGCCATGGAACCCACCTGATGTGACCTATGGGCATGGGCCGGTGCCCTCTGCAGGAGAAAATCCTTCCTCCACTCTGTGCCCAGGATTGCAGCTGACCCCTTGACCCCTGCACACTGTGGGCCTTTGTTTGTCCACATTGGAAGCAAAGCCTGCTTTGGTCTACATGGACATTTTCTAGTTAAAAATTTAATAGAGCCTCAAGGTCCCACAGTTAAACATGGTCTAGCCTTTTCATTTCACCTGCAGGAAACTGAGGCCCAGAGAGGTGACAATGTGCCCAGTGCGAAGAGGACCCATAGAGCTTGGCTTCAATGCCCGAGCAACTGACTCCCGTTCCATGTCCTTCGGGTGCTGCTCCTGGCTGTCTCCCTGATCTTTCTAGAAAGCAGGTGCATGCAGTGTAGTTGGTGTGAGATGCAGCTCCTTGGGAAGCTGATGGCAACTCCCGCACTACTGCACCTGCCACAGGAGCCGCCTCCCCAGCCCGCCTGAACTGGCAGGTGTTTGAGGCTCAGCATGCTGAGACCACGTGGTCACTGGCACCTGGGGCCAGCAATCAGGCAGCCCAGTGAGCCAGGAGCTCCAGCTGTGGTCCTGGGCCCCCACCTACAGCTCCAGGGCAGGCTGGATCCAACTCCCTCCGTTGGCGCCAGCTTCTGTGGCAGCCTTTCCTGCCTTAGAGAGTGCTTGGCCAGCATCAAGCTCTCCATGCGTGGGGAGAGGGGAGGGGTCTGCAGCTGAAATGGCAGCTCTGTTACTAAGTGGATATTGTGGCTGTTGGAAACAATGCTGATGGGGTGTGCCCAAAGCTGGCCATGTTTAGGGGATTCAGGTGTAGAGGGCATTGTGTGAACACTGCAGGATCAAACAGTTGGCTGAAGACCTCAGCTCTGCCCTTGACTTCCTCATCGTATCAAGGTGTCACTCCACCTTGCTCAGCCACAGTTTCCTCATTTGCAACAGGTAATGACAGACCCACCTCTGGGCTGTCGTGAGGTTTCACTAACCTGACCAAGGTGTGTGCTCAGGCCTTTGTGACATTGTGACATTACCCTGCAGTCATGAACACGTAATCACTGGAAGCTGATTTTGATATCTATTATTGCACATTGGCAAAGACTCTCTCTTTGACCAAACTTTAGACAGGTGCCTCTGAGCATTCTTTTCCACCAGCCCTGTCCTCAGGGTGTCTTAACAAAGAACCCTGCTAAGCCAGCCCCCACGGTGATACCTGATCCCCCCCCACACCCCTGCATTCAGCAAGGATCCAGGTAAGCTGGCTTAGCAGGTACTCCCTACCCTGATGTCTCCTCTTACTAATTTCCATCCACGGACTGAGCCCCTGGCACTGCTCCTTGGCCACAGAGCCCAACCTGGTTTTGTATTTGGAGCGGAGCTCAGCTCCATACTGAAATCTCCTTTCCCTGGTTGCAGCAGCACTGAATAGAATCTGTCTTTAGCCCCGTAGACTGTGTCCAGCTCTGTTTCTCCTTGACAAATGCCAGGTCCTGCTTTCTCTTCAGTTGTTCTTCCGGGAATTATGTGCATATTGGAAACACTGTAGAAGCACAAACTGGGGGAAAAGAGAAAAGAGAGAGGAGGGCAGCCTTCCTGATTCACAAAGGAGCAAACAGGGCTTGTCCTGAATGGCTGTTCATGTTGTATGATCACCTGAATACTGTACAAAATTTGGACTGTGGACAGGGGCAGCCTCAGGGGCAGCCTTCTGCCTGAGCCTGGAGACTCCTTCTTCAGGATGTTGGGAGACTGGGGTGGTGGGAGGCAGGGAGGCTAGGGGCTGGGGAAGCTGATGGAAGACGCCATCTCTTATGTAGAGTGCATGAAGGGGTCACCCATGGCTTCACTCAGACTAAAGCTGTTCATCCCAAACCAAGTCTACTTCCTTTGTGAAGAGCTCCGAGGTGCCAAGGGCCTCCCTCCACTGTCCACACTCACTCGAGGTGGAGGCTGTGGTGGGTACGGACTGGGGGAGGTGGGGTAGGCGTGGCCACGACATAGCCTGCACTGGCACAGCTCTCACCCAGGGAGTTCCTCCATCTTAGATAACTATTTTGTTTTGAAATATAGATTTGTTCCTCCCAGAAGTCTAAAGCCAGGCACTGTTTAGCCTGTGGCAGAATCTCCTTTAGCCGCTCTGTGGCACCTCAGTCTGAGGGCTCCGGGGAACCCTGACCGAGAACACTGCAGCTCCAGGTGCAGATGGGCACCTCTGTCTTCCGAGGGGAAGGGGGCTAAGAGTATGTGGCCAGGACTGGCTGCGGTTTCTTAACTGTTCTGGATAGTCAATCTTCGCACTTGGAAAAACGAAAGATACCATCAGAAATAGTAGACACTTTTCTCTGAGAATCTCAGCCTCCAAACATGGAAACATTGCCTCCTCTGTGAAATTGTTTGGTCACTGACCCTTGTGACGGTGTGTGAGGGTGGAGGGCCAGGGAGGGGAAGAGATGCTGCCATTTACACACCTTTGTGCTCTGTGCACAGTCAGTGTGAGGGTCTTGTTAGCAGCTAGGAGTGCCAAGATGCGGCAGAAGCTCTGCAGGCACCGACAGCCGAGGGGAGGAGCAGACAGACAGACATTTCTACCTGGCTGTGCCGTGGGCTGTGATGAAAGGTGCCCTGGTTCTGGGAACCCCGAGGAAGCCACATGACCCAGCCTAGGTCAGGGCAGGAGCGACGAGAGGCTTTCTGCAATCAGCCCTGCATGTGGTCTGATGACACTGAAGCAAGAGCACAAGCAAGAGCATTCCAGCCCTCACTCTCGAAATAAAGACAAAGGATCAAAAGCACACCAAATGAAACATGCTGCCCTGGGCTTGGGTCTCCACATGTCCAGGATCATTAGTGTGATTTTGGATGTTCCAGATGAGGCGAGAGGTGGTAGGCAGGGCCTGATTTGGGAGAACGGTGAGAATCAGGCTCAGAGGCTCAGACTCTCCAGCTGCAGAGGAGCCTCCACTCCCGAGCAGGCGAGGGAGGTGAGCAGGTCTCTGCTTTGAGAGGACCCTCCAGCTGCATTGCAGAGGACAGACAATGGACAGCAAAGAAGGGAGGCCAAGGGGCCCATCAGGGCCTCAGCCAAGGCCAGGCTCTATGAAAGGGAGAGAAGGTGGAGAAATGGGTGTGATACTCACCAGACCACTGTGGGGGGATGGGCATAGAACCAGGGCAGTGCCCAGGAGGACGAGGAGGCCGACTTAAGCTGGCTCGCTGCTTCCACAGGTGGGTGCTGTCAGTGGAACTGGGTCTTCCAGAAAGATCTGTTGAAGTCCTAACTCCCAGTACCTGTGAATGCAACCTTGTTTGGAAATAGATCTTTGCAGATGGGATCAAGTTAAAAATGAGGCCGTACTGGATTAGCGTGGGCCTTAATCCAAGAACTGGTCTCTCATAAGGAGAGATGCAAAGGGAGCAGGAGGCACAGGGAGAATGACAGGGGACAGCAGGCAGCGATCTGCATGATGCAGCCGCAAGCCAAGGAAGGCCAGGATGGCTGGGAGCACTGGAAGCCAGGAGCCAAGGGCTCTTCCCCAGGGCCTTTAGGGACACTGACAGCACCTGGATGGCATAGTTCTGGCCTCCAGAACTGCAAGAAGATAAATTTCTGTAATTTTAGCCTCTCAGTTTGTGGAACTTTATTCCAGCAGCAACAGGGAACTAATACATTTAGCTTGGAACAGCAAAGAAAAGGCATGAAAGGAGGAAGGTGTGGGGGTTCCAGGAAGCCTCACGCACAGGGAAATACAGCAGGGCTGCGTTCAAGGCTGAGTGGAGAGGGCCGTGAGTGAGAGAGAAGCTGTGGGGAGAAGAGGGAGATGGATGGAAGTGATAACAGAGGCAGCGGTGGCCTTAGACATGAGGTGAAAATTCCAGAATCTCCACTAAATGCCATTTACCGTCAGTGAAGGACATCCCCGGCCTTTGAAAATCCAGGCTGGATGATGAAAGACACGCGGCTTTCTGGAAGCCCTCTTGAGAATGAAAGGAAGGCATCCGTGTCAAGGTTGACAGAACGCATGGAGCTGCACAGCAGAAGGAGTCAGTGTCTGTCAGTTCCGATGCCCCAGTGACCTCCCTTGAGGATGTGTTGTTTAATCCACTGCCACAGCTTCTTCCATTCACAGATTCAGAGGGTACTCAGCTGCTCTGTGACTGTGAGTTCCTGGAAGGGAGCTGAGTCTGTGGAATCCATTCTCTAGATGACTAAGGGGCTTTGGACTAGTTTCCTAGGACTGATATAACAAAGTGCCACAAACTTTATGGTTTAAAACCAAGGAAATGGGATTCTTTTACAGTTCTGGAGGTTGGAAGTCCAAATCAAGGTGTGGGCAGGGCCATACTATCTCTGAGAGCTCCAAGGAGGGGCTTCTTGCCTCCTCTTGTTTTGGGGGGTCACTGGTGGCTCATGGCATTCCTTGGCTTGTAGACACATCACTCCAATCTCTGTCTCTGTCCACACGTGACATTCTTCTCTGTGTGTCTCTGTGTCCGTTTTCCCTTTTTATTAGAACACCAGTGTTTGGGTTAGGACCCAGCCTAATGCAACATGACCCCATCTTAACTAATTACATCTGCAAAGACCCTATTTTAAAACAAGATTATACTCTGAGGTTCATGGTGGACAAGAATTTCAGGGAGACACTCTTCAGCCTGGAAGAGACCTCATAAGTATTTAACTTCGTTCACGTCCTGAGTCCTGACACCCCTCTGCTCCGCTCACCTTGCTGGTCTCATTTGCCCATTTTGTAATTAAGACATTCTTAAGTGTCTGCTCTAGCAGAGGCCTTGTAAAAGGGGTTTCTTCTGTACTATCCAGTTCCATGTCCACCTTTCCTACCAAGGACAAAAGCTGAATTAAAAATTGCATTTCACTTGTAAAAAAAAAATACTTCCATAAGGCGTGAATGGCTTTTGTGGTAAGAGTCATTTGAGAATGGTAAAATGTGAGTATATACCTAGAAGTGGAAAAAAAAGAGAGAATGGCAAAACAACTAAAGAGATGGCAAAGTTATGTCTGCACCCACGCAAACCAGTTTTGAAAAAATAAAATTATTCATGAGCAATCAGTAACTTGGAAATATGGGGGTTTTTTGGGGTCTAATTGGGTATAGAGATCACATTAGAAACCCAGTGACAATATATGTTTTCTATATATTACCTATCTTTTATAGAGTCATGAAACCTCATCTGTCACAGGAGTAGAGAAAAAAAAAAGTCATGAAAACTGAATATTTTAGGAACTTGAATGTTTTTTCTTAGCAACCTCATTGAACACATAACCTCTCTCCCCGGCTTGGTATGAAAGATGGCTGGCTGTGCTCTGCTTCCGCCTGGAATGGAGTTTCTCTGTGGGCATTTGTCTTTCAGGTTTCTCCCTGAGAGCACTCACAGAGGCTGGCGTGTTCCTTATTGTTTTTTAAGCACCATTATCCATTTGCATCTAACATCCATTGCTGTTGTGTTGGATCTACTAGGCGCCGGCCACTTAAGCCTTTAAGTGTGGCTAGAACGTCTTCTCTGACAGAAGGAAAACCTACCATATCACTTCCGCAGATGATGGGTTTTGCTGTTCTATTCATCTTGCTGTGTTTTCACGTTTTAATAATTGTTTTGTTTATATTTCTCCTACAGACATGTTCTCGTGTTTATAATGCAGGACCAAATCTTTCCTTGGCAGCCTTAGAGCTTGGTGGTCTTGCATTCAACATCCCCCAGCATCGCTTTCCAGGGGCTGTGTGACAGTGGCGGTTCCTGCATCCCAGCAGGCTTTGTCCTTGCCTTTCTTTTCTGTACTGATTCAAAAAAACAGAACTATTCAAGTATTTTATTGTAAAATTAGGAACATATAGCTTGCTTTTTTTCAAGAATATTCTCTTTTCAAAGGAACGTAAGATTAAGGTGCACACATCTGCAGTCTGTAAAAGGCCTTGAGGATACATCTTTTCAATAAAAAGATTGTCTTTTTATTTGCTTTGATTAAAAACAGCAGCATTCCCTGCTGCCAAATAACTCACCTGGGTTTCATCTCACTCATCACTATCAATGAGCGGAAAAGGCATGCATCACAATGAGCTTCATTCAAAACATCAAGGCAAAAGAGTCTCAAAAAGGATCCCTGTGGGGTGTGAGTGGGTTGCATGTTCAAGATCACAGGCAGCCAATTTCTTAACATCTTTATTCTCAGCCATCTGGTCAGACTGCCTCCGGGGACAAGGAGGCTGTCATGCTCTGTATCCCTTGAGCATATAGCCACGCATCCAGCCTTGTCCATGGTGAGTCTGGATCATGCAGTGCACAGCTGCTGTTGACATGCATCCCTGCCATTTCATGTGGTCAGAGAGAGAGAACATGCCACTTTGCCAGAACCTCTATGATGGGCATGGTCAGGTGCATTCTGTTCCAAAGGTCTCAGGTGGAACACTCAGGGGTGTGGGAGTTAAAATTTTTTTTAAAAAGAGACAGAAGCAACCTACCCGTTTCAGAATGATGTTAATGGTGGTGGTGATGATAATGTTGGTGTTGATGGTGATGACAATATTGGTAGTGGTGGTGGAGAGGATGATGATGATGATGGTGGTGGTGATGATGATTATGGTAGTGAAGACAGTGATAGTGATGATAGTGGTGATGATGATGTTGATGGTAACGATGATGGTGATGATGATGATGATGAAGAGAATCATGGTGACAGTAATACAGACAGTGATGGTAATGATGATGATGGTGATAGTGATGATGATGATGATGATGATGGTAATGGTAATGGTGACGGTTATAACTATTATTTATAGAGTTTACTCTGTTTGAGACGCCTCCCTCTTATTTAATGTAATGTAAGCCTCAAGTCCTGGGATGCACTTACTATTATTAGTATGATTTGAAGACCTGGGAACTCTCCTTGGTGGAGTCTCGCTCTTCTTGTTTGGGACAGTTCTTTTCGTAAAGCCATCATATGGCCTCTTGGAAGGGCCTGCCATGTTCCTCTCCTTGCATGTGTAGTGGTGAACTCAGGACTCCATCCGAGTCATATGATCCCATGAGGTACAGAAGTAGAGAGTGAAGACAAACATGTTTAGGAGTGGGTGAGAGTAGATATTTTTTTAAAAGGGCTTAATGTCCCAGCCTTTGCCAGAGGCATGACAGTGCCTTATGCAACCAAAGTAAATGGGCATTCTCAGAGTTACTGGTAAAGATTGATGCAAGAATATCATTGCTGATCATAACTGTACTGTTTTCTGAACTGAGCAGAGCTTCTACTGACAGGCCAAAAAGAAAGAAAGAAGCACACGCTCAGGTCAGTGATTCTCCAGAAGACCTCGGCAGACCCAGCGCTACATATTTGCTCTCAGCCTAGAGCCGTGAGATGCATTCTGTCACCTTACGTCAACTCTCTGAAGACATCCTCAGTTACTCAAAATCTCAGAAGTGCCGAATGTTGGATATCTTCTAAGAAAGTGTGTGGACCACCTGATTTCTCATCAGATACCTGTTTTTCCATGGTTCCTCCACTCCCATTCCCAATGGGAGTTCTGCACATACAACCACCTACATTTTATTTCAAATTTATATTAATAAAATTCTATAACTGTAATATTTTATGCTTTTAAGAATGATAAAATAGTCTATATTTTATCTTCCAGTTTAAAATATCTGCTAATACAACATAGTTTAATGGTTGACCTCGGTCTAAACTATAGATATTTTGACTTCAAATTCCATGTTATTTTTTCTACTTCTTGGGAGCTGCCTTTATATATAGTTCAACATGGCCCTTCTCTGGCAGAGGTCAAGAGTCCACCTTTTTGAAGTACCTGGTATTCCCTTATCAGGTGCTGGCTTCTGGGCCAAAAGACATACCTGGTCTATGATTAATATGTGGCAGGCCGTTGGTGAATGACAAGAAGGGCCTCTTTCTTCACAGTTGGCCTGCCCTTACTCCCATAGAATAGCAGTATTCTTTTTTATGCTCAACGTTCCGTTTATTTATTCCATAAACTTTTGTATCTTTTAGAACACCAAGCACAGGTACCATAAACAGAATCTATTTTAACCAAACATATCAAAATCTGGCCCAGAGGCTAAGTTCGAGGTTCTCAAGAAACTTATTTCCAACTTCAGCTACCAAATTTTAAAGTTCTTATGCTTTCAAGTTTGACATTTAAAAGTACACCATTTTTTCTTTTCAGGGTGAAATATAATACAGGTACACAAAATACACAAATCACTAGTTACAGCCAATCAAATGTTGGCACTTAAATATCCTTATTACCAATACTTAGACCAAGGTACAGAACATCGTCAGGACCCCAGAGTGTGGCTCAGGCCGCCCCCAGTCACTGTGACCCACCACGTGACTTTCACCATCTTAGATCAGCTTTGCTCATTTTGAATTTTGCAAAAGTGGAATCAGGTAGTATAATCCCCTCATTACTGGCTTTTTTCATTCAGCTCCACTTGTGAGATTCAGCCACGTTGTAGCACATAGCTATGGTCAGTTCATTTTCGTTGCTTCATGATAGTTGTGTTAGTTTTCTACCATTTATTTCGCATTCCACTGTGGATGAACATTATAATTATTTTCAGCTGTTGGCTATTTTGAATAATGCTGCCATAAATATTCTCATCCATGTCTCTTGGTGTATTTGTGCATGCATTTCCTTTGGGTATAGACCAAACAGTATAATTTTTGGGTTGTAAGGTAGGCATTCATTCAAAATCAGTAGATAATATCAAACAATTTTCAAAGCTGTTGTGCTATTGCTTGTTACCATCAGTCTTTCAATTTATCCATTTTGGATGGTGTGTCATGGTACTCTATTGTGGTCTTTATAAAATATTTCCCTAGATGCCTAAAAAATTAAACACATTTTTTGTGTTCATTAACCATTTATTTAGATGTGCTCTTTTGTGAAATACCTATTCAAGTTGTAGGGGAAGAATAATTCCCATAGGTCCTTAGTTGGAATGGACCCTGTAACAAAAGGCAGGTTAAGAAGAGAAAAACAAACAGAAGTGCATTTCATATGTACCTGGGAAGTACCCAGGGAATGAGCAGTTCTCAAAGATGTGGCTTTGAATTCCAGCTTATGTGGCATCTGCAACAAAGGACAGTAAATTTTTAGAGCAGTGACAAGACAAGGGGACAGTCCATTGGTCTCCAGAGACTACAACTTGAAGGGAGGCAGATAACTGTCAGATAAAGGCGAGCTGGTGAGGCTTGCTCATGCAGAGTCCTCTGGGACCATCGCCAGGCAGATAAGGACCTATGTTGTTGTCAGTGGGTAACTTTTTTCTTCCTGGTAGAAGGGGTGGGCAGGATTCCCTTTGTCTTTGTAAATCTATGTCTGGCTTTTAGGCAAATAGAGCACGGAGAACTTCTCTGTTTCTGCTGCTTCTTAATCGCCTTCAGCTCAACAATTCTTCATATATTAGGGTCCATATTCTGCTCTCCCTGCAAGTCTCTTGCCTGCTTTTCTCTATAGGGTTCTCTTTTTCTTGTTGATTACTAGGGTTTCTGCATGCTAGTCCTTTGGAGGTTGTCTGTGATGCAAAGATCTTTTGTTACTCCGAGGCTCGCCTTGTCACTCCCTTATTAATGTCTTTTTTGATGAACGCACTTTCTTAAATTTAACACAGCTCTGTTAGTCTTTTCATTTATGTCTTTTCCAAGGTCATGAAGATATTCTGTCATTCTCTAGAACTCTTTTTGCTTTATGTTTCACAGTTAGGTCTTTAATCCACCTGGAATTGATTTTATGTCCTGTGATTCATTTACTTCCCTATGGGTGTCAGCACCATTTACTGGAGAGACCATTATATCCTCATTGTGTTTCAGGGCCACCTTCGTGGTGCAGCAAATGACCATATGTAGTTGCTTATGCCAGTTTTCCAAAGAGGTTATTCCATTTTTATAAGATTGTTCGTCCTTATGTCAGTACCAAAGTGTCTTAATTATGGTCTAGTAAGTCTTGATATCTGGAAGAGATGTTCTTCTTCCTTGTTTTTCTCCTTAACATTGCCCCTTTTTATTGAATTGGTTAAGTATTTTTTTATAATAATTATTTCATTTCTTCTTCTTTTTTTTTTTTTTTGAGACAATCTCGCACTGTCACCCGGGCTGGAGTGCAATGGCACTCACTGCAACCTCCGCCTCCCGGGTTCAAACAATTCTCCTGCCTCAGCCTCCCCAGTAGCTGGGATTACAGGTGCCTACCACCACACCCGGCTATTTTTTTGTATTTTTAGTAGAGATGGGGTTTCACTATGTTGGCCAGGCTGGTCTCGAACTCCTGACCCCATGATCTGCCCTCCTCGGCCTCCCAAAGTGCTGGGATTATACGTGCGAGCCACTGCGCCCTGCCTAATTATTTAATTTCTTAGTCTTAGTTGGTTCAGGCTGCTGTAGCAAGCTTACCATTGACTGGGTGGCTTAAATAGCAAACATTTAATTCTCACAGTTCTGGGGCCTGGAGGTCTGAGATCAGGCTGCCAGCATGGTTGGGTTTGGGGTGAGGGTCTTATTCTAGGCTCACAGATGGCTACTTTCTTACAGTGCCCTCACATGGCACTGCCCTCACAGAGGGAGAGATTGGGCGGCTGGGGAAGAGAGAGACGTGCTCCTTATATAAGAACACTTATCACGAGGGCTCCACCCTCCTGATCTAATCACCTCTCAGAGGGCCCGCCTCCTAGTACCATCTCATTAGAGATCACTGAGGGTTCAGATTTCAACACAGACATTTTTTGGACACAGACATTCGGTTCATTACTCGGTCGTTATACACTCTTCTAAAACCAGTGATCCTGCTAAGAGAACATAACAGGTGTCCTTGACCTACCAAGTCAAATATACATAAGCAGGTTCACTCCTTTGCACTCAGTGCAGGAAATTCAGGCTGCCCTAACTCCATTTAGCTTCCTCCCACCTTATGTATTATTATGGCCATTTATTTTAATTCTGCATTATTGTCGTTTTAATCAACAATTCTGTTTAGATTTACTCACATATTTCAAGCTTCACCTCTCTTCCTTCTTCAGGTTTTAGCAGCAGATGAATACATTTCCTTGAGCATTTTCTTCAGTGTGGTTCCAATGCTGACACATTCTGTCAATTTTGTTTGTCCCAATGTGTCTTAATTTTACTTTTGTCTTTGAGATATATTTTTCTAGAACCTAACTAAATTTAAAATCTTGTTGTTTTTTTTTTTGAATTTGAAGATATCTTTTTATTCTCTTCTGGTTTTTATATCATTTCGAGTGAGACATTTGTTTTAAGTCTTATGGAGACCACTTCGAAAGTAATTTTCTTTTTTTCTCTGCTTGCTTTTTCTTTTGTTTTTAGGGATTTTTCCATCCTGTGTCTAGGTGTGGTGTTTTGCATTTATCTTGTTTGGGGTTTGTAGAACTTCTTGAATATGTGGCTTGAGGGCTTCCATCAATTTTGGAAAATTATTATTTTTTGCTTCTTTATTTTTCTCTTGTGTTTCTGGAAATTCAGTTATAAGTAATGTAGACCATCTTACCACATCTCTGCATCTCTTCTGTTCTTTCTGTAATTCTCATTACATTGTCTGGATAATTCTTTCTGACCTATCTCAGTTTAATAATTTCATCTTTAGCTTTTTATAATTTTCTCTTAAATCCATTAGCATGCTGTTATTGCAGTCCTAGAACATCCACTTGGATTTAGAAAAACAGTTTCTGGTTCTCTACAGGAATTCTCAGTGTAGCCTTTATTTCCTTAAATGTATTAACCCTTGCTATTTTGAAGTCTGTATCTGATAATGCCATTATCTGACTCACTTATGGGTGTACTATTTCTCTTTATTTTAAATAATTTTTTCTTATCTCCTTATGCATAATAATTTTAGACTGGGCATAGGCATTGTATTTGAAAACTTGTAGAGCTAATTTGAGTCTCTGGATGATGCCATCTTTCTACACAGAGGGTTTCAATTGGCTACCAGAGGGTAACTAGGCTAGGGAGTTCGAAGGCCAGGATTACTTTGACTCCTCAGGGATCGGCATGGCTCAAAGCTTGGATACTGATTTTGTCTGAGAGTCAGTGTGTTTCTGGTTGCTCTTAATTCTATAATATAACTCTTTGATGTCCCAGCCTAAATCATAGGTGCTTACCATAGCCACCGTCTGTACCTGAAGTGCCTTAAATTCCAGTTTCTGTCTCTGTCTCTGGGAATCTGTCAAGGGCTCTGTTCATCTTTACTTGTTCTGCAGCTTATTTCAGAATAAAGAGAAGCTTTTAGGGGTAAAATTGGCCCACATGCCAGAAACACCTGTCTATGTTTTATTTTTCTCTCAAACCTTGGCTGGGTAAATTTTTATTACTACATTAGCTTTCTGACACCTTTAAATACATTTGAACAATATTTTCTCAGATTTTCTTCTTGTTCACATTGAGGAGGATTCATCTGATATTAGCAGAGGTGGAAGTCATCTATATAGCGATATCTTAACCGCATATTAGATAAATCTATTTCACAAGAATGTTGTACATATGCACGGGAAAGTATTAGGACCCACCCATGTAGCTAAGCTCCCGAGACCCTGCCCCTCTCCCACCAGCCCTCTCCTCCCTGGTTGTGATCGTGCTAAAAAAGATAGTGCCCGCATAACAATGCCATCCTTTTGCTCTGAAATGTTCACAGCATTGGGACATCTGCCCGCTTTGATGTTTTTCTGTTATTAACTGCCTATGAGATCAGCATGGAGACTGTCATGCCTCAGACACTGCGTGGACCACCTGGAGGTTCCACCTGTGATCCCACCTGCCCTAGAAACTGCAGTCCTGGCCACCACCACCCCTTCCTCCTTGAAGATGGCTTTCATGCTCAGGTTTCATCACAGCCCTCATCCAAGTCTGCCTTGGTTGCAGTGCACATGGCAGCTGATGATTGGAAACCATGCTGGTTCACTGTTACGGCTGTCATTTGCTGGACCATTACCGTGTGCCTGACACTGCCATTAAGTGCTCTCCTTATAGGTCTCGATTACTTCTCACATCATTCAGCAATTTCATCTTTCTATGTCCACTTTACAGATTAGGAAATAGCCCCAGGAGATTAGTTTGATTGCCCAAGATTATACAGGAAGACTGTGGAGGATCCCAGGAGTGGACTCTGGCTGGGCTGACTCCAAAACCTGTGCTTCTGAGCCTTGCGCCTTACTGCTTTGTTTAAGCACTTTGTGCAAAGAAAATCACCTCAGTTTCTAGAAAAGACAATTTAGGGGCAGAGAGGGACTCATCCCCATGTATGAGCAATGTTCAACACTATCTACTTTGATTTTATTTAATAGCACTTTAATCAAGGAAACCCAAACTTATTATCACCTGCAGGTAGACAAGTAGTACATTTTATAGACTTTCTTTACTGCTTTTTATTTGTTTTTGGGTTTTTTTTGGATTTCTTTTTGCTTGAAGATGGATAATTTCAAACTCCCTGGATAAGTTTTCCCTCTGTATATGTGTATAAATGTCATGTACCACAGAATGACATTCCAGTCAACAACAAACCACATACATGAGGATGAGCTCATAAGATTATAACACGATATTTTTACTATACCTTTTCTATGTTTGGATATGTTTAAATACACAAATGCTTATCACTGGGTTGCAATTGCTTACAGTATTCAGTATAGTCACCTGCTGTACAGGTTTGTAGCCCAGGAGTGATACACTGTTCCCTGTAGCCTAGGTGTGTAGTGGGCTGTACCATCAAGGTTTGTGTAAGTCCACTGTATGATGTTCACACAACAATGAAATCACCAAATGACCCATGTCTCAGAACATATCCCAGTTGTCAAGTGACACATGACTGTGTATGTGATGGGTAATTTTATGTGTCAATTTGGCTAGATCATGGCAACCAGTTTTTGGTCAACCTCAAAATGTTGCTATGAGCCTGTTTTTCAGATGTGAGTCACATTTAATCAGTATTCCTGAAACTGTAAAACTGCTAGAAGAAAATAGGGGAAAGCTCCACAAGATTGTTCTGGGCAATGATTTTCTGGATATGACTGCAAAAGCCCAGACAACAAAAGTAAAAAATAGATAAATAGGATTAGATCAAAGTAGAAGTCCCTGCACAGCAAAGGAAACAATTAACAAAGAGGCAACCCACAGTATGGTGTGGTAGAAAATGTTTGTAAACCGTACATATGATAAAGAGTTAATATCCAAAATATACAAGGAATTCAACACCTCAACAGTAAGATGACAAAAAACCCTATTAAAAAGTTGGCAAAGGACCTGAACAGACATTTCTCCAAAGAAGACATACAGATGTCCAATAGATTCATGAAAAATGCTCAACATCACCAGTCATCAAGGGGATGCAAATTAAAGCCACGAGGAAATATCACCTGACCCATGTTAGTATGGCTATAATCAAAAAGATGAAAGATCACAAGTACTGGTGAGAACTCAGAGAAAAGAGAATCCTGGTACACTGTCACTGGGGGAGTAAATGAGTGCAGCCATTATGGAAAATAGTATGGAACTGCCTCAAAAAACTAAAAATAGAACTACCATGTGATTTAGCAATCCCACTTCTGTGTATCTATCCAAAGGACTTGAAATCAGGATCTAAAAGAGACATCTGCACTCCCGTGTTCACTGCAGCCTTATTTACAATAGCCAAGAATGAATGAATTAATTCATTCTTGAATGAATGTAAGTTTCCATTAGACCAAGAAGAAAGACAATGTGGTGCACATACACAATGGAATATTATTCAGCCTTAAAAAAGGAAGAAGGTAATTCTGTCATTTGCAACAAAATGGATGAACCTGGAGGACATTAGGCTCAGTGAAATAAGCCAGGCAGCGAAAGGCAAGTACTATGTGATCTCACTTATATGTGGGATCTAAAACAGCTAAACTCATAGAAAGAGAGTGTAGGACAGTGGTCACCAGAGCCTCAGTGGCAGGAAAGTGAATGGGGAGATGTTGGTGAAAGGGTGCAAAGTTTGGAATAAGTTTTCCAGATCTATCGCCCAGCAAGGTGACTATTGTCAATAAGAATGTACTGTGTATTTCAAAATAGCTAAGAGTAAATTTCAAACATCTTACCATAAAAATGATAAGTGAGATGTTGAATATGTTTATTAGTTTGACCGAATCATTCCATGATATATGTAAATCAAAACATCATATTGCACCCCACAAATGTATATAATTATGATTTTTCTCATTAAAAAACTAATAAAAAGCATTAAATCAGTAGACTGAGAGAAGTAAATTACCCGCTATAATAGGGGTGGGGCTTATCCAATCAGTGGAGGCCTTAGTTGGAAAAGACTGACCTCTCTCAGAAAAAGAGGGAATTCTACCTCTCTATTGCCTTTGGACTTGAGCTGCAACATCACCTCCTCCCTGGATCCCCTGCTTACTGGCCTGCCCTGCACATTTCAGACTTGCCAGCACTTACAAATGAGTGAGGCAATTCCTCCTTAAAATAAATCTCTACCTCTATCTCTATTTCTATCTCTATATGTGTGTGTGTGTGTGTGTGTGTGTGTGTGTATACACACATTACACATCCTATTGGTCTGTTTCTGTGGAGAACCCTGCCTAATGTATTTGTGTGAATGAGTATTTCATTTGTGAGTAGATTATTGAGTCTCAAGCCTTTGTAGACATATTCACATTTAATGCCGCTCATGTCCTGGGGAAAATCTCTGTGAGCAGAGCATGATTTTCTGTGGGCCATTAGAAACAGTGTTCTAGTAGCCCACTATTGAACACTGGAATGGTTTTCCAAAATCTCAATGCATAGTATTATTTTTAAATGGTCAAAAACACTCTGTGGAGCACATGCAAGAATGCTGTATAATAGAATGGTTTCCGAAGCAATGTAGAAGAACTACATGAACTCATGGAATCATGAAAACTTTAAGTGAAGAGAAAAACTTAGGTTCTGGCACCAATCCCTCTCATTTGGAACTGAGAAAATGGGGAACCAATTAGGGCTTGGGACTTACTCAAGACCTCTCTGCAGGGGACTTCATTTCTGACGCTCCCAAAGTAGTCTGTGGGCCTGAAGGCCTTCTGTGTGATGGAAGCTGCCCAGAGCTGCAAAGCTCCCTGAACAGGGCCTGCAGGGGCTGCAGGGGCTCTGCTGGCTTCAGGAGTATGGAGGACCAGCCCACAGATGGTGGCCACCCACTGCTGTAGGCTGTAGTGAAGACCAGGGGTTGGGTGAGTGGACGAGGGTGGTTCTGGATCCTTCAGTCACATCACTATGGATTGAGGGTATAACATTAAGCAACATTTAAAATTTAGCTCCTCACACTAAATACCTAATCATAAAAAAGAGCATGATTTGGAATTTATGCCATGATATTTAACTATGATTTAGATACATGAAAACCACTATTGGGAAAATAGCCATCTGTAGATGAATAATTAGTGTGTGCACTTATAATGAACAAAAATTCTGTTAGAATTCTGAACACAAGGAATTCCTGGAGATGAGAAAAAGCCCCTGGATAAGGAGGAAACTCACTGTTACTGGATATCTCGCCTGGGTTACGCACTCTATATTAATGATTGCATGTCATTTTCACAAAAACTCAAAGAAATAGGTATTATTATACCTGCTTAGAGATTGTGAAAATTAAGCTCAACTGGTTTAAGGAATTCAGCCAGGTTTTTCGAGCTGGTGAAGGTAGCTCATTCCCACTCAACTTTAGGCATGCTAAAAGTAGGCCATCTACCATCTCTTCACTATCACAGGGGTAGGGACACTTCTCATGTAAAGGACAAGACAGCACAGTGTTTAGGCTTTGTGGACTATACAGTGTCTGCTCAACTATCCAATGCTGCCATTGTAACAAGAAGGCAGCCTTGTATTATATAAGCAATATATCAATGAATGAACTTGGCTGTGTTCCAGTAAAACCTTATTTATAAGAACAGGAGGTGGGATGAATTTGGTTTACTGGCTGCAGTTTGCTGACCCGGATCTATCACCTTGTCCTTGAGGATGGTTGACTTAGCTGATGGGCTTTTATCCATCACTGTGTGAATATATATTATGTACCTGTGAATGTTGGATAAACTCCAGCTCATTAATAATGACATTGTTAGTGTCCAGCCAACACTGTGTTTACGGTTGAGAATATGATGCTTTTACTCACTTAAGTCTTACATTGAACAGATTGCTCTTTTGTATTAGTCCATTCTTACACTGCCATAAAGATACTACCTGCAAGCTGTCAGTGGATGTACCTTTCTGGCGTCTTAAGGTTGGTGGCCCTCTTTTCACAGCTCCACTAGGCAGTGCCCCAGTGGGGACTCTGTGTAGCAGCTCCAACCCCACATTTCCCTTCTGCACTGCCCTAGCAGAGGTTCTCCATGAGGGTTCTGCCCCTACAACAAACTTCTGCCTGGACATCCAGTTCCAAAGTCACTTCCATATTTTCAGGTTATCTTTATAGCAGTGCCCCACTCTGCTGGTACCAATTCTCTATTATTAGTCTGTTCTCACATTGCTATAAAGATACTACCTGAGACTGGGTAAGTTATAAATAAAAGAGGTTTAATTGACTCACAGTTCTGCATGCCTGGGGAGACCTCAGGAAACTTACAGTTGTGGTGGAAGGTGAAGGAGAAGCAAGCAAGCACCTTCTTCACATGGTGTCAGGAGAGAGAGGGAGAAGGGGGAGCTGCCAACCACTTATAAACCACGAGCTCTGGTGAGAACTCACTCACGGTCATAAGAACAGCAATGGCGGAAACTGTTCCTGTGATTCAGTCACCTCCCACCAGGTTCCACCCTTGAAACATGCGGATTACAATTCGAGATGAGATTTGGGTGGGGACACACAGCCAAACAATATCACTTTTCCCTTCAGTTGAGGCATCAGCATTGCATTGGACTTCTTAGAATATGAAGTCATTCTAGTAGGGTTCCAAGTATCTTTATTTTCAAAGTAATTTGTCTTTCAGATGTTCAGTGTGAATTCTCTAGGGCAGAATTCTCACTGAATGTTGGACAAGGATCGGGAGTAAGTGCTTTTCTGACTGACAACCATTGCAGCCGTCATGACGGGCTGGGAGATGCCTCATTTGGCAATACAGAATGTGCAGCAGAATTAGACAGGCTGCCCAGGGGACACGACAGATAGGGATGGAAGCAGTATTGAAACAACCAGATGGACAGGATGAAGCACTTGATCTTCTACAGCATCTCTCTCTTTTTTTTTTTTTATCTCTTTAAAGGGCTGGGTGAAGAGGGAGTGGGGCCACCATCAGCACCATCAGGGAAGCAGACTATGAAATCAATGTTTTAGGCACCTTCATGTGTTGGCCTTTGGGCATCCATAATAAGGAGCATTTACCTTAGTTTGGCTGCTGTTTGTCTTTGGAGTCAGACAAGAAAGAGATTAATAGAAGAACAATGCTATTTCACTGTTTGGATGTGAGAAAACCAGCAAGCTTCCAATATCATGTTTTATCCAGCTTGGATTTCCCTACCCTCAGTGTCATGATGGTCCTTTGAAGCAAAACAGGATGGGTTGCCCCTCACGTGGAGCCCTTATGCATGCATTGTTCTCAGTGACAAAAGGAGGCTTAGAGGTTAGTGTAGACGCCGCTGTGCAGAACCAGCCACTGCCCTGGAAGGCGATCAACATTCATCAGGGAGAGGATGCATGCACCCCTGCTTGGGGGAAAAGCCTACCTTTCCAGCTGTCTGCAAGCTCCTGGTTGGTCTGACTTTGCTCTCTACAGCTGGAATTCTCAGATGTGAGGTGTGGACTTGTTGAGGTATGGATTCTTTATTTTATTTTATTATTTTATTTTATTTTATTTTTTTGAGGTGGAGTTTTACTTTGTTGCCTAGGCTGGAGTGCAGTGGCGCGATCTCAGCTCACTGCAACTTCCGCCTCCTGGGTTCAATCCATTCTCATGCCTCAGCCTCCCAAGTAGCTGGGATTATAAATGCCACCATGCCTGGCTACTTTTTTTTAGCCTGTATTTTTAGTAGAAACAGGGTTTCACCATGTTGGCCAGGCTGGTCTCGAACTCTTAACCTTAAGTGATCTGCCAGCTTCGGCCTCCCAAATTGCTGGGATGACACTGCACCTGGCTTCTTTTTAATGGCAGCAGTGGCAGTGTGATAACTCTTTCCTATTCACAAGCCACACATTCAAGAAGCTTTGGAAGGACATTGTAAATCATGGGGAAACATTCACCTTTCAATGACTTCCATTTTGAAGGAGACATCTGTCTTTGGTTTAGGAGCTCGTCAGAAGATTTCTATAAATAGCAATATTAGGAACAAGAGAGTAAATAAAGTTATGCACTAACACTGACTCGGTGATGCACAATGCACAGAGTTAGACTCGAGATTGGTGTTGGTTGGGGTTGGCTTTTATTTCATTTTTATTATTATTATTTTTTTTTGACAGAGTCTCGCTGTCGCCCAGGCTGTAGTTCAGTGGTGCAATCTCAGCTCACTGCAAGCTCTGCCTCCTGGGTTCTCGCCATTCTCCTGCCTCAGCCTCCCGAGTAGCTGGGACTACAGGCGCCCGCCACCACACCCGCCTAATTTTTTGTATTTTTAGTAGAGACAGGCTTTCACTGTGTTAGCCAGGATGGTCTCGATCTCCTGACCTCGTGATCTACCCGCCTCAGCCTCTCAAAGTGCTGGGATTACAGGTGGGAGCCACCGCACCTGGCCGGAGTTGGCTTTTAAAAGGAAAGCAGAGGCTGCACACAGTGGCTCACGCCTGTAATCCCACCACTTTGGGAGGCTGAGGTGGGCAGATCAGGAGGTCAGGAGATCGAGACCATCCTGGTTAACACCGTGAAACCCCACCTCTACTAAAAATATAAAAAAAAAAATTAGCTAGGCATGGTGGTGGGCGCCTGTAGTCCCAGCTACTCGGGAGGCTGAGGCAGGAGAATGGTGTGAACTTGGGAGGCAGAGCTTGCAGTGAGCCGAGATCGCGCCACTGCACTCCAGCCTGGGTGACAGAGCAAGCCTCCGTCTCAAAAAAAAAAGGAAAGCAGGAAGGTTATGGGGCTATATGTCTGGGTACATGCATGCATTAGCATACATTCTGTAGTTGTGCAGGTATTACAGATTAAATTGTTTCCCCCCAAATTCATATGTTGGAATTCTAACCCCCAGTACCTCAGACTGTGTCATTATCTGGAAGCAGGGTCATTGCAGGTGTGTTAGTTAAGATGAAGCCTTACTGGAGTAGGGTGGGCTCTTAACCAATATGACTGGCACCCTGATAAATGGGGAATCTGGACACGAGTACATGGATACAGGGAGAATGCTGTGTGAACATGAAGGCAGACACAACAGTGACACTCCCACCAAGGTGCTCTGCTAAGACAGCCCTGGCAAACTTGTCCAGGGTGCTCTGTATATTATATACCCATCTTTATATACATGTTATAGACATGTGTGTGTGCAGCATACATGTACACACACATTGAATGTGTCTTCCAAATATATAAAGAAGATCAGTCACGCCCCTACCCATACTCCAAAGTCCTTGTAGCCTTCCCTCTTCACAGGCCCAAGAGCAGTCTGGGATTATAGGCAACCTGTAGTAGTCCATTTTCACGCTGCTGATAAAGACATATCCAAGACTGGACAATTTACAAAAACAAAAACAAAACAAAAAAACAAAAAAACGAAAAACAAAACAAGTTTATTGGACTTACAGTTTGAAATGGCTGGGAAGACCTCACAGTCATGGTGGAAGGCAAGGAGGAGCAAATCACATCTTACATGGATGGTGGCAGGCAAAGAGGGAGCTTGTGCAGGGAAACTCCCATTTTTAAAACCATCAGATCTCATGAGACTTATTCACTATCATGAGAACAGCATGGGAAAGACCTGCCCCCATGATTCAATCATCTCACACATGTGAGTCCCTCCTACAACATGTGGAAATTATGGTAGCTACAAGATAAGATTTGGGTGGGGAAACAGAGCCAAACCATATCACAACCCCAGCTGACACACTTGCCCCTCTTTTTCTGTTCCCATCTGATGCTGAAGGTGCCCTGCTGCTACTTCTCAATGGTCTGCTTCCCATCCTTTGGTCATATCTGAAGAGCCCTGGTGGGACATAAGCGGACTTCTGGGTATGTACATTGTCCTGTGCAGAGTCTTTGGGAACTCTGCTGAACACTGTCTCCACCAGTTAAGAAGTGAATATTTGATCCCAGTCTTAAAAATATTCAGGTTCCTAAGGAGGAAGTAACATCAGGAACAGGAACAATTTCGAGCGGGAACAATTTCTATTCTCTCCCTCCTCCCAACTTCCATCCTCCAGTAGGCCCAGTGTGTGTTGTTCCCCTCCATGTGTCCATGTGTTCTCGTCATTTAGCTCCTACTTATAAGTGAAAATGTGCTGTATTTGGTTTTCTGTTCCTGCATTATATTTCTAAGGATAATGGCCTCCAGCTCCACCAATGTTCCTGCAAAAGACATGATTTTGTTCTTTTTTATGGCTGCATAGTATCCCATGATATATATGTACCACATTTTCTTTATCCATTCCACCATTGATGGGTGTACTCGATGCAAATAATCCCTGTTGTGTGCTCTTAATCAGGGGTCCCAACCCCTGGGCCATGGACCAGTACTGGGCCATGGCCTGTAAGGAACCAGGCCACACAGCAGGAGGTGAGTGGCAGGTGAGTGAGCATTACTGCCTGAGCTCCACCTCCTGTCAGATCAGTGGTGGCATTACATTCTTACAGGAGCTCAAACCCCACTGTGAAATGTGCATGAAGGATCTAGGTTGCACACTCCTTGTGGGATAGTTTTATCTTGAAACCATTCCCCCTTCTCTGTCCATGGAAAAATTGTCTCTCATGAAACTGGTCCCTTATGCCAAAAAGGCTGGGGACTGCTGTTCACAAGCATATAAGTTCAGCATTAATAGACTGCCTCTGCTTACGTGACAGTGTGATCAGCACAGCCCAGGTGCAGTGTACAGCCGTCTATAACTCTGTGTGTGTATCCAGGTAAGCATGTAGACCAGAGAAGCCTAGGAGGAGGTATATGTTATTTGGACCTTTATATTTTAATAGTTTTATTTTCCTTTTCAGTTTCAGTGAAGGCTTCAGCTGTATGTGAACATTTATGACAAAATGCACTCGAGCATCTAGAGTCATCTTAAGATGGAAATTACTTTTCTTCATAGTTGGATAGCTTCAAGTTGGCTATGATGATTTTTATATCCTGTGTCCAAACAAAGAAGAAAATAACCCATCCTTCCAAAACCCAAGACCATGTCCATGTGCATTGGAGGCACAAGACTGAATGAGAGAAACTGTGTTAAAGTCAGATTCCATTGGCATGTCTGTCCGCTTTTGCAAAGAACATGTTGGTGGAAACATGTTCCACATGTCAGTGGTTACCCTGATTCTTTGAATTTAATGGTGGGGCTGGCAAAGAAAGCTGGAGCATTTGGGAAGCCTGAAGCCTGCCCTTCCTGGCAGCATCAGAAAGCAAGGGGAGATGTTGGTGTACAGGCAAAAGTCAGCTCTCAACACAGGTGATGGAGGACTGTGTATGTAGCCAGGGATAAAGAATCCAGGAGGGGCCTGAAGATGGGTGGAACCAATGAAATGAATCATCCCAGGTGTATCATCTCTTGTTTGGAAATATCCTAGCCCATTCCTACCTTCCTTTTGTTTAAACCACCTCCTTTTCTGAATGGCTGTGCCTTTTCATTCTTGTCTTCTGATCATGCACGGACTCCGGCTCCCAGCTTGACCTGAGCGTTTGCAGGAAGCACACTAAGGTTTGGGTAAGTCAGTTGCTGTTACTTGCTCCATGTGCTGTCCACCATGCTACGTGCTGATCTAGCAGGTGACATTGTGCTCTGCTTCTTCACCAGGGCTCTCTAGAGACACGGTTTTGACTCCAGGGCTGGAGGAAACATCACTACCAGAAGTGGATGTATACTTCGAGGAGGAAGGTCTTGGATTTCCAGGGAGTAGGCGGTCATCTGTGCCGCAGGTTGGTGTTGGCCATGATCACACCAAGTCTCACTGAGTCACAATGAGAGGAAGCTACACAGAGACATAACAAGTGAGAATGGCAGGAGCGTGCCTGGTTAATGACAGGGAGTGGCATTTGTTCAACGGCACACATTCATTTATCCCATTTTAAAATGGTGCCACCGAGCTGCAAGGCAAGGAAGCTACTGAACTTACCATCCACAAACACCTGGTGTACTGATAATTGTTGCTGCTTGCTTAACTTTGTTTTTCCTAGTCAGTAGATCCAGAATAGAAGTCAGTTCCCCTTCCCTTTTATTCAAAAGAATTCATTTAATCAGGACTTCTAAAGTGAAGTTTTCCAAAAAACTTTAAAAAATATTCATTTTAAATTTTTGTGGGTACATAGTAGGTATATATATATATTTATGGGGTACATGAGATGTTTTGATATACGCATACAATGCATAATGACCTTATCAGGTAAACAGTGAGTCCATCAGCTCAAGCATTTATCCTTTGTGTTACAAACAATCCAATTACACTCTATCAGTAATTTTAAAACATACAATTATTTTTGACTACAGTCATCCTGTTGTGCCCCCATATGCTAGGTCTTATTCATTCTTTCTTACTATCTTTTTGTACCCATTAACCGTCCCCCTACCACTTCTCCCACCATCCTTCCCAGCCTCTGGTAACCATCCTTCTACTCTCTATCTCCATGAGTTCAGTGGTTTTAGTTTTTATCACCCACAAATAAGTGAGAACATGCAAAGTTTGTCTTTCTGCCAAGACATGTTTTTAAATTGAGGTAAAATTCATGTAACATAAAATTTACCATGTTAGCAACCTTACAGTATACAATCTACTGGATTTTAATACTTTCCCTATGCGCTGTGCACTATCACCTCTACCTAGATCCCGAACATTTCACCCCCCACGAAAATGAAACAATGCGCCCATCAGTAGACACTCTTCCTTCTCCCACCCAGTCCCTGGCAAGCGCTAATCTATTCCTGTCTCAATTGACTTGTGAATTCTGGACATTTCACGGAAGTGCAATCATACAGTACGTGGCCCTGATGTGGGGTTTCTTTCACTCAGCGCAGCAACTTCAAGCTTCTTTCATGCTGCAGCATGTATTAATACTTCATTCCTTTTAATGGCAAAATAAGTCCCGTTAGCTGGATCTACTGCATTTTGTTTATCCATCATTGCTTGATGTACTTTGGGACTGTTTCCACCATTTGGTTATAGCGATACATTAAATACCTTTCTTTTGTTATTTTTGCCACACATCTTCGAAAATAGACAACTCATTCTTCTGAACACATCCCGGAATACATGTTCTCGGTAGATTCTTGTCCAGGATTAAATAATGGCCTTTATTTTCTTAATATCCTTTTTGACAATTGGGATAAGGCAGCCAGAAGGTAACTGACTTCTATCAAGTTATGGAGCACATCGTACAGAGGCGAATGTAGGCCTTTCCAATTCTTGTCCCCAGATGGACTTGTGTGACTCTGCTGAGGTTAATTCTTTGCAGCACGCCTATCCCTCACGCATGCACGAAGTTCTGGAAGTCTCCCCTGCTACATGTTGCTGTGTAATTGTGGCCTGACTTATCCACCATGAGCATGAAGACTGTGACTCAGCAGAGATCAAGGCCACAGCAGGCATCCTTACACACCCATGTTTAGATGTGCAGAAGCTGGGAGCCTGTGTTTGTGAGAAGGAAGACAGGCTTAGGATTGAGGTGAGAAATACCTCTCATTGCAGAGGTGGTGTCCAATAGTCTGATTCATGCCTGTCCCTCAGTTAATCACGGTTTCTTAACTGCTGCTCTATTGACATTTTGGACCAGATAATTGTCCTGGGTGTTCCCCTGTGCTTTATAGGATGTTTGCAGCATGCTGGCCTGCACTCACTGGATGCCGATAGCACCACTCTGCCTTTCTCTCCCCATCATGATAATCTAAAGTCTTTCTCCGGGCATTGCCAAATGTCCCTTGGCGAGGGGCAAAAATCATTCTTGCTTGAGAACCACTGGATCAGATAAAATTAAACAGACTTTCTATTCCTCAGACTCTAAGCCTGGTGCTTGATGGGAATGTGGGGACAGATAACGCCCAAGGAAATTACAGGAGTAAGAGGGTTATCTGGAGCAGGAAAACGTGCCAGGTAAGATGCGTGTTTGCTTGGGTTTGGGATTTTCTTATCTGGGGACCGAGTGGCTGATTACAGGCTCAGGGCTCATTACTCCCAAATTACCCGTCTGTCACTGCTCATTAGAGGAGTTTTCATTTGAAATCTGTTTCTGGTTGTTGCCCTCTTTGAAGAGAAGAGTGAATGAGGTCACAGGGATTAATGGCTGCTAAAAGCCATTCGGTTTCAACATTTCTCCAAGGAAAACGAATCATCATGTTTTCTGAACGCAAAACTCCGAAATAAAGATATGGGGAGTAGCAGGCCCTCTCCAATCAGACAGGCTCAGGAAAGTTTCCCCTACCAAAATAGAGCTGCTTATAACAAACTGGAGTGGAGAGAGGGTGCAAGAGGGAGCTCCCAGGCACCTGCCTGGAACCTGCCTCATCACAAGAAAAGCCTGCCGTCCCACACGCCACATGTGGCCCATGCCTTTTAGCAGAACCTTTCTCAAGAGCCTCCTGAAGACTTCAGGACTCTGGACAGGCCACCTGCTGAAGGACACTGACCCCAGCAGCGGTGTCTCCACCAAGAAAGGAACAGTGAGCAATGAACAGCACCGATTCCTACACTGAGCCTCTGTGACCTGTGGACTTTGTTTCAAAACAGCTTGTGTGGGCTTCCTTTTGTCCATAAAAGCTTCCCCTTTGTCCCGGCCCCCTTGCTAGGACTGTGATCATCGTAGAATGCACATCCCAAGTTGTGGCTCCCTCCACTATTTCCAAATAAACTTTCTGCTTGGAAAGTTGGTCTGGTACTCATTTTAGGTTGACTGTCTATGTAGAAATCTTTCCATTTTAGGTTGACTGTCTATGTAGAAATCTTTCCATGCCCTTTTTCCAAACCTCCCTGGCAGGAAGTTCAAATAGGAAAATAAGGGCTACCAGCAGAATCATTTAACCCAGCATTATACAATTTTAATCAAAGTCTTTGATGTGAGCGTTGCCTCTGCCAGGTAATGCTAAGGGTGCCATTACACGTTTCAATGTGCAATTAACGTTTTCCTCTGCGGTGGTGTTTTGCATGATGAGTCTGTGAGGGTGGGGGTGGGGGTGGGGGTTCTGCACAGTTCTCTTCCATAAAGCTATCTCTCCTTCACGTGGTCGCTTTGGCAGTTTTCCTTATTACCTGCTGTGTGTGCTGTTCTCCTTTTGACTTTTGATATCTGTGCTTTCAACCAACTCATTCTGAACTATGTTCCCCTTCATCAGCTGTTATCTTTCCTCACCCCCATGCAGCCTGGGAACTGCTGTGAAATCCAGCTCTGTTTTCCCACCCCAAACTTTCCTGTTTTGACTCCTTTCCAGGAGAGTCTTTCCCATTCATTTCCTTCTGTGATGTGTAAACACTGCCTCTGCTGCAAGTCACTCAGCCACCTCCCTCTGCTCTGCTTCACATCCGGGCTCTTAAATGTTTGTGTGTCCTTGTCTTTTTCACATTAGCCCATGAGCCAGCAAGAGTGAGGAGACCTGGGTTAAGTCTACCTTCTACCACTAAAGAGCTCTGTGTCCTTGCTCAGGCCATGGGTGGCTCTACCACACTGTTTCATTATAAAAGCATACCAGATGCTGTCTTTCCCTGTGGTATACTTAGGAGATTATGAGATGATCATATTTAAAATGCCTGGTAAAGTTAAAGTAAAAATGGAAAGTTGTGTCTCTATTTATTTCTACTTACCTTATTTGCTGACTTCATCACAGACTTCTCCTTCTATCACTCTCTCTAGCATATTTTTTAATCCTGTTCGATCCTGGCATCTTTTACATTTCTCCTTGTTTCCAGTTTCTCATGCGCTCCGGGTAATGTCCTTCCCTCCCCCCTCCCCCCCGCAAAATTAACCATCTCTTGGCAAAGGAGGCACATCACCAGTCCCTCCCACAGGCCAGTCCTTGCTGTCAGCACTTTATATGTGTTTTCTTTTTTCCAGTTTTTAATTTTATTTTTCCGTAAGTTATTGGGGTGCAGGTGCTATTTGGATGGATGAGTAAGTTCTTTGGTGGTGATTTGAGAGATCTTGGTGCATCCATCACCCAAGCAGTATACACTGCACCCAATTTGTAGTCTTCTATCCCTTGCCCCCCTCTCTCACTTCCCCCTAAGTCCCCAAAGTCCATTGTATCATTCTTATGCCTTTGCGTCCTCATAGCTTAGCTCCCACATATCAGTGAGAACATACAACGTTTGGTTTTTCCATTCCTGAGTTATACTTAGAATAATAGTCTCCAATCTCATCCAGGTCACTGCAAATGTGGATAAAAAAACTGTGAGATATATATATATATATATATATATATATATATATACACACACACACACACATATATATACACAATGGAATACTACTCAGCCATAAAAAGGAATGAATTATGGTCCTTTAATGGGTATGAAAGTATATGTACGTTTCAGGGTCTCTTTCCTCTGAGATGCCTCTGGTACTGATGGCTCAGCTGGAACCAGGGCTCCTCCAGCAAGTAAGTGTCTGCTTGACTCAAATATGCAGCCTCCCTTCTGGGTGGGAAACTCTCCTACCTACCTGGCCTCTTCTCACCTTCTCCCCAGTGGGATCATCATGCAAAGAAATAGACCAAGACTTCCCAGCACTTCTTTCAACCTCTGCTTTCTCATTCTCATGTGTCCGTTTTTGGGAAAGTGGTCAGAGGAGAGAGAGACAAGAAGCCATAAAGGAGAGACTCAACCCTGCCTGGCCTGGAGACGGCAGCATTCAGCCCAGACAGGACGTACTGGGCTCCTCTCCTGCCCTCTGGGAATGGCAGGGGCAGCTGCCTGGAGTACCGCGCGCAGGGTTCCCTAAGAAGGCGAATGGGCTCTGCACCGTGTAGGGTGGGGAGTGGGAGCAGTAATGCCAGATTCCAGACTCCCCTCAGTCCAACTTCGGTTGGTTTCTTCTTAGGGGTTGTTCATGACTCAACTACAAAACTGGCTTCCTGGTACCCTTTACTTTTCTGTCCTTTGACCCTAGAAAAAGAAGTATTTTAGCATGCTTCTGTTTGGCGAAAGGCCCTTGGTGAGAAAACTCTGTTGGTAGCTCCTGAGCTGCAACACCCGTCTCAGAGTCAGAGACGTTTCAAGTGGGGAGATTCTATTGTTTTCCGCATTCTGCATGGCAAGGGCCCTGCCTTCGATTCCCTCTTGTGCTGTTTGCGAGTCCCCACGCTGAGTTCACAGGCAAAGGAAGACGTTTCCATCTCAGTGAAACTTCACAGTCTATGTGGCTTCGATGACATGTCAGCCACAGTGGAGAAATTTTCAGAATGGTTTTGTTTCAAGGGTGCAGGGAGGAAGGGCTGTCTCCCAAGTCAAATGAAGCATTCCTTCTCTCTGTCCTGTCATTCCTACCCAGTGGGCCTGGAGGGCCTTTGCTAACCAGCATGACTTAGTTTGGAGACTAGTAGCTTTGTTTACATTGGATATCTGTTGCCAGTCTTCACCACTGCACCATCTCTATGCTAAAGGTAATTGCCAAGAGAGTATGTTGTTATATTGCTCTATCAGGGTGCAGGACCCCATGGAGTTAACGGCCAAAAGCCACACACTCACCACGCAGCAGAGTCCTGACTGCATCCTCACATTAGGAACAGGGTTTTCAGGTTTTTTCAACAGAGCTTATCTTTTTTTTCTGTTGGGGGTGGGGAAGATGTAGTCTTGCTGTCATTCAGGCTGGAGTGCAGTGGTGCAATCCCAGCTCACTGCAACCTCCACCTCCTGGGTTCAAGCGATTCTCCTGCCTCTGCCTCCTGAGTAGCTGGGATTACAGGCACGCACCACCATGCCCGGTTAATTTTTGTATTTTTAGTAGAGACGGGGTTTTGCCATGCTGTCCAGGCTGGTCTCGAACTCCTGACCTCAGGTGATCCACCTGCCTTGGCCTCCCAAAGTGCTGGGATTACAGGCATGAGCCACCACACCCGGTCTGAGCTAACCTTTTTTAATCTTTGGGATGAAGAAGGAAAAATGATAGCATTACAATTTCTGATGTTCAATTAATTTTAAAACAGTGAAAAGAAGGAGAGTTGATATTCAACAAAGTTGTAGATAGAAGGAGAGTAGACACAATTATTCATGGGGTACAACTTGGGTAAAGAGAGAAGGGAGTGCAGGAACCGGGCAGGCTCTTCCAGGCTGGAGAGAGGATAAACTTGCCAGAGCTGTTCTGGAAGGGAATTTGGCAGCAGCTACAAAAGTCTGGGAATTTTGGATATATTTTGATCCAGTGATTCCACTTCTAGGAAGTTATCTGAGGAATAATTGTAGGTCAGCTAATTCATTAAGCTACAAATGTGTTTACAATGGTGCTGTTGATAACAAAGAAATATGGAAAAGCTAAACATAAAACGTCTCGCTTATTGGGATGTTAAGTCTTGCAGAAGTTGTTTCACTTATTAAGTAAAACAAAAAAGTTTCAAAAGCAGTATATGCAGCTTTAGTAATCAAAACAGAGTGATATTGGTATAAAAATAGACATATAGACCAATGGAATAGGATTGAGAGTCCAGAAACAAAGCCATATGTCTATGGCTGATTGATTTTCAACAAAGGTTCCAAGAACATTCAATGGAGAAATAGCAGTTTCTTCAATAAGTTGGGCTGGGACAACTGGATATCCACAAGCAAAAGAATGTAGCTGGACCCCTACTTCACTCCGTATACAAAAACTAACTCAAAATGGATCAGTTACCTAAATATCAAAGCTAAAACCATAAAAATCTTAGAAGAAAACTTAAGGGTAAATCTTCATAATTTTAGATTTGGCATGAACAACAAGAAAGATAGATAAATTGAACTTTATCAAAAGTAAAAACCGTGTATCAAAGCACATTATGAAAGAGTGAAAAGGCAATGTATGGAATGGAGGCAACTATTTACAAATCATCTATTTGATAAGGACCTAGCATCCAGAATATATAAAGAACACTTAGAAGTCAACAACAAGAAGACAAACAAACCAATTAAAAAAAAATGGAGAAGGACTCAAACAGACATTTCTCCAAAGAAAACATACACATGCCAAAACCACATGGAAGGATAGCCAACATCATTTTTCATCGGGGAAATGCAAATCGGAACCAGAACGAGTTATCACTATATACCCTCTAGCATGATCATATTTTTTTTTAAAGGAAAATAACAAGTGTTGGTGAGAATGTGGAGAAATTGTAACCCTTGCACATTGTTAGTGGGACTATAAAATGGTTTAGCCTCTTTGGAAAACAGTTTGGTGATTCTTCAAAAGTTAAACATAAAATTACCATATGACCCTACAATTTCACTCCTAGGTGTAGATTTAAAATAACCGAAAATAAACACTCAACAAGTACATGTCTATAACCATAAGTTCATGTGTAATAACCAAAAGACAGCAACAGCCGAAATGTCCATGAACAGATAAACTGTGGTATGGTCATAAAATGGTATATTAGTTAGCTATAAAATGGAATAAAGTACTGATCCATGCTACAGCATGAATGAATCTACACGACATTATGCTAAGGGAAAGAAGTAAGACATAAAATGTCACTTATTGTATGATTCTCTTTATGCGAAATAGCCAGAATAGGTAGGTCCGTGGAGACAGATTGCAGATTGGTGGAGGCCAGAGGCTAGTGTGGGGGAAGAATGGGGAGAAACTACTTAATGGGTAAGGGATTTTACTTGGAAGTGATGAAAATGTTTTGGAAATAGAGGTGTGGGTTGCATAAAAAATGTACTAAATGCCACTGAATTTTTCACTTTAAAATGGTTAATTTTATGTTACGCAAAGTTCACCTCAAAAAGCAGCATATGTAATATCTCATTTTTTTGTGAAAAATACATACGGGAAAAGGCTGGAAGAGCAGCACTCGTTTAAAAATGTGCTAATGGTGGTCATGTCCAGGTAGCACAGGAGGGCACAACCCCAGTGCTGGAGCCTGGTTCAGAGTGGCTCAGTCACTTCTAGCTGTGTGACCCTGGGCAAGCTACTTGTCCTCTCTGCTTTGCAGACTTGACATGAGGGTTAAATGAGATAATGCAGCACTCAGCACATATCAGTAACGGTTAGCTATTATTATTTTTAAAGGCATTTTGACTTGTCTTAGTTTATTTGCATTTTCTAAATTCTTGACAATCAAAAAGGTTTTATTGCAATATCTAGCAGAAATGCAGACTTTAAGAGAGGAACGGATTCAGACGCCCCTGTGTGTGACTGGAGGAAGGTATGTATTTTGAACAAATATGGGATATTGCATCAGCTACTTAAAAAAAATACCTCTGTGGTGGAGCCCTCAGCTCTGCAAAACCAGGGCAGAGATAGAGAGGGGCTATGGAGTCAGTGTGATGTGATATAAAGAAGAGAATTGAAAACAGAGCTTCTCTCAATCCACGCACACAAGCTTTTAGTATGAATGTGCAATGTTAAATGCTGAGAAATTACAGCTATTAAATAAAGACTCTCTAATGGGGCTTCCTTGTCTGGAAGGCCCCACCCTCCCTACTCTGTGCCTCCTCCTGCCCATCCCACAGATCCATGCTGGGATTTTGGAGCCTCCTTAATTAGGGTCCCCTGGTACATTATCTCTTAGCAATTCCCACTTTCCCTTCCCAGCTGTTATAACAGATCTTCATTATTTATCAAGAACAAATGCATCAGGTATATTCAATGAATGGCTCTCCACGAGGCAAGTGTGCTGGATATTTTGTTCACTGTATTTCCCCAGTTCCTAGTAGGAAGCCTGGCATACGGGAAGGGTGTTGTAAATATTTTTTGAATAATCAGAATGACCAGATAGGTATAGTTCAATAATCATTATCAGACAATCGGCTTCCATTTCCATTGATTCCATTAGACTATTCTTCACAGGACAGTCCCACAGGAGGGTAAGCAGTATGGACGTTAGTGCTGGTGCCGTTGTGGGGGATCAGCACAGAATCTTACAATCACTTGGGGAAACACAGGCCCCCTTTTCCGTACTCCATCTGCTTTTGTTTGGTTCTCTTTTCCATCCTGGTCACTGCTTTTCACTGTACACCCTACCTGTTCTCTGGGATGCTGGTGAAGTGTCACTGGGCCACACGGTATCTTTTATACATAAAGAACAACAGAAGATGGTTTGATTCTATTTTGTTCCTTAGTGCTTTTTATACCTACTAGACTTCCAGCACAACAATATGTGGAAATAATCTTTAGTAAGTTCTTGGGTATCTGCTCTTCAGCATGGTAGCTCTTCCTCCAAATACAAAAGCCATAACTTAAATTTCCAAACTCATGTGATCACAGGTTCCAGCTGATGCTAAAACTCTAAGTCAGCGTCTGTCATACAAGGCCTGCGATTCTGAATCTGAAAATATTCTCAGGTGATTTTCATGATCAGACAAGTCTAGGAAATGCTTGCTTAAATAAACAGTGCAACTAGCAAGCTATTTTAGAACTTTAGAAGTTGCTGCTTGCAAGGGAATCCAATCATGGATATGGAGGCTGGAGCTATGCCTTCCATCTTCCTGCTTGGTTTCTCCAAGGAGCTTGAACTAAAGGAAACAAAGGTTTAGTCTCTAATAATGCCTCTTCTGCACTCTGCCACACCCCAAAGAAGTAGAGAACCTGGCAAAACTCAAAACTCAAGACATCATTTGCTCTTGGATGAAGAAACGGCATCAGAAAGGGGTGTGCTCAAAGTGTATAATTTTATTCAAGACACAGTTACTGGAAAACATGCCCACATGAGTCTACTGCCCTATAAGCTTGCCTGATTCCATTCCAGTTTATTATACTTGATTAATATCTACCTGGAAGCCTACTTTCCTGGTGCAAAGAGAAACAGAGCATCTGTGAAAAGCAGACTGGGAAGCATTTCTTTAGCGACTTAATATTTAGGATGCTGGATGCTCGGATTATATGCAGCCGTCAGAAAAGAAAGATGCAATTCAGTTGTGAAGGATGTATTTTAAAGCCATTTGCTAAAATGTCACTGGAATTTGTAGTTGAACCCAGTGAACAGCTGGAGATGCCGTAGCAAGTGACAGTCTCGCGTCCATCTGTGGTTGTTTCTAACATCACTGAAGTGGACAATGACAGGATCAAACGCTGTGCTGATCCATCAGTAGATAGACTTTCTTGGCATACTGGGGATGCCACCAAGACACTTTATTTGGCTTAGTTCCTGCTCTGGGGGTCGGAATTTCTCCAGCAGCTGGGCGTCACTCTGTGATCCTGTGTTTTTATTGGAATGCATTTGCTTGGTTGGTCTTAGTTCAGTGAAGCTGAGCTCCAGCTATACTGCTCCACATATCGATCGGTTCCTAGAAACACCTGGTCCTGGGACCTGCTTCCCAGGTAAGCTCATTGGTCCTGGGACCTGCTCATTGGTAAGGGATGAGACATTGAAACAGCTTGTCACATGAAATAGCCTCAGCTCACCTATCAAATGTGGGTGGTTGCCGGCTCATATGTGGAATGAAGACCTCCCCAAGGATAAGGAGACAAGAGAGGTAGTGAAATTAAGACCCTTAAACCCTGATTTTTCCCTTCCATACTGTTATTTGGAAGTGAGTCACTAAGTCCAGCTCATAATCAAAAAGATTGGTGGGTTGGAGGAGGCCCACCGATCCCAGAGGGGAAGCGTCTACAAGGGTGATATTCAGAATCAACACTTGCTTTGTTGGTTTTCTCCATGATGTACAAGTCCAGTTTTAATTAACTTTTTTTGGATAATCCTGGAGTCTTTTTACTCAGGTTAAAGAAAAATCACCCAATTAGGGATTTTTTATTTTCATTTTCCTGACATCTGAGGTGTTGGATAGATACTATGACTGCTTCCTCCTTCTGGAAAGTGTATCTTGTGTCCCAGACTCTGAGACACTTCTCCGGTACCTTTGGTTTGTGATCTCAATTCTCACCTGCAGCCCCTGACCCCACGTGCCACATTTCCTGACCCATGGAGAGGCACCTGCGGCATCCCCTGCCCAGCCCGGCTCAGCTGCTCCACTTCTCATCTTTTCCCGGAGGAACCCTCACCCCTTAACATCCCTGTTTTTATACATTGATTTTCTAAGCTATAGTCATTTTTATTTTCCTTCTTTTTCTTGCCCTCCAGATTAATTTACCACCCAGTCTTATACAGCAGGTCCTTGAGGAACGACATTTAGTTCAACGTTTTGCAATAATGTTGTCGAGGGAAAACTCAGTTCTGGCCGGGGCCACCACCGGCAGAGTTGGCACACTCTCCCCAGGTCTGTGTGGGGTTTCCCCATGTACTCTGGTTTCCTTCCACATAGAAAGCTGTGCCCGTTGGGCGAACTGGCATGACTCTCTAGTCTCCGTCTGGTCTCTACATGGCTGCATCTGAGCTGCCCTGTGATGGGACAACGTCCTGTCCAGGCTGGTGCCCGCTTTGCACCCTGAGCTGCTGGAATAGGTTCTTGCCACCCACCACCCTAAATTGCAGTAAGTGGGTTGGAAAATTGAATGAATGAATGAATGAATGAAAATTATTGTAAAATAAAAACCCATAAACTCTACGATAATCATTCAAATGTGCAACAATATACCATGCAGTACGAGAGGGCGCTGGGTGAGCCCCCACGTCTGTGACTGTTTGTGTTTGAGCTGCACGATGGCAGGGGGTTCCTGGCGCTGTTCTCTTTGCAAACACTCATTGCTGGATCTACCGCAGCAGGACTATGGCTGCCGCCACTCACCGGTTCACCAAAAATTGAGTAAATAATTCTCCTACTTGTTTTCATTAATCTTTCTTAAACGTATGCGTAGCTCACATTTATGCCAGTGCTTAACGTTAGACATGTTTTGGGTCTTTAGTTAGCAGTTTGGTAGTTTTTTTGTGATCAGAAGTATGCCATCTCAACTCTTGTTTACATCAATTACTTATTGTAAAATTGATTTTGTTATATGTCATTTTGCTTAAAGTCCCAATTTCCAATAACCTATGGACGAGGTTAAGTGAGAACTTACTGTAGATTTACGTTTTTTTTTTCTCTTTTCCATTTCTAATACCTTACTATGCAATAATGGATGGGACATCATCTTTGGGGTCAGACAGACCCATGCACAAATTCTGAGTTTTCTCTGGCCTCTATATGTCTCTGTTTTACTTGACTTTTATATATCTGTGTCCTGGTCTCTAACATGATGGTCAAGCACATAGCTTTTAGAGTTGTGAGGATGCAGGAAGGGGCCCCAGGAAGGGCCTCCTGGAGTGTCTGGCTCTGGGGGCCTTGGACACGCTCATGTTGCGCCTGGGGATCTCCTTCATGCCTTTCTCTCCTCACCCTGCCCCTATTGGTCCTGCTTCATGTCAGCCCACACCGTGTAAGAAGCCATCCCTGCGATGATATCTACCCTGCGTGTTGCACCCGCATCACAGCTTTCTGAGTCCAAACATCTTCAGGGGTTCAAAGCCACCCTGGCTGGTCCCCATGATCATGTCCTGTCTCATCTGCTATCTCCCGAACATCCCAGGCCCTGCTCCTTCCTATCTGCCTTAATCCCAGTGCTCTCTGGGCCGCCTCCTCACAGCCCAACTTCACATTCCTTGGAAGCCACAACAACTCCTCCCTCTGCCAGTGGAGCCTCGGCTGCCCTCCAGGGCCTGCTGTGGCCCTGCTCTCCCCGGTCTCTGTGGCTCCTGGGGACCCTGGCACTCTCTGCACCCCCAGCCTGGAGGGCAGATGGCCAGCATGCAGGAGGAGTGTGCAAACCAACATCATCCCAAGAGGTGGACAGTGAGCCAGGCTCTGCTTTCTGTGTGGACCCATGACTGTGGAAAAATCACACTGTCCTTAAAAAGCCAAATGGTGCCTTTTCTCTTGACTAACCCTCCAAATGGGATTTTGAGAGAAAGAAAAAAAAATCACCCCTTTGAACCATATTAAACAAGCCAGGTCTTTCTGAGTTTGAAAGAAAACCAGAACACTGAAAGGAGGTCACCATGGGGCACTGGGGTTCCTGCAAGGACCCCTCGGGGCTGGGAATGTGTATTCCCGAGCAATGAGCTGCCTCCGGTGTAGTCAATTGCAGAATGTCCATTCTGAGTGGATACTGGAGTTTTCGCTGCTTTACAAACTTCACGGAATGCTGTGAGAGTCTGGCTGGGGTTGACAGGGCAGGCCTGTGCTTGTGGGCCCTGGGGCCCCAAGCACAGCTGAGGTTCTGGGACCATGTGCCAGGGTCCTAAGTCAGTGAAGTTGACAACTAGAGTGAGCAACTGCTGAATATGATGTGGTCTCTCCTTCCTGAGAACCAGAGGCCAATGTGAAGGTGGGATTCTGTGACTTCCCAGAATGGGGAAGTGGGCTGGGGTGGCAGCTGGCAGCTGGGCCAGCTTTGTGGCCCACCCCAGCCTGGAGCCTGTGCTCTTGAGTGGGGCTGCCCCACCTGCCGGCCTTCATGCCGTCCACGCTATTACCTCAGGGGCTAGAGGGCATACTGCTGGTGGGGAAGTTCGGCTGGGACCACCCAGCTAGGGAAAAAGACTGGAAGGACCCAGGGCTATTTGAAAGAGGGATTCTGGGGCTCTGAACTCTACAGAAAGTTCCAGAAGCAGCGTGCACTGGCTCTGGTAGGCACAGGCCCTATTAAGACTCCATAGCCTTTTCCTCCTGGAAAGACTTACATGGCTCAAGGAGGGACAGAGGGAGCATGTGCGGGGCAGGGCCAAGGGCAGGTGGGACTGTTGTGCTACCAAGGATGGGAGGAGAATGCCAGGAAACTGGAAAGCTCCTCAGGAACTGCAACATGTTGGGAAGCAGAGAGCCCCTTCTTGTTGAGAAATGGCCCAGTTGTCCCTCCAGAGACACACTGGCCTGCATCTCAGCCAATGACACAGGACTGGGACCCTGTGTCCCCACACAGGCACCTGCTCTGTGATGCACCCGGCTTCTCCAGTGACTCAGCTGCTTGGCCTGGGCCTGCTAGAGATGCAAATTGAGGTCTCATCAGCTGCCCTAGCCCTGCCCAGACACCCTGACCAGTGTCCGACCGGCCCTGCCTCAGTGGGTGCTTGGAGGGGCACAAATGACTCAGCAGGAGTGGGAGTTGCCAGGAGCTTCCAGGAGTCTTGAAGCCAAGTGTCTCTCCAGGGTTGATGCCAGCTTCGCATCGGCTTGGCTGCGCCAGGAAGACCACCAGGGCAGTGCAGAAAGTGATGGAAGGACCTGCCATCGGGTCACGCCTGAGCCACAGCTGGGCCCTTTCACTTTAGAGTGAGAATCCTCCACTTCCATGGTGAGGGGAGGCGGAGGGGCTGAGAGTGAGGAGTGGGAGGGCGTCCACCACCTACCTGACACCCACTCACTGTGGGACCCGGGGAAGTTCCACAAACCCTCTGGGGCCTCAGTCTCCTCATCCATAAAGTGGGGACACTTAGAACAGCACCTGACTCCCACGTGGATGGGAGCAGCTAGGCCCTGATGCCCAGAGAGCCCAGGACCGGGAAGCAGGATGTGTGCCGGCTCTTCCCGGTGGGGCATCCGAGGGGCACAGCCCACTCTGAGCCTCAGGTCTCCATCAGTCGAGGGAGGATGCCCATGATTCCTGCCTCCAGGCCAGCTGGGAGCCCGCACATCAGGAAATAGGACAGCCTCATTGGCTTTTGCTCAGCTTCCAGGGAGAAATCGTCAACCACAGTAGCCTGCAGGAGAGATGGAGCTACAACCCAGCATTGGAAAATAAAAGCCCAGGAACCTGGCAGGAGTGGAGGCCAGCGCGTTGGAGAGCCCCGGGCCATAGGAGACAAGCCATTCCCTGTCTCGGATGGAATCCCTTCTGCCTGTGTCCCTCAGCACTCCTGGTTTGTGTTGGGTGAATGAAACCACATGTGTGGAGTACTTTTTTTTTTTTTTTTTTTTTTTTGAGACGGAGTCTCGCTCTGTCGCCCAGGCTGGAGTGCAGTGGCGCGATCTCAGCTCACTGGTTCACGCCATTCTCCTGCCTCAGCCTCCCGAGTAGCTGGGACTACATGCGCCAGCCACCACGCCCAGCTAATTTTTTGTATTTTTAGTAGCGACGGGGTTTCACCATGTTAGCCAGGATGGTCTCGATCTCCTGAACTCGTGATCCGCCCACCTTGGTCTCCCAAAGTGCTGGGATTACAGGCGTGAGCCACCGCGCCGGCCGTGTGGAGTACTTTTTAATGGCAGGGGTCTCATGCAGGCCTGCCTTTTCCCCATGCTTCTTCTCCTGGTTCTCTGTCCAAAGCTTTCCCCTGTCTATCTCCATTTTCATCCCCTTCCTGGCGATCACAATGTCCTTCTTCTCCCCTTCAGTGTCCCCTCCGGTGTCTGCCTTGGGAGCCCAAGCCCTGAGAGCGCTCCTGGAGTCAGGAATCAGTATCTGTCACTATGACCCATGAGCCATAGCACGTCCACTCAGACAGTGGCTTGCCTGATGTGGAGAGAAGGGCGAGGCACGAGTTATGGTGGCTGATTTGCACACCGCTCACGCTGTCTTAAGAAGACTTACTTGTTGATATTAATTGCGGAATAACATAGGAAAAAGTGTGAAGGGCACTGCCGACTCTAAAAAGAGAGGCAGCCCCACGCAAAGTGAAGGGGGGCTTGGGCCCCTGATATGGACAAGCGTCATGGGCTTCAGCAGCCTGTTTCTGCGAAATTGCAGAAGAATGAGGCTGGTGACTCCGCCCAGAACCCCAGCCCCCGCCCTCCCCAGTGAACAGATGAAAGCTGATGGCAGCGAGCAGTGGCCACTCCCTCGTAGCGGATTCGTTTGGAGCCTCTGCCTTTCTTGCCCAAATGTGGTTCGGCTCAGTCTAGCTACAGAGAAAAAAATTGCATTCCCGGCTGGGATTTCGAACAGTGATTTATTTTAGTGGAAGTGCCTATAATTAAAAGCAGCCACAACAAAAACGAGGCGTGAGAACATATGAGTCCCAGACAGTTACCAAGCCCAGGAGGCCGTCGTGACGGCAGAGGTGACAGCAAACTAAATTTACAGCCCCATTCTGCCCCTTTCCAGGGGTGTGCTCTCAACAGGGGTCAGTTTACGCGAGGGATTAGGAAGAGTGAGATGCCTCTTTTGGAAATGATGATGCATATGTATTTTCGAATGTTGAAAATACATAGGTGTGAATACCAGGAAGATGTGGCAGGGGACTGTGAGGCAGAGGTGTCCCTCACATGGAAGGACAAAGACTAAGGGAACTTCTGTGCAGATGGCGCCAAGGTTAACTCAAGGTAGGAACGTCAGAGCAGCATCACAGTGACGTTGGCTGAGATGAAAGGGAGAAGGAAAGCTCATTTCCATACCTCGCAGCCCACACTGCGCTTCCAGCTGAGGTCGGGAGGGAGGGGGCAGTGAAGCCCTGGGTGCAGCGGCAGAGACCCCGAGGCCAGTGCCCCCGCGGGGGCCTGTAGGGTTCCTGTCCCTTTGTGTGAGGTTGATGTACAGCCCCACAGCAGCTCTGTGGGCGCTCCAGGCCAGCTCCTTGGAGAATCCACAGAGGCCCTCAAAGGCTGCGGAAGTGCACTTGTGAACATTTTCTATGCATTCAAAAATCACATTCTTTTGAATTATTTCCAGCAGCCTGACCATGTGACACAGTCCTTGTGTGGTGGGTCCCCAGGTGAAAATATTTCCTGAGGAGATGCCTGAGTGCTGAGATTCAGGCATCCGGAGGATACCGGTCTAACTCACTCTGGCTCTGAGTGGGAGGCCCGATCCAGGCACAAAGGGCAGTCCTCTCCCTCCGGGCTGGAGCCTGGCTGCTGGCCCAGAGCGTCCGAGGATGTCTTCCCTGTGGAGAGATTCCACTCTGCTTTCTCCTCCTCCTCCCACGCTCTGGCTCTCAGAATTTATAGCAAACATGGGCGTGAGGGGCTCAGGCTGCTGATGAGTGGGTCCCAGAGGAAGGAGAAGACCTCCACGGAGGTTAGACAGTGATTGTTGTTGAGGAAGAGAGGAATGGCTTCAGGACTGGCCTGCGTCCAGGTCCCACTTAGGGGTCTGCCAGGTGGGGGAAGCCCCCGCTGCTGCTCTCATGCGAGATGGGCAGCCGCAGGACCCTGCTCCTTAGGGCAGAGCCACACAGGGACAAGGTGGCCAGGCAGCTGTGCTCACCTCCCGTCTTTGCAGATGCGGCGTCCCCACCTGGCTGCTTGGGAGACTCTTGACGGCAGGTATGCTGGGATCTGAGCTGTGTTTCTGCTCTCGCAGGTGTTTGAATTTCCCAAAGCGGGTGGGAGCTGCCAGAACTCCTAAGCGAGATGAGGCATGAGCACTGGGCTGCCCAGCGGAGTCCTGGTCAGGGTGGGTGAGGCTGTGCAGGGATGGCTGAGCTTGGGTATTGACGGGGCCTGCTGCCCCAGCCGGCTCTGCTCTGTGCCCTGCACCAACATGTGTCCTGGGTTTCCATCCTCAATCACTGTGCAGGGGGCAGGCAAGGACACAGGCTTTCTATCCTTCCAGGCTTCTAGCCCTCAATGCCCTTTCTGTCTAAACCCCACAGGGAGGCTGCGGGGATTCCTCATCTTAGCCCTGCTGTGAACCACCTGCAGCAAGGACTGTCTCCTGCCTTCTTTGGGAAGCCAAGCGTGGGCCAAAATCAGTAAGAGAAGCCAGGTTTAGGAATCTCAGGAAGGACCATGTAAGAGTTTGCTAGGACTGCTGTCACAGAGTACCACAGCCTGGCAGCTTAAACAGCAGAAATGTATTGTCTTGCAGCTCTGGAGGCTGGAAGTCCCAGAGCAAGGTGTTAAGGTGTTGGCAGGGCTGGTTCCTTCCGAGGATGTGAGGTGCCTCTTCCCTGGTGTCTGGTGATGCTGACAATCTTCAGTGAAGTCCCAGAGCAAGGTGTTGGCAGGGATGGTTCCTTCTGAGGCTGTGAGGTGCCTATTCCCTGGTGTCTGGTGAGGCTGACAATCTTAGTGCTCCTTGGTGTGTAGAAACCATGATCTCTGCCTTCATCTCCCCATGATGTTCTCCTTATATGTGTCTCCCTATATGTATCTGTCTACAAATTTTACCCCTTTTATAAAGATTCTGGTCTTATGGAAGTAGGGCCTGCCCTACTTCAAAATGACTTCATCTTTATCAGTTATATCTGCAATGACCCTATTTCCAAATAAAGTTACATTTGAAGTACTGGGATTAGGGCTTCCACATATGAATTTTCAGGGGACATAATTTAACCCATGGCAAGCCAAGACTGACTTTCAGGGCATGGCATTTCTTACCCAAAATGTAACAGGACGGGATGGGGCTACAATGGCTGGACTGGTCTCAGTAGAGAGAAATGACATCACTTTTAATTTCCATCAGAGTAAGAATGAAGTACAACATAGATTAGCTTTCTGAGCATGAAATAACTTGAAATTTTAAGGAGCTGATTGAGGGATTCTGGGACTTGTGATTGTTCTCCAAATCGAGTAGCAAATTACTCCAAAAATAGTCAAGTGCCTCAGTACCCCATTCATTCAGACTAATTAAAGGGAAGCCTAGCCTTTAGAAGTTGGAGTTCTTTTCACAGATTTCCTTGAGAAATGGACTATACTTTTATTTTTTTAGCCTGGAATCAGCCCTGCTCCCCACCCCATGTGACAGGAGCCCTGGTTAGATATGGGAAGGGGGTTTGGTGAAAACAGGAAGGAACAGCTGTGGGGGGCTTGGAATTGGTCTAACAATGGCAAGTACTTAGAACTAATTGGGGGAAGAGAGGCTTTTAATTACCTTGGGTTGTTTTCAATAACTTTGTAATTATTTCCTCTTAGAAAATGAAAAATGTCCAAGTCCCTGATTTGTGGACTCTGCCTGCAATGAGATTTGATTATATTTTTCAGTGAGGCATACAGAGGACAAAATAGAAAGTCAGAAAGAGGTGGGGCTTTGTGGGGAGCTGGGCAAAGGGTTATTCAGTGTAGAATTTACCCTTGTTGAACTAAGAATACTCACGGCTGTCCTGAGAAGTGCCCTAAGCCTGTGATGTGGAACGGCTGTTGGTTCCCCATATCCTTGCTCCATGCCCTGTGCTCCATGGAGACTTGGGTTTAGATGGCCTTAGTATAGATATAGTTAATATTAACATTTTCATTAATATTACCTTCACATCAAGAAACTGTAGCATAGCCCATTTTTTCCTCCAATCTTTCCAAATATTTTATATATTCTGCTTCTAAATTAGATTTTATAAGCATTTCTTAAGCACCTACTATGTGCTAGGCAACATCCTTGGGTCCTGAGGATGCGAGCATGCATGCCATATAAGTGAATAGATTTCCATGTATTGGGAAGAGTGTACCAGTAGACTTCCTGGGAAGGTGGGAGACAAGGAGAGGAGTGAATAATCCCTGTGAGGTTGAGAGGGGAGCCTGGAGGTGTCAGGAAGTTTCCACCTTGGGAATTTGAAGGGAAATGAGGGAAAGAAGATCATCCCAGGAGCTCACTAGGATAATCCAAAGCAGAGAAGAAGGAGATGAGTGCTCTGATTGATTCTCTGAATGCAATGTAACTCATCCCTAGACAATGTTCCAGGTTGGCCAAGGTATATCCCATTCCAAAGTTCCCATCCAAGGTGAGAAACAGGAAGTAAAATGGCAGAAGTCATCCATGTAGAGTATTGCTTAGCTTGAATCACATTTCTTTGATAAAGGGATATGTCAACTAAGCATGTTTTTGTTTATACTTGGAAATGTTGCCCTATCCTATAAGCCCTGAATATTATTATTAACTTTCATTCAAGCCATTCATGGAACTTTTTATGCCAACATCATAAGATGCCTGAGCATCTTATGTGAGCATCAGCCACTGAGCAAGCATCCCCATCTACAGGTGAGGTGGTTTGAGCTTTCTGTTTGTGGGCAAGGCACCAGATGCCCAGAGCCTTCTAAAAACAGCAGGTAAGCATGCTCCCTGTGGGTGCCCTCCTTTGCATTTATGGCAATGGCTCGGCAGAGGTCCCTTCTCACCTTCTGGAGAGATGGGAGGTGCCAGAACTTTGTGCAGCTGCCTTTATCCTGCACTGACTCCCCCATGATGAGGGTGACTTTTCAGGCATCTCACAGAGAAGATTAACTGCCAAGGTAATAAAGCAACTGCATTTAATCATTTTCCTAATTGATGCATTTATTGCAGCTCCTTGCTGCTTTTCAGGCTGAACATAATGAGCATGAAGGAAGCGAGTGTCACAGGGATCCCACATTTTCACCTAAAGGTTAATTAACCTGCAGATTATCGGGGAGATGACACCCACCCGGTGACGGCAGAGGAAACGCAAAGTCAGTGCTAAGTGCATCCAGGCCTGAGTGTAGAGCAAGGTCACAGAAAAGGAGAACTTTGGCTGATGGCTGTAGCCTTTGAAAGGATGTTAATGTGGATATTGATTTAATTCAACATGGAACACATTGTGCTTGGAAGCTTCTACTTGGAAGCTTCTAGTAAACGAAAAATGAAAGAAAAGAGATGGCGAGCAGGAACATAAATTGAAAAGGTGCCTCTATCCTGGAGCGTGAATGAAAATAGACTGCGTGTCTGTTCACATATTGATCTGGGTTTATATCTTCCATCTACAGCCATGCTGAGGCAAGGGCTGTCTTCAAACAAAGGCGTTGATAGACCTCCATGGGGAGGTCCTTTGAACAAGCTGACGGATCTTCCAAATGAGTGTGTTTGCACGCGGTATTGATGAAGGTCCAGTTTTAGATTTCTGAGGGCACAGTGCCCTAGCTTTACCAAACACTCCCCACTGTTTATCAGCAGCAATGTGAAGTCAGCTCGGCCCACCCTGAGAAACTCAAGAAGAGAAAGAATCATGCCTCTCTGGGTGGGAGCTCCCAGTTGTTTGAAAATTAGTTTACCATCCTACAGAATGAGATTTGTAAAAGCAAAAATGACGGTATCCCCTGCTACCTCTCACCAGGCCACAACATTAAAAAACAGATGGAGGGCCGGGTGCGGTGGCTCATGCCTGTAATCCCAGCACTTTGGGAGGCTGAGGCAGGCAGATCACAAGGTCAGGAGTTTGAGACCAGCCTGGTCAACATAGTGAAACCTGTCTCTACTAAAACACAAAAAATTAGCCAGGCGTGGTGGAGGGCGCCTGTAATCCCAGCTACACGTGAGGCTGAGGCAGAAGAATCGCTTGAACCTGGGAGGCAGAGGTTGCAGTGATTCAAGATCGTGCCACTGCACTCCAGCCTGGGCGACAGAGCGAGACTCTGTTTCAAAAACAAACAAACAAACAAAAACAGATGGAGCACAATTTGGGAAAACACACATCAAAGGTCTTTAAAATAAACGTGGCACTTAGAAAAATGTTATGCTACAAAAAGAATCACAGATATGCATAAATATTTGGCCAGGAAGATAGTCATTGTATAATCTTTAGTAAAAAAAATCAGAGAAAGCCTAACACATACTATCTATGTAATGTTGGGTATGTGACCACTTGGTGCCTCAGTTTCCCCGGTTGCAACTTCACAGGTTTGCTTTGAGGTTTAAATGAGACAAAGCCTGTGAAGTACTGAGGACAATGTCTACCCCAAAGGATGCCTTCAGCACTATTATCTAATTACTGCTGCTGAGATGACTGGTTACTGACAGAGTGCCATAGGGATGGGGCATTAACTTGCAGTTAGAGTGATGTTGACTGTTTGCTGAACGGAAAAATGCTCACAGTAAATTAAACAAAGCATGAATGAATGATTCTATTTTTAGACAAAGGTATAGTACATGTATGCATACATATGTACTGAAAAAATACAACATTTTATATAGAAATGTAAATACTAGGAGACTAAATAATAAAACGTTAGCAGTGATTCTCTTTGGATATGGGAATAAAAATGATTTTAAATTTAGTCTTTGTGTTTTGTCATGTTTTCCAAATTTTCTACTGTGAAAATACCTATTTATTTTGCAGTTAGAAAACAATCTTTCAAAATAATATCTATTTAATTTAACCAACATCAGATTCTAAAATTGAGGGTTTACGATTGAAACCGAGAGCCATTTGTTGTGGAGAACACTGTTCACATAGTTACATGTAAAACTATAGACTCTGTTTTAACATTATTTGTGTTTAGTGATGTCGTCAGACAGAAGACAGGAGCATGTTAGACAAAATACACACTCAAAGAACTGGGACTGAAGTTGGTCTCTACGTCTCTAACACTATCAACATCTTGAGCATGTTTCATACCAGGGTGCCAGTGATTCTCAGGATCGAGAGGCTGGGACCATACAGGCTGTGTTGCAACCCCAGAAGGCAGTGCCATGGGTCTGGGGACAGAGGGGTTGAAGTAGCGTAATGCTGCCTGGACCATGCAGTTGGTATTTTTTGCCCACTGATGGTGGCTCCTTAACTGTTGAGAAGTCAAACAGTACAGAAAGATGTGAATGCAGGAAAGTCAGATATTTAGCAATCCTTTTCAACTTTCTCATGAAACACTAACTAGAGACTGGAAAAGTATCCTGGTAACATTTTATTTTCCTTAAAACTTAGTTTGCAGTATTCAAGGTGCTCAAGGCTATTCCTTCATAAACAAACAAACAAACAAACCAAACCTTAATGGGTCCCGGAGTTTGGAAATACCACTAACTTTTCTCTAAGCTGGCCACACAGGCTAGCCTTAATCTATATCAGTTCCATGATGGGGTGATCTAACCCGTGTGTGGGCAGAGGAGGGAATGGAGGGTGGCAATGAGTAGAATGAGGCGCAGGAAATAGGAGCGCAAAAGACATTTTGCAAAATTAGCTTCCCCTTCAGTTTAATCCTCATTAAATGTAGCTCTTAAATGAAGATAGTAAAGTAAGAATAGATTTTTCTCTCCTTTTCACATCTGCTATAAAATCACATCCTTAATTTGTGGTCACATGAATAAGATACGAAGTGCTGGCACTGGGAAGGGGATCAATGAGTTTGTAGAATCATTTTATAAAACCTTCTCTGCAAACACCTCATCACCTTGGGAATCTTCCAGCAAATTTCACTCCAAAAGAAGGGATTAGCAAGTGTAGTTTCTCCCCATTCCTTAAAGTGCCCATATTTTTTTTTTATTAAACAGGTATTCTTTGCTTAATAAGGGGCACTGTTTTGGTCAAAGGAATTTATTGGCTCAGGAATATTTAATGCATTAAACTTTTATTTTTCTAGCCTCCTTCAGTTAGGAGAGGTTGTCCATTACTTTAAATATTTACATTTTTTATGTTCTCACATATTTATTTTATCTGTACTCTTTATAGAAGCAATAAATGTTTCCAAATTCTTTTTGGCTTGGTCTGGACTATGGTAAGCGGCAAGCATTGGCTCCTTCTCAGCTCTCTTGGGGCTCCACCCCTGTGTGGCAGTAGAGAAATCAGTAGCCCCTTCTTGACAACTGTGTAATTCTTTGTTTCCATTCCCTGAACTCTGGGGGTTTTTCTTCCTTACTGATATGGTTTGGCTTTGTCCCCACCCAAATCTCATCTTGAACTGTAGCTCCCACAATTCCCATGTGTCGTGGGAGGGACGCCGTGGGAGGTAATTGAATCATGGGGGCAGGTCCTTCCGTGTTATTCTTGTGATAGTGAATAAATCTCATGAGATCTGATGGTTTTATAAAGAGGAGTTCCCCTGCACAAGTTCTCCCTCTTTGCCTGCTGCCATCCACTTAAGATGGGACTTGCTCCTCCTTGCCTTCCTCCATGATTGTGAGGCCTCCCTAACCATGTGGAGCTGTGAGTCCATTCAACCTCTTTCCTTTATAAATTATCTAGTCTTGGGTATGTCTTTATTATCAGCGTGAGAACAGACTAATACATCCATCTTGACTAATCCTTCTCAGGTGTATTTTTCCTTTTTTTTTTTTTTTTTTTGGTGAGGTCTTGTCTGAGGCTTTCTGTCTGTGCTTGCTGCCTTTGGAAAGCTCATTTCATCCAGCGCAGTCAGCTCTCAACTGTGTGGATGCATCTTTCATCTGGATTCTGGCCCCAGTCTTTCTCCTCAACTCCAGGTCTGCATTTATCTTATGTAGTGAACACTTCCATCTGCAACCACCAGCATCTTAAACCTCATCCACCAAGAAAGAATGCATTATCTACTATTTTTCTCAGACCCACTCTACCTAATTTCTCATCTGTTAATGTCAATGCAATCATCCCCCAGTCTTCCAGATGGTTACCAGTTACATTTATAATTATTATGCCGCTGTTGAATGCCTATTACGATGTAGGCACTGGGCTAAGTGCTTGGGTTTTCTGTTTTTCAAGCTTGTGCTTGCAAGCATGACATCTACAGCTTCTTAATTAAGTCCAAGTGCCAGAGAATTCTATCAGATTCCTGATTATGTTACTTCATGATTAAAAGTCTCCACTTCACAGCTGACCACTACATTCCAGACACCCTGGCCTCAGGTGTCAGCTCCTCTGCCCACTCCTCTCACCTTTTGTTTCCACTTACCCCATGCTCTGGTCAAATTAAACAACCTGCTGTTCTCTGCATGCCACGTGGTTTGCCACCTCTGAAATCTGGCTCGTTTTCCCTTTCTGCCTAGAGCTTCTTCCATTCCATCTGTATGCCCAAATCCTTCCTGGTAGTCAATGTGCTTGGAAGACATATCTAAAAACTAATCTATGGTCTTCCCAACCAACTCTCATGTCATCGTCCCTGCCATGTCCTGCCCATATTACTTCTCAACATCACTTGGTATCGCAAAGATTCTCTTATCTTCTTAGAAGTAAGTTACTCAAAAGTAGAGGCTGTGCATGCCTGTAATCCCAGCTACTCGGGAGGCTGAGGCAGGAGAATTGCTTGAATTTAGGAGGCAGAGGTTGTGGTGAGCAGAGGTCACGCCATTGCACTCTAGCCTGGGCAACAAGAGTGAAACTCCATCTCAAAAAAAAAAAAAGTAGAGGCTGCATCTCACTGTGTTTGCACGACTGAAGGGAGGCATTTCTTCACCCAAGGAGTTCCTTGATGAGTAACACTGAGAGAAATAATTAGGTAAATGCACAACTTAGGTCATAGGCCTACTAATTATCTCTCAGTTCCCAAGATCAGACACTGAGTTACACAGAAAAAATAAAAGTACAATGAACAGGTGGAGGATATGTAGTCTACTGCAGAAAGGTCCTTTTGAGGATATGCAGTTTATTGTGGGAAGGTCCTTTTGAGGACAAGCGGTCTATTGCGGGAGGGTCCTTTTGAGGACATGCAATCTATTGTTAGAAGGTACTTTTTGTTAAGAGGTGGTATGTATGTTTGTGCTGAGAACCAACAAGGTCCACTGATTTCTTTCAGCCACTGCCTTTCTGGGGTTCAGAATAAGACAAAAATGAAAAACAAATGGTTCCTTGTGTTTTCTCCCTGACAGCCAGCATCTCCTCAGTGGCCTTCCCATTCTGCTGTAGCATTTGGAGCCTGTTCTCCTTCTCTGCCCTTGACATTCTCTGACAATGCTCAGTATGGGTCCTGACCATGACCTGGGGTTCTCCCTCAGCTGGTACCTGATTTAACAAAGAAATACGAAGCTGCGGTTCTCACTGTTGTATATTACCCGAGAGTCTCTTTAATGACAGGATATGAGGGACTTGAGTGGACTTAATTAGCATTTAAAAGAAGAAAATCTTGACATGGTGATTTAATGAGCTTAGCAAAGCTATTGCTCTGAGCATTGTTGCAAAGTTGGTGTTAACTGGAGTTGAGAGTGTGTAGCTAATCTAAATATATTAGATCCATTGAACCCTTGCTTAGCCACAAGGACGGAGTTATTGATGACATAGATGGTGACATGTCACCATATGTGGATAAGACCACAACCATGGAGTCAGATGCATGAGACAGCCGCAGATTGATTCCTTACTTTTTTTTTATTTCTCATTCCCCTCATCCACAAAATGGAACATTAGCATCTACCCTTGCAGGTTGTCCTGATAATTCACAACACAGTGAAACAGTAAATGGTCAGCACTTAGCCCAGTGCTTGGCATATAGTAGACACTAAAGAAATGTAAGGGAGTAATGAAAATAAAATAACAAATATTAGGAGAGCAGTAGGAGATATGTGAATGTCAGGCTAAGAGATAACACACATCCAATAGGCAATGAGCAGCCATTGGTGGTTTAGCAGTGGCAAACTTGTTCAAAGAACGGTTTTATGATGATTACTTTTGCAATAGTATAAAAAAAGTGAACTGGAGGAGAATAAGGGTAGCAACAGTGAGGATATAATTGCAAAAGTCCAGGCATGAGGAATAAATATGGTGATGAAAATAGAAACAAAATGCAGATAGAAATGACTTAAAAAAAACACTAAAAAAATTAACTAGAAAAAGAATGAAATAAAGTTATCGAGGAAATTATTTCAATTAGGAGACTGAAAAAGAGTGGAAATAGGAATATTTGGAGGCGGAGTTAATTGGGGAAATGCTAAGTTCTACTTTCAGCTTATTGAGTCAGACAATAGTGCAACATCGGTGGAGATAAACTTGGGGTGGTCAGTGATTAGAGAGGCTCCAAGCCAGGACCTTCTGATTTAGAGTTGTCTGTTTGAACTGGATGGTTGAAGCCATGTGAACGAATGAGAACTACAAAAGGGAAGAGTGAGAAGTGCAGAGACTGAGAATTCCACATCAACAGTATAGTTGGTAGAGGGAACCCAGTAGGAAAGAACTGTGTGAGAAGGGAGGCAGTGCTGAGTGATGCCAAAGACTACAGAGAGAAGAGGTGAAATGAAGACTAAGCACAAGCCATGGGCTGGTCAGAAGTGGACTTGAGAGCTGAGCTGCAGGGTCACCCTCAATGCAGTGCTTGTGGATGAGAAGAAAGTCAGATGGAGCCTTGTTGATGAGAAGGAATGAGAAGCTGGAACTGTCTGAGGTGCTGCCCCGTTCTCTAGCTGCCAATTGTTCATGGATATTATTTTGCTTTTTCAATGGTGATGGTGTTTTTCCCCCCTAAAGTTGAATTTTGTGACCTTGAATAGGATATCCACATTATAAACTTTTAAAAGCCCCTATGGGAAGATTTCCAATACTCTGTTCGTTTTCTGAGTAAGAAGGTGGGTCAAGATCCATCCCCTTTTGGAAAACTGAGCTCCCCGTAATGTTTTCAGAGCCAGTTTTCCCACTCAAGAATGTTCTCAGAGCCATTCATGCAAATGGAGGAGAAGACCAAGAAGTCAGAAAATGGGAGACCATGTGGATGAGCTTGCATGATGTCGGCTCCTCTGGCCTTTTCGCCTTATCTCCCATTAGCTGCCCAAGCAGATGCTGGGCTTCAAACATCCCCAAACTCAAGTCACCCTACCACGGACAGATTTTGCTCCTACCAGTTAAATGGAAAATTCCCAAATGTCTGTTTCATTAAATTGCCACCACAAGGGATAAATAGGTCGCCAAGCTGTGCCTACATTCATTGTATTTTCATTGTGTGCTTCTTGCATCTTTCTAATGTGATTACTGTGCAAAGATGCAGACAGTGTCTGTGGGCAGCTTAACTGTGTCCTCGAAAATTCTTTGTCTTCTGCTTACCAGCCATATGCTAAGAAGCAACACCTTCTAGCACAAGTACCATTATCCTGTGGCAGCTATTTCGACCCTGAAGACACAAGGCTTGCAGAGCTGTTCCAGTGTGGGTGAGACAGGGAGAAGACCACCAAGTCCCATTACCACACTCACTGAAGGGTGCTTTTGGATGCATGAAGGGTGTGCAGATGGCTGGAATTTGAGGACCAGCCAAGAGATGTCCAGGTGGTGTGTGGTGGCTGCTGGCTGCCTCTCAGACTTTTGGTCCTAGGAGCAGAGTGAAGCTGAAAGCAGAAAGATAAAACCATCTGTAGGGAACCTGCTGTCAGCAGCCTGCAAGGACAGGGTAGTACAGTGTGACCAGGACGAGCTTTTCTCCTGGGAGACCTCACCAGCTAAGAGCAGGGGGATAGATATTTTGGTTGCTAGAACTGTAAATCAGCAAATATTTCTAGGTTGTGAGAAGCATACAGGTCTTGTGAACTCAGCGGGTTTTCTGGCTGCAGATCCTGTCCTCTGGTGCCGTGGGCTCCAGCTTTGCATGCATCTCTCTGGACACAGCCCCTGGCTAGCAGGTGGGACTGAGCCATGCTAGCTTTGTGGGGACACGGGCTCCTGTCCAGCCCTCTTCTCACATCTTTCAGCGGGTGGGGAGCACAGGTGTTCAAAACCCAGCTTCTGGGAGGGTGAGTCTCAGTTCTATCCCTTCCTGGCCATGTCACCCTGGGCTAATTACTTAACCTCTCAAGGTTTGTTTTCTTGCCTGTCATTTGGGAGTGATTCTAGAACCCCTTGGTGGTGATGTGGGGGTAAATGAGATAAGCCACATAGAGAAGTTTATCTGTCACTTAGCCATTGAAGAGATGTTATGTCCTTTAATTCTTTTCATCCCTCACTCACTGGCCTATTGACACTGTCCGACGAATGGCTTTTTTTTTTTCTTTTTTTAAGCTACATTTAAGCCCCTATTACCGGTTGTTTAACTTTGTTAAATTCTAGTCATTCTTGGCAGTAGCTCAAGATATAAGAAATTGTTCTCCCTACCAAATAATTAACTCCTAAATGTCACCCTTAAGCAATTTAGTGCTGCCATTGAAATGCAAATGTTACTTCTATAAGCTTGGCGCTTTTATCTCGCTGATAACTTTTTTTTTTTTAACCAGAGAAGTTCTAAAAGAAATATAATTTCTGTCCATTTCTAGAAAGCCTCCTTTGAACTAAAATGGAAACTCAAGGCCTCTGTAAAACCATGTAGGCTAACCTTTTCTTTTTCTCTTGAGATGCCCAACAGGCTAAGGAAACAATCTGACAATTAGGAAGTTTCAAAACAGAGATTCAAGAGGCACATGGGCCACTATCCAGCAAATGAAGGAATCCTTAAGGCCATGGCTCATGATCTTGCTAACATTGGAATCAGCCAGGGACCTCTTAAAAATCCTGACACCCAGAATGCACCCCAGACCTGTTAAAGTAGAGCTTCAAAAATATTATAAGGTCCAAAGTGATGCTGATGCAACATTCTGTTGCAAGATTCTGATGCAATAATCTTGCAATGGTTCTTGTCTTCACCCAGGAAAGAATTTAAGGGCAAGCCTGTGGTGTTAGACAGAAATCTTTCATTGAACCAGAGCTACTCCATGCAGAGCGGGGCGAACTCATAGGCATTGAGCCCAGAGCAATGTTTGGGCAGTTGGCAACTGTATTTATACTCACATAAACCCACTTTCAATTACCTGCAAATTAAATGGTGAGTAAATGCAAATTGAGGTCCAAGTTATTTAGATCTTTCTAGAAAAAGGGCGGTAACTTCTGGGTGCCATGGAAAGGAGTGGCGACTTCTGGGTTGTTGCCATGGCATTTGTAGACTGTCACGGCTCTGCTGGGAATATCTTGTGCTAATGAGCAATGAGAGCAGCTGGGGATCACCTCCCTGGCCATCTGCTGGTTTTCACCGGTTTCTTTACTTTATCCTGTCCAGACCAGATCATGTTTTGGTCAGCAGGGTTGTGATCAGAAAGCAAGTCCAGATGGTCTCCCACCTTAATCCTGGTGGGCGTCCACCATGGATCTGCACTTCAGAGAGGCGTCTCCACTGCTCATCAGTCTCTCTTTGATGAAGGATCCTACCTGCAAGGAGCTCACCACTTTGCCAGTTGGTTGATGATTTCATTTGTGTCTTAGGCCATTTGGGCTGCTGTAACAAAGTACCATCGATCGGTGGCTTATAAAGAACAAATTTATTTCTCACGGTTCAAAAAGTTGGGGGTCTGAGATCGGGGTGTCACAATAGCTGATTTCTGGTGAGGGCCCTCTTCCAGGCTATAGACAGATGACTTCTCAGTGTGTCCTCACATGGAGGAAGGAAAAAGCAAGCTCTCTGGCCTTTTTTTTTCTTTTTATAAGGGTACTAATCTCATTAATGAGATCTCCGTTTCCATGACATAATTAGCTTCCAAAAGTCTGCTTCCAAATACCATCACGCTGGCAATTAGATTTCACATAGGAGTTTTCTGAGGGGAGCAGGATCATTCCAGTCCATAACTGTTAGCAAACCATGGAGGCTGCCTCTGGTGGGAGGAGAAGATTGCAAACTTTACACAGGGCCAGACACACCCAGTGGCCACCCCCTGGCTCCAGCAGGTTGGTGTCATGTGGAATGCAGATAGATGGTTGCCAGATATTCTAATTTATGAAGAAGAGCTGGAAATTCAAATATTTATATCCTTGATTTTAAATGTGAGCAAATAATTTACAGAGTTAAAGCCCAGTAGGAAAAAATGCATTGTACTTGCAGGCCTTGGGTTTGTGGCTCTGCTCTGCAGGGCTGAGCATCCCTGATATAAGGAGAGAAAGGGAGGCCTGGGCGCTGTCTAGAGGGGAAGAAATTGGAGAGAGTGATGTATACAAACATGATGGAAAAGGAAGATGGGAAGAGGCACCAGGAGGAAGATACACAAGGCATGCTTTGAGAGCAGAGGCAAGGGCCGTTGACACTCTCCAGCGTTTGTACTTTGGGTTGTATTTGTTTTCTCTCCTATGAATTATGCCCAATTGGAAAGAGTCAAAAATCTCACTGCTGAAAGTCCCATAACAACCTCCCTTATCTTGCCACGATCCCTCAGAACCACTGGAAATTAAGGAAACAGGAAGATCCCTACTCTGATCACAGGAAAGGCAGATGCCTTCTGTCTACACTGGCCACCAGAGGAGGACTGAGTGCTGTAGCTTGGGCTGGGGTGGGAGGCAGATGAGAGGCGGTCTGTCAGAATCTGCCATGGTCAGCTGGTGTTGGGAATGCCTCATCCAGAGGTCCCTTCCTGTGGCTTACTCACAGAGGTCCAGGGCCTGAGCTCTAAGCAGCAATGACTCTAAATGTCCATGGATTCAGGTAAGAAAGGGGACAGACCAGGGCAGGGGTGCAGCTGGTGTTGGCCTCCTCATGGGCATCCAGATGACAGGGCAGGGGACAGTGCAGGACTCAGGAGCTCAGGAGAGTCATCCTTTCATAGAGGGTCGGGAGCCCTAAGGCCAGGGCAAGGAGCCCGAGGGTTCATGAACTCTGGAGGAAGGAGGAGGGAGTCAAAGGCAGGCAGCTGGGAGAAGCCAGGAGTGGGTTGGCTGGAGGTATTGATTTGGCCATCCCTGAAGCATCTGAAACTTTCAATGGCTGGAGTGAGAAGTTAATCCTCATGATCCTTTCTAAAAACGACATTCTTTTATTGAAGACAGGTTAAATAGGACATGGGAAGAAGAGGGAAAATAGAAAATAAAAAAGCATTTGAAAGGCAAGAGCACAAAATAGGTGCCATTTGGGGAGATAACACTGTAGAAGGTTAAAGAGAAACATCGCCTTCTCTGCTGTTTTCCAACCCCAAGCCAAGTATCTATGTTCAGGACAAGTTTGACTCAAAGACTGTGTCAATGGTCTCCAAAGATATGCAGAACCCATTAAAATAGTAACGATGTCTTTAATTTGCTGTAGTTTTGTTTCCAACCCTCGATGGGTAGTGAGAGTGAGGAATCCAGGTACCCATTCTGAGACCAGATGACACAGCCCAGCATTTGTTTCCTAGTATCCCTGGATACTTTGAGAAGCACGCGAGGCCATACAGAAAGATGTGTTTTGGGCATGATGGGTTTGCAGGATCCAGGCAGCCCCAGAAGGGCCATGGGTGTTTGGAATTGAGCCCTGATGTTCAGGTGGGAGAAGAGATTAGGGACAGCTTTGTCTCTTGGCCCGTGCAGCTTCCCAAGTGTCAGCTTCCTTTGTGAGGTGATTTATAAGCTGGTACAGTCTGGCCTGAGAGCTGTTTGCCAGTCCCTGCTCACCAAGGTCAATAGTGACTCTCGCTGACACATTTGAGATGAATGGAGATTTTGTATTTGGTGTCTAGGATTGGGATTTTCCATGCAAGAGTTAATAAAGATTATTGGTATTTACCATCATTTTGACAGGCCACATGGGGCTCAGACTCTCCTTGAGAGTGCTCACCTGACCCTTTTCTTTTTGGCTTCTTTTCTTTGAGAACAGAGTGGCTGCCACCACCAGAGCCACCACCAGAGCCCAGGGCATCCAGACAGCATGACAGAAGCTGCACCATCCAGGGCGCATTCACAGCCAACAGAGACAGAGAGCGGTGTGTGAGTGGTGATGCGGTAGTAAACTGACTGAGAAAGGCAGAAGGCACCTGCTCAGCAGAACACGGCCTTCATAATCTGCCTGGTCTCCTTGGAAACTCATAAATAAGGAAAATTAAAAGACACTTGCCCACCGCTCTGGCTCTCATCTGGTAACAAATATTGGCGGATGCTTTGTTTTAGTGCCTGCTTCCCTGCAAACTATGTGCAAACAGTGAATAAGGTATCGATTTAACTGCAATGGGTTGCATCAATCATCTTGAGATTTGTACACAGAAGGTAGGGTCTGACAGAGTCACAATAAGGAAAAGGCCTTCAATAGTTGAAGGATTTTACGAGGAGCACCAGGAAGGATGCTGGGCAGCAGCTCCCTGGTGTGAAGGGCTTTGGGGGGTATGCCCTCGTGTGATGTAGGTGGGTTGGACTTACTACCCGGCAAATTGCACAGGTCTGGGGGTCTGGGTGACTTTGCAGAGATTGGTGCAGCTGTGGGGGCATCAAGAGTCTGTGTCAAGAGGAGGCAGTGTCAGTTTCAGGCTGGATATGGCTCCTCAGCTCCTGAGTGTGCCCTGCCTCCTCCTATCACGGAGGCTTGGCCCAGCTCCATGTAAGACAAAGTGACAGATGAAGGTGATTAAGTGTGGGGGACAAACATAACTCACTCACTCTGTCTTCAATTCCAACTAGAGGAAGGGAAGTGACCTATTCAGGAATTGGGCTAATGTGACTCAAGTCCCTCACAGGCCCCGCACCAGGACACTTTGACAAGGGTGTAAAATCTCACTGCCTCTCTTGTTCCCCATTTGCAGAATGAGGAGAGCATTAGCTGCCATGAGCTGTTGAGACAGAGTAACTTGGATTCCACACACTCTGCAAACTTCCAGGTGTGTAGTTATTTACGGCAAATGGGAGAGGCTACTATTGTGGCCTGAAGTCAGAGGCAAGGATGGTTTAAAGTAGCAGAAACCAGGCCAGTGACGGTGGCCACCGACAGGCGTTTTCTGAGCATCCAGGATGTGCCGTGCGCTGCACAGTCACTGGTAAGGCAAACACGGGGTGCGGGAGCTCCCTGACATGGGGGGGCTGTGTGTGACCAGGTGGTAAAAGATGACCAGGGGTGACAGCGTGAGGGGGAATCTGTCCAAGGCCCGCCCCTGCCTTCTGGTCCTGCTGGCAGTTTTCCGTGTTCGTCACCTGGTGTTCTCCTCTCTGTATCTTCTTTGTTTTTTTGGAGACAGGGTCTGGTTCCATCACCCAGGCTGGAGGTGCAGTGGTACAATCACGGCTCACTACAGCTTTGACCTCTTGGGCTCAGGTGATCCTCCTACCTCAGCCTTCTGAGTAGCTGGGACTACAGGTGTGCACCACTATGTCCAGCTAACTTTCGTATTTTTTGTAGAGGCAGGATTTCACTATTGTATTAGTCTGTTCTCATGCTGCTAATAAAGACATGTCTGAGACTGGGTAATTTCCAAAGGAAAGGAGGTTTAATGGACTCACAGTTCCACATGGCTGGAGAGGCCTCACGATCATGGCAGAAGGTCAAAGGCACATCTTACATGGCATCAGACAAGAGAGAACGAAAAAAAAAAACCAAGCAAAAGGGGAAACCCCTTATAAAACCATCAGCTCTCATGAGACTTACTCACTACCATGAGAACAGTATGGGGAACGACACCCCCATGATTCAATTACCTCCCACCAGGTCCCTCCCACAACACGTGGGAATTATGGGAGCTAAAATTCAAGATGAGATTTGGGTGGGGACACAGCCAAACCATCTCAACTGTATCCCAGGCTGCTCTTGAACTCCTGAGCTCAAGCAATCCTCCCACCTTGGCCTCCCAAAGTGCTGGGACTACAGGCCTGAGCCACCACACCTGGACTCTGTGTCTCCTTTTCTGTCTCTTATAAGAAAACTGGCCATTGACTTTAGGGCCCAACCGGATCCAGGATGATCTCACTTCCAGATCTTTGCCTTACCTGCATCTGCAAAGGCACGTTCGGAGCTTCCAGGTGGAAATGACTTTGGAGGAGGCATCATTCAACCCCACTGCACGTGGGAGGCCCTGGTGTCACCGAGGAGGTGCTAGTTTCTCAGAGAGGCAGCCTCTCAGCTGAGGAGAAGCATCCAAGAGGCTGGCGGAGATTGGAAATGAAAGCGAGCAGGGTTTTCACAGCGAGCCAAACAGCCTGGAGGCCAGGAGGAGAGGACAAGGAGTCATGCGACCTGGTAAAGCAGCTCCTCTCTACACACCCCTCTGGGGAATCTTAGTGCTGAGAGGAAACCTTGGAGGTCTTATTTCTCTACAGCCTGGAATTAGATGTGTCTGCCATCTTTCTGAATTTTGGGAATAGGTCTAAAATAGTGGCTTTTGGAGGCAGACAGATGAGTTCATATCTAGGCTGTGCCTGGGGCGTGTCCCTTGATTGTTCTGAATTGCAGTAAAACTCTCTTGCAAAAATGGGGCTCCTGGTTCTTACTGACCTGTTAGGCTTGGAGGATGACATGCGATAATGAAAGAAAGGCAGCTGCCTGTAACAGCAGCTCATTTCAGGTCCATTTCCTTTCATTTTCTTACTAAGCCTCATTGCTTCTAAACTCAGGCAGCCTCTCAAATTATAATTTAAATTTAAAAATTCAAGTATAGATATTTTCAGAACATTTCCTCCTAAATACAACCCAGCCTGAGCAATCACATTTTACGTTTTTAACCTTATCCCAAGAACCAATTTCTGAACCACCATTTAATGAACGTTAGACAAAAAGGGTTACAATAGAGAGCAGAGAGCCCCATGCACCCCGGAGTGAGGCTTTACGAGGGAGGAGTGCTGCTCTGCCCAGCGTCTAACCCAGAGATGCCTGTGCTTAGGGAAAGAAGAAGATCCTCAGCATTTGTTGTAACCCCAGGTCTTATCCCTCCCTTCTTTAGAATGGAAGGTTCTGCCTCTTATGCATATTTAGGTCTCATTTCTTCCCCTTACGATAAAACATTCACCATGTCTCTTGTGCTTGTTTTGAAGTGGAGACCAGCAATGCTCTTTATTTTTCTTTTCTTTTTTTTTTAGTTAAATTTAACAGGTTTTTCTTCTTTTTTTTTCTTTGACAGGGTCTTGCTCTGTTTCCCAGGCTGGAGTACAGTGGCATGATCTCAGCTCACTACAGCCTCCACCTCCTGGGTTCAAGAGATTCTCATGCCTCAGCCTCCTGAGTAGCTGGGATGACAGGCATGTACCACCACACCTGGCTAATTTTTGTATTTTTAGTAGAAACGGGGGCTTTACCATGTTGCCCTGGCTGGTCTTGAACTCCTGGCTTCAAGTGATCCACCTGTCTCAGCCTCCCGTAGTACTGGGATTACAGACATAAGCCAGGACCGCAGCCCAGGAACGCTATATAGTTCTACCTGATTTGTGCCAAGAATGAGGCTTGGCGAGAAAAAGAAAGGAAATGGACTGGAAATCAGCTGCTGTTATGTGTAGCCACCTTTCCTTCATTATACCATGTTATCCTCCAAACCTAATAGGTCAGTAAGGACCAGAAGCCCCATTTTTGCAGGAGAGTTTTACTGCAATTCAGAAAGTTCAGGGGACTTACCCCAGAGGATGATTTCAATGTTCCTGGGAGGATAGGGCTCTGTTTTCAGGAACAGTCCTTGCTCTGGTTTGGCTATTAAGTAGCTGATAATATAGATTCCTCCTCCCTTAGTCACAGACTGTGGCTTTGTGGCATCTACTTGACCATCTTAGGAGCAGCTCCTGGGGCCCGTCCATGGCAGAAACACTTGCAGCATACTGGGCAAGGGTCCCAACATCAAGCATGACACAAGCACCCATGAGGCCCGCAGATCGCTGCCTGGCTCCTTCCGCTGCCTGGTTATGTGGTGGAGACCATGCTTTGCCTATTAATGGATGTGTAGTTTACATTGGACATAACCCAAAATTTTAGAACTTGAAGATAAATACTATCTCGATTGGAACTGCATTGTGATGAAGCATTTTATTTCAGAATTTCTTGGCTGGCCTTGGAGCTATTTAAAAGGACAACACTGAAGTCAGGAAGTGAGATGCCTCCAGCTTCCTTCTTTTTTTCCTCAAGATTGCTTTAGCTATTCTGGGTCTTTAGTGGTTCTATATGGATTTTAGGATTTTTTTTTTCTATGTCTATAAAGAATGCCATTGGAATTTTGATAAGAATTGCATTGAATCTGTAGATCATTTTGGCTAGTATGGGCATCTTAACAATATTAATTCTTCTAATCTACAAACATGAGATATTTTTCCATTTATATGTGTCATCTATATTTTTTTGATCAATGTTTTATAGTTTTCAGTATACAGGTCTTTCATCTCTTTGGTTAAATTTATTCCTAGGTATTCCATTCTTTCTGATGCTACTGTAAATGGGATTATTTACTTGATTTCTTTTCCAGATAGTTCAACATTAATTTATACAAGTACAACTGATTTTTGTATGTTGATTTTATATCTTGCAACTTTACTGAATGTATTAGTTCTAACAGTTTCTTAAGGAGTTTATATGTATAAAAAGCTATAATTAAAAAGAGTATAGTACTGGAATAAAACCAGACACATGCATCAAGGGAACAGAATAGAGAGTCCAGAAATAAACCCAAGCATGTACAGTCAACTAACTTTCAACAAAGGCATCAAGAATACACAATAGGAAAAGACAGACACTTCAATAAGCAGTGTTGGAAAAACTGAATGCCCACATGCAGAATAGACCCTTTTCTTACACTATACACAAAAAATAAGCTTAAAATGGATTAAAGACTTAAACATAAGACCTGAAACCATAAAAATCCCAGTAGAAAACATAGGGGAAAGTATTTTTGATGTTGGTCTTGGCAATAATTTTTGGATTTGATGCCAAAAGCACAGGCAACAGAAGTAAAAATAAATGAGTGAGACTACAGCAAACTAAAAAAACCTCTGTACAGCAAAGAAAACAATCAACAAAATGAAAAAGCAACCTATGGAATGGGAGGAAACACTTGTAAACCATATAGACCATAAGGGGTTAATATTCAAAATGTGTTTGAAACTTATAAAACTCAATAGCAAAACAAACAAAAAAACCTGATTAAAAATGGGCTGAGGATCTACATTGACATTTTTCTAAAGAACACATACAAATGGCTAACAGTTATATAAAACAATGCACAACACTAATCATCAGGGAAATGCAAAAGAAAACCACAATGAGATACCATCTCATGCGTTAGGATGGCTATTACAAAAATCAAGAAAGATAAGTGTTGGCAAGGACATGGAGGAAAGGAACCCTGATACACTGTCGTGGGAGTGTGAATTGATGCAGTTATTATGGAAAACAGTGTGGAGATTATTTAAAGTAAAATAAAAATAGAACCACCATGTAAAATAGAAATCCCACTTCTGGGTACAAACAACCTAAGTGTTTATCAACAGATAAATGGATAAAGACAATATGGTATATTTGTATTATATGCGTGTGTGTGTGTGTGTGAGCACATGTGAATGTGTGTACATATATAAGGGAATATTATTCAGCTTTAAAAAAGGATATCTTGCCATTTACAACAACTCAGATGAAATGTGAGGAGATTATTCTAAGTGAAATACCAGGTAGAGAAAGAAAAATACTGCATGTCTCACTTATATATGGAATCTAAAAAAACAAAAATTGAATTCAGTAGCAGAGAGTAGAATGGTGGTTGCTGGGGTCTGGAACGAGGAGGAGGGGAGACAAAAAGGTACAAATGTTTAGCGATGAGGTAAGTACTGAAGACCTAATGTACAGCATGGTGACATAGTTAATAAAATGTACTGTATATTGACATTTGCGGAGAGAGTAGATTTCAAGTGTTTTCACCACACACAAAAAACGGTAACTGTGTGAGGTGTTGAATATGTTAACTAAAAAAAAAAAAAAGAACAACATGGAGAATAATTATTTAAAATGTTTGCCTATAAGATGGCATCCTCCTAGTGCTTCCAGTGATGATGGGATTACCTGGTCTTGTCCTGGGACTGGCTCAGAGCACCACCTGACATGGCTTGTTCTGTTAGTTCCATTGACCCTTTACCAAATTCTGATGTTGCCCTGCACTCTTCAAGGTCTGTGAAGATATGACGTGATTATTTTTAGTCCTATTCTTTTCTGAATATAGAAGACTTTTTAATATTATAGAAAACACATTCTTTGCCTCTGTAATATAAAAACTGAAAATCAGTAAACAACATGCAGATAAAAACAGTCATGGATTGGAAATAGCTGTTAACACACTTTTATTTACCTCATAGGTCAAAAAATAAATTATAATAAAACTTAAGAACTTTGGAACCAAATTATAATATAAATGTTATATACTAAAACACTTATGACTCAGTTTAACATATTCCTATAGGAAACTTTATTGTCTCAAATCCATAGTGAAGAAAGATGACAAATTAATGAACCAAGCATTGAGTCTGAATTAGAAAAAAAAATTAGTGGAACATACTAAATGGAAGAAATAAAACAATAACAAGATAAGAGGTTAATGAAATTTACAATAAATACCCTTAAAGAGGGTGAGAAACAAGTGTAGCTGGTGCTTTGTAAAGAATGTTTGAACATTGGCTAACCTCAGGCAAAACCAATCAAAGGCAGTTATAAATTAAAATTGAATAAAAATAGAAACATAGCTAAAGATAGAACAGAACTTAAAAGTTATAAGCCAATATCAAGAAAAAATTTTATGTCAGTGGCAATTTTTTAAAACAAATCACCAATATTGATACAAAGAAAAACCAAAACCTAATATAAGCCCTAGATTAATTCTCAAAACTACTCACAAAATGTACCAAGGACAAAAGACTTGACTGGCAATTTTGCCAAACCTTCAGAAATTAGATAACTCCTATCATGTACACATTATTTCAGAAAATTAAAAGAGCAGGAAAACATCTCAACATTTAGGAGGCTAGGATAGCCCAGCTCTAAACTGGACAAGGACAGTATGTGCAAGAAAAGTAAAGGCCAGTTTCAGTAAACACCATAGACCTAAATATCTGAATGTTAGCAAACCAGATTCAATTATAAATAAATATAAATGCTAAATAAAATCTGTATTTGATAAGCTTTGAATCTCTGTCCCTGCTCAAATGTCATGTCAAATGGTAATCCCCAATATTGGAGGTGAGGCCCAGTGGGAGTCGATTGGATCATGGGGGCGGATTTCTCCCTTGGAACTGTGTCAAGATAGTGAGTGAGTTCTCATGAGATTTGGTTGTTTTAAAGTGTTTGGCACCTCCCCCTCACCCTCTCTTCCTCCTGTTCCAGCCATGTGAGATGCCTTTCTCCCTCTTTGCCTTCTGCTGTGATTGTAGGTTTCCTGAGGCCTCCCCAGAAGCACATGCTGCTATGTTTCCCGTATAGCTTGTGGAACGGTGAGCCAATTAAACCCCTTTTCCTTACGAATTACCCAGTTTCATGTCTTTCTTTATAGAAATGTGAGAATGAACTAATACAATATTTAAAATATAAATACATATGTATGTGTATATACATGCACACACATATATTACTTGATAAATATATATAATACATATTACATATGAATATATATTATTGTGTGTATGTGTATATATAGAGAGATATAGATACATATATCCTCAGTAGAATGTATTCCAGATGGGTGGTAAATATTAGAAAATTGTGAATATACTAGTATAAATAATTCTATGTTTTGAAACAACCTAAATTTTTTTATATCATTAGGGAAATTGCTAAAAAATTGGGATGCACCCATGTGATGAAATTTTTATGGAGTAGTTAAGATGAATAAATCATATCCACATATATCTACATGAATTTCTTAAAAATAATTTTAAAAATTGCTTTTCTGTTCTATTGAAATGGAAAAACATGTTGCTAAAGAAAACATCGAATAATTTGCCATTCATGTAAATTTAACATCACACAAGACTACTCTATTATTTATGTACATGAACACATACAATACAAAATTTAAATGCCAGGAATGATAAACATAAATTTCAGAAAAGTAGTGATTTTTAAAAATGGAATCAGAGATCAGTTGTAAAAGCTGGCATTAAATCATTTTTTAAAGATTTGAAATAATTATGGTAACTAGTCAACTTTTCAATATTTTGTAACAAGGTGATGTCTAATTAGGTGTTTGCTATCTTTTTTTGTTTTTGTGTATTTTAAATATTTCAATATTAAAAAATAGAAATATTAAAAATTCACATAAACTTGCGTTAACTTTTTCCTCATTTTGTAATGGGAAGATAAGCTGTTTGATTAACATGATCCTTGGCCATGTTGGTTGTTGGTCTTGGAATCTAAAAAATGGTGAAATGTGGCTCAGCAGTTGTTTCAGCCCAATGTGTCAATTTCATATTGTATCCTTCTTCCCAGGCCTTGGATACAGGAGATGCCCCATTACGGCCCTTGGGTGATGGCTGTCATGGGCACTGCGTCCTTGGATGGAGCGTGACTTTCTTTGGGATGTATAACACATATTCTGTGTATCTTGTACTCCTTGTCCTTTTCTCCCATCTTTAAATTATAACCTCAGAAAAGTCTAGTGTAAGGTCAGAGGTTTCACATTTTTCTCTTGGCCTTGCTTCTCTTTAATAACTGGAATCCCAGTTCCACCTCCAGGCAATTGTGTTGCTCCTGCTGAAGACCTCCAGGGAATGAAAGGCTGTGCAGGGGCTGGGCTGGGCTTGGAGACGGCATGTTGCAGAGTTAATTTTAGGAGTTCTTTTCTTAAATTAAGCATCTACGCTGGCATTTTTTTTTTCTGTTTCAGTGATTGTGACCTGGGTACACCAACCCAGCCTTTGATCTGTGTAAAGTGAAAACAGGTATATGAATATACAAACACAACAAAGGCTTGTCTTTGGGGGAAAGCTCTGCTAAAATGTGCATGCACCTAAACCATAAGCGAAACTATGTAATTGACAAGTTGTCACAATTATGGTTGGTAAGAGAGAAATTATATATCTAAAATGTAATTAAAATGCTCCTTGTAAGCTTTGATGACAAGTTCTTGGAGACCAAGAAGGAAATAATCTCAGTCAAACCAACCGATCTGGTTTACAGGTCTTGTCAATAGAAAATAGGAGACATTTTTCTTTTGAGACGATGAACCCAAGTATATCCCACATCGTCAATAGGTGACAATTTTTAGCAAGCGACAACACAAATGAATTAAGACAATTTGTATAGACTCTTGGGTAATTAGGAAGCCATTTATTGACGACTCAGTGTGATGCATAGGCACATACTGATTTTTTAATAAAGCAATTATATCATTCTGGTAACTCTGCCACCTCAGTCGTTCGGAACCTTATAATTATTTCTTTTACTCTTCTGCACTGTATGTGGCTATAGTTCATAATTGTATTAGCCCCAGCAGAATTTGGAGATGAGTTATAAAAGCTAAATGCAAAACCAAAAGTTGTGTGTTTCTTCTTATGGGGACGGTGAGAACTACATGTGGATTAACCTAACACCCAGTGGTTCAGGTTGGGTTCCTTCAGCACAAAGTGCAAAACAGGGACTCGGGAGCACATGATTTATTAAGGGAGGGTTCTGCAGGAAAACATGGAAGAACAGGAGTGGAGAAGAATAAGGAAAAGGAAAGAGCTCACCCAGCGTGTGGTCACAGGTACAGTCTAGCTGGGGTCTGAACCCAGGGAGAAAGCCGCAGGGCATAAATCAGCCTTTGAGGTGTATCCCACTGAGTCAGAGGGGCTGGATTCTGTTCCTCATATCAATCGCTCATTGACTGTGGGTCACACTCAGGTGAGGGCTGTGTCACTTCCTGATGATGCAATTTCTATCAATAGAGGACAATTCGTCAAAGAAAGAGGGTAGCTCCGCCTCCCTCTTAGCTAACAGCCAACACGCAAAACAGCTGGGGGTGGGGCTGCCAGCCTTGTGAAAGGAAACTGGGTGGAGCACCACATTGTCTATGACACTCCACCTAATGCGGAGTTCAAATCCGCTTATTCCTTTTATTAACTTCACACTGCCCATGATTCCATGCTCACAAGCCTTAGGAAAACATAAAAGGAGGATTGGTGGGGAATTTTATGCACCACTGTCACAGATGGCCCTGAGGCCATCACTGAAAATGTTTCCCTCCTCTATGACGGGTGCTAAATTCCTTGTACTCTTAACTAGTGTTTTGGCTGGTCTGGGTGGATTGCCTGGTGGTTGACCCAACTCTCAACCTTGATGGATCTGAAACCCTGGTGACCAAACCCTGAGCAGGCTCTGATTTCTTTATCTATCTATTATTGTTAAAACAGGGCATTGGACACTAAGAGATGCCCAGGTGGATTACCTGAGGGCGGCGTCACTTAGCAGGAGTGCTGCATGGACCTCATGGCGATCAGGGTGACACGGACTTCATAAATTAGCTACTGCTGTGCCTGCTGATTTTCTAGCACAAGGAGCCCCAAGTGATCTGCAACAGCCATTGCTTCACATTGAGAAGGATTCTTTTTATTTTCCTGGTCAGCAGCATCGCTGCCCCTCAGTAAAAGAGCCCCTAGACTCTTAATTAAGATTGGCCACAGAGCAAAAATTCTGGAGATGGGAAATATTAATTCCGCTAGTGGTCACTGGAGTGGTGGAGAGTGGGGCCATTTCTAGTCTTTTCCTTGTTTTTCAGACACAGCAATTGTACCTTTGAGGACATGACACCATGTGAAAACCATTGGTTTAATGGGAACATCCCGTCTGAAGGATAGTGTTTCATCCTCACAGGCCATCATCTCCAGGCTGGAACCTCAGCTCCCCTTTCAGAGGCCATTTCATCAGGCTTCCACCTCCTGGTGGTGGTATGTGGTAGGGTCAGTGGACCCAAGGTCCTGTTCCTACTGCCACAGCCCCTTTGCTGTCAGGGGGATTCCTTGGACTAGGATGATGTTACCCAGGATCCCATGACAGTCAATCAGACTCATAGTGAGGCCTTGGGTATTGTGCTGGGTGAAGCCCTGCAGGTAGGAAAGGCAAATCCAATCCCAGTAGGTGTCAAACTCAGTCAGCATGAATTGCTGCCCTTCTAGGAAGACTGGGTATGATATACTAGACTATCCCCCAAAATGGTGGGGTGGTCTTCTTGAGGGAGGTGCATATCAGGGGATTAGAATCAGCTTCGGTGTCTGACTCTGTTAGACACTCAGCAATGGTGATAGGTAAATCAGCTTTAGTGAGAAGGCCCTTATGTGCCTGGCTCTATGACTAGCCCCTGTCTCTACAACATGGCTATTCCATTCTTGACATCATTGCACAAACACCAAGTGACAAGGGCATGGGCTGGCTACCATCAACTGCCTGAGTCATCCTGCCCACTGGCTGTTGAAGGTCTCCTCCTCAGCAGTTGTCTCTGGTGTCAGGTATGAAGATCATCACACTTTCCCCACTCTTACAGATCCTCACACATGTCTCTTTCTGACCTTCTGGTCCCCAGTCTTCCAATATTTCTTCTTCCAGGACCCTGGCCAACCAGCTAAGTCATTTGCCACAGTCCATGGATTTATACCTATCTTTACCTTCAGTCATTCTTTCAATCAAGTCCTGTGCCTGGGCTTCAGCTCTGTTTGTCCTCTTGCTGTAGAAGATGGAGATCCCTTGCAATGATGCCCAGAAGGCCCTCTCACTCTCACACATTGCATTAAGTGACTGATGGTCCTAGACTGTCATCTTCTCTTTTCAAAGTATCATTGGCACTCAGCAATAGTCACTCAATTCCATAGTCTTCTAATTATAATCTCTCCATTGTCTTCCCAATGGCAAAGATATTGCACAAATCAGAACAACCCTCTCTACCTGTGTCTCATGTCAGTTCACTGCAGGTGAAAAGCCTTAGCAGTTTCACTGCTTCTGTGTGCCACTATCATTAATCCACCGACCAACAGTGATGGGGTCATTGTTGCCAACTGGATGGAAAGTGATCACACATCAGAATCCAGTTCTTAATGTTTGCTTCTTGGGTCTAGTTTTGGTACCAACAGTCTTAGGTCGAGTTTCTAAGAAGCAGAGTCTGAGACAGAGGTTCAGGTACACATGACTGTGGAGGCAATGCTCCTCAGGAAATACCTGCAAAGCAGAGAGTGACTCAGGAGAGAGAAGGAGAAAGCTGGACAAGGATATGTTCTTATGGAAATCTTCTCTTGGTGTCTTAGTGCATTTGGGTTGCTCTAACAAAATACCATAGATGGGGTGGCTTCCAAACAACAGACATTTATCTCTCACAGTCTTGGAGTCTGGAAGTCCAAGATCAAGTTGCCGGCAAATACAGTATCTTGCGAGGAACTGCTTCCTAGTTCATAGATGGTCATCTTCTCACTGTAATCTCCCATGGTAGAAGGGGCAAGAGATCTCTCTAGGGTCTCTTTTATAAGGGAACTAATTTCACTCATGAGGGCACCACCCCTGTTACTTTATTGTCCCTGAAGTGTCCCAGCTCCCAATACCATCACACAGGAGATTAGATTTCAGTATATGAATTTTGAAGGGGCATGAACATTCAGTCTGTAGTACTTGGTTTATGTGATGAGGGCTCTGGAACTTAGATCATACCAAGTTGATACCTGGATGAGGCTGGGGTCAGTCTTTTGTACCTCATATCTGTGAACCATTGGTGATGGGCCATATAACTTCCTAGGTGAGGTGCCATTAGCAGCCAACACTCACAGTAGTTGGTGGGCAGGTACCAGCCTGGTAGAGAGGATATGGGTGAGGCACTACACCCACATTGTAGGTTCAAATTCTAGTTCTATCACACACTGGTGGTGTAAGTTGGGCAAATTAATTCATGTCTGTGCTCTAATCTATAAAGTGCTACATAATAAACTTCCAATAATGTTAGCTTCTATTATTATTGTTATTATTTATTTTGTTGGCATTGTTGTTATTTACTATTTAATAGTGATTTTCAAGATGCTGAGTATGAACAAATCTTTTGAGATAAAGAAATACAGTTTTACTAAGTACGGTTGAAAGGCACAATTAACAGTGACAAGGTCAGTTCTCCAATGGCCCATATTCATTTGTTTTGGTAAGATGATACAATTGTTCAATACTCATGCTGTGTAAAATAATTAATGGCCTGTTGAATGAAATTTCTCATTAGCTAAACATAGGAGATAAATATGAGATCTACCAACAGGTCTGGCTTATAAGACAGAAGAACTTGGTCCCATGCCCAGACCAATCCCAGACACACTGTAAGACATTGGGATGATGACATCCATCTCCATTCCCATGTGGGTTTCATATCAAATGGTGACAAGCAGGAAACTGACATCTAGGAGTGTGATCTTGAACTGGGGCTGGTCAGCTGTAGGAAACAGAAAGCCATTTAAGCCAGAGCAAGAAAAGAGTTCTGAGTTCATCAAATCCAAAGAATGGCTTAAAAATTGTCCCAGGGAAGTCGAGAATCAAGGTGTCTCCAGGATTTCACCATCAGGAATGTCTGTTATATATCTTTGAGGATACAATTCAAATTCTAACTCTCTCAGTCTCTGGGTCTCTTAGTTCAAATCCTCAAGAACAGAATCTGATTGGCAGCTGCCCCAACAATATCTTGGCTCATGATGAGGCATTGGCCTGCCCAGGTCCAATCAGCTGCAGCTGGAGATGGCCCAGGCGGTGAATGGGAAATTAAGCATAGCAAGGGAAATGCTGGTTACCAGCTCTGCATTGAGACTGCACCACATGCAGTCATGAAGCTGCCTGCTTTCTTCATGGTAACCTTGTTGATAGGTATGATGACCTCATCTTATAGATATGGAGGTTGAGAGAGATAAGATTATTTTCAGCACTGCAGTTGGGAAGGCAAAGCTGGAATAACTCTACCTTATTTCTTTCAGGGTCTATGGAAGAAAGAGTCCCTGCCCCAACACAGTTCTTCTAGACTTATCAATACTGAGTTTTCTTTAAAGTGGGTAACAATGATTGATCCCCATGCTGTGATGGTAGATGGTCATCACACCAGCTTGTGTGAGCAAGTGTCTCTTCTGTGTGCCTAGGAAGCTTACCTTTTGGCTATGAGGATTCCTTGTCCACTACCAGAGAATACTGAGACAATGGCCCATGTCTCACCTTAGCCCAAGTTTCATTCTTGGGTCTCCCAAGGCAGATCTCCCCTGCATATGGGAAATAATTCTTCCAGCTTTAGCCCAACTGTCCAAGAGCCAAGAAGTGGAGCAGCTGTTCAACACGTCTTTAATTAATTTCTCCATGGACAGCCCCATAATCATTCATGATGCCTCAGGTCATGTGGTCATTCTGGAATACTGCTGGGAAAACTCCACTTTTTTCATGGTCTTTCTTGATGCTTATATTGTGCAGGGAGCTCTTTATTTCTGCTGGTTTTCTCCATCAATCTCATCACAATTGGCTCAGTTTCCAGAAATTCTTCAATGTTCTGGTCTTCTAACGGGATCATTGTATTTTCCACTACTGATAAGCATTTATTCTTACTTTGATATATCCTCTTTAATTTGGTAGAATTTTGAGAGACAAAGGCAGATGTGTGAGCTCAGCTGTTTTGAAGAGGAAGCCTTGGACCTCAGTCTACATTATTGATAAATGCCAGAAACAAGGCTTAGCTCTTCAATATACATGGACTTTTCTGTTTATGTGCTGTATTGTAATGGTACTTGAGTTTTTCGGTTTGTTAGTTTTGGCCTTAGGTGTTGGTGGTTTCCATTCCTTTTGTGTGAGGTTCCAACAGTGGAACCTCACAGGCACAGCCTCTGGAAAAAATGCAACATGAATTTTTGACAGTTGATCTTTTCTTTTCATCTTTTATTAATCAATGTATTTCTGATTAATAAAAGTTTCAAGAAGAAGGGTAGATTCTGTTACAGACAAAATGACAAGAAAACACAATTTCTCTTTTCTTTTCAAGAAACCTGTACATATTAATTGCCATGATCATGTAGGTAGTATGCTCTGAATGAGGAAATGCTTGACTCCTTTGCATGTGAAATATAGACATATTTTTCTAGACAGCAGAAAATAAGTATTTAGACAAAGCCTGTATCTTTTAGTCAACAGGAAATTTTATCTTGAGTCAACTGTGAAAAAAGTCAAAAGTGATCTTTAACTGCAATAAATGAAGCACGACATAGTTAGAACACTTTGCTCAGTTTTGGGTCCTGCGCTTGCGTTTTTTAAATCTTAAATTATTATAAGACCAATAGCCCATCATCTCCACCCAATCAATAGATCCTTGTCATTCTCCCCCAAAGCTTCTCCATTCCAAACACAATCTCTCCTTCCTTTCTAAAGTAATTACTTCCTTGACTTTTTATAAGAATCAGTTCCTTCCATTTCTCCCCAGCTTATTACTCATGTACATATCCGGGTACTAAGAATTTTTGAAATGTATTTTAAATTTCTCTTAATCTTAGTGTTCCCCACCATCTCTTTTACTTCCTTACAATTTATCTGGATTTTGAGAATTGCATTCTCCTGCTGCAGTTCAACATATTCCTCTGTCCTCTGTATTTCCTGCAAATTGGCAACTGAATCCTGAGATTCCATGAGACTCAATTCTTCCTCTGTAGCAGGTAGAATGAGGGCCCCCAAAGACATCCACATTGAAATCTCTGCAACTTGTGAATATGCTACCTTACATGGCAAAAGAGACTTTGCAGATTTGATTTATTTAAGGACCTTGAGATTGAGGAGGTTATCCTGGATTATTCAAGTGGACTTCACTGGGAACGTGGCTGAGGAACTAGACCTTTTGACTATCAACAATTCATTTAAAATGATTTGCATATGATTGGAGGATTATAATTGTTTATATAATTTACATCTTATTTCAGGAATGTAGTAGCCAATTAAACTGTCTTTAGTATCAGATTCTTGCAGGAAGACAGTAACAGTGAAATTTCCACTTGCTTTCTAGGAGTTGCTGTGAAAATAGAGGACTAATGTGTTCGCTAATCATATGTTAGGTGGAAAAAATGAGTGCTCTTTCAAAGAATTCCTGCATTAAGAAATGTATCTTTTACTTAAAGTTTAAAGATTCAATTTTCTCTCATCATTTTAAATTATTAATGCTATGAAAAATAATCTAGATGGGATAAAAGAATCCTGTTGATGAAGGCAAAAGACCCCACTTCCTTGACCTTTCTCTGGTAGAGAATTAGAATAGCAGCATCTTTTCTCAAAAGTCTCAGCCAGGATCATCCATGGCCACTGTCCTTCGGGTCATGGAAGGAGCCTGTGAGTCACTGTCACAGGCTACCCGAGCTTCCCTCTGTCACATAACAGCTGTGCGGCTTCAGGAGGTGACTCAGCCTCCATATTTTCAGTATTCTCATGGAGCGTCCTTCTGAGAGTTAACTGGTAGGGTCACGGGGCCCCTCTCCCACACATGTCACTGACTGACCACGTGATCATGTTGTGCCACTTCTGGTTCCTGCTCCTTGAACATGTGGGCTCAGCCATCCTCAATCCCCTGGCACCGCCTCCATCTTGTCCTACGTCAGTTCACTCAAAACTGTTCTTTAGAACTCCGGAGTCCCAGCTCTTCAGGAAGGCTAGGGGAACCCTTACGGCAACACCCGCTCCCTGGCTCGGCTGACTTAATAGAGTACCTGCTCTTAGCTGCCTCTCATGCTCTGCCCTGTGGTTGTGCATGGTCTTGTGTGTCTCCGCAGCTGGTCTGGAAGAATCTTGAAGGCAGGCACTCTGTTCTGCTGGATTCTGGCCGTGGTTGGATGTAATCAATGCTCTTGCTCCGTCAGTGAAGAAGGGAGTCAACCTAATGCCTGAACCAGAGGATACAACCCTTGACTTTAACCCTTAATCTTAGCATGGAGGACTTCTGTGACTAAGGAAAGGACTCCCCCTTCAATAAATAGTGCCGGGGTAATGATAAAGTATTTCAAAACAACTGTACTGATGTCTAAAATTTACTCTAAAATGTGTCAAAAATAAGATGGGTTGATAGTGAGATGTATGCATGCAAATTTACATATGTGATAAAATCCAAATAAATGTTTATAGTTGAAGCTAATAATGTGCATACAAGTGTTTGTTTTAACATATTTTCTCAACTTTATTGCAGGTTGGAACATTTTCGTAATAAAATATTAGGAAAAAGGAAGGTAAAGTGATGATATTTTAAGACAAACAAAAACTAGAAGAATTTATCACCAACAACATGCACTAAAAATACTAAAAGAGTTTTTCTAGCAGAAGGATAATGATTAAAATTATAATGATGCAAATGTAGAAATGAATGAGCACATGAAAAGGTAAATATTTGGACAAGTAGAAATCAATTTTGACTGAATAAAATAATAGTAATAGTAATTATATTATAGAATTTAATATATGTTGAATTAAATGCAAGATGGCAATACCAGTGGGAAGGGGTTGAAAGAGTTAAGACTCTAGCACTGTGGGGTAGTGTTAAAAGTATAATAAATCAAGGATGCATGTTATAAACTCTGCAGTGGCCACTAAAACAGTATACAACTGGTAATCAAATAGACAGAAAAAAAGAAAAAATTTAAAGCATTTGATTCATTCAGAAGCAGACAATAAAGGAGAGAACAGGAAACATAAAATACAGTGTTCAAATTTTAAAACAGTGAGATGATACAACATAAAATCAAATATATCAGTCATTCCTTTAAATATATATGCACTAAATACTCCAATTAAAAGACTTGCTTTGTCAGACTAAATAAAAAACCCATTGGCCAGGCGTGGTGGCTCATGCCTGTAATCCCAGCACTTTGGGAGGCCAAGGTGGGTGGATCACTTGAGCCCAGGAGTTCGAGACTAGCCTGGGCAAAATGATGAGAGTTCATCTCTACCAAAAATACAAAAATTAACCTGGCATAGTAGTCCTAGTGAGTGGGGAGGCTGAGGTGGGAGCATTGCTTGAGCCCGAGGCTCAAGTGAGTCGAGGCTGTAGCGAGCTGTGATTATGCCACTGCATAATGGGTAATAGAGTGAGACCCTGTCTCAAAAAAAAAATTTTTTTTTAAATAAGATTGAACTATATTCTACTGACAAGGAACATAACCATCAGAGTTGAAGAAAGTACAAAGGATGTGTCAGATGTATACACTGATATTTGTAAATCTTTACTTAGTGAAACTAAAGAACTAAGTAAACATCATATGCCATCTTCATGGACGGATGAGATATAAAGGTGTCAATAGTCCCTGTATTAGTGCAGTGTGAGACACACTGCCATGAAGAAATACCTGAGACTGGGTCATTTATAAAGGAAAAAAGCTGAATTGATTACAGTTCCACGTGGCTTCGGAGGCCTCAGGAAACTTACAATCATAGCAGAAGGCTAAGGAGAACCAGGTACCTTCTTCACAGGGCTGCAGGACAGAGTGAGTGCAAGCAGGGGAAATGCCAGATGCTTATAAAACCATCAGATCCTGTGAGAACTCACTCACTGTCATGAGAGCAGCATGGGGGAAACTGTCCCCATGATTAAATTATCTCCACCTGGTCCTGCCCTTGACACATGGGGATTATGGGGATTACAATTCAAGATGAGATTTGGGCGGGGACACAAAGCCTAACCATATCAGTCCCCAAACTGATGTATGTGTTTGATGCAATGCAATCTGATTAAGTTATTTTTTTCAAATGAAAAGGGAAAAACAAATATTATGATGCTAAAATTTTAAAAGACGAAGCCGTATCAAGTTTGACAGAAGTTGTGAAGACTGATTTTCTGTCACACTCAGGGTAGGAATGCAAATTTGTACCACTTTGCAAATCTGTTCATCAAGATCTACTCTGACCGCATGCATCCCCAACACTATGTAGGATATGTACACTATTACAATACTCTATACCTGGAAACAATAAACCTTAAGCAGAATGGATCAACATACCTGGTATACTCACACCACAGAATACTACACAGCAATATGAGTGAATGAATTACAACCACATGCAGCAACAGGGATGCTGGACTTGAGAGTGGATGGTATAGACATAGAGTTGATGGTTCAATGGCAATTTAGAAGCCCAAAATATTCAGAGTCCTCAAAAAATTCACAGAACTGGATCTGCTTATTAGCTTATTTGCATTTCCTGTGGTTGAAACATGTGATCGCTGATTAATTACCGAGCAGGTCCACAACTTTACAATCAATGAGTCCATTTACAAGTTTTAACTGAGCACCTACTGTGCTCCAGAATTATTCCTATATAGCAGCAAACAAATTCCCTTCCAGACAAAGTTTATGTTCTAGAACATGTCATTGCTTGGAAATGAAATCGGCATATGTGTATGTGTTACTGCAAAGTAGAAAGTATTCTCTAATTTTAGCTTCCTAGTCTGAGTTAATAGAATCGAAGTACCTAGAACTAATTAATTAATTTCTTTTTTGAGATGGAGTCTCATTCTGTCACCCGGGCTGAAGTGCAGTGGTGCCATCTTGGCTCACGGTAATCTCCACCTCCTGGATTCAAGCGATTCTCCTGCCTTAGCCTCCTGGGTAGCTGGGGTTACAAGCGTGTGCCACCACACCCATTTAATTTTTGTATTTTTAGTAGGGACAGGGTTTCACCAGGTTGACCAGGCTGATCTCAAACTCCTGACCTCAGGTGATCCACCTGCCTTGGCCTTCCAAAATTAATTAAATATTCTTTACTTGTCCAAGTTGGCTTATCCATAATGATGCTCATTGTTCCAGAAACTACTTTTGTAACTTTCATAGGCTGATTTTATATGTGTTTTAATCAGATGACTTCAGTTAAATTTTTTTCACTATAAGAGTATTTAATTATATGAATATCATGTTCGTTTTATGCTAAGTAATAAAGTCTACCAAATAGCAGGTAAAATAGAATTCAATATTGGTGAAATGAAAAGAAACAAATGAATGTAACAAAGATGAGAAAGGCAATGATATTAAACAGTAGTCTCCCTGAGTTGTAATATCTTCAGCTCATCTTCATTATCTTGTCTGCTTGTGCAAAAATTTATGCAATGCACATATACTATTTTGTAATAAGAACTAAAGTTTTTTTAAAACCAAGAACGAAGAGACCAATATTCATGGCTGGTTCTATTTTTGAAAAGGAGCTTCCTATTATGAACAATGGGTCTACTCTTTCATTTTTTAAAAGAAAAACATAATCATTAGTACTTGTAGCCATGTATGCATGCAATCATGCAGTCATTCACTAATTAAAAGACTTGTTTCATGTTGTTTTTTGAGGCCCACTATGAAATTAACTTCAAAGGATGAGGGGCAAGCATTTTAAACAAGAAGGCAGCTGAAGGCACTAGGAAATGAGCCAAGAGGCCTTCCTTCACTTTTGCTTCCAGTGGGCCACTCTCCTGGGTATCCGCGATAATTTCAAAGGGAAGCTGTTAATTCATGATACACTCAATGTGTCCATGTATTGTAGTGATTTTCCACATAGATCTATTCACAGTGGTGCCAAAGATTTTCCTTGCCATTTAAGCAGGTGCATCACTGCAATCCTAATACTGGCCATTCTCATTTCTATTGCTGCCCTCAGAGGCTCTGCTTGATCTCTTTGATGTAGGAAGGGTCATGAACCCCCATACCACCTGGGAATCTGCGTGACTCACAGCAGTGGCGGGGGTGGCAATGTGGTCAGTGGTCCTTGAAATGTGCTGTGTTTCCTGAGGCACATTTTTCCCTTAAGAAAGAGGTGCTAGTAACATGTTTGAAAACATTCTGCATAGGAGAATACAGAGTCTACTGCAGTTAGGACACCTGAGTAGTGATTTCTATGACACCTTCCCGTCGCTGGCCAGCAGAGCACTGGTTGAGTAGCAAGGCACAGTTCATTGTCTCACTCATGGCCCCCTCACCTCATTACGGTGGTCACTGACTGGTGGACACACTAGCTAACATCACCATTTCTATTTCCTTACAGAAGCCCACACGCTTCCTTTGTATTGCTTTGAGTAGCTTTTACGATGAGCTGCGTTTCTGTGTGTTATTGGACACACATTGTTTCCACGGGTATGAGGTTATATTGCTGTTTATGTTGTAGGAAACCACCTAGCTCCAGGAGTCACACACAATCTTCTGGAAGCCTCTATACTGCAGACACAGTCCTTTCTTCCCAGAACTCCCACCCATTTCTCTAAAAGTGCTGCCATGGCAAAAAATATTTGATTTTGCACCCTGCGCCACCGATGGAGGGAAGGGTATTCTTGAAGTTTACTCTCTGTTTTTGTGAACACAGCACAAAAAGCAAGGACTGGCATTTTGGGAGCACTGGGCCCCCAAGGCTCTGAATCCACCTGGCCCCCTTTAGTTCAACCATCTCATTTCTACACCGGGGGTTCCGTGAACCTGACATTGGTGGCCCAGGCCCACCTTTTCAGGGAGTTGCTGCCATAGCAGAAGGGAGGAAGCTGCTGCTGGCAGGTGGAGACCCGGGCTGTGGGTGAGTCTTCCCAACACGCATTCCTGCCAGAGGCAGGAGAAGGCTTCCCCTGGCACATGGCATGGGCTGCGGGTGAGCCTTCCCAACACGCATTCCTACCAGACGCCTGGGCTGCTGGTGAGCCTTCCCAGCACACATCCTACAGGAGGCAGGAGGAGGCTTCGCATGGCACGTGGCATGGGCTGCGGGTGAGCCTTCTCAATAGACATTCCTACAGGAGGCAAGAGGAGGCTTCGCATGGCACGTGGCATGGGCTGCGGGTGAGCCTTCTCAATAGACATTCCTACAGGAGGCAGGAGGAGGCTTCGCATGGCACGTGGCATGGGCTGCGGGTGAGCCTTCTCAATAGACATTCCTACAGGAGGCAGGAGGAGGCTTCGCATGACACGTGGCATGGGCTGCGGGTGAGCCTTCTCAATAGACATTCCTACAGGAGGCAGGAGGAGGCTTCGCATGGCACGTGGCATGGGCTGCGGGTGAGCCTTCTCAATAGACATTCCTACAGGAGGCAGGAGGAGGCTTCGCATGGCACGTGGCATGGGCTGCGGGTGAGCCTTCTCAATAGACATTCCTACAGGAGGCAAGAGGAGGCTTCGCATGGCACGTGGCATGGGCTACTTTTTCTCTCTGCTGCGAGTATTCATAGCATCTCAGGGATATGACTGGATTAGTGGTCTAGCTTGGTCTGTGTCTCTAATCAAGTTGTAAGGGGTTGGCATGGCAGGGTGTGTTACACAAATAAGGTAAATATTTATATTCCTTCAGGCTGGAGGAGGAAGACAAAGCATCTCACTTGGGGGTGTCCCTTAAAATAAATCATATCCACTTCTGGATCCAGCCACCTCCTGGAGGACGTGAGTACCCCCCAGGGCAGCCCTGACTGGATGGGGACATCCAGCCGTGTATCTGGTAGCTTGAAGCAGAGTCTCTTTTTCATCCTCCACATACGGAGGTGGACCCAATGACTTGCTCTTAACAGCAGCTGTGGGCTGAGCCAGGAGCAGCGTGCAGACAGGCTGCGTGGCATAAAGTTCTGGGTAAGAATGAATTCTTTGTAAGCGCAGTGTCTCATGTTTGATTTTTGCAACACTGAGGAACTTTGATGTCTTTTCACTCTAAGGCACAGCAATGGACTGGATGATTGCTCAGAGAGTGATAATCCCTGGTTCACTAAACTAACTGAATGAGATTTAGACAATTATTATTTATATATAAATTTGATATATATGTATACCAAACCCATTATTGCATATTCCGAAGAGTATCCTAATTACTTAAGCAGCTTGAAATTTAATTGTGTTGGATTTAAGCTAGTGAACCTGTTACTAATTTTCCAACCCTCCAACTTTTCCTTGAGTTATCTTTCAGTGTGGGCTTTTACTGATGGAGTTTGAGCAGATGGAGAAGCATGGTGCTCTCGCTGGACTAACTGAGAACCTTCCTTTTGTCCAGAGAGAACTTGTGTGAGGAGCATGACCAACAGAAGATGTGACTGGATTGTGAGGGGGTGATGCTTCTCTGGGTGACTTGAGAGCGAGTGTAGAGACAGGAAATAAACAAGGAAGATAGCAAGGTATCCATGATGGAAAAGATGCTATCTAGATAGGTTTTATAACCAAGGAGAGAGAAGAGACAGGAATTAAGAGTTACTGAGAGCTTCTAATTGCCAAGTATTGGCTGGTTGCCTTCTATCAATTCATTCTTCAGTCCTCAGTGACACTGGAGGCACACGGACACAGCTCCCGTCAGAGGTTCAAGAGAGTCTGAGTAGGAGCCTGAGGTCATACACTAAGTACAAGACAAGGCTCCTGCAACTCCAGATCCTGTGGCTTCCATTCTGCCCATTTCAGAGCTCATGTCTCCAGGGGCTGTGGCCACAGCTGGGCTCCCCTTGGTGTTGTCACCACCTGCACCCAAGGCTGGCAGGGCAGCAGTTCTTGGCCTTGTTTTGGGCACAAAAGCAGTAGGGGTTTGCTCTCACTTTAAACCAGGAACCTCAGCCCTGACAGTCCAGTTTACTGGTTCAACAGACTCCTTGATTTTCTCTCACAGGCAGATGAGAGCATTTCAATTTACCCCTCTCTTTTGGCTGGGCCGGAGCTTCTTAGGCAGAGATCTGGAGAGCTGAGCCTTTTCCATTCAGTTCCCACCAATGCACTTAGGTGGATGTAGTTAAACATTTATGGAACACCATGTATGTGCAATGTCACACTCTTGGACTTGCTTACAGTTGTTCTCTGCCCTTACACCATGGCAGGCAACCGTCTTACCACCGTCATTACTGTTAATTGAGAGAGGAACACTAATGCCGTATATTCCCTAGATTTTACAGTTTACGAATTGCTTTCCTGACTGCTTTCTTTGATATAAAACTCTTCCTTAGACTCTGATCTGGAATCACTCTTTATGAGGATTGGCAATTTTGGTCTAAAAATAAACAATCTGCAAGTAAAAACTAGACACAGTTTTAGAGTTGGGGGTAGAACTTGAAAATGTAAATGTTTTTGATTGCTTGTGATTGATAAATAGGATTTATAGTACTGAATTTTGGAAAATGGTATTTACCAAATTATTATCTTCACCTTAGAGAATTGGGCTTTTTTTTTTTCTTTCACACCAAAACGTACTGAAAGAACAGACCTTGAGAATAGAATGAATCAGCAGAGGAAGCACCTAAAGCAGAAAGAAGCTTTTACAGCGAAGACTATTTTGGGAATTTGGTTGGTTCCCTTTGTGAGGATAATTCATCATTTTTCTTCTTTTTTTTTTTTTCTAATGTGCGCAGCATTTTGTTAAATAGCATTTTGGTAAATTGCTGGCCTCCAATGTGATTACAAAATGAATTTTCTGAATTATAACCCACCAAACATTTTTATTATTCAAGAGGCAGGTGCATTATGAAGAGCTAGAAGTTTTTTTTGACCACTAACTTGCTAACATTTGTTGGTAGTCCTAATTAGTTGGCATTAGTTGGCTCTTGGCTAACGTCCATCCAGGAGGTGGCTGTGTTGTGCACCTGCGTGGGTCGCCAGCTTTCACTTCCCCTCCAATGTCTGTAAAGACTCCAGTACCAAGGAAGGCAGAGCTCAAAAGAGACACAGGCAGACTGAAGACCCTCCTGTCTTCTTGGGGTGAGCTAGATTCCTGACAGTGCTCCTAGCCTAGCAGTACCCATACAAGTCCTAGGTGCTGTTAGCTCCTCCTAGGAGGCTCTCATCTGGGTGCCCTCCCAGATCAAGAAGCTAGGAAGCATGGCTACACTGGGAAGGCAGTGCAGTTATTGTTTCTCCTACCTTCTTCTTGAATAGAAATAGGTTTGCCTCTGGTCGATGTGGTGCCTGTATGTAAATGAGAAACAATCTCCCCTGCGTTAGAACCTGGTCCTAGGCTTGGCACACACTTGCCCATCTGTAGGCAAGTGTATGCCCAGCACAAGACCCAGCACAGGAAAGCTGGATGTTGTGATGCATCGCCCAGAGCCACTTTCAGGAATGAAGCACCTCCTTCCTCAGGTGCTGGGGATGCTGCTGGGATAGAGTGCCCAGCTGCCAGTCTCCCTGGAGACTGCCTCAACTGAGGGAGGTCCTGCCCCTATTGCTGTGACCTGTATTCAAGGACTGATAAGTGTCCCAACTTGGAAAAATGCTGAAGGCTCATCCCAGCTTCAGGACTCCCCACAGGTGGGCTGGGGCTTCTAGAGACACTGCAGCATAACCCAGTTTCTTTCTCAGCCCAATCCCTCCTATGAGTTGTGATTGCAGGAGCACTAGCTAAGAAATTGTTTATGTGCTAATCTTTACCTCAGAACTGGCTCCCTGGGAACCCAGCCTGCAGCAACAAATGGGCCTCACAGGACTCACCCTACTTTCAGCTTGGAGTCTACATCTCAAAAAATCTGACCCTTACCTCTTTCTAAAATGTAGCTTGAGTGATACTTGCCAAATGCTAGTTCGATCATATCCCTTCTTGGAATCCTCCGTGGCTTTAACTTTGTTCTTAGGGACAAAGAGTAGCCTCCTTCATGTGGTTGATATGTAGTCTGACCATCAGATTTGCCAGCCATATTAGGACAATTTAGGAAACACAAGAGAGAACAACAATTATTTCATCTTATACAATTTTTGAAATGTTTATTTGCTGAATGACAGGTTGATATTATTACATTGGTAGACCTCTAAAATAGTTGAATAAAAGTAATTAAAAGATGGCCTAAAACATGAAAATAACACATACATTAAAGCAACATTTAATCTTCATATTACTAATCTGAATATTAAAATAAAATAAGCAGAATGGTCATTTAGGCTACATGTTTATAAACTTTATCAGGTATTTAGCATATTTATATCTACTATTAAGTCACTGGTATTTTTCCATAGAGTTTTTTTTTTTTGTTTTTGAGACAGAGTTTCGCTTTTGTTGCCCAGGCTGGAGTGGAATGGCATGATCTCGGCTCACTGCAACCTCCGCCTCCTGGGTTCAAGCAATTCTCCTGCCTCAGCTTCCCAAGTAGCTGCGATTACAAGCATGCGCCACCCCATCTGGCTAATTTTGTATTTTTAGTAGAGACGTGGTTTCTCCATGTTGGTCAGGCTGGTCTCAAACTCCCGACCTCAGGTGATTCGCCCACCTTGGCCTCCCAAAGTGCTGGGATTACAGGCATGAGCCACCTTGCCCGGCCCATAGAGTATGTTTTTAATAAGGTCTTATTTTTTATAATATTTTCCACAATTAGCTGTAATATTCCACAAAGTTGAATTTCATAGCTAACAAATTTGAAGTTACTGATGCCTTTAGTTTACTCTTCTGTACAATCATAGCATTTTTAACTGAGAGAATATTCTTAACAGGTGCTGATTCCTAAATTCCTAAAGAAGGAGCCCCTCAATTCTAATTTTTATATTGAAATACATACATGTTTTAGGCCAAATCTCTTCACACTTTCTGACTTTTAACCTCCATTCAGAGTATCCATCTTTGATAAATATTTTTGAAAGATAAAATTTATTAAATAAATTATCTATTTATGAACTGTATCTCTCACACTTTGCTGGTGGGAATGCAAAATATAGGGCAGTCACTTTGAAAAAGTGATTGGCAGTTTCCTAGAAGGTTAAGTATACTTTCACCATCAACTTAGCAACCTCATTCTGAGGCACATATCTGAAAGAAATCAAAGGATACAACCAGAAATGACTTGTAAAATAATATTTATAGCAGTTTTATTCATTATAGCCAAAACTTGGAACCCCTCCAGTGTCCACCAACAGGAGATTGGATAAAACATTATGCTAGGCAAACAATGCCAGACATCAAAGAATACATACTTATGATTTATTATTTCATTTGTGCAAAGTTCAATATCAGGCAAAGCTAATTTATGGTGATAGAAATCAGAACAGTGGCTGTCTCTGGAGGCGGAAGCAGGACTAACTAGAGAGCAACAAACAGAACTTCTGAGGAAAGGGAAATTTTGATTTTGGAAATCATGGTCTCCTCAATTTACCCTATTCTCATGCCAAATATATACTTACATAATTAAAAGGTAAAATTCCACTAAAAATCTGCACAAAAGCTGAGACATAAAACTTCAAAATTATATTCTAAGCTCCATATAAGCTCTCATCTTTTAATTTGTTTAGTTCTTTAATAGCTCTTTAGGGACAAATTTCATTATCTATTTGCTAGCTTTGTTTTAGATAATTGAAATTTGTCAAAAGTTTCCAAAGCTGAGGTTTTCTTTTCCTGCCTCACTGAATATTTGGATTTAGAGTTTTTCAGTATTATTCAGAGGACGTCAAAACATTCAATCTTTTCTCAGGACACTCACTGATTTACAAATATAGTGATCACAGGCACTTACCTTTGTTTTGAAAAATTATTATTGACATATTTTTACTTAAAGTGCATACATTTAATCTATGCAGCTTAACCTTAATTAATTTTTAAAGGTAACATATCCATATAAACACAACTTAAAGATTTAGTGTATTTTTGAGTTCCTTCCCAGGATATGCCCCTTGTGGTGAAAACTCCCATGATGGCTTTCCGCTATTTGACCTCAAACCCCACATGGTGGGCAGAATAATGTCCCCAAGGATGTCCATGTCCTAATCTCTGGAACCTGTGAATATGTTATGTTAAGTGGAAAGAGGAATTAAGGTAGCAGATGAAATTGCTAATCAGCTGACTGTAAGAGGGAGATTATCCAGGATTATCTGCGGGGACCAGTGTAATCACAAAGGTCTTTAAAGACGGAAGACGGAGGGAGAGTCAGAGTTGCAGTAATACCCTATGAAAAAGACTCGACTGGCTGCGACTGGCTTTGAAGATAAGAAGAATGCCGGGAGCCAGGAAGTACAGGCAGTGTCTAAAAGCTAGAAAAATAAGAAAATGCATTCTCTTCCAAAGCCTCCAGAAAGGAAGGCAGCCCTGACATCACCTTGATTTTTAGCCAGGAATGCCCATTTTGGACTTTTGACCTCTGGAACTGTAAAAGAATAAATTTGTTTTGTTTCAAGCCATTAAATTTGTGAAAATTTATTACACCAAAAATAGAAAAGCAGAAAACCAGTACACCTCATTTATTAAATTGATCTACTTTTGCTTTCTTGTTGAGGTATGACTTAAATCAAATTATACAAGTCATAAGCATACATTTGATGAGACCTGGCAAAGATAGAGACACCTGTGTAACCCACAGCCCAATCAGACAGAGTATTTCCCTCTTCTCAGAAAGTTCCCTGTGTTAGTCTCTAGCTAGTCCTGCCTCCACCTCCAGAGACAGCTGCTGTTCTGATTTCTATCACCATAAATTAGTTTTGCCTGTTATTGAACTTCTTACAAATGAAATAATAAATCATAAGTATGTATTCTTTGATGTCTGGCTTTGTTTGCTTAGCATAATGTTCCATCCAGTCTCCTGTTGGTGGACATTGGAGGGGTTCCAGTTTTTTGGCTATAATGAATAAAACTGATACAAATATTATTTTACAAGTCATTTCTGGTTGTATCCTTTGATTTTTTTCAGATATGTGCCTCAGAATGAGGTTGCTAAGTTGATGGTGAAAGTATACTTAACCTTTTGAGAAACAGCCAATCACTTTTTCAAAGTGATTGTCCTATATTTTGCATTCCCACCAGCAATGTATGAGAGATCCAGTTGCTCCAAATTCTTGATGACACTTGATGTTGCCAGTCATGTTAATGGCAGCCATTGCAGTGGGTGTAAAGTGATATTTCATTGTGATTCTAACACATCTTCCTGCTAACCCATGATTGCTGAGCTCCTTTCTATGGTTTATTGGCCAGCACATATTTTCTGTTGTGAGTTTTCCTTCAAATCTTTTGCCTCTTTTTAAGATTAGATTGTTTTTACTATTTGTTTTTTTTGGATTTTCATCCCTGGATACATATTCTTTGTCAGATATACATATTGTGAATATTTTCCCCTGCCTTCTCTTGCCTTCTTGTTTTCTTAGCTATGTCTTCTGAAGAGCGTGAGTTTATAATTTTGCTAAAGTTCAATTTATCATTTTGCTTTTTTTTTTTTTGGTTAGTGCTTTATTTAGTGTCCTAAGAGTTATGTTGAAGATGAAAGTGCATATTTTGTTCTAGAAGCTTTATGGTTTCAGCTTCCATTCAAGTCTACAAGCTGTCTTAACTTTTTTATAGAGTATAATGTAGAGGTTAAGGTTTGTTTTTATCTCCATGAATATCTAATTGTCCCAGCACTGTTTGTTGTATCAATACCTTTTTGCATTTAACATCATTTTCAGCCAAAAACTGTGGTTTAGTTATTCCATGCCTGGGCATATGTTAAAAATTTGTACATAAAATAATAAAGTTTCTATTTTGACTAGTGGAATACCTCAGCTGGTTTGAATATAACCAAGAATTATGGAAGTACCATAGCCAATTCCAAGTAAGATTCCGATTCATAGATTTTTAATTCAGCAAGAATATTGCTTTTGCCATGATATTTTGTTCCACCGAAATTTGTATTCACATCATTACACAAAACAAATAATTCTATATTCCATGTGGAATTTTTAGCTGAATATACAATTAACGATAGGGAAATTAACAAAACTGTTTCTCCACCTTCATTAAAATAAGCTTCCAAATGCTTTTCTTTGGCTCCATTAATTACATAAAGTATTCAACAATTATAATGATCTGGTTTTCTATTTGAAGCAACCAATGGTATTGATCTGCATCATCTGTTTGCAAAGATTTTCTGTTATGAAGCCATTTATTAATAGCTATTTCTTCACTTTTTGTACATGCACAAGAAACCTTGAAATTTAAAATAGGCCACTATAATTTAGAAAATAGTTATTTCGGCCGGATGCAGTGGCTCATGCCTGTAATCCCAGCACTTTAGGAGGCCGTGGCAGACAGATCACCTGAGGTCAGGAGTTCGAGACCAGCCTGACCAACATGAAGAAACACCATCTCTACTAAAAATACAAAAAATTAGCCGGGCATGGTGGCACATGCCTGTAATCCCAGCTACTGGGGAGGCTAGGGTGGAAGAATTGCTTGAACCTGGGAGGCAGAGGTTGCGGTGAGCCAAGATCACGCCATTGCACTCCAGCCTGGGCAACAAGAGTGAAACTCCATCTCAAAAAAAAAAAAAAAAAAAAAAAAGAAAGAAAAAGAAGAAAAGAAATAGTCATTTCATTCAAAGTCAAGCTACTCAGAATAGAAAGCAACTTCACCTTCTGCAGCGACTTGTGTTATATTGTCATCTTCAGCCATCATCATCACAGTAAAAATCACTGATATTTCCAAAGAAGGTTCATTTCTTTTGACTTGAATGAGCTCTGTGATGTCACAATGTCCTATATGTGCTTGGTGGATGGATAGTAAAATTAATTGATATCTTCTACATGTTACACATTTATCATCATCATTCTGGAAAAATAGAAATAATTTTTCATTAAACATGCACTTTCATTAACTAGCTCATTGCTGCTGAATGTGTTTAATGAAAAGATGTCAAATAAATAAAAATTTTAATTTTTACAAAATAATGTATTTGGGAGCGGCAGTAGCAAAAGCATTCAGATGCTCTGAGTCATTTTATTCTGCCTCTATTTCCTGCACTCCAAGTCTGTGCTTTCCCACATTTGCCACTAACCTTGCTGATTGTAGCATGATGATACAATGTATCTTTCAGGCTTCAGCAAGTATTGTGGCAAAATTTGCTAGCAAATCAACAGATGGCAGGGGCAGCTGATTTAAAAATGTTCTCATTAGTACTTGAGAGAAAAGGACTTAGCTACTTGTAGCTCCTTTGGCCTAAGCATTTTTATCAGCAACGCCCTGCATGCTGTCCTCGTAAGCAAGGTCATGCCAAACTCATGCGCTGTTAGACAAGATCATGCCCTTAGCTGGAACTATGAAAAAGAGCACTACTGAACTCATTTTGCCTTTTTTTGGTGCAACTGGCAATAAAGATACTTTGCTAAAAATGGAGAAAATCTGAGACAAATATTAAGTCAAATGGGAATCCAGAGCTACGGGCATAATCAGGACCTTTCCTTTCCAACTGGGACCCCACCCACAAGACTTGGCAGGCTATGCTCCCCCTCCCCCGCTGACCTCCTTAGCCCCATTACAGAAACACTTGTGAGCAATATATTGAGACCTTCAATGAGCATTTGATTTAGGCTTGTCATTGTTCCTAGACTGAGGCTTCACAGGCAATGATTGTATTGGATTTGACTCATCTTTCGGTCCCTGTTATCCAGCAGAGCGCCTGCCATATGGAAGGTGCTAAGAGCATATTTGATGAATTAATCAGAGGGTGGGTGAGCAGGACGGGGTACAGAGGGAGAACACTGGCTCTCTGGGCCCTCAGGGAGCACCTCCTTTGGAGGGCTGCATGCAATACACTTTGAGTGTAGAGGCAAGATGAACTTGCAGATGTATTCCAATGATCAAGAAATGTATTTCCTGTCTGATATCTTTTATAACACCATCTTTTTCATGACTCCATTTCCACTTTTTATTCTGTGATCACAGTGCTTGAGTAGTGCTGAGTATCAGGTTCTAGGGGAAGCTTGTTCCAAGGATAATCTAAATCCGCAGTCTACTTCCCTCCTACATCCCAAGACACAGAAACAGGCACACAAACACACACACAAACACAGGCCAATTGATAGCATGATAACATTCCAGAAATATAGAAATCAATAAATTTATATATAACTCTTTTAAATTTGCATATGTAGAAATAAATATACACATATAGAAATATATGGCCAGGTGCGGTGGCTCACGCCTGTAATCCCAGCACTTTGGGAGGCCAAGGTGGGTGGATCACGAGGTGAGGAGATCGAGACCTTCCTGGCTAACATGCTGAAACCCCGTCTCTACTAAAAATACAAAAAAATTAGCCGGGAGTGGTGGCAGGCGCCTGTAGTCCCACCTACTCCAGAGGCTGAGGCAGGAGAAAGGCATGAACCCAGGAGGTGGAGGTTGCAGTGAGCCGAGATCTCGCCACTGCACTCCAGCCTGGGCAACAAAGCGACACTCCATCTCAAAAAAAAAAAAAAAAAAAAAGAAAGAAAGAAATATATATTTGTTTAGGTAAAGTGCTACAGGAACAAATTAGCTATGAAATTTCAAAGACAGTGTAACAATAGTTTATTTCTACCAAAGTTACATATCTAATACATGATGGCAGGACATTATACTCCACATAGTAACTCAGGGAACAAGGCTTACAAGAATGACAACATCTTATATCTGCATCGTTCTCATTTGCTGCAGCTTAAGGGTCATGTGCCTGCTCTCGAATGTTTTGTCCAGCAGAGTCACATTTCATTTTGCTTCCAACTCATTAGCCAAGCTAGAGAGAGGAAGGGCAGCACATGGCCTGTGTCATCTGTACTCTCTGCCTTTTGGTTTCCAGCTGGAGTTGACCAAAAAAGCACCCTCAAGATCACAAAGCTGGGGATTAACTCACTCAACATTTTCTCTAGCAAGTCCTGGTTTGACCAAGTCATGTGGGAATCCTCTCATTATGGCTACAACTCTCCTTAGGATATCCTCTGACCTCTAAAGCCTTAGAGTAGGTCATGGATTTCCACTGTTGCTATTTTTTCCTTGATAGCCATCTCTGGTAGGATTATTTAACATTGCCCATGCCTTTGTTCATTTTAATTGACCTTTTACAATTGCCCCTTTGTGTGTTCCATAGGTTTCATGCTGGGGCTCTAATTGACATAGTTCCTCTGTTCTCATACATAGAACTACACCAACCCCTCCCCAAGAAAGACAACCACAAGTCCCATCCAAGTGCTGATGTCAGTTCTAAGTCCAGAATCTCAGCAGGATACACAGTGCATCCTATATCAGGTCAAGACATGGCTCCTCTTAGCCCACATTAAGAACTACAAAGGGAGGTTGTCCACACTCAATGAACAATAATGGAACCACAAGTTAACAACAGTAAACAATCCTATTTAAAAATTGATGAGAGAAACACAGAAGTTAATGGTTCCTGTCAATTGTGCGGTAATGTTTGACAGTCTCATTGCAAACACCGTTATTCTGGAGATGGAAGTGTTACTATTTGTTCATTAGCTCTGGATCCTGATCTCTGGGAGAACTTTTCTTGTTCCTTTTTTTCTCTCATTCTTAAATCCATCTTCTGGAAAGACCTTCTTGTACACTACTCTGTTTGACTAGATCAGATGTGGGTTTTGTGGAATGTATCTATTTTGAGAGTTATATAGCTTTGTCAGGTCACTTTCTGCTTACAAAATGTTTGTACCTCAAGTTTTGCATGCTTGTTTAGGCCAGGGATATAGTTCTGATGTTTGTCCCCTCCAAATCTCATGTTGAAATGTGATTCCCAATGTTGGAGGTGGAACCTGATGGGAGGTGATTGGATCATGAAGATGGATCTCTCATGATGGGTATAGCACCATCTTCTCGGTGATAAGTGAGTTCTCACTGAGTTCACATGAGATCTGATTGTTTTAGAGAACCTGGGATCTCCTCATTCTCTCTCTTTTGCTCCTTCTCTCACTGTGTGACATGCTGCTCCTCTTCATCTCCTATCATAATTGCAAGCTTCCCGAGGCCCTCACCAGAAGCAGATGATGGCACCACACTTCTTGAACAGCCAGCAAAACTGTGAGTGAAAATAAACATAAAACTAAAATTTCTTTATACATTTTCCAGCCTCAGGTGTTTTTTAATAACAATACAAGAAGGGCCAACTATAGAAAATTAATACTGAGGAGTGGGGCATTGCTATAAAGATACCTGAAGATGTGGAAGCAGCTCTGGAACTGGGTAATGGGCAGAGGTTAGAAGACTTTGGAGGGCTCAGAAGAAGACAGAAAGATGAGGGAAAGCTTGAAACTTCTTAGAGGCTGGTTAAATGGTGATCATCAAAATGCTGATAGAAATATGGATGGTGAAGTCCAGGCTGACAAGGTCTTATATAGAAATGAGGAAGTTATTGGGAACTGGAGTAAAGGTTACCCCAGTTATGCCTAGAAAAGAGCTTGGCTGCATTGTTTCCATGCCCTAGGGATCTGTGGAAGTTTGAAGTTAAAAGTGATGACCTAGGGGATTTGGCCAGAGAAACTTTTAAGCAGCAAAGTGTTAAAGATATAGTCTGGTTGCTTCTAAGAGCCTATTATCAGAAGGCTGTTCCTGCAAAGAAATGACTTAAAGTTGGTACTTATATTTAAAAGGGAAATAGAACATAAAAGTTTGGAAAATTTGCATCCTGGCCCTGTTAGAGAAGGAATCCCAGCAGGCTATGGAGCAACCACTTGCTAGAGACAGTAGCCTGACTAAAAGGGAGTCAAGTACTAATATCCAAGACAATGGGAAAAAGACCTCAGAGGCATTTCAGAAGTCTTTGGGAGAGTCTCTCCCATCATAGGCCTAGAGGCCTAGGAGGAAAGAATGGTTTCAGGAGCCAGGCCCAGAGTGCCACCACCCCGTGCAGCCTTGGGACACTGCTTCCTGCATCCAGGCTGCTCAGGCTTTGGCCTTTGCTCAAAGGGACCCAGGTACAGTTCAGGTTGCAGTTCCTGAGGGTGCAAGCCATAAGCCTTCGTGGCTTCTACATGGTGTTAAGTCTGCAGGTGCACATAATGTAAGAGTGAAGGAGGGCCTTGGTGGTTTTCATCTAGATTTCAGAAGATGTATGGAAAAGCAAAGATGCCCAGGCAGAAGTCTGCCACAGGGGTGGAGCCCCCACAGAGAAATTTTACTAAGGCAGTGCAGAAGAGAAATGTGAGGTTGGAGCCCTATGCAGAGTCCCCACCAGGGCACTGTCTAATGGAGCTGTGGGAAGGGAGCCACCACTGTCCAGACTCCAGAATGGTAGATTCACCATCATATCGCACCCTCTGCCTGGAAAAGTTGCAAACACTGAACTCAAAACCATGAAAAGAGCCACAAGGCTGCATCCTACAAAGCCACAGGGGCAAAGCTGCACAAGGCCTTGGGGGACCACCCCTTGGACTAGCATGTCCTGGATGCAAGACATGGAATCAAAGGAGCTTGCTTTGCAGCTTTAAGATTTAATGGCTTCCTTGCTGGGTTTCAGATTTGTGTTGGACTTACTGCCCCTTTCTTTTGGCTAAGTTCTTTCTTTTGGAATGGGAATGTATACCCAATGCCTATACCACCATTGTGTCTTGGGAGTAAATAACTTGTTTTTGGTCTCAGAGGCTCATAGGTGGAGAGAACTCAGCTCCAGATGAGACTTGGGACTTGGGACTTTTGAGTTAATACTGGAATGAATTAAGACTTTGGGAGACTATTGCTAAGGTGTGATTATATTTTGAAATGCAAGAAGGACAACATGAGATTTGGGGAGCCAGGGGTGGAACAATGTGGCTTAGATGTTGTCCTCTTCAAAACTCATTTTAAAATGTGATTCACATTATTGGAGGTGGAGCCTGGTGGGAGGTGATTTGATCATGGGGGTGGATCCCTCATGAATGGTTTAGCATCATTCCTTTGGTGATAAATGAGTTATCGCTAAGTTAGTTCGCATGAGATCTGGTTGTTTAAAAGAGCTAGTTCACAATTCATATGGCAACATAATTCCTGTGAAAACTTAGACTATTTGTCTGTTTTCTGTAAATAGAGTGTACACAATTCCTTTCTAGGCTATCACAGAAAACTACATCAGACAGAATGTAACAGAAAAGAATAATTTTATTCAAAACAATTGCAATAGAGTTGAGACTACTGCAGTAGAGGAGAGAGGTTGAACTCAAGTTTGAATACAGCAAGGACAGCTGGGGATTTATAGCCAAGTATCAGAGTGAGGGGGTCAGTGGATAGAAATTACTAAGAGGAACTAATGAGATACCAGTGTTGGGGAAGAGGACATTGATTAGATATTAAGGGTAAGGGCATTTGTGCTAACCTGGCCTAGGATTCTTGCTAAAACTTGACTCTGCAGACTCAGGACAAGGGGGCTCAGAGGAGTCTGACTAAAGTTTGGCCAAGGAGGAGATTCTTGGCAAGGCATGGTTCTCAGGTGTGCTATATTTCTTTATCATTCTCATAAATCTCTCTTTCCTTAGTGCTGGCTGCTTTGAGGTTTTACTGGATTTTCATCACTCCAAGTATTTTAACATCCCATGTGTTATTTGGGGTCTAGAGATAATCAGTTTGTCTAACACTGCAAGGGCTCCACAATCTGGGCTCTCTCTGTTCTCGCTCATCTGTGCTTGCAGACTGGCCAGTGCTTTCTGCCCATCTGTCTTTCTTGCAATACCTTTCTGAATCCCAGAAATAACCTGTACACACTACTGCTTTGCCATTTTACAATATGGATCTGCATTGTTTTAGCTTCTGAGATCAGTCCTCTTGGCACACTCTTTCACTGAATCGATGCCATATGTTTTGGGTTTTTATTTCAGTAGGACTTCACCAACTTTGCACAGTATTTATTATTATTCTAATCACATGATCCTCTGCTGTGGTAACAGATAAATCCTCAAGTTGCACTGATTTAATAACATGAGACTTGATGTCCTGCTTACACAACATTCACTGGGAAAAACAGTGAGATGGTGAGGTGGAAAGAGTGTGTGGGGGTCACCTGTTGAGTTGGAATCTACTAATTTGTAGGTGCACATGTGGAAAAAGTAGCCACAGCAGGAGAAAAGAGATCTGGAGTTCTGTGCAACAGCCCTTGAGTGCATCAACCTGAAATTAAAGCAGTCACTTTTGCTCATACCCTACTTGCCAGAAATCATTTCATGGCCCAGAGTACCTGGCAGGAGCCCGGGAAATGTGGCAAAGCACACTCACATTTGGTGCACAGTCAATGCATCTGCCACAGTAGGCTTCAAGTATATTATAAATAAATAATTATACATAAACGCATGTGTTCATGCACACACACGCACACACACTTGAAATAGCCATTGTGTAAAATCCCTGTTTAATCAATTTTATGCTACCATTATTTCACATTTTAACATTTGTGGCAGATTGAATCTACCAAGAATGGCTGCAAAACTACTTCCCATTCCACGTGCTCCTCTGCAGTGACTTTGCCCCTCTCCTCACCTTTATCATGAACTGGGCTGATTTCCTTGCCCAAACCTTGAATCTGGGCTGGCATTAGAGACTCACTTGTATCCAACAGAGATGGCCTAAGTGATGCTGGATCACTTCTAAGGATAAGTCAGAACTCTGCCTGTTTGTGTCCCCCAGAACTCGTTTGTTGAAGTCCTCACCCCAAAGTGATAAGAGGAGGGGCCTTTGGGAGGTGACTTGACCATGAGGATGGGGCCTTCATGATGGGATTAGTGCCCTTACAGAGCTCTCTCTCTGCTCTCCACTTTGTGAGGACACAACCAGAAGATGGCCATCTGCAAACCAGGAAGAGGACCTTCAACAGACACTGATCTGCTGGCTTCTTGGTTTTGAACTTCACCTTCCAGAACTGTGATAAATAAATTAGTGTTATTTAAGCCCCCAAGTCTATGGTATTTTCATTATAGTAGCTTGGATAGATTAAGACACTTCCTTTTGGAGTGATCCCTCTCAGAGCCCAGCTTCCATGGCTTTGAAAAGCCTAAAACCACACAGTAGAGAGCTCCAGGCAAATAAAAAATTTTCCATGTTAGTCTAGCCTCCAGCTGTTGAAGTCACCTCCAGAATCTCATGTCCTCTGGCTGAGGCCCCAGGCATTGTGGAGCAGAAACAAACCTTCCCTGCTGTGCCCTGTTCAAATTTCTGACTTACACAATCCAAGATCAAAATGAATGGTGGTTATTTTATACCCCTGAGTGTTGGGTGGTTTGTTATGCAGGCTGGATAAATGGAACAACAGCTCTGGATCAACGTGAGTCTTACAATCAATTGTGTCTTTTTAAAAATTTAAATATTTTAGCAATTCTGAAGTTAGAATACATCTTAGGTATGATAAAATATGGTAACAAATAAAAATGGGTATACTTTATATGAAAATCTAATGGGGAGAGTTCTTTCTTCTTTCATTATGTCAGAAATACATTATACAACTGTATACCTATGTACCTTCATACAGATTTTGCTAATATTTTATATTATAAAATAATGATGTGTGCATTGTACTAGATGAGTCTTCTTATCCTTTTCATCAACAATCCCTATTGAAAATGCAGTCTCCTGGCCATACTGACTCCCTTTATCTATGATAACTTAGACTCACTCCACATTCCACGATTATTTATTGGCAGCTTCTGGGTGTGAGGAATCGTAATCGGCATGGGGCGAGGTCCTTACCTGCCTACACAGAGTCATGGCACAGGGAGAGATGCGTGAAAGCAGCAAGCGGGAATCAAGTATGTGAATACAAGCCCTGAAGGGTGCGGTGAAGGGAACAAAAAAGGTACTTGAGAAACTGAGGAAGACTTTCCTTTGGGTAGTTGGGGAAGGCCTTGCTAAGAAAGCCCATTCGAGCTGAGACTTAAAGGCCTCTGCTACCTACAAGGTGGGGGTCATTTCTAGGCTGCTGGAAGAAGATGGGGGACTGGAGGTCAGTGTGGCTGCAGCCACGGAGGGGCAGGAACAGGAGGGCGCTGAAGGGCAGAGACCTGAATGCTTTTTAAGGACTTGGAGAGCAAAAGACAAATCTGGGTTTGTTAAAAGTCACTGTGAATCAACCTTCGTAGTATGCCCTTCAGTAGGTGAGTGGATAACTGCGGTACATCCAGACAATGGAATATTATTCACATTTCAACATTATGTTATTTAACAAAATAACATACTCAAACAAAGTGAGCTAAGAAGTCATGAAAAGATAAGAACCTTAAATGCCCATTACTAAGTGACAGAAGACAGTCTGAAAAGGCTACGTCTATGATTCCAATATATAACCTTCTGGAAAAGGAAAAACTATGGAGACAGGAGAAAGGTCCGTGGTTGCCGGATGTGAGTGGGGAGGGAGGGGTGAGTGGACAGAGTGCAAGGGATTTGGGAACTACTCTCTATGATACCCTCATGGTGGATCCATGTCACTATCTATCTGTCCAAACCCACAGAATGTGCGGCCCCACGAGTGAGCCTAGTGTAAACTACAGCCTCCAGGGGATAGCGATATGTCTGTGCAGGTCCACTGTTCATGACAAAGGCACACATTGTAGGGGATGCTGATAGTGGAGGGCCTGGAGGGGCAGGAGGTAAATAGGAACTCTCTGGGCCTTTCTCTCAATTTTGTTTTGAACCTAAAACTGCTCTACAAAATAAAGTCTATGTAAAATTAAAAAGAAAAAAAACAAAAAGGCATTCTGGAGGCTCAGAGGAGGGAGCAGAAGGGACTGAGGAGAGTGGAAGGCCGTGGGGTGGCACAGCCAAGACCTCTGCAGACCCCCACGGGAGACCTCCCTTCCCCGGCGTGCCCGAGGACTCTGCCTCTGTGTGGCACTGCTGCAGCCCTCCACTGCAATTGTTTACTCACAAGTCCTTGTGCCCTAAGACTGAGCAGCTGGTTGCGAGGAGGAGGAGGTAGTGATGAGGGCTAATTCACAGGAGAATCCAGGCGGTGGGTATGCAGGGAGATGAGGCCAGAGGAGGAAAGAGGGAAAGATGGACATGTGTGAGGCCTGGACCATTTTTCTGCCTTGCCCAGGGACAAGAGGGACTTTTCTGCACAGACACAGCCTGAGCCTGTGTCCAGCCTCTAGAACACATCTGTGTTTCCAAAAATGCTTCCTCCGCCATCCTTCAGGATTATTTTCAAGCCAAAATGTTGAGCATAAACAGGAGGAGATTCAGTCCAGGTGAACCTGTGTCTCCACAGCCTGTGTGAGGGAGCAAGGGAGGGAGGGGTGGTCCAAGGAGGGACTGAGGCCCCATGTGGGAAATGGGGCCTTCTTTCTGCCCACCCTTACCATCTCCTTGTCCTTCCCTCAGCTTTCTCTTCCTCCCTCTTGCCTTTCCATTCTCCCCTCATCCCTGCTTTTAACACTTTGAATTCATGTTTCATGCATGGTGAATGAAAAGGCCACCCAGTCGTTGGGTGGAGAGTCCTTCTGATCCCCAAATATCTCCCAGACTCTTGCCAGAGGCTCTTTGCATGGGGTGACGGCCAATCCGGGATACAGTGCTGGGCTGGGCAGAGGAGCACAGGATTAGAGCAAGCGCACACGGCTGCTCCTGCATTTTTCCTGGCAGTGGAGCATGAGCCTGTGAGCTGACTCTTGACACTCACAACTCCGACGGTGCCTGGGCTTCCTCTGCCTCTCTAGGACAGTCAAACACATGCTTCACTGTGATCACCTGAGAGTGGTGGTTTTCAGTTCAGGTGTGAATTTTCTCACAGACACCAATTCTGTGACTTCATTCATTCTTACACTCATTTCTATGCCCGTCAGAATGTGCAATTACAAAGCTGGAGGAGCTTGCACAGACACTCAAGGCCTTTCAGAGACCCATTAGGACTCCGCAACCCTGGACTTTGGGGACCTTTTCCTCCAGCAGTGTGCCCGAGTCATCCTTTGTTACAACATAGTGTCTCATCCTAGCATACACAGACATGCAAATGTACACATGAGATCCACTCTGGCACCCCATGGTCTCTTTCTGAATATGTATTGCATCCTGCCAGTCAAATGTCTTCTGATTATGAGGAAATTTAATCTGGGTATCATGAGTATAAGTCTTTATGATGACAATGAAAATTAAGCATTCTAGTGTTGTATATTTCAAATAAAGTTGCAGCTCTCCCAAGCTGTGGGGATACATTCTGTGCAAGCTCTCTCCCTTCCTTCTGTTGCCCTCTCCTAACCAGCCACGAGAGAGCACAAAGACAAACATGTGGCTGGCTGAGGAGGATGGATGTGTAAGGCAACATCTTCTGTACAGGAAATGCATGAGGTTGAGTCACACATTTCTAGCCAGGCAGCTTCAATTGCTGTTGATATGGCTGGTTGTTGCAATGTGGGCCGGTGCCACAGGAATCGTCACTTAGCGCATTGATTAAAATGATCCAGCGCCTCACCAGAGACATTCTTGAGGCCCCAGAGGCACCCAACAAATGCAAACATTGCAGAGAAGGAGACAGCAAAGGTGAAATCACTTAGCATCTTTGGCTGACCTCAGCTCCAGATGCCGGTGGAAGCTGGGGCTTGATTTTGCTTTGCTTCAGGGACAGCGATGATACATTTTATTACAGTGTTGATTCTGAGGTCCCATCAGGCTTCTGGTGTCCTCAACATCCAGGGAGGCCAGACAAGCTGAAAAAATCTTTACACAATGGCAGGGAGCAGCCAGAGGAAGGAAAGAGCAAGGCCATCCAAAGCAACACAGAGCTCTTCGCAGGTCAGAACGTGCACCCAGGAGCAGTGGCTGAACCTTGCGTGGGAGTGAGGTTTAGAGGCAAGAGCTCAGGGAGTTCTACCCAACCTAGCAGATGAGGACACCAAAAAAAAGGCAATCAGGACTGGAGAAGGGCATTTCCTCAGTTATTAAAAAATAACAATGCTCATGTCTCTTTCTCTTAACAAAGATGCTGGACATTTAAACCAACTCAGCTCTCTCAGCCCCACAAATACACTTTTTAAAACTTGGTCTGTCTTTTCTAGTTGCCACAGCCGAAGCCCTGGGCTGCCTCCACCTCCGACCTTATGCACAGGAGCAGCTGTTGAGTCACTTTTACTGTGCTTTCTTGAGAAGGAAGGGAGTTCCCAGGGGTCTGGTGATATCCACCTGCAGGGGGTCTCCAACACAAGACAGCGCTACAAGAGCCAGGGCAGCCTTGGCCAGAGCTAGGGGTGCAGAGGTAAAGGCAGGCCTTGCCCTCCAGGGCCACACAGGCTGGTCAGGAGACAGTCCTGTAAGGGGACCCAACGAGTGTCCTGTGACAGTGCAGGGCTGAGGGGTGTGCAAAGCTCCTCGGGTGCATGAGAGGGAACTGGAGGTGCCCTTGCCTCCTGGTCATTTAAACCAACTGACATCCTGAGCATAGTAGTGCCTGTATGTGTACACATGTATGTGGCTTCGTGTGCTCACTTGGGTGAGCGGTGTGTGTATTTCTGTATATATGGGCCTGCATGTGTGGTATATATGTGTGCATGTGTGTGTGATATGTATGTGTGCATGCATTGTGTGTTGTGAGTATGTGGGGATGTGTATGTGTTCGCGAGTATGTGCATGTCTGTGTGTATTCATGTCTTTGTGCTTGCGTGTGTGAGTGTGCATATGTCTACATTGCTGTGTGCATGCCTGTGTGTGGGTGCATTTACGTGGTGTAAGGGCAGGTTTGTCTAGACCTTGGCCTAACTCCTAGGCCTGCTCTGACTTAATTGTGGGCACAGACACATGAATCTTCATGGGCTCCCTTTAATAACAAATAATGAATTTTACATTCATTTCCTGAGTCTTTGTGGCATAATGTGGCATTCTCAATCACATCTATAAAAATAGGAGATCACTTTGTTCAAGAACCAAAGATGGCTCACCTTGAAGAGCTCTTTGCCACACCCACTTCTGGCCTCTCTGAGCCCTGCTGGTTAAGGGTGCAGTGTGAGAAGGCTGGCCTCACTGTTTAGATATAGGATGGAGGAAACTCCAACAGATGACTCCACATGATTTGTTCATTTGAAAGCACGACCTTCGTCTGGAGCCTAGGCTTGAAATGGACCAAGACAGCTCATTTGGATGCCATGCCCGAGGCTAGACTTTGCTTAAATTGGCACAGGTTGTATTTGCTCTGATGTTGCTTTAATGCCTGTGGAAGAAGATCTCTCACAATTTCCCCAGGCAGGTATTTTAGTGGCATCGCTATTGTCATCACAGTGTCTCCTGATGTTTGTTCTAAATCACTGTTTTGCTCCCATGAGCAAATACCCTTCCTAAATGATTCCCAGGATTTTCTAGTAAGAAGAGGATTGAAGGAGGGTGCTATAGAGCCCTTGAGCAGGTAGCTGGACTCATTATCCGGCACTTTCCTACAAGGACACAGCATTTAGGGCAGTGCCAGAGCCTCATCCACCTTCACGACACCCTCTCCCCACAAGAATAGGTCCCCAAATGGGTTAAATTGTTTTTCCTTCAGACCTCCTCTTCTTTCATGCTCTTCACGCTCTATTGAGATTGCACGATATGTCTTTCAGGTTGATGCTTACACTTGCCACCGACCTAGAATGTCATCCAGAATATTCCATCTTTGCAGAATGTGAAGTCATCTGTGAGATTTTTAGCTGAAAAAGAAAGTACAACAGGCTGGATCCTAAGGCTGCATGCTTACATTTTTTGTTATTATATTTTTAGCTGTGAAATTCTACTCATCATTATTTTCTAGACCTTGAAGATGATCTTTTATCTTTTCCATTTTGAGGAACTTAGGGTCAAAAAACTCTTGATTCCTCTCTTTTTTGTTGGGTAAAGACATGAAGTTGTTAGTGTTGTTTATCCCAGTTCACATGTACTTTGAAAGATATGAAGAGATGTTGAGTAGCGGCTTAAGAATGGTCTGTGATGAAGCTGCTCTGCTCAGGTTCTGTACTCTGCAAATGACATTTTTACCTTTGCCATATGCTCCTGTTCAGTCTCCACCCAAAGGACAAGAGACAGGTGAGAAGGCTGGAGGGGGAGAAGGGACTACTCGCTCCTCCCTTTTGTTTATGTTTCCCATCAGTGTCTATGACCTACTCTCAGCATGAGTTGATCCCAGTTTCCAGTTTTTCCCATAACCTGAGCCTTATGGGATCCCTTCCAAGATTTTGTGGCACCAGCATCTACAGAACAGCCCCCTTTCCTCAGAGACCTGGGTCTCAGCTCAGCAGGGCCTCTCACCCAAGTTTTCTGTTCAAACAAATCCAACCTCTTCCCTTTGTCTCCTCAGCCCTTGAAGGCTAACTGATTCTGCAGCTATCACCTCTGTGTCTCTATGTCTTTTTAGCCCTCTAATTCCTAGTCAATCAATTCCCTATACTCAATTCTCACTGTTAAAATAACTGGCATGCTTTCTGTTTTGTTGACTGGATTCTGAATGACCCAGTGTTCTTGTAAATAAATGTCGGGATGAAGATAAGCATCGCCTAGAAATATGGTTGAGGAAATCTAAAAGGATTTAAAAAAATTGGTGAGAACATTATTTCAGATAAAACTCAAGAACTATGGCAAAGATGAGATAAGTTTTCTATTTAATTTAAGGGATGTGAAGATTTAGCATATTTACCAAATAAGAGAGTCAATTCCATAGAAAGAGAGAGAGAATGAAGAATACTAAAAAGAGAGGATGATTGGTTGGATTAAGTCCTATAAAGATAAACTCAACATAGAAAAGAGGTGAACTGTTCTTTCTTTGGAAAAAGGAGAAAGGATATGAGTGAAGGGAGGATGAGAATAACAATGAGTTTAACAAGTGGGGAGAAGCAGGGAAATTCCTAATCCTGTTCCGAAGAAGTATAAATTAAGACTATTTGAGAATGAAGGGATTGGGGATGGGATCACAGTAAATAGAAACAGAGTAGCATAAGCAACAGCTAATGGAACACATCTCCCAGAAACTCAGTATTTGGTAGATTAAAGGTTGCTGAGCAGCACTGGGCTGCTCAGGTAGGTATTTGTCATAAAACAAGGGATAGCTACAGAAAAGCTTTGGAGCTCCAAATAGGATGTCTCAGGTGTCAAGTGTGGATGACACTGGTGACACAGAGACTTAATCCACCAGAGGGCAGGCACAGATGTCACATACACTTTTTTTTTTTAAAACATTGTTTCACATCAAAGGTCTACCGCTCCCTTTATGCCAACTATTTATCATCATTTTAAGTTTTTTTATTCAGCAAATTCCATTGAGTGGTGAGCAAGCCTTGAGAAGTACTTCTAGGGCAATTAGGCGACAGGTCAAGGTGACTTCCCCAGCACTGTGCAAATATTTGCATCTCAAGATGCTTGGGAGATCCAAGGAGCTTGACTTTGTAGTGGAGAAAGTCTAAAATTGGAAGTACTTGGAAACGTGCGTGTAAATTGAATTCTTTTCCTGAATTAAACTTAGATATATTTCCAATTTACATTATAATTTCATCACACTTTATGTTTAACCTCCCATTGTGTTTCCCACCCACCCACACTTATCACCCTGGCTTTGTCATTTTATGTAAGCAAGCCTCCAAGTGTTAGAAGAGATTTCACCTTGATATTTTAGAGAATGGTGAAGAGAAAATATTTTTTTAACTCCAATTTTTAAATTTGGACCTTGGACCTAGGGTTATCTCCAGATTTTTGTGAATGATGACAGTCATTTTAGACATCAATGTGTTGGTCCTGGACTTGATATTTGCCCTTCTCTCTCATTTTCAGTTCATGCTGACACCTAAACAAGAGACTTTTTTTTTTTTTTTTTTTGCTATTGATCAAAAGAATTAAAAGTTGTAATAGGAATATTAAAGTCAAATGAAGGTAAATTCCCGGTGAGCAGTTCCTGTTATCTTGTTAACTCTGTCATTGGAGACCCAGAGCTTCCTCAGGTCCTGCACAGTGCTGTTCAGACACAGTATCAGGGTGGCTTCCCTATGTGAAAGGGTTTATCACCAACCTCCTTCCCAGCTCTCAGGACCATGCGAGCTGTGGCTCTGGGTCCACCTTATAATTTTGGAAGACCTGCATGGCTGCCATTCACGTTGGTTCTTGGCTCCTTTTTTTATTAGTCCTGTGTGGCTTGGTACAAAACCTCTGCCTGTTTTGTATTCTTTGCTATTTAGTCATTTTATTCAAAGTTTCACATGGAAAGGCAAAGGGCAGAGTATGTCATAATATAGCATCTAGGGTTTTGTGTGTGTGTGTGTGTGTGTGTGTATGTGTGTGAGACAGAGAGAGAGAGAGAGAAGAGAGCATGAGAAAGAACACCTTGAAATATACTTTGAGGACCACTGTAATGGTGAGAGGTTGACACGCCCCTGTCTAACACTGCAGGAATTAGCAGATCCTTCCTACCATCCAAGGGAGGGCATAAGCAAAACAGTGATTGTCCAAGGACTTTGAGAAAGTCATCTGGGAACCCACACTGCTTTGTCCTGCTCTCTGTCAGTGTACAGACACTGTTAAGACAAAAGCCTGCAGCCATCGCAGGCATGCACAGCATATGCTTCTATGTGGGTGTTTATTTTTCACCAGATAGAGTGCTTGGAACTGCCTGGCATCGTTCCTCTTGAGAGAGAGCTAGGAAACAACAGCAAAGTGGGTTTTCTTTTCTTTTTTCTTAGCTGCCGGAAAAACGGGATAAGACAGAGGCTGCAGGGACACAGACTGAATGCTTATAAGAAAGCCTTACCTTTCCCTGAACCTTCCCATTGACCCTGAGTTCCAGCTTCAAAGGCTGGGCATGTGGAACTGGGCTCATTTACCTTTTTACTGGAGAGCGAGGTGGGGAGCTCATGCCACTGGGTGTTCCAGAGATACCTGCAGAAGACTCTTAAGGAATTCCACATGTCCACTATTTAGCATTTAAAAATCTTTCAAGGAGGACAGATGAATGGGAAAAGAGTATTTCCTAAACCAAATCAGCCTTTTCAGAGAAAATAGAAGTATAAGCCAAAAGGAGAACACAGAAATTAAAGCACAGAAAATAGGATCGATTTAAGCTCTCAAGTTGAGTTTAAAGCTGAGGGCCATGCTGAAGTACCTGTGTTTCCTATAAACCTCCAGCGACCATGACTGAGGGCTTGGAGAAAGTCATGGAGCTCAATGGCCATGATATGATGCTCAGCAAAAGGCAGGGGCTTTGACACCTGAGAGTGACTTCAAATTCTGGCTTAGACCATTGTGATCTGTGCTGTTTGGAGTCAGTTATTCCCCTTTCTGAACCTCAGTTTCTCTCTTTACCATTTGGGGACAATACAACACGCAAGGCAGAGCTGTGGGGATTAAAGACACCATATATAAATAAATGTGAGGCCCCCACACTGTGCCCGAGTCATCGTAGAGGGCACTTTGTGAATGACACTGCTTATCACATCAATTCAAGTATGGCTACTTTATTGATTTTTAATTTCTTCTCATAAAATACTGACTTTTGGAGTTTTATTTTTGAGAATGGGGAGGGAGGGGAAACAGGTGAGGAACCAGGTCCTGAATTGTTACGGTAATAATACAGTTGATGAGTTCATGAACCAGAAAGCCCAATAATGGATAGAGGCTTCTGCCACTAGCTGAGGACACGGGACACAGGCTGTGGCCTTCAGCTTTCCCCAGAGCGGAATGAGAGCTTCAATCTGTCAACTGAAAAACCACCGTCTTCATACATTAGGATAGGTGATTTCACTTCTTATAAAGGGCTGCAGCCTGCAAGGTCACCATTCGGAGAGGCTGAGAATTGTAGCCTCTGGCAGAGCCCAGAAGGAAGGCACTTTGAAGGAGGAGGGGTTGGGGCAGGAGCTTCATGCAGAACAGATTCTTGTTTAGCTGCTAGAGAAAAGAAACCTTGTGCAGTTAGAACATAGTTTATTCTCTAAGTGTAGGGGTGCGTGACTTAACCCTTGCCTGGCATGGCCTTGGGTCTTGTGTATAGTTTGATATATTATTGCCACAAAAGAGTTTATTCCGCTAGTCTTATGATCTCTATTTTAACATTAATGCTGGTCAGTTTTGTCTAAACCACAGAAGGGATGGGGTGTAAGGAGGCGTATCTAACCTCTCCTCCCGTCATGGCCAGGAACTCCGTCTTCAAGGTTTCTCTGGGTTCCCCTTGGTCCCTAGGGCATTTGCTCAGTCAGTTGGGGAACTTAGTATTATTTTAATTCTCAAATCCAAAGGATCTCTTATTAGGGACATTGATTTAGAGCAAGGGCTCTTCACTAAGGTCGATTTTGCTAACCGTGGGCATTTAGCAATGTTTGGAGACATTTTTGGTTGTCATAACTGGAGGGAGCTACTGGTATCTAGTGGGTAGACATCAGGGGTGCTGACAGACATACTATGATGCCTGGGACAGCCCACATAACAGAGAATTATCCAGCCCCAAATGTCAATGCTACCAAGGTTGATTAAATGTAATAAATGATGTGTGTGTGTGTGTGTGTGTGTGTGTGTGTGCATGTAAAGAAAACTTTTTACATGGATAGACATGATTTAGAAGTTTAGGGACTTATACTTGATTTAGAAAAAATAACAAGAAGATAAAACTTATGCTCATATTTAAAATAAATACCTTCTAGCCTGCTTTTCAGTAAAGGGCGGTATGAAATCTGGACAGACATGTAAGATGTGAAAATTTTAGCCAAATGCTTCATGCACTTCAAAGATAACATCTTATTCTTTGAAAGAAGAAATAATTTCATGTTTAGTTTCAAGAATCTTTTTCACTTTGGCCACCTGGTTTTAATCTAGTTTTATTTGCTCACCTAAACATATCATTGCTGAAAAAAGAATGAAATTCAAAATGTTTGATATAAAATATCCCTTTTTCCCGCCTTTCCTCCTTGTCTCTATATCATTGTGTAACTAGATTTGGTAATAATGAAGCTTTATCCAGATGGAGGGGTGGATATCTACTAACAGAATTACCCACAGATGCTTCATAAAATCCATCTGGCCGAGAGAAACATGAAGCTGAGCTGTTCTGTAGGTGAGCCATATTTTGCCATGGATAGAAAGAAATGTCTACATCTTAAGAGTGCTTAAAGGATTTTAAAATCTCAATTTTTATTAAAAAATGTTTATTAAAGACATTTTCAAGAAGAAAAGAGGACTTAGGTTTAATAAATTAAAATGCCTTGCTTTCTTATTTTTTCTCCATTTTAGCATATGCCATATTTAGGACATATAGGTTACTTGAGAATGACAGCCAGGTATACAGCAATACCTCATGTAGCTGGCTAGAGTGAGGCTAAGGGCCAGATGGATAATTCCCTCTCTTTCTTTCTTTCTCTCTCTCCTTCTCTCTCTCTTTCTGCTTCATTCCTAAGCTTGGTTTTAGTTTTTTCATATTTAAAGGACTAGAAATCGATGTTGGCAAGAACCCAAGGGGATACTTACCTTGAAGGTGGTATGGATTTTGTATTGTGCCTGGATTTGGGGTCCCTCTAAATAGCATCTGGACTCCACTGGACCCTGAGCTGTCCTTAGAACCTACCCTTACCCCCGACCGATTCATTAAGGGTGGCCTCTTGCTGGATTCCAGAAAGCATCCAAGCCGAGCAAGTCTTTCCAGACCTTTCCCAATTCATTTCCATCTGATCATTCAATTCGAGTCTCCCAGTGCCTACCATGTGCCAAGGATCCTTTTAGGGTTGTCCATCCCATCCTACCACTTCTCTCCCTGTATATCCTTTAGTAATTCATTCTACCTCTCCATGCTCCAATTCCTCCATCTAACACAATATAAATGACACAGTAAATTACTTATTACTTAATTGGCATGCTCCTGCTTACTACACAGGCCGCATTTACTGGTAATCATGGCCTTTCAGGGAGCTCCTCCATGCTTATCTGTGAAGATTGTGTCCCTGGGAGATAAGTTCAGCCTTTGCTCTGTTGTCCTGGGTTATTTTCACTGGCTGTGGCCTCTGAGTTCAAGCACTCAGGATACATCTCCCGAGCACAGGATCTGGTGGTCATGACTGCTGCCGTGTATTTTACATAATCGTTTTGGAATGTACTTCACAAACTCCTTGGTATTCTAAAAATAACCTATCCCTTTGCTTATTTTTATGCCCTTACCTTGGCTGCCAAGTTTTTTCTTGGAGGGAAATATGAGTTAAAACTGATATACTGGAATGGTATTAATTACAGCACCTTGAATAGTAACGAAAAGCAGCATTGCTAAAATTACTAGTTAATCACATACAAATAGTGCTTGCTGTCAGCTTTTTATAGCTGAAATTGGGACCAAGTTCGGCCATGGAGCAGTGAAAAATATTCAGAGCTGTTATGTCCTCCAAGAATCAATGATGTGAGTAGGTTTATCCAAAGACTAGAAGAAAAAGCATTATAAATGCAACTCTACAGTTTGAAGTCAAATTTCTTGTTCTTTCTGGGTCACAATGCCTTTATCTCTATTTAGAAGATCAAAAAGAGAAAATACAACCTTATAATGACACAAACAGGAATTCACTTACTGAAATATTTAAACTGTGCTGAAAGTTTTACATTATGAATAACTCTGCTTTTTAAAATTCGATCACCATGCTATAACAGTAACAGTATTGCAATTAAATATAGTTGATATGTTCCCAATGCTCTAGGCCTTTGGCCCTCATTTTTAGAGAAAGGCCCCTTCATAAAGAAAGTGAATCAAATCCCAGAAATAACCATTTCTTGGCAGAGACAAAGAAGAGACCAAAGTTGACGCTGTAATTTAATGAAAGCTAATTGAAGTGATTCCAAAGTTGTGCATGGAGCTTTGGAAACTTCAGTTCTTTTTTTTTTTTTTTTTTTTTTAGACGGATTCTCGCTCTGTCACCCAGGCTAGAGTGCAGTGGAGCGATCTTGGGTCACTTGCTAGCTCCCTCCCAGGTTCACACCATTCTCCTGCCTCAGCCTCCTGACTAGCTGGGACTACCACCTAGTGCCCACCACCACGCCCGGCTAATTTTTTGTATTTTTAGTAGAGACGGGGTTTCACCGTGTTAGCCAGGATGGTCTCGATCTCCTGACCTCGTGGTGGCCTCCCAAAGTGCTGGGATTACAGGCGTGAGCCACCGCGCCGGGCCTGGAAACTTCAGTTTAAAATAAAAACTGTTCCCATAGTCTAAGAGATATGTAAAATATAATTTCTTGGTAAAATAAATGGATAAACAGAAGTTCATGAGCAGCTACTCAAACTTGCTCAAGTACTGTGAGCATCATTCTTTGTTCTCTCTTTAAAAGGATCCTTGCTGATTCTGCAGGCACACTTCACATTAAACATCAACAGAAAAAGCTGAAGAGCGTTCCATCAACTGCTAATGAAGATACATTTTGTAATTTTTGTCCTAGATAGTAGCATTGACTTTTCAAAGCAATTGAAAAATTGGTTTTAGGAACCATCACAAAATTGCTAAACCATTCTATCCCAGGTCTAAAAACAAAGGCCTTGGTCTTCCTTACACAATGCTTGGCAGTGTCCGAAGGGTGAGTGAAGTCAGTGTGTATACCAACAGAAGGTGAGCATGCACAAGGAGCTTCAGACGTGCTCCCTTGATAGTGTTGGCTCATGTTCAAGAGCAAGAAACAGTGTGTGGATTTGGGAACTTGGAATAGCTGCTTGACCAACATAGGTTTCATGTCTTTGGAACAGAAGAAAGACAGGATCTTACTGTTTTTTGTTTTTGTTTTTGTTTTTGTTTTCAAGGAAGGGAAGTTTTACTCAAAGGCCTTTACCTCTCAGCATGACTGATCCATTTTCTTTTTTTTCTGGCACTTCCTACCACCAGGTGAACATTTGCAATCATTAAGATATTAGAGCTTAATAACAATCTCAGGAGGTCATAAATGAAGTTATCCCTTTGCAAACAAAATGGGTTAAAATTCCCATGGAATGGAGAGGAAACTAATATTATGTCCTCCTCAGGTCTTTCCTCTGTCCACTAGACACAGAAGAAACCTCTTTTGACCTGGGGCTCAGGGACATCTCTGACTTTGAGGTTGGTCCTCTTCATCAGAATAATTTTATTAGACTTGATGTAATACTGTTAGAATCTTGAGTCTCCAGTCTAGTAATCTGCCTCCTGTTGTTTCTCCTGCGTCAATGCCTTCATCTGTTATGGTCATTATACCTGGCTCTGACATGAGAAGAAGAGGTGATATATTATAAAAGTGTTTACAAATGGCCCTCCCAGGATTTTAGTCCTTCAAGAACTTGGGGTCTGCGTTACTTTGATCAGCTTCTTAGAAGTCAGAGCTCTCCTGTTTGATGTACCTAGCCCTCCTGTCTGTTGGGTGCCCTGACTCCTGACTGCCATGAGGTCATTCTACAGTCCTAACACAAATCCCTCATAGCTGGCATCCTCCTTCCCTGAGGATGGGCCCAAGACACAAGTCTATGTCAGCAATTTTGGAAAAGCAGTCCCAGTGGCACCTGTGTCAGGATCATGTGGGATGCCCATTAGAAATGCAGACAGTCTGGGTTCTCCAATAGCCTCCCTGATTCAGAATCTCTGGAAATAAATTCCTAGACTTGGCACTTAAAAAAGCTTTTCAGTACACTGAGATTAGTGTCCATGCCAGGGTGTGAGCTACTGGGTTATACAAGGAAAGTGGCATCTGAGACAAAGACACATAAAACAGAAGTGTTGTCGACCAGTGACTTGTCCTGAGTACGGAGTTTGGAAGGAGTAACATGTATGTTCTCTTGAGATTATAATTATAATCAGAACAATGAAAACGGCAATCCGTCATAAGAACACTTATGTGCAAATAAGGTAGGAATATTTCCATTCAAAATAATTTCTAATAGCCACCTTGAGTACTTGGTTGAAGAAAGTCCATAGAATGTTGGTGGCCATTGAAATTCAAATCTCCTTACGCATTTTCTGACAAAATGATACAGTTAAACTAGAAGAGCAAATACCGTTACCCATAATACACATCTATAGTATAATTAGGAGGTAGGAATACTCTGTGCTTCATGTACACAGCCAGATTCAGGACATGAACTTGAGCTCATCCTTGAAGAAGCAATCCGGTGAGGGTGTGTAGGAAAGCAGGGAGGAGAGAGGAAGTCTAGGAAAGAAAGCCCACCCTGGGTGGGAAAATACCGAAAACTACTTTCAAAGAAGTAAGGGGACAGAATTCAGACCTGATTGCGAAGAAAAAAGGAAAGCAAGAGGTGAAATCAAGGTCTTACAGAAACACAAGAGAAGCACTACAACATTAGCAGCACCACGCCTCCCTGTAGCAAGAAATAAATAGATAGACAGACAGACAGATGATAGATAGCATCTGACTATACCAACAGAAGAGTGTGTGCTTGAATTACATCTAAACACTGCATGCACGTCTGCATTCAGCTGTTATCTCTGATCTGGTACCAACAACAACAAGAACAACAACAACAAGCATTTAAAAATGACTGAGTAAAAGAGAGAAAAAAGCTTACAAAATAAAGAAGAGAGCATAGGAGAAGTGAACATAGTAAAAATGTTTATCAAATATATAATTGAGATTCCCCGAAGAAGAGCAGGCCATGAATAGGGCAGAGAAGCATTATCTGAAAAGATCCAGGCAAAAATTTTTCTAAAGCTGATGTAACACATTAATCAACAGATTCAATTATCTGCACAAAAACACACACACAAAAAAAAACAAGAAAAAATAATGAGATAAACCAATGCCTCCTCCCAGTTTAAAAAAAAAAAAAAGGAAAGAGAAAGAGAGAGGGAGAGAGATTGTCTCTAACTATACCAATAGAAAAAAAAAACAATCAAAACAAACATCTAGATATAACATCATCGAAAAAAAAAAAGAAAAAATATAGCATATAACAAACAACCAAAGGGGGAAAAAAGAAAAAAAAACAAAAAACGTTACTTTCAAAAGCGCAACAGTAAAGCTGATTTTTAACAGGGATAATTGAAGCAAGAAATAATGGAATAACAACTTTACCTTTAAATAGATTAAAGAAGATTATTCCTAATCTAGATTTATAGACCAAGTGATCACACCCTTCAACAACAAAGCAAAATAAATATATGTTCAGAAAAGCAAAAATGAAGAGAAATAATTACCAGAAGATCCTCCCTAAAAGACATCCCTTTGAGTTGAGGTCTCGCTCTGTTGCCCAGGCTGGAGTGCAGTGGTGCAACATGGCTCACTGCAGCCTCGACCTCAAACTCCTGGGCTCAAGTGATCCTCCCACTTCAGCCTCTTGAGTAGCTGGGACAACAGGCTAAAGAAAATTCTAAAGGAAATTCTTCATAGAGAAGAATGCTGATCACAGATGGAAGCCTGGAAGTAGAGAAAGAAATGCAGAAGAATGGAAAGGGTGAATTATATGAGTAAATAATGTGAAAGGAAAATAAATCTTAGGACCCCCAAATAACTAAGCTGAAAGGAATAGTCAAGCTGGGAACTGATTTTGATTAAGTAATAGGAAGTCAGCGTCTAAATTAAATGAGTAGAGATCATCATGAAGTTCTTCCTGAGGGAGAAAATAATGTTAATAAACACGGAACAGCCCAGCACTCATAAGGAAACATGAGCTTAGCAACTTTGGTGGAAATATGACCTCAGAGAGTGGTAGAGCAATCTCCAGGCTTGATTATAAAAACAAGAGGTTGATTCAAGAACCAGAAATATAAAGTGCAAACATTCAAAGCCAATGTGGAAACGGACAGAGAACAAAACCTTAAGATGGAGAAAGGAACTATAGTTTTTGATCTCATAGGGAACAATTTCATCTGAGTGACACCTCATTGGCCTAAAGGAAATATGGAAGGGTTTATTTGGTTTTTAGAATCCAAAACCCTGGCTCACAAAAACTATACATCTTTGTGCACATTTCTTCACCTGTCTGGGTCTCTATGAGATGTGCATGAGACAATGTGAACTTTAATTTAATTAATTTTCACATTGTCTCATGCACATCTACATGGCACATAACCTTGAGAATGCTCTCAGTAATTAGACACCAGTATTATTAGATATGGCATAAGACCAGAGAGAATGAGCATATTATCATCTGGCTTTCTGTGCCCAGAGTTTTGTGTGGTTTCCCTCAGCAGGAGCTACTGACTTGTAAATTGTCTTTTCTGTGGGTGGAGGTGTGAATATGTGCTCCAGTTGGAAAAATCAGGGCACAGAGTTGATATGGCACCTCCCCAGGGTTTCTTTCTAATGCTCCTTCTCTCCAAAGGTGACAGACTGTGTGGCACTGAGGACAGAGAACAGAATGTGGATGACACGTGGCCCCTTCTGGATGATGAGGATACACTCATTCCCGCTCTGCTATCCCAGCCTCCTGACCCACTCGGAGTCACCCTTTCCATAGGGAAGGAGTTTTCTAGTAATTAACCATATTAATTACTTCCTCCCCGCATTGACATATCTTCCTCCCCGCAAACTCCCAAACAGCTGGATAGTCTAATAATCAACTCCTTTCCTTGTGGCACCTCCAGATTTTCTGTATAATAGAGGCTTGTCTTGGTGGAAGGGTAGGAGAGAGGATAAGAGACCTTGTGAAGCTGTGAGCGTAATGTTTTTACCTAGATTTTGTGCTTATTATGATCGCCTGTGAACATCGAGGGGACTGTGTGGGCTAAAGTCCTCTTCTGCTTCTCTCTGTTCTTATTGCCCTTAGTTTTGGTGTAGAGCATGGGACAAGCACATGACAGGGAAGACCAAGCCCAATCAGCCTTTTTCCAGAACACAACCCTTTTGGAGAGTTATTTGCTGCATCCTGGTACTGTTTTTCTTCAGGCAAACCACGCTCGATCTTATGCAAATGGCTTCCCATTAAGATGGATAAAAATGGGCTCAGCTCCCCCTAGGTTCCAAGAGATGAGCACCATGGCTCATCTGTTAGGGCTGGAAAACAGAGCAGACAGGGCAAGAATGGGGAATGGGCGCCTGCAAACATTTGGCAGCAGTGCTCGGCTCTTCTATTTTAAGTAGCACAGTCCTAAGCCATGGAAGAAACTTCTCACATAAACACTGCCTTGTTAATTCCTCCCCAAATCCCCAGGAGGAGTGTAGGTGACAAATATTGTTACCCCACGATTCCAGATGGCAGACATGATGTCAGTCACTTGGCATCTTTTGTATCTCAAAGTCACAATGCTCTTTGGGGATACAGCTGGGGACAGAATACGGGACTCTGCCTCGTTTGTGCAAAGACAGCCCATGCTTCTATTGTGGCATGCAGGGCTGTCTCCTAACTCCCTGGCCATGTGACATTTTGACCTTTTGGAATACAGATGAGAAGCTCCTAGGGTTGAGTACCAGACTTTCCTTTTTGAATCAGGTACAAAGTGAGAGGCAGCCCCTCCCTGCCAACACAAACTATAGTCTTAGTCACAGAGATTGATTTTTTAAAGATGCTTTGAGGAGACTCTATAGAAAATTGAGAGATCACAGTAAAAACCGTCAACAAATAGCCACCAAAAATTCTTCCAATATTTGACTATGGGGAGAATGGCTACCCGCCTTTCAGAATGGCTCCTGCCCCTGGAAAAGTGATGAAAATATTTATGTTTCTTTTCTTGGCAGGAGCTTCTATCACTGGGCATCTGCTAGAGAGGTTTTCTTCCCCTGTTAGTTTATCCTTGGGAGCAATAAATGTAATGAGATTATGTTAATATCTTTATTGGATAAGGAAATCTTTCTTAAAAGGCAGAAACTAAACATCTAATGAACTCTTAGAAGGAGGAAGAAATCATTCCCTATGTGTTCTCCATGTTATAATTTATTTCTCCTATTTTACAAATAATTAAAGCAGATTATGAGTAATTTGCTGTAAGATCATTCCTGGCAAAAAGGAAAGCAGGGTGCAGAGATGGTGAGATTATAATTCATTGACTCTATGAGATAAGAAGATAATCAGTCAAATTCCTACCAACAGCTGTTTATACCCACAGGCCCTCTAATTTAAGACTGGGCAAGGTTACCAAGCAAATGTTGATAATGACTTGCAGGCCTTTGGCTGAGAGCTGGGCAGTCAGTGGAGATGTGGGGCCAATGAAGTGAGAACATCTTTTCTATCTTGATAAGAGAGCGTGTCAACTGCAGTGGGTGGGAGCACAGACAGGAGTAGCCCCCGAGCTGACTCTCTGCCCTGCCCAGGCAATTGCTATTGTAAGTCCTATGCAGAAGTGCAGTCGCCCTGAGGGACAGGCCAGATGGGCACCTGTGGTGAGAAGGAATAAGAGGGTACTCCTCACTGAACATCCCAAAGATGCTATACCTAAATAGAGGTGTGGAGAGGACAGAGGTTGACCAGCAGAGGAAGAGAAGGCTTCTTTCCTGCTAACGGAGCTGAGAATGACGTTGAAGATTTTGGGGGAAGAGGAAGGCAAAGGGCACCATTGTGAATGACCTCTGTCCTGACCCAATCCAGGTGGCGTGATCATGCCAGGGTTGTGAGCGAGAGGACCAAACAGGTGCAAGGGGATTTTCAAATGCTTCCTTTGTATTGAGGATTCCTTCTGCCAGGGGCAGGAGGTGAACCCAAGGATCATTGTAAACTGAAGGGTCAGGATGCCTGTGGCAGGGCTGCCTGCCCCGCAGTAACAGAAGACCTCGCTGGGTAGACTTTGTGGGCCAGAAAGTGACTCACAAAGCCATCGATACCTGCCTTCCTGGCAGAGCTGGAAGGTTCTGTCTTCTGGTGCCAAAGCTTTTCTCTAAGGAAGGCCTCAGGGCAGCTCTTTGAAACTCATTTTATTGAGTCATTTTGATTAGGGGCATTTCCCTGTGGAATAAATAGATTTGTCCTAGGCTGTAAATCTTGCTTCTTGTTTTCTATCTTGTATTGACTGTGGATAGGTTTATCTGGTAGCCCAGGAGAAAGTGTTTTTCCACATGGAGCCAAATAACAGCCTGTATATGGAACAAATAATTTTGTGCTTTAACCAAATATACTGTCTGATATCATTGCAGTCACCTAGCAAATTTCTGGGGCCCTACAAGTAAAGGAAGCATGTGAGGACATTCAGCAGTTGCAAGCTTCCTGACAAAGTTGAAATCATCTTTCACTTGGTACCCATGTCCTCCTCTTCTCAAGCTGCCCATCACAAAGAACGACCAAGCTGGCTGTCAGCTCAGTTGCCTGAACAGTATCCAAACCATCAGAACCACCTCCACCCTCCCTTCGTCTTCCCACCATCTCACGAGAAACCAAATCTCCGTCTGTCAATTGCACTGTTTTCTCAGGGTTTTACAGGGAATCAGACCAATAGGATCTATTATAAGGAATTGGCTCACATGATTATGGAGGTTGACAAGTCCAAAGTTTGCAGAATTGATGTCTCAGTTTGAATCCTAAATCTGGTAGACAGGAAGATTTCTCTCCTACTTGGGAAAGGATCAAACTTTTATTCTATTCAGACCTTAGACTAATTGGATAAGGGCCACTCATATTATAGAGGATGATCCTCCTGACTCTATTAATTTAAGTGCTAATCTTATCCAAAAACACCCTTACAGAAACACGCAGGACAAAGTTTGAACGAATATCTGGGGAGCCATGGCTCAGTCAAGTTGAACGTAAAATTAACCATTGCACACACCTTCTTCACATCTCTCCAATTCATCCATCTCTCAATTTAGTTCTGGCAAAGTTGTCCCTTACTTGCCTGCATTGTTACAACAACCTCTTAGCTCACCTGAAGTCTTTATTCTTATTCATACCAACTTTCCCTAGACCACCCTACACCATTCTTTGAAATTCTTCAATATAGCCTACCTATCAAGTTCGGATTTCTTAACATACTCTACAAATGCTCTAAGAATGGACTGACCATGCCTCTTCTTCCTCCCCTCATTCACCCAGCCTAATCCTTCTACTGAACTCATGCTCATCACCTTCTCTGCATCCTCCGGTGTTCTCTCTTATCCATGCTTTTGAGTAAGGGTATTGTTCTATTTGACATACACTTCCCTTTCTTTATTCCCTGGCCAATATCTATTCATCCTCCAGGATTGAGCCAAGGATTATTCCTTTCTGATGAGCTTTTCTTGACCTCCTCGCAACCAGTCAGCTCTCGGTGTCCCATTTATGGACTCGATAGACTCTCTTGTGCCTTTCTGCAACTGCATACTTAGCTTTTGGCCAAGCTCAGTCTCTGTGCTACATTAGACTCTGCATGGCTCAAGGTAGGAATTACATGGCCCAGGACTCCTGCTGGTCTCTGCCACAGCCCTTGGGCACGTGGGACACACATTGCACCTGAAATTAAAAATTAGACAAAATGATGACAGAAAGTACTCAGGATCTGAAATCAGAATGTGTGGGTCTAAGGCCCAGTGCTGCTGGCAGACTGGTGAGGTGATCTTGCTCAAACAATTTCATGTTCCTGAGCCTCTGTTTCTCCTGCTGGGTGGAGATGAGCTTCACTCTCTGAAGACCCTTATGTGTGGATGGAAGGGTTTAGTGGGTCAGGAACCCTATCTGAACAACAAAAGCCAAGGAAATGCCTTGTAACAGCCACTTTTCTGCCTCGCCGATGAGGCGCAGCAGGCATGGTGGTCAAGGGCATGGGTTCTGGAGTCACCCTTCTGGGGCTCAGATGCTGGCTTGACCACTACCTGTGTGGACCCCAGGCAGGCCAATTCCTCTATGCCTCAGGTCTCGGGTCTATGACATGGTTGTGAGTGCTAATAACCACAAGGCTCACTGCAGACGCTTGCTGTGAAGTGCGGTAACACGGGAGGGTACTCAGAACAGTGCCTGGCACGGAGTAAGCCATGGTGATATTGCCTGTTGTTGTTGCTGTTACTATTACCACCTGGGTATTAAGAGCACAAACTGTGGTTCCTGGCGCTGCCATTTCCTTTCTTGTGACATGGGTGGAGTTAACCTCCCTGGGCTTCCTCATCTGTAAAGGGTGTAATGACATTGTAGTCTGAGGTCACACGCCTGGAGATGCCCTACTTTCCCACCCAGGCCCTCTGAGCTGAGTGGTGGCCAGGCAGTGGCTCACTAGGGCTATTGCTCTTTCAAAGCCCCCAGAACATGAGTAGCCTCTCCTTCAAGTCCAGGGCTCCTGACCTGAGAGACCTGCGCAGCAGGGTGGGGCACGGTAGGTGCTGATGATTTGCAGGGCTCAAAACTCAGGCCAGGCATGGAGCAGCCTCAGCAGAATAAGCCCGAGGTTGCAGTACCCAGGGCTCTCCCAGCACACAGAAGCTTCGTGTTTCCTTGTTCTGCCATCACTCATTATCTTGGGTGCAAAGGGCTCTAGAGTGCCTCCTTGACCTTGTCTGGGCAGAGTCAATGACACCACGCACGGCCTGCCCACCATCACCGCTTCCCTCCATGCTGTGTGTGTGATATCTCATTACAGCCACTCTGCCCCAAGTCCCGCTGATGGGACTTTTGGGAGTGGAAAATGCAGAGGTCAGCTTTATCTCAGACCTTTATTTCCATTTAATTACACTCCTGCTATCTTCGTGTCCACACTCAGTCTTGTTCGTAAATGAGTCTTTTCTCCCCGTTTTTGTCTCTCATCTCAAGATCTAGCTGACTTAAGCAGTTTAGTCCTAGTTTATTAACTTCTTTCATTTCTACTCATTAACTGAATATTGTTTCTCTCTTTCTTCATTATAGATTGCTCCACCCCCTATCATTAATGCTTCCCACCTCACAATGGGTCACACACGTAGGGAGGGATCGATAAGCCATGATTAGTATTATTATTCACACAGAAAGCAATTATGGCAGACCAGAAAGTTCTAGAAAGAGCTAGAGTGGTTCCCAGCAAACAACAGTTCGTGAAAAGGTATCTGGCACCCTATTGGGCTCAACACCAAGTAGCAGGAAGATAATACATGGTGTTCAGAGCTCTTGGGCTCAGGGTTTCAGTTCCATGGACTGCTGATTACATAGATGACTTTGGGAAAGTTACATGGACTCTGTTAGGCTCCGTCTCTCCGTCTGTAAAATGAGAACGATAAACCCAATACTGAATGTGGCACAAGGATGCATTCAGTACCCAGGCCATTGCCAAGCCAGAGGAGGGCTCCATGAAAACCCCTGGTGCCCCAGCTGTGACTGGCGGCCTCTACTGCTGAATTTGGCCAGAGGTCCTAATAGTCACCTCCCTTGGCATCACCTGGTTCGGCAGAGATTAAGAGCTTTATTTCTGTTGGACAATGAACTCTGGGAAACAGAAGTGCTTCACTGTGGCTTCTTTGTCAGCCCTAGAGTATGGCTCACGTTGTTGGCTGCTGGAGAGAAAAAGGGCCAAATGAAAGGAGCAGTTCACATCACATTCCTTCTCTCAGACAGGGCTCCAGAGTGCCTGGCAGCCTCTAATCTCTAGGGGCAGAGCTTTCCTGGGGCATCACGAAGAAGCCACCGCAGTGAGGATAAGGACTTGGCCGCTGCAGGCAAGAGTTGTCAGGCACCAGCTCTGCTGTGGCCAGTGGTAAATGCAGACCTCGACTTTTCAGATGCTTGTTTATGTGCTGTTCATTTGTTTACCAAAGCAATAATAAAAGGCATATTTTGAATAATAGGATGATAGGGGGTGCTGACTCAAGATTCTTTTAAAAGCCTCTCCTGCAGGAGTAATCAAGTTCTGCTACAAAGTTCTATGGACAATACTTACAGGTTCCAGTTTTATTTAGAATGACAGCTGTGACTCTTAAAAATACTATAACATATAAATTTACTCCGTTTGGTAGCAATTTAGAAATTGGCATATTGTATTGTAAGCATATTAAACTGGAGAGTCACAGCTGGTCAACTCTAACTCTATACTGTTCACTTTTAAGAAATGTTATCCACTTACTTATGCATTTGCCTGTTTATTTTGTGTATGCTGCCGGGCTTGTGATAGATATCAGGCTCTGTACCAAACCTGAAAATACAACCGTGAATAAGGAATGGATGCTGCCCTCAGGTATCTAAATGCCTAGGGCGAGAGTGATGCAAATAAACACAGATACATTCCTGGCATGCAATAGAAGGTCACATGGTAGTTGTGGTATACGGAGGAGGAACTGTTCTCAATGCTGAGAATGTTCTCTATTTGCTACTGACAGACAAGGGGGAGCAAGAGAATTAGGCCCATTCCACATGGTAAGCAATATTTACCGAAAATTATACATGTTTTTATGTATACTATAGGTGAATTACATTTTTAATGTCAAATGCTGCTGTTTAGGTTTTGGATTTTGAGTTTTTAATTTTTAAAATTAGTTTTAAAACCACAATAAAATATGATGTAAAAAACATCACAGACATCAAACAGATAAAATGGGGAAGTCCCCTCTGTATTCCTCTAATATTCCTGTTGGCCATTTTCCAAGGTAACGACTTCTTAAAAGTCTGGTGTGTTTGCTCATATATAGATGTTTTAAGTAAATATGTGTACATGTACGCACGCACACACAAACATGCATCCTTTATAAACGGTATCACACCATGCAGTTGGTTTAAGCTGATCTTGAAAGCAGGCTGTGTATTCTCCATATGTATACATCCAGACATTCCATTCTCTTATCTAACTGGCCACTACTTTAGGAAATTGGGAGGCTCTTATAATGTGAGTCTTTTTTTTTTTTTAGATTGAATTCACATAACACAAAATTAGCCATTTTAAAGTGAACAATTCAGCGGTATTTAGTACCTTCACAATATTGCATCACCCACCCCTCTGCCTAGTTTCAACACATTTTCATCCCCTATCAATATAACAAAAAAGATATTAGAAAGAAATGTCTCCAAATATGTGGAATTTATCTGGGAATGAGGAAAGAGGTTCATAATTCAGGATGCACATAGTGGCAAGTGACAAGTGCGCTAGTGGCAGAAAGGGAAAGAGGAGATTTTTTTTTTTTTAATTTATTTTTTGAGACAGAGTCTGGCTGTGTTGCCCAGGATGGAGTGCAGTGGCGCTATCTCGGCTCACTGCAAGCTCCGCCTCCCGGGTTCACGCCATTCTCCTGCCTCAGCCTCCTGAGTAGCTGGGACTACAGGCGCCCGCTACCATGCCCAGCTAATTTTTTCTATTTTTAGTAGAGACGGGGTTTCACCGTGTTAGCCAGGATGGTCTCGATCTCCTGACCTCGTGATCCACCCGCCTCGGCCTCCCAAAGTGCTGGGACTAAAGGTGCTCACCACCACGCCTGGCTAATTTTTTCTATTTTTTTAGTAGAGATGGGGTTTCATCGTGTTAGCCAGGATGGTCTTGATCTCCTGACCTCGTGATCCAGAAAGGGGAGCTTTTATTGGCAAAAAGGAAAAGTTCTGCCAAGCTGCTTTGGAACACAGTTCATTCCGGAGGCCCAAAGCCAGAGTCACTTTTGGTTCATGGGTGGAGTTGCCCTTCCTGGGCACGTGTTCTTTTGAGAGCATCTTATCTGAGTGACTGCAGTCCTCAAGAATGTCTAGTGATAATATGTCTATGTGTGTAAAACGTGCAAGCCATACACCGCAGGAGATGTGTGAAGGACGCGAGATGCTTTCTTGTGGTGTATTAGAACGTGCTTGGAAACAGTTCTGATCCCAGACACGCAAGCGTGAGCCCCTCCCTCCTGCCTTCCTGGCCTGATTTTGCCTGGATGTGAGAAAAGTGATTTCATCGTAGTGTCTTTCACACTCTCCCGATAGAAAGTCTCACATCCATTAAATAGTTACTTCCCATTCCCCGTAGCTATAGCCACCACCAATCTGTTTTCGTTCTCTAAGGATTAGCCTCCTCTGGATATTTCTTTCATACAAATGGAATCATAATATACGTGACCTTTTGTGTCTGGCTTCTTTCACTCAGCATAATGTTTACAGGGGTCCACAACCCCTGGGCCGCCAATGGTACCGGTCTGAGGCCGTTTAGAAACCCGGCCGCACAGCAGGATGTGGGCAGTGGTGAGCCAGCATTAGAGCCTGAGCTCCGCCCTCCCATCAGCTCAGCCGCAGCCTTAGGTTCTCCTGGGAGCGCGAACTGTGCATGTGAGGGATCTGGGTTGTGTGTTCCTTATGAGAATCTAACTAATGCCTGATGATCTGAGGTAGAACAGTTTTATCCCTACAGCACACCTCGCACCCCAGCCCACGGAAACATTGTCTTCCACGAAACCAGTCCCGGGTGCCAAAAAAGCTGGAGAGTGCTGATGTTTTCGAGGTCATTACCGTTGCATGTATCAGTACTTCATTTGCCTTATGACGGGATACTGGTCTGTTGTACGTGTATTTTGCGTGTTTTCTGGAGCTGCCAGAAACTGGTGTCTTAGACAACAGAAATCTATTGACTCATGGTTCTGGAGGCCAGAAGCCCCATATCAAGGTGCCAGCAGGGTGGGTTTCTTCTGAGGATTCCATCCCAAGCCTCCCTCCAGCTTCGGGGTCTGCTGGAAGCGGCCTGTGGCAGCACAAGGTGGGTCTCCACACGACGCTCTCCCTGTGTGTGCGTCTGTCTCCAGGTTTCTCTTGTTGTAAGAGCGCCAGTCATATTGCATTAGAAACTCATGCTCCTCTGGCATGATCTCATTTAATTAATGACATCTGCAAATACCCTATTTCCACATAAGGTCACATGCCAAGGTACTGGGGAGTAGGACTTTAACATAGGAGTGTCTTCGAGGGAGGCAAAATGTATTATGACATAAAGGATATACCACTTTGTGTTGATCCATTCATCAGCTGATGCACATTTAGGTTATCTTCACCTTTGAGCTACGGTGCATCATGTTGCTATGAACATTTGGGTAGCAGTATTTGTTTGAGTACTTGTTTTCACTTCTTTAGGGGTATATGCCTAGGGGTGGGATTACTGGATCACTTGCCAACTCTATATGCACTGTTTTACCATCCTACCAGAAATGTCTGAGGGTTCCGATTTCTCCTTCTTTTTTTTTTTTTTCTTTTATTCTTCTTTTGAGACAGAGTCTTGCTCTGTCACCCAGGCTGGAGTGCAATGCTGCAATCTCAGCTCACTGAAACCTCCGCCTCCCAGGTTCAAGCGATTCTCCTGCCTCAGCCTCCCAAGTAGCTGGGATTATAGGTGCCTGCTACTGCATCCGGCTAATTTTTGTATTTTTAGTAGAGATGCGGTTTGCCATGTTGGCCAGGCTGGTCTCAAATTCCTGACCTCAGGGTATCCACCTGCCTTGGCCTTCCAAAGTGCTAGGATTACAGGCGTGAGCCACCATGCCTGGCCAATTTCTCCCCATCTTTGCTAACACATATTATCTTTCATTGTTTTAAAAATATTCTAGTGAGTGTGAAGGGGTATCTCATGATGATGTTGGTATCATCGTGGATTTTAACCAGCAGATTCCTGGAGAGCATTCAGGTTGTCTCCAGACTTTGGCTGTTAGCACATTAGTGTAATGAAATCTTGGTACATTTGATATTGGGGATGATTTGTGAGCATTGTTTTAGGATAGAATCCTAGATGTGGAATTGCTGAAGGATGTGTATTTGTATCTGAAAATTTGATAAATATTCCCAAATTGACAAACAATTTTAATAATTTATATTTCATAAAGTATTTAACAATGCATTTTCAGTCTTTTGACAGTTCTGTCTTTCAATTCATTAAAATTCTTGCCAATAATAGTATAATATTTGTAAATTCCCTTTCTCCCTGCCCTTGCCTCTGCCTCTCTCTTTCTCTCTGCAAATGTGGCACAGTTCAAGCACAAGGTATCTGGAAGTTCATCATATATTCTTAATATATTAATACTTCCATTTATAAAATATCATCAGTGAAGACAGATCATTTGACTTCTTTTTTTTCTATTTGGCTGACTTTAATTTTTTCTGTTGGTTGATTGCTCTGCCTAGGACTTCCAGTGCTACACTGATAGGAGGTGGCGAGAGTGGCCATCCTTTTATTGTCCCAGTTCTCAAGGGCAATGGTTCTAGCTTTCGCCTATTCAGTATGATATTGGCTGTGGGTTTTTGCGAGATGGCTCTTATTGTTTTGAGATATATTCCTTTGATGCCTAGTTTGTTGAGGGTTTTTCTCATGAAGGAATATTGGATTTTTCTGGATCTATCGAGATGATCATGTGTTTTTTGCTTTTAATTCTGTTTATGTGGTGAATCACATTTATTACTTTGCATATGTCAAACCAGCTTTTCCCCCAGAAATAAAGCCTACTTGATCATAGTGTATTAACTTTTTGACATACTGCTGGATTCGGTTTGTTAGTCTTTTGTTGAGGATTTTTGCATCTATGTTTATCAGGATTATTGGCCTGAAGTTTTCTTTTCTTGTTGTGTCTCTGCCAGACTTTGGTATCAGGCTGATGCTGGCTTCATAGAATGATTTAGGGAGGAACCCCTCCTCCTTGAGTTTTTGGAATAGTTTCAGTACATTGCTAGAATTCAGCTGTGAATTCTTCTGGTTCAGGGCTTTTCTTATTTGGTAGGGTTTTTTAATTTATTATTACTGATTCCATTTCAGGACTTGTTATTGGTTTTTTTAGGTTTTCATGTTCTCAAAAGGAGACTTACAAGTGGCCAAGAAACGTATGAAAAATGCTCGTCACCACTAATCATCAGGGAAATGCAAATCAAAACTACAATGATAGCGTCTAGCACCAGTCAGAATGGCTATTATTGAAAAGCCAAATAATAACAGATGCTGGTGAGGCTGCAGGAAAAAAGGAATGCTTATACACTGTCAGTGGGAGTGGAAATTAATTCAGCTACTGTGGAAAGCGGTTTGAAGATTTCTCAAAGATTTCTAAAAACAGAACTACCATTCAATGCAGCAATCCCATTACTGGGTGTATGCCCTCCCCCTCAGATAAATCGTTGTACCAAAAGGACACATCCCATTACTGGGTATATGCCCTCCTTCTCAGATAAATCTTTCTACCAAAAAGACCCATGCACTTGTGTGTTCATCACAATAGCAAAGACATGGAGTCAACCTAGGTGTCTATGAATGGTGGATTGGATAAAGAAAATTGGTACATATACACCATGGAATACTATGCAACCATAAAAAAATGAAAACACGTCCCTTGCAGCAACATGGATGTAGCTGGAAGACAGAATCCTAAGTGAATTAATGCAGGAACAGAAAACCAAATACCACACATTCTCACTTATATGTGGGAGCTGAACATTGAGTGCTCATGGATATAATGGTGGAAAAAAGAGACCCTGGAAAATGCTAGAGGTGGGAGAGATGGAAGGGGTTGTGGGTTGAACTACCTATTGGGTACTTTGTTCACCACCTGGGTGATAGGATCCATACCCCAAACCTCAACATCATGCAATGTACTCCTGTAACAAACCTGCATATGTACCTTTCATATGTACCTTTCAACCTCAAAAAACCTGCATATGTACCTTTCAGCCTCTAAAAAGTTGAAATTATCTAAAAAGCTTCTGATGTCAAAATAACTATTTAATTAAAATAGAACCCCAAATGCTAATTTGTTTGTAAAAATTTGCTTTGATTTGATTGTTTCTGTTACTATTTTTACTGAACATCCTTTTATGTTTCATCTTCCTGTTTTATTTTCTCCTCTGTGATGACCTATTTTTATTTATATTTTGGGGGGATTATCCTGCTTTCTTTCTAGAGACCTGGGTGAAGTCTTGATATATTGGTGATCCTGACCTTTGCTTTTTTCGTCAGATATAGTACTTTTTTCTCTAAGTTTTTCTCAGACACATCAAACTCATTCTAGTCTTTGGTTTTGCATTGCTATTCCATCTGCCTAGAAGCTATAGACTGATGGATTTCTATTTTATCCAAAGGGCTACAATCTGTAACTAGTAGTATTTATTTTGACGAAATGTCCCAGGGTTGGCCAGCAAGACCCCCTTTAAGTTGGCTACTGTGTCCTTTGGAGGGTTTCTATCCTTGTGGAAGAACCAATAGATCAGCAGAAGATACTGTGAGGTGGAAACACCTATGAGGCATCGGTCTAGGAGCCAAAGCCCTAGCCCTTTCCTGTCCACACACCCTCATTCCCAGTACCCAGAACAGTGCCTGGCTCTTAATACGTGTTTTGAAGGGATGATGACTAACTGAGTGAATGAATGTGTGGACACCCCGCCTAGAAGATCATTCTCTCTTTTCCCAACTACTTATCTTTCCTGAGTGCCCCGCAGGTCTCTCACGTAGCCAAAGCCCTTTGTTGCAGGGCCCTCGTGTTTCTGGAACATGCCTCTGTTGTAACATAGTATTGCAATCTAGGCATCTTATTTTTTCTATATGATGAATATGAGACAAATTCCTGTGTCTTATTTATGTTTGCATTGCCAGTAAATGTTATACAGAACCTAGTATTACAGCCTCTAAAAGTATTTATTTTAGTTAGAAGACTCAAGAGACAGCAAGGATAGAATAAAAATAGATCATGCTGCCATGCTCTTCTTAGTGGATTTTGATGGCATCTAAGATCATGGCCATCTGATCAGCCTACCTGGGTTTCTGACAACACTGGCTCAGAAGAGGGCTGACAAAATTTACGGTGAAGATATTTCATCCTCCCCTGAGAACTTGTAAAGAGGCCATTTGCAGGAGGACCTGAGGAGCCTGTGAGTGGGAGCTCTTCCCAAGAGAAAAGAGAGTTAATCTAACACTTCCAGATTAATCTAATTGGCTCAACCCAATGCCAGGGCACTATAGTCACAGAGGTTAGATCATTTTGAGAACTCTGGTGTTGAGGTAAGAGACTGGTAAGACTAATTTCCTGGTCCCTATGGGATAAAGTGAAAAAACCAGCAGAAATAAGCAGGTAGCAATGAAAGCTATCCCTAGTAGCCCTCATTGTTCATTAGCATAGGACACTCATATCAGCACCATGACAGTTTACAGGTGCCATGGCAACGACCAGGAAGTTACTGTTCTTTTCCTAGCTAATTCTAAATAACCCACCCCTCAATTTGCAATAACCCCACCCTTAAATTGCATGTAGTTGAAAATGGGTATAAGTGGGTATAAATACAGTTGCCAAGAGCCCATACACTGCTGACTGTGGGAATAGTGACTATGTGTTAGCCCTGCTGTGCGAGGAGCAGTGCCATTCAATAAGATTGCTGTCTAATGTCACCGGCTCACCCTTGAATTCCTTTCCCTGGTGAAGCCAAGAACCTTCCTGGGCTATGCCTCAGTGTGGGGGCTTACCTGTCCTGCATCAGAATCTGTCACCTGATTTTTTTCTTCTGATGCAGCTAAAACCAATTCGCTTCGTTTGAACCCTGTGGAGGACATGGCTGATGATGAAAGTAAAAATAAAATCATCCGACTGCATTATCAGGTACCTCTACTTTGAAGCAGAAAGTCTGGTATTTTAGACTCATGCCGATGAAATGAAAATGAGGAAAAACAAAACCAAACCAAACCCTAGAGAGTCGTGTTCCTTCTTATTGTAACTAACTTTTTGTTTCACCGTAATTCTTTATTGAACTTGAATAATACTTGAACAAGAGCAGTTTGGAATATTTGGCTTTTAATATCTTGCTCTATTTAGAGATCTCAAAATAAATGTTTGCAAAGGAGTCCCGCTGTCATTTCATAAACTGATGACTCCTTCATTAGAAAGGGCAATTTTACACTTGAGTTTCATTTTGGATATTCAGGTGCTAATATTGTGTATTCTGTTTGACAGTGTAAAATGCTCTTCTGTTCCACCAGTGAAAAGGGCAGCTCTACAAAAAAAAAAAAAGTCTCTTTATTGCTTGTCTTGATATTGCTAGCTAGCTGAGGAGAATGCTAAAAGAAACAATTTCCCTCCCATTCCCTGTAGAAGACACCCTGTAGCTTTGACCCAGAAGCTTCAAGAACGTCAGAGGAGAAGATAGGAGCAGAAGAGCTCTGTGCAGGTGACCAGAAGAAAAAGACTGAAGCTCAACATGAAGCTAAGGAAGAAAACAAAAGCAAAAGCAAAACCCTGAGCAGGCATGGAGTGGCTTAGTCTTGCTGTCCTGTCTGAGTTCTGAACACATGTAATATCCCGTCACCAATTCCAGAAATACTTGAGAGATCTGAGATCCTGCCAGTGCCTCTGAATCACAGTGTTGTTGGGAAGGCAGCCTCTCCCGAACCCAGGGAAGCCTGGCACGCTATCAGCTAGATTATGTCATAGACATGCTATGGTTTTAGTAGTTGTGAATGTAATTTCTCTATTTCATTTTGTAATTGGTTATTACTGGCAAAAGCAAAAATGCAACTGATTTTTATATGTTTATATTTTATATAGCAATCTTGCTGAACTATCATTTCCCAGCCTTCTTGGCAAGAAAAACCATTGTGCTTGATGGGTAATGCTTTTTTGTTAGTATTATTGTAGCTATGCCTTTCTATTCTTTGGTAGTATTATCATAGTATTATTGTAGCTATGCCTTTCTATTCTCTTAGTCATTACCCTTAATTTTATCTATCAGCCTAACAATAAGTAGATATTGATTATTTCTGCCCTGGTTGTGGTCTTATCCAATAAACTGTACATAGGCTGTGGCTGGTGACATTCCATTGTGGGTAGTTCTGCAGAGAAACCAATTCTGTGATTCAGGAGGGCTGGGAGACTCTCTGAAGTGATACCCTGGAGCCAGGGAGGTAGGGTTTCCCCCATCCGTCCTGGGACAGAAAGGCACAGCTGAGGGCCTTTGGTTGCTTGGTGACCATCCTCATTATGGATGCAAGAGAGGCAGAAGAAACTGTATAGGGAGCTGAGATTTCATTTATTTCAGCTACTGGCAGGTGCCAAGGGTCATGCTGTCAGAGGCAGGGCTGATATGCAGAGAGTGCAGGACATGAGAATATGCACAGGGCAATGGGGTGCAGGTGCCAGGGACTCAGTGACTGGGTGGGTGCAGGGAAGGGATGGGTGCAGGGGTACAGGACTGCATGGACCACTTCAGGCTTGGCCCTGGGCTCTCCAGCACCCATACACAGAGCACGTGTATCTCCAAGACAGGGAATCAATTAGTATTAATTATCTTCTTTGCACTAGGCATTGCTTTTATTAAAATCTTGTAAATCGATAACATCAACACAAAAGGAGTGCAAATGATCCTTACCCCTATTCCCACAGCAGTTGTTTATATTTTAAATCTAACAGAACCTTAAAAATATGTATTTAAAAAGGTGAATTTCTTTGCATAGCTCTTATGAGAAAACAGAGTGGTTTCTACAATTTATTGAGAAAATCGTTGGGCTTTTGTCCTTTAACCTGTTAATGCTGAGAATAACGTGTATAGACTTTCTAATATTAAATCCTATTTCTATTCCTGCAATAAGTGCAATGTAGACACTGGGATTACCATTTTTTATATACACTGTTGGATTCAGTTTGCCAATATTTTATTTAAAGGATATTGAAACAGTGTTCAGGAGTGAGTCTGACCTGTAATATTTTTTTCCTTTTGTTGTTTGCTTTTCTTTCATGTGCTATTTTTGTTTGGCTTGAGTATCGAGGCATACTGATCTCATAGAAAGGTTTGGAATATTTTTCCTTCCTATGCACTGGGAGAATTTGTATAAGGTTAAAACTTTGGTATAAGTGTCCTATAAAACCATGACAGCTTGGTATTTTTCTCTGTAGGAAGATTTTTAACTGATGCCTCAAAATATTTGCTAGTTCTAATGTTATTCACAATTTTCTGTAGATTCAGTTTTGCTAAGTTATATTTTCTAGAATGTCTTCATTTTGTTTAAGTTTTCAGATTGACTAGCAAAACGTTATTCGTGTCATATTTTCACTTTTGCTTTATCTGCAGTCACGTCTACTTCCATTCCTAGTATTGCTTATTTTGCCCTTTTATTCTCCTGATCAATTTTACTAGACATTTGTCTATTGCATTAACCTTTTCAAAGTGCCAAGTTTTGGTTCTATTTCTCTACTGAATATTTATTTAATTGATTTCCAGTCCCCTTTATTATCTCCTTACATTTACTTTATTTGGGTCTATGCAATGATTCACTTTCTAACTTTTTAAGCTGTATGCTTAACTCATTAATATTTAGAGTTTCTTCTTTTAAATAAAAGAGTGTAAGGCTAAAATAGTCCCTGTAAGTGTTAGTTTATTTGCATCTCACAAGTTTTAATGTAGTATTTTCATTATCATTAAATATTTCTAAATTTCCATTTCAATTTCTTCTTTGTCTTATGAATAATTTAAAAGTGGGTCTTTTATTTTCAAATAGGTAGAGGACTTTCACTTTCCTTTCTCTTACTGATCTCTAACTTAATTCCATCATAGTCACACAATATAATCTGTAGGATACAAATTATTTGAAATCGTTGAGACTTGTCTTACATTTTCCAACATGGCCAATTTTGGTAAATGTCTCGTGTGTGTTTCTGAGACCAATGTGATTCCACAATTGTTGGATGCAGAATTCTATATATGTCCATTAAATCATGCTGATGATGTGGCTCAAAACTTCTATAGCTTTGATAATTTTTCCTGTTTGACATACCGTAATTGAGAAGGTGTTGAAAGATCACACTAGGATGATACATTGTTCATTTTCTCCCTATATATCTGTCAATATTTAATTCAGGTATTTAGTAACTGTTGACAGACTTCCCAGAGGTTTAAAATTGTTAAATTCTATTATTGAATTATTTTTAGAAATCATTTTTTAGTGACTCTCTATGATTAAAATTCTTTGTGCCTTAAAGTTTTTTAACTGATATTAATACAGTGATCTCAGTTTTCTTTTGATTAGCATTTGCCAAATGTACTTTTCTTTTTTTTTCTTTTTTACTTTAATGCTCTTTGTGCCTGTAAGTGCAAATGTATCTCTTACATATAGCATACAATTGGATTTTTTAAAAAATCTAATCTGGTGATCTTTAATTTTCACTGTTGGGTTTAGTCCATTTATTTTAACTCTATTCAAATATCTGGACTTGCTTCTCTGTCATCTTAAAATTGAAAATACTTTTAAATAAGGAGCCTTGTGATTTCATTTTGCATTGAGCCTCACAAATTTTGTAGCTGTCCCTGCAGGAGGGGAGCGTGCTGGCTGTGCAGGGGAGGCCAGCACCAAGCCTGGGAGGTGGACGTTACCTGGGTGAGTTGGAATGGATTCTGAGTTCCTGGGCATTTTCTTTCCTGCTGATGATCTGATTCTCTTCCTATGCCATAGTTTCTTTAAGAACTGAATTTATAGAACATTCATTATAGGCTAGGTGTTGTGCAAACAGGCATTTAATTCTCACAATAACACTATGGGCAGAATTATTAGCCTCTATATAAATGGGGTATAATAATTTCCCAGGCTTATAAAGCTTTATAGCCAAGGAAATGGAAGCTCGGAAGTTATGTAACTTGCAGAAATTTAACCCCGGCCAATGGCAGGACCCAGATCCAACCTCAGGCATGTGTCACAGTGACATTCTTCAACCCCTTCCAACTGACAGCTTGTTTTCTGACCTGGGTTTAGCAAAATGCTTGTTCCAGAATTGGTTTCCTGATGATCCCAATCTCCCCTTGCCTTCCTGTGTGCTGTGTTTGTTTCTCCAGAAGTCCTATCCTCCATTTTTGTTTTCAGGTGTGATACCATCCAATGCCAATGACCCCAGCCACTGTGTTCAGGTAGAAAGGCATGACTCCCTGCGCCATTAGGATTTCTGGAGCTGCGTCGGCCTGTTGCACCTGGCTGCCTGCCTCCATCTACAGGGTCATAGCTTGGCACTGGTACTTTACTGAACCACCCAACTGTTTACTGGAGGTTCCCTTGCTCCTTTCTGGGATGGCCCAGGTCTTTGCTCTACCTCAACCTCCTTGCTCTATTCAACAACGTTTGACTGGATGGACCTATAGAACAAGATTAATGCGTTTTGTTTTTGTCTCCCAAATTCTAGCCCAGATTGAAGGACCTGCTGCTTTGAAGGATGTTGGTTTAGCTTCCAAATTATTATTGTTATTGGCCTCCTCCTTCTGTTTTAATTTTACAGTTAGACTCCTTTTCTACTTTTCACCTGGGTACGTAGAGTGCCCATCCTTTTGGCCTATTGAAACACTGGGGTCATGAAATCTTTTGACAGTCCACTAAAAAATATTATCTCCCCTTTCCCAGTCCCCCTTATCTCATTCTACTCTGCTGTCTCAATCTGGAGTCAGCTCAGCCTCCACCCAGGAGCACAACCCTGAAGAAGACAGACAGAGGGCATGTGCACACATCTACACAATGCACACAGTTCATTTCCTCCTCCAACTGAATCCCTGCACTGCTGTTCCACACTCGTTCCCTCACTGACCCCTTAACAGAAATTCCTACTGACCTGTCCTGTGGGCAGAATTACCTTTCAGCACCCACCCACTGCTGTCAAACCACCACAGCCCTGCTCCTTTACGGCCCTACGTAAACCAAGTGGTTATTTCACTTCTGATGTCCTTCTATGATGATGACCGTGCTATTACACTGTAAACTCCAGGAGGGGAGAAACTATGATTTCCAGTTCTTTAGAATAACTGTAGAAACTGGTGTATCACTTGTGCTTAGTAAATGCTTTTGTGGGTGAATCTTAACTATTCAGTTAGAAAATCTTACAAAGCCTGACGCTGTCTCAGCTGCAAAAAAAAAAAAAAAAAAAAAGCCGTGAGTTCTGCACAGTTACAAATTACGTTTCAAACCAGCTCTGCATGTTATTAAAGCATAGAGAATGCTGTTTTAGTCAGTTGTATTATATGCGTTTGTATATAAATTCACAGGCTCTTGGTGTGTGTTTCATAAACTATTGTTTTTACACCTATGTGCTTGACTCTTTGTTAATATTTTATTCAACCTGTTATAAAAGTAAAACTAAACAGTTGTTATGACCATGTTCTAAAGTATCCTTCTCTTGAATAAATACTTTCCATATTGTGCATATTGTGTAGACTACAGTTGTAATATAAAATGTTACTACTTTTATTTTTATGTGTGCTAAGCAATTTGGTGTTTGGAATCTCTTGAATTTCTCTTTTCAGTAAAATTCTCCTGGTAATGCATTTGGAACAGGAATTTCATTATTATTTATTTACTTATTTATTTAGAGACAGAGTCTCACTCTGTTCAGCCTCCCAAGCAGTAGCTGGGATTACATGTGTGTGTTACCATGCCCGGCTAATTTTTGTATTTTTAGTAGAGAGGGGATTTCACCATGTTGGCCAGGCTGGTCTTGAACTCTCTACCTCAGGTGATCTGCCTGCCTCGGTCTCCCAAAGTGCTGGGATTACAGGTGTGAGCCACCACACCCAGCATGGAATTTTATTATTTTTATACTTTTCTTCTCCTTATGTTGTTTCTGAATTCCTTAATTCTTTTTCCTGTTCCATGTCAGGTTTTCAACTTCTGCCGGTAATAAAGCATGTTAATTCTTCCTAATGTGGACCATCCCGACATTGGTAAGCTAACTTGGCCATCCTCATGGACTGTGTCACTTTTTAGCCTTCTTTTCTTATTTGTACCTTTTAAATACTTTTTGATGGTCGTCTGCATTCCACTCATATCCTGCATTGAAAGTGAATAGGGTTTACCATAATATATGCTAAAGGAGAAACATTTGTTCTCTTCCATTAATATGCTATATATTTTAAGCATTAGGATTACAGATACCTTTAAAATACAGTATTATTTTTTAATATAATGACAGGCTTAGCTGGTTCTCTTGCAAAGATTAGGAATCAGGTTACTTTCTTTTTGTAGCTTCTAAAACAATTTTATTTTTCATCCTTCTTGAGACTCCATTTTTTAAAAATCTAGGGACATCGAGCCACTGTAACAAAAATAAAATCAATTGGTGACCAAGTATAAGTCCCTTAATGAGACTATTTTAGACTTTTTTTCTGAAAACTAAAACTACAGAAGTATAAGATACAGTTTAATTAGGGAAGAGGAAAATATAATTGTACTCAGTAGGAGGCAATGAATAATTACAATTTGAGCTTCAGCTTCATCGAATAGTTAGTACAGGCCAGAGACCAGAGGGATTGGCAAAGGCGTATGGGAACTACTGGGAGTAGGAGTGGGCACCAGGCTGTTATCAGGAACATGGAATTCTGTCTCCAAGGAGAAGCAGATTCAGAACAAGAAAGGTCAGCCTCCTGGGAGGAAGCAACTGGGGCTGGAAGGGGTGCTGCCTCTTCCTCTTCCCTGGCCTGTCCCCCAGGCTGCCTCTGTCCCGGCAGAGAGACTCTGAAGGCAGAAAGGGTGAGATAGCTACTGTTGGAGAGGAGTAGAGCTGCATGCTAGTTAAAGGCAGTAAAGACAAATTTCACTTGGTGTCATGGCAGTAGGGAGAGAGGCTTCCGTTAAACTGAGCTTACCTCGAGATACAGCGAAGCCAGCTAAAGACTGATGGCCAAGGAGAAGAGGGAGGGGTCAGTGGGTGGCAAATTACTAAGAGGAGACCTCAACAGCAGGGATTCTTGCTAAAGGTGGACCAAGGACTTAGGCATCAAGGGTGGGAGATGAGGAACTTGATCAGATATCAAGGGCATGGGGATTCTCTCTAATCTGCCTTAGTGGGATTCTTGCTAAAATTGAGCCAGGCAGCCCGAGGCTGGGTCCACCAGTGGACCAGAAAACACCCTTTCACTTGAGATTGTTTTCTAGTGGTCACCCTTAACTTGATGCCAAAATTTACAAAGCCTGGCTTTGCCATTCCCAAGGTTGCATTCATCCGGGTCGCCCGGAGGTCCTAGGGTAAATCCTGTCATCCAGGTACAGTCATCGCCAAGCCCCTGTTGATGTTGACAAGGCCAGTAGAAGGTAGGCAGAGGCCTGAGATGGCAGGGATGGGGGCCCATGGCTTGGAGGCTGCCCTTGCAGTGGGCAGCGGGAGTGATGATGAAGTTGTTGCCAGCTCTGGGAGGTCCAGCCCATAAGCAAAGCCTGGATTAAAGATACCTGCGACCCAGAGTCCAACCTGGGAGGTGTGCGGGAATGTTGTATCTCCTAGTGGGTGGGGCTCTAGAGAGAGCCTCCAGCTTCAGAGCTTCAGCAAGGAGCCAGGAGTGCAGGCATGCAGGCCTTTAAATTTAAACATGCAAATCTAGGACCAGAGAGTTGGGTTAGGAGAACAGGCAAAATCTATGGGATGAGAACTTAAGTGACTCTCCCTGTCACTTGTGTGTTAAATTTCATTTGCAGGCAATCCAGTTGAAGCTCTGCAGGGCCTAAATTGATACTGAGGTTTAGGCTGCTGATGTGTTTTCATCCACACCCAGGTCTGACTCAGACAGCAAGGAGGGAGGAAGGTTAGCCTGCGGTTGCACCCAGCTGCGAGGAGCTGCAGGAGGTGGAGGGACCAAGGCAGGAGCTGACGATAAGGAATTTCCAAGCCTATGAGTATGACAGCGCCAAGTGTCGGGTCTGTTTCAGTTCAGTTGTTTTGGTCCCGTTGAGGGGTGAGGGACCACGCTGGACTGAGATTGCCACAGCTGCTGAGCGTGATGATGACTGAGAAGCCATCTAGGTCAAGCACCAGGGTCTGGTTGCTGACTCTCTGCCAGTGTGCTCCAGTTCAGACCCAAGCAATTCACCTTGCATTTGCCTGAGTGAAGAAAACAGGATTTCTAGAAAGTTAACGGCAGCAGAGCACGCATACCTAAGGGCAGTAGTTGGCCTACTTTATTCCATTTCAATGTGTCTAAGCTTTTTGTTACACCATATAAATATGGAACTGAAGCTTCTTGTGTTTAAATTACCCAATACCTCTTTTCTTCTTGTTTTTTCAGACATAAGGTCTTTCTTTACTGCTGTCTTTGGGTTCCGTCTCAAATCATCTCCTGTTGTAATTGCACAACTCATACAATGGAAAGCTTCTATAGAACTGCCAGGAATGTCTGTACATCTTTTCAAGTGTAAATTAAAAAAAAAAAACTTGATTCAAGGCTATTACAGTTGCGTAAGTATCCAATCTCATTCACCTTCTATAAAAGAGTCAGATAAAGTTGTTAAATGAGCTCAACAGAGCAGGATGATCCAAAATGAAAAAAAAAAAATCAGAGCTTTTTCTGAGTGCTCAATAGAAAGGCTAGCCAGACAGCTTGAAGGAAAGGGGCAAAGAGGGCTTGTGTTCTTCTGCCTAATTGCAGGCTGCATCCTGTGTCGGCACCCCCATGGGACTGCAGAGAACGGGAAATAGAAATGCACATCTCTGCACCAACATCGGGGAAATGATCATTCCTGGGAGATGAAAATCTGCACATGGCACCGTAAGCCTAACATCTGTGTCTGGAGGCTGCAATCGCCTGAGTCTAGCCAGGAGAAAATGCAGAAACTCTGCTTGGTCTTTTCTCCATTGACTGTGACAACCAAAATAAGTGACTGAGACGTAAGTCTCAATTATCGAGGTTTATGAAGACACCTGCTTTAGGGTGCGTCTGGGAAAAACAAGAGCTACAGACACATCTGTGGCTGTTTCTCTGAAGAGGTTTTCAGGAGAGTTAGTATTTATTTGTACATTTCCTTAAACGGGGGAAAGGAATGTAAGAAGAGAGGCAGGTAGGCAGTAAAACACTCCTCTGAGACTTTAGTTACTGCCCAGTGAATTTTACATAAGGTGAATGTCTGAAGAGAAAAAGGGGATAAAGAAAGAGGTGATTATGCAGATGTCTCTGGGTAGGTGGAGGAATGACTGATCACATCCTGTCTTTTCTCTGCACCTGGAAAAATAAGCTTGTAATCAACAGTATCAGTGTGGAATCAACAGACTTTACTCTTATGATCTGGACTTAGATTATAGGCCTAAAGTTACACTTGGTATGCCCTGTTTATGGGAGGCCAGCAAAGCATTTACTTATGAATGATTGGTGGGGCAGCCCTTCCAGATGCCCGAGGCCTTTTCCTTTCCATGGGGATTTGGCTGAAGCATGATGTTAGTAACAGCCATGCATTTGGAAGAAAGGGTTGCATGACTCAGCCTCCGGGCTCAAGCTTCCCTTTTGAAGTTTGGGAGTCTTGAAGATTTTTTATTTTCCTTTACAACTGCAAAGCAACAAGGGGCCTGCTGCCTGGCTATGGAGACCCAGCCTTGGGGAGGCAGTGCTGCATGGAGGACCGGCAATGCCATCTTCCTGCCTGGTGTGTGGACTTTCTTGAGGAAACATCCATGGTGCTGAAGGCTAGGGCACCCTCCCTGAGCTCCTGTAGAGACCTCCCTGGGCTCCCAAACTGGCCTTCACTTTTGCTTCCCACGCCCAGGCAACAGAAGCAGAGCAAGTCTCTCTTGTCACCTCAGGGTTAACTTTGGACACCTTTCATTTCACCCCACAAAGGCCCTTGCTGTGCCTTTGCTTCCTCAGTGCCTTCTGCCTATGACAGCTGTAGGCATCAGTGTAAACTGGATTGTGCACTAGGCACAAATGGACACAAGTTATTTCTGGATGTGGATGATGAAATACCATGGTCCTGCTCCCTGCTCAGAACGTTCAGATGAAACCAACGCACACTGGACCACCGTGCCTGCAGCCCAAGTTCTGGTGAGGAATGTTCTGGGGGAGTGAAGAGAACCATAGAGGAGACTGGTGAAGGTTTTGAGATCATTGGTGGGCTCTCATGGGCAACTTTGTTGGGGCGAGGCTGCTGGCATGAGGAGGCTGGCCGGGCAGGGAGAGGACCTGCTGTGAGTGCCTCCTCCAGGAGGCTACTGGCCGGGGAGTCCCAGGCTCCACCTCCAAGACTCACACATCTTGGAGACCATGAGCAAGGCTACAGTGGAGCAGGTGACCACATCCAGGCAGCACACTAGCCTTTTCTGTCTCCAATCACCTGCTGGGCTTCCTCTGCCTCTTGGCAAATCAAAGACGCCAACTTAAATTTACCTCTTCAAGGAGAAGAGCGGGCAGCCTAACTCTCTCCCTTCTCCTTCGAGGACATAAGGGACTCTGAGAGTTTCCAGTCCAGCGAGGTCAGGTGTGAGGCACCAGTGTAGAAGAAAGAGCCCCCACGTCAGTTAGCACCTCGGCCTGTGGCCTTGGCATTAATTTACTTGTGCGATCCCAGGCTGTCCCTTTGTGTGCTCCCCGGAAGGACCAATTATCACTTTCTCCTGGTCCTGAGAAAATCACAGCGGACTGGAGGAAATGAGGTTACAGCCCGCATCCACCAGTCAGGGCACACTTTCACAAAGTCGCATGGACAGCGCTGAGCCTTTTGAGTGCTTTACAGCATTAAAGAAAAACAGTATATAATAAGTTGTTGATGTACAATTATTATATGTCAAGTAAAAAATAAAGAAAAAAGCAGTAAGAACAATAACTAGATGTTGAAACAATTTTTTGGCAATTGGGCCTATGGTAAGTAATTCTTTACAAAGTTGTTGATTTTTCTAACATATTATCTTGATTTTCATTAAATAATAAAATAATCTCAGTGAACCTAAATCAATTTTATTTTTTTAAAATAAATTTCTGTATTTATTTCTGAGCTATGTGCATGTCTATTACTGAGTATATATAAATAATGGCCATGCATCCATGGATGTTTAATCAGGAAAGTACTAAGTTGTTAAAAATAAATCCTCCTGAAATTTGGCAACATGAACGGAAAGACTTAAAAACTAACACATATTTTGACCAAACAATGTATTTTCTCTTTAAATATGAAATAAGTTTTAAGAATTTACTTCAGAAATTAATTAGGCATATTCCAAATTGTATACACAGAGATTATTGTTACAGTATTTTTTACAAAGCAAAAATTAGAAACAATATATAGATCTAACAGAGCTGATTAAATAACTAGTGGTACATTATAAACTCATTAAATCACATTGCAGGAGAAGACTTAATGACACAGTAAAATGCTTAGCGTAGTTTTTTTAGTTAAAAAAGCAGGTTACATAACAGTATGTACTTTATATTCTGGAAGTTGTAGGAAAAGTGCATATGCCATCAAAGAAAAAAGAACATATAGAATTTTTAAGTGATTATTTTGGGATGGTTTGATGATTATTTTCATTTTTCTTTCTTGAACTTTCTAATTTTTTTTCAAGTCTATAATATGTAAGCATTAAATTTGGTTAGCAAAGAACAATAGATTTTATACAGAAAATAAACTTCTTTATGTATAGTATTTTTATGTTTAATAGGATATTACTGACATTAATTATACTGCATATATTTACAGAGTACAGTTTGGTGAAGTCTTGACCAATATATACACCTGAGCAACCATCATCACAATCAAGACAAGTGCATCCATCACTGCTGAGTGTCCGCACTCCCCTCGGCACTCTCCCTCCTACCTCCCTGTGCAGCCCCAGCCCCATGTCTGAGCAATCCCTGATCTGCTTCCTGCTGCTCTGTCACTGGAGTCTAGTTTGCATTGTCTACAATTTTATGTAAATGGAACCATATAGTATTGTGCTTCTTTTGCCTATGTTCTTTCACACAGTATAATTATTTCAAGATTATTGCAAGTTGTGGCATGCATTACTAGGTCATTCTTCTTTATGGCTGACTAGTGTTTTATTGCATGAATACACCTGTTTATTTGTCCCTTCTCCTGTTGGCGGGCATTTGAGTTATTTCCAAGTTTTGTTCATTACAAATGAGGCTAGCATTAATAATAGTGCATTAATCTTTATATGCTTTCAGCTCTCGTGGGTAAATATTAGGAGTGGAAGGGCTGAATCACATGGAAGTTGTATAAACCTTTCAAGAAACTTCCACATTTGTTTCCAAAGGGCTTGCGCCTTTTTATATTTCTACTGTTGCCAGTAGGCCAGTTCAGATTCTTTTTTTTAATTTAATTTAAGTTCCAGGATACATGTGCAGGACGTGCAGGTTTGTTACATAGGAAAATGTGTGCCACGGTGGTTTGCTGCACCTGTCAACCCATCACCTAGGTATTAAGCCCAGCATGCATTAGCTATGTATCCTAATGCTCTTCCTCCCCCTGCACCCTCAACAAGCCCCAGTGTATGTTGTTCCCCTCCCTGTGTCCATGTGTTCTCATTGTTGAACTCCCACTTACATGTGAGTTACATGGGGTATTTGATTTTCTGTTCCTGTGTTAGTTTGCTGAGGGTAATGGCTTCCAGATTCATTCATGTCCCTGCAGAGGCCATGATCTCATTCCTTTTTATTGCTACATAATATTCCATGGTGTATATGTACCACATTTTCTTTATACAGTCTATCATTGATGGGCATTTGGGTTGATTCCATGTCTTTGCTATTGTGAATAGTGCTTCAATGAACATACGAGTGCATATATCTTTATAATAGAATGATTTATATTTCTTTGGGTATATACTCAGTAACAGAATTGCTGGGCCGAATGGTATTTCTGCCTCTAGGTCTCTGAGAAATCACCACACTGTCTTCTACAATGGCTGAACTAATTCACATTCCCACCAACAGTGTAAAAGCGTTCCTATTTCTCCACAGCCCCTCCAACATCTGTTGTTTCTTGACTTTTTAATAATAGCCATTCTGAATGGTGTGAGATGTTGTTTTGCTTTGTATTTCTCTAAGGATCAGTGATGTTGAGCTTTTTTTTCATATGTTTGTTGGCTGGATGTACATCTTCTTTTGAGAAGTGTCTGTTCATGTCCTCTGCCAAATTTTAATAGGGTTATTTGTTTATTTCTTGTAAATCTGTTTAAGTTCCTTGTAGATTCTGGATATTAGACCTTTGTCAGATGGATAGATTGCAAAAATCTTCTCCCATTCTGTAGGTTGCCTGTTCACTCCGATGACAGTTTCTTTTGCTGTGCAGAAGCTCTTTAGTTTAATTAGATCCCATTTGTCAATTTTGGCTTTTGTTGCAATTGCTTTTGGTGTTTTTGTCATGAAATCTTTGCCCGTGCCTATGTCCTGAATGGTATTTTCTAGATTTTCTTCTAGGGTTTTTATAGTTTTGGATTTTACATTTAAGTCTTTAATCCATTTTGAGTTAATTTTTGCATAAGGTGTAAAGAAGGGGTCCAGTTTCAATTTTCGGCATATGGCTAACTTGTTTTCCCAGTGACTTTGCCACACAAAATAATTTTAGAGCAAGTCCAAAGTAAGAGTAAGCCAATAAATTTATTACAAAGCAAATGTACATGCTGAGAGACAGAGCAGGCTGCTTAAGGTGAGAGACAGCAGCTAGTGCCTTAAGAGGAATTCTTTTTATGGGAGCTGTTCATATATATTCAAAAAATTCCTGTGAGGTACAAAGTGTGCAAAGTATTCAAAGGTAGACGTGAGGTTGGTGCATGTGCTCAGTAACTACAAACTCTAAGATGCATCACACGTATCATTAGCATTGAAAATCCCTACCTATGGGTGTGCTTTTTACTGCTAAGATGAGGAAAAGTTTACTATAAGCTAAACCTTGAGCCTAGCTGCACATGTGGGACCCAGAGAAGTCCCTGCCCCCACCCTCCTCCCAGGTAGGAATTTGTAGCAAAAAGTTCCTTGAGCTTTTTGTGCTGATTGGCTAGAGAGTGGGGAAGCTAAATCAGAAATAAGGGATTTTTGTTCTCTTTCTTGGGCCCTTATTGGATATCAGGAATGTGCAACCATCTGGCAGTTGACTGGTGTCCTGTAGGCTGCTTACCTGGTGTCGTGTAGGGCTGCTTACCTGGTGTCCTTCAGGGCTGCATACCTGGTGTCCTGCAGGGCTGTGTACCTGGTGTCCTGCAGGGCTGTGTACTTAGTGTCTCACAGGGCTGCTTACCTGGTGTCCTGCAGGGCTGCTTACATTGCAAAACAGTTAGATGCTGACACACCATGAGGGTGCAAGTGCAAGGAGCCAGCTGCATGTGAAAGGGGCCCAAGGGGCTTCATGCAAGGGGACAAGTCAGTATGGCCTCCCAACCTCACTCATCCTGCCTCACTAACAGCAGTGAGAAAGAGTTCCAGTTGTTCCATATCCTCACATGCACTTGGTGTGGCCAGTCTTTTTAACTTCTAGCCATTCTAATATAAGTAAAAATGGTATCTCATTGTGATTTTAATTTGCATTGTCTTAATGACTAATGATGTTGAACAATTTTTTGTGTGTTTATTTACCTACATATATAATTTTTATGAAAGTGTCTGTTAAATATCTGAAGAAGAAAATATCTCCCAACTTACTGTATGAGGCCAATATTACCCAGATAACCAAGTAATGTTCATTTCCAGGAATGCAAACCTTGTTTGTCATCAATCATGTTAAGCAACTAGCAAAGAAAGAATACATGATAATCCCAACAGATATAGAAAACCTATTTGGCAAAATCCAACATGTATTCCTGATTTAAAAAAAAATCTTTCAGTGAATTAGGAATAAAGGGAAGTTTCTTTACTTGAAAAAATACATCTATGTATGTATGTATATGTGTATATATGTATGTATGTTTGTATGTATGTATCTATCTATCTATCTACCTACAGATAGCATCATGCCTAATGGAAGAAAAAGGCTGAATATTTTCCCCCTAAACTGAGGAACAAGACTGGGGTGTCCTCTTCTGCCATTTGTATTCGACCTTGTACTGAAGGTTCTAAAACCGTGCAGTAAGGCAAGAAAAATGAATAAAATGCATTGTGATTAGAAAGGGAAGAGTACAATGTCTTTATTCATGAACGTCATGTCTACGTAAAACATTAGGTGGAATGTACCAGAAATCTTTATTTATTTTATTTTATTTATTTAATTTTTGAGACAGAATCTCACTTGTCACCCAGGCTGGAGTGCAGTGGCACGATAGCTACTTACTGCAACCTGTGCCTCCCAGGTTCAAGCGATTCTCACGCCTCAGCCTCCTGAGTAACTGGGATGACCGGCATGTGCCACCACACCCAGCTAAGGCTAATGTTTGTATTTTTAGTAGATACGGGGTGTTGCCATGTTGGCCAGGCTGGTCTCAAACTCCTGGCCTCAAGTGATCCCCCTGCCTTGGCTTCCCAAAGTTCTGGGATTATAGGCATGAGCCACCGTGCCCAGCCGCAGAAAACTTTTAGAACAAATACATAAATTTAATACAATTTCAGAATAGAAAAACAGTATGCAAAAAAAATTGATGATAAATCCTAAAATGATGTGAAATATCTTTGCATTTAAAACTACAAAACATGGTTGACAGAAATTTTAAAAGACCTAAATAAATTGATAGGTGTCTGGGCTATATCCTTAGGTCAGAAATTAAGAAGTCAGTTCTGCCTACATTGCTTTGTAGATTCAACTTAATTCCAATAAAAATCAATGCATCTCTTTAGATTGTGTGAATTGACAGATTGATTCTACATTTCATATGGAATTTCAAAGGATCTGGAATAGCAAATACAAGGTTTTCGTTTTTGTTTTTGTTTTCTTTAAATAAAGTTGGAGAAGAAATGCTACCTTACTCAAAGACTCATTATAAAGATACAACAATCAACACAGTATGATGTTGGTGTAAAGGTAGGCAAATAGGTGAATGGGACAGAATGAAGTCCACAAGCAGACCCACCTGTACATGGATAACGAATTCCAACAAAGGTGCAAAGGTGACACAGTAGAGAAATAATAATACTGCAAAAAAACATTTTATGCCTTGTACCCTGTTAAAAATGAATTCAATAGAACATAACTGACCTGCATTATCTTTCTCATCCTTCTCATCCTTCAACCTCTCCTGGGCAAATACCCCAGAGTCCACCTGTGGTCCCACAGTAATAGTTAATGATACTCTCTTTATTGTATCTAAATGTAAAATCTAAAACAATACACTTTTAGGAAATAAACATTTATGATCATCAATTAGGCAAAGATCTTTTAAGATATAACTGAAGAAGCATAATAGCAAAATGACAAATTAACGAATTGGACGTCATAAAATCAAACACATCTGCTTTTTGAAAGGCACTCTGAAGAGAAAGAAAAGAAAAGCCACAGACTAAAAGACAATATTTGCAAATCTAATATCTGATAAAGCCCTTGTGTCCAGAATATATAAAGAACCCTCAAAACTCAACAATAATAACATAATTCAAGTTTAAAAAGTTTAAAAAGGACTATATTTAGTTTTTAAATTATAGTTAGCCATTTGACATTTTTAAAGATTTTTTTTCATTTTTCTTATATGTTGTCATTTCCAAAATCAACTACTGGGTCAGAAATAAGAATCTACCTGTATTTCTCATGATTCCAGTAACTGGCAACAGAACATCTACTGAAAATTCCATCTTTCCCTTAAAATGCTCAGTGAAGACGGAAGAATATGGATCAGGCATTTGAAGTCTCAGCTTTGTGACTCACCACTGCTTTTCCTTAGTTTAAAAGTGTAAGGTGTCGTATTAGTCTGTTTTTATGGGGCTGATAAAGACATACCAGAGACTGGGTAAAATACAAAGAAAGAGGTTTATTAGACTTGTAGTTCCATGTGGCTGGGGAGGCCTCACAATCATGGCAGAAGGCAAGGAGACGTGGATGGTGGCACGCAATGAGAGAGCTTGTGCAGGGGAACTCCCATTATTAAAACCATCAAATCTCATGAGACTGATTCACTAACATGAGACCAGCAACGGAAACCCCCATTATTCAATTACCTCCCACCGGGTTCCTCCCACAACACGTGGGAATTGTGAGAGTACAATTCAAGATGGAATTTGGGTGGGGACACAGCCAAACCATATCAGGCATATTCAAACAAAATATGTTTCAATTTCCATGGACAATTTCTGTGCAGCTTCTATTTTGACCCAGGTTCTCTGTGGAATATGAGGCCAGGGATGGGAAGGATGGGGAGGATGACAGGACTCACGAATGCAGTCCAGCTCATGCTAGGCCAGGAGGAGAGCCACAGTGTCTCACACTCCATACATGCTTCCCAGTAGACCGTGGGCATGAGACCAAGTGGTCATGCTCATACAACTCGACCTTCATGCTGTAGACTTCTGAAAACCCTTTGTGAATGGTTGGATGATTTGAGCTCCTCTAATAAATGAAATGGCATATAACTCTGATGGGATATAGTTCTGAATTTTTGTACAGATGATCTGTAAGTTGGATTAAAGGTGTTTTGCTTTGTTGTTTTGTTTTCCCTAACAAGTTGCATATGCCTGGATGTAAACTTCCTTTAAAGTGAGCTCACTGGATCCTGACATGTTACTGTCAATTACTCAAGAGGTTAAAAATTTGCTCTTTTTGTAGAATCTGCTGGGCTCTTAGCTAGGGGAGTATTCCTTCAGATCATTTTAGCCAGCTAGCATTTAAGATAAAATTTAATACCAATAAATTTTTCATTGTGCAGGAAACATTGAATGCTAGAGGCTAACACATGATGAAGCTGATAAGAACAGACAGACAAATTTAATAAAATGCTGCTCTCCTAAAATCAGAACATTTCCTGTAGTCCATGATTTACAAGGAAGGAAAGTTCTGGGAAAGCAGCCACAGTCCACTAGGCAAGATCCAAGGCCATGACCCACAGAGGCTCTGAGGTCCTCAGTGAAGGAGTAGGGCTGTGGGTCTTTCTACCAAACTGGATAGTCCACGCCATGAACTAAATAACATCCTCTTACAGATAATGCAGCCAAGGAAACTGCACCAGGTAGAAGGTAATGGCGTCAGAGGGAGTCCCTCTGAGAACTAGCACAGTTAAAGCTTGTGGGCCTTAACTTAGGTTAAGTACTGTTTAGCTACTTACATTGCCTGCATTTCATAGTGTATTGTGTATTTTCCTATTATACATATATATAAACTGATACATGTAATATAATTTATATGTCATGAAATCTATACATATGAAATATGTATATATTTCAAGGCACAGTGATTTCTAAAAGATAGTGCAGAATCCCCTGGGCTACAGGTGAGTTCTTTATTGGGTGGGTGGGCCTGGTGCCTGTGCAAGGCAAAGCGTTGCCCCTGAGTGGTCTCCATCTCTGGAACATACCTTGGGCATGGGCTGCATCCCTGGTTCATTTGTGGATCTTGCACTTTTAGGTCCATGATTGCTTAGCATCATGGTTCCTGGACATTTATTAGCAGATGTTGAGCAAATATTTGTGAGTCATGCGGTGCCTTCTGGGAAATAGGAGAGCAGCTGATGTTTACTGCAGCTCTCCAACCCATGCTTGACCCATGCATCCTCCTTATTTTTCCTGTTTTCGATGTGCAGATGAGAGTGTGATTAGTTTTGTTTTATAAATGAGGACACTAAGGCTCAGGGAGCTTGGTTAAGAGGTGCATCTAAGTTCAGAGAGGCAGTAAGGAGAGACAGAGTTAAACCCAGGTCTATCCTGTTCTAAAGCCTTTGTTCTTTTGGGGTTTATTAATTGAAACGAATATTGGGAGAACATTTACTACATGTCAGGCACAATTTAAGGTGCTGGGAATAAAAAAATGAAAAAAACAGATAACTTTTCGTGCTCTCATGGCACTTACACTTGAGTAGGGTGAGAGGGAAAATAAGCAAGATGAATAAAATATGAAGTATGGGATCATGATAAGGGCAAAGCAGGAAAATGAGCAAGGAAGGGGAATGGCAAGCATTGTGGTCTTATGCAGGTGGCAGGGAATGCCTCCCTGAGAACATGGGGAGTGAGTGCTGAGGCTGCCTGGGGGAGCAGCCTTCTGGGCAGAGGGCTCAGCAAGGACAAAGGCCTTGAGGCCCAGGGCCTTGGGGGGCATCTGATCTTGAAACAGCTTCAAGCACTTTAGCCTCAGAAAGTCTTCAACACACTTTGGGTTGCCTCAAAGACTTGTTTCTTATGTAAAATATGATGGGGTGAAACTATATCTAGAAATTATAGTAAAATATATATATTTGTGTGCTTCGGTATAGAGATATAAATATTTTTAAGATGCAAATCTTTGAAATTTCCAAATTGCTCTACTTTTTCTGGTGTCTAAAGTAAGTTTTCCATTTCCATTATGTTTTCAGTCAAGTAACACTTAGCAGCGGGGGAAAGAAAAGCCTGCACATTGTTTTGCACATTTGACTTCATCTTCACACTGATTTGAAACAGTAGACCAATAGTAAGACCTAGGTCCTGGTCTCACACATCTGCCTCGCTGTGGCGAGACAATGGGCAGCAGAACTCTGGGAGCCTCAGTTTTCTCATCTGTAGTGGGAGGATGATACCATTCCTCTCTCTCTAAGGGTCCTTCTAACCACCCTTCCACCACTGTACATGGGTCTTCTGCTCTTTTCTAAACACTGGGAGTGAAAAGCAGTGGAGGTGCAGCTCCCCAGCCTGTAATAGTGTGTGCTCTAGCATGTGTCATAGTGTGTGCTCTAGCATGTGTAGCATGTGCTCTAGCATGTGTCATAGTGTGTGCTCTAGCCTGTGTAGCATGTGCTCTAGCATGTGTCATAGCCTGTGCTCTAGCATGTGTAGCATGTGCTCTAGCATGTGTCATAGTGTGTGCTCTAGCATGTGTTGTAGCATGCACTCTAGCATGTGTTGTAGCTTGTGCTCTAGCTTGTGTAGCATGTGTTCCAGCACGTGTCATAGTGTGTGCTCTAGAGTGTGTAGCATGTGTTCTAGCATGTGTCATAGCATGTGCTCTAGCATGTGTAACATGTGCTCTAGTATGTAGCATGTGCTCTACCATGTATCATAGTATGTGTTCTAGCTTGTGTCATAGCATGTGCTCTAGCATGTGTAGCATGTGCTCTAGTATGTAGCATGTGCTCTATCATGTATCATAGTATGTGCTCTAGCTTGTGTCATAGCATGTGCTCTAGCATGTGTAGCATGTGCTCTAGCATATGTCATACCATGTGCTCTAGCATGTGTAGCGTGTGCTCTAGAAGAGAGGGAGAGTTGTGTGAACATGTACAAGATGGATGGCCACTTAGAGAATCAACCATTCCTTATCTGATGTGTATTAGGCCAATCCTACAAGTGGCACAGTGTGCAGCATTTGTTAGACACTGCAGGGCGGGAGGTAGGTGGATCATATCTTGAAAGCAGGTTCTGTTTTCATCAGGTGGGCTTGGGTTCCAGGTGGGAGAGGGATGAATTCTGGGCAGAAATAGTGAGCATAGGCAAGAGAGTGAGAATACAACACAGTGGATTAGGGCATTTCAAGCTGCTCAGCAAGTTTGTGGGAGCATTGGTGTGTGGTGTAAGTGGTGTGTGTGTGTTTGTGTGTGTATAGATGAGGTGAAGAGAGAAATGGACACAGGATAGCAAGGTAAGTATGTGCTAAGTTTTTCAGACCTCTCTTGTAAGCACTGGAGAGACACTGGTGTTCATTTGAAGGCTCACAAAGGTTCATCACAAGAAGAAGCCAATTTTACATAAGAAACGCATATGAAAACTAAGTGCCATGTCACACACTACTCTATTGATGTAGTCATATGGAAAAAAATGTAAAATTATGGGCTGGAATGATATCTACTTCTGGGAAAAGAGAGAAAGGAAAAGGATGAGGGATGAAAACAATAGGGACATAAAATTAAATAAAACATATGAAGCCAAATGATGAATAAGGGTTAATTGGGGTGATGGGCACTTATTATTATTACTACTTGTTTGAATCTTACAACTTTTCAAGGGAAAACCATTGATATCCTTGTGGCTAGTGGTTGGGAAGGGGTCTGAACTAGGAGGATGGTAACAGGGAGATAAGAGATTAAAGGACCTGAATTAGGGCAGCAGCCATGGGGACAGACAGGACGAGGCACAGCTGAGAAATGTTGGTATGAGGCTTCTCAGGATTGATGATGACGGAGTGGAGGGAGAGCAGGAAGTGGCTGAACGTGAATGAAGGCGCATGGGGTTGCTGATGATGCTGGCTGTGGGGCTGGCCTGCACTGTGGAATGAGTGAGTCATCCAGTATGGCTTGATCTCCAGAGGGACATTAAGTGTCTGTAAGACATGTAGGCAAAGACATCCACTAAGTGGCTGTATTAGTCCATTTTCAGACTGCTATAAAGATACTACCTGACTCTGGATAATTTATAAACAGAAGAGGATTAATTGACTCACACTTCCCCATGGCTGGAGAGGCCTTGGGAAACTTACAATCATGGCAGAAGGCAAAGGGGAAGCACGCACCTCCTTCACAAAGCAAATCGCCCCCATGATCCAATCACTTCACAACAAGTCCCTCCCTCAACATGTAGGGATTACAATTTGAGAGGAGATTTGGGTGGGGACACAGAAACAAACCATATAAGCTGCTAAGGAAATGTTTCTGAAGGCCAAGAGAGGTGTGAACCAGAAATGTAGACTTAGGGACTACAAGATGGGAGATATTTTCCAGAGAGAGTGGACAGAGGAGAGGACAGCCATGGAGGGAGGTGCTAGGCTTCTCAGGGTACAACAAGGTCTTAGGCAGCAATAAGGACCATGTCGGAGAGAGAGCAGATCATAGTTGTGGCAGGCATTCCTGTAAGTATTGACACCGACTGCTTAGTTTAATTCCCATTACAGCCCTTTCAGGCTGAGTAGATAGGTGAGGTCATTTGTTCATGGTCTCAGGGTCATTCTAAGACTTGGCAGTGTGGCTCCAGTCAATAGCACATGCAGGGACAGTGGAAGCTTGTAATGCCAGAAAAAAGAGAAGTCTTCCCTTTCATTCTTTTCTAAGTGGGCTTTGGTCTTTCTCACTGATGTGAGGGACGTGAGTTAGGAGAAGGTCAGTTGGTGACTGCCTGAATTTCAAATCCGGTAAGTGTTTCTATGCCTTATAATTCTGGTATCACATCAAACAGTGCTGCGCACCCTTCATGCTTCTGATGCTGCCTCGTGACTCTAAAGCTGCTGCATAAAGAAGACCAGGGATGATGAGTCCCAAATTAAAAGAATTTCCAAACAGAACTTTCCTGACCCTGACTTCAACTCACATGTGTGCATGCACACAGTTTAGAAAATAATAATTTAAAAACCCAATGAATTCTAATAAATACGTGTTTTAGGAACTCACTCCTTGCACTATTGGAATTGGAAGTGTTGGCGTGGGAACAGGTAGAGAGCAGAAAGTATTGACTTCGGCTGCACTGCTTTCCCCCTCGCGGGATCAGACACAGTCTCCAATCCTTTGGCAATTGAGTAAATTGTTATGCTATTAAAGTCAATAATCTTGATGATCAGAATTTTTCAATACAGAGTTTGTTTCTGAGATTTTTTAACATAATTTTCTTGGTTTATAATAGTTTATTTGCTTCCCATATCCCTTTACTCTATAATGAACTAATAATTTTGCCACATAATAAATGTTATAGGGAGGGAGAGAATTTAAACAGTAAAAGCATGCAGCAGGGAGAATATTAATGGATTCATTTTAGTTTTGGCTTCAGTACTGTATCTGAGTCCCTGTTATTTTTTTCACATTAGAGGTGGAGAGAACATGAAATTTAGATAGCAAATATTTGCTTCAGTAATTTGAACTATATCTTTTTAACCAATTCTATCTGCAGTTCCACGCTTAATACAAAATACTTAATTCTGTATGTGATCCTGTCCTACTATTTTTTGTATTTCTATCCTAAATATCTTAACACATAAAGAGAAATGTGAATAATGAAGGTATAATTCACATTCTTTGAGATTCAGACTTCATTGGTTAAACTGAGGCACTGTTTTGGCCGTCCTTTCTAGGTAGTCCTAATAATTATATGTCACATTCAAAACAGATACTTAAAATAATTATTACAAGACTATTATGGGTATTGTCTCAAAAAAATTGAGGGTGAAGCATGTTTTGGAATAGATCACCATTTCTTGCCTACATGTAAGTGTCATTGAGATGCTTAAAGCCTATTTCTCTCGTATGGCTCCACTTCCTTCAAAGCACTTGTAATACAACAGTCTACAGTCTGGCTACTCTCTAGGGTCTAAGTAACATAGAAGATCATTTCTCAGAAGCATAACCTGAAAGAAAGGTTTTTATTTGTTTATGTTTGTTTTGGTTGTTTATACCTCATTGGCCTTCGCCTATGAAACAGTCAAGGTGAAGGAAAGAGAAGAGTTTAAAAAAGATAATGATTTTCATGTTTCGAGAAGAAAATGTTTAACTAGTTTTACCTAAGAACAAAACCAAAGTTTCCCAATGCTTTGGCTCATGTACAATATGCTTCATCAGTTTTTAAAAGGCAGCTCAGAAACTCAGTGAGAAACTCTACGTTTCTTCATGTTACCACCTACACATTTTAATCATCCATCATTATCTCACATGGCAGTTTTAGGTTTTTGCATGAAAATAATACCTTCCAGATATTATTATTACAGGTGTTGTTTAGCAGTGGGTTAAATAATTTGAATGTAGAAAAACCCCATCTTAAAATTTTAATCAGAAGAAAGACCAAAATTGATTAATATATAAATTTCTATTACAGGTTGAGCTTCCCAATTCTGAAAATCTGGAATCCTAAACACTTTTGGTCCCAAGCATTTTGGGTAAGCCTGTATGAATAAACACGTTATTTCGGAGGCACCTTGTCAGCTTAGAGGGCCTGAGCCTTCTTCTCCCTCTGGCTAGGGGCAAGGGCAGAAGAAATGCCCAGTGTGGATCCAGTTTTGTAAATAGTAAAACTTTCATTTCGGGTAATTGCATTTAGTCCTTCTGGTCAAGTTCATAGTTTTATTGGTTTGACTTTATATGAATATGGAGGCTGACATTAGGTAGTTACCTTAATGTTTTATTATATGTAAATCATAGATTTTAGAGATAGAGAGGGCCTGGTGCAGTGGCTCCCACCTGTAATCCCAGCACTTTGAGAGGGAGGCCAAGGTAAGAGGATTACTTGAACCTAGGAGTTTGAGACCAGCCTGGGTGCCATAGTGAGACCCCATCTCTACAAAAAATTTAAAAATGAGCCAGTCATTGAGGTGCACCTGTACTTCCAGCTACTCAGGAGGCTGAGGTGAGAGGATCTCTTGATCCCATGAGGTTGAGGCTGCAGTGAGCCATGATCACGCAACTGTAGTCTAGCCTGGGTAACAGAGCGAGATCCTGTCTCAAAAAAAAAAATTAGATACAGAAATTTGGAAATTATTATGTGTAACTTGCTCACATAATACATTGATAACAAAGTGGTAGAATGACTGTTCAATATCATGCAGCCCATCAGTATGAAAGAAAACTATGGTTGAGGGTTATCTCCACTGTCCAGTAGCAAAGGAGACACGTGGGCTGAGGAGGCCTGGACAGGGGCAGGCAGGTGAGAAGAGAGCCTGAGTGAGGCACCTCAGTGCTAGGAGCTGCTGGGCTGAAGGGATCATTCAGAGATGTGATGGGTAGCTTATATCTGTGCAGGCCAATGCTCAAGGAACACAAGTCTCCACCATCCTGCACGTAGTTCTTGGTACTTTGAAGTTGGGTGCCATGACACAACACTAGGAAGGGGAAGGTGAAGGGAGTGACGTATTTTCATCCATCCCATCAAAATGGAAATTGCCAGTGATGATAGGAAAAATATATTTTTTTAAATCTGAGTGTAGCAAGGTACATAACGCTTCCTGTGAATCAACTGGGTGGGGAAGCTTTTCAGGCTGGCCAGATGCTCATCTATTAGAATGGGGATTGAATAAGTAGACCCTCATGAAATCTTGATCTCATCAGTTCTTCCCCTGATTTACCTAAGTTGTTGACACCACTGTCCTCTCAGTCACTCAAATTGTAGCCTTCATTCCTTTTCCTCCCTGCATTTAGTCCATTATATAGCTCACAGATTATTGGATTCATTTTTCTCTTCATTTCGATTTCCTTCAACTGCTTGAGATCTTAAAGAATTTTTGCTTTTGGTCCTCTAATACACACCTCAGGTAGATGCTACATTGATAAGTTCCAATGTACCATAACCTCTGGTATTTACGTTCTTGTGTAGTCCCCTCCCACATTGACCTTGGGTATTGTTATGTGACTACATATAGCCAATGGGACATCACCAAGGTTGATGCAAGAGAAGTCTTGATAAGCACTTACTCATTGGGACTTGCCCTCTTGGGACTCTCCTTCTTGGAACTCAGCTGCCATGCTGGGAGGAAGCCCAAGCAACCATGTGAAAAGGCCCAAGTGAGAGAATACTGAGGTCCCCTACTGGTGCACCTGAGCTCCCAGCAGGTGACCTAGGACAACAATCATGAGTGAGTGAGTCATCCTGAATGTCCCATCCTGGTTAAGTCTCCAAATGCCTGTGGTCCCAGCTGAAATTACATGTAGCTGAAGAACTTCCTAACCCGATGACTTCCAAGCCCGATCACTTACAAAATCATGAGACATAGTAAGACTTTTGGGTTTTTTCTTGCAGTTGTATTTTAAGCCACTATGTTTTGGAGTAGCTTACTGCAAAACATAGTGGCTTAAACATTATTACTATTTTTTTTTCATATTTCTGCTCCCTCACTTCTGGTTGTTACCAACCCCACTTCACTTTTCCTTCGCTTACTCATCCTCAAATATCCTGGTTCCCTGTCTAATTGGGATGCTCACCTTTCTCCATACCACTCTCTGGCTCTCTCTAACATTTCTTCTGCTTGCAGTGGCTTCTCCTGAATTACCAGTCAGTGCCTCCTGTGAGCCAATGCATCTTCCAAATGCCTTGAGCTTTATTAATCCCCATGAAGGTCAGGCATCCTTCTCTCCACAGTACCTTCACTGCTGCCTGTATTGCTTCTGCTTGGCACCTCCTTCTCCTCTGCTGATGTTTTTAAATTGCTAACTCCAAGTACCATTTTAGGTCTTCCACAATGCCTGGAACATGCTGAACATGTGTTTCTTGAGTTGAGGTCTCTAATTGTCTAGGTTAGAACACAGGGCTCTCATAAGTACAAGCATCACACTGCGTACAAATGTGATAAGCCACATAGGAAATCACAGGGTGGATCTGGAATTACGAAAGTTAGAACACAAAGAGCAGAGTGTAACCACCCAATGGGTTCACCTTTCCCACTGTCCAGACAGAGCCGATTTATCAAGATAGGGGAATTGCCATAGAGAAAGAGTAATTCACACAAAGCCAGTTCTGTGGGAGACTGGAGTTTCATTATTACTCAAATCAGTCTCCCTGAGCATTCGGGGACAGAGTTTTTAAGGATAACTTGATGGGTAAGGGAAGACATAGGAGTCAAGAGAGCTCATTGGTTGGTTCAGAGATGAAATAATGGGAAGTCAAGGCTGTCTTCTTGTGCTGAGTCAGTTCCTGAGTGGGGGCCACAAGATCAGATGAGCCAGTTTATTGATCTGGGTGACGCTGGCTGATCCATCAAGTGCAGAGTCTGCAAAATATCTCAAGCACTGATCTTAGGAGCAGTTTAAGGAGGGTCAGGATCTTGTAGCCTCTAGCTGCATGACTCCTAAACCATATTTTCTAATCTTGTGGCTTATTTGTTAGTCCTGCAAAGGCAATCTAGTCCCCAGGCAAGAAGGAGGTTTGTTTTGGGCAAGAGCTGTTATTGTCTTTGTTTTAAACTATAAGCTTAGTTCCTCCCAAAGTTAGTTGAGCCTACACCCAGGAAAGAACGAGGACAGCTTAAAGGTTAGAAGCAAAATAAGTCGGTTAGGTTAGATCTCTCGCACTGTCTCAGTCATAATTTTGCAAAGGCAACTTCAAAAGGAGCAATGTAATAACAATCTTCATATATTGTGGAACCCTTTATAACACCAGTGTTTAAAGAGTAGAATTGACATTTGGCTTATACGTCCTTAAGTTCTTCCATTTTTTTAATAATATGTAAGTGCTATGTTTCTGGGAACATGATTAAATCCTACACAGTATTTCCAAGGGACAAAAGGATATACTTAGACAGATAAGCAGAGATAGATATCAGAGAAAGAGAGAAGTTAAATTCTTCATGTAATCTACTCAGGACTACCATTTCAGTTAAAAGTTGAATGAGAAATGAATTAATCCCTACACATTAAGGATGAGGACCAGGGAGAATGCAGTATTGTTTCACAGCATAGGATATCGAAACAAGATGGCAGATGGTTTCCTAACCGCGTCCCATCCTGATGCATGACAGCATGTGTTGATGAGACTTCAGTGTACTGCAGTCACTGTCTTCTGGGTGGAGCTGAGTTCAGGGCCTGGGCTGTGGCTCTTATTTCTGGCTGTGAGGGCCATGGGGGTCCAGGGTGATTTACGAATGTGCTTGTGGTAAAATAATACTGTCTTGGGAGCCTCTCACTTCTCCCTTTCATGTTTTGTAGGCAGGAAGAATTTCAGAGAAAATTAAAATAGAGAATGAATGAGGACCCCAGTGGAAAAGGACAATTGCGCTTACCCTTCTTCCATTCATTTCTTGGCCTCTGCTGCCCTGGTACTGTCTTTATGCCTTTGTAAAACTCTTTGTCAGCCTAAAGGGCCCGAGCCTCTTTTTCTCCTCTACTTATTTAACAGGGCCTTTCTTCTGTCCTTGCCCCTGGCCAAGATTTTAGTTTCAAATAGATTTTTAGTTTAGGCAAGAAATAAAGAATGGAGGTACAAACTACTCTTAAAACAATTATGTTTATAAAGATTTTAAAAAAACACAACTTTGAAACCACCTTTGCAAAAATTATATCAATGAGAAAATTATGGCAGTGGAGGGGAGATCTGATCAAGCCAATGTCCTTCTTGCCTTTAGCTTTCAAGCTGTCTCAATTATTCCGGAGCTTGGGCCAAGCTAATTTTGGAAGACATTTAGATCATAAACAAAAATAGCTCTTCCCCAAAACTCAACCACCTTTGAAAAGCTAATAAGAAACTACTAGGCTAGGGGGAGAAGAGGAGCCTGAATTCTGCGACCCTATGGACAGTTCACAAGATATGCAACTTCTCCAATTACTCCTGCAGATAATATCACTGCTGCCGACTGGCCCCTGAGAGATCTTTTCAGGTTCTCTTCATGTCTGACACCCATGACTCCACCTGGACCTGATGCCTCCCCCTGGAACTGCCAACCCCCTCCTATGGCCCCACCCAAGAGCAACTCAGCTCTAGAGGACAGCTTCGACCCCCGATGATTTCATCTCCACCCCAACCAGTTAGCAGCAAGCACCCACTTTTAGCCAACCCCAACTTTCCCCCATTAAAGCAAATTAAATATGCCCCAAAAAGTCCTTGCGGACAGACCATAACCCAAATTAATAGGTACATAAGATTGAAAACCTAACGTAGGAGAATGCATCTGTAACAATCACTGAGTTTTGGCCAATCTTAGCAGCCATATGTCAGCCACTCATACACTGCTGAGTGTTCAAACTGTGTTCAAAGAGGGCAAATGCCACCTGTAATCAATCCAGCTGTTTCTGTTCCTCACTTCCGATGTCTGCACCTTACTTCCCTTTTTGTCCAGAAATCTTCTTCCACCACAGGGCTGCACTGGAGTCTGTGAATCCGCTGTGATTCTGGGGGCTGCTTGATTTGCGAATCATTCATTGCTCAATTAATCACCTTTAAATTTAATTCGGCTAAAGTTTTTCTTTTATCACCCCCAAACTGCCTTTGAAAAACTCTTAACATTTACAGGGCAATCCATGTAAATATTCACTGTGTGCTCAGTGATGTTGGACATTATAAGCAATATGCTTCAAGCAGATAAAACAATTGTCTTAAATACTTAGTGATCTTCCATTTTGGAGAGGTAATAAAGAAACTATGTGTTAAAAATCTCAGTTGCTCACTGTTCTTGGCAATGAGAGGTAATAAAGAAAATGTGTGTTAAAAATCTCAGTTGCTCACTGTTCTTGGCCAACTGCATGTCCAAACCCCAGTTTGATTGCATCTCTAACCAGGCATCTACATAGCTGATTCCGACAAACCAGCCTCACTTCTCCTCTCCCACGTGGATTTTGGAGACATGTATAAGATGTGAGCTCTGAAAATATTTGGCAAAGATCTCAAGCTCTGCATGCTAGTATTATGGGTGGATGCAGCATTTACTAGTCAATCAACACAGTCATAGGCTTGTATGACACCATGGACCATCAGCTTGCACTGGTTGAAAATCCCATAGTCTCTCTCAGCTTGTCACTCTCACTGTTCCCTCTGCCCCAGACATTCTTGCCTACCATAAACAGCCCATCCTCAATGCCAAGTCCTCTGCAGAGCCTGTTTCAATTCCCTGTAAACCTGAGCAAGACACTCTCTCTTGTCCCACATCACCCTTTGCAGCCCTCGCTTTGCTTATTTCACCTTTTGTTGCTTTCTCTGTGTGCTCCACTATTTGACGTGTCCTGTGGGCAGGCACTCTTTCTAATTCTCTCTCTGATACCTCCATATTAATCACAGAATGGCATCGCTGTGTTCAGGGTGGTAGCTGTAAGTCACACACGGGTGTTGAGCACAGGAAATGTGGCTGGTGTGCCCAAGGAACTGCATTTTCACTTCAATTAAAGAAAACTGCAAGTGTAAAAAATACACAACAGATCTTGAGGACCTAGGACAGAAATAAGTATATAAAATATGCATAATGTCTATATTTATTTTGTGTTAAAATGAAAATATTTTGAATATGTTAGGTTAAATAAAATCAGTTTTTGAAAATAACTTCCCTTGTTTCTTTAAAAATTTTTAATGTGGCTACTAGAACATTTAAAATTACATCCATCAAGGGAATGCAGGTAACAATGTAGGTAATATGTATGTACGTTATTCATTCCACAATGTATATAGACTTCAAAACATCATGTTGTACATGGTAAATATGTACAATTTTATCAATTAATGTAAAATGTGGTAAAATTAATTAATTAAAATTACATATATCATTAGCATTGTATTTCTACTGGACTCACTAGATTAGTACATACTAAATATTCTAAAAATATCAAATATATTTCTAGATTTCTTTTTTTAAAAAAAACTTTGCAATGCAGAGTTGAGTGTAAGGTATATGATTTAGGAGTGATGAAAAGCTCTTTTAATAGTTGGGAAGGAAAGTGCTTTATTTTGACCAACAAAAGAGGTAGAAGTCTGCTCATTCCAAATAGCTATGTGTAAGGTGTCCTGAAATAGATTTAGTACTTCCTGGAGCTGCTTTTTTTAGCCTGACCCCTTGTCACCTTTAGCCTCCTTTTTGAAATGAAATGTGGTCATCAGTCAAGGATTTGGGCAGAGAGGGAGCTCATGCTGTCTGTAAGTTCCTTGCTCCTAGGGTGACCCTTCATTTCCCGGCCGCTCCGCTCAGACTCCTCAAGCTTCCTGCTGCCTCCAATGCAATGGTGGAGGATGAGCTCCACTAAGGAACACATCCGGCTCACAGATCTGGCTGGCATTGCTCTGTCTTGTAACAGCAGGTTTCTCTTTACTGCCTGATTTTCTGCTACCCCTGTGGAGGGTCATTTCTGTGTGTGTGTATGTTAGCTGTCAGCCAGGGATTTGGGAAGTTTGTGCTCTGATTCTGGGTTTCACTCCTGTGACTTGTGTGCCAGGATTTCCTCTTCCTATTTCCAGCTGCTTTCCCGGCTCTAAGCTCCAAGTGCTATCACCTTCAGTTGACCAGCTGCGTCTTTGTCCCTCCCCACATCACTTTCTGCAGCCAGGGCAGCACTCCTGGACAGGAAGCCATGAACTTGCAATTCCACCATTTCTTCCAGTTGCTTTTGGGTGAGTTCTAGTGTCCTTAAGTGCTGTTTTATTTATTTTATTCCATTTTACCATTGATACCCGCGAGGAATTCACATGACTGCTTTGCCATTTCCAGAGGCACCTACCTCTGCCCGGTTTTAATGGTAACAGATAATTAATTACAGCAGCCACAACCTGAGACAGCCACATGACACATCACAGCCTTGGACAGGAGGGTCTGCACCACACTCCTAGGAAGCCACCCAGAGAAGGACTATATGATGGGTACTAGAAGAGAGAGATGAAAGTATCAGTGTGGTCTTAGACCTGCTGCAGTGTTGGGGTTTAGCTGGTTGTGCTAGCCTCTTTCTTGCTACTTTTGAAGCTGCATCACTGTCTGGGATAAATACCCAGGACTCGTTGCCTTGTGCCAAGGAAATCAAGGACATGGAACCACATGGAGTGAGGTTAAGAGTGGAGGTTTAATAGGCAAAAGAAAGAGAAAAGGGAATAGATCTCTCTCCTGTGAGAGAGAGGCGCACCTGAGTGGGACCTCTGGACCATGGCAGAGTGCACCAGATTTTATAGACAGGCTTGAGGAGGTGATGCCTGATTAACATAGGGCCCAAAGATTGGTTGGACCGGGTGTGACCTTTTCATAGCATCAGGAAGCTGGCCACCTCACCCTAATATTATTATGCAAATGGGGTCTTTACTTGGCCCACACTTTGCTGCCTGCTCCTTACTGTGCACGTGGTTGACAAAGAAAGGGGAAGATGGAGCCATCATGTTGGACATGCCTAGACCCCAGGTCGCTTCTTCCTATTGGCAAAGGTGCCAGCATTCACCCGTGCAAGCTTCCAGCTTGCTTGTCTATGTCTGCAGCTTGATTTTACAGGTTGCTCTTTGTCAGAAAAGAAAATGATTTTGGGGGCTGCTTTTCATTAAAAGAAAAACCTTTCCGAGGACTTCCCTACCCTCGCTATCTGCCTAAATAATTTCTTCTTAACTCCTGTATCACGTTCCTTGGGAAATTAGATGAAGCATAATCTGGAAGAGCTGTTTTCAGTGGGGGTGAAGTTGCTCTAAGAGCCAAGTGATCTGAGTAGGGCAGGAGGGAGCCTGCAGGGGATGCTGTGTCCACTGCCTCGATTTCTCCATCAGGGCTGAAATCCTTACTCAGCCTCCTGGAGTGTGAGATGCTGGCTCACACATGTATTAATCTTCAGGAGTTCCCCTGAAAAGAGCTTTTTACCCAGGAGGTAGAAAGGCCAGGTTCCCTTCCATGAAACGAGACAGCTTTGAAGGGTCATCCTATCCCCAGGTAGCCCTTTTGAAAATGCAGTGCATTTTGCATTTTCTTTCTCTTAGCCCTGCTTCCCTCACTTCCCTCACTCCCCTTCAGGGCCTGCTTCTGATGAGTGGGTGAAAAGGGTGATGCCTTCCCTTACCCATCATAAGGGTCATGGCCGACACTCCTGTAACAAAAGACAGGTTAACAAGAGAAAAGCATAAAGTATTGATTTAATCAAAGTTTGACATGACAGACACAGGAGCCTTCAGAAATGAAGACTCAAAGATTCAGCGAACGTTGTCTGTTTTTATGCTCAGGTTCAATGAAGAGTGGACAGCTGTGTAGATGTGTGATTCGACAAAAGCGTGTGATCTGACGGACACAGACCAAGAAGAAACCCAGCAGGCCTGTCTGCTCAGATTCTTCTTGGCCTCTCTGTGCAGCCTTCCTTCCTCCTAGATCTGTGGCAGGGTCTTTGTGGAATGAGGGTCTTCGAGGGAGAAGGAGAAAGGGAGAGAGTGACCTTTCTAGGTTTTATGGCTTGCTGTGGGGTAGAGGAGCACTAGTTCGTATAGCCCGCCTAGGGGAAGAGAAATTCTGGTCATGGCTTGCTTAGGAGGAGAAAGAACGGCTAGAGGTAGAAGAAGGTCATAGAGACCTTTCTTCTGAGCTCTTTCAAGTCCTTCATTTAAATACTCAGCATGCCAAGGCACCACATATTGGGGTATCCTATTTGAGTCCCAACGTGGGCAGCACTCCCCAGAAACCTCGTGAACACAAATTGGTATCTCAGAGTCTATTTTGGTGAAAGCCACATAAGACAGGAGGTATGTGAATAGCTTTGATCAGAGAGTGAACTAAGGATATTGAGTGCCTTAGTCATTCCCGTTCCACACCCCTCCCCGTATTCAAGTCCTTTATCCTGGAACTTTGCATTTCCTCTCGCTAAAGGGGTACAATGTATTTCATTTGTTTCCATATCCCTGGATTTTGGCCATGAGCTGTTCAGGTCATGGAATGTTAGCAGATGTTGTTACCCAGTGTGATGTCTATGTGACCTAGGTGTATTTCTAACCTGCCTTCATTCTGCTTATCTTTAGGAAACAGGATGCCTGAGGTCAGAGGTTTTCCCCTTGTGACCAAACCAGCTAAGACTGGTGGGATCCAAAGTGGCAGCTCACTTTACCTCTAAAGAACATCTAGGCTGGGCACAGTGGCTCACGCCTGTAATCCCAGCACTTTGGGAGGCCAAGGCGGGCAGATCATGAGGTCAGGAGATCGAGACCATCTTGGCTAACATGGTGAAACCTTGTTTCTACTAAAAGTACAAAAAATTAGCCGGGAGCAGTGGCGGGCGCCTGTAGTCCCAGCTACTCGGGAGGCTGAGGCAGGAGAATGGCGTGAACCCGGGAGGCAGAGCTTGCAGTGAGCTGAGATTGCGCCATTGCACTCCAGCCGCCTGGGCAACAAAGTAAGACTCCGTCTCAAAAAAAAAAAAAAAAAAGAACATCTAACTTTATCATAATCTAATTTTCATGCAAAATGGCACTCCCTCCAGAGCCATGACAGTTGACAGTCACCACTACAATGGCAAGAAGAAACCATGAGAGGACAAAAAAGAGAATGACACTCAGTTCAAGAAGTTCTTTATCTGTTCCCAGAAAAGACATAAACTTTGCTCCCCTTGCTTCTAATGCCCAACTCCTTCAATAAAGATGCCCAATATCTGTAACTTTCCAGCTCTCATGAGCTTAGAAGTTGATATGTGAGTCATGTGTCTGCTTTTCAATTCCATGGCCGTTGAATAAAGCCTGCACTGCTGATGCTCATTTTTACTTTTGTCTATTGGCTTTGTAGTACCCAACAGGGAAAGACCCCATCTTTTGGGGAACTGGCTTTGTTGGGAATGTGATGTGTGCAGGTGGCTGAAAAGTGCGTTTGGATTCACACTTGGCTTTTGCTGCTCTGCTGTCTTCAGGACAATGTGCTGGGGCTGGCCTGTCCAAGGATAAAGAACAGGGAACAGCATGGAGTTGGCCAGCTCTTCCTCAGCCGACCCTCATTCACTAACTCTACATCTGGGTGACCTCAGCCAAGATCAGAACTTCCCAGCTGAAGTTCTAATTCACTAACCCACAAGCCCATGCGCTAATAAATGCTATTATGCCTTTCTGAGTTTTCATGGCTGTTTGCCATGCAGCATCATCATGCCAATAGATAACAGACAGAAGTATTGCTAGCACCCCATTTGAAGTCTGGGGCAGGTGGCCCTTATTAGAAGGGCACACAAATTCACAGCAGGTACCAGGTGGGTAAGTAAGCTCATCTGAATGTTGTAAAAATAAAAATGGAGTCATATCACTTAAAAAATCCTGACAAATAGAGCCCAGAAAAGCCATGAAGAGAGAGTTCTTATGCTTATATGCCTGATAACAAAATTTCTTGCAAAAAAAAAAAAAAAACTGCAAAAATCACGAACTTGCACAAAGGTCATCACAACTTCTCACAAACAATACTTCTGGAAGGACATCCACCCAACAACTGCCTGTCCAACCTCAGACTGGTGTCACCCTTGTTATTCATCTTTGTAGCCGAGGATAATTATTTCATAACTAGTATGTAATCTTTCTCAGTTTTTCCTTTAAAAACTATTATTCCTTCGCTTTGTGTGTTTTGTCCAATTCTTTGTTCAAGATGCCAAGAACCTGGACACCATCCACCGGTAACAAATCCACTTATGAAAGTAGTTCCAATGCTGGGAGCCTGCAAATGTGCCTCCTACATTGCCCACTGTATAAATACTTTTGTGGAAAAACAAGGAAAAATAATATTTATGACCTCAAGCTGCAAGTTCTGGGACCCAGAAGGAAGGTCTAAATCCCATTGAAATATTTAGGAAGTTAAAATCTTAATTTTTAAGAGACTGCTTGAATACACATTTAAGTAGTAATTTTTTCAAGATCCTTAATCTAATCTAACTTGAAATATTGAAATATGATATCATAATAGTATCTGAAATTGATAAAGATGCTTTTCCTTTAAACTTGAGGCCAATTTTCTCTTTATAGAATCCCAAGGCAGGCGAAGCCAGCTCTGTTTGGTAAGTCAAGTTTACTGAGAAAATAAATCTTTTTTATTTGCATGAAAGATGCAAGATCACACAACCTATTTCTGGATAATTATTCTGCTGATTACAAGGCTCAAAGGCAGATGAGAAAAGACAGAAAGGTCATGTGCTTCCTGGTAAATCCTCCTGCCATGAAGGGCAGAAGATTGGAGAAACATCACTTCCACTCAGGAAATAAGGATGTATGTCAGTGTTCCAAGTTGAGGTAGAAGGCATTTATCTGAACAGATAAACAAATATTTAACTTTCTCCCTGACAGACATATAGACATTTAATTGTCAAATAAATGTTGAACAAAACCATTTTTTCTAAATCTGAATCTCAGCCAATATTTCCTGGAAAACGCTAACTGGGACTTCTGTTTTTCTGTTTTTCAGAGAATTCAGTTTCAAAGTGCGAGTTGAGGATAACATTCTGGCTTTCAGAAATCATAAATAATGAACGGCACATTTGAGTCATTATCGGTGGTTATCCCTCTTAGAGTCCTCTTTGGTGTGCTCCGACCTAAGGTTTGAAAAGTTTTTTTTTGTTTGTTTGTTTTGTTTTTTTACAGAAACCTCTATTTTAATAACTGCATTCTATAAAATCCAAGGGATTACATAAATTTATTTTAAGTGCTGAAGTTCTTTCATATTGAATAAAACCTTTGACAGTTTTACATCTACTGCCTAGTTGGGTAATGCTAGTGCATGCTCACTTAATGGATTATGTGGTTATTTTATTAGTTAGTATCACATGGCCAGGATCTTACAGTCTTCCTAGGAATGTCAATATGTCCCCATTCCACAGGCACCCGTGGAGAAGGAGAAGGAGATCTCAAGAGGAAAAATCAATGCAGGAACAAAGAAACTCTTGGGTCTAGTGAAGAGAGACTGGATCTTGCTAGGCGAGTCAGGGATGGGGAGCTGGAACTGGGAAATGTTAATTTGCAAGGGTCCCCTGTGTAGCAAGAGGAAACTGCACATCCCTCTAGCCTGAACTCTGTCTTCAGATCCCAGCTTCCTACACTCTCACCTGGAGAACTCCCCAAGTTCTTTCTTCTCCTTCAACATTCCCAACATCTGGGCTTCCTCTGGGTCCTGGTTTCAGATGATTTTCACATGTCCATTTCTTGCTTCTACCCTGGGTGAGTTAAATTTGGATGACAATACCCAGATCTTACAGTTTGAAGGAGAATTAAATGGAATAATATGTGCAGAAGTGTTTCGTCAACAGCAAAGTGCATTTAAAGGCAGAATGTGCATGTGAGACAGCCAAGTGTAAAGGGGTCCCCAGAGAAACTCCAACCGACCTGCACACTGGAAGGAGTGTGCACTGGGGTGGAGCCTCGGGAAGTTCCTGCCCTTTGCCGTAGGGAAGGAGCCTGGCCTCTCCTGTTCAGAGATGGAAGCAGGAACTCAATCTGTGAGGTGGGAAGCCTGTACTTGCAGGACTCTCACTCTGCTGAGTCCCTGTTTCCAGTTTTTCCCATTTTTGCCCAATAAATTCTTTTTTTCTCACCCTTCACAGTGTTTGTGAGCCCAATATTTCACGGCCATGTGACAAGGACCCAGCTCTTAGATGAACTAAGGAGAAGGTACTACAACATTTTTGGTGCTCATAATGTGAGGCTTGAGAAGGGTGAGTGAGATGTAAACCAAGAAATCTTTTTCCCTCTCATTTCTAAGTCTTTTCATCCTTGGACATCTGAGGATAGAGGAAACCATGCCCCCACCTCCACTGGGGGTTGGGGGCCTGTCCATGTCCTTTTTCTTCCTTTTGTGGAATGGCCAGGTGAGCAGCAGCTCCCTACCACCATCCCCTCCCTGCCAGGGCTGGGACACATGGCCCAAGAAGCCCCAGGCTGCTGGTTGGTGTTTTCTCCTCCGTGCCCATGGAGTTTCCATTTTCCCTGGCCAGGGAGGCCAGCTCCATCCCAAAGCAATTAAGCTTTTCTCCCGGGTGGAGGAACCAGTTGCATAAGAATAAGAGGTTCTTCCCCAGGCATTTTTAAACTTTTTTTTTTTTTCATCCCTTTCTCCACTCTGTCAGCAGTTAACTTTTAAAAAGGAAAAAGCAAGGTTTTTCCTTTTAGAAGACGTTTTACTAGGCTAGGAATGATAAGAATCACTGTTATATCCTCTGTAAAGTTTTAATTGTGAAAAAGGATTTGTGAGGCTGGTCTTAAGCTATAGCCAATCTGGTGTACTTTGCATGTCTATATGGCTTGCAGCAAACTTCACTGCAGGCATCCGTCTTGTTTTACATCCTGGGGCCGTGGCCTATAGCCCCATGGCAAGGTTTTGTTTAGATATCCTGCCTTAGGAAATGATTCCTTTCTGGTTTAATATCTGCATGTTTTCCTAGCCCCTTCTCTTAAAGGGCTCCACCCAGCAACTGGGTTTTCTTCTGCCTGTCTGTGTAGTTATACATGTGTTGTGCATAATGATACCTGTAAAAAGAGCTCTAATTAACTTGGCCTAAAGGAAGACATGTGCTTGGATAAAATATTTTTTAAAGGGAAGAGCTGTGGTTCCTTTCAGTTCACATGACTTTAATCTCTGAGAAATAAAAACAGCCTTAAAGATTATTGGTAAAATGCAGATGCCATCAAAATGTAAACAGGTGGGCTTAAATTGTGCAGGTCAGATGCAAGATTTGCTAAGTGTTTTAAGGTTGTAAACTGCCTTTTGGGTTTTGAGAACTATTTAACTTGTTAGCTCCACAATTGGTAAGGCCTAGGGACATACGGAACTAACCACAACCTTAATTATGCTGGAAGGAGTCAAAGCTTGGCTGCACTTAGCATGCAATTAAAACAACTTACCAGGTTTTACATTAAAGTTAACATTGGTAAAAGTTACCATTATGACATGTAATTGAAACTACTGAAAATAGATTTATATGCAAAATGCGTAAAAACAGTAAAATGTGTTTTTAGTAAGAGATTATAAAAAAGCATGAAAATGTAAACTCTTACCCAGGGTTAAGAATTGTTTTGAATTAGGATAAAGCCGAAGATTCAAACACATTCTGAAAGGTTTCTAAAAATTAATCTTGCAGAAGAAATTCTGTGTGTAAACATTAACTAAATTCAAAAGGGTTTTATATAGTTTTTCTGTAAATTGAGCATTGAAATAAAAGCACAATAAGGTTTTCTTAAGGCACTGGTCTGCTCTTTAGCAAAATTTGTACAGGATTATAAAAGGTTTTTGCTTCTTTAAAATTTCTGAGTCATCATTTTGGCAAAATAAATAACTTATGGCAATCTGGAATTCTATTTCATTACATCAAGTGTTTTAAACCTCTAACACATTTCAGAGCCTTCCCAAAATCAAACTACAGTTTCAAAATTGTCTTTCCTGAAACCTTCTTTTTGGAAGCTCCAGAAGGGCCCCCAGAGTGCCCAGAAAAGAGATGTAAACAGGATTATTTGATATGTTAGGCACATGAGATTGCCAAAATGATGTTCAATCTTCTTTAGGTTATATTTTTGTGAATAAGGCTAATATATGTTCCAAAATTGTATGGGATTTCTAAAATTCTAAACTCTGAGTATATGCTATCAAACACAGTTAAGGTTTTTAAGTTGTTGTAAGCCACAGAGATAAGCAAACTTGTCAATTGTGTTTCTAACTGTGACTACCGTGAACATTTTGTTATTCACAGACAATTGGTGTTTTGTTTTAATCCTTTTCAAAAGATAGTTTATAATAAGTGATAGCACTCTGAAACGTACTCTTAAATACAGGTTTCTGATAACTTTGGAGGTTGTGACATTGGAATAAAGGAAAATGTACAGGACTCATGAAAGCTAAAATGTTCATGAATATCAAGCAAAACAAGTATTAACTAAATGGACTGAACTCAGAAAGCTGAAGCAAACTGTTTGACTTTTTCTTGGAGTATTGCTGATCCTTGTTTTGATTTTCAGAGTCAAGGAAACTTATTTTGAACTATTTATGGCCATTAATAATTGAGTAAGGTATACTCCTGTGAACAAAATTTGTAGCATATTTTCTGTCTCTGGCTGGCTTCTCCAGAATTTGGAAACTATCTGTGAGTATTCATAACTTATGGAAATATACTTGTTTGCATCAATGCAGTAAGAATTCACTTTTCTTTTGCAACAGGATGCAATTGGAGAAACTGGTTGTTTTATCAAGGCTTGGACTGAAAGTGTATGCTTCCCCTTAAAGGAGTCAAGCTCGACTTGTAGACCTGATAAGAGCCCCTTAGGAGAAACTAGCCTCATACCCTTGCCTACACAGTCCCTGTACAGGGTTCCTGGCCTGTGTTCAATAAAGAATGTCACTTTCTAACAGGCCTAGGAGCTCCAAGTTTATCTTGGGACCTTAAGAGGAGAGGATCACTCAACTCACAGGTATTTGAAGATACAAACCCATGACTGGGTTCAGCTTTAAAAGGTCTTACCTGAGACTCCTTGTGGAATAGAGTTCCATCAAAGCCAATCTAAAAGGCCTATGTAGAAATAGTTATTCTTGCTGCACTTTATACAAATAAACAGGCCAAGTATAAGACTAAAGTCTATTCTGCAAACAACTCAGTCCTATCATGATTTGTTTCTCTCTCTTTTTTTTTTTTTTTTTTAGCAAAAATGGGGACTGGAGAGAGAGAAATTATCTTTCAAAACTTATACATTTGTCATTAAATTCTAAACTCACTAGTTGTTTTTAAGTATTGCCTACATTTTTAGACTAACCCTGCTTATTCCTGTGAACCTACCAGCAATCTCTGGCTGCAGCTCAGAAAGGAAAAGAGGGATGGGTAATGTAAAAATCTGGATCAATATTCTAGTACTGTGCAATTTTCCTGCAAATCCTGCCAAGTGATGCGTATAAATAGGATGCCTATCACCTGGAGGTTTCCGTTTGGGGAGGTAAGATCAAGGGGGCTAACCAAAGCCAAGCACCATGCACCCAAATCCTAGCAAGCGTAACTGTAGCCACCAGTTATCTGGGTGTGTCACAAGACATCTTTTCTCTCCCTTGTTGGAGGAGGATTTAATCACACAGCTTCACCTTAGCATTCAGCTTATGATAAGGAGTCCATGCAACCCCCAGGAGACACATTTTTGTCCCAAACTCAATTCCAAGCTTTGGGTCAAAGCCTTAGGAAGAAAACTGGATCTAAGGGATCCAGAGGCAGATGATAATAGAGGTTAAAATGTACAGCACAGATGAGTATGGTTAATTACTGCAGATTAAGCCAAGCCTTCCATTTCATGGATAAAGGTCATGCTAGTATCCATGGCATAAATGCAGTAGGAGGGATAAAGACATAGGTGAGAGCAGATAATTCCTATTCTCTAGGCCCTCCTGCTTCATGGGTGCAAGCCACTTTAGCACCCATGGGAGGTGCCTGCCAAGGTCACCCAGACTCAGGGATGCAAGGATGGAAGAGGGAAAGAGGATGCTCTTCTTTGTCCCCCTCGTGTATCTGCTAGGAGGAGAAGGGAACCAGGGATGACTGCTCCCCTCTTTCTAGATGGATATCCATTCATCTTTAATCTATACCCCTTTCAAATGCATCCTGAAACCCTGGGGCTCCTTTGAAAAATGCCGTCTTTTTTTCCTTTCTCTTCCTTGGCTCTCTTTTCACTGACAGGCAGTTGTGTTCCCGTACTACAGGACACTACACTCAGATGTATCTTTCAAACTAGAAAAAGTTAATTTCCCAAACCTTAAACCGGTTGGCTTAGGATTGGGCTAAGAGGAAGGAAACCCAGAAGCCCAAGATGCTGGCTAAAGGGCAAAGGTTTTTTTGTTGTTGTTGTTTTTTGCCAGTTGAGCTTTTGGCCTCTCCCTCCCTGTGCAGACTGGTAAAAGGCCTCAGGACTTTTGAGCTGTCCTTACCCCTCCCCTTGTTTTGTTTTGGTTTGATACATGTTTTCTAATAACGGCTTGTCCCTTCTCGCCTTCAGGCCATGGAACTCCAACGGTCATGCAACCAAAGCCTCTGATAATGGCGCCTTCTTCTGGGAACCCTTCGATCAGCCTCGGAGGGAACGCTGACTGCCATTTCCCCCAAAACAGCGCCCCCTACCAGCAGAAGGCAGTTAAGACTGGTCTTCATCCTTGCGCTAATCCTTAATCTACGGGCAGTCAGATGTCCTTCTTTAGAGGGGGAATGAGACAGCCAGGCGGGAAAGGATCCCTGGACAAACTCCCAGCTGGCCTGCTTACTGGGAAGAGCGTGCATTGGGGTGGAGCCTTGGGAAGTTTGCGCTTTGCGGCTGGGGAGGAACCCAGCCTCTCCTGTTTGGTTGTGGAACCTGGGATTCAATCTGTGAGGCAGGACGCCCAGACTAGCAGGACTCGTGCTCTGCTAGAGTCCTTGTTTCCCCTTTTTTTCCTTTTCACCCAATAAATTCCATTTTTCTCACCCTTCAAAGTATCTGTGAGCCTAGTATTTCATGGCTGTGTGATAAGGACCCAGCTCTTAGCTGAAATAAGGAGAAAGTCCTACAGCATATACATGAACTCCCCTCAACACCAAGTCTCAATGTCCTATTTATTATTATGAGACCTGATGTTTACTGACTGCTTACAACATGTCATGTATTCCTCTCTACATTTCAGGAGTATAAATATTTGTTGAAGGAATAAATGAACTAAATGAATTAGTGTCCATCACATTATGAAGTAGCTGTTCTAATTGCATTCATTTTACAGTGAATAAACTGAGGCACTGATAGGTTGAATAACTTTCCCATGGCCACCCAACCAGAAGGGAGAGCAGGGTTTGAATCAGGTCCTCTGCTTTAAACAATTCTGCTCCTTTGTTTAAGGAAATGATACCACCATTGAACCTGACACGTGGAATAAAAGACTCAGATTTATCTCTTTTACTTCCATCTCTGCCCCAAATACCCCAGTAACAGAGTCAAGTTCTCCAGATGACCCATCATTTCCCTCCCACTCCAGATGCTGAGACCTGCTTAAATCTAACTCAAACTCTCCCTCACCTCTCTCACCTGAACTCCTGCATTAACTTCCTACCTGGCCACCCAGTAGTCTCTCTTCCCTCGATCTATTTTGTACACAGACAAATCCAGCTGTGTACTTCTTTTGTTCAAGATTTTAATTCATCCTGAATGACTAAATAAACTTATGCTTCTTAATTTTCCCATTTAATTCAGTTTATGACTCTATAGATCACTGACCTACCTCCAAGGATCTTCTTCTCCAGCCAAATCCTGTTCTTCTTCCTCTTTGAACACTCCTGGGGCTTTAGCACTTCATCCGTCCTCATCCGCATGGATGTCCTCCTGGCTGGTCTGTCCTGTGAAAGCCTCTTCCACTATTCCATGCAGCCTTCTCAGAATCCCTTCAGGCAGCAACAAATCAGAATTCCCTACAGATAAATGGCAAAAAAGCACATGAAGTTCTCAGCTTCTTGTCATCAGGAAGTTGCAAATCACCATTATGATGAAACTACTACATACTTGTTAGAATACCACAATTCAAAAGACCACAAATAGAAAATGCCTGTGAGAATGTTGAGCAACAAAAGCTCTCATACCTTGTTGATGTGCAAGAAGAATGGTCCATCTACTTTAGAAAAATTCCTGAGGCTGGGCACAGTGGCTCACTCCTGTAATCCCTGCACTTTGGGAGGTTGAGGTGAGAGGATCACTTGAGGCTGGGAGCTCAAGAAAATGTTCTGGCAGCTTTCTGATGAAACTAAACAATCTTAGCTGTTCTGTAACTAGGCATTTACCCAAAAGAAATGAAGATGTATGTTCATTTCTTCTGACCTACCTCCAAGGATCTTCTCCAACCAAATCCTGTTCTTCTTCCTCTCTGAACACTCCTGGGGCTTTAGCACTTCATCCGTCCTCATCTGCATGGATGTCCTCCTGGCTGGTCTGTCCTGTGAAAGCCTCTTGCACTTGCACAAGAATGCTCATAACAGTTATATTCAAAATAGACAAAAACTGGAAATGGTTTAAGTGATCATCAATAAAAGAAGAAGTGAACAAACTGATACATTCATACAATAGAATTTTCCTCAGCAAAAAAGAAACAAATTATTGATATATGCAAGACATGTATGATTGGCAAATAACATTATGCAGTGAAACATAAGTCTTACATGAAAGAGTACATTTTATATGAAGTTTCTATAGCAGGCAAAACTAATCTATGATAGAAAAATCAGAATAGTGGTTACATCCTTGGGATGTAGGTGAGGGCTGGCTGAGAAGCAATATCAAGGCCTTTCTGGGGAGATAGTGACATTCTGTACCTTGAGAGAGGTTGGGTAACACAAGTTCATATATTTATCAAAACTCATTGAATGTATACTTAAGACTTGCATGTTTCATTATATTTAAATTTATAGCAAGAGAAAAAATGTGTATATGAATATTAAACTTCAATTAATCCTATAAATACTGAAGTTTTTAGGGAAAAATGTGATGATGTGCAGTGTATTTTGAAATGCATGAAAAATAAGACGGTTTGGTGGACGGATGGAGGGAGGGATGAATTGATGGCTAGATATGGAAAAAGGCAAATACAGTAAAATGTTAGTAATAGACTCTAGGAGGTTTGTCCGCATATGGACATTCATGATAAAATTCAACTTTGCTGTATGTTGGGGAATGTTTTGTAATAAGAATTTGGGAAATAAAAGTTTACAGCTCTTTTCTTCCACTGAGTTTGAGATTTCTGATGTCTCTCCTGACTTCTCTTTAGCCCCCAATGCATAGTGCCTAAGGCACTGTATTAGTCTGTTTTCCCCACTGTAAAGAAAAACGTGAGACTGGGAACTTTGTAAAGAAAACAGGTTTAATTGGCTCATGGTTCTGCAGGCAGGAAACACAGCAGCATCTGCTTCTGTGGAGGCCTCAAGGAGCTTTTACTCTTGGCAGAAGGCAAAGCAGGAGCAGACATCTTAAACGGCAGGAGCAGGACTGAGAGAGAGAGAGTGCAGGGGGTGAAGGGAAGGTGCTACACACCTTTATACAACCAGATCTTGAGAGAATTCACCATCACAATAACATCCAAGGAAGTGTGGTGGCAAAACATGAGAAACCACCCCCATGATCCAATCACCTCCCGCCCAGTCCCACCTCCAGCACTGGGGATGATAATTCCACATGAGATTTGGGTGGGGACACAGATTCAAACCATATCAGGCCCTATAGTAATCAATAAATGAGTGGTTTATAAAATGCAACCCAAGGACCCTATGGTGGCCCTGAGGCCTTTACAAGGGACCTGCAAGGTTAAAATCATTTTCTTAATAATGCTAAGGTGCTATTTACATTTTAAAAATCATTCTTTTAGAAGTATACAGTAGGCATTTTTAGAGGCTGCATGACTTGCTGTATCTCAATCGATTAACTACAGAAGTCTCTTGAGAATCCAGCTGACTTTATTAAGCCAGGCAATAAAAAAATTTGCAAAAATGTAAAACAATTCCATCTTTGACTAATTTTTGTTGGTTTTGGAAAATGTAGTTTTATTTAGCAGAAATTTGTTATTTATGTTAACATGATAGTAGTTTTACATTGCAATTTTAAAATGTGTCAATACCTACTTTTTATAAATTAAATTAATTTTATATATGAAATAAATTTAAAATGTCACAGCTTTAATTACTAACATTATAAAGAACAATTCTTAGCAGTAGTAGTTAAAATCTAGATCAGTTTTAATCATGAGCATTCCCTTGGCAAAGTTTAGCTCAGTTTTATTTGCATAAATGAAGTTAGGGGATCCTCAAGATGTGTGAAGGGAAGGAGAGGTCCTGAGAACATAATGTGTGAAAGTCTCTGCAACTATAATTTATCACGTAAGAATGGGCAACTTCATATGAAGGTTAAAACACCTGCATTGGACTCTGGCTTTTTTCTAGAATTTACTGGCTGTGTGATCTTGTACTGGTTTCTTAACCTCTCTGGTCTCAGGTATTGATGTTGAAAATGAGAAACTAAGAGTATCGCTCTCACCTAGTTTGTCGAAGGCCTGTAAGAGCTGAAGGTAGGACGTACTTAGAGCATAGTGTGTGCGGGAAAAAATGTTTATAAAAAATAAGGCCGAGCCCATGTTCGAATCATTTGTACACATGGATTTTTTTTCTCTCTTCATGGATTACAGCTTTCTTCAGGGAAAGAGACTTTCTCACTTCCTTCTCTGCGTCACCACTGGAGCCTTAAACGTTATACACTTAGTTACCAGGAGACAGTGAAGTCAACAGCTGCCCAAGTCCCTGTATCCACAGAGTCCCTGTATACACAGCAGGCACCAGCCCATATTTATGGAATGAATTAATACGTATTTGTACAATAGCCTTAGTTGTATCCAGTTGGAAGTCAACTTATGGAAGGAATTGCAAATTTTTGAAGAAACTTATTTTGGTACTTTTATGTGTACAGATATTAAAAAGAGCCTCATTGGAAACAATTTATCTGAAAGTGGTTCACAAGGAAATTTCCTTAATAAAGAAACAAGAGTGACTTCCAATCAGTGTGTCAAGTGTTTACAAGTAAACAGATGCTTCTAGACACTTGGAAGTGCTTGAAAACTGTGTTCATGGAAGTAGTTTTAGTATTTACTTAAAATATTATTTATACTATACATTTATTTAATAGATGCTCTTCAAATAAAACACGAGATTAAATTTGAGTGTTAGCTCTAACTCAATCACTAACTTCAGATTAATAAGATTCCCACAGTGGAGAAATAACACAGATAGAACAAAGTCTCCCTGGCATACCATGCACAGAGATAATTTTGCCACGTGGCCAAGAGCATGCCCGAAGAATTGTCAATCATCAATGTGAGTTGCATCTGAAAAGAAAAAGCTCTGCCCCTTGGACTGTCTCATTCAGAATCAGACCGGATTTTTCAAGTGCCTTTCATGATAGACTAGGAGGGGAAGGGAAGAGGGAAAAGACCAGGGGATCCAGTGTCATGTCTCTTTCTTCAGCTATGCAAGTAACGCTGAGCTAAATTTTGCCAAGAAAAGGTTGATTATTGAAATAGATCTGGTTTCCAGTGACAACAGTTTGTAATTGCCTATTAATATGCTCACACAATGATGGCAACTTTGCTATGAATGTTTAATTCTAGAACGAGCTGACAAAAATAAATTATGGATGGAACATGCATTAACACAAATTGCTTTCATTTACCACAAGTTTATTTCAAAATGAATAGACATCTAAGAAAGAAAAATATTTTCATGTCTGTCTACTGATGTGATTATGTGGCCTGCTTTGATGGAACTGTACTAATGAATGTGAAGCCACTGCAGAAACACTCCCATCAAAGAGCTCATAATACTATCTTATAAATATTGCTGACACCAATTTTTACTTTACAGACTTTCTGCCTATTTTATTTAGAAAAAAAATTCAGGTACTTCGGATCTGTTGTATTTTACCATAATCTTTTAGTTCTTTACTGTCTTGGTTAAAATGCAATTTCTAAATGTTTCATTGCAGAGTGAACCCGTTCATTTTATTTTATGTCTAGCCTAAAATCCTTATGTGCTCCTGGCTTTTTGTCTTGGTGAAATGTCCTTTTGTTGCTTACATGCCAGTTCTCTCTCTGCTTATCTTGAACATTATTTTTGTTATTGAGATCTCCGTTGTCCTAAAAAATGCCAACATAGAATTTAGACTCTTCACCTGCATGGGTCTCCACGGTGAGTTCTGCAAGGTGCTCTGAGAAGCAGCCCCTCACCCCTGGGTCACTGTTCCTGGATCTGTCACCAGGGCACCTGTCTCTTCTCCCAAACGTGTTGCCTCAACTAGGTATTCCCAGGTACCTGCTCACTCTCCTTCCCCAGAGCCAATGTTAGCCTTGCAAAAATTGATTTATACCACAGCAGGAGACATTACAAGCATGGCGTACAGAGAAAAGGGTGTTTGGTCATGCAGGCCACCTGCCTTGCTGACCTTTCTCGGGAGCTCCCGGTCATTTCCTGCCTTGCCGGGCTGTGGCTTGTCCTTACATGTTCCTAGAACGTGTTTTCCTCCTCACTTATTACCTAACACTTGTCTCAACTCCAGTTAGCTCTGTATTTCCTGTTTCACCTCAATCTGACTTCCGACTTTGGCTAATTTATTCCCAGCCTTCGCTAAATATCCCACACTCCCACTTCCCACGGGACACGTTACCTTCATGCTCCACTGTCCTCTCTGGTTTCATTTCATTCCTGCAGTAATTTGTTGTTATGAGCCTAATGTTCCTCCTTTTCATCCTAAATTACCCTAAACTTGAGGTAGGAAATGGGTCCATGAAACAGATATCAAATATAAGTGTTTTAGTCTATGCAGGCTGCTATAGCAAAATGCCTTAAACTGGGTGGCTTCTAAACAACAGAAACTTTTTCCTCAAGTTCGGAAGGCTTAGAAGTCCGAAATCAAGAGGCTGCCAGATTCAGTGTTCAGTGAGGGCTCATTTCCTGGTTCACACATGGTGCCTTCTTGCATTGTTCTCACAGAGCAGAAGGAATGAGGGGTCTTTCTCTGGCACTAATCTTGTTAATAAGGGCTCTACCCTTATGACCTAATCACATCCCAAAGGTCCCACCTCCTAATACCATCACACTGTGGGTTAGGTTCTTAACATATGAATTTGGGAGGGAACAAACATTTAGTCCATAACAATATTACATAGGTATACTATATATTACAGAAACGTATTAAGATATTATAATATAAAGATATATTATATTTAATATATGATATTATATGTCATATATTTATAATATCTAAATATGTTATATTTAACATATAATATGTAACATATTATAATATATAATACATAATGTTATAATTTATATAATATGTAAATATAAAATGTTATATATAATTATATTATATATAATATATTAAATATAATAACATTAAGTATATATTATATCATATATTAAATATAGCAATACATATTATATATTTATACATATATTAAACATAATAATATATAATATTATATATTTATACATATATCTATATTTATCTATAGAGGGAGATATACTCCCAGTATATACATATATTCTCTCTCTATATATATAAAATATTGGTATCTATTCCCAAATATATATTAATATAGTAAATATTAATATATATCCTCAAACAAGAGCTCCTTTCTCCTTAAAAAAATTTTAGCATTTATGAATTTCTGCCTCTGTAATTTCCAGAATCTATGAGAATTTTAATTTTGACATTTTCAAATTGCAATTCAGTCTGTGTTGGAGAGGGGGGCTGGGAAGCAGACCCAGGCATTGGCATTGGAAGACAGATACAGTAAGTGATGTGCAGATAATTTTGTAAAAATAATCATAATTAATATAACTAGCTGAGGGTTTACTCTTTAAAAGTGAACTGTAACCAATATTCTTTTTCATTTGATTTATGTCTTTATTATTTAATGTGGTGAACACAAAATGTTACTAAGTTTCCCTAACAATTTTCCTTGTAAGGTCTTCAATTCCTCCATCCATTCCCTTCTTCTTAATTAAATTCACTTCAACTTTATTGATGATCCATTCTGTAGCTCTCACCACAGTTGAAACATGTCACTAAGATGTCATCCTTTCTAAAGGGATGCCCTTTACAAGTTTAATGACTGGAAAAGATTTGGAAAATGCTCACTTAGGATTCACTGCAATAAAATGCCACACATTGAGCCAGGTCGAGCTGTCTTACGGTGTGAATCTTTGTGTCTCCCCAAAATTCATGTATTGAAATCCTAACCCCTAAAGTAATGTGATTAGGAGGTGAGGCTTTGGGGAGGTGATTGGGTCACAGGGGCAGAGTCCTCATGAATGGACTCAGTGTCTTTAAAAGGAGGACCCAGAGAGACCCTCACCCTTGCCCCCATGAGAGGACACAGGAAGAAGTCTCCGTCTAGGAACTTCCAGATCTGCCAGTGCCTTCATCCTGGACGTCTCAGCTTCCAGAACAGTGAGAAATAAATGCTTGTTGTTTACCAGCCACCCAGATTAGAGTATGTTTTACAGCACCCTGAGTGGACTTAGACGAGCCACCACTGGACTCTATGGAAGTAGTGTCTGAGCCAAGACCTAAAGCGATGGCCTTAATTCTCAGATGAATGTACTTTTATCCCCTTCTGCCTTCCATCCAATCCGCTTGGAAAGGAAACACTATGATGCTGTACCTCTAGGATATTTTAATAGAAACTTGACTTCTTATTTGGTCCTCTCATATTTTTAGTGTATCTGCAGCACTAACTAAATATAACCTTAGTTTTGCTAGCCTGGATGCTATGTCATGCATTTTTCTATGGAATAAGAGCTGAATTACACTGTTTTTTGGGGGGAATTAAAAAAAACAAACCTTACATTTAATAACACATCAAAAGATATGCATGTATTAGTTTTCTATTGCAACTATAATTAATAATCACAAACTCTGTGGCTTAAAACAACATATATGGCCGGGCGCGATGGCTCACGCCTGTAATCCCAGCACTTTGGGAAGCAGAGGCGGGTGGATCACCTGAGCTCAGTAGTTCAAGACCAGCCTGGCTAACATGGCGAAACCCCATCTCTAGTAAAAATACAAAAATTAGCTGGGCATAGTTGTGGGTGCCTGTAATCCCAGCTACTCGGGAGGCTGAGGCAGGAGAATTGCTTGAACCCAGGAGGTAGAGGTTGCAGTGAGCCGAGATTGCACCATCGCACTTCAGCCTGGGTGACACATCAAGACTCTCTGTCTCTCTCTCTATACATACATATATATATATGTATTATCTTACAGTTCCAGAGATCAAAAGTCTTCCTGGACTAAGACCAAAGTAGTGGTGGGGCTGAGCTCCTTCTGGCGGCTGAGGGAAGGATCTGTCCCCTTGCTGTTTCCAGCTTCTAGACGCTGCCTGCATTCCCTGGCACATGACCCCTTCCTTCGTCTCCAAGCCTGCAGTGTAGCATCTACGAAGCTCTCTCTGACTCTTGACTCCTCTCCTGTCTCCTAAGGACCTTTCTGATCACATTGGCTCTACCAGATAATCCAAGATGGCCCCCCTCCCTTAATGTTAGCTGATTAGAAATCCTGATTCCCCTTTCCCATGTAACCTACATAGTCACAGATTCTGAAGATTAGGAGGTGGACATCTTTTCGTGGGGGTGGGGACACTAATCTGCCTACCTACCATACCCTTATGATTTCCTTTCTTTGAAAGCCTTACATCCCAAATGCTTGTCTCGTTTAAAAATCTGTACAAGTTCTGCTTCTTATGATGATGTAACAACCTCTTTCAGACCAACCAGCCTCCTGAGAACTAGAAAATCTTGAGATAAAAAAACCTCTTGAATGGGTTTAAGTGCATCAGAGAACTGCGTCAGTAGCTGGAAATTACAATACAATTTCCTAGAAGAACTCATGAGATAGGTTCAACATTCTCCGAGGCTTCATTCTTCACAACACTTGTTAATTCATGAGCATTGCAAAACCCAAGAGCTAAGGATTTGAACAGAAAGCAGCAGACGAATGCTTGAGAACCTGGGCTAAGGTCGGCTGTTGATACAACATGTGGAGTCAAGGGTTATTAAGGTACCCAAGATTTCAGGGGCTGCAGTCTAGAGAGGAAGGAAGTGTGTGAAGGTGAACATGACTTCCTGTGTCCCTCAGGCACTTGCCGATTTGTAAGCAGCTCTGGGCAGAGAGACACGGTCAGGGGAAGAGAGCAGAAGGGACAAAACTTGGAGTTCAGGGCCTGAAAAAAAGGGGGTGCCCTCACAAATCCTCCGGATTTCCAGGAAGAACCCTAGAACCAGAAATAGAACCGCCCTTTTGTGAAAATGACAGCCTAGTAGTGTCAAGCAGCTTAATCCCAGACTTGATTAAAGTAACCTCCTCATCACCCAAATGCCTTCTAAACAAAGAAAAACTTATCTTTACCCCACATATTTATTTATCTGTGGTGAGAACAATTATAATCTACTCTCAGCAATTGTCAAGTATACAATACAATGTTACTAAGCTTGAGTTAGCCATTCTGAAATATATACATACATCAAAACATCATGTTGTATAGCATAAGCATATACAATTTTCATTTGTAAATTTATGAAAATCAATCAAGTTAAAAAGCAAATATTCATTAGAGGAAAATGATTGCAGCAAAAGACTCAAGTTAATGGTACAGCTTTTTCATACTTAATGTCTGACCTTCAATAAACAATTACCAGGCCTAGCAGGAGGCACAAACAAATTACCAAAAGCCAACAGGCAAAACAGAAAACAGAAGCAGATCCATAGGAAATTCCTGCTTTTCTGGATCACATGCTCTGGGGAAAGCCAGTTACGAGGACACTCAAGCAGCCACATGGAGAAGCCCAGGTGGAGAGAAACACAGCCCCTGAGCCAGCAGCCAACAACCATCTGCCAGCCATGTGAGCCATGACTCCAGTCCCAGCCAACATCTGCCCATAAACACAGGAGGGATCACAAGCAAAACTGTCCAGCTGTGCCCTTTCAAAATTCCTGACCAATCAAGATTGTGAGAGGTAACAAGTGATTACTGTCGATTTTTTCAACATACTATGTTTTGGGGAGATACTTTGTCCATGTAGCATCAGAAAGTAATACAATGCCCAGCAATGCACCTGCATGTGTATACCAAAAGAAACATGTGTAATATAAATGTTAATATAATTGATAGCAAACCCAACTAAAATAAACTCAAATGACTATCAACAGTGGAATGGATAAATAAATTATGCTATACTCATACTAAGAAATACCACAAAGCAATGAAAATTCAACTACTACTATATGCAACAATATCAATGAATTTCACAAATATAATATTGATAAAAAGACTCCACATTAAGAAAAACTACCAACCAAATGATTCCATGTATATGAAGTTCAAAATCAGGCACAAATAATCTGTGGTGATAGAAGTCAGGTTGTAGTAACTTTTCAGAAGGCGGGCAGGTGGGCTTTGAGAAGGGACATAAGAAGTACTTTCAGGAAGCTTGTAACATTCTATTTTGTAAAAAATCAAAGTAGAGGATGGAAAGAGTCTTGATTTTTTGACAATTTATCAAGCTCTGCAGTTTATGTTTAGAAAAGTCTTATAGTGTTTCTACATATTTATGGCAATGCTGTTGAAAGTACACATAAGCAAATAAATCTCAGAATATTTGGGATAAATAATGACTCTTGTAGATATTTCTCCATTTTAAAATAGTGTAGCTTACCCTGAAGATATAGGCCTGCCATTTGATTAGAGAGCCTGGGTAATGAAAGAGCAATTTTTCTATTATTTGGCAGGCTCGTGTACCTGCAGCAGTCCCCGAGATGGAACTAGAGAGTGAATGATGGAGAGAAGCCTGCTTCATCTCGCTGCTGTGTAATGTGTTGTAGAGCTTGTCAATGCCTCTAGCTACTTGAGTTTCCAAAGCAGACACCAATCTCTTCCAGGACCCAGAATTGCTGATAATGCTCCGATCTGATTGCCCTCACACAGTGAAGGGAGAACCAGCAGCTGCCTGGAAGCAGAGCCATGCTGCGCCTGGGAGGAACAGGCACAAGGACGGCGGAACCCTTCTAGTGGCAGTCTTCACTGATTGATGTGATGGCCATGGGAATAAACAGGCATTCCCGAAAATTTGTCTTTGAGAAAGTGTTTTTAGTCTGGCAACTGAGATGTATCAGCCAGTTTTCAGCAAAGTCAGTTTTCCCCTGGATCAGAACCAAGGTTTTGCCTGGCTTCTCGGCTTCTGAAAAGCAGAATCAAATTTTATGATTTTTAACTTTGAAAATCATAAAACAGCTCCAACACTTGGCTGATTACAAAAACACCAACCTTAAAATTACTTTGCCTGCTTTAGAGATAAATTAGTTTGTTTGAGCTTCATTATCTTCTGTTTTCACAAATTAAACTGCTCTTAGGTTCTCTTTTGCTCTTAAAAGTTATGCAACAACAGTTTTTTTGTCCTCCACGAGGTTAATGTAATTTTCCTAATCAAGAGGGAAATGTGGAAGTTGTCCTCGTTGAATACATGTGGACTCTGGAAACTGCACAGTAAACACTCAGGTCCATTAACTAGAGGCCATTTCTTTCAACAAAAAAATAAAAAACTCTAGGGGAAATAGATTTTATCAACTCTAACATAAGTGTTTCTCTCCAGGGCAGCTGTATGAAAACATCAAGAAATAGCAATTAGAACCTTTTATTTGGTGCTGTGGCTGCCAGCATCCATCATTTTTAGAGACAGAAAAACTTCTGCTTTGATTTCTTGTTGTTAATCTCTCCTCCTGTGGGAAAGTTCACTGGAAATATAATTTGTATGTAATTGATTTGTATCTCACATCCAAATGCAATAACTCCTTAAAGAAAGTTTTTATTCTGAAACCCTGAACTGTAGTGAAGAGGGACTGCCCTCTACTCATTATATAATGTAAAAGAAAAACTATTTTAAAGGTTGAATGCCCTTTGTTTCCTTCTGATTCCAGACTCTATCTAGTTCCCTGTGAAAGTGAATTTTTAAAATAGGGCTTTGCAGCCTAACTGGAACAAACAAGAAACCTCAACAATGTTTCAGTTCAGTTGGACACATTAAATGACTGCCTGCTATGGGCCAGGAAATGCAGACTGTAGGGGAAAGTGGGTCTTTAGACGTGGCCTCTTTTATCATTGAAAAGTGTTTAATCCAACATGCAGACATTCTATAAGAAGGAAGAAGCTCTCTTTGGTTGAGGGTCACACACACACACCACACACAATTTTTTCACCATGTAAATTTGAAAGGTAATTTATCTTTTTTTGTTTGTTCTTTAGGACAGGAATAGAATAATCCTATTTATCTGTTTTTCACATTAGTCGTGGAAAATCACTTCTGGTTCAATTAATTCAATATGCTAAAATATATTTCCGTTGCAGATGGTTTAGGAGAAGAAAGATTGCAAAAAAGAGGGTTGTGGTGTCTGCTGTTGTTATGGGCTCTCTGGGGTGTCAATTTTTCAGGCTGGAAACCTCTGGGGCCACTGTGCCTTTGCTTGAGCTCTTGTCCTGCATCCAGGAAGAATGAGGTATGCAGATAAGTGAAGGGTGAAGAAGAAGAAGAGTTTTATTTAGCTTTAGAACAGCTCAGAGGAGTGGGTAACTCCTGTCTGTAGGCAGGTCATCCCTTCAGTTGTTCAGCTCTCAGCAGAGAAGAGGCCCTGGAGAAGGTGGCTCCTCTCCGCAGGCAAGTCATTCAGACGTGCTGCACGTCTCTGAAGTTCTCAGCAGAGAGGGTAGCTTCTCTCTGCCAGCAGGTGGTCTCTGAAGTTCTCAGTGGAGAGGGTTCTCCTCTCTGCAGCTGACTGTCCTGTGCTGCGGTCTCTCTGCCCTCTTCATCCACTGGCCATCCTCTGCTCTTCCTCAGAGGGGAGGAAGTGCTTGTGAATTGGCCCATGGGTGGCCATGGGGGGCCCAGAAGAGCCACCACAAGTCCCCACTCCCTTCCACTGGACTGGCAGCTGGTCCCCAGCCTTCAAGCCCTGAAGGTAGGGCCTTACTGGGGACCTGACCCTTTCCACCCAGGAATCAATCTGCCTCCCACTGCCATTTGTGGCCCCCAGATTGGGCCCCAACCTCCCACTCAGAGATTGGAGCAGGCTCTGGGAGTGGAGAGAGGCCAGGCAGCAGGAGAAGACACCCCTAAGCCTGCAGGGATGAGGAGGCTCCTTGCTGGGGACCCCAAGGGTTCAGGCTCCAGACACCCAGCTCCTGCACACGGGAGGGTGGCCACAGCTGCACCCAGGAAGGCAGATCCTGCCTGCTCCCGGCCCTCCCTCAAGAGCACAGGGGGCCCCCATCCACAGTTGCAGTTTAGGCGACTATAGCTCTGCCCAGGAGATCGGGGATCCTGGATGCTCCATAGAACAGGAGGCCTGGGTCTGCAGCTGCTGTTTAGGTGGCTGCAGTGGAACAGGGACCTCCCGTCCCAACTCAGAAGGGGCAGATCTCCTGCTGGCTCCATGGAGCGTGCAGCCCCAGCTGCGCTTCTCTGTTGCAGCTGGCATGATGGCAGCAGCCACTGCCGTCACTGTTGGGAGAGAAGCACAGACAGGAGGAACTGAGGTCGAGGCTCAGAGGCCGGGCAGGGACGCAGTTATTAAGGATTTCATTGGTGCCTGGGGTACGACAGGTGCCACTAGGCTTAGGTACAGTGGTGGAACAACATGGCATCCTGTGGCATGCCAGCATTCACAGTGCAAACACTTGCAGTTATGGCATCCCATATCTTTATGGCCAATTTCTCTACCCTACCCCCTACACAATTTAGTTTAGAAGCAAACAATATCATTGAAGAAGAGAAAGTGTGAACGAAATGTACCCACAGAAAATCTGAATTTGTGAATTATTGCTCAGTGCAGTATCAGATGTGTTGTGTCCAGTTGCACACACTGAGACTGAGCATTGGGGAATCTGAGACTCGATGGACTCTGAACCAGACCTAGGAGCATGTCGGGGTGGATGCAGTGAGATGAGCCCTCTGTGCCTGGATTCCCAACCCAGTGACCCTGTCAGGAAGAGCCAGGGTGTCAAGTCATGAAGATGAGCCTAAAGAGCCACCCAGCATGCACTGGCCAAGTCACAGGGGTGAGCCACTTGGTGGCTTGCGGTGTTCCCTTCTAAAAGTCATCTTTGCTTTTTCATCTTTGCTTTTTGTCTTCTTTTATCTTTGCTTTTTCACCTTTGCTTTTTGTCTTCTTTTATAGTTCCCAAAGTGAAGATATATCTCTGCTAAATAAACTCATCATAGCTTACACACACACACACACACACACACACACTTATACACACATGCATGTGCATATGCACGTGAGTTTCTCAATCATAAGGACCCAGAGTACATTCAGGTAATCAGTAATAGAAAGGTAGTTGTGTTCAGGAATGACACTTCTCATCTGCATGGCACGCAATGCACTCTGCTTTCCCTCTGTCTGTCCACTTTCAGAGCAGTTGCACTGAACAGGAAAAGATCTACTTCATCAACATCAAGACTGCATGTTCTTATCTATGCTAATATGTGATAGGCATGTTTCATAACTTCAACAGTCTTTATCTCTAGTTCTAAAATATTATATCATCTACATAGTTTCAGAAATACTATTGCACTCTAAAGGACAATAAAAATAGAATGAAAACTGTTTTGTAGTTCCCCCTTGATATGGTTTGGTTCTGTGTCCCTACCCAAATCTCATCTCGAATTCTAACCCCACGTGTTGAGGGAGGAACCTGGTGGGAAGTGATTGGATGTTGGGGGCAGATTTCCCCCATGCTGTTTTCATGATAGTGATGGAGTTCTCACGAGATCTGATGGTTTAAAAATGTGGCACTTCCCTTCTTGCTCTCTCTCTCTCTCTCTCCTGCCGCCATGTAAGACGTGCCTTGTTCGCCCTTCGCCTTGCACCATGATTGCAAGTTTCCTGAGGCCTCCCCGGCCATGCAGAACTGTGAGTCAATTAAATCTCTTTTCTTTTTAAATTACCCAGTCTTGGGTAGTTCTTTATAGTGGTTTGAAAATGGACTAATATACCCCTCAAGGAGACTAATCCTTACCTTGGATGGCGGTAAGGAACCCAAGTCCCTAAAGCCACATCAGGGCTGGTCTTCCCTTCTCCAGGAAGACTCCTTGATTTGTGATTGGCAGGCACAACGCCATTGTGCCACCTGCCATCCAGAATGAAGAGAAGCCTGCACTGGCACACCTCCATGACCATTTTGTTTCCTACTGTTTCATTAAATTGTGCCCAAGAAGCCTGAAGCCAGACAGCAGTTGAGGAGGGAGCGTTAATTTCTTTGCATCGTAAAATACTTCAGGGCTTTTCTTCAGTAGATGAGCTTTTGATGCCATGGAGGCATGCCAGCCACCTTTCTGGATCTTGACTACAAATCTTGCATGAGTTCACTTATCTCTAATATGTGTCTCCAAACCTCCAACTTAATTATTCATTTGCCTTCCCTTATAGTAACTTGCTTTTGATTCCTCTTACACATTTTATGCTTTCTCACGGAAGACGGCTTATTCTAGCTGAATATCTTGATTGCACCTTTCACACAATCAACACATCTTTAGGAAGCTCCAAGTGTGTGCCAGCCATTGCTCTAAGTGCTGGGGACTGGGTAGAGACAAAATGAATAAAAATTCTCACCCACAGGGAACTTATGTTCCAGTGGGTAGAAACCCATGAGCAGCTATCTATTTATTTCACACAATCTCACTTATCTCAAATCGAGGAGAAATTTGGAAGATACTTTAGAGAGGTAACCATACCACATGGCAGAAGAGCAAGGAAGATAGTGTGGGTGGTGTAGGGTGGGGCAGGGTTGCAGGGTGGGGAAATGACAGAGGGGTGGGGTGGGATGTCAGTGTTGCAGCACATTGTGGTGAATTGTGAACACTTTGGTTTTTACTTTGAGATGGGAAGACACCGAAAGGTTTTGAGTAAGCCAATGTCATTTTCTGCCATTGTGCTTCAAAGAATTGCTTGGCTCCTCAATGGAGATCTGACTGAAGAGGACCAGGATGGAGGCAGGAGGGGCAAGCAAGAAGCCACTGCAACAATCAAGGCCAGAAATGGCAGCAGCTGGGACAGATGGTCTCAGTGGACCAGGTGAGCTCTGCTCATGCTAGTGAAATGTGCTTTGAAGGCGGAGTCTTCCCCGCTCTCTAATGGCTGGATGTGGGATGAATAAAGAGGAGGCATTTGGCCTGAACAACTAGGAGGATGGCAGGGACATTTTCTGGGGTGGGGATATTGTCGGGGAGGATCCTGGCTTGAGGGAAAAGATGGCGACCTGGTTCTGGACATGGCAGGTGTAAGATCCCGGATAGATATCACTGGCATTGGATTATGCTGCCTCCCCTCAAATAGACTGGAGATATAAACCCCAGTACCTATGAATGTGACCTTCTTTGGAAACAGTATCTTTCCAGATATAGATAGTTAAGCTAAATTGAAGCCATCCATGCTGGGTTAGGGTGGGGCCTAAATCCTGTGAATGGTTCCTTTTAAGAAGGCCAAGTGAAGACACAGATATGCATACACGAAGGGTAGGAGGTGATGTGAGGGTGGAGGGAGAGACTGAGGCAATGCATCCACGAGCCATGGAATGCTGGGAGTTGCCTACAACCCCCGGACACAAGGAGAGCAGTGTTGAATGCATCCTCCCCTAGAGCTTTCAGAGAAAGCAGGGCCCTCTAACTTAGTGATTTTGGTTTCTGTCCTCTAGGATTATGAGATAATAAATTTCTGTACTTTTTTACAGCACCGTGTTTGTGGCGTTATGTTTTGGCAGCCCCAAGAAACAGATGGAAATGTGTAGGTGGAGATACTGAGCAGGTAGTTGGAAACTCATCTCTGAAGTCCAAGGGTGAGGTCTGGGCTAGAGGTACAAATGTGATAGTTGCCAAAAATCAGGAATCAGGTTGAGATTGGCAGGAGTGAGTATGGATAGAGAGGAAAGGGGCTTCGGGGACTTGAAAAGGGAGAGTTCAGGAGATGAGGAAGAGTAAGAAGGATGCTGAGAGATGCACCCAGTGGTTAGGAGTGGAACCAGATTGCTGGCATTCTAGAATTGAAGGGACGAGAGAGCTTTCCAGGCAGAGGGGATGATTCATGGTTTTGTGGGTGGTCATTTCTTCCCACTGTTTTGCTTGTAGTTCTCAAGAATGACTCGAACGTGCTGGGAATGTAACACTCAGAAATAGGAAGAGACTGACTGGAACAGCCCAGACTCTATTCCAGGTGCCCCCTGGAAACAAGATGTTCTTTGATGCTTTAGCCCAGAGGTTCTCATCGTCTCAGGGTATAAAACCCAGGGTGAGTTCCTCTCTCAGGTCCTGGTCCCTCAGTTGTAGTGAACACGGGGCATACACAGTCAAAACTACATTGGCCCCAGGCTGCTTCCTGGGCCTTGGGGAGACTGGCTCACCCTGCATCCCAGGTTCCTGTGTTCCTGCAGTCTATCTGGAAGTATTAATAATAAACCTGCTGCATGTAACCTGTGTGCATGGGTGTTCTGTCTCACTGTACTCAGACAAATCGGTAACCTGTGCACAGTGAACCTGCCTCACAATTGTGTCATATGCTGGTGAGAGTTAAGGTGAGTTAAGCATCTGTGTGTGGTTTAAGGTTAGGTAAGCGTGGATGTGTGGGGTAAGCAAAACAGAGGTCATCAGTGGCCTTGATAAGGGTTGTTCTGTTGAGGTGCTGGGAAAATTTTGATGAGGTGGATTCAAGGTGGAAGGATAAATAGACAACTCCCTATACGCACAACCATTTCACAAAGGGTGGAAATACATAGACTCAATTGCACATGGATTTGTGAAGAGGAAAAAGCCACATAGGCATGATGATTTAAGAGAAAACTTGAACTGCCTTCTAAGCCATCTCTATTTCCCCTCTGTCCCTTCTGTTTACTCTCCACCCCGCAACCAGAATGGTTCTCCTGAAAGGTGAGTTAGACCCTATTTTTCATGCTCAATCCCCACATCAGTTCCTTGATGCACTCAGGTTGAAAGCCAGCCATTACTTCTCTGAGTTTTGCGATCACATACTCTTCACACTTTCGATCCCCACTCTCCCAAATATTTTGAATATCACCCTTGGCTAAATGATATAGAGCCAGTATAAAATGCTTCTATAAATCTACAAGAAAAAGATGAAGAGCACAGTGAGAAAATGGGCAATAAATATAGAAAGACAATTCATAGAAGAGGAAATGCAAATAGCTAGACACTTCAATCTCACCAAAATACAGGATAAATGAAAGTTTAAGTAACAATAAGTTAATATATTCCACCCAGCAGATCCGCAAACCATAACAAGCACAGTAACTTCCCACACAGACAAGGATTAAGAGAAACAATGCTAACAAGCCCTTGCTGATTGAGATGAGAATTGCTACAACTTTTTGAAATATATTTCTCGAAATGTTATATACATATATCCTTTGCCCAGAAAACCCATGTTTTTAGAATCTATCTCATTACAATAAAAGCACCTTAGATTAAAAAAAGACAGGTGTAGTAATATTTCAAAGCATTGTTGAGCATCTTCAAAACTGGAAATATTCCATTTTGTATTCATACCACATGTTCTTTATCCACTCGTCCCTGGATGAACAACGAGGTTACTTCTATTTTCTGGCTATAGTGAATAATGCTGTCATAGACATGGGAATTGATGAATATATTCCTTAGCTTGATTGTAGCAATCATTTTACAATGTATTCATATATTGAATTATCACACTGTACACCTTAAATATATGGAATTTTTATTTGTTAATCATACAACAATAAAGCTGGGAAAAAGGAGACAACAAGAGAGATCAATGAACAATAAAATTGCTTTGTATCTTGATTGTATTGCTGTCATCATTTTTGTTGTAAGATTGTACTATGGTTTTTGTTGTTGTTGTTGTTTTTGAGACGGAATCTCACTCTTATTGCCCAGGCTGGAGTACAATGGTGTGATCTCAGCTCATTGCAACCTCCACCTTCCAGGTTCAAGAGATTCTCTTGCCTCAGCCTCCCAAGTAGCTGAGATTACAGGCATGCACCACCACTCCCGGCTAATTTTTGTATTTTTAGTAGAGATGGGGTTTCACCACGTTGGCCAGGCTGGTCTCAAACTCTTGACCTCAGGTGATCTGCCTGCCTTGGCCTCTCAAAGTGTTGGGATTACAGGTGTGAGCCACCGTGCCCGGCCTGTACTATAGTTTTAAAATAAATTATCATCAGGGGAACTGGGTAAAGGGTACAGGGGACCTTTTTGTAATTTGTTCCTTAGAACAACATGTGAATCTGGAATTATCTTGAAATAAAAAACTAATTTTTAAAATCTGCCAATAATCTGAACGTTTATCCATAGCTAATTTTTAATTGATAAATAATAATCTTTATACTATGGGACATTATTCTGCTGCTTCTTTCAATCAATGCCAAGTTTTCCCTTATTTTTGAGGACTTTAATTATGTATTTTTGAAAAAATGTTCTTGTTTCTGCACTGTACTTTTGTATATTTTTATCTTCCCTATCATCCAGCCTGGTTTTTCCCTGGATCTCCTGTTTTCATTCAGCCCCCAGTGCCCAGCTGTGCCTGGCATAGGAGGACAGAGGTCCTCTGGACAGCTCTGCAGACTTAGCCATGGATGAGCTCAAGGCAGCAGGAGGGAGTGGGCTGATGTGGGCTGGGTTGGGCAGCCGAGAGTCTCACCGCTTCATAGCCACTCTCGACGGCTCTCCTGTGCCCTATGAGCCACTCAAGAGCTTGCCTACAGTGCTTCAGTTCCCCAGTGAGTCTGGGTCTGTGGCATAGTGGGTTGCTTAGGAACCACTCTGTCCACTTAGGTTTCACCTTTCTTAGGGTTGCTAAGGCAGTTTCATTCATCTGTCTGCTTTTCAGCTTCCAAAATATTGTGGCTCTCGCCTTTCCTCACATTCCCTTTCTTCTTGTGGTTTATGCATGTTAACCCTTTTGCCATCATGTAAGTGAGTGTTCAGGGGGAGGATGATTAAGCTTGTTCAATCAGCCATCTTCATCCGAAGGGCCTGGTATCTCTTTACTCTGACTGTGATAACAAAGTGCCACAGGCCGGGTGACCTCAACAATCAAAATCTGTTTTTGCACATTTCTGGAGGCTGGAAGTTGGAGATTAAGGTGTTGGCAGGTGCGATTTCCTCTGAGACCTGTCTCCTGGCCTTGCAGATGGCAGCCTCCTCGCCGTGTCCTCCCACGGCCTCTCCTCTGTGCCTGCACATCCTGGGTGCCTCTCCTCCGTGCTAGTCTCCTCTCTTATGAGGACACCAGTCGTATTGGATTAGGGCCCACCTCAGTGACCCCATTTTTACCTAATTACCTCTTTAAATGCTGTATCTCCAAAGACAGTAACATTCTGAGGTAGTGGGGGTTAAGGCTTCAACATAGGAACTTTGCAACAACCCAGTTCAGCCTGTAAAAAATCAAAGTAGAACAGAAGCATCAGACTGGGGAGTGAACAGTGGCAGAGTCAGGATGGTTCCACGCTGCATATGACCTGTCTTTCAGGAGCGTGTGTGATGTGCACTGTTGGCAGCGATCTGTGCAGCCTTCACTTTGGACTCATGGCCAAGGAAGGCTTAAAAGCCACTGTCCCACACATCCTTTCTCTTGTCTTACAAAGCCATGGATTGTGACTCCCACCTATGCTGGTATTGCTCCGGGTGCCGCAGAACAGAAAATAAATTACAGCCCTGTATGGAAAGAAATGGCCTACTTAGGGTTTTCCCTGATCCTTTCCTTTTTTTTTTTTTTTTTTTTTTGAGATAGGGCCTTCCTTTGTGGCCCAGGCTGGAGTGCAATGACATGATCTCAGCTGACTGCAATGAAAACCTCCCAAGCTTAAGTGATCCTCTCACCTCATTCTCCCTAGTAGCTGGGACTGCAGGCATAACATCATACCTGGCTGATTTAAAAAAAAATGTAGAGATGGGGTCTCACTATGTTGCCCAGGCTGGTCTCCAACTCTTGGGCTCAAGCAATCCTCCCACGTTGGCCTCCCAAAATGCTGGGATTACAGGTGTGAGCCACCGTGCCTGGCTGATTCTTTTCTTCATACACTTTAAGAAGTTATTTTAGTTACCTATTTTTTTAAAGAGGAATTTGAGAGCAAAAATGCAATTAGATTAGGTTAAATGATGGAATATTTCTTAAGATGGAAGTAAAAATATTGTTTAGAGACAGGGCCTAAAAATATGGAGGTATTAATGGTGATTTAAAAATGAAGCTCTTGATTTTTCCAAACATCTCCACTCCACATTTATAATATTTAGTTCAGTTTAGCAAGCAAATGGGCTTTCAGAGTGACAGCACACATGAAATGCTTTCTACAGTTTGATGCTTTACATGCCTTAACACATATGTAAGCCTATTCACCTCTGAGGTAGCAAGTATGATTCTCCTAGGTTTAAACGGAGCTCAGAAAATCCTATTAGTTGCTCCAGATGCCAAAGCTGGCTGAAGCTGGATTCACACCAATGCTTTTCATTGATGCTATCCTGCTTCTACTCTAACCAGGACCAGCTAAAGGCTTCATGGGGCCCATGCGTGATGAAAATGTAGGACCTTCTCAATTATATTGTTGAGAATTTCAGGGCGGCAACAGCAGCCTATAAACTGAGTGCAAGGTCCTTAGCAGGGCTCTGTGAGACAGCACAGGTCCATACCTCAAACTCAGCCCTGCTCCCACCACCAACAGACAGCCCCACCAGACCTCAGGAATGGCCTTTTGGAGGTTTCTACATTCCTATGTGGTTTTCCTCCAAAGTGCTCTGAAGATGGAGTTACAGGCTCTGGGTCCTGCTAACTGGGCTAGTTCCTGGACATGCAGTCTTGGGCAGGTGTCACCACACTGGCTGCCTCCATCAGGTCCCTGGGAAGTCTCCCACTCACCAAGGGACTGACACAAGGACTGATGTGTTTCTCTGTTTGATTTAAACTCTATGATGCAAAACTGAAATCAAAGATGCCTCTAAAATGCTTTTTTTTTTTGGAGAAAACAGAAAAATTAACCTTTTTCCTAAATATTTTTGGAAAATAGTTTCTTTTTTATAAAAAGAGTGAGATACTTTTGCTATTAGTTAACTTCTGAAAAATGCTCTTGGTTTGGAAAGGAAACACAAGAAGAGACAGAGGTGAACCCTTTGGGATTTCTTGGTGTAGGCACTTGATATTACCTAGGGCTGCATTTTTATGTTGCTTTCTTGTTTTAAGTGAGGACTAAGGTTTATTTGAACAAGGTGAGCTGCATTCTTGTTTCTATTTGTTTCATTTTGCTCCAGGTTGTACCTACTCTGAGAGATTCTGCTGTTAGCACATGCCCTGGGGGTTCTGAGTCACTTGGAGTACATATAGCTAGAAAAAAACTGGAATTAGCTTTCAAAGTGTTTCAGGTTGTCAAGGTACCAGACAATATGTTTCTTACTGAGCTAAAGCTCCGGGGTTCTTGACATGGATGAAAAGAATAGGGCTGTTTCCATGAACCTCTTCCATTGGCCTCTGCGGAGGTGGTCGTGGAACAAAGTCCTGAAGGCCCTTCCTGGGGTGGGAACGGGAAGGAGCGGAGGACAGGAAAATGATGGATCCATTTTAATCACTTCAGGCAAAAAGAGTTTCTCACAATCTTATTATTTATCTGACCGAGCTCAACTATTCTATTTAAATTGAAAGTAAAGAACACAATAGCATGGGTAAAAATGTTCATGCTGGCATTCCCCAAAATAGGGCTCTTAATATATTTTTAAAGTTTATTTGTATTTGAAAATTTGTTGAAACGATGAAAAGAGTAAGAAAATTGAGGAAAAGGCGGGGTGCGGTGGCTCACACCTGTAATCCCAGCACTTTGGGAGGCCGAGGCCGGCAGATCACGAGGTCAGGAGATCGAGACTATCCTGGCTAACACGGTGAAACCCTGTCTCTACTAAAAATACAAAACTTAGCCGGGCGTGGTGGTGGGCGCCTGTAGTCTCAGCTATTCGGGAGGCTGAGGCAGGAGAATGGCGTGAACCCGGAAGGTGGAGCTTGCAGTGAACCGAGATTGCGCCACTGCACTCCAGCCTGGGTGACAGAGCGAGACTCTGTCTCAAAAAAAAAAGAAAAGAAAAGAAAAGAAAAGAAAAGAAAATTCAGGAAAAAATACTAAACATCTAAATATATTACCCAGAAAAGAAGATAGATGGGGAAAAAAAAGCTTGGCTAAGTAATTTGTGTCACTATGAAAGTAAGTTGAGTTTATCAGTTTTACTTCCAAGAGATTGAATAAGAATTATTTTTTGCAATTCTGCTTGTTAGTTTTTCGCATGAACATCTGAATATGCAATAGTGATCAATTTAAATAGCTGTTGAAAGTGATAACATTTCTTTTTAAAGAATTCAAATCAAAGCAATTAGGTAATCTTAAATATCTACGACGTGATCCCACAGTGAATTGGAATTGACTTTTCCAGCTAACTTGTGCATAGAATTGAGTGTTATCCAAATGAGAATAGTAAAATGTATATTGTAGCAAGTGCAAATATAGATGTTACATTTCAGAAAACTCTTACTTAGTTTCATAGCCTTTATAACAAATGTTCTGATTTTTTATTATGTAAGTTTCACTTTTTTGTAACATCAAATTTCTGTCAGGACTTTTTTAAGAGAGAACAAACCTCACTCTTGGATCACAGTGCGTGCAAGTCAATGTCATATGAAGGTTGGGCAGGGAACATGCTTTAGGGAATACCTATTAATTTTGACAATTGTTTCAACTCTATTCTTTGTCAAACTTCCTATTTAAATTATCTTCCATGTGTAGCATTTCTAGGCACAATTCTCTACACCAGCAGTTCCCAACATTTTTGGCACCAGGGACTGGTTCGTGGAAGACAATATTTTTCTACCAACTGGGGGTTGGAGGGGAGAAGTCAAGTGCATTACATTTATTGTGCTCTTTATTTCTAGAATATATTACATTGTAATATATAATACAATAGTTATACAACTCACTATAATGTAGGATCAGTGGGAGCCCTGAGCTTTTTTTTCTGCAAATAGATAGTCCCTCCTGGGGGTGATGGGAGACAGTGACAGATCATCAGGCATTAGATTCTCATAAGAAGCATGCAACCTAGATCCCTTGCACGGCAATTCACAATAGAGTTCATGCTCCTAAGAGAATCTAATGCTGCTGCTGATTTGACAGGAGGTGGAGCTCATGCAGTCATGTGAGCAATGGGGAGCAGTTGTACATACAGATGGAGCTTTACTTGCTCATCTGCTGCTCACCTCCTATTGTGAGGCCCCATTCCTAACAGGCCACGGACTGGTACTGTGGGTGGGGGTGGGCCCTGCTCTTCACTTTCTTTTTGAATGTTCACTGTCACTGGTTTAAGACTACCTTCATTTCGTGAAAATGAAAAACAAACTCAGATCCATCCGTGAGTAAATCCCTTGTTTCTATGCTGAGGTGTGGTATGCCCTTCACACTGTTCCCAAATTAAAACATGAAAAACTATGAGCTAGAAAAGTATGACAAATTAGTTATAAAGGAACAAGAATACATCAAATGATCCCAATGCCTGGAAGCAGACCTCCCCGAACTGTGCTGGGAAGATGCTCTTCCTTACAGCCTCTGGGGCCGCTGGCTGCCAGCCTGCTGCAGCATCTGGGGCAATGAACATCCTTGGAAGCCCCTTCCCCAAGCTGACTCTCCTCTTACTTGTCTTTCCCTTTGTTTCTTCCTTCCTACTTGTGCCTGGGTTATTGCAACAGTGTCCAGGTGTCCCATCTGTTCTTGCTTCAAGAGACCTGCAGGTGACAGACACACATTTGTTTGCTCTCAAACAAATCTTTCCCATTTAAATTGCTGTCCAGTTGTCATAGAAAGTCTAACTCACAGGGCTTGTCTTGTGAGATCCTCTAAAACTTTTTTACCTAAGCCACCCTTGCTGCTCAAGATTGTCTGGGATTATCTGAGTGGACTATGAATGTAATCACAGTGTCTTCATAAAAGAGAGGGGTGACACCAGTGGGGGAGAGGCAATGATGGACAGACAACCAAAGCAGACCATGGGAGAGGCCAGTGCCAATGGTCTCCCGCAGCCAACAGAAGGAGCTGTGCTTTCAGCCCCTTAAGACTAATTTTGGACTTCTGACTTCTGCAATTTTAAGATAAACAAACCTGTCTTGTTTTAATCCACAGAATTTGTGAGTTTTGTTACAGCAGCCATAGGAACGAATGCATGACTCAGAGGCAGGAATTATTAGCTCAATGGTGACTACGCTTGTTCTTTGTTCCACACTTGCTTAGGAGGTGCTGCTGTCTTCTAAATTCAAATCATTCTGCTGTAAACCCAGGGGCTGTTCTCCACACTGCTAGACCATTGTGTGTTTTTATCTCTTAGAATATTTATTTTTCCCCAAACTCAGTACAATACATCTTTCTGTCCAAACTCAGATTTCATTTCATCTCTCCCCTCAGAAAGCTTCTGCACATCTAACAATGTCTTCCCAATGTTCCCAACCCAACAATTGAAGATGACCTCCCCTCTCCTCTTCTTTGAGTTACATAGTGGTTATATCTGCAGCATGCAGTTGAACAGTCTTTACCTCCCAAACTGTTCTATCAGCTCCTTTAAGGCAAGATTCTTGTGTCAGGATAAAAGCAAGCTTGAAGGCAACAACGCCCCAAACCCCTGCCTTGGGGAGCACTCTTCTGCTGCTTCTTGCTAAACATTTTCCAAGGTGTGGCTACAGTAACCTGGCCCTTTGTGGAAATTCTCTCAGTTGGGGTTTGCCTAACGTTTTCTCATGGTTAGATTGAGGTTCTGCATTTTTGACAAGAATAATGCCAAAGTGAGACACCACGTGACCCTCTCCATCGCAAGGAGACTCAAGGGTGTGTGTGTGTGTGTGTGTGTGTGTGTGTTGGGAAAAGGTGTTCTTGTTAGGAGAGGAAGCCACACCTGTCCTACTATCTCAGCAGGTGGGGAGGAGGAGAGAAATGGGATCTGGGGCATGGAAATGGGCTGCAGCTCCAGGACCTTCTTGAATCCCACCATGTAGGGGAACACTGCCCTGGAGGTAGGGATCTTGAAATTCTGCCTTTTCAAGAGCAGCATCTAAAATACCATTGTCTTAATAGAAACTTCTGTTTCCAGGTCTCTTCTGAGCCCCCTGATTTTTTTCCCCTGAGTCTTTCCTTATTGAAGCCTTTCAATTCCTTCTCTAATGAGTCTCAAGATTTTCTGGGTTTTGTTTTTTTAACCCCCAATTCCCATTACCTCCCTTAGTGGTCAGGTAAAATGGTGAAGCTGTGAGGCCTGTTTTAGCTTAGGTGATGGGGCCTTTACTTGTTTAGGTCATAAATTCACGTAAACTCCAAGCATGGAAGCCATGCATGATGAATTTACCTTACTCTTTCCACTGCACTGCATTTACTTTTTATTTTAGAACATGGACAATGCTCCTTTTCCTTGACACTTGTAGGTCACTGGCATTGACTTTAACCAGCTATAATTGAGCATGAAAAATGCATTGAAGACCCTATGAACAAAAACATCAACCTAAAGCCTTTCCTCTGTGGTATATGTGGCTCTTTCCCTTGTGATGTCATGACGATTTTTATAAATAAGTAGCTGACAATTGAGAAAGGAAAAGTTGTGATCTTTGAGTCCTCCAAACAGATTAAAGAAGGAATTCTCCAGTCATCAAAAATAAAAAATCGTTGAAGCCCTTCCCTCCATCTCCTGTGTCCATGAGACAGAAGTCTGTTCCGTAGAAAGTGCAACACAACTTGTCACTCAACTGAACTGAGAAGTTGTCCATTTTCTGCGCCCAACCGCGAAGAGTCAACAAGCAGGGGGAGTAAGAGAGCATTCAGGCAGAGGTCAGAGCAGTTTTTAGTTTGTGGAGGATCTGAAGGAGAAAGGGGCTATCTGGATTTTGTTCTGCTCTCAATAATGGCACATTAGCAAGAGTGAGAGTGTCTTGACTTTGCTAGTGTCCTGGGGATAACGGTTTCCTGTAAGCAAAAAGCAGAGGGAGGAATGATGAGGTTGTGTCTGAAGAGTGTGGAAGGACAGGGGCATGAACTTTGACATAAATGAACCACACAAATCCTGCCTTCACTTGGAGGGAGTGGCAGGCAGAATTGGGCTCCCCTAAAAGATGTCCATGTCCTAATCCCTGGAACCTGGGAATACATTATATCACAGATGGACATGGAATTAAGGCCTGTACCAGACCTTGAAATGGGGAGATTATCCTGGATTATGTGTGCGGGATCAATGTAATCACGTGAGCCCTTAAAAGTGGAAGACGGAGGCAGAATCCCCAGAGGGATGAATCTCCAGAGGGAGGAAACAGCTAGGGGCTTCTGAAGTGTGAGAGAGACTCAACCCAGTGCTGCTGACCACAAAGATGGAGGAACAGGCATGAGCCACAAAGTGTGGGTGGCCTCCAAGAGACAGCCAGTGAGGAACAGGGGCCTCAGTCCCATCACAAGGAACTCTGTCCTGCTCTGTCCTGTCAACCACCTGGATGAGAAGGAAATGGGCTTCCTTAGAGCCTCCAGGAAGGAACTCAGTCCTGCCGACATTTTGATTTTAGTATGATGAGACCCATGTCAGACTTCTGACCTCCAGAACTGTGTAAAATTATAAAATTGTGTTGTCTTAAGTTGCTAAATTTGTGATTAATTTGCTACAGAGCACACACACAGCTCAGTGGCCCACAGGAAAGCATCGTGTGTACAGAGTGCACGCAGACAGTGAAGATAAAGATAAAGGGAAAGATTTTACATTTTATGCACAATTTTCCATTCCAAGGTGGTTCAAAAGCTTTGAATTCATGGGCTTTGTCACAGCTGTTTGCTAACACAAAATTGAAGTTGCTGGAAATCTAATCTTTGGGTAAACAGAATGCTGCTACGGCTGACCATACAATGAGACATAACATCCACTTGGGCTGGGAATTAATAGCTTGTTTGTTTTATTGTTTTCTTTTATTATTTTCCTATTTAACTATTCACTTTGTTTCCAATAAACATCATGTTTTAGAATAACAATGTAACAATATGTTGTACCCTGTCTCGTATTTTGCAGCAGGAGCTGGAAATCTGAAAAACATTTTTCTCTCTTTTCAGTGGCAGTGTTCTGAATTGCTAAATTGCCACAATTTTTCAGACCCAGTAAGACTTCCAGGTCATATTGAGTGTCTGCCATGAACTCCTGATTTCCTGCGTATTCTTCCCACTCGTGCATATGTTTCTACTCGTTTTACCTATGGTCTGGCATGTGGCAGGGTCACTTAGTCCATACAGACATCATGTATTTTCGAGGCCACAGAAAGCAATGATTTTCAAAGATAACCAAGGACAGCCCCAGAAATTGCCTTCAGTAGACATATCAGGAGAGATTTTGATCCCTTAAGACCAGACCTAGATGGAGCTTGATTTCCTGCACTCTTGGAATCATCCCTGCTGACTTTTGGGCCCTCTATTCCTTCTTTCTGACATTCAGCTCCCTCTTGCTGCCTGTGGTCTTCACCTTGTATTATTGGAAAGGTGCTGACACTTTTTAACCTAACTCCTGTTCGTGCAATCATTATAAATGTATATGGCATTTAAAATCTCTTGGCTTTAAGTCTTAATAAGTACAGATTTATTAAAGGATGACCAGAGTCCCCATGACCACTATAGCCTAGGGGAACCCTATTTCACTAGCTTTCCTCCAACCTGATGAGGACCCTCCAGTTCCATGCAGAGCTTCCTCCCCAAGTGTTTCTGGGCATCCCTTTGAGATACCTTGTATGTCTCATAGGACATGGTGCTGTTGCAGACACACCCATTTCTGCCAAGTGCTGGCTGTGGATTGTTCTGCCACAAACACTGCAGTCTCTAGCTAGGGGTGACAGCTGCTCTGCCCAGCACTGCAGTTCATTGCTACCAACAGCAGAGACTTTAAGCAAGCAGAGCTTCACATTACTGTGTCATGAGGTGTGGGGTAAGAGCCCTGGGCTCTTCATGCAGGATGCCTTGCTAGATGGGTCCCCTGGAAATGTGGCCTGCATTTCATCCTCTTGCAGTGATTTTAGCAAAACAGACCTCTGTTTTTCATTGCAAATTCTTCCCTCCATAGAGCTCAGACCCACATCTAACAAAATATGTGGATGCTTTGTCCTTCGTGGAATTTCCCATCTCTTCTGAGAATCAAAGCTTTGTTCCTGGGTTGATTTCACTTTGGGTGACCCCAGGCTCTCCTTCTCTCTATGTCTTATCAAACCAGGACTTGATCTGCTTCTGTGCCTGAGTGCCCTCCCAGGAGAGAATCATGCAAGCAACCTGCAGCTCTGAAAAGAGTCTAATCCATGAGCTCATTTAATATGCCAATGGATGACTAGCATCCCATCGTCATCCGTACCATCTCAGAACACGAAAAGGAGGTGCATGCGCGCAGTTCCTCGTGACGGCTTTTCACCCACACCTTCAGAATTCTTTGCTTCTTTTGCAGCTTGCAGTGCACTTGAATGTGGTGGGTTGGATTGTCATGGGTCAGATCTTCAGGGCTGGATGATAGCTTGCTTACTTCTGTTATATTAAGCCTAACCTGGCATATAACACACAGTAGATCCTTATGAATGTTTCAAATACATTTTTCATGAAATACTAGACCAAATTAACCAACGATAAAGACTTGGTAGGTTGATCCTCATCTTTATGGATATTTGTTTGATTTCATTCTCTACTCTGGTTCTCCTTGCACACAGTTACTCTATGGGGTTCATCTCCTAGCTTTGTGCATCAATACTTATAGCTCCAATGTTATCAGTTTTATCAAACATTAGTAGATTTTTTTTTTTTTTTGAGGCAGAGTCTGGCTCTGTCACCCAGGCTGGAGTGCAGTGGTGTGATCTTGGCTCACTGCAAGCTTCACATCCTGGGTTCACGCTATTCTCCTGCCTCAGCCTCCCGAGTAGCTGGGACTACAGGCGCCCGCTACCACGCCCAGCCAATTTTTTGTATTTTTAGTAGAGACGGGGTTTCACCGTGTTAGCCAGGATGGTCTCGATCTCCTGACCTCGTGATCCGCCCGCCTTGGCCTCCCAAAGTGCTGGGATTACAGGCATGAGCCACCGCACCCAGCCACATTAGTAGATTTTTAAAAACAATTTTAGGTTTCTGGAAAAATCTATCCTATAATAGAGTTCCCCTGTACCCTTCTCTTCTCCAACACAGTTTCCCCTATTATTTACATACTGTGTGGTATATTTGCTAGAATTTATTAACTAATACTGATGGATTAACTATGGTCCACAGTTTCCATTAAGGTTCAGTCTTGGGTTGTACACTCCATGAGCCTGACAAATGTATAATGGTGTGTTTGCATCATTATAGTATGATAGAGAATATTTTCACTGCTCTAAAAAATCCTCTGTGCTCCACCTATTCATCCTGCCTTCCCCCACCCCCTGGCAACCACAGATCCTTTTGCCGTCTCCATGGTTTTACCTTTTCCAGAGTGTCATGTAGTTGGAATCATACAGTATGCAGCCTTTTCAGATTGGCTTCTGTCACTGAGTAATAGGCATTTATGGTCTCTTCATGTCTTTTTATGGCTTAATCATTCACTTATTTATATCACTTAATATTTTATTCATTTACTTATTTATTTATTTATTGTTGAGACAGTGACTCACTCTGTCACTCAGGCTACAGTGCAGTGTCACAATCTCTGCCCACTGCAACCTCCACCTCCTGGGTTCAAGCAATTCTCCCACCTCAACCTCCTGAGTAGCTGGGATTACAGGTGCCTGCCACCACGCCCAGCTAACTTTTGTATTTTTCTTAGAGACGGGGTTTCACCACGTTAGCCAGGCTGGTCTTGAACTCCTGACCTCAAGTGATCTGCTCACCTCGGCCTCCCAAAGTGCTGGGATTACAGGCATGAACCACTGTGCCCAGACATAGTCTTTCATTTATAGTATGATAGAGAATATTTTCACTGCTCTAAAAAAATCCTCTGTGCTCCGCCTATTCATCCTGCCCTCCCCCACCCGCTGGCAACCACAGATCCTTTTGCCGTCTCCATGGTTTTGCCTTTTCCAGAGTGTCATGTAGTTTATCTCTTCACCTATTGAATGACACATTGGTTGCTTCCAAGTGGTGGTAATTGTGAATAAAAGCTATTTTAAATGGTGGATGGGAGAGAAAGGAAACACAAACCCAGGTTCAAGCTAAGATGAAAATTAACAGTGTTCTTAGGGGACATACATAATGAAGTCTTCTATAGCTTTATCTTAGTTTTATTTTATTGTATCTCTGTTATCTATAATATAAAACATTTCTAACTTTACATTATTCTTTGCTTGAAATTTTCAGAGAACTTGCTGTAAAACTTAGCATGTTACACAACAAGCATACAAAGATCAAGCCTTTTATTTTTTTAAAAAACTTCACAAGGCAAGAAACATTTGTGTGCCTATGAGAATGTTGATACAGAGAGCATATGATAGAGATTGGTTTTCTCTAAGGCTTTTGACGGAGATTCCCGTCACAGCTGGGGTTGTCTTCTCTCTGCTGCTTCCCCCTTGCTTCACTTAACACATCCATGCAAGCCGTGCACCAGCTAAACCCTTGTAGGAAGCAATGGAGATGTCTGTGATCAGAGGATCTCGCATGGATAGCAGCACTGCAAGCCTGGGCAGGCAGCTGGAACCTCAGCACCCACTCCTGGGAACTCTCATTACTCACTGATTCCCGGATTTGAGAGAGGGAAGGAAAACACTCTAAAATTATTTTAGGTGAACATTTTAGTAAAATGCGTAACACATTTGTTTCTCAATGGAGTTGCTACCAATCAACCCAGCAATCTGCTACAGGTGGTTTTGCTTTTGCTGCACCCCATCCTCATACAGCATTAAGAGATAGCTCGTGGCCAGGCGCAGTGGCTCACACCTGTAATTGTAGCACTTTGGGAGACTGAGGCAGGTGGATCACCTGAGCTCAGGAGTTTGAGACCAGCCTGACCAACATGGTGAAACCCCATCTGTACTAAAAATACAAAAAAATTAGCCAGGCGTGGTCACAAAAAAAAAAAAAAATTAGCTGGGTGTGGTGGTGGGTGCCTATAATCCCAGCTACCCAGGAGGCTGAGGCAGGAGAATCACTTGAACCCGGGGGGCGGAGGTTGCAATGAGTCAAGATCACGCCACTTCACTCCAGCCTGGGTGAAAGAGCAAAACTCCATCTAAAAAAAGAGAGAGATAGCTCTTATGATCACTGTGGTTTCGATATCCTAGTCTCTACACGTACAAGGATGTATCACCCACTCCAGCCTTCTCACCTAAATTACAGGCAGCAGGGAATGAGGCACGTTTTATCCAAAACAACTGTTAGCAACATACGACTGTTTTGTTTTTTTTTTTCAACTTTTATTTTAGGTTCAGGGATACATGTGCAGGTTCTTTTGTTTTGTTTTATTTATTTATTTTTATTTATTTATTTTTATTTATTTATTTTGGAGATGGAGTCTTGCTCGGTCTCCTAGGCTGGAGTGTAGTGGCATGATCTCTGCTCACTACGACTTCTGTCTCCTGGGTTCAAACAATTCTCCTGCCTCAGCCTCCTGAGTAGCTGAGATTACAGGTGTGCACCACCACGACCAGCTAATTTTTGTATTTTCAGTAGAGATGGGGTTTCACCATGTTGTCCAGGCTGGTCTGGAAATCCTGACCTCAAATGATCTGCCTGCCTCGGCCTCCCAAAGTGCTTGGATTACAAGTGTGAGCCACTGCGCCTGGCCCAGGTTTGTTATATAGGTACATTGTATGTCATGGGGGTTTGGTGTACAGATAATTTTGTTACCTGGGTAATCAATGTGGTACCCAATAGGTGGTTTTCTATCCTCACCCTCCTTCCACCCTCCACCCTCCAGTGTACCCTGGGGTCTGCTGTCTTCTTCTTTGTCCATGTGCACTCAGTGTTTAGCTTCCACTTATAAGTGAGAGCATGCAGTTTTGGTTTTTTGTTCCTGTGTCAGTTTACTTAGGATGATGGCCTCCAGTTGCATCCACATTGCTGCAAAGGGCATGATTTCCGTCTTTTTTAATGGCTGTAAAGTATAGTATGGTACATATGTATCATATTTTCTTTATTCCTTCTATCATTGATGGGCATTTAGGTTGATTCCATGTCTTCACTATTGTGAATAGTGTGGCAATGAACATATGTGTGCATGTGTCTTTATGGTAGAATGATTTAAATTCCTTTGGGTATATACCCAGTAATGGGATTGCTGGATCAAATGGTAATTCTGTTTGAAGTTCCTTCAGAAATTGCCAAACTGCTTTCCACAATGGCTGAACTAATTTATAGTCCCATCTGCAATGTGTAAATATTCCCTTTTCTCTACAACCTCGCTAGTATCTGTTATTTTTTAGACTTTGTAGTAATAGCCATTCTGACTGGTGTGAGATGGTATCTCACTGGGGTTTTGATTTGCATTTCTCTAGTGATTAGTGATTTTGAGCTGTTTTTCATATCCTCGTTGGCCATGTGTATATCTTTTTTTGAGAAGTATCTGTTCATGAGCTTTGGCCACTTTTTAATGGGGTTGTTTTTTGCTTGTAAATTTAAGCTCCTTATAGATTCTGGATATTAGACCTTTGTTGGATGCATAGTTTGCAAATATTTTTTCCTATGCTGTAGCTTGTCTGTTTACTCTGTTGATAGTTTCTTTTGCTGTACAGAATCTCTTTAGTTTAACTAGGTCCCATTGGTCATTTTTTTTTTTTTTGGAATTGCTTTTGGCATCTTCATAATGAAATCTTTGTCCAGCTCTATGTCCAGAATGATATTTCCTAGGTTACCTTCAAGGGTTTTTTATAGTTTTAGGTTTTACATTTAAGTCTTTAACCCATCTTCAGCTGATTTTTGCATATGGTATGAGGAAGGAGTCCAGTTTCAATCTTCTACATATGGCTAACCAGTTATTCCAGCACCATTTATCGAATAGGGAGTCCTTTCCTTATTGCTTGTTTTTGTCAACTTTGTCAAAGATCAGATAGTTGCAGGTGTGTGGCCTTATTTCTGGGTTGTCTATTCTGTCCAATTGGTCTATATATCTGTTTTTGTGTCAGTACATGCTCTTTTGGTTACTGTAGCTTTGTAGTATAGTTTGAAGTTGGGTAATGTGATGCCTCCAGCTGTGTTCTTTTTGCTTAGGATTACCTTGCCTATTTGGACTCCTTTTGGTTCCATATGAATTGTAATTTTTTTTCTAATTCTGTGAAGAATGTCATTTGTAGTTTGATAAGAATAGCATTGCATCTGTAAATTTCTTTGGGCAGTATGGCCATTTTAACAATACTGATTTTTCCTATCCATGAGTATGGAATGATTTTCCATTTGTTTGTATTGTTCCCAATTTCTTCAGGCAGTGTTTTGTACCTTTCATTGTAGAACCTCCCTCATTAGCTGTTTTTCTAGATATTTTATTCTTTTTGTGGGAATTGTGAATGAAATTGTATTTGTGATTTGGCTGTCAGCTTGCATCTTGTTGGTGTACAGGAATGCTACTGACTGTTGCACATTGATTTTATATCCTGAAACTTTGCTGAAGTTTTTTTTCAGATCAAAGAGCTTTTGGGAAGAGACTTTGGGGTTTTCTAGGAATAGGATCACATTGTCTGCAAACAGGGACAGTTTGACTTTCTCTCTTCCTATTTGTATTCCCTTTATTTCTTCCTCTTGCCTGAATGCTCTGGCCAGGACTTACAATACTATGTTGAATATGAGTGGTGAGACAGGGCATCCTTGACTTGTGCTGGTTTTCAAGGGAAATGCTTCCAGTTTTTGCCCATTCAGCATGATGCTGGCTGTGGGTTTGCCATTCATGGTTCTTATTATTTTGAGGTATGTTCTTTCAATACCTTGTTTACTGAAGATTTTTAAACAATAAAGAGGTGTTGAATTTTATTGAAAGCCTTTTCTACGTCTATTTAGATAATCATGTGCTTTTTGTCTTTAGTTCTGTTTGCGTGATGAATCTCATATATTGATGTGCATATGTAGAACAAACCTTGCATCCCATGGATAAAGCCTACTTGATTGTGGTGGGTTAGCTTTTGGATATGATGCTGGATTTAGATTTCAAGTATTTTGCTGAGGATTTTTGCATCTCTGTTCATCCAGGATATTGGTCTGAAGTTTTGTTGTCATTGTTGTTGTGTCACTGCCAACTTTTGGTATCGGGATGATGCTGGTTTCATAGAATGAGTTAAGGAGGAGCCCTTCCTTCTCAATTTTTTGGGAATAGTTTCAGTAGGAGTAGTACTAGCTCTTTTTTATTCATCTGGTAGAATTTGATTGTGAATCCATCTGGTCCTGGGTTTTTTTGAGGGGGGGCGCTGATAGGCTTCTTATTACTGATTCAAGTCTAGAATTTGTTATTGCTATGTTCAGAGATTCAGTTTCTTCCTAGTTCAGTCATGGGAGGTTGTGTGTCCAGGAATTTACCCATTTCTTCTAGGTTTTCTAGGCTGTATGCATAGAGGTGTTCATAGTAGTCTCTGATGGTTATTTGTATTTCTGTGAGTTCAATGGTAACATTCCGTTTGTCATTTCTGATTGTGTTTACTTGGATCTTTTCTCCCCTTTTTTTTATTATTCTAGTTAGCAGTCTATCTTATATTTTTTTTTTTTCAAAAAACCAACTCCCGGATTAGTTGATCTTTTGTAATTTTTTGTTTGTTTGCATCTTAATTTCCTTCTCTTCACCTCTGATTTTGGTTATTTCTCATGTTCAGCTAGCTTTGGGGTTGGTTTGCTCTTGTTTCTCTATTTCCTCTAGTTGTGGTGTTAGGTTGTTGATTTGAAACCTTTCTAACTTTTTGATGTGGGCATATAGTGCTATAAACTTCTCTCTTAACACTGCCTTAGCTATGTCCCAGAGATTCTGGTATGTTGTGTCTGTTCTCATTAAGTTAAAATAATTTCTTGATTTCTGCTTTAATTTCATTATTTAGCCAAAAGTCATTCAGGAGCAGGTTGTTTAATTTCCGTGTAATTATATGGTTTTGACACATTTTCTTAGTATTTATTTCCATTTTTATCATGCTGTGGTCCAAGAGCGTGGTTGGTATGATTTGTTTTGTTGTTGTTGTTGTTGTTTTTTAACTTGCTGATAATTGTTTTATGTCTGATTGTGTTGAATTTTAGAGTTTGTGCCATGTGCAGATGAGAAGAACTTAATATTCTGTTGCTTATGGGTGGAGTGTTCTGTAGATACTTATTAGGTCCATTTGGTCAAGGGTCAAGTTAAAGTTCTGAATATCTTTGTTTGTTTCCTGCCTTGGTAATCTGTCTAATACTGTCAGTGGGGTGCTGAAGTCTCAATATGGGAGTATTTTCAAAGGAAACTAGGAAATGATTAGATCTAAATCAAGAAACACGAAAAAGAGGAAGTGAGCTTAGATTATTTTTTCCTGAAATTTTTAGCTTAAAGAAGCTAAGGTTGACTCTGGGCATACTTGTAAAATGGCAAAAGTATATCTAGAAATATTCAGTCAGTGCCAGAGATGGTCCTTTATAATGCAATCGTATTGAAATGAGTTGATGTCAAGGGAATGTTGCCTAAAACTCTTGAGGGTCAGTGGCATGTTCGTCTTCATAATGAGTCAGTGCAGTGCAGGTAACGCTTTGCAATGGTCTCAGCCTTCCCTCCGGAGCGCACATTTGGCAAACCTTGGGGTTCTAAACTTTCGAAAATTGCTTCTCTGAATAAAAAAACAAGTCCCTTTGGGAGAGTGGATGACTGTGAGGGAAGACGGACTCACCCAAATCAAAAACTAGAAGCAGATTCCGATGAATTTCACAAAATTAAACATGATACTCTATGGCTTTTAGATTTTTTAGAAATAAGAGCTTTACAGTAACTCAGTGGTTGGGAAAGGTTTGTTTTATTTTGGCGTGTGTGTATGTAAGCTTAAATGCCAGTGTTCTTCACTTTAAGAAATACAAATTGATAAAATCTTAATCATTTAGGAGGTACATGGTTACCAGCTTCGTGGCCTTTACAGAATACATCACCACTTTGAGAAATGGAGTTATTATGTTAAATATCTCTAATAGTTCCAAAATGTTACTGCTTTGAGAGTGCCATCAGATACTGAAAACTAAAGTACATTTTAATGTAATCAAGTGTGTGAACCATTGGGTGACCACACACCATGAAGATGGCATATTGGCCAGCATAGGATAGCATTTGGGTTCTGAATTAAAGCTGAAGGATGTCACATGGCACCCACTACTGTAAATTTATCCGTCTTTATTTCAGAGATTTAATAATGTAAAGAAAAAGAATTTATGTGTCATCAGAGCCACCTCTGGTTGTCAATATTCCGAAATCCTGAGTTGCAGTGCAAGAGGCAGTCAGTCGGAAGTGGCTCAGGCTGGCTCATCAGGGCTTGTATCCTGTGTTACTTGTCATGCATAAGCTTCCCAGAATACCTCATGTAGCTTTTGTGGGTCCAAGACAATGAGAAATCAGGCACCAAGAAATTCTCACATACATTTTTCAACTATATTCAAGAACTCAAAACTTGCTGATACTAATTGTTGTCCAATGAGGATTTTATTTTTCTGAGATGGAAGCCATGCCTGGTTTTGCTGACACAGCCACCCATTATTTCCAAGACAGACTCCACAATTGTACTTGACACCCAGAGGCTGGCTGCTGTGATTTACCTGGGTAATTCTTTCACCCCTATAACTTTGTTTTCTCTTCTGTTCTTGTGGGTTAGATATGTCACATGTTATTCTAACTTCAGGAAAGTTTCTCCCAGTAAAAGGAGAGGGGAAGTATCTATATTTGGATGACTCTACCTTAAAAAAAAAACAGTGTTTATTTCAGAACATAATTGTAGGTTGGTTGCTCAAGTTTAGGTTTCTCTGGAAGGAAGATTGCTTGGTACAAGAATCTCAGATCATCAGGTTCTATTTAACTCAATGGCAGTTTGAGGGGTACCACTGCAGACTGGGTTCTGGAGTGCAACATTGATATCCAGTTCTTGGTGGACCCCAGGAGGTTGCTCCCACTTGGTTCTCTGAAAGTATGAGCCGTTTAACTGCATTGGAACCCCTCTTTCTCTAGGAATAGTTTTATTTACTTTAGAAATCCAGAATCCAATCTAGGAGACTAAAATTCACCTTTCATGCTCCTTTCTTTCTAGGTAATTCCCTGGAAATCGGGGTAAATTAATCTACTCTGCAAACTCAAAACCAGCCATTTTTCTTCTGCAGACCGTCCTTTCACCACCCAGGTGCGGTAACATGTTGTGTAGTTTTCTGTCAGACTCAGGCTTATCAAGTCCAATATTTTTGTTATATTGGTTTTTCTTTCTCACAATTAGCCATGGCCTTGGAGAGCCGACCCTCCTTGCTACACTTCTCTGTGGGTCACGGTCACTGCCTCATAAGGGATTGGCTTCAGTTCTAGATGTGCGACGTGCACTGCAGCCACAAGCAGCATGAGGATTCCGAATATTCGACATACAGAAGGTGCAGATTTCCCCTGATGAACGGAATCCATTAGGATTTAATGCAGAAAGCAGAAAGCATGCCAGGTATTTCTAACAGAGGACACAAGTAATTGTTTACATATAATTTGAGACTCTAAAAAGGCAAGAAAAGGGTAACCCGGGTAATTAGTAAATTTTGGAAGTACCTAACACCTCCAGGCTTTAGGTGATGCATTTACTAGTAACTTGAAGGAAACAGCCATCACCTCTCTACAGTTGGGGAAACACAAGAAGGAACTGGATTATTGGCTTTGAAGCTCAGAGGAGAACCCCTACAAGGATAACGCCCAGACCTCAGAATGGGGCAACAGAGAAACCGCTCGTATTTAGATGTGAGGGCAAATCACCACGTGGCTGGATCTTGGAACACCGAAAACTGTGCTGTGGCATTTGTCCTGGGAGCTGATGCCAGAGGAAGGGAGAGCCTTGAACTATAGCTGCCCTCTGCTGCATGTGTTTGTGGGTGGGAGACAGATGCTTAGAGGAGCTGGACCCAGGAAGAAAGTGCCTTTTCCCTTTCAATTCTTCTTCCAATATCTTGACTCTCAGAACCTGACAGGAAATGAGTGAGAATGAATGAGAAATGGTTTCAGGGTTGCAGTCCCAGCATCACACAGTCCAGGAACTGAGAAACAATAACAAATGACTGAACAGCCCACCCCTTGGGCTGCTGAGCATCCAAGTACACCCTGTATTTAAAACCCTTTCCATTTTAGCAACTGCAGACTTCTGCTTAGAAAATGCAACTATGCCTCATCAAGATGAAGACGGTCTCACCTACAAAGAGGGCAGACTCCACTCTCAAAAGTCCCTGTGTCTACCTTCAGATAATGCTCATTTCTCTGGTAGTTCAGTCACAATCCCATGTGAACATTCTGTAAATTAAAGACTAAATTGTAAAATTCATAACAACTAACAATTCTTACATAAAATATAGAGGAAAAGAGGAAGGACAAAAATTAGTAAATACATGCAAGTTATAACAAGCTAGAAAGGAAATATGCAAAGCTGCTAGAGTCCATGCTTCTGCAATGGAAACATAGTTGATAACTGTACCTCCAGTCCACGTTTCCTCTGTTCTCAGGTAGTACTACAGCTACTCCTGGGTGAGTTAGGGTGGCCCAAACTTTTATTTTTTAAGTAACCCAAATCTTTATTTTTAAAGTGATCTTGTTTTTCCGTTTAGGATGCTATAGTTTCCCACTTATATTTTACACAGGATGTGAGCAGTAATATGAACCCCTGAGGATCCCCTAGGTTCTAAACTTAGTCCCTTCTGCCCTTACTGTGTAGCAACACCACTAAGTCCTCCAGGGAATTAGCATCTTCCCCTGTAACACTCATTGCTTTATTATGAGCTGTGATGGTGAGACAGCGTGATGGTGAATCAGGTATTCCACATACCACAGAGGATTTTGCTGACAGAAGCATTAAAGATCAGAAAAGCAAATACATATCCATATTCATATGCAAAATATGTGTATTTTTCAGAGAGTATAAATCATTGCGCCTTTCATCATAGAAGTTGTTTCACATAATCAGCTTGGAGCAAGGTACTTGGATGGCCCCTCAAGGAAAGATGACCATGCCAGAGCATGGAGCTCTTGTCAGAATGGAATTCAACAGCAACAGGAGCCAGATCCATGTTGGTGGGAAAAATTCCATGTTGTTGACCCCATGGATTGTCTCATACCAGACATCACGCCCTTTAGTTTGGCACTGGTGTGGCTGAGGAAGGACGACAATGAACAGAGAGCTCACCTGGTTCTAACAGCCTCCTCCTCTGCAGAGATGCCCTCTGACAGGCAATCGTAAGGCTTGCAAACATCTTCACGGCCTGCGCCTATCCTGAAAGATCTTTCTATGCACCTGTTACCCAGCCTTTCAACCCCAAAAGACTGTTCATTCCAAGTCTCTGACCATAAAACCAACTCATTAACCATAGCTTATAAATCAATATATAGCTGTTTCTATTCTGTCTTTTATCCTGGAAAATGTGAACAGCAAATTATATTGCTCAAAATTCTGGCTACCTGGATAATTTTCCCTCACCTATGTCATTTAGGGACATCCCTGTGTGATGCCATAATATTGTAGCTGTCAACCATTGGTTAGTGCCACCATATTGTAAAAATGATCTACATACAAAGCCTGAATATTATTCTTCTTCCTCAGTCAACTAATCCATAGGGAACTCTGCATGAGGTCCTAGGTGTGAGGTGAGGGACAGGATCCAGAGAAGAAGTGAGTTGCCTGAGATCTGTGCCAAATGGTCATGCTGCTCATTTGTGCTTTCAGGACTCTATGAAACCCTATTTGTTGCATGTGTTTCTACTTGATGGGTTTCCTGCTACTCACATCCAATCTTAGTCTTGGAGACTATAAGGGTTCAGTAGCAAGTTGGAAGATGTGCATCAAAAGAGGAATATTTTTCTGAAGTTTTATTTTAGAAACCTAAGGTTCTGTGATTTGAGTCATTGGTTGGAATGGACCTTAGTGCCTGTTCAGTAGCCTTGCTTGTCACAGATCCTTTGAGTGCCATTGGATCTGCTGATTCATGACTCATGTTGGAGAGCAGTGTAGCCACAATGGGACAAAAATACTGTATCACAGCTAACCAAAACTATCACCATTTTAAATTTTAAAGACTTTTTTAAAAAAAAAAACTTTCACTTTCTCCACAATATAAATAATTGAAAATACCAGGTACCTAGTTATTTAACACTTAGTGAACTCATTAGATTGTGTATTTGTTTGCAGTATGCAATGATACTGTAAAGACCAAGATGTTAATTATATTTTCCTTCTACACTGAAATGAACATGTAATGTAACAAAAATAATAAAACAATATATTAAACATACATAATTAATACAAAAAGACTTTGCAAAATCAAATGTATAAACAAGGAAATACTAAAGTTTTTTTTATGAATACACATGTCGTTGATTGGAGTTTGTTGGAGAAAGATAGGAGTCTGCTGTCACTATTGCTGTTTGGTGGATGGTGAATGTCGACAAGAGTAAGCAGGTGAAAGAGAGAGTGTCCATGACTTGGGGCTGGTCCACATCTGAATTCACACAAATGGTAGGTGGTCTCTCTTCATCATATGTGATGCCCTAGAAGTGAATAATCAGGAGGCATGCAATTGGCAAAACATTAAGAAGAAAGATAGAGAGAGAGAGAGAAAGAGAGAGAAAGAAAGAAAGAAGATAAAGAAAGAGAGAGAAAGAAAGAAAGAAGAGAAAGAAAGAGAGAGAGAAAGAGAAAGAGAAAAAGAGAGAGAAAAAGAGAGAGACAGAGAAAGAGAAGAAAAAAGAGAGAAAGAAAGAAAAGAAAGGAAGGAAAGAAAGAAAAGAATGAAAGAAAAGAAAGAAAGAAAGAAGGAAAAGAAAGAAAAGAAAGAAAGAAAGACAAAAGAAAGAAAGAGAAAAAGAAAGAAAGAAAGGAGGGAGGGAGGGAGGAACTAAGGAAGGAAGGAAAGAGCCATGTGTACTAATTCCCCAGGGCTGCCATACAAAGTACCACTAACCAAGTGGCTTAAACAACACCACTTTATGGTCTAACAGCCCTGAAGCCTGGAAGTCTGAAATCAAGGTGTTGACAGGGTTGGTCCCTTCTGAGGCTGTGAGGGGGAACCTTCTTTCTGGCTATTTCCTGGCTGCTGGGGGTTGCTGGTAATCTCTGGAGCTCTGTGGCTCGGGCAGTCTAACTGAGCTTCACATAGTATTCTCCCTGTATGTGTGTCTGTCTGAATCCAAAATTCCTTTTTATAAGGACATTAGTCATATTATATCTGGGCCCATCCTAATGACCTCATATTAACTCAATCATTTGCAAGGCTCTGTTTCCAAATACTTACAGGTACTGTGGATCAGAACTTCAACATCTTTTTGAGGGACATAATTCAATACATAACAGCATGTGTTTGCATTCCCTTTGTTTGTGAATGTTCAATTTCTGAGAACACAACTGTACTTGAAATTGTATCTGTAATGTGATGTTTTTGTTCAAGTCATGGTCAAACTCATTTGCAACAGCAATCATTTATCTGCATTATTTAATGTTTCTTGCAAGCATTTGTCCTGAAACATTTGTGACTTCTCTTCTTCCTTTCCCTCTGTCCTCTGGAGGGATTGGTGTTATGGCCAGTCAGTTCCTGGGGTAAGTTCCCTGTGCTTCAGCATTTTCACTGTGCATTTCACTAAATTCAGCCTCCTTAGCAAAATCTGAGAACATTTGTTTTGCTTCTATCACTTTACTGTAACTTTGGAAGGGCTCACAAAATAAGAGGTCTTTTTTAAAAAAATAAATTTTCTATTTTAGAACAGTTTTAGGTTTACAGAGAAATTATAAGCATAGTATAGAAAGTTCCCACATACTTGATATCCAGTTTCACCTATTATTAATATCTTACATTAGTATAATATCATTGTTATAACGAATGGATCATTATTTATACATTGTTATTAACTAAAGTTTATACACTTTTCATGTTTCCTCAGTTTTTATCTAATGTCCCCTTTCTGTCCCTGGATCCCGTCAAAGATATCTTGTTACATCTAGTAGTCATGTCTCGTTGGACTCCTAATGGCTGTGATAGTTTTGTAGACATCCCTTGTTTTGGATGACCTTGATGATTTGATGAGTATGGGGTCAGATAATCTATGGAATGTCCCTCAACTGGACTTGTCTGATGTTCTCTCATGATTAACCTGGGGTTATGAACTTCCAGTAGGAAGGCCATGGAGGTAATGTGACATTTTCATCACATTGTATCAAGGGTACATATATCGACATGACTTTTGATATTGATGTTGGTCACCTGGCTGGGGCAGTGTTTGTCAGATTTCCCCAATGTGAAGTACACTTTTTCCTGTCTATATTGTCTAGACTCTAGAATGCTAGACTCTAGAAAGTCTAGACACTTTTTCATATCTAGACTCCTTGGGAGAGCCTAGACCTAAGGAGTGGAGATTTGCGATACTACATCTTCAGGGAACAATATCTATAGAAATAACTTGGGATTCTTTTGCAACTGAGATTTGTTGCTTCCATTTCCCTTACTTATTTATTGAATTCTTCCTTTAGATCAGAACAGATATATGGATATTCATTGTATAGATTAATACTCTTTTATTTTACTGTTCAAATTGTTTGCACTTTGGGCATTAGGAGTTCTTCTAGTTGGAATTTGTATTTGACATCCCTCCATATCTTAGTTCTTTCAGGGTTCTGTTACAAATTGCCATAGACTGAGTGGCTTATAAACAACAGAAATTTATTTCTCATACTTTTGGAAGCTCAGAAGTCTAAGGGTGCCAACATAGTTGGGTTCTGGTGAGGGCCCTGTTCCAGGCTGCTGACTGCTTTCTTCTCATTGTATATTCATATGGTGAAAAAATGGTGAGAGAGCTTTTTAGGGTTTCTTGTGTAAGGGCACTAATCCTATTACTGTTTTAACAGCCTGAGGGGTTCTTCTTGCCTGCTGCCCAAAAAGCCAATGCACTGAGACAGCAGGTTTTGCAGCAAAGAAAGAGTTTAATAATTGCAGGTCCAGCCAAGCAGAAGGATGTGAAACATTTCTCAAATCCCCTGCCCCAAGAACTTGGAGGCCAGGATGTTAAGGATAATTTGAGGGTAGCGGTCTAGAGACTTGGTGTGACTTATTGGTTGGGGATGAAACCATAGGAGTATACAAACCATCTTCATGTGCTAAGTCAGTTCCTGTGGGATTGGGGGTCACAGTAGAGTCAGTTCATTGGTATGAGTCATGGGTCCCATTGGAGTCAGTTGGTTGCCAGAATGCCAAAGTCTGAAAAATATTTCAAAGACCAATCTTAGGTTTAGACAATAGTGATGTGATCTGTAGGAGCAATCAGGGAAGTTATTGAAAAGAGGCAAGCTAGGAAACAATAGCTGATTAATGTTTATGCCTACATTTTAGCAGAATTCAGGCCCCTTCTGTAATTCTAAACTTATGGCCTTGTATTAGCCTTACAGAGGTGGTTTTGGCCCCCAGCAAGGAGGGGTCACTTTCAGGAAGGAACTATTATTATCTTTGTTTTAAATTTAACAAATGCAGTTAGCTTATGAGGTTAGAAGCAAGATGCAGTCAGTTAGGTTAGATTGCTTTTATTGTTATAACTTTTGCAAAGGCAGTTTCAATGATGGCTCTATCCTCATGATTTAATCACTTCCCAGAGAATGGCCTACCTTCTACATCCTAATGCCATCACATTGGGAGTTAGAATTTCAACATATGAATTTTGGGGACACACAAACATTCAGAACATAACATTCCATCATTGTTTGATGCTATAAGATGTCTCATCTTGTATATGTTCTTCCCAGTCTTTTCATAAGCCCTTTCTCCAAGTAGTCCTTGTTCCTTGCTTATTGAATAGTATTAGGAACCAAGATCTGAGTGCTTGTGTGCTCTTTTCTACAAGAGTGTCTGTTGCTAGGTCCTCTCACCTGATGGATCAAAGGAATATACGTGTATACTAACACCAGAAGTACACATGTCTATAAACATTTCTATACATAGCCATGCATCTCTATTAAGCTAACTACAAGTTTATATTGATGTCTCTGTGGGGTCAAGGGCCACAAGGAGGTTAAAAGGGTCAAGGTTTGCTGAAAAATCACTGACCTGAGGTAGATTGATTAATAGGAGAAAAGGTATACAGACTTATTTAATGTGTATACACAGGAGCCTTCAGAATGAAAACCCATCCCTTCAATGAGTTACAGAAGCTTATATACCATCTTGAAGTTACAGAAGTAAGGGGGGCTTGGATTTTTGTTATGGGAAGAGAAGAATTTCATGGAGGGGCAATAAATGATTGGTATGGAGAATTATTGGATGGGGAACATACATTAACTTGCAAATTGGTATTTTTGGGATTCAAAGGATCCTTGGACACAATCATTATCTTGCAAAAGGATCTGTTCAGGTTTGGTCACATGCATGATCTTACAGGGAGGGGAAGAAAAAACAATTATCCTCCTTGGTGGGTCTGAATCTCAGGCAGATAAAGAAGATCTAACTTCTTTGGGAAAGAAAGTGGGAGAGGGAAAGGTCAGAGAAACTTGAGGCTTCTTTAGTTCAGCATGTTAAAATTTTGGGGTATTGGTTTCTGAGCCTCAACATCTCCTAATGTAATCCATTACTATCTGAATTATTCTAGCCTTTCTCTTGATTATCTGTAAACTCTTCCTCCAACAGAGATAAATCTGCCTCCTACCAGTCAAATCTGTTCAGTTCATTTTTCAATTCTAGTACACATGTGTAATAGTATCAGAATTGTTAATCTGTACCTCCATATGTGACAACTTTATCAACCAGAGTACAGTGCTTAAGTGCAGTTTCTTTTGTCCTTAGTCTTACAAACTCCAGTCCTCTTCATAGTTTCCCCCATCCCCTTTAGTGAAGTTGTTTCATGTATTTGTAATACAGTTATATTCTTTTGTCACAGACTGCATTCCCATGGAGATCCTCCAAATTCCTAATTGATCTTCTTTTAATTTGCATATGTAAAAGTTCTTTCTTTGTGCTGTAAATTTTTATGGGTTTTGACAGATGTATAATGTCAGGTATCTACCATTACAGTACCATACGGAATGGTTTTACTGCTCTAAAAAAATCCTTCTGTGCTTCACTTATTTCCCCTTTTCCTGTGAACCCCTGGAAACCTCTGATCTTTTTAGTGTCATTATAGTTTTGCCTTTCCCAGAATGTCGTATAATTGGAATCATACAGCCTTTTCAGATTGCCTTCTTTCACTAAGCAATATGCAGTTAAGGTTCATTTACATTTTCTTTTGGCTTGAGAGCTCATTTCCTTTTTATCACTGATTATTATTCCATTGTATAAATCTATCACAGATCATTTATCCATTCACTTATTGAAGGACTTCTTGATTGCTTTCAGTTTTCAGCAGTTATGAATGAAATGCCATAAATATTTATGTTCAGGTTTTTGTTGGGGCATCATTTTTCAAATTGGTTAGGTAAATACATAGCTACACCATTACTAGATTCTAGGGGAAGACTATGTTTACTTTGTAACAAATTGCCAATCTACCTTTCAGAGCTGCCGTATCATTTTTCATTTTCACCAGAAATAAATGAGAGCCACTATTGCTTCACATATTGTAAGCGTTCTAGACTTCAGCTATTTTAATGAGTATGTGGTGTCTTTTTATTTTTTATTTATTTATTTTTTTTTTGAGATGGAGTCTCGCTCTGTCGCCCAGGCTGGAGTGCAGTGGCACGATCTCGGCTCACTGCAAGCTCCGCCTCCTGGGTTCACGCCATTCTCCTGCCTCAGCCTCCCAAGTAGCTGGGACTACAGGCGCCCGCCACTACGCCCGGCTAATTTTTTGTATTTTTAGTAGAGACTGGGTTTCACCGTTTTAGCCGGGATGGTCTCGATCTCCTGACCTCGTGATCCTCCCGCCTCGGCCTCCCAAAGTGCTGGGATTACAGGCGTGAGCCACCGCGCCCGGCCTGATTTTTAAATGTAATGTTTTCTTTTCAAGATAGACTGATCAATTATTTCCTTCTTAATGTCAAAATTCTTCCTCAGTTCTTCTTCAAGCATCATTATATGTATCAACACCCTATGTTTGACACTTCATCACCAAGCATATGTAATGTGCCTTGAAAGTTTTTATAATTTTTGGCTCTGTAAGTTTCAAAGGGAAAACAAAAGACCATTCATATGTTTTCATAAAAGACCAACACTAAAAGAAAGTCTTGACATATTGCCTGGTTAGACAGATAACACAGTCTGACCTTCAGTCAGGGAGAAGCTAGGCTATGCAGGAACACCCATCATGGCACACCTATTGGCAACTGGGTTACCAGAATCAAGGTGGATTTAGCCCTCAATAAATTAATACAAAGCAGCTCCTTATTGCCACTTCTTGAAGTGGAAGGAAAATCACTGAGAATATGGAAAGAAAAAAGTAACATATCTAGCAATATGGGAAATGGATACCCAGGAGGCCATCCATTCCATACATCCTGGATATATTAAAACCTTCAGATGCTCTGTAATCTATCTTGCAACATTGCTTACAAGTGCCTTCAGTGTGATGATAAGGTATGCTGAACCCCATGTATTGTGTAAATATGAATGAGAAATGTCTTATTTTTCAAATCTTCAGAATCTGAAATTTCTAGATGCTACCTATTCCCTTTAATTCTGCTTGAAACTCTGTAGTTCTTTTATGAAATCAAACCCCCCTTAAAGAACTTTGTCAAATAGAATAATAACAATAAACTCATACTACCACAATCTGACTTATAACCTCTTTGTCCAGTGCCACCAGGTCAGTCCATTAGAAAATTTTCTGACTTTAGATTATCAGAGATAATAATTTGACCAAATATTTTGCCATTGCATAACATAAATAACCATTTTTTTCAGTCTCCAATATCATTTAGCTATTGCTTGCCACCCTGCCAGTGCCATGTAATTTCTGTATTTGTTAGGGCAGCACCCCATTTCTGATACCAATTTTTATATTAGGGAAGTTTTACTGTAACAATGCTGCATAACACACTTTCCCAAAATCTCATTGAATTTCAGTAACAACATCAGTTTGTCTTTCATGGGTCTCTGAGTTGCTAGGACAATTTACCTCTGGTTGAAGTCAGATTCAAATCTGCTGTAATCCCTATGACTTAGTCACACATAATTAGAATATTTGGGGGACTGTTATATTTTAAGTCTTTAATAGCAGTTTACTCTGGGTTTATAAAATAATGTGCATTTTATGTGCAGAAGGAAATTACCACAGTTGTATAAGGGGCTCTTAACTGAAATTATATTTGAGTTGGTGGCACTTGTTATCTGAAACACGGGGATTGAAATCAAAGCTGGCATGGAAGTTTTCTCTGTTTTTGGTGGTGACTTTCACTGAGTCATGCTTTCAGCCTCCCAAGTGCATTGGCATGTGTTATCTCACTGCAGAATAACAATTTTATAAAGAGAGACTTAGATGATTTCACCAGTGAAGGAGATGAGAACCAGTGTTTAGGTGACTTGGCCATGGTCAAAAGCTTGAAGGTGGTATAGGTACAACTTGATCCAACCAAATCTCACATGCATCTGTGCTCTCTCCTCTCTCCACACCTTTTTTCATGGAGGACAACTTGGAGAGGACTTGCTCTTACTGAGGTGACAGAGGAAGGGCAGGAAGCAGTCTTCTGAAAGTTTCTAGTGTATAATAACCATATTTCTTAAACAGCTGAATCTGCATGAGAACAATTCTAGCTAAGAGACAAGGATACTTTGATTCCATTGGGCTATTATTGAGTACTGTACCCTGTAGTTCTGCGTCTGCAATCCTGTGGTTGACATATGTGTGTATAAGATGAGGTATCATCTAGCCACACAAGCTTACATTAATGTTAGTTATCAGAAAAATTTTCCAGGAAAAACAGCCAATGTCTCATGAGTGCCAAATTACTTCAGGGAGGGCCTTATATTTCCAAATTAAATTATTTCAGCAAAGTTTATGCATAAATTCCAAGCATGCAGAGATTATTTAGGAGATGGTTGCTATGGTAGAAAGCAGTGAACATCCTAATATAGAGATAATCACAGTTCATTTTAAGTTATTCCAAAATGTAAATCTTTGTGAAAAGTTGCTGCCAAAATATCTTACTTGCTGAATAGTTTGATATCTGAAGATAGGCCATTCTACTGGAAATTGATATTTGTAATCCTTAGAGAAATTTAATCCAAAATGTTTAAACTCAGCATATTTTCTGAGATCTAACTGTATTGATTTTTAAAGATCTGGATTGCTTGTTTAAATGTTTTATAATGGTTTGTCATATACATAGATGAAATTTTTAAACACAGTTCTTTAAAGAAGGGCAATTATGTTGTTTACAGTTTGTTTTAATGTTATAAACCCTATAAAATGTCTTGGCTTCCATGAGTTTTGTAAAAATTCTTCCCCAGTACTCCCTCATTATTTTAAAATAGAAGTGCTGCGATGATTTTTTTTTTCAAATTTTGAGATACAGGGGAATTGAGAAGACTCTGAGAAGCTAGAATATGAGGTCATACCCACTCACTGGGCTGAGGTAGACACTGTAGGAAAGCCCACAGCGACAAGATTCAGGAGGAAGCCTAGGTTAGCCTAGTGAATTCACCTGCGTGACTTAATAAGTATTTATCACATGATGAAGAATACACTGAGACTATAGGAATTAAGTAAGGTAGCAGCATCCCGTGGAGTCAGAGGCTGACAGGAAACAGGGACTACAGTTTTCCCAAGCTGAGGCAGTGTCTGACCTCACTGTTAGGTGTTAGAGGAATGAGTGCTGGCTCCCAAGCTCAGAATTTAAAGACATGATTTTTGACCCTGGGGGTATTTCAGAAATAAAAGCCTAGATCCAGGAACTCAGATATAAAGATTTAAGTACATGGTGTCAAATAAGAACAAACCTGGAACTAGATAAAGAAAGACTTTTTATCCAAAGGGACTGTTTCAATGAAGGGAGGGGAACTACTGATGTAGGGAGTGTGCTCTGGCCATAACATGTGCACTTGTCTCAGAGGTCAGCAGAAAAGACTCTTCTTTTATAGAAAGAAGTGAATTAGGCTAGAAAGAGCTGGCTTTAGGAGAGTAGGTGGTGTGATGGCACAATCCATCAGGGAGTGTTTTTCTCTAACTGATTCCTGAGAGAGGTGGTTAAGGAGAGATTGTCTGCTGGTTCAGATGGAGGATAAATTGAAGTATAGAGACCTTGGAGAAGGAGAGAAGTTTGGTGGATCAGGTATTTTCCTCAGATTGGTGAGTGAGTGCAAAGAGTTCAGCTCATTATTTAAGAGGCAAGGAATGGGAATTTGAAGGATCTGTGTCTGTTTTTTCCGTAGGTATACAGGGGAGCAACTGTGAGTCTTGTATACGTTACACAGAGAAGAGTGATTCTTTGCAATAAACTGTTTCCCAGGACAAAAGAGGGTGGGAGGGTTTCTTCAATTATCACTATTGTTCAGGATCACAAGGCTCAGGTAAAATTCAACATTGTCAAGGGAACAAAGGACCTAGAACCCTCATGCTAGTCCAAGCTGCAAGTATAATTCAATACTGAATCCTCACATGCAGGACCTAACTCTCATCCTACTTAAAATCATGACTGATCAGACAAACTCAAGTTGCATGAACTGGTCCTAGGGGTGGGAGAGGAATGGTGCACAGATGAAGAGGCAGGTAGGGTCAGACCCGAAGCAACGGGTGTGCTAGTCCCACTCTGTTGGGTCACCGAATCCCTCTTACAATACGGGTTTCATTGCAGAGCTTTCTGTAGATGAGTTTCTTGTATTGTTGCATAACAAGATCTTAAACCAGAAGGTGAAAAATCAGTTGTGACTGCAATAATGACTGCATTGCAAATCCAAGTAACTTTCATTACACAAATCTAAACTAATTCTGAATTTTCCGAAAGCAGAAGACTACGTTTTGTTATTTTACATTGGGAAAATTGTAATGTCCCCAGCCCGACAGAAATGCCCACTGATTCCTCCCAATATCATTAAAAAACATTTAAACTTATAAAGGAAAATTTGCAAAACATTTGTGCACGTTATAAAATGATCTTCAAGCCATCTACATAATTATTTAACAATTAATGAACTATTTGAGGCTTTGCTTGCAAAATACAATATCAGATAAAAATTATGTTTTGCTTTACACTGAAGGAACATACTGCTGCACCATGTAGATAAATCATAAGATAGTGTGTTAGTACTGTGCAATGGGTGCAGATAGCATTCACCAAGATAAGAAAAAAAGGCACCTCACATGATGTTATCCTACTGCTTGAAGAGTTCCTTGAGTGGGGCTGAGTATCGAAGTGGAGGAGATGGTCACAGGTATTTGCGTGGGGAGAAAGGCAGCAGGACTGAAAGGGCAGATCTGAGGGTTATTCATGTGCAAATCCAAAGATTTGCAGACTTTTAAAGTGTAGACAGAGGAAGAGGTTGAACAGAACTCAAAGATATACTCTAGTGATAAGAGTTTATGGTTCTTATTATAACCATAAACTCTTGTTTATGGTTGTGCCTGGAATTACCTTTTTTGAACGGGATGCTTCAATTTGTATTATGAATAATTATGCTATCTGCATGAACTAAATCTTTTAATTGATATACTTAATCCTTTAATGGATTTTTCTAGGCAGCGGTTAATTTTAATATTTAGTTAAGAAATTATCAGTCTTCTGTGGGTTAACTGTTTTTTTTTCTATCTCCTGGAAACTTTTATAAGTTTCTTTCTACCCCTGATATTCTTCAGTTTCATTATGACGTAACTAGATACAGACTTTGAAAGTTTACCCTGTTGCACATACACCCAGGAAACACCTGTGAAGTTATGTCTCTTTTTACTTCAGGGATATTCTAAGCCACTATCTCTTCAAATGTTGCCTGTTCACCATTCCATCTAACTCCAACTCCAGGTGAATGTCGGAGCTTCTCAATTTATCCTTACTCTTTTACGATCATTTTTATGTTTTCTTTGTTCTAAATTTCTCTGTAATTCAGGTTGAGTACTCTGGTGCTGTCTTTTGTTACAGGTATTTAGACAAGCATGAGCAGGCCAGGAAAGGGCCCTCCCTCATCCACTAGGAATGTCAGGTGATGGTTCGACAATGATCACTTTGCCTCTCTAAAAGTGATAAATTGTCAGCGTGTGCCAGGGAGAGGCCATTTACTGATACCCCACAGCTGTTGCAGTAAAGTGTTCATTGAATGCAGGCGCCTGGGAGAAGTAACTTCCTGGGCATGTGCATGAAGAGACAAAATGGCGGAGTATGACCCACTCGGGGCACTCCACAGGAAAAGGGAAGAAAGCCTCAGACCGGCATGTGCACAGCTTCTTAAACACACTGCCTGTGCTCACTTCCCAAGGCTAAGGAGGACACCGTGCATCTGGGAAATAATGCCCCCCCTGAGGGAAGAATCATGGGAAAGGGGCAAGCCTACAAAGTCCTGGGGTCAAGGTTAAACACTGCACCTGACCTCAGTGCCCACTTGGGACTCTTCCAAGCGTACTTTGTTTTCTTCCCTGTTCTAAAGCCTTTTTAAATAAACTTCCACTCCTGCTCTGAAACTTGTCCCGGTCTCCTCTTCTGCCTTATGCCCCTCAGTTGAATTCTTTCTTTTGAGGAGGCAAGAACTAAGGTTGCTGCAGAGCTCTACAGACTCACCGCCGGTTACTTGGATACCTTCCACTGGTAACATACTTGGGGCCATGAGACTTGGATATTTGCCACCACAACATTTTAATTCCCTAACACCTTATTCTTATTACACATTAATTACCCTGTTGAAATTTATTTTTTTATACTTTCTAACTGGCTCTTTAAATAGTCTCTTTCTACTTGGTTTGTGTTCGCTTTCTGTTCTATTGCTCTTATTTTGTCTCTTTGGATGCCACTCTCTCTTTTGGAAGACTGCTCTCTCACTTGCACTTTCTTTGGGATGAATGCTTTCTTTAGTGAGTTTGTGGAGCTCAGACTTCCATCACTGGGACTGTCTTTCTTCACGTGCTTTGGAATTTTAGTTTCCAGGCTTGTCTCAAGTTGTTTCATGTGTATGTTCACCTGTGCTTAATTTTCCCCTCCCTGTCTGCACACAGATATAATAGCACCCACTTATTTGCAGTTTCACTTCTGTGTTTTCAGTTACCTTTGGTCTGTGAACCCAAAATAACTCAGTCATATCTCAGTCAATTTAGAAAGTTTATTTTGCCAAGGTTAAGGACGCACCAGTGACTCAGCCTCAGGAGGTCCTGATAACATGTGTCCAAGGTGTTTGGGGTACAGCTTGCTTTTATACATTTTAGGGAGACATAATACATCAATCAATACATGTAAGATTTACACTGATTTGATCTGGAAGGGCGGGACAACTCGAAGGTGGGAGGGGGGACTTCCAGGTCGTAGATAGATGTAAGCATATTTTAATTGGCAATTGGTTGAAAGAGTTATTATCAGTAGAACAGAATGTCTGGGTTAAGATAAGGGGTTGTGGAGACCAAGGTTTTATCATGCAGATGAAGCCTCCAGGTAGCAGGCTTCAGAGAGAATAGGTTGTACATGTTTCTTATCAGACTTAAAGTCTGTGTTGATGTTCATGCTGGAAGGGTAGAATGAGGTTAGGTCCAACCCCCTCTTCCATCATGGCCTGAACTAGATTTTCAGGTTAACTCTGGAATGCCCTTGGCCAAGAGGAGAGGTCCACTCAGATGATTGGGGGCCTTAAAGTTTTATTTTTTGTTTATAGGTCTACGGTGGCCCAGAAATATTAAATAAAAAATTCCAGAAATAAACAATCATAAGTTTTAAATTCTTTCTGAATAGCATGATGAAATCTCTCACCATCCTTCTCATCCTGCCCAGGACAAAAATCCTCCCTATGTCCAGTGGATCCACACTGTCTACACTCCCTGCCTGGTAGTCACATAGCAGCCATCTCAGTTATCAGATTGACTGTTGTGGTATCACAGTCCTTATATTCAAGTCACCCTTGTTTTACTTAAGAACGGCCCCAAAATGCAAAGGTAGTGATGCTGGCATATTATCATAATTGTTGTATTATTAGTTATTGCTGTTAACTCTTTCTGTGCCTAGTTTATAAATTAAACTTTACCATAGGTACATATATAAGAGAAAACATAGTACATAGAAGGTTTGGTGCAACCTGTGGTTTCAGTGTTCACTGGGGGCTTTGGGACACATCTTCCTTGGAGAAAGGAGACTACAGTGCTACTAAGGCTTCAGGGGCCCATTAAGGCCTAGTTCAGAACTCGGTTCATATCAGCTCTTCAGCCCTGTCGCTGCAGGGACACACGATGGTAAGTGAGCCTCACTGGTCCCTGCTCACAGAGGTCTCCTCCAGTCTATGCTGCTCAGCAGGAATGGGTCTCCCATCTGATTCTGAGGTCTGAGTCTTGACTCTACTAAACACAGTGTGTTTGGGTCCCATTTCTGCTTCACAGGAATGCGTATCCCATTTTAGTGAGGTTATGCTCTTGTAATACATTTTTGTAAATTCACTACTCGTCTTTACCTGAAGTAGAACAAGGAGAATCCCATGGGGAAGGCACCTGACTCAATGTGTTTTTCTGACCAATCACTTCCTTTCTTTGGTGCTTACAAGACATGCTTGAAACTAGGTAATTCCAAGCTAACTTTCCAGAGGTCCCTGTCCTGACATCTAACAGCAACAGCCTTAGCCAGAGTCAGCCAGATGATCAGTTTTAGAAATTGAACCCAATAGAGACAGCCCTGGGGGATCCTGCCTTACATTTGCACCTGTACTTCAATTATAATTAAATTGTTCATCTGGTTGTTTGCTTCACTTACATGTTAAGAAAAACAAGACTCATTCTGTCTCAGTGACTTGAAAGTTTGGTTTGCTACTGTAAGCAGAAAAAAAAATAGGTGTGATTAGTGATTTCCAGTTTCATTGGAAACTGAATATGTTTTTTGTTTTGTTTTGTTTTGTTTTTGAGATGGAGTCTCACTCTGTCGCCAGGCTGGAGTGCAGTGGCGCAATCTCGGCTCATGGCAACCTCCACCTCCCAGGTTCAAGTGATTCTCCTGCCTCAGCCTCCCGAGTAGCTGGAACTACTCAGGCACCCGCCACCATGCCCGGCTAATTGTTTGTATTTTTAGTAGAGACAGGGTTTCACTGTGTTATCCAGGATGGTCTTGATCTCTTGACCTCATGATCCACCCGCCTCGGCCTCCCAAAGTGCTGGGATTACAGGCGTGAGCCACCGCACCCAGCCGGAAACTGAATAGGTATTACAAGGAAGGAACAGTCTCTGTTTTCCTGAACTTCCTCCCGTTCAAGTTAAACTGGAGAAGATCATGCCAGGAGAAAAGTGAGTATTTCTTCTTTAAATGATCATAGTGAAAGCTTCCTGTCTTTGTGTTAAGACTGTTTACATCACAGAATGAGTAAATGTTAGAAAATTGAAAGGACACTGGGATATTTATGGAAATTAGCATTCACTTGAGACATTAAAATGAGGATGAAATATTTATATTTTCTACTCAGCTTATAAATAGAGTATTTCCCTGTTGAGATTTCTCCCTGCTGTTATAATGCTAATCTTTTTATTCAAATGTTCACAGACTCTCCATTTTCAAGATGAGTGATGTGGGTTGGGCCTGAGTCCTGGTGTTTCCTTGGGTGGAGGTCCTCCCTTGTCATCAAGTTCAGAAGTGAAATAACAACAAATGCTCTGGCATTTCGGTGGCCTCATCCTTTGTACTGGATTGCCTTTCTCTCTTGTTTTCAGAACCTCCATGAACATAGGATTTGAAGTATCTCTTAACCTTAGGAAAGTCTGTGACGTTCATAGCATTCATTGTGGCAAAACTTGTAGATACTCAAAATCTACTCTGTATGTCAGTTCAAGTCACACTTTTATGAACAATAACAGTAGCAATATTTGGAATAAGAACTATTTTAAATAAATGTTCATCAATTGTCTTAGACAATGTTAAGAATGTGTGGTATGCAAATAATTCCTAAAGATGTCAATACATTCTGCCCCAAACTAAAATAAAAATGTATTCATGCACCATTGAGCTTGTGGGCAGAGACTTTGGGGCTAGAAATGAACTGGTCTGTTCCTCACGGTAATCACTGCAGGTGCCCATTGGTGCATCTGGGTGTGAGAATGGACGGGAGTGACACTTCTCTGGAGGCTGCATCTGACTCCTCAGACAGCAGACCCTGGCTACCCAACTTTTTCTTCATACCTTAACCTGTTGTTTTGTGAGACATGCAAGCAATTTGAGGTTATTGAAATTGAGAGGGCTGTAACTTCCTTCCCATTTTCAGTATTAAACTTTTTGCACTGTTTCTTTGTTTCTTTCCTTTTTGTTTTTTTGTGGGACTGAGTGATCACAGCTCACTGCAGCCTTGACCCGCCCAGCTCTAGCAATCCTCCCACCTCGGCCTCTTGACTAGCTGGGACTATAAGCACACACCACTATGCCTGGCTAATTTTTAAAATTTTGTAGCCATGAGGCCCCACTATGTTGCCCAGGCTGGTCTTGAACTCCTGGCCTCAAGTGACCTGCTTGCCTCAGCTCCCCAAAGTGCTAGAATTACAGGCGTGAGCCTCCATGCCTGGCCAAACACGGTTTCTTTTCCACCCATCCTCTTTGCTGTTCCTATTGTGTGGAGCTTCTAATTCTCTCACCAATTACAAGCAGTGTGTGTTTGCATAATCCATGCCTTCCTTTGCTGATTGTTGCAGTTTAAACCATTTCAGATCATTTCATGAACGTGTAACTTTTGTTATTGTCCTTTTTGTTTTTTTGTTTTGTATGTGATTGGTTGGTTAGTGAAATTGGCTTGCTTCTGTTAGTTTCAGTCATTATAGCCATGTGAGGACAGGTTCTGCCCACTGAGGACCAGGTCTCTCCATGTGTGGAAGGTGCTTTCATCCTCTCCAGGTTGAGCTCTGCAGTTGGACTCAGAAGCTTTACATTAACAACCAGCAGCTGGGTTTAGAGCCTGGCTCCACAAACCATAATGATGAGAATGTCATAAACCCTGCTGGATTCAGTATGATTTGCAGTTACAACTCTCTAGGGGGCTGCACTGCGCTGTGCTCTTCTTGTGGTCCGGGGCTCTGCACATTCAGTGTGTGACAGAACACTCTTTCCATGCCTGTCCTTGCTGTCCAAATATATGTAGTGCCCCAGCAAAGCAGGCTGTGGCCATGTCACTACTAAATTGCCTAATTTTGTTGCAGTGTTTCTTAAATTATGCAGAGTGGCACTACTGATTAGTCCACCCCCAACCTGCTCTTGTGTGCGGACATCAGCTTTCCCCAACTCAAGAGGAAAAATGAAGGGCGTGCAAGCCTGATTATTAGCTTCAGCCTTATTCCCATTCCTCTGTTTTCACCCTAGGCTGCTCTGCACCCATGCTTTGGCATAGCCAGAGAACAAGAACTGCCCCATTCATGCCCATGAGTGGCTCCAACAGGAAGTCTTTGCTCCAGGACTCCCCATGGCCTGGCTGAAGCTGCCTTAGGTCTGTTGAGGTTTCAGACCCTTCCTATTCAATCCCTTCTTCTCTCACAGGTAGCAAATCTGCATCACGGTCTCAAGGTTCTTCTCATCTTTTTCTTCTGCTCTCTGTCCTTTATTGTATACATTAATTTCTTTCAATTAATTGGTTGCATTTCTCATCCCATCTTCACATCCACTTCTCAGAGGACCTATCAGGCACACCCACTGTCCATTCTCTCTGTGCCTTATCTTCAGGAGAGTTTTGGACCCTACCATGAGAGTTTCAGATCTCTAAAATGGGAAAAATATTTTAATGGAATCACAAATTCTAGATTATATGTTGCTATATTATTGGAAAAAATAAATACGAATTAACAAGGAAATAAACCCAAATACTTTTTTCATGATATAGAAGTGTTTAAGAAACATACCAATTGCTTGCATTCACCCAGAATGGTTCTTATTTTTGTGACTGAGCACAGAATGACTCATGGTCCAAATCCGTATACTCAAACCACATCTATAGCAGACTATCAGCCATGTTCACTTAGATGTCATTTGGGCAACTTAATAGTTTCAAAGCAGGATTTATAATCTTCCTTCTTTCCTTCCTAAACCTTCTGCCACCTTTTGGCTTTCTATTGAGAAGAATGGCAACACCAGTGCTCCCCTAAGTAGACAGGACATCATCTTTGCAGATTCCGCCTTCTTCAGTCCTCATATCTGCTCTTCATAAGTCTGGTGGAGTCTGTCTTCTCCATATTTTCTAATTAATTTCATTTCTTCATCCTTATCATTGTCATCACGTGCTGGGCCACTGTCACCTCCTGCCATGTTACAGCAATGATCTTCACACAGACTCACCTGACTCCAATCTCACCTCAGTCAATTTCAACCTTTGCAAAATAGCCAGGATGATCCCTCTCCAAAAAAACTTACTCTTGCTGTTCTTCTGCTTAAAAGATACTGGAATGGATTCTGATTGCCCTTAGGATAGGGTCCAAATTCCCTTCCCAACATGCCTTTAAAATTTCCCTGACCATCCTATGCGGCCTCTCTTTCCACTCCACCACCTTCCTCAGTCTCTGCACGTCCATGTGGAATTCACAGTTCCCAGAATATATCATATCTGGCTTTGCTATCAGACCTTGGCACTTGCTCTCTGATGGCCTTAGACTAGAATATGACTTAACCCTTCTTCTCTTTTCCTGGCTAACTCCCAATTTATTCTTCAAGGCTTAGATTAGTTGTCACTTCCTCCAAGAAGCCATGCCTACCACTACGCTACTCCTATCCTGGATTAGAAACTCCAGTTATTATATAGTGGTGTCTGTGTGTGTGTGTGTGTGTGTGTGTGTTTTGAGACAGAGTCTTGCTCTGTCACCCAGGCTGGAGTACACTGGCATGATCTGGGCTCACTACAACCTCCACCTCCTGGGTTCAAGCGATTCTCATGCCTCAGCCTCACAAGTGAGTGCCTCACAAGTGTGATCACCTGGGATCACAGGTGTGTGCCACCCACACCCGGCTAATTTTTGTATTTTCAGTAGAGATGGTGTTTCACCATGTTGGCCAGGCTAGTCTCAAACTCCTGACCTCTAGTGATCCTCCCGCCTTGGCTTCCCAAAGAGCTGGGATTACAGGAGTGAGCCAGCGTTCCTGACCATGTTCTGTGCTTTATATCAGAGTTTACCACGTTTGCTGCCACTGCTTTTCTTCTATCCTTCCCTACTTGAATATACTCTGAGGAGGATGGGGAATATGTTTGGCTTATTGTTCACAAAACCTTTATATAAAAGGTGCTTACTGAATACATGTTGAGTAAAGGATGCTAGTAAGGGGTATTGCAGAAAGGAGTGTGCTGCCTTGGACACATAGTGGGGTTAGACAGATGGGGTAACTAGCTTGTCAAAACCCTTTTAATTCTGAGATTTGGAATCTATAACTTCAGTGGTATTTTTAGAAACATATGCTAATGTGATGTTATGTAATATAAACCTATTAAGGAAGGTTAGCCCAGCAGAACACTTCTTTTAAAATATTTTCTTCTAGTTTGAACTATTGTTTATACTTGAATTTTTCTTTCAGAATTCAAGAGCTGTGATAATTATGACTAGACTCAGTATAATTAGTATGTCAGTGATATTTTTATTGTACTTTAATTCTTATATTACAGCACTATTAATTGTATGATTTGCCCTTGCCTTTTGCAAAGGGATCATAATTTTTGTCTGCCAGTTTGCTAAATCTGCTCTTTCTAAGCATTTTTCACCATTTGCACATCGTGGAAACAGGCTTCCAGGATGAAAGTTTCAAAACATCTTAATCTATTATCTTTTGGTAATAAGCATATGTCTGTGTGTATGTTATAAGCATATGTGTGTTATCAGCATAGCATAGATTTATATTTATAAACATATTTATTTGAATACGTATTTATATAATCAATATGCATATGTTTTTATATTTATGCTATATGTATATATGCTTATAATTATGTATGTTGTATGTGTGCATGCATGAGAGTGTGTATGTCTTTAGTTCTATTATAAAATTACTATTATAATTCTGACTTACTGAGTCTATACACACAATCCTGGTTTAGTGATGGGAAGATTTAATCTCTCATGAACTTACCATTAGTAAAAAGAAATACAAAATTTACTTGTGGCCTGTTTTAGCTCTATTTTAAAAAAATAAAGCATATATTTTAGGTCACTTTAAATTGAAGACTAACTTGTGTTCCAACATTACAACTATATCTAACATTTGTAGCACCTTGTCATGATATGCTGAATCTGTTGTGTGTGTGGCCTCTTTCACATGATTAATTTCAAATGAATATGTTCTCATCTGATACAGATATTCTTTACTTTCAGAAAAACATGTGAATGAATCATACAAAGAAGGAGGATAGTGATTATTTGCATGGAGAGGTCTTTAGTGTAGGGTTTCTAGAAGCCAAACTTCCAAGTTGGCTTCTTATCTCCTAGAGAAATGTAGTTACATCCTGAAGTATGAGTGGGACTTGATCCTTATCAATTGAATATGGCCAAGGTAATGGGGTGTTACTTCTGGGATTACATCACATTATGTAAGTCTGTTTTAGTAGCCTGGTTTGAGAGAGGCCCTCCTTTGCTGACTTTGGAGAAGTCAGTTACCACATTGTAAGGGCCTAAGGGCAGCCCCCACCTGCCAACCAGTGAGGAGCCAGGGCCTTCCATCCCAGGACCTCAAGAAAATGAATTCTGCCAACAGCCAGAAGGACCTTGGGAATGGACCATGCCCTGACTGAGCCTTCAGATGAGAACTCAGTCCAGAGTGACACTTTGAATGACTGCAGCCTTGGGACTTCCATAAGTAGAGGATCCAGCTTAATCAGTAGCACCTGAATTCCTAACCCGCAGAAACTCTGAGCTGATAGATCTCTGTTGTCTTAGCTGTTGGAGTTGTGGTAATGTGTTACACAGAACTAGGTGACTAAGAGGCAAACACAGAAGAAGAAAACAGGTTTTTGTGTGAATGTTCTCATCCTCTTGGTCTGCTTTTTTCTGATCACTTGGCAGCCACTGTCAACCAGAGTGTTATAGTATGCCATGTATTTGAGGCTGGATGTGGTGGCTCACACCTGTAATCCCAGCACTTGGGGAGGCCAAGGTGGACAGGTCCCCTGAGGTCAGGAGTTCAAGAATGCCATGTATTTGAGATAATTTTGTAGTTTTACTGGGCTTTCAGTTAGTATTCCTACTCAGTTATTTAGACATATTGGTTGTACTTTGGTAAAGATTAACTTAAAATAAGAGTTGGGCTGTATTCAAATATGTTGAAGTGAAAGAATGCCTTTGAAAATGATTCACAGGGCCCAGTGATCCCACCACCAAATATGCACCACGTTCCTTGTTCTGTACATATAGGAAGGGTAAAAGGAATGGAGGCAGAGGGGCTTAAGTGTAGGGACAGCAGATTGAGGACGTATGGCGTATCAGCCACTTGCTGGACATTCAGCACGAATCTATCTGTGATTGGGAATGCAGAGCACTAGACGAGAGATTTGGCAATCTTAAAGCATGTATGGAGGCAGTAATTATTCTATATGGAGGTTTCTGTATGAAATTGTCATTCATGTTTTATAGTATATAAAGTTGTATAGCATATAGTATAGTATAGAAAAAATAGGCTATATTATAATGAAATGCCAGTATATTTCTGATCCGAAAAAATCAAACTACATATTCAATAATCAAATATGCATCACTACTTTCTTAGTCACAGTTCTGGGTTTTCTATGCTGGTTTCCTTGTGTGTTCTTTAAAGAGATGTAATAAGATCTGGGCTGGCTCTCCTAATGTTTAGATGTGGCAGCATGATTTGCCCAAATAATGGGAAAGCTAAAGATGGTCAAAGAATGACCCTTTCCTCATCTTAGTGGTTATTTTCTTAGCATCTGACGAGTGTCTGGAATTTTTTTCCTTAGGTGGAAGATTAAGGATTGTGAAAGGAAAATAAATCTCAGGACTCCCAAATCACTAAGCCAAAGGGAAAAGTCAAGCTGGGAACTGTCTGCCTCCCATTCTACTCCTAAATAAGATAGCTACAAATATTTTAAAAAGCTACATACCTCCCTCACAGTTTGCCCACAAGTAAATTCCTTGTGGATGAAGGAGAGACAGAACTCAAAGTCATCCCTCTGCTCATGTGAGACAGATGCATATCTGATTGCTGCCTTTGTCCTATTGTTTTGCTAAGCCCGACTCAGGCATAAGTGACTATTCCAGTAAATTGTGCTTTCAGCAAAAGATTAATCAGAAACTCAAAAGAATGCAACTGTGTGTCTATTATCTACCTATGACCTGGAAGCCCCCTCCTCACTTTGAGTAGTCCCCCCTTTCTGAACCGAACCAAGATACATCTTACATATACTGATTGATGTCTCATGTTTCCCTAAAGTGAATGAAACCAAGCGGCGCCCCAACCATCTTGGGCACATGTCATCGGGATCTCCTGAGCCAGTGTCACTGGTGTATCCTTAACCTTGGCAAAATAAACGTTCTAAATTGATTGAAGCCTGTCCCAGATACTCTTTGGTTTACAGGGGTATTTTGATAGCCAATCTTTCATATTGTCAGTTTCCATTTTCTTCTCTGAGGATATAACTTAACAATAACAATATATAGAAATGAGGAATTTTTTAACCAAAATTCATCTTACAAGAAACTTCTCAAAATATAATTTTAAAAATGAGAATTTATAATTTTCTGCATCTACTGGAGTGTTTTCACTACCACATCTGTGGAATTAGTACCCAAAGCTAGAGTGAGGACTCCCTGCTCCCCAGGAATAGAGGTGGCCTCTTGGTATCTGACTTGCTATCCACAGGGAAGGGCTGGCCTGCTGTTCTACTGTGTGTTTGAGTAGTGAAGGAGAACTGTGTTATATGCCCTGGAAGGGGCCTTGAGGGAAAGGAACACTCTCTGTTGCCTTTCTTCCTTGTCTAGGAGCGGCTCTGATATTGGTCTATTTCCAGAGCTAGGTGTAGTACAGTTTTATGACCAAAATCCCCTTGTGTATGATGGATAAGACTATATGCTCCAGTCATAACACATTTGCAGACTGCAAAGCGTCTTTGATTCTGAGAATTTATACCTGCTTAAAAAATTATAGCCTTTCTCTATTTGGTTCTTTAACTCTCACTTCAATCTGGGAGGTTTTAAAAAGCCCTCCTTCAGAGCACATGATGAGCTTCTTTGGTGAAGCAATCTTGCTGGACTTGCCCCTCCTGATGCTTCCAGCATCTTCGGCTTGGCCTCTATGGGTTGCACCAACAGGCTTCCTTGTTCTCTGGCTTCCATTTGTGTTCATGTAATAAACAACCAGTGACAGTTACCTCAGGAGGGAGAAAGGTGAGGTCAGGTTAACGACTGGCAGCACCTGTGGCTGGCCACTGAGGATCCCACCTCTTGCCAGGAGTCCCTCTTCATATGACTCTCTCTGTCTGGGTTCTCAGCTTCTCTGATATGGTTTGGCTGTGTCCCCACCTAAATCTCATCTTGAATTGTGGCTCCCATAATCCCCACATGTCATGGGAGGGACCCAGTGGGAGGTAATTGAATCATGGGGGTGGGTCTTTTCAGTGCTGTTCTCCTGGTAGTGAAGAAGTCTCACAAGATCTGATGGTTTTATAAAGGGCAGTTCCCCTGTACACACTGTCTTGCCTGCCACCATGTAAGATGTGTCTTTGCTCCTCCTTCACCTTCCACTATGATTGTGAGGCCTCCCCAGCCATGTCAAACTGTGAGTCTGTTAAACCTCTTTTTCTTTGTAAATTACCCAATCTTGGGTATTTCTTCATAGCAGTATGAAAATGGACTAATACATCCTCCATGCCCTCACTCCTGACAACAAAGCACCATGCCTTTGGGCATTCCCTACCTCCTCCCTGCAGCTTTGTAAATAATCATTTTATGAGGCACTCCTCAACTCCCATTGGAGGGTTCCAGAACATCCATTATCTCACAAGATGCTTACAAAAGATCCATGAAGAGGGAGGCCATTCATGTTTATCTCTGACTAACATAGAATGAAGTTGGAGTGTAGAGCGTTGGACCAGCTTACTCAAGATCAAAAAGCTGGTAATTGACAGAGGCTGGCTGGTGATAGGCGTCTCGTAACACCCACCCCTCTTACCCTCCTAGACTGTTTCTTCTTAGCATCATTCTTTCTAGTGCAACTTAGAGCATCATTGTTTCTAGTGCCACTTAGCTTTCATATTTAAATTTGGGCTGGAAACTGGCTTCATTTCTCATTCATTAAAAAAATAAAAAAAACTTTGGAAGCCAAAAATGTTCTTACATTATGTACTTATGTTTATTCTCTTAGCATAAAGTACCCTGAGCTCATTGACAAAGGGCAGAACATTAATTTGAAATTAATAGATAGCACCATGGAAATTGGAAGTCTGAGTCACAACTTGTGTAATTAATTGTGCTAGTCATGACTAGAATAAAAGTATATGCTAATGAGGCTGGCTGTGCACAGTCCTGATCACGTTATTATTGGATATGTGCTACTAGTGATTTACCTTCTAAATGACTCAACACAGGACATTTCGCCCTGACTGGGTTTTGGAATTCAAGGGCAGCACTGTGGCGGCAGCACCTGGGCCAAGTAGCAGGTGGAGCACCCCTGTCTGGCTGTCCCTATGAGTTTGGCTCTTCTCATATATGAGTTACTGTGAGAAATGAAAATCGTGTATGTCTACACACTTAAAGTATACTTTTAAGACTACACTCTGAATTAAACTAATAGTGCAGAATATACTTAGAGACTTGCTGAATTGACCACATAAAACCATAAATCACAAGATAGCAAATTAAACAATTATTAATCATCTGCTATGTGCCAGACCCTGTGCTTTGAAAATAAAGGGAAATAAGAACTTTGTTCCGCCAGGTTCAGTCTGATGAGGGAGAAAAGCGTGAAAGCAGATAAGGTCTTCTAGAAAGTCAATGCAGTCATTGATTATAAAACTGTAGAACCCCTATGTACTGAACCTCAGTTGATGTCACCTTTGCTAGATGCTGAGATTGTTAGAAAACCTCACTTTCTCTAACCTGCCATACATAGGAACCCCCAGGCTGTCAGTTTCTTCCTCCTGATTGAGCCAAACCCTCCCAGCTGTCTGTTTCAGCCAGGTTGTTTTGGCCCTCTTATGGACCTGTGTGTTCTTATTGCCTTCATGCTTCTAATGCCAAATTACTGGGAACTTGCTGGGAATGGAGAATATAATGGTGAACAAAATAGAAAATCACCCCTGGGGATGTTCTAGGTTAAGTGAGCCTGTGTGCGAATGCCCTGAGGCAGCATGCTTGTGGATGAGTTGCTTAAGGAAAGCCTGCAGGGCTGGGGTGGTAAGCAGGTGAGAGGTGATGCTGGAGATGTAGGCAGGGCAGCTCGGGCAAGGCTGTGCTGAATGGAGGGACTTGAGAAGGTTTTCATTTTTAAGCACTGTTACACATTCTTGAAGGACAACAGGTGGGTGATGCCAAGAGTCGTTGCTCTGAGACTCAGGACAGAGGTGATCAGGGCTGGAGCCAAGGCAGTGTAGAAGGGGAGGTGAGGGTGGTGGTCCCGGCCAGGACTGACTGGCACTGGCTGGTGTTTGAGGCTCAGGATGCATTTTTTTCTGGGTAAAATAGAGGTGTTATCTCTTCTGCCAATTGTAGTTTCCATGACAACTCACTGGCCTTTTCCCTTCCAGATTAGCAATAAATATATGAGAAGGACCCTGGGCGGGGTACCGCTTTGTAAGGAAAAAGCTTCCTGAATGGTCAAAATTAGGAACCATGCAATTAATTTGCCCCCCTCCTCTTCCTGATAATGCAGGGAGAGATTTGTAAAATCAGTAAGCATGGAGCCAGGAGACCTGAGTTCATGTCTTATCCCCCTCCCTTCGTGAGTCTGGGTATGCAGGTCCTAAAACATGGGGTCTTATTACATTTGATATCTATTTTTTTTAATTTAAGTTTTTCCTTCTTCTTCATGCTAGTCATTAGTAAACAGTAATGTTAAGCAATTGTTAAACAATTTCTTTAGAAAAGAATGTGTGCTATTAGCTCAATATAGGCCTTCCTCTTCCAAAGCTTAATATGCAGTTCATTGATATTTAGGTTTTAATTTTTCATCCAACCTTGTAATGTTATAGGATTTTAGGATTCATAAAGACTTACATGTTTATTTAGTTTTATTCCTATGTTTTTGCTGTGAAGAGTAGACTGTTTTGTCTATTGTTTCAACTCTTCACAATTCCCATTGATTAAATGTGAACATTTTAGATATGCTTAGGAAAAAAAAATATGAGTTGTGTACAGACAGGGTTGTATTGTGTGAAAGAAAGCCTAGGATCAGGGATCTAGTTAGGAAATACCTGCAGGAATTAAGGGAGAAATGTAGCCTGCCAGAACTTGGGCAGAAGGAATACAGTGAATCATATTTGAGAGGTACTCGGCTTGGATTTGGTGACCCATGGGAGGTAGGAACAAGAGACAGAAGGGAAGGATAACTGGGCTAGAAAGACTAGGATGGTTGGCCGGGTGTGGTGGCTCATGCCTGTAATCCCAGCACTTTGGGAGGCTGAGGCAGGTGGATCACCTGAGGTCAGGAGTTTGAGACCAGCCTGGCCAACATGGTGAAACCCCGTCTCTACTAAAAATACAAAAATTAGCCGGGCGTGGTGGCTCATGCCTATAGTCCCAGCTACTCAGGAGGTTGAGGCAGGAGAATCACTTGAACCCGGGAGGCAGAGGTTGCAGTGAGCCGAGATCATGCCACTGCACTCCAGGCTGGGCAACAGAATAAGACTTGATCTCAAAAAAAAAAAAAAAAAAAAAGGAAAGACTAGGATGGTGAGGCGACAGGCATTAGTGGCAGCAGGTGCTATAAATACTACCTGGCAGACTAGTTTGAAAAGCAGTATGCTGGCGGCATCTTTAGAGTGGAGACAGCAGATAGGGGTTCCCTGAACAGATCTGAATGGCAGATGAAGCTGTGGAGAGATTATGTGATGGTAGTTGGCCTGAGGGGCATGGCCACACTTCCCTGGGGTGGGGGTGCACAAACAGAAGGCTAGGGTAGACCCCTGGGGAAGAGCCACTTCTGCAGATGAGCAGAGGAGGAGGCTGCCACAAGAGATACAGTGAAAAAGCAGCCCGAAGTTTGTGGGAGGGGGACCGGGAAAATCAGATGAGGCAGTGAGAAGCCAATCACCCCCGAAATCCTTTACCTTTCTGTGCCCAGATCTGAGACCCCCAGGGTCCCTCATATTGATGGCATGAATGGACTCCCCTGTCTTTACCTTTAGATTGGGTGCAACCAATGGGAGGCCCAGACAGAAGGTTGGATGGGTGACAGGTGCCAAGCCTGGGGTATCATTCCCCCAGCTCCGTTCCCACTAGACTGCAGACTGGGTGCCCCCACCACAGGCCACAGTTCTGAAAAGGCTGCTCTTTCTGAGTTCTGGTTGCCACACTCATTATTTGCTGTGAAAGATCTGGCAGTGGTCCCAGGTCTGCACTGTTCCAGTCCTGGGTGCCCAGCCACCTCTTCTTGGCTTCCCTTGGCCCTGTGCACAACTCTGTAAATAGTCCCTTGACTGGATACACTTTGTAGTGCTGTTTTGAGGGTGCTTTATTTTCTCCCGCTTGGACCCTGTGGGATGTCATAATTATAGCTTACACCAGGTCACAGAGATCAAGCAGGGCAAAGCCTGTAACATGCCCCTTAGATCTAGCTTCAGACCTTCACGACCATGGCAGGTGCTGATTTTTAGAGGCGCTTTGGATTCCTGAGTGCCTCTGAGAGTCGGTATGTGTCAAGGGTCATAGCTGTGCAGGCCTGTAGGAACAAAAGGCATTTCCAACCCTAATGTTGTAAAATGGCTCCTGTTACAAGAAAGGGGTGTCCTCCTTCATGAGGTTACAGTAGTCACATTTTATTCATTGCAGTAGTTGCTTTTAACAGTGACTTCCTTTAATAGAAATTGGCTTTAAGGTCTTAAGTTGTTAAAAAAAATCACCATTTTTGCATAAAAGAGACAAAAGTTGTTGGTGATTTGTTGCACTGCTTCTTAGGCTGTCACCAGGGTGACCTGGGCAATGCACAGAGCGCCCAGAGCTCTGATGCACACGTTACATCCTAATGAGAACTGAAGACCTACCAGGGGTGGCTTTCATCACTTCTCTCCATCAGTAGATGGGGATGTCCAGAGACGCATGGGAACATTAACACTGAGGTGGCCAGGGAGGCAGGCATCAGCTGATCCCTATCTAGCAGGCACCCTTCATTGATCCCAAGTCTCTACATCATCAAGGGCACCATTGCATCCACTCTTCCATGGCTGCTTAAAGTCCATTAATATCACAAATCCCATGAATCCTGCTCTTGTGTGGCACTCACTCTCAGCCATAGAAACAACTCAGTTCCCTGCATTTCTGCCCCCCCACTACAAATATTTATTACATTCTTTCCCAAAGTGACTTTAGATCAAATAGACAAAATAATTGATGCATGTAAAGAGTGATTATTGTCTACCAAAAGAAATTGTTTTTAATAGCTAGATTTTATTAATGATGTAATTTAAAATGTAACAATAAAGATTTCCTTCAGAAAGCAATGAACACCAAAAGATGAGGATTTATTTCACACTTCCAAATGTCACTACACAATGTAAATTATGCCCAATATGTTAGAACCTCCCTGGCTCCCAGACGTGCCAGGGGCCTGAGGGTCGGGTCAGTCAGTTCCAGCCCCCACAGTGATGGCCTTGCAGGGACACAAGAGAGGGACATTGCTGTCTGTCAAAGACACTCTGCAGTGTTCTCCTGCAGACAAATAGCAAAGGATACAGTGAAGATTTTAATCACTTGTGTAAATGTTTAAAAGCACATTAAATTATTACCATTTTTCCTTAAATATCCAAGCCTTATCAAATATTTGATAATATTTGAATTCAGCTACACAGAAATGATCATGCAAAGATTATCTGCAAGCCAATCGCTCATAATTTATTTTTCCATGGTGAAAAATATTGATAAGTTTGCAACCTAAGAAGGGTCGTAAAACCAAGCTGACGGCCTGTGTGACAGCCGCATGGGGCTATGCTCTGGGCTGGGGGCCAGGGGCTCTGTCCTGGGCGTGCTGCTATTATCCGTTGCTGGTGACTTGAATGCAGTCAGGCATCTCTTAACAGTGGGGATACAATTTAAGACACAGGTGATTCCGTCCTGTGAACATCACAAAGTGTACGCACACAAATGCCAATGGTCCAGCCTCCTACACACATCGGCTGTATGGTAGAGCCTATTGCTCCTTGGCTACAAACACCTTCAGTGTGTTACTCTACTGAATACTGTAAGCAACTGTAACACAATGGTAAGTATTTGTGACTCTGAATATATCATATCTAAACACAGAAAGGACACAATAGAAATACGGTTACAATTTTATGAGACACTGTCATGTAGGCAGTCCATCCTTGATCAAAATGTCCTTATACAGCACGTGACTGTAGTTACTGTCTCCCCTTCATCTTCTGCTTCTCAGACTCTCCCTCAGTGAGTGGAAGCAGAAATAAAGATCTCTTTTCCAGTTCTGAATGCTGGCTCCTGTTCATACCAGTAATTCTGTCTTCATGACTCTTCTTTAAATTAATAATGAAGAAAACGGTTCAAAATGACATTACTTTTTAAAAAAGATATATATATATACACATATATATATATACATACACACCTCTGTCTCTCTGTATATACCTATTGTTTTATTATGATGGTGAAGACCTATATATATATATATATATATAGAGAGAGAGAGAGAGAGAGAGAGAGAGAGAGAGCACGAGAGAGAGAGAGAGAGAGAGAGAAATCCACCAAGCCACTAAGCTTTTTGTGTTGATTGCTCCCCCAATAAATAAATTCTGACTTATATTTATCCCCATGCTCTTTGCTTAGTCAGCATTTTAGTAGGCAGAAATCCAGAATAAAACAAAAACATGATATGACTTTCTTCCAAGTTACATCTCACATTGCCTAAACTATTACTATCTACAGGCAAAATTCAGCCTCCCCTGTAACATGAGTGAAGCTTTCTCCTTGAGGAGAGCCAGGCAATTCCTAGAGCTAACATAAGGAGCAGGAATGCTTGTCCTTCCTCTGCACAGATGAGCAGGAAAGGAAGAGGAAGGGAGAGGTGCTATGCTTTAAAAATAGAGATTGATGGGCTCATATGGATTGTCATTTTTTAAGGAATACATTTAGGGTAAAAGAAAGAAAAGCAAAAAGATTGAGCATATGCAAGCTACTGTTATGGGAGATGCTTGCTTTTAAACTTTGCAATAGCAAGTAACAACCCATCAGGAATGGGGCTCTTTCTGGAGGGCAGCCTGGGTGTGGAGGGTTTGGTGGGGTCCAAGCTTCCTCAACAGGGGCTGTGGGTGGCAGCTTTGCAGGGCGGCATGAAGCCCGGCTGCAGAAGCGTGTGTCTTCATGGGGATGGAAGACGGAGCAGATCCAATTACAGGGTGGTGCTGTTGTGATTCAAGGATCAGGTCACCTGGAACATGAAGGGATCCAGGGGCCTCAGTCCCAGGCCACCTCATGAAACACTGCAGGAACCAGCCTGAGGGATTGGGGTGGGGGATCTGGCCTTGCAGGTGGGAAGTGCTTCCATCTTGTCACAGTAAGGCAGAGAAGCAGGAGGGCAAACTCCACGGCACGAATGCAATAGGTACTTCGTGTTGCTAAGTCTCTGCACATGGAAAGGGAGGTTTCTGCTCACGAGGAGGTGAAATGATGTTGCATAAACAAGACGCAAGATATCAAGGCAAGCCCCAGGGAACAGGAAGACTGGGTGGGGTGACATGAACAGAACCAGTCTGGGTGGACCAGTCCCTCCAAACTCCAGCGGCTCAGCAGCAGCATCTCCTTAAGGATGAGGCCCCCTCATTGCTTCATTGGTCTTAAGGGGCTTTGACTCAGGAGAAATTGAAATTTCAGAGACCTTGGCCCCATGTCATCTAATTCAAGTGTCAACTACAGAGGAAGTGGGTTGGGCAAGGCCCTAACCTCAGCTTTAAACAGGATTGGTTGTTTCCCAGGAGCAACTCTTGGCCTGTCAGATGAAGCAAGGCCTTCCTCTCACATGCTAAAGTTGTGAAATACAGCAGCATCTTTTTTTCAGGTTCTTTGGCCCATATTACAGCAGTGATGATGATGGTGATGGTTGTGGGATGTGACAAAAGGAATGCAACGTGACATGGAGGCAAAGAGATGGAAAAAATTGGGGTTTGGAGGCAGAAAGCCCCAGCTCTGCAACTTAAATGCCCTTTTGCAAGATATTTGTTCTTGTTTTGACAGTAGGGGATATTGAAACCTCCTGAGGTTGTTTTTATTATTATTTTTTCTCTTTTTAGATTCAAGAGCATTCCTATAAAGAAACTCCCATGTTGCCTCACTCATAGAATATTCAAAACTCCATAGTTATTTTCCAGGTGTATGTCCATCAGTACCTGTCCCATCCCTCTGGTTGTGCTATTGATCCGGGCGTGATAACAAAACACTGTTAGAGCCAGTAGGGCAAGGAGAGATATCTGCTGTGGCTTCTGGAAAGAAAAAGAAGTTTGGTGGTATATTAGTTTCCTCCTGCTGCTCTGAAAAGTGAGTGTACACCTACTGGCATGCATGAAACAATAAAGATTTATTATTTTATAGTCCTGGAGGCCAGTGTCCCCAGTCAGTCTACCTAGGTTAAAGTTAGGATGTTGGAAGAACTAGGCCCTTCTGCAGGCTCTTGGGGTGGGGATCCATGTCCTTGCTTTCCAGCTTCTAGAGGCTCCTGTGTTCCTTCACCCTCAATCCAGCCATGCAGCGTAATCACGCCCCCTTCCCTGTCTCTGACCTTGCAGCCTGGCTCGCATAAGGACCCTTGGGTTACATGTGGGTCCATCTGGAAAATCCAGGATAATCTCCCTACCTCAAGACCCTCACTCTGTCACATCAACAGAGTTCCTTTTTCCACAAAAGGTAACATTCAAGGGTTCTGGGAATTGCAGTGTGGAGATCTTTGCAGGAGCTATAATTCAGCCCCTGAAAGATGGTATAACGGCTTCACGCTTGGAGCTCCTGCAGCCACCTTGCTATCATGAGGAAAGTCAATGTGACTTCTGCACTCAGGGGAGAGGCTAGGGAGGCAGAGCTCAGTCGGGGAAGGAGACCAAGACTGCTAGTGTTACTTGAGCTTTTGGGTCAAGTCCTGATAGAAGCCAGTCCTACTTCATGGGCTTTCAGTAATATGAATAGATAGATGCCCTGTTATTATGCTCACGCCAATTTGAATTGGGTTATCCATATATCTGAAACAGAATTAGCTGGTACAAAGGGTTGAGAACTCAGAGAGAAAGCTCAGCCTCTTTCTTTGAAGCTGAGAAAGCAGAAGTAGTACAGGGAGATGGTGTTTACAGATGGATACACAAGGCCCTCTGCAAAGTGGGGTTCAGGGTTCCCATGGAGGCTCACTCAGGGGGAGCGCACAGAACTATCACTGGCACCAACAGGTGCAGCCATTGATCAGTAACAAATAAACTGAGGATGATCACCTTCCAGCAACAGCGTCCCTTACTCTGCCTCTTTCAAAGACCCTGCCAGATCCTTCCCTCCAGGCACCCTGATTTCTATGCCTTTGCTGAGCAAAAGCCCACACAGAATGCATGGCTCCTCTCACTCCCCTTAGCTGGGTGCAAGTGCAAGCAGGCCTCTGCTCTTGCTCAGGAATGAGGAATGAGGTATTGCTTGAGGCCATGGCCTGAAGGCCTCTCTCCATGAAATCCCCTGTAGGCAGACCCCATGCATCTCAGAGCATTGGAGAGGATCCAGGGCTGGGGTGCGGCCTGGCCCACCCTCTGTGGGGATAGTGGGAGGGAACCCCTGGTGGTGATGAGACCTCATAGAGCTGCGTGGCTTCGTCTGCATGCTTCATGCTTCAGCTCTGCACTGAGACCTTTTTTTTTTAATTTTAATAAATGTCAGTGACATAAACTTAGAGCACCAGGAATCCTCAATAAAAAGGCTGGGCCCAGGCAAATGCATTATTTTGTTGGCAAAGCTAACATTGGCAAAACAGGAATCTTTCTATCTTGAGCTTCAGCACTGCATTAGAAATCTTGTTTTATTATGATGGTGAAGACTGAAGCCCTGGGGTTTGGGCAGGCATGGTTTGAAAGTTCAGTGGCAGCTGCCTGCAGTACGGGACATGGCTGCTCATATCCAAGGCTACGAATCCGGAGGAATTTCATTTTCTTGAGAAAGCCCAGGAGAGCAAGTAGCAAGGATATGAAAGTGAGAGGCAGAAACACAGTGACCAAAAAATGCTGCCTGAGATAGTGAGGCGGCTGCCTGGAACACTTCCTTCCTGGTTTTTCAAAAGGCTACCAAGATAATTAAGTAACTCTATGTCAATAAGTCTCTGTCCTTTCTGCATCTCCCCAGCATTGTAACAGCACAGGGAGAAGAGACGGTGGCATTTGCTATGGTTGCTGGCATGACAATGAATATGATCATGGACCTAAACTCAACCATGCCATCTTTGGAAAAAAGCAGCCAAGTAGAAAGGCAATAAATAAACATCAAGCAGGGAGGGCCAGGCGCAGTGGCTCATGCCTGTAATCCCAGCATTTTGGGAGGGCGAGGTGGGGGTATCACTTGAGGTCAGGAGTTCAAGACCAGCCTGGCCAACATGGTGAAACCCTGTTTCTACTAAAAATACAAAAATTAGCAAGGCGTGGTGGTGTGTGCCTGTAATCCCAGCTATCCAGGAGGCTGAGGCAGAAGAATTGCTGGAACACGAGAGGCAGAGGCTGCAGTGATCCGAGATCGTGCCACTGCACCCCAGCCTGGGCAACAGAGCAAGACTCTGTCTCAAATAAAATAAAATAAAATAATAAAATAAAATAAAATAAAATAAAGCAGGGAGAAGTGACAGCCACCAATACAGCCTCTCGACAGCATAAAAATTAATGTGACAAATTTTAAAGGCAGTCCAAATACCACTCAGACTCAGTTAGCTTAAACTCAGAGTAACTGAGTATTTTACAACTCTTGTAGGTATGTGTGCATATTTGTTATAAGTGTGTGCATGTGTATATATACATGTTCATGCCTGTGTGTTGTGCACATGTGTATGTGTGCATGCCCTTCTGTGTGCATGTGTGTTTATGCATGTGTGTGTTTCTACATGTGTGTTTATGCATGTGTGTATGTGTGTATTTGTTTCTGCAGTTTATTTCTACCACCTGCATTCTTTAGCTTGTGAGGGCATCAGTTTTTATATTTATTTGTTATAGCCTATAGATTGATATAGAATGCTACCTTGGTCATGCCTAAATTAAAGACAAGGTGTAATATCTTTTGTATAATTTGGATTTTAAACTGATGAGGAGAGGGATTATATGCCAAACTACCACTGAAGACAAAAGCCAGTGGAGGTCAGTAGCAGTGAGTGCAAGAAGCAGACATGGACATGTGAACTGAAGCCCATTGCCTGTGTGTTTGCTCCCTGTGGCTATAAGAACTTGAAAAGTGTTGTTCTCTTAGGTAAACCATGGGTGCTCATTGCATTAGTATCATAGGAATGCCATCACAAAGCACCACAGACTGGAGGGCTTAAACATCTCAAGTCTATTTTCTCACTCTTCTGGAAACTAGGAGTTCAAGATCACAGTATCGGCAGGTTTGGTTTCCGGTGAGACCTCAATTTCTTGCCTGCTTTCTTGTTGTGACCTCACATGGTCATCCTTCTTTGTGTCTTATCTGCATCCCAATCACCCCCTCCCCCTCCTCCTTCTCCTCCTACTTCCCCACTCCTCCTCCCCTTTCTCCTCTACCTCCCCTCCTCCTCCTTTCCTCCTCCTCTTCCTTCTCCTTCTTCTCCTTCTTCCTTCTCTCTTCTTTCTTTTTCTTCTCCTCCTCCTCCGTCTTTTTCTCCTTCTTCTTCTTCTCCTCCTCCTTCCCCCTTCCCTTCCCCTTCCTCCCCTTCTCCTTCTCCTTCTCCTTCTCCTTCTCCTTCTCCTTCTCCTGCTGCTTCTTCTTCTTCTTCTTCTTCTTCTTCTTCTTCTTCTTCTTCTTCTTCTTCTTCTTCTTCTTCTTCCTCTTCTTCTCTTGCTCTCTTTCATCTTCTTCTTGGAGATGAGGTCTTGCTTTTTTGCCCAGGCCAGTCTCCAATCCCTATAAGGATATCAGCCATATTGGATTAGAGCCCACTCATATGACCTTATTTAGCCTAATTACCTCATTAAAGGGCCTATCTTCAAATAAGGTTCTGTTCTGAAACAGCAGAAGTTAAGACTTCAACATAAGAATTTGGTAGGGGGTGGGGATCAGTTCAACCCATAGCCCTCACACGACACCATTTCAACAGGTCCTTCCCAAGCATCTTCAGTTCCAGGCTCTGTTTTGAGAATCCTTCTGGCTGTAGCAATGGACACACAGATGTCCCACTGTCTCCCTGTTGGAGATGTGCCTTGCTTGCAGTTGCAGGTAAGGTTGCCAGGGCTGTACTGGGGAGACAGGGTGTGAAGACCCCAGAGTGACCAGGCAGTCTGTGTGGGCCTGGAGGTAAGAGGGACCAGGCTGAAGAATTTCACTTGGCATGGGAAGTAGAATACAAGGGAGGAGGGGGTTGTGAGGTGTGGAAGGAAGCAGGGGCCAGATGGTACAGATTTTGAAAACCTTGCATAGATTTTGTCCTAAGAGCAATTGACAGCCATGGAGGTGGACGTTCAGGGGCTTATCTTCTGGAAGGACCACCATGGTGCAGAATAAAGAAAGGCCTGGAAGAAGCCATGTAGAGGCAGACCACGGAGCTCTGTGATACCTACAGAAGGTGGGGTGGCTGAGACTGTTCTCATGGAGATGTGAAAAGGGCACGAAGCCAAGAAACATTGAGGAGACAGAACCGACAGAGCCTGTGATAGGGTTTGGCTGTGTCCCCACCCAAATCTCATCTTGAACTGTACTCCCATGATTCCAGTGTGTTGTGGGAAGGACCTGGTGGGAGCTAATTGAATCATGGGGGCGGTTTCCCCCATACTGTTCTCCTGGTAGTGAATGAATCTCACGAGGTCTGATGGTTTGATCATGGGTTTCCGCTTTTGCATCTTCCTCATTCTCTCTTTGCCTGCTGCCATCCATGTAAAATGGGACTTGCTCTTCCTTGCCTTCCACCATGATTGTGAGGTTTCCCCAACCATACGGAACTGTAAGTCCAATTAAACCTCTTTCTTTTGTAAACTGCCCAGTCTCAGGTATGTCTTTATCAGCAGTGTGGAAATGGACTAATACAGCCTGGAGAGACTGGCTGTGCGTAGGGCAGAAGCAGTTGGGATCAACTTCTAGGCTGGGCATCCATGTCCCCTGGGATGCAGGAGGAGGGAGGAGGGCATAGATTGCTGGGAAGGTGATGGAAACCTCCACTGAGGTGAAACTGAGGTTGGCCGGCTGTCCAGGTAGGTCTAGGCTGGCCCAGGTGACTCACCTGTTTTCATGAATGGAAGAAACTGCCCAGGAGGATGAGGACCCAGGGCAACCCTGGGGAGACAGGTGCTGCCACAACATGGAATTGCCCACATCTGACAAAAAGACTGGGGGATGATGACAAAGCGTCTCAGGCCTGCAGCTTAGTGGAGACACTGGTCTGTCTCACCCTGAGCAGGGAGGAGTAGATGAGAAAACTGCCATCCTTGGCCAAAAGGGAGACACCATCTCCCCTCCTCTCTCCCCACCATCATCAGTCAGCAGTGCTGAGGCCATGGGCTCTCAGGTGGCACTGCAGACAGCTTGCCTATGAGAGTAGTGGCTGAGGAATCCCTGAAGGAGGTGCTTGCCATAACTCCATCCCTGCTCCCCTGGGACCAGGTGCAACTGCATCCACAGCAGCAGGACAAAAGCTTTCTACAGGGACACTTTATACTGATGATGATTCCCTGCTATTCCTCCCTCTCCAGAATTCAAAAGTGTCCCACAGTCTAAAGGGAGGATTAAAAGAGTACTTTAGCCCTAAGGTCCAGCCCAAGTGAGGTCATAAGCTTTGGTGCCAGACAAACCTAATTTAACCTTCACTCCAACACTCAATAGCTGTGACCACGGGCAAGTTAATTGGCTTCTCTGAGCATCGATGTGGTGATCTGTAAAGACAGGCACAGCAATACTTACCTTTCTAAGTCACTAAAGGACTTAGAAAGGTAAGTGATCTGTTTTGAAATTAATCACATCAGCATTTTCAACTAGGTAATTTTCAAGTAGAAAATTATCTCAGATGCTGAAATAGAATGTAACAAAATTCACCACCATTCCTTTCAAAAAGAAAAAAAACTGGCAAAGTACTAAAAGAGGAAAGTTCTTTAAGTTGATACATGCTGTCTACTAGAACCCTGCATTAAATCTTCCATGTGTGTGAACTCAGACCATTTCCATTAGTCATATGTAAGCCAGAGATTTGTGAACTCGGACCATTTCTGTAAGAGTCATGTGTAAGCCAGAGATTCCTGTTCTTCCTGATAACAGCACCTATCGCCCAATGTCCTCATCACGGTGATGAAAATAAAAATAAATAAGTTAGAGGAAACTGGAACTTACCAACAGTGTAATTAGATGCCTAGAAAAGCCAGGAGGATAAACGGAAAGCCCTTTGCACACTGAGTAAAACAGCCACTTATCAGAACTGTAAACAATAACCTTCCCTGTACTAGAATAAGCAATTAGAACATTTTATAACTAAAATTTTACAACTGCACTAATAGAAAAGTAAAGAAATAATTCCCTAAATATATGTGAAATCTATAACAATCTTTAGAACATAAAAGAAATGTGAGGAGATGCACGTGGGATCCTGGGTGGAGCGTCAGCCTGTGTCCCACTCTCAAGGAAACAGACGGATTAATGCACACCTGGCAAGGTCACAAAATATGCTTTGGGGGACTGGACAATCCAATCATAAAATTTGTGTGGAGGGAAAAAGTGTTGTAAAGTTCATGATAAGCATTATAAAAATTTCAAAATGAAAAAAACACAGTGGAGAATAACTTATCCTTTTTATAGTAAGTGTGTGGAAAAGCTATTTCAATAGAGTGGGGAACATATGGAATAGGTCTCATATTTTTTAGAAAAGCCATCAATTTGGGAAAAATAAAGTTTGATATATTTCTATTTTATGTCACACACAAAGATAAATGTCAGATGAATTAGTATAACATAAAAAGAGGATGATGAGGCTGTGAGAACAAAATATATAATATTATTACTGTTATATAATGTTATATATTAATTGATATGTATTTAATATTTTATTAATCATATAAATATATAATTATAAAATATATTAAAATATAATAAGAATATTATATTATATAACAGAATGGAATATTGTTATATATAAATAATATATAGAAAATATATTACTTGAAATATAGAATATTTATATAACAGAAAATTATGATTATATTATATATTATATTATTTTATTAAATTTTCTATTATTATGTTACTATTCTTCATTTTCTTTTAAACACCTCATCATCTTCCTTTTGTTATGCTAATAATATATAATAATAATATCAGTAATATAATATACCTACCTGTCTATGTGAAATAGAAAACACAGAGGCTTAGAGAAACAATAGGTTAAAATGTTGCATGTTAAAATCTCTGTCCCATGAAAAAAATTAAGGTAAGCAACAGTCTAGAAGGAAAGGATTTAAGCATATAAAATAAACAAGGGATTAATGTTCATGATGCATGAATGTTTCTAAAATCCTTTTAAAATGCAACCCAATAGATTCATATAAGTATAGTAAACCAATTTTTGATAAAGAAGTAATGGGAATGCAATGGAGAAAAAGTAGTCTTTTAAACAAATGATGCTGGAACAACTAGACATGTACATGCAAAAAAATAAATCTAGGCCCAAACATTATACCCTTCATAAAAATTAACAAAGTGGATAATATACCTAAATGGAAAATGCAAAACTATAAAATTCTTAGAAGATAACCCAGGAGAAAATCTAGATGACCTTGGGCATGGTGGTGACTCCTTAGACACAACACCAAAGGCACAATTTATGAAAGGAATAACTAACGAGCTGGACTTCATTAAAATTAAAGCTTCTCCTCTGTGGAAAATACTGTCAAGAGAATGAGAAGGCAAGCCACAGACTGGGAGAAAATATTTGCAAATGGCATATCTGATAAAGGGCAGTCAACCACAACATATAAAGAATCCTTAAAACTCATCAATAAGGAAATAAGCAACCTGATTAATAAGTGAGCAAAGGCTTGAACAGACACTTCACCAAGGCAGACGTAGGGTGGCATGAGCACATGCAGAGATGGTGAGCATCGTACGTCATTAGGGAACAGCTAATTAAAACAACACTGGGATGCTACGGTACTCTTTTAAATGTCACAAATCCAAAACACTGACAACACCCAATGGTGGCAAGGAGGTGGAGCAATAGGAGCATTCATTCATTGCTGGTGGGAGTGCAACATGGTACAGGCACTGTGGAAGACAACTTGGCAGTTTCTTACAAAACTCATCATACTCTAACAATATCATCCAGCAATTGCACTCCTTGGTATTTTCCCAAATAAGTTGAAAACTTATGTCCACACAAAAATCTGCACTCAAATGTTTATAATAGCTTATTCATAATTGCCAAAATTTGGAGACATCCAAGATGTCCTTCAGTAGATGAGTAGATAAACAAACTGTGATACATCCAGACCATGGAATATTTTTCAGCACCAAAAGAAATGAGCTATCAAGCCACACACACACACACATACCCACACACACACACACACACACACACACACACACAACCAAAACAACAACAAAAATGCGTGGAGACCTTAAATGTGTATTGACTCAAAGAAGCCAATCTGAAAAGGCTACATACTATATGCTTCCAAATCTATGATATTATGTAAAGGGTAAAATTATGGAGACATTAAAAATTTCATTGGTTAGGCCAGGCGAGGTGGCTCACACCTGTAATCCCAGCACTTTGGGAGGCTGACGCAGGCAGATCACTTCAGGTCACGAGCTCGAGACCAGCCTGGTTAACATGGTGGAACCCGTCCCTACTAAAAATACGAGAAGTAGCTAGGCGTGGTGACAGGTGCCTGCAATCTCAGCTAATGGGGAGGCTGAGGCAAGAGAATCACCTGAACCCTAGAGGTGGAGGTTGCAGTGAGCTGAGATCATGCCACTGCCCTCCAGCCTGGGTAACAGTGTGAGGCTCCATCTCAAAAAAAAAAAGAAAAAGAAAAAAGAAAGAATTTAGTGGTTGCTAGGAGTCAAGGGGAGGAAAAATAAATAGAGAGCAGGTGATTTTAAGGCAGTGAAATGATTCTTTATGATACTGTAATAGTGGGTCCATGTCATTATACATTTGTCCAAATCCACAGAGTGCGCAATATCAAGAGTGAGCCCTAATGTGAATTAGGGACGTTGGTGATCATGATGTGTCAGCATAGGTTAATTGAGCATGACAAATTTATCACTGTGGCGGGGAGGTTGATGGCAGGATAGGCTGTGTGTGTGTGAAGGGGGTTGGAACTATATGGCAACTGTTTGTGCTGTCCCCTGAATTTTGTTGTGAACCTAAAACTGCTCTAAAAATTAAGGTCTGTTTAAAAATACATAAATAAGACAATAATACCAGTAATAATAGTAGCTACTAGTTAACGAGGACCTACTATCTGTCCAGTACTATGTGTAATCCTTACCTGTGTGATCTTGGTCAAGTCATTTAACCCCCTGGCACCTTACCTTGTCCTTCTGTAATATGGGATGATAATGATTGTACTTACTTCATCGGGTTGTTCTGAAGATTCAAGTAATATCTTTTTTGTTGTTGTTTTGAGACACAGTTTCACTCTGTCACCCAGGCTGGAGTGTAGTGGCTTGATCTTGGCTCACTGCAACCTCCGCCTCCTGGGTTCAAGCGATTCTCCTGTCTCAGCCTCCCAAGTAGCTGGGACTACAGGCGGGCACCACCACACTTGGCTAATTTTTGTATTTTTTTTTCAGTAGAGATGAGGTTTTGCCATGTTGGCCAGGCTGGTCTGGAACTTCTGACCTCAAGTGATCCACCTGCCTCTGCCTCCCAAAGTGGTGGGATTACAGATGTGAGATACCATGCCCAGCCCAAGTAAGTAATATCTATTACATCCTTAGCATTATGTCTGGACCATAGTAAGAGTTCAGAAAATGTAGTTATTACTATTATTTTTTATGGAAAAAAGGCAACCTCATAGGTAAAAGAGCAAGGCACACACGGAGCAAAGACGGCCATAGCAGAAGATGAGATCTGGAGGGGAAGGCATGGTGGAAGGACATCCATCCACTAACAATAACAGAAACAGAATTAAAGCAACAGTGACATGCTTTCATACATCTAATTGACACAGAAAGGACATGACTGATTAGATCCAATATGGCTAGGTTGTGGCAAGCTGGGACTCCCCTGAAAGCTAGTGGGAGGGTACATAGATACCTCATCTAGAGGACATTCTGGTATTAGCAGTTCTCATCTGGAACATGCTCATGCATGTCATGTGGGTGGGGCTCCATGGCTGATCGTATTAAGTTGCTGGATATTTAATGAGCTCCTCTCCGCGGAAGAGCCCTTATCATCTGCCATACATGCAGGGGCACACAAATCAGGGTAGCCTGAGAGCTAAGAGAAATAGATATATTTCTCTTAGAAATAAATTTCTAAGGCTCAGCTTTTTCTTTGCTGCCTTTTAAGCTTTGATTTTTGGAGACGGTAAAATATTTGTTGCTGTCCCATTAACAGGAGTGATTTTTGTATTCTTTCTCTACAATCTTGGGTCCCATCAGGAAATGTTTCTCTCTAACAATAGAAAATGATTTAACCAATCACCTTTGCTCTTGCTTCTTATTATTTCCAGCTTCCGATTGCAGAAGTGTGTTGGGCAGTGGCCATGGATAACTTGTCTCTGGACCCACAGGCTCTGCATATGCTCTCTGCCTTCAGCTAGAGAACCCTAAGATCTGGTCCACTAGGTAGGGTGCAGTGGCTTATGCCTGTAATCCCAGCACTTTGGGAGGCTGAGGCATGTGGATCGCGAGGTCAAGAGTTCAAGACCAGCCTGGCCAATATGGTGAAACCCCGTTTCTACTAAAAATATAAAAATTAGTTAGGCGTAGTGGTGCAGGCCTGTAGTCCCAGCTACCTGGGAGGCTGAGGCAGAAGAATCACTTGAACCTGGGAGGCAGAGGTTGCAGTGAGCTGAGATCGCACCATTGCACTCCAGCCTGGGTGGATATTCAGTCTCAAAAAAAAAAAATATCTTGTCCACTGGCTACCAGCTGAATGTGAAAGAATGAGGCAGTAGGATGAAGATATGCCTGGGCTTAATTTTGATAGCAGCAACACTTAAATGATCAGGAGTCCATATTGCAAATCCATATCCCTGTGGAATGGACCCAGCCTCGCTGCTCACCCTCCCTGACTTTAAACCAGGAGGCACCTGGCTGATTCATGGGAAGGAAACAAACAAATATAAGCCCACCTAGTGGGGCACATAGCAGGTGCTTAACAGACAAAAGACACAAGATTCCTGAGGTGTTGAGCCTACGCCATGGCTTCAATGGCTCACAACCGCCCATTCAGGCTACAGTCCTAAACTTCAGAGCCGGATAGCCACACCCCACTCCCATGGGAAGCACTTGCATTACAGATGTTGAGACAAACAAACACACACATAAAACACCAACTTAGGTAAACTTCACTTTCAAAACATCAATCTAGCTATCTCTACATGTACATGTACACATACATATACCTATACAGTGTGTGTGTATTTGCATAGAAAAGCACTTGTAAGAAAGACACTGTATCATCAAATTATTATCAGTGGTTATATCTGTGTATTGAGATATACATACATTTAAATTTTTTTCTTCCAAATTTTCTACAATGAATCCATAGTAACAGACTCTTTAGTAACAGATTAGGATAATTTCTTAGGATCATCAAGAAGAAATGAGTCTTTCCTATAATGTTCAGAATAACAACAATGAATGACTGTCAGTATGGACTGACCCGTGCAGAATAGAGCTCTATTTTGGTTAATCCTGTAGCCTTCCCATGGACTTGCTGTCACAAAGTAGCTCTGTGATCAGTTCTGGTGAATGAATGCATTTGTCTTTCTGAACACTCATGGAATGACATTCCAAGTGAGAGGCATGGTGCCAATCTTAATAATTCACATTCTTTATAAATTCCTTCAAAGCAATGACTGAATTATCATAACCATTGTTCTGTTAAAAAGTAATATTTTTAAACAGAAGCCAGGGTTTTCCTTAAGTCCTGCTCAGTTTAAGATGAAACTTGGTTAACAATGCAGTTACATTTCAGCGTTTAAGTTCCAGTTCATTCAAAAGTTATAATGTGACCAGGCTAAAATTTTTCTTTGCTGAGTAGATTCTTTTTTGCAATGATACTGTGGAATCAATATAATAGTTTCATGAAATTCAAAGACTAAATATTTTAGATACTTAGACTCAACTATTCAAAATAATTTACAAGGTAGTCAAACACCGCAAGTATTCATGTATATAGTATATATATATATATACATCTATTTATAATTTGGATTAGATATTAACTCTAATAGTTTTCTAGAATCATAAACTATTAAAATTAGAAGAGACTTTGGATATGTAGTTTGGCACTGAGACACATTTTTATTGGATTTACTTACATTAAGGTACAAATGTAATGGTCAGCATTCATATCTGTTGGATAATTAGAAACTTCATTGTCTGGACACAGGAAGGGGAACATCACACACAGGGCCTGTTGTGGGGTGGGGGGAGGGGGAAGTTTTAGCATTTGGAGATATACCTAATGTTAAATGATGAGTTAGTAGGTGCAGCACACCAACATGGCACATGTATACATATGCAACTAACCTGCACGTTGTGCTCATGTACCCTAAAACTTAAAGTATAATAATAATAATTTAAAAAAGAAACTTTATTGTCTTGTACATTGTATTTTGTCATGACAACTATATTCTTTAGTGAGCAGAGACAGGAACTTAAAACGGAGACTGTAACCATCAGAAAATATATTTACATTAATAGCCTCTCTCTGACTCCTAGCACTGGCTCTTAGCATACATACGCATGTTTGGAACCGGAGGGATAGGGATTTGGCCCCTGAAGATGTGGCTTCTCTTGTGAGGGAGCAGAGTGGAGAAAGGCCTTTCCAAGAGGCAGTCTGCTTCTAGTGACGTCATTGTGACAAATTATTCTTTCCCCAGAACAGATGAAGTGAAAGGAAGGAGGCATTGTTTATTATTTGTTTTTGTTAGAATAAAAAAGGTCTATTTGAAGCAAAGTTTCTCCTGAATCTCTTTGTAGTTTTCTTCCTTTCAATGCCAAATAGGACTTCCTGTTATGGAATCGTATGCCAAATTTGTTTCCTTTCCTTCTCTAATATATCTTTCGGTTTCATCCTTTTAAAAGGGAAAAATGCAGACACCCTGGAAGCTTCCAAGGCAGGCAGAAAGCCTTAAGGGAGTGTTTATCAAAGGATGTGGAAGGTTTTCAGTGGCATACTTCTCTAAGCCTCCGGCTGAAAGACGGAGTTACCATATTTATTATTCTGATTACATGGAGGTGAGGCGAAAGCTTGAAAACAAATGCTTACATTCAATGTGTGTGATAAAAAAGAAAACTTTTTTAAAAAAGAGATTATTAAAATTCAGAGACACCAGATGCCTCTAGCAAGTTTCATCAGGGGAATTCTTGTGAGAGGGCTTTCATTTTCAGAGTTTTAAATAACTGGAATTTCCATTTTCAATTTTAGTAGAAAATATAAAATTCTTACTTCTCAATAGGAAAGGAGGTGATTTATAAAGCTATCTATATAATCTCTCTCTATATATACACACACAAATTGGAAAATATATATTCAGTAGTTTCAATATTCTGTTTCAGAAATTTTGAAATTACTATTAGCCATCCATTCTCAGTAATATTTTTCTGTAAACAGGAAGAGAATATATCTCATTTCTTTTCTTATTCATCAAGCTCCAAGAAAATAAAACAATATTTTCTACTACGGAAATGTGATCTACCCAATCTGAGGTCTTGATACTCTTCATCACGAAGGTCCCTAAGGAAACGCTACATGGGTTATATAAAGAATAAATACATACATATCAAAATTTGGGAGAACAGTATGATAATGGTTATACTTTATCCTTGATGGATATATTGATAGAGGAGGTTTGTAGGAGCATACACACACACATTTTTCTGAAAATAATTACTTCTTTGAACATCAGCTATGACAAATTCTTAAATCACCATCGTTGTTACCATTATCATCATCATCATCACTCTAATTCAAGTCTATGAGAAGAAAATTCTGTTTTATGCAAAGCTTTTGATTTCTCATTCCAGAAGGAAAATCTTGGTTCTGTAAGAATATGTGTCCCAGCTGATTATGTTGCTTATAAAAAATTCTAGGAAGTGGCACTGAAAGTGCTAGACTTGGCATTTAAAGGTACAGTTCTGAGCCCCGTCTGCCACATATTAGCTTTGTGACTCTAGGCTCTTTGTCTGAATTTCCTCTTCTGTTAGAGTGGTGAAATAATAAGGATCTTATAAGAAATCAATTAAACAATGCATATGAAAAACTTAAATTCATTTCCACTTAAACAGGGGAGTGATTATTTCAATCACAAGACATGAAATCAGGATGATGAACACATTTGGCAAGAATCTAGTTCCAGGTAAGATTGAGTAAGCACATGTTACCTTGTGTGCCTCTATGAATGAAGCTATAAGACCCGGACAGAATGCAGGGATCAACTATTTGAGAAGTCTGGATTTAAATAGTACCAGGTGCACTGAAGAAAATGGCCAGAATTTGGAGGACCATCAAACCAGGGCCAAGTTTGTAATTTCTCCTGTCCCAGATGCAACATAACATGAAACTCAGAGGTAAGCATCAGTGTGGACAAAGAAAGCTCCAGAAGAAAACTTCTAGCTCAGCACAAGGAGCAATAAAGCTGTCTCCTGGAGATACAAGGGCAGCTGGACCCATAAGTGCCTAAATCTATGAAGGAAGGAAACTTCTCTGATCAAGGGAGCTTTTGTCTTAAGAAGGTGGGGTAAACATTTTTGTTTCATTTTTTTTAATGTCTTCCCATTCCTTGGCCCTAATGATTGGCATAGTCAGGGAAGTGTATAGTAGGTAGGCTAAATAAAGCCCTAGCTTTTTTGGGTATAGAATTAAAAAAAGGGGAATTCTAGAAAACCAAAAAGTACTTGAGAGCATTATAGAGAGAGAATAACTTAAAAAACAACCCCATGAAATTATTTACCAGTTCCTAGGCTCAACTCAAATTGCAGATGCATAGTGCTTTTCTAAAACAGCATGCCAAAAACCCTAAGAATTAGAATAAAGGATATACTCTACTGCCTAGGTTTTAGACTGGATGTCACCTACAGAGCTACAGATCATAATGGTGCAGCAAAGTCTTTGAAAATGGAATAGTGGACCTACAGGAGGCTAAATATAACTTATAGCTTGGACCCAGTGATTGTCACCTGAAACAGAAAATGTCAACATTTTTCATAAAATTTAAACAAGACATAAAGTCTCATAACATAATACTCAGGTGTCCAAAATATAATTCAAAATTCATCATAGAAAGAACTAGGAAGATCTCAAATTACCCATGAAAAGGCATTCAATACATTTCAATGCCAAGATGGCAGAGATTTTGGAAATATATGTTAAAAAGTTGAAGCTATTATAAAATGTGCCAAGAAGTAATGGCAAACATTGTTGAAACAAATGGAAAGATAGAAAATCTCAGCAAAGAAATGGAAGCTGTAAAAAAAGAAACAAGTATGCAAACACGTTTGTAAATATGAAAACGTTATGTGGTCTTTCCAAAGCTCCTCACTGACCCAGCAGGCTTTTCACAGAGCACTTATTTGTTATGCAAGAGAAGCCAGGAGCAGAGGAGGCTGATTATGAGTTTGCAAATGAAAATGTGAGTGGGGAGGAGTGGGGGATGCTTGACCTGTTTTTAACATTGGTTACCAGAAGAGGGGAGTAGGGTGGAAAAATGCTGCAGATAACAAGTTCCCTTTTCCTTCATCAACTTAAAGCACGTGGAACATAAACCTAACATGTATAGAAAATCTTACTGACATTTAGAGCCTAGCAAAGGATGAATCTGGGAGGAATTATTTGTCTGCTGGGATGCAAACAGTTCCAGCTGTCCTGGCCAGCATTTCCATCCTTAGAAAGGCATTGACGCTTCCTAGCACCAGGGATTTCTTTTACTGATGGTATATTTTGGAAGGGCCTAGGCCTCCCACCCAGTTCACAGGCTCCTCTCTCTTCTGTCCCTCTGCTCTCCTTTTCATTTTCACACCCCTCCGCACATTGATTGTGAACTGCCTGCAGAAACTTCAAATTACTTCCCTTCATGACTTTGCAGCACAACCCAGCCTCTTGACTCCTCCTTCCAGATATTGCTGTGAGTTTTGCAATGGGGACCCAAGAGACAATGATTTATTCCACTGGAAGGAGGGCCCTGCCATCCCTAGGATGGGGAAGCAGCTGCAGCTCATTTCTATTTATGTAGTTTTTTTATGTCATTGTTGGTACTGTAATGATTCTCCCTCTCTCCTTTCGTTTCCTGGGCTTTGTTTCTCTCCTACCTCAGCTGGGTCCTGAGTGAGTTGCAAAGTGTTACTAGAAAGCTGGAGCCCTCTGCTGTGGGTGTGGCACTTTGACTCTGCCCATCTTCTGCTCCACAAATTTCTTTAAAGTGTTGGTAAAATTATTCCTAGATATCCTTCAACATAAGGTGGCTTATGAGTTAGACACTCAATCTTTCCCAAATTATTTCCTTAGGAAACATGTTTTGATGCTGCTTAACACAGCTTTTGGAAGTTGATGAACATCATCAAAGTGTGAACCCATCTCAGCTGACAAGGGGGACACAAATTTGCTGCCTTCCTATGTCAGCATCTGAAGAGATGGCATGTGGATGGGAACCAGCCAGGACAGCTGTGGAGGCAGCCATATCGCTGAAGAAGTGCAGGCTGCACCTGACCTTTCCCAGTGACCAAGGCAGTGCACACAGGGCCACACAGGGACATCCTTCCATGTTTTATGGTTTGTAGGTGGCTGTCGAATTCAGCGTCATGGGATTTTTCATGTGTTCCCCCAGCTTCTTTGGGAAGGAGTCCTGGTAGGGGCAGAAGTCGGTGGCCCAGCCCAGCTTCTGGCACTTCCATGGGAGTGAGGTGCAAAGACAGAGTGCAGTACATTTAAAGTGTTTTGCCAAAACTTTTTTATGGGATTTGAGTACAAATACCAAAGGGGTTGTCCATGGAAAGAAGTGGGCCTTAGGCTGATATCTTGTTGGGGGATGCAGCGAGATTGGGGGTAACCTCTGACCCCATCTGTAGGATTCACTGGATCTGCTTGATGTTTGCTTGTAGTTGTTTGACTGATGATGACATTACTGTTTAGACATTTGGACTGCAAGGAGAAATCCCACCACAGATAAGTAGATCGTCTTGTCTTTGCATGGGCATGCTGCCCTGGCTTGTCTGATGTGTGCATTATGGGACGTATGCACAGGAACAGCTCAGTTACCCACTCACCAGTCGTGAGGGTGCAAGACCTCTAAAAGTGAGGCCTGTAACTTGTTCATCTTCAAGATAGAGACTTCACATTTCGGTGTAATCACCATCAACACTTACTGAATTGATCCGAATTCAATAAATATGAATTCACGGATAATCTGCCAAATTTAAAATATTGCCCTAGTGGTTTGGGGTGCACAGAGTTAAGTGAAACCACCCATTCTTAGGGATCATCCAATGCAGGAGTGCTGGCATATTCATCAGCAAGGGCTGTCACACAGAACATCACAGGCCCTGTGCTTACGCAACCGTTTCTGCTGAGGCCTCTCTTCCTGCTTATAGACAGTGCCTTTTCACTTTGAGCTTGCTTGGCCTCTTCTCTGTGCATGCACAGAGAGAGAGAAAGGGAGAACAGGCAGCCTCTGGCGCCTCTTCCTGTTCTCATGACACTAGTTAATAAGGTTCGGTTCTGTGTCCCCACCCAAATCTCATCTTGAATTGTAGCTCCCATAATTCCTACTTGTTGTGAGAGGACCTGGTGGGAGATAATTGAATCGTGGGGGTAGTTTCTCCCCACACTATTCTCATGATAGTGAATAAGTCTCATGAGATCTGATGATTTTATAAGGGGTTTCCCCTTGGCTTGGTTTTCATTCTCTCTTGCCTGCTGTCATGTAAGATGTGTCTTTCACCTTCCATCATGATTGTGAGGCCTCTCCAGCCACGTGGAACTGTGAGTCCATTAAACTTCTTTTTCTTTATAAATTACCCAGTCTTTGGTATGTCTTTATCAGCAGTGTGGAAATAGACTAACACACCAGTCCTATTGGATTAGGGCCCCACCCTTACGACCTGACTAGACCTTAATTACTTTCCTGAAGGCCCCATCTCTAATATAGTCACACTGGAGGGTTAGGGCTTCAACACATGAATTTGGCTGGGGAGGCACAGTTCAGTACACAACAGATGGGAACCATCTTTTTTTTTCTGTTTCAACTTTTTTTTCAGTATCAACTTTTTGTTTTGTTACAGTGATTTAGCATAAAACAAGTAGACACTAATGTAACATGCTCACTTAAAATTCCAAGAATTCTCAAAAATTCTCGTACTATGAACTGACCTTCTTAGTTTCTAAAACTGAAGAAATCATTGTAATTTAAAACATAAATCATCTCAATCATAAACATTAAGAGTTTCCTTGGTGTTCACTCTTGGGATATTTCAAAAGATGATAAAGTATGAAATTAAGCAGAGCCTATTAAGATCAACCATTTTTTATTATATGACCTATTCATTTCAAAATGTAGATGCACATAATAAATAAGTTTTCCAGTGTGTGCCTGCTCAGAGGTTTCTACACTCTCAGAAAGAAACCAAGCTAATTACACATGAAATATCAACTGGTGAGCAATTATAACCTGAAAAATACCCTCATGATTTTGTATATTTTATAAATTTATGAGTTGGGCAAAAAATGTTATATCTATACCATGAATTCAGAAACAGTGGTAAAATATGGTCATAACAAACAGTATGTGTATATATACACACACGTATACACATACACACATTATACATACACGTACCTCATACACACACACACCTCATACACACACACCCACACACCCACACCCACCACTATCATAAACTTCTGCTTTTATTTGGCTGGTAATATGTACAAATGAATATTTCTGATTTGTTAGCTTTCTTGGCATATTTCTGTCTAATTTTTTTAATCTCTCCTCCTTCTTTTCAGATAAGAAAAACATGCTCTCTCTTCTCTAATGATTGGACAGACTCCTACTCCAAAACAGAAGATCTCAACTCTGGAAGGTTAGGAAATCTGTGAGCAGAGGGGGCTGTTTTGCTTTATGTATGTATAATTTTTGGCAATTATTGCCCATCCATGTGGCCAACTAAGGACTTTTATTATCTTCTTCTTCTGGGATCATCCTAACAGAGAACCTGAGGTTTGGGCTTGGGCACAGGTGGTTTATTTGGGAGTGCAGACAGTAAGACAGGGAGGAAATGGGAGTGATGATTCGTGAGTTATTGAGCTTTTGCCACTGAGGGAATTGGAGCTCGATCCTGCCAGGGACACTCAAGCATCACAGGGACATGCCTCAGAACTGCCCATCTAAAGAATGACACACTGCAGGTTTTAGTCACTAATTTTATTCTCCATTGGTTGAAGGTTTGTCCCAGAGGAAGTTTCTCCCAAACATTTCCAGGCTGCCCTGTCCTCAAGCTGAAAATGCTACATTGACTTTCCAGAAAACTAGCAAACAAGCAAGCAAACAACAATGAAATAAAATGACAGACTGGGAAACAGGGCAAAACCCCGTCTCCACCAAAAATACAAAAAATTAGCTGGGCATGGTGGTGCATACCGGTGGTCCCAGCTACTCAGGAGGCTGGGGTGGAAGGATTGCTGGAGCCCAGGAGGTAGAGGTTGCAGTGAGCTGAGATCACACCACTGCACTCCAGCCTGGGTGACAAAGTGATACCCTGTCCCAAAAAAAAAAAGGAGGGGGAATGAAACATACACACACACACACACTCACGTACATACACACAAAACTGAGGCAGAGGTGAGGGAAACTCTTGGGGTGGGATGCTGTCAGCCCATATAGGAACTGCCTACCTGCTCTACATAAAGTCTGTGTGGGGACATGACCACAGGGCATGGGGTACCCAAAGCTGCAGTTCCCCGTGCCCCAGCACCACTTGGATCTATGCGTGATCACACTGAACTCACTCTATCTTAATCGTCAAGGTGGTGGCTGGCCACAGACTATTAAAAAGACATAAAATGATCGAGCAGTTTTACTTCTGATTATATACCCCAAAACTTAAAAGCAGGGACTCAAACAGATATTTATGCATTCATATTCATAGTAGCATTGTTCAACAGCCAAGAGGTGGAGCAACTCAAGGGTCCATCAATGGATGAATGGATAAAACTATTCCATACAATGGAATATTTTCAGCATTGAAGAGAAAAGAAATTCTGACATGCGCTACACCCTGAATAAACTCTGAGGATATTATGCTAAGTGAACTAAGGAACTAAGCCAGTAACCAAAAGACAAATACCCTATGATTCCACTTATATAAGGCACCTAGAATAGTCAAGTTCATAGAGACAGAATGTAGTATCGTGGTTGCCAGGGGCTGGGGGAGGGAATATAGGGGTTAGTGTTTAATGGGTGCAGAGTTTCTGTTGGGAAAGATGAAAAAGTTCTGGTGGTGGTGATGGTTGCACAACAATGTGAATGTACTTAATGTCACTGAACAGTGAATTTAAAAAATGGTTACAATGGTAAATTTCGTGTTATGCATATGTTGCCACAATTTAGAAGACATCAAAGAAGGGAATTTCTAGAATAAGCTACAGTCTCCATTGCTGGGGTTGTCTCAGGTTGTAACTGACATTTGTCTCTCCCTTTTCCACATTTGCTGCTTGCATTGGCCTCATCTCTTCTGTCTGAGTCTGGTCTTTGATTCCATTTCTCTTTGTAGGCTGTGGTTACTGTAATTGCCTCTCCCCTGTGGCCACAGGGCAGAGAGGCACCAAGAGGTACCTCAGGACTCCCTGCCTGACCTCAGATATTCTTCTCCTCCCTGCTGTGCTTTTAAGCAGAAATTCTAGACCAAGCTATCATCATCATCGCAGCCTTTTGCCATCATTTGCCAGTAGGAGAGCTCTCTTCTTTATTTGCTGTAAATTCCTTTCAGGGTCATGCCAGCTAGCCATTTCAAGCCAAGTGTTTGCATTTTCTGATCTCACTCAAAGATCATGTGAGCAAGAAGTCAGGGAAAGCTCTGTATCTAAAACAAGTCTCAATTCTTCAGTTTCTCACTCCATGGGATCCTTGGATTCGGAAGTCCTCAGCAATGGCTCAGAGATGGAAAAGGAAAAGGCGCATAGTCTATGGACTAGGAAGTACTGGGATGTTTCACATGAAGTTTGTAATTTTAAGGATATTGGGGTGGTATGGATGGTCAGGAGAAGGTGGGGCTGGGGAAGGAAAGTGAGTGTACAAACAGGAGGGTGAGGCAGTTGTAAGTTTCATACTTTTTTATTGCCTTTATCTAAAGAGTCCTTTTGGAGGCAATTCTAGAATTCGAACTTTATTTGGAAGGTTCCTTATACATACGAGATTTTGAATTACCCAGATGAATTTGTATATGGGATACAAATTACCCAGATGGGTCTATCTGGTGGGATCTTCTTGCAATTTGTGTCTATGACCATCTTGTCATATGTGCAATATTATGTCAAGAGTTCTAACACATAGAGCACTGTCCAGCAGTAGGAGTTATCCAATAAATATTTGTTGAATTAAGATGCAAAGAGCATGAGTATCACATTGTCAAGCTCAAATCTACAACCAGACCCCCCAAAAGCCACTCAACTTGCAAGAATCTTGACATCTTGACCTGGATGTGCCACAAGGAACATGTAATCACAGTTGAGTGACAAGCCAGCCCCAGATGTTCCACAGCAAGGATTGCGGAGTCTAGGCATCTCTAAAGAGCCCTGTCCTTCTGAGTCCTCATCTGCTGTGAGTTAGTCTTTCACAGAGAGCCTGCCCCCATCCTGGCTCATGAGGACACACTGATGGTCCCTCCCCTTCGCATACCGTCAGTCATTCCTCTGGCTGGAACATCCAATACGATGTTTCTTGCTCTATCTTCTCACAGGCATCTAGGTTTTAACTTGGAAATACCTTTGGGGATGCAGAGAAACTGCCTCTCTGTCTCTTGTGCCCCATTTCCTCCCACACAGAGAGAATCTATCTATTTCACTGAAAATAATGGAGTCTGACACACATTAGCTCCCACACCTTAAAATATCCGTCTTCTTTGTGTCCTTAAATAGGTACTTGTCAAAACAATATAGGTAACATTGAGAAACAGTCATTATGAAAAATTAGAGTAGAGCACTAAAATCATGGGATTCATATCCCAGCATCTCCCCTTTGACAGGTTTGGGGAATCTTTCCATCTGATGCTGTGCTGTGGTTTCAGAGAAAAACCACCACGATTTCCTGTGTGCAACTCTGTCCCGGGTTCCCCCTGCTAGCCTGTAGGTTGCCTTCACCAAGGTCCTGAAGGTCAGGAGTCTCTTTTGTGGTCTCTCTGCCCTCAACTAAATGTTCTGTAAATAATTAGAGACCTAAGTCTTGACAATAATAAAGCAGCCTTATCCCATGGGTAGAACTAATGAGCAGAGCTCGGTCTTGCTAATGATTAAGTCTGAAATGCACCAGTGGGGGAAGGGGGCCTGGAATTCTTGTCTAATATTGATATTTATGGCCCTTTGTTTTCCAGAGAACAGATGCCTTCCACTGTGTGAGCGTAAATTCAGAGCCTTCCAACTTGACATTCTCATCGACAAATTATTTAAACATGACGGCTCTTTTATAAAGAGTGTTATCTTAAAAGGAAAGGAATCAAAGGGCTGAACATGTTGAAGGTGAATTTAAAAGCCTGGTTGCTGTTGATGGTGATGGCCCAAATGGGATAAAGCTGGCTCCCATGTTAAGTGGCTGCATCCATGAATATTCATGCAACACTGTTATGAGAACACTCACACCACAGAGGGGACCTTCATGGATGAACCCCCAGAGTCAGACCCCCAGGCCCCTATCCTGGCAGCTCCTTGACGCTGGTTCCCAGCCTTAATTGTCTTGTCTTTCAGTGAGAAAATAAAAGCTGCACCTGTTTTCCTCCCTCCTTCCCTGGGGTTTTTGTGCAGATCGATAAGATCAATTCCTGGATCTTGCTGTGAGTCTCTTGAGACAAGACCTGCGATTAATATTAGCGACTGTTATTTTAAAGACCTGTCTTTTTTTTTCTTTGAGGAGCTGGCCTAATGGATACACTTTTAGCATGACCTGCCAACCTTCCTCAAAAGCAAATCGAAATCGATTTTTGGCTAAACATACATTTGATAATTTAGTATATCTTTTAAAATAATTAGAGATATCCTGGGGAGTCAAAAAAAGTAGACGTGAAGTTGGCCTGTCCCGGATTGAAACTCTGACAGCAGCCACCTCTCACCCATGCCCCCTGCACCGTTGGAAATGAGGAAAGAGGGGTGATGGTGCTTCCTTTCACAGCACCTTGTTCTGGGATCTGGGGCCAGGTGATCAGTTTCTCTGTGGCCCGAGTCTTCCACCTGAGGAGTGGGGATTATAGATTCTGACTTAGAGGAGGAAAAAATAATAGTTTTTGAAATACAATGTTATGATAGGAATACTTTATTTCACATTGACAGAGAAATATACAGTTGTCAATATATTTTCCTGTGATTGTTCCTCAAACCTTATCAAATAGTTACAGCAGTAATGTCATCTCTATTTTAGGGAGGAGAAACAAGACCCCCAGGACTTGTCAATGGCACACATGAAAGACAGAAAACACCAGAAGCCAGTCTTCAGCCTGCTGGCCCAGCCATGGCCACTGTAACGTACGGCTAAACCCCTGCCCCGATCAGCTCTCAAGGCTCTGAGCCAACTGCCTAGACCGTCTATTTGAGATCCCTGAGAGTTTCAACACAGGGCATGGCTGACCTCTCCACCGTGTCATTTCCAGTAATGCGGCCTCACTGATAGCAGAAGTTCGGAGAGCTCTTGTCAGAGAGGCCAGCTGGCACCATGTGAGTCTTACCCAGAGGGAAACCTGACAATCTTCCAGCATGCTCACCAGACTGGGGCACTGACTTTTGTCACTTGATTCTCAACTCACAGTCTCAAGATGCTGGTGCTAATGTACATTGCAGCTGACACTGGAGTTTATTTTTATAACTGCTCTTGCCTCAGAAAAAGCTCCATCCCAGTACGACTTCCAGGACAGGGATGGTCTGGATGCTGCAGTTAGGACAATGATCATCTCGTTCTCTTAGTGGTTAGGAATCCTGTGGGCTTATGGAATAAGCTCGCTGAAACAGACAGTGACATCCACGGTGACACTGACCGAATTGTGCTCCAGTGGCCTAGAGAGTGCCTATTATTTATCTCATTTCTGTTCTGCATAATAACACCAACCAAACCGCTAATGAATGAATATTATTACATGCTTTGGTAGGAACGCAAAGGCAAATTGGGCTCACTGTAGAGAATATCTTGCTCCTCATTTTGTATTAAAATGCCTAGACGCCCCTCAAGAGACCATGTCAAGGATGAAATTTATCCACTGCCTGCATTTGCTAATTTGAAAGAGTTCTGATTTCATCTGCCGGGCTTAATATAGAAATTCTTTTAACCTGAACAGATACACAGAAATGTGGAATTTATTCAATGCCATTTTCTTGATTTATGTCAGGAAATATATATGGCTATGCTGTCATCTTTTTATATATAGACATCAATATATATAAATATATAGAGTCAAGTCAGAAATTCTGAAACCACATTGCACTTAGCCCTTACAGCATAATGCTTTCCATATTCTTCACAGTTTGTTTCCCTGATCCTTTAGAGAGAGCTACTGTGTTTAAAGTGTAAACCATTTTTACAGAAAAAATGTATTACAATTCTATATGATAATTCTCAAAGTTCAGGAAAATAATCTGAAATAAACATTCTAAATTGAGGAATGAATAATAAAGACTCATCAATTGGGCTGGGAGCAGTGGCTCACGCCTGTAATCTCAGTACTTTGGGAGACCGAGGCAGGCGGATCACCTGAGGTCAGCCTGGCCAACCTGGTGAAACCCCGTCTCTACCAAAAAAATACAAAAACTAGCTGGGCATGGTGGCACATGCCTGTAATCCCAGCTACTCTGAAGGCTGAGGCAGGAGAATTGCTTGAACCTGGGAGGCAAAGGTTCCAGTGAGCTGAGATCGCCCTATTGCACTCCAGCCTAGCTGTCTCAAAAAAAAAAAAAAAAAAAAAAGAAAGACTCATCAATTGTTTTGACACGTGGTTAGACAAACAGGCTGATTTATAGTGCTTGGCCATATTCTAAGGAACCCAGTTCTGTGGGTTCTCAGGCAATGACTGGGACAGGGGCCATAAGAATAGCACAACTATTACTGCAGAATTGCGTCCCTTAAATAAGAATTTCACCAGATTCTGGGGCCCCTGAACTCTCATCCTGCAGCTGTGCCTTGTTTGCTGGATCTTCCAGCCCCAGCTTGAACTGAGACACAGGGACGGCCATCACGGGGAAGAGGGGGCAGGAGCGTGTCCTCTTCACAGCAGTGCCCATCAGTGAGTGAGCCTTGCTTTGAAACCTGTGTCTAATGCATGTCTGTTCCTGGAAAGTGGTGGTTTAGGAGCAGGTAAGCCACTCTGCTACCCCAGTCTGTTATTTATAATGGTTTGAGTGTGAAATCAGAAAGATGCTTTTGCTGTTGTTGGCATTTCTCAGATTTGGCTATAAAAATAGAAAAAAACCCTCTATTTTCTGCTATTCTGTTTACCACCACTTGGTGAGTTTTAATGAAAAACTGCAAGAAAGCACATATGTGGAAACTGGAGTTGAGCAACACAAGGTATCAAATGCAAGAAGTTCCGAGGATGGTGAAGGTATAGCCAGGCCTCAAAGCAATGCATCTTAAGATAATAATACAGCCCTTTCTATTTTAACACCAGTAGAAACTTTACAAAACCTCTCAGTGACCTTTGTTGGAATGTATTAAGGAGATCACTGGCAGTGAATTGTTTCCCTGACATATTTATGAATATGTCGTCCTCAGGAATGAACATAGCACCAGATACCCGTAAAGTTTGTGGTTCATAATAAGACAAAATTGGTGACCCCAGCCTCAGTGGCAGACAGTTTCCTATGGTTGCTGTGACAAATTCTCACAAGCTGGGTGGCTTAAACAATGCAAATTCACTATTTTACAGTTCTAGAGAAAAGAAGTAGGAATTGGGTCTTATTGGGATGAAGTGAAGGCTCTGGCGGTGCTATGTTTCTTCTAGAGGCTCTTAGGGAGTGCACTAGATTGAATCATGCCTCTTCCAAATTTATGTCAACCTGGAATCTCAGATGTAATTAGGGAAGTTAAGATGCAGCCACAGTGGATTAGAGTGAGCCATAATTCAATGACTGATGTCTTTATAAGAAGATAAAACAGAGAAACAGAGATGCAGATAGACTCAGGGAGGAGGTCACGGGACAAGGAAGCCAGAGGTTAGAGAGATGCGTCTACAAGTCTAGGAGCATCAAGAATCACCAGCAACCACCAAATGCCAGAAGAGGCAAGAAAGCGCCATCCCCTAGAGTCTGTCAAGATAGGAGGGCCCTGCTGTCACCTTGACTGTGGTCTTCTGGCCTCCAGAACTATAAGAAGATTAATTTCTGTTGCTTTAAGCTGCCATGTTTGTGGTAAGTGGTTGTGACGGTCCCTAGGAAAGGAACACAGGGAGAATGTAGTCCTTGCCATTTCTAGCTCCTAGAGGCTTCTGCCTTCCATGGTTCCCGGTCGCCTCTGCCACCTTCACAATCAGTGGTGATGGCTGAGTCCTTCTCACAGCACATGTCTCTGACCTGCGTCTGTCATCATATCTACCTCTGACCAGAACCAGGAAAAGTTGGACTCATGTAACTAGATTGAGCCCACCTGACTAATTCAGGATAATCTCCCCATCTCAAGGCCGTAACCTTAATCCCACCTACAAAATCCCTTTTGCACACAAGGTGACATGCTTACAGCTGCCAGGGATTAGATCATGGACACCTTCATAGGGGCGGAGGGGATTATTCTGTCTACCACAGATGGCAGGACATAATATACTGTATTAAAGTCAAAACAGTGAATAATATGATTTAAGAAAGGCTAAAACCAGTAAACAATTGACTACCTATTTTATCTAAGGATGAGTATTCGGTGGGAGGAGAACAATAAAAAGTAAAAAGTTGAATAAGGCAATTCTCCACCTTTAACAAGTCGTATTCCAATGCAGGAAATAGATATGATAAGTGAATCTTATAATAGTAATGATGTCATTTATTACTGAACTAAAAAAAAAAAAAGCACAGGGGAAGCTCTGAAACATCTCATAGCCTTTTTTATGGAAGCCCATGAGACAGGATCCCAGCAATGAATCAAGCTATCCGGAGCTCTGTGATGCTCCAAGCAGAGGTGTCTGGGCAGAGAGCAGAGAAGAGCTCATGCTGGAGATGGTTTCCTCGAGAAGACATCTTTTGAAATGGGTCTTGAGTGATGTGTGTGGCTTAAACAGAAGAGAAAATGGGATTCCAGACAGCCAGGCCAGTGTGAGCAAAGGCACTGAGGAGCAAACATTCCAGGAACACAAGAAGACCCTGTGGGACTTTAAACAGCCTTTGGCTTTATAATGAACGTGAAGCTTAATTTGCTTTGCCTACCAGTGGCCACGGAGGCCGAAGACAGCTGTTCTAAGTGGTTTTCTGTTTGTTTTTATTGACCATTGAGATGCTCAGACCATGGCAGACTGCAGTTGCTTCCCAAAACCAAATCCAGCATTTTTTCCTCTTTAGATTGTTTTTCATTTGCTTTAAAAGTAAATTAGAGGTGCACTTGGTCTCTCATGGCACCCACTCGGCCCTCTTCCAAGTGTACTTTCCTTCCTTTCATTACTGCTCTAAAGCTTTTTAATAAACTTTCACCCTGATCAAAAAAAAAAAGTAAATTAGAATTTAGAGAATGATAAAACAGCAATGTACAGCACTGATGGAGCTAAAAAAAATGCATTACTTGTACCTTTGAGCCTTTAGTTTGTGAGTCGACTGGAAAAGAATGAGCTTGTGAGAGGAGTTATCTCTGACACTGGTTAGAAATGAGACCTTCGTTCCATATTTATTTAGGTAATTGTGAAAGGTTTTTGGGACATCTGCCACTAAGCAGATACAGGTTCAAATCTAAAAATAGGTGGGAAAGAGGGGGCCCGTAGGGCACGGCAGATGTGGAACCCAAATACCACCCACTAACCCCCTAACCCACCCAGGGGTGCCATCAACCTGAAAGCCTCCCCCAAACCTGACCTGGCCTTGGAAGCCTCCCAGCACAGCTGGCTTCACCATAAGCCCCAGGAAAATGAAGTCTGTTGGTGTCTTGTACTTGGGAGGTCACTGGGAACCATTACTGTCAGCTTTCTTTCAGATCAAGCAAAATGGACAATCCAAGTCCAGGCCAAACAGAAACTAGAAAAGTTGCCTCAAGCCCTAGGTCCTACAAATACCTTTCACTGTGGAGGTGGTTTTCTTTAGGTACCTTGCTAATATGGAAATATATTTCAAAGTCAGTCGACCCTGAATGGGTTTTCAAGGCTCCTAAATGATTATGTAAATTTTAGATAAACACAGTTAATGTAATGAGTCCGATATCCCCTATGTTACTTCAGGCTGCGGTTCTATAAACCTCTAGGGGATATTGTCTGGGAGTCTCATTCTGAAACAAAAAGATAATTTTGTATGTCAGTGAAATTCACTATACCTGCCCCATGAGGAGAGCAAAAGCCTAGATTTCCAAGTGGGGTGTAGTGCCCCTTCCTGGAAAAGTATGACTGTTCTTGGCCACCTGGTGTGGCTTTTATTTTGAGTCAGGCACCCTCATGGGTAGAGCAGCAGCCTTCACAAATAAGCATCCTGAGGTATTCACAGGCATTAAGGATAAGACAATTCAACAGATGGGAATACAAAAGAACATCAAGACAAAACAAACATAAAGTGAATCAAGAGATTAATTTTAAAAATAAATAGAAAGACAAGGAGTGGTTGCGAGATAGGAGGTTTCCCCACTGTGAAAGATCATCATGTACTTCCCAAACTCTGAATGCGTGAAGAGTGAGGTGCGCGAGGCATACATGGGTGGCGGATGTCATCATTTTCCACACTGGAGCTCTGCTGCTGCACTCTGAAAGATTCATTTCTGAATGGAGAGACGCTTCGGGTCTCCTATACCACTCTCAAAGGCCTGAAGGCCAGGAAGAACCGTTCCAACCAGACCAGTCCTCCCAGGGGTCTTCCAGGATGTCAGGAACGGGGAGGGTAGAGCTTCAGAGGGCTGCAGGTAGAACTGGACCTTCTGCCCGCTCTGAGCAGGTGATACACTTGGGATGCAGAAATGCCACCTGCTCTTGGCCGTCAGCACAGAACCCCACCCACCCACCAGACCACAGAAGGAGGGAACTGGAATCCAGGTAAGTGGCATGAGTGGCTATTGTGTTTGCCTCTCTGTTGTGCGTTCTCTTAATTCAGTGTATCTCTTTCCCATTTCCTAATAATCATAGAATATTTGGGAGTTCTTAGCCCAGTGAGACTTCAACAGTCCTGGCCCGGGGGCACTCCCTGCTCTGTGCTGCCTGGCACCTTGTCCTTCACCCTGTCATCCTCACCCTTGAGCAGTCGGCACCATTGCTGGCGTCCTCCCATGTCCTGGCCCTGTCAGCCACGGTCACAGGGAAGAGGGGATGCTGCAGTCTCTGAGCCCAGTCTAGGGACAGATTCTAGGCTGGATATAGTATCTTTCAACCCCCAGGAAATACCCCAGTTTTTCTGGTTTGCTGTGTTCATAAATCATGGAAAGACGGGGCCTTGAATGGCTCTTCCTGGCTTTGCCTTGGTCAGGTTTTCTTTCCCCAAGCTCTTCTTTTAGGACTGTTGTGAGCTTTTGTGAAAACACAGCTCTAAGCACTGGCACTTGGCTGTGGGACACCAGGGTCATGCCAGTCAGACTGCTCTGGGCCTCACATCTAAGGAGAACAGGAGCGCTGTGGGAGTTGGCAGAGCTGGCAGCCGTGTCAAACCCACCACTGCCCTGTTGACAAATAAGGAAATGCTTCCCTTATCATGTGTTTTCTCAGCTGGCAGAGGGACCCGGACAGATGTCTGCATTGTCTGTGCAGTGGGATGGAGGCTGGCTGGGAGCTGTGTCCACCCCAGGCCTGCAGCTACTTGCACAACGCCCAGGCCTAGACCCTATATCTAAGTGGCAGCCACGCACCAAGGAGGGTGTAGTGGTGAGGGGAGTGGCTGCCCACTGAGGGTGGCTCTAACCATGGCAGGGCACCTTGGAGGAGACCTATGTGCCTGCCCATCTCTCTGTGGGCCCTGTCATGTTATTCTCATTCTCTTTGTGAGTTTTGTGTGTCTTCTAGAACAAATCACCAGAGATTACATGGTCTAAAATGACAGAGATTTATTCTCACACATATCTGGAGGCCAGTATTCCAAAATCAAGGTGTCAGCAGGGCTGTTCCCCTTCCATAAGCTCAAGAGGAGAATCTGTCCCTTGCCTTTTTCAGTTTGTGGTGGCTGCTGGCAACCCTTGGCTTATGGCCACATCATTCCCGTCTCCGTCGCCTCTGTGGTCACGGTGCCTCTTCCTCCTTCTGTGCTGAACCTTCCTGGATCTCTCTCATATGGGGATACTTGTGATTACATTTATGGCCCACTAGGATAATCCAGACTGGAAAAAGGGCATGCTCCTTGCTTAGGATCCTTCCTGGTCCTTAGACATGTTTCACTCATTCACGTCTCCTAAGGCTTTTGGCTTGACTTTGCCACCTAGGCTCTTAGCTCTGCCATTTGGTCACAGCTAAAAAATACCTTTACATCAACATCTAGACAAGTGTTTGACCATTAACACTGGGCATTGCAGCCTAACCAAGCTGACACATAAAACTGAGCATCCCATCACACTCCACTAACTTCGGATGAGTCTGAGTTTGCACCAAACTGTGCACACGGCTGCAGCTGCAATGCGAGTTGTGCTGAGTGAGAATCCATGAAAAAAAGAGGTGCAATGGAAGCCACCCCATCCACTTCAGCCAGTGCTCTTGTTGTTTTTTTTCATAGATTTCCTATACTGGGACTTAGTAAAACCTTGTGTTAAGATGGGTGGAAATATTTGGAGAGATAAAAGAGAAAAATGATAAATAAAAAATGTTTGCATACTACTTATGCCCTGGATCACTGATTTTCAAAGAGTAAGCCTGCAGTAAATCTGATTTCCCTGTGTGCTCAGCTATGCTGGTAGATTTTAAGTCACTTATTTAAATACATCTGCTTGTCTCTCTCCAGCGTGCGTCCATGCACACACAGACACCCCATAGGGAATCTAGTAATAGAAGTCGTCACTCCTAGGAACCCGGAGCCTGGTGCGGTTCTCCAGTCCCAGCCTTCTCATTTCTAAGTTCCTGGTTGTGACCCAGTTATGCACTAACAAAGAGAGCTTCCTGGACCCTGAGAACTGCTGGGACGGTGAAATTCTTACAAATGTGGCCAGTCTGCTGCCATGTGTATACTTGAAAAAGTTCCTGAATAGGCCTCCCTTAAGCAGAGATACTCAGTAGTTACCAGGAAAGAATATAAAACATGAAGCTAACAGCGGTTACGCCCAAAGGAAGGCATGTGTTCAAATTACAGAGGAGGTCCTGTTCTTCCTTGGTGCTATGGGTTGAGTTGTGTCCCCCTAAAAGATATGTTGAAGCTCCAAGCCCCAGCACCTGATAATGTGGCCTCGCTTGGAAATAATGTCAGTGCATTTTTCACTAGTTAGTATGAGGTCATACTGGATGAAGGGGAGCCCTTAATCCAATGTGACTGTTGCCCTTATACAAAGAAGACAAGAAGAAAAGAGGTAAGATGGCAACGTGAAGATAAAGTCAGACAGTGGAGTGACTCAGCTGCAAGCCAGGAAACCCCGGAGAGCAATGGCCATGGCCGGAAATGAAGAAGAGGCAAGGAAGGACCCTCCCCTCCATCCTTCAGGGGGAACAAGGCCCTCTGATGCCTTGATTGGACTTCAGGCTCCAGACCAGTGAGATAATACATTTCTACCTTTTTAAACCACACAATTTGTGGTTTAAACTCTCTCCCTCCCGTGTAACTGGGATTACAGGCACCTGCCACCATGCCTGGCTAATTTTTATATGTTTTGGTAGAGATGGGGTTTCACCATGTTGGCCAGGCTGGTCTTGAACTCCTGACCTCATGTGATCCACCCGCCTTGGCTCCCCCAAGTGCTGTGACTACAGGCATGAGCCACCGTGCCCAGCCACCCTCTGTAATTTTAAAAGAAAACGTGCCTACGCCAGGCATAGGACATTAATACATTTGGGGTCAGAATGGGGCCTTTCCCTCTTGGTGGGCAAGGAGGGACTTCAGTGAAATTTCATCTTCATCGGAAACAATGACAATTAGCTCTCTGAAAACTTAAAATACCATCATGCCCCTTTTCTTGAACTGATTTCAAGTGTTCAAAAAGAACTCATCTTGAGTCCTCCGACTTATAATTATATTGACTTCTCCTAAGACACTTATTTGAGTTTCTTATCACCCCAAGCTTGTTTCCATTTTATTACTGTATATTACTCCTGTTGCCTACATTCAGCTTGGCTATTTCTTTATAATTTGTTTTTCATTATCCAGATCCATACATTATCCAGATCCAAACCTTCTAGAACTCATTTGTGGCAGACCGTAAAACATCCCCAGACATTAGTAAAACTTCTGATTCCTCTCAGCTAATCCCATAGTATATTAAATATTTAGACTAATGGTGTGAGGAAAGATTCTGGGGAGTGTTCTTGTTTGGGCAGCAATAAAGCCATTCCCTCTCTGTACACCATTGCTCCCTGGTTTCTAATAAAAAATGGATCAAAGTCTCCTACCGGATTTTTATTCTATCGGAAAAGACATTCTTTTTGTTGAGTGGGACAAAGTTACTTTGTTGCTTATTTAATCCTGGATGAACAGGAAGGTTGATCGGGGTAGCGAGTGTCTCTTTTGTAGATGACTGGGGCACTCTCTGCCAACTCACTTTTTCTTTTAAAATTACAGCGGGCGGCCGGGCACGGTGGCTCACACCTGTAGTTACAGCACTTGGGGGAGCCAAGGCGGGTGGATCACCTGAGGTCAGGATTTCAAGACCAGCCTGGCCAACATGGTGAAACCCTGTCTCTACCAAAACATATAAAAATTAGCCAGGCGTGGTGGCAGGTGCCTGTAATCCCAGCTACACGGGAGGGTGAGGCAGAGAGAGTCGCTTGAACTGGGAATGCAGAGGTTGCAGTGAGCCACAATCGCGCCACTGCACTCCAGCCTGGGTGACAGAGCAAGACTCCATTTTAAAAAAAAAGACAGTTGTTAATCTTTCTCAAAAAAGGCAGATGCTGTGAAGTGACTCCACTGTCATTAGATGATTTAATCTCTGTGCCTAGAACTCAAGACCAAAACCTAGTGGCCCTGTGTTGATAGGTAGCACATGCATTTTTCATTGCAGACATTTTTTTTTTCCTGGGATGGTCAGAAACCACCCTGATGAAACAATGAGGGTCCTGCTGAGAAGGAAGAGGTCGAAGCTGTCCTGATGTCCCCCTGGCTCCTTGAGGGCCTTGTTGATCACCAGCAACTCTTTCTTTCACTTCCTGTACTCATTTCCCACCAAACTCCTATCAGGTGTAGAGCACGTGTTCTTGAACCACACCATAAGGGGCAGTGGCATGGTCCAACTCTGTTGCATATTATCTGGATACAAAGAACAGGCTTCTTTTTACCCTGGTTAGAATTATTAATTCATACAATTAAATGTCTTATTGAGATTATTTCTTGAAAGTTAATCTCCTCTAGACCCATTCATTCCCACATTTTGATTCAGGTAATTATTTTCATACATATTTAAAAATATATTAAAATGAGACCTAAATCCAGTAACCTTGGACAAGTCATTTACGTTACCTGGGCTCCCATTTTTCATCTGTGGTAGAAAGAGGGAAGGTGAATTAGATAATCTTTAAGGCTGTCTTCCCTCTTTTCCACCACTGGACACAGCTATCTTTAATACCGTGAAGCTCCTGCCCTGGAAGCATGAGTAAAAATAATACTTGGAAATGGTTACATCATATAGATTTTGGTTGTTATTAAGGTTTCCAAGAAAGTTTTGCAGATATAATTTTAATATATAGAAACATAATAGCTACTCAAAATTTCATTACTCATATCCAGGGATAGTTGGTGTATATGCTTCAAAAAGAGACATATTCCCAGAATTTAGAGACAAATTGGTAAAGATCACTCTCCAAGAGTTATAATAAAAATCATTATAAGATAATGAGCTTAGCCACCTGTGAAATTAGTCTGGAATATGAAGGTTTGATCAATGGCTTTCTGATGAGATCCGTACACTTCTCAAAGTTATATGAAACAGGTTTGGGTGTCTTCTTCGGTTTGGAAAGTATCTTCAGGAAGACCCAAAGGGGCGGTCAGCAGTTTGAAGGCAGCTTTAATGTCCTCATTGAGGAGTCACTTGTCTGAGTCTTCAGTGTAATTTTATTCCATAGTTTATGTGGAACTTGGACACAGGACAGCAATGAATGAGGACGCAATCATGTGGCTAGCCGCTGCACTGGGAGAAAGCCCAGGGTTTCGAAGACCCATACCCAGGGCCTAGGAGAGCTGAGCCGCACTGGGGAGCTTGTGGTCTTCAGACTCTCTCTCTCTCTGAGCGCTTGCCGGGGAGGCTGCCTTGCCGCCTTCTGATCCCCAGGTCTCCCCTTAATGGTTCTGGATACATTTCAACAGCATCCAATGAGAACAAGGCTAACAGGTACCATTGTGAACCTGTTCCATGGGCCAAGAAATGTCCAAGACATTTTGTGTGTATCAAATCACTGGATCCCTCACACAAACTCCAGAATGTAGCCTCCAGGATCAGTCACTTTACACAAAGGAGAGAACCCTGTGCTCAGAGGAGTTAAGTATCTTGGTCCAAGACCACGAGCTGGTAAGTGGAGAAATCAGGATTAGACCCCAGGTGGGAACCCTAGGAACCTGTAAAGCCCTCTGCCAAGAAGCTACTCAGAGTGAGCATCTGTGGGAGCCTCATAAATTCAGACTCTCAGGAGTCGTCGGGGTGATATGGGCCAATCGGAGTTTGCATGGTCACATTTTTGTGCACGTTATACTGTGAGAGGCACGGCATAGGCTCTGGAATGTGCCACCAAATTCGCAAACCAGTGATTTTGCAGTTAAATTATATGGATTGTATTAGGGTAATACAGTTTATATAAACACCTTAGAATTTATGTAAACTTTAAAATAAATAGAGTGGCTAAAATAGTTCCTTTGTTTTTCATTAAAACAGCTGGGGCTTTATTGAGCTGAGAAGAGAACACCCTACTGCCAGTTCCACCTGCCTCCATCATAGGCCATGTGGCCTGGCCTTGCTGTCACTGGGCACTAGGCAGCTGAAACTTCTATTTGTCCTCCTCCAGCTTTCTGCATTTTTTGACCCTAACTGCTATGGTCTTTGCCTTTAATTCTTGGAGAGCCTCCCAGCAGCCTTCAGATGCGCTATGGAATCTCAGTGTTCTGGAAATTGAAGGATCGGGTGACACATGACACGCTCGGGTGCTGAGGATCACCTCCCATCCCTAGTGTCACATGGGGAGGCCAGTGTCCATCTTAGAACTTCTTGTCCCCATTCAGTCTTCCTCCCTTTCTCTCAGCCTTCCTCTCTCTCCCTTCATCTCTCCCCACCTCCCTCTCTCTCTCTTCACTTGGTTCATCTCCCCTCAGGGCACCTTCAGGCTGAAAGTGCCTCACTCGATCACCAAACACTGCCAGAGCCTCATCTGTGTTGTGACCTGAGCTGGGTGTGAAACATTCAGGGCTGAAAACACAGGGTTTGCCCTCAGCAGCTCAGTGTTGGTGCCCTGAAGATGTCTTTAATGGAGGGGAGGGGGTAAAAGGGAAGGAAAGATGGCAGGAGGAGGGTTCTCAGCACTGGAGGCTCTGAGCAGGGCTACAAGTCGCGAGCTGCCCATAGCTGACAGATGCCCTTTGCTCGCACCATGGCCGCCTCCTTCCAGCTTCCAAAACAGCCTCCTTCCACAGGCCTTGTGAGCTCCTGCAAAGATGCTTCATGGGTCTCAGCCTCTCTACACCAGCCCAGTTTCTGCTGTGGTAGAGACATGGCCCCCTGTGTTTCCATGGGAATCCCTTTTTCAGCGAATTTCAGTCAGTGGAAAGATTAACATGAACACCAAGAACTTGGAGTCGTGAAGAGAAACTGAGGAACGGGCCTCTAGATGGAAATTTCTAACCACATAAAAGTGAGATGGGAAAATGACCATGATTCCCTGTTTTATGTTCTTCTGGATGTAACACCAGCGAGGCTTTGGGAGTAACCTAAAAGTCTGCAGTAGGAATAACCTACACAGATGCCCGGTAGGCACCAGCACCTCCACGGGAGGAATCAGAAACCCCCTTTATATATTGTAGACCCAGATCCAGCACACTCTCAGGACCTGGCAGCAAACTCAACCGAATTCACTGATGTGAACATGGGGAGGAGCAGGCATGAATACGTGGTGCCTGCAATCCCTACACATGGTGAACACTTAAGTGGTCCACCCCATTAGGCTTCTTTGTTACTGAAAGTGACAGGTTTATAAATAAAATATAATTGGCTATCAGAGAGGTCTCAGTGGCTCTTGGAGACAATACTGCATACACTGAGCCCCTTTACACACTCATCTGCTACAGTCTTGCTTCCAGGTTATAAGTGACAATATTATTTTGCAACAGAAGGAATAGGACAGTATCTTCTGGGGTCCAAAAAAAAGGGGTGTATATCTGGGCCTTGTAATCACCCATGAATTAGTAGATCTGCAATGCGTTTACCAAAATCATTTTTGTCCATAATTAATACAACTTCTATACTAGCCTGCATGAAAATACATGGGAAATCTGTCTTCAGACTTCCCTGGCTACCCCACACTGTAAACATCAATTACTCTGATGTAGATGTCACCATCTATAAATGACACACATTCTTTTTCTTTAGGGCCAGAGAAGCATCATAAATCAGTTAAATTTAAACATGGATTGTTTTCTTTTCCATTGAAGATGGTATTGATTGAATTAAACAATGAATCCACTCAATGCTGTCATCACTCCTGATTTCTCTGACTACATGTTGTTTTCCAAATATATTGAGCCCTCCGATTTAGGTAATATTTGTGTTGCACAAAGCATAAAGGGATTTCAAATTACCTGATTTACTTACTCGGAAAAGATCTTGGCATCTTGAAAATTTAAGACAAAAATACACTGAGGCCCAAGTCATTTGCTTTAACATAAGGGCTGGCAAATTACTGTTTCTAATCTCTACTTTAAACTATGGAGAAGTATGGAATATCACATAGATAAGCTAATTTCAGGAGGGGGTAATTTAACAACACGTGTAATTGGTTTGGGGAAAAAAGGTAAATAGCAAGTGTCTGATTGTTAGCTTGGTTGATTTAAATCAGTATAGATTTAGGAAGAGCGTACAATCTGCTGAGCATTCTAAACATCTGAAACATCCCAACACAAAAAAAGTACATTTGAGGTGATGGATATCCTAATTACTCTGATTCGATCATTATACTTTTAATGCATGTATCAAAAATCCCACCAATCCCATAAATATGTACAATTATTATATATCAACGAAAATAAATAAATAGATAACGTCTGAAACAGGCACCACTGCCTCAGTGAGGTATGAACTCCAGCCCTTACCAGAAATTGTCCCACAGGGATCTTGGGGCTATGAGATCTGCTGATCTAGTCACTTCTCTTCCCAGCCAGGAGGGTGTGACCTGTTGACCGAAATTAAGGCTGTTGAGGCAGAAATAATTAGATATAAGTTTACTGGAAGTCAAATTTGAGGACTGACTCAGGAAGACACACCAACAAAGTTGGGTGAATTCCAAAGTTTGCTACAAGTTGGAGACTTTTATAAGAAAGTTTAGGAAGAGGGAGGGAGACTTCTCATGTCACAGTTGTCCTTTTCATTAAAGGGTACAATACAGAGGTTACACTCGTTGGCTACAGACAACAACATACAGGCTAAAATGTTCTATGTGCAAGACAATTGGCAAAACTTCACGATTCAGAAACAAATCAGGGTCCTTTTCAATGTCAGTAGGTTACATACTAATCAGTACATCAACGGCTTGAGGAGCTCAGGATAAGGTTTGAGAAACTCACTTAAGATTCTTGGCTTAGGAACGGGATGTCATTATGAATCATAAGACCTTCCCTAGGTGGTTAATTTGGAAGCCTGCAGAATGTGACCTGTAGGTTATCAGACCCAAGTTAAACAAAGGTGTCTGTGGCTATTTTTCTGTACCCTCAGTTTTGGTGGAGGTTAACTTGGACCTTGGGAAGACATCATTCCTGTCTCCACTGGCAGCTTCTCACTTGGCAACTCTTTGATTCTTTCTGAATTGATAAAACTCAGTGTTTGTGGGAAATTGTGATGGTTAATTACTGAGTGTCAATTTCATTGCATTGAAGGATACAAAATATTGGTCCTGGGAGTGTCTGTGAAAGTGTTGCCAAAGTATATTAACATTTAAGTCAGTGGGCTGGGAAAGGCAGACCCACCCTTAATCTAGGTGGGCACAATGTAGTCAGCTGCCAGTGTGGCTAGAACATAAGCAGGCAGAAAAATGTCAAAAGGCAGACTGGCCTAGCCTCCAGCCTACATCTTTCTCTGTACTGGATGCTTCCTGCCCTCAAACATCAGACTCCAAGTTCTTCAGTTTTGGAATTCGGACTGGCTCTCCTTGCTCCTCTGCCTGCAGATGACCTATTGTGGGACCTTGTGATCATGTGAGTTAATACTTAATAAACTCCCCATATATATATATATATGTGTGTGTGTGTATATATATATATATATATATATATATGTGTGTGTGTATATATATATATAGAGACATATATGTGTAGAGAGAGACATATATATATAGACACATATAGATATATATAGACATATATATATATAGAGAGATATATATATAGACATATATATAGACAAAACTAAGGTAATATATATGTGTATATATGTATATATGTGTATATATACATGTACATACATATACATATTTCCCTTAGTTCTGTCTCTTTAGAAAACCCTGACTAATACAGAAGTCAAGTAGTGTCTGCCTGTGAGCTGACGAGTCTGAGTTTATCCTGGCCCAGCTGATCCGTCCTTTAACAAGCACAAGGTGAACCTGCCAGCCTGGCACTCAGGCTCTGCAGGGCTTTGCTCTGCCTGCATCCTGGTTTGCCCACTCTGGAAGCAGAGCTGGGACTTCTTCCTGCTGCCATTGTCAAGAAGTAGGCTCAGCCCAGCCCCCATGTAGGAGGTAGGATAAAAAACACCATCCCTGGGAGAAATACAGTCATCTTCCAGTTCTAGTCCCCAGATTAAATGAAACCAGAAATATTTCCTACAGTTGCCCACTCCTCTGCGATCTCTCCATCCCTGACTTTAGCATCAGTAATGACAGAGATATGCCATGACCTCTGTAGATATGATAATCTGGTGAAGACATGGGTGTTTTTCCACCATGAAAATATGTTTTTAAGGGGGCGGGGGTTGGGGATATGGCCATAGTAACTGTGTGTGTGTGTGTGTGTGTGCGCGCGCGTGTGTGTGCGTGCGCTTCCAGTACTTCATATGTCTGTTCGTATTTATTATTATTACTGAATGGGCAAAGCCTTCTAATGATTGTGCCTGTTTACAGGTAAATGTTTTTATTGTTGCTTTTCTGAAATTCTTTCTGAGTCTTCCTTCTTTAAGTGGAGGCTGCACTGAGATTTGCTGAGACGAACGCACATCAAGGAACCCACTAAATTCCACTTGCACCTCTGCAGAAGTCAGCCTCGCTACCTTCTTTGTTTGTTAAGCACAAATTTGAGTTCTACATGCTGTCAGGAGTTTCCTTCTCTTCATCCCTCTCTCTCTCTCCTTGGTTCTCTTCCTATTCCATTTCCAGACTAAGTCAGGTGCATGACCAAACTGGGCCTGATTCGGACTTGAACGCTGCCACGCCTACTCCCTGTTGGTGGCACACATGGGGGATTTTATGGTCTGACCATTTGACATTTTCTGATGAGCCGTGTGTGTCTGTGTGTGTGTGTGTGTGTGTGTATGTGCACCTGAGTATGTGCATTTGACTTTTTGGCTCATTTGTCTTGGGGACTCCAGTATCTTGTGACATTTGAGATTTGTGCGACTGGGTCATAGGAATTTTTTTGTAAGAATGATGAAAGTTCCAGCCACCTTCCTTATGTCAGTTCCCACATCACTGGTCTGCTATCTCTTCTTCTAACAATTAATAAAATCCTCTACACTGTTTGTCTTGTTGAAAGAAAAACTTCAGCCAGATTAAATTTAAAGGAGTTTAACTGAGCAATGAACAATTTGTGAATTGGGCAGCCCCCAAAATCACAGCAGATTCAGAGAGACTCCAGTGCAGCCACGTGGTGGAAGAAGATTTATAGAACAAAAAAAAAGTAAAGTGACGACAGAAATCAGAAGTTAGGTACAGAAACAGCTGGAATGGTCACAGGTTAGTGTTTGCCTTATTTGATCACAGTTTTTTGTTGTTGTTGTTTTTGTTTTTTTTAATTAAAACAAATTACCGTATTTATTGAAATATCAATCATAATTATTATAGATAGGTTAGAAGGCAGGAGAAGGGATTATAGTACATTACTTTTTGACTAAGTGGGAAAACTGTAAATTAGAGATTAGTCAGTTTATAAACCACATATTCTTGGAATTTTTCTTGGGAAAGCTCCAACATCAAAAATTTGTTTTGCAAATACAGTTCCCTTTGGTTTGGTTCCTCATAACCTGAAACTTAAAGTATAATAATAATAAAATAAAATAAGAAAAAGAGATAAGAAAAGTGTGGAGAAGGGAAGTACGGTTGTGACCACTGTTTTGAACACTCAGCATGACGACTGGTTGAAGCATGGCTGCTAGGATTGGCCAAGACTCAGCTATTGTTACAGGTGGATACTCCTAAGTTAGGTTTCAGTCTTGTCTGCTTATTAAGTTAGGTTATAGTTCCTCCACAAGGACTCAAATATAGAAGTACAGAGCCCTTCTCAGGCCATATTTAGTTCACTTTAACAGTCTTTTTTAGCATGCCACTGTAATTTCAAATCTTCCCCCAAAAAAACTATTCCACTAGGAAGGTGAGTAGCTGTATGAACCCTAATATGTGGTCTGTGTTTCCTTTTGACCTATGGCTAGAATGATTCAATGGAGACTTCTAATTCTCTTTTTGATTATATAAGTGGGAAAAAAAAGAATAAAAATAACCCATTTCTCCTTCTGCTCTATCTGAATGTTTATATCCTCCCAAAATTCATCTGTTGAAATCCTCATTCACAATGTGATAATCTTAGGAGATGGGGCGTTTGGAAGGTGATTAGGTCATGAGAGTGGAGCCCTCATGTATGGTATCGGAGCTCTTATAATACGGATACCACAGAGTTAGCTTGTTCCCTTCACCATGTGAGAATACAGCAAGAAGGCACCATCTGTGACTCAGGAAACAGGTCCTCACCAGACACCAAATCTGCCTTCCCAGCTTCCAAAACTATGAGCAATACATTTCTGTTATTTATAAGCTACCTGCATTATGGCATTTTGTTACACCCCCCTCCGTTATGACAATGATGTGCTTACAGCTGTAACCCCCTCTGCATCTTTGGCCAGCTAGCCCATCTCTCTCTCACTCTCACTCTCCCTGACTCCACACACCTACCTCCGCCCCCCGCCACACACCATTTTAAGTAAATTGGTCCTAAGAATTATTTTAGTTAGCTACTGAAGAGCCTGAAGCTGGAGGATCACTTGAGCCCAGAAGTTTGAATCCAGCCTGGGCAACATAGTGAGACCCCATCAAAAAAAATCTCTCATTTTGTGCACACTCTAAGGATATTTACTTCAAACATATATATTTACCCCTAAAGGGAAGAGAATGTACAAATAGAAGGACAGCGGCTCAGAGAGCAAAGAGTAGGCACCTGGGATGGTTTTCCTTAGTCCATTTAACAACCTTCAGACTGGGAACACATGTGTGATGGAAGGAGAGACGGCTTCTGGTATGTCTGGAGCTTTGCAATTTCCTGAGACGTTCAAAGGGTTCTGAATGAGTGACCATCTGTCTCCTCCCTAAAAAGAAGACAGGGAAGCCCTATGCAAACACACAAATGAGCAAGTCAGTCTGTAAGGAAGAGCCACAAGTGCTAACAACACGATGTGAATAAACTCTAAATTTGCACCTTTAACTTAAACTACAGTCTAGATAGACAAGTATTTAAAAACATGGCACATAATGAATGATACACGTATCTATAAATACCTCCTAAGTTTCCTGGCTGGCCCAAAATTTGATTGAATTCTCTGACTATATTTGTGTGAAATACATTTCCCAGAAAACACATTGATATATTTTCCTAGCTTCAGAAAAAAAAGGTAAGTTATAAGCTTCCTTAAATTCAGCACTCCTATGTTGATTGTTTTAGATAAAATTTTAAGCATTTATATAAATTTAAGTAATTTCAAGCATTTGCAGAGTGCAAAAGCAAAATGTTGAACTTCTAATGTCTTAAAATTGCCAGCTTTAAAAATATTTAGATTATTTGCTGAAATCAGAAAATAAAGACAACGTTTAGCCATGAGTTAATGATCTTGCTGAATAAGTTGCAAAATAATTTTAAAAAGAGAAATTGATAACATGGAAAAATAACTATGAGAAAACTTTAGTACAAGCAAGCAAAATTTGAAGAACTTTTAAATGTATAAAAGTAGAAAATATTTAGGGATTGTTTTTAATCAAGATGAAGCCTTGAATAGACTGGTTTAAAAATTTCAGCTTCAATATTGTTTAATAGCTTTCCTTCTATTTTATCAGCTTATAAAACATAATGTCACCAAAGTGTTCTAGTTTATGCAAGCCTAGTTTTTTCTTATTGAAATCCCAATAATTTATGCTTTTAAATTCCTTAGACTTTTTTTTTTTTTTTTTTTTTTTTTTTTTTTTTTTGAGATAGAGTCTCACTGTTACTCCAGGCTGGAGTACAATGGCTCCATCTCGGCTCACTGCAATCTCCACCTCCCGGGTTCAAGCAATTCTTCTGCCTCAGCCTCCCGAGTAGCTGGGACTACAGGCATGTGCCACCATACCCGGCCAATTTTTGTATTTTTAGTAGAGATGGGGTTTCCCCATGTTGGTCAGGCTGGTCTCGAACTCCTGACCGCAGGTGATCCGCCCATCTTGGCCTCCCAAAGTACTGGGATTACAGGCATGAGTCACCGTGCTCAGCCTCTTAGACTATATTTTTGTAGATCAATCGTGCTGTCTTTCTGTCCACAAGATATTTCAAATCACATGTGAACGTTTTGCTAAAATAAATTGAATTGTAACAACGATTATCTTTTAAAGAGAGTTTGTTCCTGTAAACTACGGAGAAAGCTACAGATAATAAAATGAGACTGTAGGGGATATTTATAGAGAAACTTGAGTGCTTTTGTGTTTGTCTAGCAAGGGGAAATCAACATAATTTTGTCTTAAAATATCAAAGTCTGCTTGTGCCAGAATAAGAACGAAAGTAAGAAAAAACATTTGAGAGTGAAAATAAGTGTGGAAAATCAGAAAGGATGTGAGTTTTGGTTTATGTTACCCCCAAAATGAACAACTTGAAAGGAGCAGTAAAACGTGTTAAAATTTTGACCAAGTTTGCTGAATGTTAATGAGTATAACTTAGAAATGAGAAAAAGATTTGTAAAAACTTGTCTGCCAATTATTACATGAACGGTATAAAATAGAAAAGCTCAAATGTGGCTTTTCCAAATAGACGTTTTGGCATATGAATATACATTTTGCTCTTTACAGGAAATAGTAAAAAGTTATTCTGTACCTATATAGCAGAGTTTCTTACAATCACTACACTATCCCGTTAGCTGTTTTGCTTTTTGTTTTTCTCATGAACTATCTTTGAACAAAAGTTATTTGAAAAACACTAAAATTTCTGGATAATTGTGTAATTGTTGCCTGCTGTTACTCTGCGTTTGTGCTTTCTCTTCAGACTCAGACTATAGTCATTTCTTGTGTTTAAATATTTATGGTTTCAGCTTATTTATTGCTTCTGTTTCAAATTTATATTCCAATTTGGAATAATAAAGCTTTTATGACATCTTTTTTACTTAAACTATCTTATGAGCTTGCCTAACAGTAGCTGCGTCCCATAACAGGTGCACTGCTTTAATTCATAAGAAGATAAATGCTAGAAATAATTGGGTTGGCTTGCAATTTTCCAAAGTTTAAGTTAGCTACACTCAATTGTTGGAGCTCTACTGTCTATTGAACCAACAATACGAGAACAGGCAAATCAAAAAAGTGAAATCTACTCTCTAGGGCAACTAGGAATAAATAAAAACATTATTGTATCAGTCAGCGTTCTCCAGAGAGACAGAACCAATAGGATATATATATATATATATATATATATATATGGATATATATATATGGATATATATATATGGATATATATATATGGATATATATATATGGATATATATATGGATATATATATATGGATATATATATGGATATATATATATGGATATATATATGGATATATATATATATGGATATATATATGGATATATATATATATGGATATATATATGGATATATATATATATGGATATATATATGGATATATATATATGGATATATATATGGATATATATATGGATATACATATGGATATATATGGATATATATATGGATATATATATATGGATATATATGGATATATATGGATATATATGGATATATATGGATATATATGGATATATATATGGATATATATGGATATATATATGGATATATATGGATATATATATGGATATATATATGGATATATATAGATATATATGGATATATATAGATATATATATGGATATATATATGGATATATATAGATATATATGGATATATATAGATATATATATGGATATATATATAGATATATATGGATATATATAGATATATATATGGATATATATATAGATATATATGGATATATATAGATATATATATGGATATATATATGGATATATATAGATATATATAGATATATATATGGATATATATAGATATATATAGATATATATATGGATATATATATAGATATATATAGATATATATAGATATATATGGATATATATAGATATATATGGATATATATAGATATATATGGATATATATAGATATATATATATGGATATATATAGATATATATATGGATATATATAGATATATATAGATATATATATATGGATATATATAGATATATATATGGATATATATAGATATATATAGATATATATGGATATATATAGATAGATAGATATGGATATATATATAGATATATATGGACATATATATAGATATATATATGGATATATATGGATATATATATGGATATATAGATATACACACACACATATACATATATATATATACACACACATGCTGTGTCTCTCAACAGATAGATATAAAATAGATAGGTAATAAATAGATAGATAGGTGATAGATGATAGACAGATGAGAGATAGATGATAGACAGATGATTGATAAATAGATAGATGATAGATCATTAGATAGATAGATGATAGATAGATAGATGATAGATAGATAGATAGATGATAGATAGATAGATAGATAGATAGATAGATAGATAGATAGATAGAGAGGGGCTTACTAAGGGAATTGGCTCATGCAATTACAGAGGCTGAGAAGTCTTCCAACAAGCCATCTGAAAGCTGGAGACCTAGGGATGCCAGTGGTGTGACTCAGTGCAAGTCTCAGAAAGCCTCAGAACCAGGGAAGCCAATGGTATAATTCTCAGTTCAAGGCCAAAGGCCTGAAAATATGGTGGGGACATGGGGATGCTGGCCCAAGTCCTGGAGTCCAAAGGCTGGAGAGCGTGGAGTTCTGATGTCCAAAGACAGGGGAAGAAGAGTGTTCCAGCTCCAGGAGAGAGAGAGGGGAATTTGCCTTTTCTCTGCTTCTTTGTTGGATCCAGGCCTCCAGCTGATTGAATGATGTCTGCTAGCATGGAGGAAGGAGCTTCCCCATTTAGTTCCCAGACTCACAGGCCCATCTCCTCTGGAAACTCACTCACAGACATACCAGAAGTAAGGCTTTACCACTTCTTTAGGTTCTCCTTAATCCAACCAAGTTGATACCTAAATTAAGATGAAGATATTTCAGCCACTGTGAGTTTTGCAGTTTGGATACCTACATGCACTTGTCTCTTGTTGGCTGCCAGACTGCACATTGATGGGATAAATTAAAATATTCTGGAGCTGAGTCAATGCCCTTACAAACCTCAATAGATTCATCATCTTAGGTTTGCCTTAGATTGAATCCTTACTAGTTGATTACATATGCACTTCAAAAGAGGACCCCAATCTCCCCCATTTTGATATTGTTTGTTATAATCAGTTTAGCAGAGTTGTGCAACATCAGTGAGCCTTGTCAACTGGTGCTTATTGTTGCCCTTACATTTCCCTGAAGGCCTGAGCTATCTGTGAACTAGTGGCCATGCAGTGTTCTGAAGGAACAGCAAGAGAACAGTCGTAAATGCCTAAACAAGGTTCTCCTGACCATTACTACCACAGTGACTCGACTCAAGGATGCAGAGTTCACCGAGAAAGCTGATATGTGAAAGTTATCTGGTTAACCCAACATTATTTAAAAATTACAGACAAGTGGACAAAAAGAACGGATTTAATTTTGATTAAAGTTCCGTTTTTAATGAGCACATGAGAAATCCTCTTCTTTCTTCTTAATCTATCTCTAACACTCAATTTAAAAAGACAATCATTGTACAAACTAAAATGAAACATCCTTTAAACAGTATCTTGTTCCCACTAATCCCTCAGAATTGAGAAAAAATCTTATGAAAGTACTTAATAAAGGTTATAAGCTCACAAATGATATGCAAACTTAAGTATAATGATTCCAATAGAAAATAAGTGCATATATAGATCTATCTAAAAACCTTTTTAAAAAATGGGGACACCAATTAAGGACTAAATTCCTTTACATTTAATGGTTGTTTTTATGATGTTATTTCCATGAAGTCAGTAAGAATTTTTCTTCTAACTATAAGAATGTAATTTTAATCATGCCAGCAATCACATTTAATTAGCTGTAACAAGCCTACAATTATAAAAGTGGGACTCTTCTTCAGATGTAAAAATTCTATCAGCAAAGACTGCCCAGAAACAGTGGCCAGTGCCTCATGGCCTGTGGGATCCCAGTCTTATAATTGCAAAAAAAATCTCTTCCTGGCAGTGTGGGAACATTGACAATTTTGTAACCTCAGAAAAAGTAGATACCCTTAAACTTAAAGGTTTATGCAAGGAAAATACAGTAGCAGCAAATTAGATGCTTCTTCATGTCTGTCCTAATAGATTAACTAATTGATGCAATAAAGTAATTCTGACAGAGAAGCTACAAGTTAGAGTTTATAAGCTTCAAGAAAGACATTAATTCTTAGTCTTATTGGTGTACAGCACTAGTTTTTAAAATTATACAATAAGAGAGTATTTATATAATAATAAACATCTCTTGTGACACTTAAGTCAGTAACAACAGTAACTAAAACCGTAAAACTAACCATATGTGATAAAAATAACAAAGCCTATGCTCAAATCCATACCTTCAAGGCTGTGGTAGACTGCAATACAGTCCCAAATTCTTCACCCCTCTATGCATCCACATCTTCCATGACCTCATCATGAAGAGAGTGCATTTCCCTGCCCTTCTCTTTGGACTTGGCAAATGCCCTGTTTTGGTTGATTGCATCCTTTCACTATCTCAAATCTTTGCCATTGCCTAGAGAAGAACTTCCCAAGAGTAGCTGCTGTCCCTACAGCCTTGGCTTTGAGGTCAGATGTATGGGGTAGACCTGGACCACAGATATGCTGTGTGAGGTAGAGCCATTGCTGATGAGCCCAGTTTAGGTCAGCAGAACCTTAGAAGACCCACAGATAACGTGAGCAAAGACAGAGCACTGTTTCTGACATATTGGAGTTGGGGATGGTGGTTATACAGCAATAGCTGGCTGATACAGAGGTGCATGACTGACCACAGGTGAAACCATGGGACATGAGCAGCACCTTGTCCTGCCATCATTGTCCGCCAGCACCCACAACACATTCTGCATTCAGAGACAATAATACTTTGAATCTTGAGATAAAGTAAAAATAACAATGTCACTCTGTAGAGCACTTGTCTCATAAATAAGTAATACTTTGACCCCTTCTTAAAAGTTACTGTTTCCTTAATTAAAACAATTTTGTTCACCACTATGGTAATATTGATCTCTGAAGATGTGTTCATGAGGCTATGGTAATCATGTTAAAAATTGCTGTTTATTCAACATAATTAGATGATAATGAATTCTATAATCTTAGCAGTTTTGAATCTTTCTTTCTAATGTCTGTATTTTTAAATTAATTTTATAATGAGGGATTCCTATGTTCTGAACTTCTTTGTTCCTCTTTGCAAGCCAAGTTATTTTCTCTCTGAACATACTTTGTGTTTGATTTTCCCTTTATGATTAATGCCCTCCCCCATCTGCCCCCCTTAGCTCACTCCAAGTAGCAGCATTTCTTTTCATCTCTACCCCAATCTTCTCCCTTCTAGGAACCCCCAGAGGGCTTTATACTTCTTTTACAACATGCATCATTATTGTCTTCTAGTTGTTTGTGTTTTGAAGCTTATTCTTTAACTCTGGTATTAAAGCCCCTAGCTCACAACAGATGCCCAGTGATGTTTTTCAATTTCTAGCACAACCAAACCTCAGGCCCACCTGTTCTTAGCAACTCTTGCTAAGATCAGAAGAAGAGCAATCCCATAGAAAGACCCATGTCTCATGCTCAATGGTGAGAGAATATAATGCTTGGCCAAAACCTCAAATTCTGGCCTCCGGTCCATCTGGGGTTAGAATTGGTCAGAGCAGTGTTTGTCCCATGAGACATCAATGGACAAATGAAATTCTTTGAGGCCCATTCTTTGTGTGTGTGTGTGTGTGTGTGTGTGTGTGTGTGAAAGGACCTACTAATGATGATCTTATATGTTTGTTACAAAAGATAATGGAACCATGTATATAAAGTGCCAGCACCTACTAGTTTGTTTAATCAAGATTTGCTAATATTATTAGCCAGTGGTGGATTCCTGACCATGCCATTCTCTCTGGCTGCAGCACAGGGTATAAAATATTAATAGTTACTGCTCTAAGTCCTAATGCCCTTCTTTAATAATAATCAGGAAGCAGTTACATCACCCTTAATAAGGAATCCTACCATTGTTTTTTAAAGAAATAAAGCTACATTGCATTTTTTTAAATGATGAAAACATAGTTTCAACATAGGAAGGTAAAAAGTTTGTATATTTAGTTTGTTTTTAACATAACCTGTAATCTGAAACATTCAGCAGCGGCACATAATATGGTAGTGATTTAACAGGTCAGGTATGCTCTAGTGTAATTTGTCTGAATAAGTATTTCTGAACTGTTTGAACCTGATTCCATTTTTGCTGGGTCTCCTATGGGTTCAAGTGGGAAGAGGAGAGAGAGAGGCCAGGGAGGCACTGATCCCTGTCCTGCCTCAGTTTCCTCGGGTGGCCACACCTCTATCTTGAAGGTCAGAGAGGCTTACTCTGTCGTAGTGCTGCAGACGGAAATTCACCTATTTCTGTCTCTATGGTGTGCAGTTTTATGAAGCATTCCCTGCAGAGGTGGAGGCAAGAACTGCCATGCCCTCCTTGTTAAAGAGTAGAACAGCAACACACAAGCTTATTCAAGTCTCTCATCAAAGGAGATTACAAATCATGCATGTAAAGTAATTGTGTATAAATTATTTAAGACGTTTATAGCAAATTGGATATACTAATCTCTCAGTCAATGCATTTCTAGATCTCTTTATTATCAATGTAGATTCATTATCAAAATGAATAAAAATCATATGGTGTTGTAATGAAATTGATGTGAGAAGCAAAAACCACTTAATTAAACTCTCTTAATGGCTTATAATACAGCTCAGGACAGTTATAGACTAAAACTAGCTAGGACAATGTGCAGTAGAGTAAAAGTGTGGGGTTGGTATTGTGACCTGCAGTTGAGGGGCTGCAGGAACGTCACAGTGAAACAAGAGGGTTGAGAGAGATTATCACCGAGGAACCCCTGCAGTGACAATATATGTAGCTCCAAATGGACTCAATTACTTCTAAGGGAGGATAGGTTAGTATATTGCAGCAAATGTAAAAATTTAAAAACCAATAGCCTCAAAATCTCTGTTAATAGACTTCGGACAACCACCCTGAAGCAGAACCTTTTCAATAATGGATGCTTGAAACTGCCTTTAAATTTTAATCTAAGCATTTAAATTCTCATGCCAGCCTCCAGTGACTTCTTTTTCAGCTAAAGAGAAGTTATTTTTGGGTGGAATATAAGCAGAACATGGTAATTAAAAAAATTCATGAGATAGTCTACCCACTGTTCAGAGTTGATTAGTACGTGAGAATTATTTTCATTTTGGGGCATTTATCCCTTTGAGTGAAACTTTCTAGCTCATACTACTTGTAACATGATCATAAAGTAGCTTTTCAGTGAAGTTTTAGGTTGGTGTAGTCAAGGGAGCACTGTTATTTTGGAAAGCTTTACCTGATTTATGGGCATGATCATATATTTGAGTATCCACAAAAATCGACAGTGAAGGCTAAGAATTGGTGGCAAGATAGAGGCCTTGAGAATATTTATCTGTGTCCTCCAAAGCCACGGGGACCTTCAGTTGTGTTCATTCATTCATCCATTCAACAGAAATACATGAGATCCTACTCTGTGCCAGCCTAGTGGTCATGAGAGAGTGAACATGAACATAATGGCTTATAATACAGCCCAGGACAGTTATAGACTAAAATCAGTTCTACCTTCAGTATTCTTTGTTCTATGTAAGCTGACAGCCACTGGAACAGGAAATTAGTATACAGCTGGACTGATGTTATCTCAGAATACTCTGACGGGATTGGAAATTATCATATTAAATGTATAAGATAGAAAAGCAAGAGGGGAAACATTCATTGAAACAAAACAGGACCCCACATGTTATGCTTTCAGGATTTTGCTGCATTTCTTACTTGTCAACAAATCCAGATCCTGTTTAGTCTTCTAAAAATCTTAAATTAATATAAGACTTATGAAAGAACTTGGCTAATTCAAGCTGATGGCTTGAAGACCATCACAAATTACCCAGCTGTGTGCTCTGGGCTGTCAGCTAACACAGCGGGATGGGAATTTTGTGAATCTATTTTTGTTGATGATGAAAAGAGGAGAGCCATGATTGACACCCAGCCCACTCAAACTGCCCATTTCCTGTGCGTTGTTTGTTACAAAGGTTTTCAGTTTGCTCTACATATACTGTCATTGTCTTCCTTGTGTAGTTTTGTTTTTGCTTTTATTTTCCTTTTTTGTGTGTTTTTGAGACATGGTCTTGTTCTGTTGTCCAGGCTGGAGTGCAGATCATGACTCAGCACAATTTTGAACTCCTGGGCTCAAGTGACCCTCCTGCCTCAGCCTCCCGAGTAGCTGGAACTACAGGTGAACAACACCACACCCAGCTATTTTTTTTTTTTTTTTTTTTTTGGTGGAGACAGGATCTCACTATGTTGTCCAGGCTGGTCTGAAACTCCTGGCCTCAAGCAATCTTCCCACCTTGACCTCCCAAAGCAGTAGGATTGCAGGCATGAGCCACTGCATCCAGCCTTCCAGAGGTTTTAAAATCTGAAAATGGGATGAAAACAAGAAAATGAACACATCTTTGCAAGACCTCATCCTAACTCTCCCAGGCTCCTTTCAGGCTGTAGACTGTAATTCGGTGCTGAGTTGCAATCCAGCCTACATAAGCCCTACAGGAAACCACAGCTGTAGCAGCATGTGGATGCAGCAAGCCCTCGGGGAAACTGTGCAGAGCAAGTGCCCGCACTGAAGGGCTGAGCCACCCCCAGGGCCGACAGTGTCCAAAGATGCCTGGCAGATCCTGCCATAGGCCACACCAAGGGCCTGGCTGGGAGTCTCAGGGCACAGTGGAAAAAGGGCCAACTTCCCCAGGGCACCACAGCCTGCTTGGCCCAGAGCTGCCTTGAGGTCCCACAGCTTCACGTATACAGACAGGCCCGGCCCCAGTCGCTGCCATGACCGGCTACCTGTGACTCAGATGTGCCACCTTCTGAGATTCCTCTCCTTCCAGCATTCCTTGGCCTCCTTTGGTGTTTCACACCTGGAAGAACATCCTGGTGCATCATCTCTAGAGCTGCAATGGGGCCCAGCTTTTGGAAACATGGGGCCAAGGAAGGAGCAGAGGAACATTTTCTACCTCTTCTGTGCTCCTACTCCCTGCACACAGGAGACACTGGCCAACTGCAACCTTATTATCACTTCTCTCAGATCTGAGTTCCAGAGTGTCATTTTTTATTAGCTTAAGTGTTAATTATTTTGAATGAAGAAAAAGAAACTTTTATTAATAAGTTAATATTTCAATTAAAAGCTTAAAACTAACCTTATAACAATTGATCAGATGAAATTAAATGTATCTCTTAAATGTATTTCATTTATCTAAATTCATGTATGTTGCATGAATAAATCAGCATTTTCTCAGACCTTTAGGCACCACTATAAATAGACCTGGTTAAATGGACATTTATGTAGAAAGTGGAATGAAATGCTCAATGGAGACATTTACCTTTACCACATCTGTTATTGGAAATGCCCAGACCATAATATTTGGAAAGTCTCTTTAATTTTATAAAGATAATATTGGGTTATGTTTTGATTTGGGGGATCAACCTCTTTTATAATGTTTATTTTGTGAGAATTTAATATAAGCACCATGCTAAGTTACTCATTGATGACTTGAGGTGGCACAAAGGGTTGGCTTGTCAAGGGACTGCCATGCATCTGCAGTGTCTCTGTATATCAAGCTTAACAAATAATTGTGAGGGTAAAAGCAATCACAAGGCACAGCCCAGCAGTGGGGGCCCCAGCTTTGATACCCTGAGTCCTTCCCTGTCACCTCAGGACTCCCTGTGGCCCAAATTAACATATGAAATAGTGCAATATAATATAGAGCTACATTTCTTGCACAAAACGAGAGGCATTTGGTCATGAAACATACCCATTTTATACTTAGATAGTTACATAACTTCCATGACATTTTCCAGGGAGCCATGAGCCGTGAATCCCTAGTTTCTAAGTCTGCTTTTCATAAGGAATCCTAGACAAGCACATACCTCCTGCTCAAAGCATTTCATTGTTATGGTCTCCCTGAGAACTCAGGTATCGTTCATGTGTTTGTCCGGAGATCTGCCAATAACTTGTTTACAAGAGGATTTGACCACTTCCCCTTCTCTCTCTATCAATCCATCAATCTATGTATTCAACAGACCTGAAGGGAGAACTAGCCTTCGGTCTCTTTGAGATGCTGGGATTCCCCATGAGAGAAAACCCAGTCTCTGTGGAAAGGTCTTTCTCCAGCCTTCCTACAAGGAGAGAAGAGGGATTACTGCCAGCAGGGCTGAGAAAGAAAAGAGACTTGGGGGATTAGATTCTTCATGCCAACAGGATTACTTCTTGACTCCAAACTTGCTTCATAGTAGACCTCCTCTGAGAATAAGCCAAGAGACTTCTCTTTGGTGCAGGCTGCTGGTGAAAACCAGGAAGCAAGATGAATGCATCTTAAAGAAGGCATGCTTACATCTGCCTTTTATTGCTGGATTTTTCTACATGGCCTCACAGGGCCCATATGGAGAAAGAAACATGTTCTAATAGCACATTCTCAATGTGCTTACAAAGATGTTCCTCTGTCAACTCTTCCATAGAAAGAAAATCTTTGCATTGATTCACTTTGCTATTGTTTTTCCTTATCATGAAAGTACATATGTTCATTGTAAAACACTCACAAAATTATAAAGATTTATAAATTATAAAGGTCCTTTATAAAATTATAAAGAAAGGAAAAATCCCCTTCCTTCCATGTGATGTATTCATCTAATGAAGCAGATAGCTCCCTTCAAATCCAAGCTCACGGAAACAACTTCTCTAGTGTTCAGGAGAAGCCAGGTCAAAGCCATAGTGTCAAGTAGTCAGAAGGCAGCTTTTGCCTGTTCAGTGCACTCTTTCCATGAGCACCCAGAGACCTCTGTCCCAAACAGTTCTGTTGTTGTCTTTACTGCTTTATGAAAGGGTACTCACCCAAGAACACTATGTGCGCCTGCATAGCTGTCTGGGTCACTAATGAACGCTGGCATATTTGCCAGGAAGCCTGGTACCCTCAGGCTCAGTGTTATGCCGTGTAATGACTGGTTTTCCGTGGTTTGTGATGCTGTGTAATGACTGGTTTTCCATGTTTTATGACTCCCATTGGTCTTACCTGTTTGTACACTCCACTCATTCATTTGCCATCTAGTTTATTCGCTCATGAATTCATTTGTTTTTTGTTTCAATAAATATGATTAAGTATCCATTCTTGGGTGGCAGGAAGTGTGCACAAGAATAAATAAAGCAGTGTGTCTGCAAGGAAGGAGTTGAGGATTAAAAGCAAAAGACAAAGGAGACATGGGGTCCACTAATGGTGATGTGATGGGAATCACGCTGTCACAGGTAAGGTGAAGTACTGGGGGAGCATGCAGTAGGGAGGCTGAAGCTTAGTGAGGGATAGCTACAACAGTAGAGTGGGTGATGCAGGATGACCAGTTTGTTAGATGAATGGGTGCAGAAGGGGCCTCTCAGCAGAAGAATTGCACCTTCAAAGCACAGAGACACACCAGAACAGGCAAGGCTTGTGGGAAAAGGATGATTGCCATGCAACTGTACCTAGGGAAAAACGGAGGACAGGGAGGAATGAGACCAGAAAAGGGAGCAAATGGGAGGCCGAGACATGTGGATCCTTTGAGGTTGGGAGTTCGAGACTAGTCTGGCCAACATGGTGAAACCCCATCTCTACTAAAAATTAGCCAGGTGTGATGGCGGCCCCCTGTTATCCCAGCTACTTGGCTGAGGCAGGAGAATCACTTGAACCCGGAGGCGGAGGTTGCAGTGAGCCGAGGTGGTGCCACTGCACTCCAGCTGGGCCAACAGAGTGAGACTCATCTCAAAAAGGAAAAAAAGAAAAAGAAAAAGAAAAGAGAGCAACAATATCAGATGCAGGAGAATACCTGACAGTGGAGGAAATAGTTAAACTTAGTTATGTAAACAAAGGTGACGGTGGCCTCGCTTCTGTTCCCGAGGACTGTTCTGATCCACACCTTTGTTTTGGAGCCAGTGTTAATAGCACTGCCTTTCATTCTGCCAAAAGCCTCCCTTAGGATGAAGAGTTATTTAATTACTCAAATATAGATGCTCTTAAAGTACTATAAATAAAAATATGACCTTGTGAGATCTGCAATTTGGAATAAGAGAGGAGTTGGAGTTGAGTCAGACCTTGCTGTGGTGTGAATGTTTGTGTCTCCCCAAATGCCTATGTTGAAACCCAAATGGGGTTGAAAGGCCTGGGAGTGGAATGAGCCATGTGGAGGTTTGTGGTCTGAATCACACGGTTGTGTTAACTGATCAAGAAGCCAGAGAGGGACAGAGTCACCAGCAGATCTGCAAATGCCTCCGTGTCCAGCAGCCGAGGGCTCGGGCCACACATTGTGCTCATGCAGCCAATCAACGTCAAATGTTCAGTGCCCCTCAGCCAAAAGTAATCGTGGAGAGAATTTTGAACCATTGAGCTCTCTCCTGGCTGACTTTTCTGTGTCTTTTCTCAATGAAGCATCGGGTGGCAGATCCAGGCAGATCCCGGACTTCGCACCACCCACGGCTGACATGCCCACCGACTGTCCTTGCAGCCAGGCTCTGAAGGACTTGGTCAGGAGCCCCTGCCCTGCGTGGCTTGGGGAATGTGAGACAATGAGAGATCGATGAATTCCTTTTCTTTCTTTCTCCAATCATGACGTCTTTATTTCCTCGGCCCTCTTTAGAAAATAAGTCATTGATGTTTTTCTTATCTTTTGATTTCTTAGATAATCTCAAGCTTGCATTTAGTGCTATAGTGCTATATATCACAAATATTTGTCTGATTCAAGGTTATCTTACACAGTGACAAGTGTTTAGCAGATAACCACAATGTCAGGTTTGTGATGAGTATAGATTGAGGGTGCTGACGTTGGCTGAAAGCTGTGTGTGTGTATATTAGTCAGTATGTGTGTGTGCCTTGTGTATGCATTTGTATATCTTTGTCTTTGTGTATGTCTGTTTAAGTGTGTGTGTATAAATGTCTGTGTGTGTGTTTGAGTGTCTCTCTGTGTCTGTGTAAGTGTGTGTGTCTGAAACTATTTAATTACTCATTTTTTTTTTCTGGTATAATGCGTTGCCAAAAACAAAGCCTTTTTAAAACATAATTTTCCCACAAGTGAACTGTTTTTAATCCTCATCTGTCAGCAAACCTTTACTTCTTCCACAGATACCTGAGGCGATCTTGCAAGAAGTCCTCTAATCTGGAATGTGGTATTCATTTGGAAGCAGAAACTAGTGAGAGGGAATGGAAGACAATCCCCCAGGGTGGTGGTGTTTAAAATACCTTCTCAGAACACGCACTGACCACAGGCTCTTGGGTGCCCCTTCAGGGGTGAGGCCCCAAGCCTCGGGAGAGGATGCTGCTGTATTGTGTAAAGGGTCCCAGGCAGGGCAGCCCAGGGCCAGCTGAGGCATGGGGCAAGGGGTCTGCTTTGGACCAAGTCAGAGACCAGCAGGGCTGAGAGTGGTAGGTAAAGGTGCCAGGGGGACTGCAGGGGTCTGGATTTTCACACCTTCTCCTCTGCAGCCCAGTAATACCCCAGCCCCACACCCCCATGGCAGCCACAGTGTCCCCTGCTGCCATCAGCAAGGCCTGCCTTCTGCATCTGAGCCTTGCTCTAGACTTTTCTGTCTGGAACCTCACTATCCCACCTGGCCTCCTTCTCATGACTGCTCCTTGAAGCCTTTATTTTCGCAACTAAATGCTTCCTCCTCATCCTCTCCCAGCCAGAATTCCCCCACCATCCATCGTCCTCATGCTACTTGCATAGTGCTGGCATGCAGTACTCATGAGCATCAGTGATGGTCACTGTGCCCTGTGTTCCCCGATGCCTCATGTGTGCAAATCAGCCATAGTCACTGTACCACGTCAGTCTCCCAGCAAGGCTGGGAGCCCAGCACAAAGGCCATGTTTTCTTACCCTTTGCCTTCTCCCACCCCAGTCACTCCCAACACATCTAAAGTCAATAACCATGAGGCCCTGGGAACGTCCCTGTGACCATGACCTCCTTCGTCCCCAGCCAGCATTATTGCTTTCTGCAAACAGGCCCTGCCTTCCTGGGTGCACTGGACAAATCTTCCTCACATCTTTCTTACAGTGATTCCTGCCATATGCATTCAGCAGACACTCTATGTCTATGCTGCCAGATGGGCCACCACCAATGCCCCAACCCCTGTTCTCCTGCAAATGCCCACCTAAAGCAGGTGGGCTGTCACTCCTGCAAGGTCAGGCTTTGCAACAGCCTTTCTGCTTGTTCCTTCTAACCCTCCATGGACTTAGCAGCTCTCGATGTAGACCCTGGATAGCTATTTATTTTTTATTTTTATTTTTGTCTCAGAATTTCAAAGTTGCAGGAAATTTGTAATCACCTGGTCTTATTTCCACTTTTTGTAGATGAAGTTAACTTCAGAGAATATAAGTATCTGCCCTTAGCCCCACAGTTAGATCCAGGAAGGTGTCTTACGTTATCTTTCCATCTGCTAATTCGCCCTGCAGGTGGTCTGTCTCTTGTTATACAAGGATGATGGAGCTCTGCATCAAGGTGGCTGAAGAGGCTCTGGATGGCCAGGGATGGAAGGAGGCCCCATGGCACTCAGCCACAGTCTCCAAACCCAACGGGCAATGCATTTCCCAGCTACAGCTACAGTCAGCAACCCTGAGTCAACAAAGGGACCAGCCTAATTGTTCTATGAAAATTTTGCCTACAAAAATCTACTTAAGATAATGCATTTGAGGTTTAGACTTGTTATAGCCTCTATGAGTACTTTACTACTATGGCTGACCAGTGTTCCATTTTATTTTTAGATATACTGCCTTGTGTTTATTTATTCATCCACTGACTTTGACATCCGGGTGATGTCCACTTTTTTGATTACTGTAAATAGCACTGCTATAAACACTGGTGTACGAGTTTTTATTTGGACACCTGTTTTCAATTCTCTTGGGTATATACCTAGAGGTAGAATTGCTATGCAAAGTCAAGGCAGTTAGACACAAGAAACTACATGTCGTATGATTTCATTTATGTGAAATCTCCAGAACAGGCAAATCCACAGATACAGAAAACAAATTTGCGGTCTCCAGGGACTAGAGATGGGGGAAATGGGAGTGACTGGATAATGGATACAGAGTTTCCATTTTGGGTAATAAAAAATCATTCTATAACTGATGGTGGTGCTGTACAACATTGAGAATGTACACAGTTCTCTGACTTGAAAACTTTAAAATAATTAAAAAGGTAAATTTTATGCTTTATATCTACCACAATAAAAAATCTACTTAAAAAATAGAGTTTTTAAAAAATGTGTAGAATAAGTTAAGGGAATTGGAAAAAAATTCTTCATAGGTATTGCTGAGTATATATAAATAAATAGATGAAACAATTGTGTCTAGAAAAGCAATTACTTGTACTCAATATGGTATATGGTTAACCCATAGAAACCTTATCCTTGTAATTCAATTTAAACCTGCTTTCATTCTTGACAACTTATATAACAGAAGGTATTTTCAGTTTGGTTGTGGTCCAATTATAATAAGTGCTTATTGTGGACATAATGGATATTTACAGAGCATTCTACCTAAGAACTGCAGAATATACATTCTTCTCATCAGCACATGCAACATTCTCCAAGACTGACTCTGTGATAGATTGCAAAACAAGTCTCAATAAATTAAAACAAAATTGAAATCATATCAAATATATTTTCAGATCACAGTGGAATAAAACTATAAAACAACTACAAATAAAACCCTCAAAACTACACAAATACATGAAAATAAAACAATCTGCTCCTGAATGATTTTTGGGTTAATGATAAAATCAAGATGTAAATTAAAAAATTCTTTGAAATGAATAATAATAGTGACATAAGTTATCAAAACTTCTGGGATACAGTAAAAGCAGTGCTAAGAGAAAAGTTTATAGCACTAAATACCTATATCCAAAGGCCTGAAAGATCACAAATTGACAAGCTAAGGTCACACCTCAAGGAACTGGAGAAACAAGAACTAAGCCCAAAGCTGATAGAAGAAAATAACAAAGATAAGAGCAGAACTAAATGAAATTGAAACAAAAAATGCAAAAGATCAATGAAATAAAAACTAATTTTTTGAAAAGATAAACAACACTGCTAAACCATTAGTTCGATTAACCAAGAAAAGAGAGAAAATTCAAATGAACTCAATTAGAAATAAAACTGGAGACATTACAACTGACACCACAGAAACACAAAAGGTCATTCGAGACTACTATGAACACATCTATGTCCACAAACTAAAAATTCTGGAGGAAATAGATAAACTCCTGGAAACATAAAACCTTCCCAGATTAAATCAAGAAGAAATAGAAACCCTGAACAGACCAATAACAAGGAGTGAGATTGAATCAGTAATTCAAAAATTGCCAATAGCAACAAAAAAGCCCAGGGCCAGATGGATTCACAGCTGAATTCTACCAGACATTCAAAGATGAATTGGTACTAATCCTATTAAAACTGTTCCAAAAGATTGAGAAGGAGGGAATCCTCCCTGAATCATTCTATGAAGCTGGTATCACCCTAATACCAAAACCAGGAAAGGACATAACAACAACAAAAAATCTGCAGACCGATATCCCAACATAAATGCAAAAATCCTCAACAAAACACAGCTAACCAAATCCAACAGCACATTTAAAAGATAATATATCACGATTAAGTGAGTTTTATCCCAGGAATGCAGGGATGATTTAACATATGTGAGTTAATAAATGTGATACATCACATAAACAGAATTAAAAACAAAAAATATATGAGCATTTCAATAGATGCAGAAAAAGCATTTAATAAAATCCAGCATCCCTTTATGATAGAAAACACTCAACAATTTAAATATAGAAGGGACTTATCTTGGGCTGGGTGCGGTGGCTTATGCCTGTAACCTGAGCACTTTGGGAGGCCGAAGTGGGTGGAACAAGAGGTCAGGAGTTCAAGACAAGTTTGGGCAATGTGGTGAAACCCCGTCTGTACTAAAAAATACAAAAATTAGCCAGGTGCGGTTGTGTGCATCTGTAGTCCCAGCTACTCAGGAGGCTGAGGTAGGAGAATCGCTTGAACCTGGGAGGCGGAGGTTGCAATGAGCTGAGATCTGCCACTGCACTCTGGCCTGGGCAACACAGTGAGACTCCGTCAAAAAAAAAAAAAAAGAAGGGACTTACCTCAAAATAATGAAAGCCATATATGACAAACCCACAGACAACATCATACTGAATGGAGAAAGCATTCCCCCTGAGAACTGGGATAATACCAGGATGCCCACTTTCACCACTTCTATTCAGTGTACTACTGGAAATCCTATCCATAGCAATGAGGTAAGAGAAAGAAATAAGGGGCATCCAAATTGGAAAAAAGGAAGTCAAACTGTCGCTGTTCACTGATGATATGCTCATATGCCTAGAAAACCCTAAAGACTCCTCCAAAAGACTCCTAGATTTGATAAGCAAATTCAGTAAAGTCTCAATATCAATGTACACAAATCAGTAACACTGCTATACACCATCAACAACCAAGCTGAGAATCAAATCAAGAACTCTATCCCTTTTACAGCAGCTGCAAAAATAAAATAAAATAATAAAATAAAGTAAAATACTTAGGAACATACTTAACAAAGGAGATGAAAGATCTCTACAAGGAGAACTACAAAACACTGCTGAATGAAGTCATAGATGACACAAACAAATGGAAACACATCCTATGCTCATGGCTTGCAAGAATCAGTATTGCAAAACCATACTGTCCAAAGCAAATCTACAGATTCAATGCAATTCCTTTCAAAACACCAACGTCATTTTTCACAGAATTAGAAGAAACAATCCTAAAAATTCATGTGGAACCAAAAAAGATCCCAAATAGCCAAAGCAAGACTAAGCAAAAGGAACAAAGCTGGAGGCATCACATTACCCAGCTTCAAATTTACAGAGCTATATTTACCAAAACAGCATGGTACTGGTATAAAAGTAGAGACATGGAACAATGGAACAGAATAGAAAACCCAGAAATAAACCAAATACTTACAACCAACTGATCTTTGACAAAGCATACAAAAACAAAAGTGGGGAAAAGACACCCTATTTAATAAATGGTGCTGGGAAACCTGACTAGCCACGTGGGTAAGAAAACAACTGGATCCCTATTTCTTACCTTACACAAAAATAATTTCAAGATGGACAAAAGACTTAAATCTAAGACCTAAAACCATAATTCTAGAGGATCACCTAGGAAAAACCCTTCTGGACATGGGCCTAGGCAAAGAATTCATGACTAAGACCCCAAAAGCAAATGCAACAAAAACAAAACAAAATACATGGGACTTAATTAAACTAAAAAGCTTCTGTACAGCAAAAGAAATAATCACCAGAGTAAACAGACAACTCACAGAATGGAAGAAAACATTTGCAAACTATGCATCTGACAAAGGACTAATATCCAGACTCTACAAAGAACTCCAACAAATCAACAAGAAAAAAACAAATAACCTCATAAAAAAGTGGACAAATGGCATGAACAGATATTTCTCAAAAGAAGATATACAAATGGACAACAAACATAAAAAAATGCTCAACATCACTAATCATCAGAGAAATGCAAATTAAAACCACAGTGAGATACCACCTTATTCTGGCAAGAATGGCCATCATTAAAAAGTCAAAAAACAATAGATGTTGGGATGGATGCGGTGAAAAGAGAACACTTATACACTGCCGGTGGGAATGTAAATTGGTAAAACCACTATGGAAAACAATATAGAGATTCCTTAAAGAACTAAAAGCAATCTACCATTCAACCCAGCAATCCCACTACTAGACATCTACCCAAAGGAAAAAAAATCATTCTATTAAAAAGACACCTGCACACGTATGTTTATTGCAGCACAATTCACAATTGCAAAGATATTAAACCAACCTAAGTGCCCATTGACCAATGAGTGGATAAAGAAAATGTAATACATACGCTCCATGGAATACTACGCAGCCATACAAAGAACAAAATATCTTTTGCAACAACTTGAATAGAGCTGGAGATTATTACTCTGAGTGAAGTAACTCAGGAATGGAAAACCAAATATTGTATGTTCTCACTTATAAGTGGGAGCTAGGCTATGGGTACAAAAAGGCATATAGAGTGATATGGTGGACTATGGAGACTCATAATAGGAAGGGTGGGAGTGGAGGTGAGGGGTAAAAAACTACATATTGGGTACAATGTACACTACTCGGGGTGACCAGTGCACTTAAATTTTAGACTTCACCCCTGTAAAATTCATCCATTTAAAAACCACTTGTGCCACCAAAACTACTAAAATAAAAAAATTAAATAAGTACTTAATTACTGTGATAATAAGTGAAGACTTATTGCACAAATTATTCAACATTACATCGTATTTCTTCTTCTTTGATGTTAGGAAGGTCAGGCATGGATAAAAATGAACCTGGCTGAATGAAAAAGAAATAGGTCAACTTCAAAACAACTGACATGCTTTTATCATACCTTTTGCAACAAAAAGAAAAATGATGTTTTGTTTCTCTCTGTAAAATGTGTATAAACCTGAAAACAGGTTTCATTCCATTGGTATTTTCAAGCTATTTGAGGTGATATAAAAAAACTGATTCTACACATGGGGGAGAAGAGTTTAGACCACTTTACGGCTATATACACAGCATATAAACATTTCAGTAATGAAAATGAAATTCAGCAAGAACGGGTAACACTCAACGCAAAAATAACAGCCATATATTTTAGACCTGAATCTTTTACTGTAACTGTAAAACTCACTTGCAAAATGTGCTTCTGTTCCATGAGCCATATATATGCAAATACCTGGTTATAGAACACGTTGCTGGCAACATCAAACAGAGCATGACCTGGTTAACCCCTTCTCAGTCAATAAATATGTCAGAGCACTGACATTATTTCAGTGATATTTAATTTTATGTTACCTAGAACCCAAAGTGATTATTTTAAAAAATACAATTAAAACTCTTTTAAAGTGGATATAAAACTTGCTGAAAGGTCTATTTTTATAGCGCTTATCCAAACTTTAAAAGATCTATTACTCACGAGAGCATTTTATGTAGTGTGATTTCCAGTGCTTGTATCAGAGCCAAGGCAATCATTCTACAAGCCATAGACCCCACCGCTCACAGCCCTCCTGTCCAAGCTCTGCCATTCCCCTAACGGGCATGACAATTACTTCTTAAAGTATCCTCCTTTGAGGAAGACGCCCTATAAGAAAGCATCAAAAGGGGCTCCCTGAACAGAGTAGAGGGTAGGGATGGGTGCCCACCATCCTGGTGTGTGGCTCTGGGTGGCTCTTCTTTCCTGCAGTGACATCTCCCTCCTGTCTGCCCAGGACATATCTCTCTTCCTTTAGGACTCCTCTCTACCACTACCACCCCTTGGACATCTTTCCCTCCTCCAGTTGGATTCTCCCTCTTTCTTTTTACTTCTGCACAGCTCGTACTCTGTTATAACTGCTGCATGGGGTTCCTCCCCCTATGAGAAGGGCTCACTCACCTGTGGCACACTCACCTGTACATTCCCAGCTCCAAGACCTGGACAAACAGCGGTCGTTCAGGTCAAACTCATGAATGAGGCCGGGTGCAGTGGCTCACACCTGTAATCCCAGCACTTTGGGACACCAAGGCAGGTGGATCACTTGAGCCCAGGAGGTCAAGACAGGCCTGGACAACATGGTGAAACCCAGTCTCTATGAAAAATACAAAAATTAGCCTGGTGTGTTGGTGCATGCCTGTAGTCCCAGCTACTCAGGAGGCTGAAGTGGGAGGATCGCCTGATCCTGGAGAGGTTGATGGTGCCACTGGGCTCCAGCCTGGGTGACTAAGCGAGATCCTATCTAAAAAAAAAAAAAAAAAAAATTATGAATGAAAAAGTGAATGAATGTGCAAATGTTCTTTAATTATGTGGCACTTTAAGATCTGCTATGGCCATGGAGCTATATTTTTATGTTGTGTGACTACCTCAGTTGTCAATTTTGGTATCACTTTTGGAGTTCAGCACTTCCTTTGGAGAGTGGACCTTCCCCCAGCATGAAAATGGATGTATCCTGGCAAAAAGTGGGACTCCCCATTGGCTCCCTGCCAGAGACCATTTCCAGTGTCTGACTGTCTATCGTCCATGCATCTGCGCATCCCTCCATCCAGTCGTCTGAATTATCTATCTACCTATCTACTGATTATCTATATCTATCTGTATATATGTATGTACCTATACCTGTGTGTATATCTATACATCTCAGAATGTATATAAAAGGGTGTTACAGTCATGTGATGTGTATATGTGTGTGTGTATTTTGGCTGCCTCTATAGAATTCATGTACATAAATATATGATAGGTGCGTAAGCATAACATTCCTTATAAAAACTGTATGGATGCAGCCATAATGGGTGGCATTGGCGACTAAGGGTTTGTGATGGTTGATGTTAGGTGTCAACTTGACTGGCCTAAGGAACGCCCAGAAATCTGTTTAAACTTGATTTCTGGGTGTGTCTATGAGGATGTTTCCAGGAAAAATGAGACTGAGGAAGATTCACTCTCACCAATGTGGCATTCTCCGATCCCATGAGGACCAAAATAGAACAAATGAGGTGGAGGATGGGCAGATTTTCTCTCTCTCCTTGAGCTGGGGCTGACATCCTCTCCTGCCATTGGACATCTAAGCCACGATTCTCAGGCCTTCAGGGCTGAATTACATCCCAGGCTCTCCTGCTCCCCAGTGTGCCCATGATGATGGTGTGACTTCTGAGCTTCCATCACCACCGGGGCCAATTCCCATCATCAGCCTCCAATACAGACACACACACACACACACACACACACACACACACACACACCCCCTCCTGATTCTCCTGTGTCATCAAAGATAAGCCACGGACACCTACCCTGCCTTAATTTCCTCAAGGAAAAAAATACAGATGATAAAATTACCCTGTCATAAGCTATGTGAGGATGAAACAGCAAATACAGGTAACCCTTAGAACAGTGCAGTGGGTCCATGAGTGTCTGTGTTTACATTGACATCTTTGCCAATTGTCCCTAGCAATGTCAGCCCTTAGAATTTTATACAACTAGTGATTTTACCTTTACATAAAGCACAATTTGATGGAAAAACTTGAAGCTAAATTTTAAAATTAATTAGAATTTATTAACTTATAAAAATAAATTTTGAAAATAAAGATTAACAAATCCATAGTCATCATATGAGGTTTTTTTAATCACACTTACCAAAAATCAATAGATATGGTAAATATGACTATCGACTCATTCTTTCCAAACACTTAAAGAAAATCAGCATTTTAAAAATCTTTTATTTTACTTTAAGTTCTGGGACACATGTGCAGGATGTGCAGGTTTGTTACACAGGTAAAGGTGTGCCGTGATGGTTTTCTGCACCTACCAACCCTTCACCTAGTATTAAGACAGCATGCATTAGCTGCTTTTCCTGATACTCTCCCTCTCCTCATCCCCACCAACAGGCCCCAGTGTGTGTTATTCCCCTCCCTGTGTCCATGTGTTCTCATTGTTCACAACATCTTTAATGTTATGAAAGTCATGCCTGTCATGTCATTATAATGTATGAATTATAAAAGCAAAGCAAATAAAAGACCAAAAATATTCATTAGGAATTTATTAATACCTTTTAGTGACCCTATGTTAAAGTTAAAATAAAAAATAAAATAGTAAAATAGTAATAGTAAATATTTAAAAATTAAACTGGTAGCAAGTAATGATGTAGTTACCTTCCAAATAAAATAAATTGATAATTTATTACAAAATAAACTAACTTAAATATAGATAGAAAGACATTTTATATAGAAGGAGCAAGATGAGTTAGCTTTCAGAAATTTGTCAAAAATACTGGATATTTCTGAAGGAACCCATAACTTAAAAAAACTAAAGTGTAAGTAAATGCCTTTAAAACTTTGGCCATGGCAAGGCCTCATGTTTTGAGATAAACACGTATGATGTTGAACTATTTCTCTTTAGTCTACTAGAAGCCCTATCTCAGTCATTAAGTTTTCTAACAACTCCCAGCAAACAAACCTGAGGAGGATGCCACTGCAGAGGTCACAGTTCCCAGGAGCAATGTGGGCCAGAAGAGAAAGAAGAAAGTCACAGCCCCAAATTCGGGAGGAAGGACTTAGCTCTGGACCAATTAGTTCTTCCACATAAATCAAAACAGAATTCATGGTAGTCTTGGGGGGAGGACGGGGAAGCAAACCATTTGATATAACTATAAATGATGTTGAAATTTCTAATCCCAAATTTTTAAAGCACCTAAACTGTAAAATAAATAGTATAAACATTAACTATTTTGCTCTTTTAAAATAGCAAAGTAGTAATCTTATTGCTAGTAAAACCTCCTCATCCTCATCTTCCTGAAAAACATATTACAAACCTAACCGTTTGTGACACTTTTCAAGGTGTTTATAAATGAGAACACAGAAAATAATCCATGGCTTATAGGGTTTATAAATGGACTGTCAGGTTGAAATACAGATAAACACAGAGCAGGTTCACACAAACGCAGGAAACCTACATGCAGCCACCCAGCACAGCTCCGCGGCTGGACATGGCAATGAACACCGAGTCTGCGTCAGTCGTGGTGTTGCGGTGGGAGTCGGAGGCAGGATCCACAAGGCTGCAGAAACACCAGCCCGCCCAGTTCCCTTTTCAGACCAGGGCTGCAGGGAGAAAGATCAGAGGGCAAGGTCCTAACTTCCTTGACCCAGAAAGAGTTAAGGGATGAAGTGAGATATGCTGAGTCATTGGAATAATGGGAGATTTTGGAGAAAATGTGGGGGATAAAATATTTCTTTTGAGAGGGTTTTGAATGTTTGTCACGGTCAGCACAGGAAGGGAAGGAGAACCCCGCGATGCTGGGTCTTGGAAAAACTGTACTCTCTACCCAACCTCAGCAGCCATCACTCAGCGCCCCCCCGCTCTGGAGAAAGCTGATGGTGGGTAGTGCCTGACATACCCCTGGTGGTCTTTATTGAGAAAGGGTCCGTATGAGAATATTACATTACCTGATGGAAGACAGGGGAAAAAGAAAGAAACAGCAAGAAATAGAGTCATCCCCTCTGCTGTGGTCATGGAAGTGAGAAAAGGATTTAGTAACTTTGTATCTTCATTAATATAGATGCCTTTGCAGGCATAAAAAAGAACGCGATCATGTCTTTTGTGGGAACACGGGTGGAGCTGGAGACCATCATCCTCAGCAAATTCACACAGGAACGGGAAACCAAACACTGCATGTTTTCACTTATAAATGGGAGCTAAATGATGAAAACACATGGACACAGAGAGGGGGACAAGAGACGCTGGGGGCTATAGGAGGGTGGAGGGTGGGAGGAGGGAAAGGATCAGAAAAGTAACTATTGGGTACTGGGCTTAATTCCTGGGTGATAAAATAATCTGTACAATAAATCCCCATGACATAAGTTTACCTGTGTAACAAACCTGCACATGTACTCCTGAACTTATAATAAAACTATATGTGTGTGTATATATATATATGCCCTTCTAATTCCAAAAATGACACCAAGACAACTTTTTCTGTAAGTAAAAATACAGGAAAACCTACATTATAAACAGACACACACCGAGATACACACTACAAATAGAAGGAAAAGGGAGAAGAGAAATTACATTTTAATATCCCAACTTAAGCAACTTCGTAGTTTCTCAGCAGTCAAGGCAGAAAGGGCAACGTAAGGATCCTGCAGCCTTCATCATCTATGATATAGTTCACTATTTAATGACTGTTCGCTCAGACACAGGTAGATAGTCTATGCCTATTACACACCCATTACTAACAGAAGAGCTTCGGGGACAGACTCCTTCATTCCCTGCTGGGGTTTTTTTTCTCCCCATATCCTCCTGCAACAGAAAGTTAGACAAATACAGTGTGGCTTAAGGCCTAGTAGAGGTGACAAGGAATTGAATAGAAAAATAACAATGGGATGTCTCTCTACTCCATCGTGAGAGGGAAACATTTTCTGAGAGGGACATAGAAGAATGTGATGAATGCTGTCCTCAGTATCAAATACCTGATAAAATAAAAAAATATTCCACGGATGTTCGGTACTTTGAGAGTGTATAAGTCAAAAATCTGACAGGAAAGAGATGGCTCATCCAGTTTGTCTCTTTATTAATATCCCCCTTCACCCTTTAAATTATAGAACAGCCATGCATTGCTTAACAATGAGGAGGTGTTCTGGAAAATGCATCATTAGGCGATTTCATCATTGTTCAAACATAATAGAGTGACTTACTCAAACCTACATAGTCTAGTCTACTATACACCTAGGCTATATGGTAAAGCCTATTGCTCCTCAGTTATAAACCTGTACAGCATGTTACTCTGCTGAATGCTGTGTAATATTACACAGAGAATTATAACACAATGGTAGGTATTTGTGCGTCTAAATAGAAAAGGCACAGTAAAAATGTGATATAAAAGATAAAAAAAAGGTATACATGTATAGGGCACTTTCCATGAATGGGACTTCCAGGACTGGAAGCTGCTCTGCGTGAGTAAGTGAGTGAGTGGTGAGTGAATGTGAAGGTCTAGGACATTACTGTACACTACACTGGACTTTATAAACATCGTACACTTAGGCTATGCTGAATTTATAACAATTATACAGTAATTATGCTGTGATGTTATAAAGGCTATAACATCACTAGGCTATAGGAATTTTTCAGCTCCATTACAATCTTATGAAACCACTGTCATATACTTGAGCCTTCTTGACTGAAATGTTGCTGTGTAACATACGACTGCATTTGCAAAGGATGCAGGTGGGCGGAAGCCACAGGATGGTATGGTGGCCCAGGTCTGATGCAACGGTCGAGGCTGTCCATCACCACCCATAGGCATGAAGGGATAAGGGGAGGCAGTGGTTATTGGAAGTTGGAAATAGATGATAATACAGCAATGGCCATCTTGAGAAGTGATGTGTCGTTTATTTGAGGATTGCAGCAGGCAAATCCTCACCCCCCAGCACCATGAGGAATGCCAAGGGTATCAAAACCTTGCCTTCATGCCTCTCTGCCCCTCAGATCTCCTTCTGGGGTACCTTTCTGGCTGACTCCAACAGGAAGTCTGGGGACTTTAACTATAGTCCACAGAAGACCACCTCCGGGGATAGGGAACCAGGCAAGAAGAATAGCAGTTTTGGAGGGGAAGATAGAAAATGCCCAGGCTACGTAAGTCTTTACCGAGCACCAACAATGTTGCATATAAATATAATTTACCCTTTAAAGGGAATTCTATTGGGAGCAAAAGTAAAAATGTTCCAGGTTGATATTTTCTAGTGATGTGTTTAATATAGTAAAGCAAAAATTATCTTGAGAAAATAAATCATTAACATAGCTTCTAAATCCTTCTTTATGGTATTAACTGTCCTAATGGGGTTTTGGTAGAAACTGCATAGCTGACACTTTGCAACTGAAGTTTAGAGCAAGAAATTAATGTTGTATATTTAGAAATGCTCCCACAAGGAAATACCAGGGTTCTAATGGACAAGATGATGGTTCATTGTAAGAAATGAGGTGTTTTTGTTTTGCTGGGTGGCTACTTCACTAGGTTTTCAGATTTGGCAAATAAAAATAAAAGATGCTTATTTAAATTTGACTTTCAAATAAACAATAAATCTTTTTAGTGTAAGACTATCCAAAATATTCTATGGGACATACTTATACTAAAAAATTATCTCATTATCTAAAATCAAATTTAACTGAACATTCTGTTTTTAAAATCTGATAATCCTACATCTCACTGCTGTATACAGTTGGTTTACCAGGCCATCATTTGTGAGACCAGAAGTTTTTGTCAAAAGCCAAGTTTGAATCTCTTCAAGCATTCCATGTGAAATTGACTTAAAATCATTCAAAGTTCTAAAACATGGTCTGGGATCATTTCTGGGTTGAGCTTAACAAATTCTCACTTTTGCTATAGCAGAATTTTAATATGGGACCTATCCACTTGTTCATTCATACATTTATTTAATAAATATTAATGAATGTATCTTTTGCTCCAGGAATTGTTCTCGATGTGGAGGATACTGCGGTGAACATGACAGAGAACATATCTGTTTTTATGTAGTGCCATGGAGCTTAGAGTCTCAGGGGAAAGACAAATAATGAGCAAGACAATTTGAGGCAGTGACCACATGCTATACTGGAGAATAAAGCAAGGAAGGAGCTGGCAGATAACAGTGGTGCAATTTTTATTTTATTTTATTTATTTATTTTTTTTGAGATGGAGTTTTAATCTTGTCATCCAGGCTGGAGTGCAGTGGTGTGATCTTGGCTCACTGCAACCTCCATCTCTTGGGTGCAAGTGATTCTCCTACTTCAGCCTCCCAAGTAGCTGGGATTACAGGCACCTGCCACCATGCCAGGCTAATATTTGTATTTTTAGTAGAGACGGGGTTTTGCCATGTTGGCCAGGCTCGTCTCGAACTCTTGACCTCAGGTGATCCACCCGCCTTGGCCTCCCAAAGTGCTGGGATTACAGGTGTGAGCCACCATGTGGGGCCACGGTGGTGCTATTTCTGGTAGGATGCACTCAGGCAGCCTCTGTGCAGAAGGAACCCCTTGAAGCATAAATCTGTTGAAGGAGTGGGTCCTACAGTGATCTGGCAGAACAGCATTCTAAACAGAGGTAACAGCACACACAAAGCCTCTGAGGTCATAACAAGCATGGAGTGTTCAAGAACAGTTAGAAGCCAATGTGGCTGGAGCCGATGGAGGAAGGAGAAAATGGTGGGAGAGGCCAAGGAGGCATGGGAGCCCAGGTCATTAAGAGACTTTGCACCATGGCTGGGGCAGTGGGAAGCTCTTGCATAATTTGGCAGCTCAGAAACCATGAATCCTGCTTTTAATTTTATTTTACAGCTAGGTTCTGAATGCTGTAGAATAAGTGAAGGGAGCAGCAGCGGCAGGCGGAGAACAATTATGCAGCTCTTGGGGGAGTCCAGGCAGGGGTGTATCAGGCTTGAACCAGGAGAACAGCAGAGGAAAGAATCAAAAGTGAAGCTTACCTGAGATATACTCTGCAGGTAGAGTCAACAGGGCTGGAAGACAATGTGATGTGGAGATTGAGAAAGAGGCGTTGAGACTGATGTGAGTTTTGGCTAGACAACTGGATCCATGGTGACATCATTGATCAAGAAGAGGAAGTCATGGGAAGGACTGGGTTTTAGAAATGGTAAAATAAAGAATTCTATATTGGAAATATTAATTTTTGGATTTAATAGTATTATAGAAAAATGCTGGAAGGAGACTTGGAGAGTCTGGAGCTTAAGAGAGAAGTGATGGCTGCCAATAGCCATGCAAGAGCCATTCGTATGTTGAATTGAATTTGGAGACAGCTGCGTGTAGGTTTGGTCCTCCCAGGAAACTGACCCTGAGATGAACATTAGCATGCAAAAGACTATTGGAGAAAGCTGCTGGGATCAATACCTGTGAAGGGAGCAGGATGGAGCAGAGGGAGAAGCTGAGTTGTGATTCAGCCTCAGTGAAAGCCTTCGTCTGCCGTGCAGGGAGTTTAGAAAATGGGGTGGCCATTCAGTGCTATCTTGAGCTAGGCCAGAGGGTTGGGCCTTCATACCTCTATGTGGATCAGTCATTGACTGTGGGACCCCTCAGAAAGGGGTGTGACCTTGAGTTAGACAGGTCCTCTTCAGCTGAGATAATCAATGTACCAAAACTATAATTAGTCTTTCTATTGCAACTGCCTTCAACCATCTTGCTCCTTTCCTCATCAATGAAACAGCATGAAACTCCAACCACTTAAACTATGTTTTCTTTCTTCTTCTTCTTCTTTTTTTTTTTGGAGACAGAGTCTCACTCTGTCACCCAAGCTGGAGTACAGTGGTGCAATCTCAGCTCACTGCAACTTCTGCCTCCCGGGTTCCAGCAATTCTCCTGCCTTAGCCTCCTGAGTAGCTGGGACTACAGGTGTGCACCACCACACCTAGCTAATTTTTGTATTTTTCGTTGAGATAGGGTTTTGCCATATTGCCCAGGGTAGTCTCCAATTCCTGGCCTCAAGCGATCCATCCACCTCGACCTCCGAAGTTCTGGGATTATAGGTATGAGCCACTACACTTGGTCTTAAACTATGTTTTCGTCTTTTCTTTCTTTCTCTCTTTTTTGTGGAGACAGAGTCTCACTATGTCGCCCAGGCTGGAGTGCAATGGTGCAATCTCGGCTCACTGCAACCTCCCTTCTGGGTTCAAGTGATTCTTCTGCCTCAGCCTCCCAAGTAGTTGGGACTACAGGCACGTGCCACCACACTCAGCTAATTTTTGTATTTTTAGTAGAGATGGGGTTTCACCATATTGGCCAGGCTGGTCTCGAACTCCTGACCTCATGATCTGCCCGCCTCTGCCTCCCAAAGTGCTGGGATTATAGGTGTGAGCCACCATGCCCGGCCATTTTCTTATTTTCCTATGCCTGCACGTGAGCAGCAGAATGTTGTCAAGAGATCCCAAAACTGAGCTGACTGGTCTTATGACTAACTTTGCCACCACTAATGTTGAATAGGCTCCCAGGCTGGCCACTAATCTTTACTGTATTTCTCAACTAGGCTAGACTTCTTATTGTTGGAGCTATTCATGTATTTCCCTCTTCCGTAAAGCCTTCTCCACCCCCACATAGGCACTTCCATCTTCTCTGTTAGCTGGTGACTTAACCTAATACTTCACTAAAACGTTGATATCCTCATCCACAAACTCAGTTATATTCCCCATTGCATGGTTCCACCTGTATTTGCTCCGTCTTTTTATTCTCCTCTTTCAAAGGCTGATCCCTTCCTGTCCCCATCCCACCCTTACTTCTCAAAACCATTTCTTCTTCAACTATAAGCCCACTCTTTCCTATATCATCAGCCCTCCCTCTAATTATTCCTATCATTATACAATATGTTTTTCTCTCTTCCAACATTAAAAACATCTCTTTTGGCCCTGTGCCTGTTTTAAACTGCTTTCCCATACCTTTGTCTCCTCTTATGTCTTGCTTTTTTAGAAGAACTTAGGCATATATTAAAGGTGTCTACTCCCAATCTACACTTCTGTCTCTTTCATTCTGCATCTGTTCTGCTTCTACTTGTTTCACTCTACCAAAACTGCAGTTTTCCAGGTCATGAACAATTGCTCTATTTTCAGACTCATAGATACCCTGGTCCTGCATTATTCGAAGTTGTCTATTGCAGGTCATTGTTGAAATTTCCTTCTCCCTCTTGACCTCAGCAATGACACTCCCTGGGGGTCCTTCTGGCCAGCGGCTGCTCCTTCCTTGTCTCCTTGCCTTGTCCTTATTCTCAGCTTTGCCCTTTTACTATTCTTCTAGCGTTTGTCCTGTCCATACCTTCTCCCTACCTTTTATTGCTTATTCCCATGGATTTAAATATTCCCTATCAGCTGACTTTTGATTTAATTCTCCATCCTGGACGTTTCCTCTATCTTCAGGTGCCTTCTTGACATCTCCACTGGAGTTTCCCCCAGGTGTCGCATTCTAATCTGTCACATAGTTAACTCTTCATCTGCCCTCACACACCTCCTCCATATGTCCTCTCAAATGATGTCTTAAGTCTCCCCACGCCTCTGCATCACCACAGCATCCACCTTGCCCATCTTCCACTTGGCCTGTTGCCAACCTCCTAACACAGTCTTCTCTGTTCCTTTGCTTCCTTCGATCTGTTCTCCACACAGCAGATAATCTTCTTGAAGTATAAATCAGATCATGCCACTTGCCTGCTTAAAACTTTTCAAAGGTTTCACATTGTGCTTAGAATAAAACCAAAACTCTCTGTAGGAATGTGAATAATTTGATCTCTACCTGTCTTTTCTACTTTATGTTACCTTCTTTCTTACCCAACTGTCTCAAGTCATATTGGTTTTTCCTTTCCAAGCTGTCACCAAGCTCTTTCCTGATTTAGGACGTACTGTTTTCTCTGTCTAAAAAATACCTACCTCCCACCCCCACTTATTGAATTTCTATTTTTCCTTACTATTCCTCTGGTTTCAGCTTAAATATAATTTTCTTAATGAAGTCTTCCAAGCCCTTTCTCTAAAGCTTGTTTTGTCTTTAACTCAGGTTCTTGTTTCCTACTTATAACTTGTCACAATTTCTTCTAACCTGTTTTTTTCGCCTAGTTTACAAGGGCTGGGGGATCCTCTGACAGAGTTGCCCATGTGCTCACCGCTGCTGTTGGACAAATGAAGCCTGGATGTGAAAGGGGTGTGATGTGGGAGAGGCCATCACACAAGAAGAAGCAGCTGTTTTCATTGTGTTGTGTCTGAAGTTATAGCAAGACATTCAGAAGCAGGGACAAAGCGTTTGCATTTGGCAAAGACACAGAGGCAAGTACAAAATGATGAGATTCTATGCAAGGATGCAAAGATGAAATTTTATATCTATGCTGCTCTGTGTACCTCACACGAAAGCACAAATGTTCATCAAAAGTAGATAAAAAATTAGAGCAGAAATAAAGTTAGATAAAATGGAAAAGCAGTGTAAGGACTGTTATGAAACATTTACAAAACATTATTTTTTTTAAAAAAAGTTTTAGGTTCAGGGGTAAATGTGCAGGGTTGTTATATAGGTAAATTCTGTGTCTTGGGGGTTTAATATACAGTTTATTTCCTTAACCAGGTGATAAGCATAGTACGAGGTAGTTTTTTGATCCTCACCCTCCTCTTACCTTTTACCCTCAAATAGGCCCCGGTGTCTATTTTTCCTTCTTTGTGTTTGCAAATATTTTGTCCCATTCTGTAGATTGTCCGTTTACTCTGTTGATAGTTTTTTTTTTTTCTGTGCAAAGCTCTTTGGTTTAATTAGATCCCATTTATTTGTGTCTTCATCATGACATCTTTGCCAGGGCCTATGTCCAGAATGGTATTTCCTGGGTTTTCACCTAGGATTTTTATAGTATTAGGTTTCATATTTAAGGCTTTAATCGATCTCAAGTTGATTCGTGTATATGGTGAAAGAAAGGGGTCCAGTTTCAATCTTATGCATATATCTAGCCAGTTATCTCAGCACCATTTATTGAATAGACGGTCCTTTCCCCATTGCTAGTTTTTGACAACTTTGTTGAAGATCAGGTGGTTGTAGATGTGCAGCTCTATTTTTGAGCTCTCTATTTTTTTCATTGGTCAATGTGTCCATTTTTGTACCAGTATCATGCCGTTTTGGATACCGCAGCCCTGTAGTATAGTTTGAAGTTATGCAATGTGATGCCTCCAGTTTTGTTCATTTTGTTCCGATTGCTTTGGCTATTTGGGCCCTTTTTTGGTTTCATGTAAATTTTACAATTTTTTTTCTAATTCTGTGAAGAATGTCATTGGTAGTTTGATAGGAATGCATTGAATCTGTAAATTGCTTTGGGCAATAAGGCCATTTTAACAATATTGATTCTTCCAATTAATGAGCATGGCGTGTTTTTCCATTTGCTTGTCTCATCTCTGATTTCTTTGAACAGCATTTGGTTATTCTCATTGCAGAGCTCTTTCACCTCACTAGATAGCTGTATTTCCTAGGTATTTTATTTTTTTGTAGCTATTGTGAATGGGATTGCATTCTTGATTTGGACCTCAGCTTGGACATTGTTGGTATATTAAAATCTTACTGATTTTTGTACATTGATTTTGTATCCCAAAACTTTGCCGAAGTTTTTTATCAGATCTAGGAGCTTTTGGACAGAAACTATGAGGTTTCCTAGATACAAAGTCATATCATCTGCAAACAGGGCTAGTTTGACTTTCTGTTATCCTATTTGGATGCCTTTTTTTTTCTCTTTCCTGATTGCTCTGGCTAGGATTTCTAGTACTACGTTGAATAGGAGTGGTGAGAGTGGACATTCTCATCTTATTCTGGTTCTCAAGAGGAATGCTTCCAGCTTTTGCCTGGTCAGTCTAATGCTGGCTTGGGTTTGTCATAGATGGCTGTTGTTATTTTGAGATGCGTTTCTTCAATGCTGACTTTTTCGAAGGTTTTGAAGGGATAAAGGGATGTTGAATTTTATTAAAAGCCTTTCTGTATCTATTGAGATGATCATGGAGTTTTTGTTTTTATTTCTCTTTATGTGATTTGCATGTGCTGAACCATCTGTTGTTGAACCATAAATCATTTATTGATTTGTGCATGTTAAACCAACCTTGTGTCCCAGGAATAAAGCCTACTTAATCATGGTGGATTAGCTTTTTAATGTGCTGCTGTATTTGCTTTGCTAGTGTTTTGCTGAGGACTTTTGCATCTATGTTCATCAAAGATACTGGCCTGACATCATCATCATCATCATTATTATTATTATTATTATTATTATTATTATTATTGAGACAGAGTCTCTCTCTGTCACTCAGGCTGGAGTGCAGTGGCGTGATCTTGGCTCACTGCAAACTCTGCCTCCCAGGTTCAAGCAATTCTTCTGCCTCAGCCTCCCAAGTAGCTGGGACTACAGGCCCTTGTCATCATGCCCAGCATTTTTTTTTTTTGTATTTTTAGTAGAGACAGGGTTTTACCATGTTGGCCAGGATGGTCTTGGTCTCCTGACCTCGTGATCTGCTAGCCTCGGCCTCCCAAAGTGGTAGGATTACAGTCGTGAGCCACCATGCCTGGCCTATTTTTTTTTTTTTTAGTTGCATCTCTGCTAGGTTTTAGTATCAGAATCATGCTGGCTTCAAAGGATGCATTAGAGAGGAGCTACTCCTCCTCAATTTTTTGGAATAATTTCAGTAGGAATGATACCAGCTCTTCTTTATACATCTGGAAGAATTTGGCTGTGAATCCATCTGGTTCGGGGTATTCCCTGGTTGCTAAGCTTTTCATTACTAATTCAATTTTGGAACTCATTATTGATCTTCTCAGGGTTTCAATTTCTCCCTGGTTCAGTCTTGGGAGGTTGTATGTTTCCAGGAATGTATCCATTTCTTGTAGCTTTGTAGTATTTGTGCATAGAGGTGTTTGTAATAGTCTCTGAGGGTAATTTTTTTCGTGGGGTCAATGTTAATGTCCCCTTTGTCATTTCTAATTGTATTTGTTTGGATCTTCCCTCTTTTTATCGTTATTAGTCTAGCTAGTGCTCTATCAATCTTATTTTTTCTTTCAAGATAACCAACTTCCAATTTCATTTATCCTTTGTATGATTTTTTTTTTTTTTTTGCATCTCAGTTTCATTTAGTTCAGCTGTGATTTTGGTTATTTCTTCTGTTCTTCTAGCTTTGAGATTGGTTTGCTCTTGTTTTCCTAGTTCCTTCAAGTGTGATGTTAGGCAGTTAATTTGAGATCTTTCTAACTTTTTGATGTGGGTGTTTAGTGCTATGAACTTTCTTATAAACACTGTGCTATAAACAATGGTATAAACACTACTTTAGCTGTGTCCTAGAGCTTCTGGTATGTAGTATCTTTGTTTTCATTAGTTTCAAAAAATGTCTTGACTTTTGCCTTAATTGTATGGTTTACCCAAAAGTCATTCAGGAACAGGTTATTTAATTTCCATGTAATTGTATGGCTTGGGGTGATCTTCTTAACATTAATTTCTATTTTTATTGTACTATGGTGCAAGAATGTGGTTGGTATAATTTCCATTTTTTAAAATTTGCTGAGAATTGTTTTCTGGCCATTTTTTGGTCAATTTTAGAGCATGTGCCATGTGCAGATGAGAAGAATGTATATTCTGTTGGGTTTTGGTGACGAGTTCTGCAGATGTCTATTATGTCTATCTGATCAAGTGTTGAGTTCAGGTTCTGAATATTTTTGTTAGTTTTCTGCCTTGTTGATCTGTCTAATACTGTCAGTGGAGTATTGAAGTCTACTTATATTATGATGTTGTTATCTCAGTCTCTTTGTAGGTGTTGCTGCTACCACCCTGATGAAGCACTTTAGTGGGCCCCCCATCGGAGTGTTGTTGCCAGCAGACTGGGAGGGAACACCTCGACCTTCCCAGTGCAGCGGGTTCCTAACTTCAAGGGGACAGAGAACAAAGCTGGGGATGTGGTACTAGCCCCCCGGCATTAGCTCATGCAGCCCAAGAGTGATGAGCTGAGCCCTGGTCCCCTGAATTCTCCCTGAAACAAAGCCAGTCAACTGATTCTACCTTATACCACAATCAAACCCTCAAGAGCATCAAGTAATAAAAAAGCAAAAAATCCCAATCCAAAGGACATCAAAATCAAAGGTTAATGGAACATCATCCTACACCGATAAGGAAAAAAACAGCACAAGAACTCTGGCTACTCAAAAAGCCAGACTGTTTTCTTACCTCCAAACAACCACACTCATTCCACAGGAATGGTTGTTAAGCAGACTGAACTGGCTGAAATGACAGGTATAGAATTCAGAATCTGGATAGGAACGAAGATCACTGAGATTCAGAAGAATGCCAAAACGCAATCCAAAAAAACCTAAGGAATCCAATAAAACAATACAAGACATGAAAGATGAAATAGTCTTCATAAGAAAGAATCAAACTGAGTTGATAGAGCTGAATTTCACAATACAATCACAAGTATTAACAGCAGAATAGACCAGCCTGAGAAAAGAATCTCAGAGCTCAAAGACTAGTTCTTCAAATCAACTCTGTCAGATGAAAATCAATAAAAAGAATTAAAAAGAATGAACAAGGCCTCCAAGAAATCTGAGATTATGTAAAAAGACAAATCTGTGACTCATTGGCATCTCTGAAAGGGAAGCTGAGAAAGCAACCAACTTGAAAACATAGTTTAGGATATTGTCCATAAAATTTACCCAACCTCACTAGAGAGGCAAACATTCAAATTCAGAAAGTGTAGATAACCCCTGTGAGATAGTATACAAGATGACCATTTCCAAGACGCATAGTCATCAGATTCTCCAAGGTCAACATGAAAGAAAAAAGTATTAAAAGAAGCTAGAGAAAAGGGGCAGGTCACCTACAAAGGGAACCCTATCAGGCTGACAGTAGATCTTCCAGCAGAAACCCTGTAAGTCAGAAGAGATTGGGAACCTATATTCAGCATTCCTAAAGAAAATAAATTCCAACCAAATATTTTATATCCAGCCAAACTAAGCTTCATAAGCAAAGGAGAAATAAGATCATTTTCAGATAAGCAAATGCTAAGGGAATTCATTACCACCAGACTGTCCTTACATGAGGTCTTTAAAGGAGTGCTAAAAATGGAAAAGAAAGACCATTATCAGCCAACACAAAGCACACTTAAATACATAGACCATTGACACTATTTTAAAACACCAAATAATCAAGGCTGTGTGATAACTAGCTGATATAATGATAAGAAGATCAAATCCTCACATATCAATATTAACCTTGAACATAAGTGGGTTGAATGCCCCACTTAAAAGTCACAGAGTGGCAAGTTGCATAAAAAGCAAGACCCAATTGTATACTGTCTTCAAGAGACCCATCTCAATTCAATGACACCCATAGGCTCAAAGTAAAGAGATGAAGAAAAATCTACCAAGAAACTAGAAAACAAAACAAAAGAAAAAGTAGGGGTTGCTATTTTAATTTTGGACAAAACAGACTTTAAACCAATAATAATAAAAAAAGACAAAGATGAGCATTGCATAATGGTAAAGCGTTCAATTCAATCAGAAGATTTAACTCTTCTAAGTATATATGTACCCAACACAGGAGCACCCAGATTTATATAAAACATTCTTGAAGAATGGCCTATAATATGCTTTGATTCCAATGTAAGTGTGGAGTAGGGGCAATTATAAAATGATAATTATTTCAGGTATTTATCATCATGAAGTTATATATACATGTTCACATACATATATACATACACACACACACACATACATGTAACTGGACCCTTTGGGATTTCAGCAACACAGATTTTTTTAGTCACTGAAATCATGAAAATTCTGATCAGGCCCTTGCTTGATGGCACAGGTTAACTGCTCACTTTTTGCCCAACATTCTATGTTCCTACAATATAAATATAAACTGCTGATGTCCTGTTTCTTTGTCAAGCTGGAGGAAATAACTTCAGGGTCACAAAAAAGTCTGCGGAAGGAATGAACGCCCTGAAGGACATTGTAACCAGCTGTTGATGCCCAGAAGTCTTGTTGCTCAAGGTTTTATCTATGATGAACCAGACTTTTTCCCCTGGATTCCTGAAACTCCCCTACCTTATTCTCCTGCTGCATAAAAACTCCCTGCTTCTTCTTTTTGTTAAGATGGGTTTGAGGGATCTTGTCCATTCACCTTCTCACTTTGGCCAAATCAAATAAGTTTTTATCTCTAAGCACCTGTGACTCAGTGTTTGGCCTCAGCTGCACATCAGGTATATAATCCTGAATTTGAGGTTCCACAAGATATACACACACCCACACACAGCATATTATATTGCCACGTTGTGGTGCTTTTTATGGAATAATCATTTCTGTAAATGGCCTGTAGGCTATAAAGAAAAACACCTGCCTCTATTCATTCACTGAACCCGTATTTCCTAAGTACTTATGACTTCCAGTCCCTCCTACCTGCACTGGGGATATGTCAGGCAATAACAACAGAAAGCAACAAGCCGGCAGCCAGGTATTGAAAGCTGCTAGGGGAGAAAATAGTGAAAGGAGATCATGTAAACCAAGGAGAGTTTCTCCTTCATATGGATGGCCAGGGAAGGCCTCAGGGAGGCAGCAGCATTTTAACAGAGAAGTCAAGCCGATCTATGGGGGACAGCACTCCAGGGGCAAAGAACAGCAGGTCCAAGTGCCTCAGGCGAGGGGAGTGTGCTTGGCAAGGGAGATGTGGGCCTTTGTGCCTAAGGACAGTGAGTAATGGGAGGTGATGAGGTGGCAGAGGTGTGGGCAGCGGTGCCATATTGCATGGGGACCTTGTTGGTCATCGTGAGACTATGGTTTTCCCAACGGAGATGGGGAGCCATTGGAGGAGATTCTGCAAGAGTGACGTGGTCTGACACAGCCTTTAGGGGAGAAATCTGATGACCATGCAGAGATAGAAGCAGAAAAGCAGGTCCCCACAGGAGGAACCCATTCGGGTGTGACAGAGATGTGGGCAGAGGGCAGCAGGGTGGCGTCAGCCAGTCACACCCTCGAGTGCTCTGAAAGTAAAGACAATAGAATTTGCTGGTGGACTGGACACAGGGTGAGAGGAAGGGAGAAACTGGCCCAACACTTCTTCCCAGGCAACTGGAAGCATGGGGTTTCCACTTTCAGAGATGCGTGGGAGAGAGGAGCAGGTAGCGGGGGTGGAAGAACCAGGTGAGGCCGTTGGAGACTCTGATATTACTATTCACCCTTTTTATTGAAAAGGATGTCGTCATTGACTCAATAGGACAGATGTGAAAAACTGAAAGAGACATCTTGTTCTTATCATAACCTCCCCCCTCATTTTGTACATTTGCACATAGAGAAGTTACTAGAAGGGACAGTGTGAGTGTGGCTCTGAGGTCCTTCAGTAACCCATCCATAGCAGTCTGCAGCTGGGCACTCATACTGAGCCACATGGCAGCTGCAGTCAGTGTCTCCCGGTGCAGGGCATTGCGGGCTGGAGCCTCGCTCACTTTGTTCTGTCCCTCCCATGTCACTCCCGTCTTGAGCAGACCCAGCCTCCTTCTTGGATGGAGTGAATCCACTTCTATATTTGAAGTAATCTTTCATGTATTTTGAAAACACCTAGGCTCCAAATCCTCCTCTAAGCCTACTTTCTTGACTTTTGACTAAAAACGTCTCTTTGCAGTTATTAATATTCTTCTTGATTTTGCCAATCTTGCAAGTGGATAGGAGTAAATCTTCAAGGGAGTTTAGCTAACTGTTCCTTCATTTTATGTGTTTAGGGATCCTGTGGATTTCTGTATGTGGGAATCCCATTTTACTGTTCTAGTGGCCTGACCTGGCCAAAGGGAGTCCAGTCAAGTTTGTCTGTTATCCTGAACTTTGGTCATTTTCCAGATTTATATTGCACTGAAGAAAAATGTATTTTGCCATATGTATCTTAAGCAAAACCGTTAACAGATACTTTGTGATTTTCCTTTTTCTCTGAAAAAGCATTCGGAAATTGATCTAGCTTTATAGAGATCATATTTAACCCACCCCAAAAAGAACTAAGACAATATCCTATTGATTTAAGAAAATAATCCTGTATTGACAAGGTTGTGAATTACGGCATATTTCTAGGGACCAACATCATCAGTGGCAGCAGAGGTGAGGATGAGGAATATGATTACAGAAGTTTATTTCATCTCACATGAGACATTCCAGCTCAGTCCAATATAACAGCTGCAATGTGAACACAAGCTATTGATTCAAAGCTGCCACCTGCTTAGCCACGTCAAGAGGCAGGAGCTTAATATATCAGATGGTATTTGCTGTTTAGTCTCAGGTGGTAGCCCAGAATCAATATCCTTAAATCAAGAATCTCTATATTAACCAAGAGCAGGCACATTTATTATAATTCTGGTCCTCTCCTGTTGTTAGCAGATGGAACCAGGTGCAGGGCTCCAGCTTGTTCTGTCATGCGGCCCTAAATACTGTCTTTGTGTTATCCTCCACAATTATATTCTCTCCTAACTATGAAGAGTCTGGAACAGGCTTACCCTAAAGTATATTGGTCAAAATATTTGACTATTTGAAAAGATAAAATATTAAATCATAGCCTAATGGCACTTGCTTTAAGAATTATATGTGAAAATTAACTGATCCATACAAATTGAAGGTGGTACAGATCCAAACACAATGAAAATAATATCAAAGCCAAGAAATCACCAAGTACAGAAACCCACATATGGAAACCCACAGGAAATTGGAAGTATATTGAAGGACGGCCAGAAGAACACAAAACACACATCCCACTTTCCTGGAGTCTCCAAATGAGCTATGGTGTAGTCCTCATAACTAGCTTTAGGGAGCACAACAGTTTATTTAAAAAAAAAAAAAAGGCTTAATTTTTTTTTCGTGGCCTCGCTCTATGAGAGAAATTTATAGGGGTTACTTGGTGGATTCCTGAGCAGTGTGAATAATCTTGTAGCCAATAGTTTCTTGTAAAATCCAAAGGGCGTTCACATAGAGTGGTTTCTTTTTTTTTTTTCTTTTTGAGATGGAGTTTCGCTCTTGTTGCCCAGGCTGCAGTATAGTGGCATGTTCTCGGCTCACTGCAACCTCAGCCTCCCGGGTTCAAGTGATCCTCCTGCCTCAGCCTCTCTAGTAGCTGTGATTATAAGAGCCCACCACCATGCCTGGCTCACTTTTGCATTTTCAGTAGAGACGGGGTTTTGCCATGTTGGCCAGGCTGGTCTCGAACTCCTGACCTCAGGTGATCCGCCCACCTTGGCTTCCCAAAGTGCTGGGATTACAGGCGTGAGCCACCATGCCTGGCCCCATAGAGTGGTCTCTTATTTAGCGCTTTAGTGAAAGCCAAGTTTGAGGTTTATAAAGACAGGTCTACTGGCAAGCAGTGGATAGTTTGTTCATGTAGCTTTGTGGACCTGAGTACACTTGTATCTTCAATTTACTTGATGTTTTATGGAAAATCTTAAGTAATAAATTAAATATCAGAAAATATTGTTTTATATTGAATCAGACCAAATGTATTATGAAACACTACAACATTTGCATTGGTTTCCTAATAAAAGATCCAGTGGAAGGCACTATCAAAACATTCGCATACCAATTGCAAAAGGTAGGTGTTTTAATAAAACCCAGTACCCTATTTATATAGGGAATTTGTCCTAACAAAAGACTCTTTCTACATTTTAAGATCTCTCAGTATCATTTTAGTAAAGATTTAATGGGAATTTAAAAAAAACCCTTGAATCTGTACTGCTGTCATTCGATTCGGTTCCCAAACAATTCCTGTCTGAATTTGAGAGTCATTAATAATCACAAAAGCTAATATTTGCGTAACACACACCACCACAATCTGTTCTCAATGTATCTTCCAAGCATTTTCATAAGTCAAGGACTAATAGTAGCTTTCAAGTTTTACAATAGAAAAATGTTGGCACCAAGAAGTTAAGGAGCCTTCTGAGGCTGTGCGCTGGTGAGTGGTAGACTGGATTCAAAGCCCGAGTGTGCACTCTCAGCTGTTGGCCTATATTCTCTGCCTAATCACAAAAATGAAATTTGTGCTTAAGCTTTTTATTTTAGATGAAACAATGAAAAACACTATCAAGTCCAGTGTGGTTTTTTTTTTGCATGTAAGATACTGGATTGGAAAAACCACTCCTCCATTTTAACAATAAGATAATTGTCAGGGACATTTCTGAGCTAGTTAGTCGAATTTAAAAAACATTGGATTTGTATTGCGGGATTGAGTGAGGTTGTAATTTAAGGAGTTCAACTGGTGTTTTGTTTGTTTCTGTAACAACACTAACTTTTAGACTTGAACTCCTATGGCTTGAGCTATGTAGAGAAACTTAATTCAAGTGAAGAATTTAGCAAGAATACTGGGTCATCAGAGCAACTGAAATTTTAGCGACTCGGTAGATACCTATCATTATCATTATCATTATTACCTATCATTATCATTATCATTATTATTATTATTATCACCATAAATCAGTCTCACAGAAATGATAATAGTAACGCATAGAACAACAAGCACTATAACTCTCAACCACCTACGACAGACCAGGCACTGAGTGAAGTATTCCTCTCATAATATTTCACGTAAACCTCACAGCAGCCCAATAAGGAAAGCCAAACATCACACTTTTCTATTCCGGCTTCAGCACCAAGGCTCTTGATCATCAGGGTACTTGGCTCCATAGATAAAAGAGGAAAAAAACCTAATTTCAGATCCAATGTGGGTATCTGCCAATTAAGGATGTTTGGAATATGTACATTAATTTATCCAAACATTCATTTTGCAAGATTCAGCAAACATTAACTGAGCAACTTCTGTGTTTATTGTGGGTTATTTGTGGATGTGAAGAAGATACAGCCCTCAGTGAATTAAAACTTTATTTGGGAAAATTGTAATAAAATAAATGTGAGGAGTGGTTCATTCCCACTGAGATGTATAGTCACATAGGGCACATCAAAAAAAGAAACAGCAACTTAAGATGAGTAAGATTCAATGGGCAGAGGAGGGGAAATGGCAGAGTGGTCACAGGGAAGGGAACAATAAAGATACAGAAATGGAGAAAAATTTTTACTTAGATAATGAAACTTTGGGTAGAATGGAATATCTCTCTAAGTCACCTAAAATAGAGCCATTTTTAATGTTGCTGGTCTTCATTAAGTAACTTGTTGAAGTGAAAACTGGAGATACCTAGATATACTTTGATATTCTGTTGCATTCAATATGAAAATTAAAAGGGATTATAGAGAAGATAAAGGGAATTAAAGAACCAAATATAGATTTGATTACTGCAAAGGTTAAATACATGGGATTAATAGCAGTAGCATTTAAAATGCATTTCCCCATATGATAGGGGCCGAATGAAAGGAGCTTTGGAACCATGTGCTTCACCCTAGTGTGCAGAGTTTTGAATAAATGCTGTTATGTGACCATCACCTTTTGCTATAAAAACTGGTATTTATCCACTCCACTGCAGAAATGCTTTCACAGAATGTGTTTCTCACCAGGGTTTTAAAATATTTACATCAGCTGATTAATAATTTACAGTTGGCATTCACGACCTCAGGCTCATGAATAATTGACGTGTTCATTTAAGATTTGCAACTGTTCTGTATAATGATAAAGTGCGCCAATCTGAGCCTCTCCGGCATTTCAACAGTGAAAGTTTGCAATGAAATCAGGCTTTCTTTTGGTTTTGCAGAGGTTGAAAGTAAAGCTTATAATCAAATAATGGAGGATAATAATTGTATGTGCCAGATGCTCTCTCTGTTGAGACAAGGAAGAGTAACTGGCACATAGGGAAGCCACAATCCTCATACCAGCACTAAGAAGTGGATTTTATTGGCTTCATTTGTAGTTGAAGGAAAGGGGCTCAGGAAATCTAATTAAATTCCTGTTACCTCTCTGGCCTTTTAAAGTTATATAGGAGTAGTAGGAAGTATAAAAATATATATGTGTACATATGTGTGTGCATATACACACTGTATATGTACACTACATACATGTATTTCTGATCACTATTTAATTATTATAGTGTTTCAAGAAAAAAAAACAATAAAAAACAATGATACAACTAGTCTAAGTTTTTGTGTGGCTATCAATTGTCAAATTGGTCACACCAAAATGCCCATTTTTAACCTCATATTTTTCAGGGAATTGAATATTGGTTATTGTCAGATTAATGTCAAAATAATGCTTCTATTTCAAAAAAAAGTCCATCCTGAAAGTATGAGAATATCTATACTTACTTAAAAAAAAGAAGAAGAAAAGAAAATGAAGAAGAAAAACAGATAATATAACTCTTCGTTAAACGGTTTTTCTTTTGCCTGGGGATTCAGTGTGGAGGTTCACTTAGTAGTCCCTTACATAGGTCATTGGCCATGAGTAACAAAATAAAAAAGATATCTTTTGTGTCTATTTCTCTACCTTTACACCCAGATTCCCCTATTTTTCTTAGCGGCTATGACCTATTAGCTATATGCTCTTTACATAGCTTGACATAATCCTTTCCATCTGACTCCTGGGTCCTTTACTGGAAAACATCTCATTTTTAGTTTTATTCTTTTTTTAAAAAAAAAATGTACAAAATGGCTTTCTAACTCTTGTCAAGGTAATAACAGAAAAGGATTCATGGGACTGTGATTTCTCAAGGTATACTCAAAAGTCTTGTGATTCCAAAAGAGTGTTATGTCAAGCACCATGCCCAGACAATGGGCAAGGGTTGCTTTCCGATGACCTTCGCATCCCACCATCTGAACTGGCATCCACTGTCCTTACTCAGAATATATTTGATGATTCTCCCGTGAAGCACTGAAAGCAGATGAGTCGCTGCAACGTGTCGGGCTGACGTCTCCAGGATCCTAGCACCTGAAAAACCTGCCATGCTCCAATGTACAAACAATGTCTCATTTGCCTATTTGACTGATGTTTCTTGCACTTGTCTTTCCTGGCTGTGTGAAAAGTCTCTCCTGGATTGCAACTTCGGGGTCCGCTACTCATTAAAAGTTTTTCTTGCTTGTTTAATCCATTCAAAGGGCATCTCTATTTTATTCCCTTCAGCTCTTCCATCAGAACGTCTACTTCCAAGCACCTTCAATTCCACCTGTCCATGTCTGCAGATGAGATGTGGGTGTCAGTCAGGCCTGACCACTTAAATACAAAATAAAGAAAGGTTTAAAGGACTTAAAATAAAGAAAGTTAATCTAAGAAAATGTAAACACAGTGGTGAAAGAGCTAAGAATCTAAATGAGAACAGTGATGTAACAGAGATGAATAAATACACTATCACCCAGGCTAAAGGCGGGGAGTGGGTAGTGATGCCAGGGCCAAGGGCTGAGATCATGATGCACAAAAGAAAATCATGGTGGAGCAACGTGAGCTGGAGAGATTGTGAGGTTACAGAGATGCCAGCCAAGTTAGACAAAGAGAGAGCAGAAATATCTTCTCTCCTCCCTTCCTCCCACCTTCAATATCCTTCCGGTGCCAGCCATTGTCCAAACCCAAAAGGAATCAGTGGATGGGGGCTTGAAGCATGCAGTCTGTAGAGTATAGAAACCTTCACTACAGAATAAAGCAGGGAAATAATCAGGATTGGATCTACTGGCAAATGAGACAAAGATCAACAATTGCTAGTGCCACCACCATCACTGTCCGAGAGGATGGAGACACTTTAGCACTCTTCCCCAGGTCCTGATCTGGAACAAGATTGCAGTTCCTTGTCTTGGAAAGTAAATGAAAGTAACAAGTTAGAATTCATAATTTGTCTTATAAAAAAGGAGATATGGAGGATACTTGAATGTGTTCTTAAAACCTACAGAAATATATTTTGTATGAGGAGATGACCTAGTTGTCAAACTAACTAATGCTTTTTAAATGAAAGCTTTTCAGAGTACATTTTAAAGAGTAACTCCAACTTAAATTGGCAGACAAAGGCTTTAGGTTTGAGCAAAGATTTAAAAGTGCATAGAGAATGTAAAAACTGTTACAAGGCACAGATCTATTGGAGACATGAATTAAAACATCACCACATCCTTAAATTTAACCACTTCAAAGTTGCATAATAAATTTAAGGCCAAGATTTTCTATATCACCTCCATAGAAAACCAAGGTGGCAACAAAATTATTAAGAAATAGGAACATGAAATTCTCATTTTAAAAAAGGTTAGTTTCTATCATGACCATTTTGGAGACTTGAATTAATGGTAGGGAAGATAAATCTAATAGAGATTGATGATATAAGGCAGTCACTGTTGATTGTCCCTCCACCACAATGAGACCCTCCCCACTTTCTGTTTTGCTGGAAGAATGCCAGCTTTTTATATCCAAGTCTTAGGTGGCAATACGCTCATGGAATGTGGGTCTCGTTGTGACTCGGGGCAGGAGAAGCCATGATGGCACCTGTAACTGTGGATCAGTCAGGGTCCAAGGAGGGAAACAGGAGCCACACAGACATTTCAAGCAGAATGTCATCTGACATAGGAGTCAGGTGCTTCTTCCCATCATTGGAAGTGCTGGAGAGCTGTGGTCAGGATGCCTCAGTAGATGATTTTTTGGCAATGGATATAGCCATGCAGACTCCGGAGAGCTGCTGCTGTTTCTACCATTACTGGAACCAAAACACCTCATGGCACAGACAGAGTTGTGATGGCTTCCCCCTCAGTTCTGCCTACAACACTTTATACACATTCTCTCCTGACAGTTTCCCATCCCAAACTCAAGCTGCAAGAATGTTTCAGAAACGTAGCTGTTAGACTTCCAGCCCTTCAGTACATGGGGGATGAACACATTAATTATGGGGTTCTTGCCTGAGTGTTATCAGACAATAATTAACACAATATTTGGCTTTTAAAAATTATACTATTTTTGATTGACACATTGATATGGTATGGCTCTGTTATCTCCACCCAAATCTCACCTTGAATTGTAATAATCCCCATGTATCAAGGGCAGGACCAGGTAGAGGTAATTGGACGATGGGGACGGTTTCCCTCATGCTGTTCTCATGATAATGAGAGAGTCCCACAAGATCTGATGGTTTTATAAGCATCTGGCATTTCCCCTGCTTGCACTCACTCCGTCTGCTGCCCTGTGAAGACGGTGCCTGCTTCTCCTTTGCCTTCCTCCATGACTGTAAGTTTCCTGAGGTCTCCCCAGCAATACAGAACTGTGAGTCAATTAAACCTCTTTCCTTTATAAATTACTCAGTCTCAGATATTTCTTCATAGACTGTGAGAATGAACTAATACACACATCATAATTGTATACATTGATGTGATATATGTATACAATGTGGAATGATTAAATCAAGCTAACATATTCATCACCTCACTTATCTATCATTTTTTGACTTTGAAATGTAAGTGTAAGGCGGCTGTTGGATTCCTGGGAAAAATCTAATACTCTTAATAAAAGACAGGCTTGAGAAGAAAGTATCCTCTGTCTTCTACATAGAAGCATATGACGTTTGAAACTATGGTTTCCTCTTGCAATGAAAAAGGTTCAATATTCAGGGTAAAAGCCAATATACTATGAATAACAGTAGGAGGGAAATTTCCTGGCTCCTTGATGACATAGATGCGCTTCTGCACTAACCTATCCTGAAATACATTATCTCCAACTTCCAGTTGTATGGGACATTGAACTCCTTATTGGTTGGGTGCTCTTTAGTATGCAGTCAAAAAAGGTTTTTTCCCACAAGGTATATATTTCACTGAAACAGCAAGTAGAGACAATACTATGAAACTCCTAATGAAGAGGCAATAATAAATTTTGAAACCATAACTGATGTCTCAAATAAATAGTTTAAGCCCTTTTCTTGAAATTATTCTACGTAGCTCATTCATTCAAAATATGCAAGAAATTCCACATAAACAGAACTGGCCCTCCACTTTCCTGATGCTTCTGTTTTTGACTTTATAATCTTAAAATAATTGGGAATCTTTTTTCTCAGAATCATTCTTCTGAAAATAATGTATGTGTATGAAAGGAATTCTGCCCTATTTCAAAATTTAATATCAGGTAGTTTATATTACCTTTTCTGATTTTAATCAAACGCTTATGCCATATGTTAATATAATTTGCATGTCAGTTTCCCTAGCAGAAAAACAAAGTCCCATTTAAGACATCTGCATCACCAACCAGCTGTCATAGTAGCCATTGGGCAAAACATGAAATCCACCAAAGCCTTCCACCATTTCTCTCGAGACAAGGTAGATTTAGAATGACATTTTTATCTTCCTTTCTGTCTATCCATCCAAAAGATATTGTTCATCTATTTTAATGTTTACTACATGCTGTTTACTTTTTAAAATAAATAGGAGAATAGTATAACTTCATTTATTTATTTATTTATTTATTTATTTATTTATTTATTTATTTTGAGATGGAGTGCAATGGCATGATCTCAGCTCACTGCAACCTCTGCCTCCTGGGTTCAAGTAATTCTCGTGCCTCAGCCTCCCGTGTAGTTGGGATGACAGGCACGTGCCACCACACCTAGTTAATTTTTGTATTTTTGGTAGAGATGGAGTTTCATCATGTTGCCCAGGCTGGTCTTGAACTCCTGACCTCAGGTGATCCACCTGCTTCAGCCTCCCAAAGTGCTAAGATTACAGATGTGACCCTCCGAGCCTGGCCTTTTTTTTTTTTTTTTTTTTTTTGAGATTGAGTCTTGCTCTCTCGCCCAGGGTGGAGTGCAGTGGTGGGTGGGATCTCGGTTCACTGCAACTTCCACCTCTGTGATTCTCCTGCCTCAGCCTCCCCAGTAGCTGGGAACACAGGTACCTCCCACCACACCCAGGTAAATTATTTTGTATTTTCGGTAGAGACAGGGTTTTGTCATGTTGGCCAGGCTGGTCTTGAACTCCTGACCTCAGGTGAGCCACCCACCTTGGCCTCCCAAAATGCTGGGATTACAGGCATGAGCCACCACACCTGGCTAGAGGCTAGTATAACTTTAGAAACACCAATTATTATAAAGGGTGTATTGTTTGTCCACTATGTATTTTTCAGTGTAGTAGGTGTTGGGGCTGCAGGGTGAATACAGCATGCTCTCAGGAAGTCACTCCCCACCAGGAGAGGCCAGCAGGTGAACAGGAGACCTGGCTTTGTGGTGTCTCTTCCCTAAGTAACACACAGCAATTGGGAAGTGGAATAGCTTTAGGTATCTACTAATACTACATGATATGGTCCTGTTCTTGTAGATAGAACATAGCTTCCTAGATGCTCAGTTCACATTCTACAAAACAAGAACAATAACAATTGTACCTGTATGCATGAAATATCCACATACAGTATTCTCTATTTTAAACAAATTTTAATGGTGCAAATTTTGTAAGAGCTCAGTTTTATGGAGAGTATAAAATTAAATCTCAGAGAATCAAAACCCATTTATTTAGCTGATAAATAATCTGTGCATGATTTTACTGAGAAATAGCGTGGCCCCATCTTTCAGTTGTGGAAACAAAACATCATATGGAAGATTTCCATAGAGAATCTTTAATCCCTCTAAAAGGAACCAGGATACATTCAGCAAACATGAGACAGTAAAGTTGTACTATTCATTAGAAACCACCCCAAGCCACAGGAGCTTTGCTATAGACTGAATGTTTGTGTCTCCACTAGAATTTCTATTTGGAAACCTAATGCCCACTGTGATGGTATTTGGAGGTGGGGTTTCTGGGAGGTGATTAGGTCACAAGGGTGAAGCCCCCATACATGGGATTAGTGCCCTTATAAGAGGGACCCCAGAGATCTCCTTCACCCCCTCCATCATGTGAGGTTACAGTGAGAAGGCACCGTCTATGAACCAGAAAGCAAGCCCTTACCAGACACTGAATCCACTGACAACTTGACCTTACACTTCCCAGCTTCCAAAACTGTAAGAAATAAATTTCTGCTGTTTTATAAACTACCCAATTGATGGTATATTATTAGAGCAGCCCAAACAGACTAAGACAGGCTTATAACCACAAAGTTCATCACTTTACAACCCAGGCTCAGAGGGCTCTGCTCGGTGTGGTTCATCAGACACTTGGGCGGCTGCAGCCTTTATCTCCTGTAGCAGGGAGAAGAGAATAGGACCGATCACACAGTGCTTTGCTGTCAGCAACGGTCACATGTCACTCTTCACATTTTCTTTGCCAAAGTAAGCGAATGAATGTGCCTAACTGAAATGGGAGAGTTCACTGATTCCCCTTGCAGGATGTGTGACAGGGATGTGGCTCACCTGTTTGGTCCCCTGGAAGCTCAAACCCCTAGGGGGAGCATGCAGAGGGTCAGGTGCAGAGGGCAGGGCAAGTGTTCTGGGCTCCTGCCCTCAGGTAGTGTCTAGGGGTGGGTGCCTGCAACCCCCGTGTTACAAAGCTCTTTCAGCTTTGCCGTCTTCAGATGGCTTTGAGTGTTAATAAGTTCAGTAGATCCTCTGCCTTATGTCAAGATCAGAGACCCAGTGTGACAGCCTTCTGAATCCCAAGCTCTTGCCCTGTCCTGAAAGTATCAGATCACACACAGGCTTGAAGGCTGAGTGCAGGGTTTTATCGAGTGGTAGAGGTGGCTCTCAGGGAGATGGATGGGGAGCTGGAAGGTGGAGGGGTGGGGGAGATAATCTTCCCCAGTGGCCAGATTCTTCTCCACCCACCCCGGTGGAACTCCCCTTGATATCCAGATGTCCCTCCCTTCGCTCTTTGTCTGCTGCGTCGTTCCACTGTCACTGGTCTGCTGGTCTTGATGTTCAGCCACTTGTGTGTGTGTCCACTAAGGTCTTAGGTTCATATGGGCACAAGATGGGGGGTGTGGTGGGCCAGAGTGATCTTGGAAAATGCAACATTTGGGCATGAAAACAGGAGTTCCTGTTCTCACTTAGGTCCTGTTCTCACTTAGGTCCAAGAGCACAGGCCTGAGGGTGGAGCCCTCACCACGTACCCCACCCTTCTCTACCCAGTACTTCCCTGCCCTCCTCCCATATCATAGCTACAAAGGAGAATGACAATGCAACCGTAACATGTACCCAGGAGGAGAGGTGGAAATACAGATGCCAGCCCAGGCCACCCAGATCAAAGGCAACACTGGCCCTTTCTTTCCCTGTCTGTAGGTGGAGAAACTGGAGAGGAGCTCAGTTTGCCTCTCAGCATGTCTCCATAGGCAGATGTCAAGATTCCTCTGCCCTTTACCTTTCCTTACCATGAATGGGTATGATATTATAAAACCATACCTTCCTCTCCTCATCCTCAGCTAGGCACTGATGACTTAAGCAGATAAAATAATTGTATGCATTCTATAAATTATCCACACATTCAATTCTCCAAGGAAGTATTTTCACCATGCAAGTAGAAATAGCTAATCCAAAATACTTATTACTTTTAATGGCAAAAGCCATCATTACTTTTGCATCAACTTAATATTTGTGTGTAAACAAGGCACTGTTTTTTGAGGGTGGGTCTTACAAAATACTTGTCTGCTTCTGCGTACCCCACCTCCAGGCCTAAGTCCATATCTTCATAGAAGCCAGTCTATTTGCCACAGTCAAGTGTTCCAGCCTATAGGAAACATTCACTTTGTGTCGGGCACAGGCAAACCACTTTCCATGAAGTGTTTCACCGCATCTCTCTGAGCATTAGTCTGTGCAACTATGAAATAGCCTGACTGTGGAAGTTGAGCGATTTCCCCAAAGCCACTGCACTAGCTTCCTGGGGCTCCCATCACAAAAAGTTCCACAAACTGAGAGGCTTAAAACAACAGCAAGTTATTCTCTTACAACTCTGGAGACCAGAAGTCCAAAGTCCAGATGTTGGCAGGGCCACACACTCCCTCTGAAGGCTGTGGGAGACAATCTTCCTTTGCTTCCTCCCGGGATTCCTAAGCTTGTGGCTCTGTCACTCCAATCTTCCCTTTGGCCATCACATGGTCTCTGTCCCTGTGCCTTCTTCTCCTGTCTCTCATAAGGACAGCAGTCGTCATTCTATGTGAGGTCCACCTAGATAAGCCAGGAGGATTACAGCTCAAAAACCTTAATTACACCTGAAAAGACCCCTTTTTTCCAAATACACTCATGTGTACAGGGCCTGGGTATTAGGATGTGGACATATGTTTTTGAGGATGCCCATCCAAGCTACTTCAGAACATGTTAACTGGGACTGTGTCATTCCAGGGTGTAAGCCCTCAACCACTAAGCCAATGTACCTTTTTTTTTTTTTTTCCAAACAGGGTCTTGCTCTGTTGCCCAGGCTGGAATGCAGTGACACGATCTTGGCTCACTGCAACCTCCACCTCCCAGGCTCAAGCTATCCTCCCACCTCGGCCTCCTGAGTAGCTGGGACTATAAGCATAACCCACCACTCTTGGCTAATATTTTGTTGTTGTTGTTGTTGTTGTGGAGACAAGGTCTTCCTGTGTTGTCCAGGCTGGTCTCAAATTCCTGGGCTCAAGCTACCTGCCCATTTTGGCCTCCTAAAATGTTAGGATTACAGGCATGAACCACTGCACCCAGCCCAGTGTGCCTTTCTATAAACGTTGTACTCAGCCTGTTGCTTGACCAACTGAATCATCACGGCCCCAATTACTTTTATTTAAAAACATTATTAATCAAAAGTTGTGGGGAAATAAAAGACTGTAAGCCACAGTCCTGCTCTCCAGGATCTTAACATCCAGTTGGGATACTTGGTCTGACCATCCAAGAAACACTAGCAACATAGGAAGTGTAGCCTCCCACCTGAATTGTACAGAAAATCTAGCAATATTTATTTTGCAGAGAGGTACTGAGTAGATTAGGAGAGGGAGGGCCATGTGCAGAGCCCGGTCTGGAGGCCCTAGAGTGGTCCATGTATGAAACCACAGGATCCCACGTTAGGATGTTGGTTGTGAAAACAGAAGGGCAAAGACTAATGCGAGAAACACTGTACAGGAACTATAACCTGGTGCCAAGGATTCAAGATGGTGGCAGCAAGAGTGAAGAGTAAAACAGGTAGGGCATCTAAGATTGGAGTCTGGGGACATGAATGTTGACCAACTCCCTTTCTGGTTCAGGTGTATTGTCAAAGCATGGCCTTGGGTCTACCTTTCAGCCTCTCCCTTTCCCCCTGTACCTCTCAGTGGCCAGTGTTCTGCCTGCCCTGGGTCTTCCGCCAGCCATCTCCCACTGCTCAGCTATCCTCATCTCATGGGACCACACCACCCACAGCCATCACCCTTCAACTCCAGGCTTCTTCCCCATAAGCCTGCTTTTGGCTTCATACCACTGTGTCTTCTCTAAGCCCATCTCAGAATCCCCTTCCTTGAGTCATTAATGACCTCCTTCTGGCTGACTCTAAAAACATTCTGCAGTCACTTTTCAGGATTGGCTTGGGGAGCTGCCCCTGCTAGAGCCTCTACCTCACTCCGCCCCATCTCATCGGCCCCTTTATTGTCTCCTGCCCTCTTTTTCCATGCAGTCTCCTGCAGGGACTCACTTGTAAATGTGGCTCAGCCCCAGGGCTCTCCATCTTCCCACTTCTACCCCTCTGCTCGTTTGTGGGTAGAGAGGCTGTTCACCTTCATGACTTTGGCCTCTGGCTCTGTGCTCAGTACATGAAGCCCAGACTGCTTTCCAGAGTACATGGTGCAAATAACCCTGCCCTTTCAGACAGCTACACTATAAACTCATTGTAAAATGGCTCACCCTCTGTGTCCCTCATCTCCATGAGGACAACCAACACCCCTTCAGTTACTGCACCCACACCTGGATTTAGGTTTCTACACCAGAAACCTGAGTTCAAGCTTATACACAGAAACCTGTGTCCAGGTCGCTACACAGAAACCTACCTTCAAGTTCCTACACAGAAACATGCATTCAAGTTCCCACACAGAAGCCTGCATCCAGGTTCCTACATAGAAACCTCTGCCTGCACAGGTGTCTCCTCACCTCCTGAACATTTCTGACATTGATTCTTGCTCCATTTCCACCACCACACACTGGGACACTCATGGATCTGGCCAGGATGCCTCCCAATAAGAGTCCTGTGTCCAGCCTTGACTCTCTCTAATCTCTACTACTGGAGAGAGTGTTCCAACATACACGTGAGATCTTGTCACCCCTTTCCTCCTTAAATAATAAAAACAAATATAGAAACCACTTAATGTTTCTTTATAGCTTAAAAGGTAAAATTTTTAAAAAGTCTTTCATGATCTGAAATTTGTGGAAAACTCTGGTCACATCTCTCCTCATCCCCCATCCATCCCTTCACTCTCCCCACACCCATGCAACATCTCAGCTGTGTGCCTGCTGACCCCTTGAATTCTCTGAGCAAATTGACAGGCTGCTCTCTTTTCCCCTTCAGATCTCAGCCTGAAACACTGTCTGCAACCTGGATGATTCCTTCTCCTGCTGTGTCTCTCAGCTCAGCACCCCTCAATGAAGAAGTTCTCTTTAAACCAACCTCTCTGCTTTCCCCTGCCTTCCGAAGTTTTCATCTCGCTCACCCTGCATTCCTTTTCAGGGTCCTCCATGTGAGCACACAGCATTCCTTTTCTCTAGAGGATTCAGCAGTAAGGTGCCATCTTGGAAGCAGAGAGCAGCTCTCGCCAGACTGAGTAGCCCTCGGTCTACTCTTTGCTTCTAAGGTGGAAGCATGCTGGCACCTTGAACTTGGACATCCCAGCCTCTAGCACTGTGAGAAAATGAACTTTAGTTCTTTATAAATTACCCTATCTCAGGTCTTCTGTTATGGGAGCCCCTTAAGGACTAAGACACTCAGTGATGCATTTTAATGTAGATTTCTTTTTTCACTCTGTGCTAAAATGCCGGTAGTGTCTATTATCAGGACACTTCTCCTTTAGTTCTGGGAACTTTCATTTCTTTGAAAGTTGGGATATCAGGAGTCTTTTTTATGACTCCTGTAAGAAATTACCACAATCTTGGTGACTTAAAACAATAGAAATTTATGATCTTACATTTGAAGAGGCCAAAAATTCAAGATCAAGGCATTAGTAGGGCTATACTCCTCCTGGAGGCTGTGGGGGATGCTCCGTCTCTCAACTCTTGTAGTTTGTGTGGCTCCTGGTGTCCCTCATGGCGACACTGCTTCAATCTCTCCCCACATCTTCACATGGCCTTCTAATCTGTGTCTTACAAGTGTCCCTCTGCCTTCCTCTTATAAAGTCAGTTATGGTGCCACATAGCCCACCACATAATCCAGAATAATCTCCTCACTTCGGGATCCTTAATCACATTTGCAAAAACCTTTTTCCCAAATAAGGTAACATTCATGGGTTCTAGGTATTTGGACCTGGACTTCTTTGGGAGCCATTATCACCCAACCAGAGCTGTCTTCCTTCAATTCTACCGGTCTTGTAATTCTGAACTTTCTTTCAAAGTTAATGTTGAACCAGCATCTGACTCTTCTGTTTTCATTACATTTTATTGTTTTTCCACATTTGTTATCTTTCACTCTCCTCTGGGAGTTCTTCTCCATTTTTATTCCTCTTATAATATTCTATTGGTTTGATTTAATGTTCAGCTAACATGTTTAATTTGAGATTTCTTCTTAGTCTTTGATGTTTTTTCATAGCATGGTGTTTTAGTTTTAGGAATGCAAGTTTACGAATGATTATCTGAGTTTTCTTCTCTTGTCCACTCTCTCTGTTCATACTGGGCTCTATTTATTTTTCTGTTTTGTTTTGTTTTGTTTTTCATTTCATTTTGGAGGTTGTCCAAAATGTGTACTGATCCTTGGTCAGCTATTTGTATTTAAAAATAAGGCAGAAAGCAAAAAAAAACAAAAAACAAAAAACAATGGATGCTTTGTGCATGCGGGCATGCAGGGCCAGGTATGGGTTGGGGTAATTTGTAAACTGGGGACTTCCACTGTTCACTGATTCTGGGGGAAGCCAGGTTTTTCACAGGGAAAAGTTCTAGAGCTTCTCTGGTTCAGTTTTTGCACAGGTTAGAACTGAACAATGAGAACACTTGGACACAGGATGGGGAACATCACACACCGGGGCCCGTTGTGCGGTGGGGGGAGGGGGGAGGGATAGCATTAGGAGATATACCTAATGTAAATGATGAGTTAATGGGTGCAGCACACCAACATGGCACATGTATACATATGTAACAAACCTGCACGTTGTGCACATGTACCCTAGAACTTAAAGTATAATAATAAAAAAACATTCTCTTGCTTGAGGCTGGAGGAGGCTTGGCTGCTTTAAATAGGGAGAGGACACCTTTTTCTAGAGGCTTTAGTCAGTACTCTGTTTCTGCCCCGGGCCTCATGCCTCCATCCCATGTCACTGGTGCCTGAAAGGCATGGGTTTTTCTGAGTTCTTGGGTCAGAGGTGGTCACTCTATCTTAAGTTACTGCTTCCTCAGTTCTGATAAATCAGGCTCTCCTCCAAATCCCCATGTTTTCTTCAAAATTTTGAAAATACCTCAGGTAGGCAGCTGTTTTCTATTATCTTTTCTGTGTGGTCTTATACATTTTTTGGTAATTTGGTAATATTTGAGGAAGAAATGGAAATAAATGTCTGTGCTAAATTTACTGTGTTGAATATTTTGTCTCCTATAGTTTATATAACAATTTCCATACAATGGACACTTTTTCGCTGGCTTTTCACTATTAAAGCTGTCTCAGTGAGAATTATATTTGAGGATCATTATTTGTTTCATATCTGTTTCTCTTAGTAAAGTGTAAACACTAAGGGCAGAAAGAGACGTCTGTCACTCAGTATCATAAATGTCTCTGGCACAAGACACGAAGTAAACAATGAGTTGAAATTATTGAGCGAGTTTTTCCTTAGGACGTGTTTCGAGGTCTGGAAGGGCCAATGACAAGGGTAAGAACATTGCAAAGTTCCCGACGCATAGGCCAAATTGTTTTCCAGGACAGTTTTTTACACAGTTTTCCAAGGTTTTCTTTCTTCATGCTAAAAGAGATCAAAACTATGGGAGGCCCAGGTTGCAGTGAGCCGAGAATGCACCAGTGCACTCCAGCCTGGGCGACAGAGTGAGACTCCGTCTCAAAAAAGAAGAAGAAGAAGAAAAAAGAGGTCAGAACTGAACACCAACTCGTTTTAGTGCCTAGTTCCTTTCTCAAAAACTTGGCACACTTAAGTTCCTCCGCCCCTCTCCTGGGACAAGAATTTTAAGCTCCTAGCTACTGACATACTGAGTTGACAAGATCAGAGAGACAGCTATTTATTTGGAATAAAAGAAAGGTCAAGGCTTCTCAGATGTTTCACTGTGTTATCATTTAACCTTAGTTCTCATCTTGCATTTTTAAAACCTTTTTCAAATGTATGGACAGAATTGACTTGGAGAGAGTCCTCTCATTTAGGCAAAAAAATACATCTGGTTAGAAACCCAGTGGTCTTTGTTGTTTCTCTTACAACAATTAGGCTGATAATCCAATGTGAGAGAATTCAAAATTGTAAAGTCCATGACCTTATAAGAAAATTAGGAGTGCAGTCTGGGGTTCTGAGAGATTGAACTTTTGAAATTTCTTCCAAATGTATTTATTTTCACTGAAATAAAACAATATGCCACAGACACTGAAGAAAGCCCTCACCCATGACACTGTATATATCTGTTTAATAATAATGGAGACCGTGTTTGCTGTGTGTTTACTACATTTTGCTTCATACAAAATGTTCAAAACTCTTTTATTTCCCCTGGTACAAAGAAATGCTCGTAGATTGGAGTTTTATCAATAACATGTTCACTATGAATCAGTTTTTCAGTTTCTTTTCTTCATTCTAGTGTTTCATGCATCTCAGAATTGATCTCCCAGGGGTTTCGTTCTCATTCTTGCTCCTGCCCATAATATTGTTGAAGTTTCCCACTGGAGAAGTCAGAACGTGGCCAAAGGTGGATAAATGATGTGGAGTTGTGTCCAAACTAGAGCGTGGGTTAAGGTCTGACCTCAGCATCACAGGCTGGGAAACGTGATGTGTTGTCACACTGAGAAGGTCCAGTCCATCAGGTCATGCTCTTACAAACCAAGCCCCGGATGGGCATATAAAGCCAGCAGATCCTCCCACCTCGGACTCCTAAAGTGCTGGGATTACAGGCATGAGCCACAGTGCCCAGCTGCTAGTTACTTCTCTTACTATTTTCTGTCTTTTCTTTATGGAGATTTAATTTTCTATTATTTTTCTAACTACTTGAGATGGATGCTTACAACAATTCTTTTCAACTTTTTAATTTTCTTGAAATATACATTTATATCTCCACATTGTTTTCAACATGCTAGCTACCTCCCACATGTATTAGTTTTTTTATAATTCAGTTCAAAGCATTTGAAATTCAATGGGTTATTTAGAACTTTATTGCATAATTTCCAAAACCAAGACGTTTTCCAGTTATCTTTCTATTACCAATTTTTAGCTTAGGTATGATGTGTTCAGAGACTATACCATGCGTGATTTCAATCTTTGGAAATCAGTGGCGACTTGCTATATGGGCCAGAATATGGTCATCTAAAAATACTGTTTTATGTGCAACTGAAAAGCATGGGATTCATGAATTGATGGATGTAGTGATCTATGCATGTTACTGTTTTGCTGGCATCTTCTATACCTTTCCTAACGGTTTTGTCTATTTCTTCTATTGTTTGTAGACAGAAGTTTGTTGAGATTTTCCAATGTGATAGTGGATTTCCCTATTTCCTTTTTAGTTCTGTAAACGTGTGCTTTATGTTTAGGCTGTGTGTCATTAGTTATATACTAAGATTGATTTGTTATGTGTTCCTGATGAATTGAGACTTACCATTATGGAATGTCACTCTCTCCAGTAATATGTTTTGCTGTGAAGTCACTTTTCAGCCATATGAATATGGTACAGTGGCACTTCTTGGTTAATATTTACATGGTGTTAATTTTCCCCATCATTTTTGTTCCAAGCTTTCTCTATTTATATCGTGTTAGTGTGTTTCTTACCAGCAGTGTGTACTTGTGCTTGTTTTTCAGAATGAAGAGCTTTGTTTTCTTTACCCTTTAATTCATATATTAGTCAATTTACATTTAATATGACTATTAATACGCTTGCTTTTTAAAACTCCTGACTCTTATTTTCTAATTGTCTTGACTATGATCTTTTTTCTTTCCTTCTTATAAAATTATTGAAACTATTTTATTTCATTTTCCCTTTCTATTATATTTACACGCTTTCATTCTTCTGGTGTTTACCTACTATAAGGTAATTACCTGTGGAAATTACAGTACACAACCTGAACTTTCTAAATCTGTTTTCTGCTTCATTTTTGAACTCATTTCCAAGAAAATGAGAACCTTGGTATATTTTCACTCATTTACCTTCTTCTTATTTTTACACTATTATTATTTTAATTTAAATTTTGCATTTTTTGAAAACCCACGTTAAATTATTTTTTACATATATGTGTATATATATATATATATATATATATATATATATATTTTTTTTTTTTTTTTTTTTTTTTTTTTTTTGAGACGGAGTCTTGCTCTGTCTCCCAGGTTGGAGTGCAGTGGTGCGATCTCAGCTCACTGCAAGCTCCGCCTCCTGGGTTCATGCCATTCTCCTGCCTCAGCCTCCCTAGTAGCTGGGACTACAGGCGCCTGCCACCATGCCCTGATAATTTTTTTTTTTTTGTATTTTTAGTAGAGACGGGGTTTCACCGTGTTAGCCAGGATGGTCTCGATCTCCTGACCTCGACTCCATGGTAAATTATTAATAACTATTTTATCCAGAACACATTCATGTAAATTCACCACATGTTTATCATTTTCCTGTCATCTATTCTCCCTGCTTCTGTGTTATTACCTGGGGTGATTTTCTACCTAAAGGGGATCCTTTGGTACTATATTCTGTATTTCACTTTTATCTTTAAAGAATAGTTTTACTGGATATAGAATTCTAGATAAGCTTTTATTTTTAATTGACCCTTTGCTGAGCTCATTCTATGGCCTTCTGTCTTCCTTAGTTTCTATTGAGAAATCAACTCAATGGTTTAATTGTTGCTTGTTTGGATATGCTGTGTTATTTTTCCTGTGGCTACTTTTAAATATTTTTCATTCTCTTTAATTTTTTTTGTTGTGTATATTTGTTTTCGTGAATGTTTATTTTGTGAGGGGTTGCAGGGCTTCTTGAATTAGTTTGCTGTGGTTTTGCATCAGTTTGGGAAATCTCTTGGCCTTTAGGTCACTTCTGCTCCTTTCTCTTTTTCTCTCCTCCTGGGACTCTAATTGTGTGTATGTAAGACCATCTCCCTACCTCCTGCAGCTTTTACTCTCTCTTCTGACCCCATTCTCCATCATCCAGCCTCTTTTTCCTGTGTGTTTCATTCTGAATGTTTTCTTTTCCTCTATCTTCCAGTTCATGGAATGTTTTATTCGTCTGTGTTTATTTGGATATTAAACACACTTATTGTGTTCTTATTTTTATTTTTTTATATACAGAGATTCCACTTGGTTCTGTTTCACAATTTTCATTTTTTTAACCAAAATGTTTAGTCTTGCTTTTATATTACTAAAGATGTTAGGCACATTTATTTTAAATTTTGTGTCAGACAACTCTATTATCTAACTCCCCTGAGTCTGTTTTTATTGTCTGTCACTTTTAGAAATGTGTTCTTTTCTCATTATTTGCATAATTGCCTATGATTAAGTATTAAAAATTGATAATGAATAAACCAGAAATAATTTAATCTCTAAGCTATGAGATCTTGCAAAGAATATTTTCATTTGCCTCTGGTGGGTGGATCTGGGCATTGGTAATCTAGGGGCTGTGATGATTGAAGCCTGGAGTTCAGTCTATGTAATCCAGCCTGTTTTTAGTGTGCTCATTCTCTCATGGTGTGGTCCTTCAGGTTCTCAGCTCAGCACACGGAGAACTTACCAGTGACCACCCCACAAGGCGGGCCCTGGACTCCAAGTTTTGTCTCTCAGACCCAAAAGGATGACAAAAGCTTGTTTTGTTTCTTAGTCTCTCAACTTTCTGGAATCAGTAGATGTTCCTAGAGGAAAGGAAGGTCAAAATGCTGGGCTTGCCTTTGGAGACTTTCTTCTTCTCACTTGTCTTGTCCTGTAATTACTTCAGTACCTTGCTGGTGCTTCCATGTCTTTCAGCAAAATATATTTACCAGCTTTTAAAGTTGTTCTGAATGAGATTAACTCTCCAAATTACTCAGTTTGTTTTTATCAAAACAATGTTTTTATGGTTTTTGGCATGTTTAACCAATGATTGGTCTCAGTGATTTGCTAATTAATACATGTGATTGAAATATCTGAGTTTAAATTTTGCTTTAATAGACAGGTGCATGATCATATTTGCAATATTTTTATTTCTAAATCTTCTCTTCACATTTTATTTTGTAAAACAACTTCGACATCTAAATGTTAAGTTAAAAAAAAACAGCTTGAGCATCTACGTTTGGATACCTGCTACTTATTAAATCCTGTATTTTTACTGTTCACTTCAGTATGGCAAGCAAACACTGACATGAATGTGTGCATTAAGGAAAAGAGCACTAAATATCCATACCACTACTCATATTACATGGATTTTGAAAACTACAATCCAAAACTATTATGCAACTTTGCATAAAGCATTTCTTATATATTTGACCACTGAATTTTTATTATATCACGAAGACACATGTATAGATGACATAGGAAGTGGGATTTGGGAAGCTAACTTATTTGCCAACAGATGTTTAATTCAATATGGTTTATATAAATTCATAATGAGTAGTGGGGACAATTCCACAAGCACTTCTTTGCTAATCATCTGTCACAATAACATGGAAGACTGAAGGCAGCACACTAATGTAGGCAGCCTGCTGTTAAATTTCAGACTGACGTGGATGGTGTGCCATCAATTGTGAATCCCCTGAGGGTCTTCCTTCTTCCTAGCAGTGACCTCTAGTCATGTGCTTGAGCTCAAGACTGCTGGGCACCCTGTGGTCAGAGCACCTGCCCACAAAGAGAATGAATTTGTCTTAGGGTGACTACCTTCTTGACATATTGGAGTGCATTAATATTACATTAGAATCTGAGGCTTGGACAGATCTCTGATCCCTCCATTTTCTCTCTCTATCTCTCTCTTCCCCCCTCCATGTCCCTGTCTCGTTCTCTGTTTTCCTGCATTCACTCTCTCTCTCTCTCTTTCTCTCTCTCTCTCTCCATCTCCCTCTCTCTTTCTCTGTTTTCCTCCATTCATTCATTCCTCTCTCTCTCCCCTCCCACCATCTCCCTATCTCTTTCTCTGTTTTCCTCCATTCATTCTGTCTCTCTCTCTCTCTCCTCTCCCTCCATCTCCCTATCTCTTTCTCTGTTTTCTACACTCTTTTTCAAATGCTCTACTTTCATAATGACAGCACTCCTTTATCTGAATGTCCCATTCTTTCTCAGGATCTTGCAGAGATACTTTTCATTCAATCACATGAAGGAAAGCTTCTACGAACTTTCATGGTTCTCCATGTTTGCCATTATTGGTTATTTGTCTATTTGTTTTGGAAAATTTTAACTACATTAAAAGCTTGTGTCTCTTTGGTAACAAATTTCCAGCAGTCATTGCAGTTCCTGACATAGTGTATACATCTAATACAGTTTGATTGAATAGATCTATGAGTCACTGAATGAATGAGATGATTTGCAATTTTGCTAAAGTAAAAATTTTCTCCACGGGGCCACTGGTGCAAGTCTCAGAGTTTGAAGGCCAGGGAACCTGGAGTTCTGATGTCCAAGGGAAGAAGAGAAAAGTGACCCAGCTCTGAGGGGTAGGGGCAGAGAGGGGGAGAGAGAGAGAGAAAGTATGTGTGAGAGAGAAGGGGAGCAAGGGAGAGAGAGAGAAGGGGGCAAAGGGGAAAGAGAGAGAGAGAGAGAGAGAGAGAGAGAAATTTATATTTTCTCTGCCTTTTTGTTCTATCCAAGTCCTCAGCCAACTGGATGGTTTCCCCCTACATTGGGTAAAGGTGGTTCTTCTTTAACTTAGTCCATTGATTCAGGAGTCAGTCTTACAAAAACATCCTCATAGACACACCCAGAAATAATGCTTTACCAGCTATCTAGGTATCCCTTAATCCAGTCAAGTTGACACCCAAAATCTACCATTACACCACATGACCCATTTTTGTATTTTAAACAATTTGGTAGATCTCTGTTGCCTACCAGTGATGAAGACAACTTCAGTCCAGCCGACAAAAACACTGTTTGTCTCTCTGCTACTCCTATCACTTGTCAGCAGCCACCTATTCCCCAACCACGGAGAGCCTTATGTCCCTCCCTGAGCACAGGGGCACCTCACGTCGACTTGCCTTGACCTATGCGCATTTTTTCCTCTTGTTTATAACCAACTTTCTCTTCCAGTCCTCTGGAAAATGCCAGGCTAACCTTTAAGATTTATTTAATTGTGACCTCAGAGGCCAAAGAATGAGCTCTCTATATTAGATTGAACCTTATGAAATGGATACTATCCAACCATTTAGACCTTCATAAAGGCAATTTCATTTGACTCAACTTATTACATAACTCCATTAACGTGTCACATTGAATTGCAACCAACTGTTCACACATCCATCTCCTCCACATGCCTGGCACAGAACCAGGACATGGTGGGCACTTGTGTTTCGAAGAAACAAATACATACCCCAGGTGCCTCTTCTTTCTCTTTTCTAACTCCTCTTTCTTTTCTCTTGTTATTTATTTATTTTTCCACAGAAGAACCTGGGGCAGTATTGGATACTGTTAGGACTGGGAGAGGACAGTATCAGGGATAAAGATCCTGTGTTCTCGCTCTGAAGCCCTGGTGGAAGCTGTCACTCATCAGGAGCCTGCTGGAGCCATCTCTCAGCTTTGCAGAGTGCAGGGATGTCACTTTTGATGTGTGAGGGTTGACAAGGCTATGCCTGTTTCTTCCTTTGTATACCCCCAGTTTTCAGAAGCATGCATTTTAGTAAGCAACCCTACTCTTTCTCATTCTATCTGTCTTTGGTTATCATTTAGAGTAGTTACTGATTATCACCTAGAAGTCTGAGAGAGGACCTTGAAATCATTGCTTCCTTATGCATCCACTCTATATTTTGGCATTTTACACCAAAAAAAAAAATGCAAGATCTTTGGGAGTATCCCTTGTTAGCATATATCTTCAAGCTTCAATTTGAGACTCTCGATCTTGATGTTTGGTTGTTGGAAATAATACATAACTTCCATGAGTGCTCTTATAACTGGAAAAATTAGGTTCAGAGTAAAGTTCAAATAGTATCAGTGTAACAGCTACCCCAAAATTTTTCTTTTTCTTGTCTTGGCATGCAGAAATCTGTTCTTATTTGTACCTGAGTCATGATAATTTAAAAATCAAACAAAGATAACAAATATGTACGCCATCAGGGAAGGATAGTGAGCTGATATGTATTAAGTTATGTCTCTATATTGCCTGCATTTAACATATCACACCTTGGGAGCCTTTATTGTTTGAACACTGTATAGGTGAAGAAATGGGATTAGTAAATTTCATGTGGTCAGGAGGCACCGTGAGCCTCTGTCAATGTTTTGCTTCCCGTATTTTTGTCCTAGGCGATGCTCTTCTATGTAGTGACAAAGGCAGATCACCAATGAGAACGGCTCATTTCCACTTCCCAAGGTTGTTGGGCCACAATGGGTCTCCAAGGATCCACAATGAGCAAGCCTCAGAAGTTAAATAAGGGATAACTCTAGATGATGGGATGGAATGTCGATTTTCCTTTCTTTTTCTCATTTTCTCTTTTGTCTCGTTTCCCTTTTTCTTCTTTTTTCACTTTTTCTTTCTTTTGTCTACTCCTTCTCTTTATTATTTATTTATTTATTTATTTTGGAGATGAAGTCTCGCCCTGTCACCCAGGCTGGAGTGCAGTGGTGCGATCTCGGCTCACTGCAACCTTCACTTCCCAGTTCAAGCGATTTTCCTGCCTCAGCTTCCTGAGTAGCTGGGACTACAGGTGCACAACGCCACGCCCAGTTAATTTTTATATTTTTAGTAGAGACAGAGTTTCACCCTGTTGGCCAGGATGGTCTCAATCTGTTGATCTCCTGATCCACCCGCCTCGGCCTCCCAAAGTGCTAGGATTACAGGCGTAAGCCACCGCACCCAGCCCTCCTTCTTTTTATTTCTATCGTTTCTTGTGTCATTCCTGTCTTACTTTCTGCCTCACTGCCTGTCTTTTGTTATTTCTTTCCTGTTTGCTTCTTTGATCTTTTACTTTTTCTTGTATTTTTTTGAATGGTGGAGAGGTTGTGGCCCAGTCAAACTGGTTCTTCTGCTTTTGATATATAAGCAATCTTTAACCCAATATTGAATGTACTTAGCTTTGTAGAAGGATGCAGGGCGGGGCTACAGCAGACATTGCATCTTCCTCTCCTGAGGAAGCCCAGCAGCCACCAAGGTGCAGCTCCCCATTCCCATACCCCTGCCAGAGGTGAGATACTGCGGTGATGTGTTTAAAGGTAAGTTGATGCACTCACTGGGATTCCTGGTATCTTCATGCCAATTTACATCCTCCTCAGCCCAGGTGTGGTCCCACAGAATAGGGATAAGCATAGATGCAGCTCTGCATGTTTATATGATTCAGAATTAGTGCTAGAAGAATACAGATCCCAAGGTTATAACCCCAGGGAGGCCTATGTCAGCCTGGCCCGACACAAACTCATTACTTGCTGTTAGTTACTTATCCCTTCTTTCCCTCTCTTGATGCCTCCTTTACAATTGTCATTTATCGCAGCATTGACAGATGTTTCTAGTCTTTCGACATCATGACCATGTCTTTATTTTTTTCCATGTGACAATCATTATATATTTTTTAAAACGCCATTAGAATGATGCAGACATCTTATTCATTCAAAACATCTGTATTTTTAAATTCTGACATTTGGCCAAGGCACATCACTTCCTTGGGTCTCAGTTTATGTATCTATACATTGTATAGGTTTGATTAGATGACATCTGTGACCCCTTCCGGATCACACATCCACGTGTCTCTACTAGCAGTGCTGGGAAACATGCAGCCATTAGCCTGGAATGCTCTCCTGGCTTTATAAATCCCGTCTTAGCCAGATCACGTTGTATGCACATGAAGCTGGGTCATGCTTTCCTCAGAGATAATAGCTAGAAAGACTGGAGAGTTGACGTGGGACATGAATATTACATGATTCAGTTATGTGGATCCTACTAAAGGAAAGCATCTCTCATTGTACTAAATAAGACATGGCAGCTAAGTAATACTGCATTTTGCGGAAAGCAATGAACTTGTGCGGTATCCACATGAGAGGGCATGTTACATGCCACTGCGGAAGGGGCAAGACTTGCCCCTATCAGAAGACTGAGCATTTTAAGGGAGCAAAAGGATTCTTGCTATGCCATCAGAATTCCATTATCGCAACTTCTTAGGACCTTGGGAAGGACTTTAAAAACCTATGAGAAGACACACAGGATTTTCAAATTCCTGCAGAGAAAACCCAGTGTATGAAGGTTATCAGCAGATGGGCTCCGTGGCCTCATGTGCAGGAGACCACATGTGTCTTAGAAACCTAGAAACCACAGTGGGCAGAGAGGGTCATCTCCAAGATGTGCGTCAAAACTATTTATTGCCGACATTGTAATATTAGCAACTAACCAGACTGCACTGAATGTTTAAATAGCTAAATCTTCTGTAAATTATCCTTAGCTTAGTGACAGTGCTTTTCTTTCCCTGACCAACAAAGTTAAAGTACCACCACCCTCCCCACACTGCCCGCCCTCTCTCCAGGGTTATTTTTCTCCAAAATATGTATTATCTGAAATACCCAGAACATTCCTGCTTCAGAAGAGCCTGAGTCTTGGTCAAGAGTGCCTGCAAGTAGGACAAACAGACTCAGAGAAAGACCTATTTGACAATTTTACATGAGGCTGGCTGTGGTTATGCAATCTGGGTTTATGTAATAGGGAAAAGATGGAAAGATTACAGCTACAAAAGATTATTTTATAAAGGAGATGTACCCATTGAGAAAAGAACGTAAAAAATGGTCTTAAATTAGAGTATGAGAGAGCTGAGGAGAATTTCAATAATTATTTAAAGCCTCTAACAATGCAGGTTGTTATAGGGACTAAGGTTTGACAGTAATGGAATCTACAGTCTTTCTCCTTGGTGATTAGGGCAGATACCAGCATGGAATTGCAGGTTCAATTTACTTTTCATGGAGTAGGAATAGATTCTGAACGTATCTTCAAGGCATGAACTCAGTGATTACATAAGCTGTGCTCAATATTCTGCACACTCATATCTCAGGATGAACACAATTTTGGATCATTTAAAATGTCTATAATGATATAAATATTGAATTATATAGAGGAAAAGTAAAGCCATCTTGAGAGATAAGTTAAATCTACATGTGGGTCCCCACAAAGGGGAAGCTCCATCAACCAGATGAGGACGGCTGCTCTCAGTGTGGTCCCACAGCAGCCGCCCCATGTGCTGTCAGAGTGGATGATGGTGGTGTGAGGAAAGAGCCAGCCGGGGCCCTGCATCTGAGCCATGGAGCCACCTGCAAAGCCCCCAAGGGCAGAGATGGTCCTGCAGCTCCCCCTAGTCAGCAGCCCAGGTAATCCGGCCAAGGCAGGACAATTGACATGGTGCAGGTGAGTGATGGCTGTGAGGTGAGAGTGGGTGGGGAAGGCGACAGGTCAGCCAGGGAGTTCTGACTGTGTCATAGCAAGACAGAGTATTCTTGGCCAGAGTATTCTTCATGACTCCCACATACCTCCTTCAGAGCTTTACTCAAACATGGCCTTCCCAGGAGACTTTCCCTGACCAACAGAGTTAAAGTACCACAACCCTCCCCACACTACCTGCCATCTCTCCAGGGTTATTTCTCTCCAAAATATGTATTACCTAAAATACTGTATGTTTCACTGATATATTTTATTTATCATCTGTTTCTTCGATCCAAGAACTATGTCTATTTAATTCACAGAGATATCCCAGTGGCTAGAATGGCATCTGACATACCATAATAAATATGGATTGATTGAATGAGTAATAAGACAGCAATTACAAGTATTTTAAATATCCAAATTGAATCAACAAGCACAACCTCCCATTAAGAAGGATCAAATTTGGGTCAACACATAAAAAAGCTTAGATAATTGACAATAAAACCAAAAGCGTTAAAGTTTTTCCAGATTAAAGCATTGGATTTACCGGCGTGTGTGTGTTTGCATTTGTATGCCTGATTTTCATTTAGAAACTGTAGATAATTCTTAAACAGCAAGGAATTAATAGAGAAAACTAAATTTCTACAATCAGTGGCTTCTCAGGCTTCTCTAATTAGAAAGGTACAAATTATCTTGACAATCAATTATACTTTGAGAATATAAAGGTAACCATTGATTTAAAAATGTTAGGATAAACTATTTTGCAAAATTAGAATGTATCTAGTAGTTTCCTTTAAAGGAAGAAACCTCTGCATATCCCAAATCTTATGGAATTTGCCTTCTAAAAAAATAAAAATCATGGCTGTGAAAGGTATGTTATAAATTCCCTTAGAAAAAAATTGTCTGATAAAACTTTTTGTCTTTCTGAAAATGCAACTAAGAACAGTATCAATTAAGACATTTACTATTGTGAACCTCAAATATTTATTTATTCCTTTAGCTTACTATCCTCAAGCTTGCCATTCATTTATTCATTCATTTAGTTACTCAGCCAGCAGATATTAGATATTAGTCAGTAGACATTTAGTGAGGGCTTATTATATGCAAGACAAGGCAGTATATATTATAGAGGATAAATATAACAGTCTTTGAGAAGTTTATCTTGCGCAAGGGAAACAAGCTACATTAACACCTCCTCGTCAGTCCCACAATTCCAAACACACTATTCTGTCAGGCAGCGTGGAAGGAGCTGGCCCTAAGTGATAAGAGGGGTGTGCACGGGGAGTGGTGAGCAGCGTGGAGAAGCTGGCATGAGAGAGTGCCAGATGCAGCAATGGGGACAGGTTGGCCACATGGCAGTGGGTACTAAGTGCCAGTTGAGAGTTTGGATTTGATTCATGAAACGTACCAACATCTTGGCATGCATATAATGTGTCAGAAAGATAACTGGGTTATCCAGCCTAGATGCATCTGAAAATTTGGGTTGCTTTAAGATGCAATATGTAAGTCCATAGTTCCTACCAAAAATAATGCAAACAAAAGCCTGTAAAATGTTGAATTTTTGGAGTAGTAATTGGATTGGATGTTGTTTCCAATATGTCTGATTTATAAAGACAGGTAGCTACCTCAGCGGTGGCCAGAAATAGAAAATAATTAGCACAGGACACAGAGCATTTGGCCCAAACCTGTACATAAGATTGTTCAGGGTGCCCAAGCTCCATCTGAAAAAGAAGCTTTCTGAGCCAATCTGGGACATCAGCTGGTCTGGAAGGCTCTGGGTGGGCAGCTCTGTAGCCCGGGTGCTTTAGAAACTTCAGAGCACACACACCCAACGTGCCTAACAAATGCCATCATGTGGGCATCGCACTCTGCTCATGACTCAAGCAGAAAAGTAATTTCTGCCGCCTGTGAGAGACTGAAAGTCACAGACAATGGGCCCTTTTTCCAATCAGGTTTTCTGCTCTTTGTTTATGCTCAGCTAACTCTCCATCTGCTCTTTGGTAAAGTACACGAAGGCAAGGCCTTTCTGCTGGCTGCTCAGGAAACACAGGGACCTGCTGGGCTGTGACCTCCTCTGATCCCACCTCCATCAGCCCCAAGGCTCAGCCGCAAGAATGGGCTACAACCAAGGAGCATGTGGCTTTGGCCACCCACATAGGTGCCGAACAAAAAGGCCCAGATGGGGCAGCAGGGGTTGCTTGCCAGGGGGAGCTCCCTGGTCTCCCTGGCTTTGACTTAGGAGTCGGCACTGGAAGACACAGCTCAACTTGAAACGTATTTTCCCACAAGTTGCTTACTTATTCCAACCTATCCCATCTGCCTAGTCTCCAACCAAGTGGCTATGGCCTCCCTTGAGAAGAAAGTGGGGGCTGACGGGCCCTGTGAGGAGTCAACTCTCCTGCAACATATGTGCATGTGATCAGAATTTACCTCCACCATCTTCCCAATGCATCCAGAGAGTTTTGCTCCATGGTAAGGACAAAAGATGAAACTAACTCTGTCACTTACTAAAAGAAATGATGACTTCCCTATTCTATGCAGGCCCAGAGGGCACAGGTGAACCCACCTAAATCCAGTGTGTCCTCTTAGAAACTGACCCAAGCACATGCATTTCTGAAGTGGGCTGATGGCACCATCTTCATCAGTAGAGAAGAGCAATAAGAAAATCCCAATGTGTGCAGTAGAGGAAGGACACTGATACTTTCGCTTTGAAAGGTGCCCAGAGGCCTGCAACTAGTCGGTAATTCTGACCGCAGTGTCTGGGATTGACTTTCCTTCTGCCTCTATGATAATTGATTGTCAAAAATTTCTAAATTAAGACTGAGAGAAAATCAATCATGCATTCTGCTTTGATATTCACATGTAGGCTCTATTTTTCTACCTTAAACATAATAATGTAATAACTTTTCCAAAATGTATAGTAAAAAATGTTATTTGAGTTAAGGAGTGTGTTCTTAACTCTCTTCAACACAGATTCTGATTGTCTTTATTTCTACAGCAGGAAAGGCTGCAGACACACCTTTCAAGACCTGGATGTACTAGCAGCTGACTTCTGCTCTACCTGCAGCTTTAAAAATGGGCTGTGCTGTCCACAGTGTATCCATGGCTGGCCTTGGCAGGGCTCTCCAATCACCTGAAGCCTAGCCCCATGGAGAACTAACAGAGCTCAATGGGGGGCTTCATGTTCCTAGGAGAATTAGGGAGGGGACCAGGAGTCACGGGATTTCCCACGTGCCAGACTGCAATCCTGTTGGGTACCTACCTGCCTGCCCCTGCAGGGATGGATGCTCTTGCACCTGCGCTCCGGGAGCAGAAATGATGGGGAGCTTCTGACCCTGCTGCATCCTTGGTAAGTTGCAAGGTGGCGCAAAGATTTGGGATGTTGAACAAAAGTGGTTTTCTAAACCTTTTTCAGGTGTCTGCTGGGACCTCTGTGCTTGTCTGGAACTCCTGAGGCACTTTCTAGACAAGCTGGGGTGTGGTGGGCAAGATCCCAAGATCCAGGTCCCTCTCCCATCTCCCACGGAGCACTGGCTGTTTATCCCCAAATGTGCAGGTGTCTGTACCAGTCTCTCTCTCTCTCCATCTTTCTTCCCTCACCTCACTTCCCCCAGTCATTCCAATCTAGACCCCTATTCTCCAAATAAGTTTTTGATTTTAATATCCTGTGAGAGGAAAAATAAACCCTGGATCCCTCAAGTAAAGTGATCAAAGCTGGCCTTTGTACTAATTACTTATTCATTGAAAAAATCATCATGTTCTATGATATTTAAGTATTAAGCACTATTTGAGGGAGAAAGAATTAGTTATTGATCCTGTCTCCCAGGTTTCCACCATCTGGGGAGAGAGATAAGATATCCAAGGAATCACCTGCCTCAGAGGAGAGGAGCCTCCAGCCCTGGAGCAGCTGGAGAGGCCCAAGTTGGCCTTTAGCCCAGGGCAGGGGTCTTATGTAAAACAGCAAGAGGGGACTTTCTGTAGCAGGGCTGTGCTCACCCTGTGTCCAGAGAGCTGGGGAATGGGTTTTGCTGAATGGAAGGAGTTACTGGAATGAGGGTGTCATGGGGCTGAGATGAGGGTAAGGGTGGAAGGGGGGTGGCGGTGTGTGGGTTTTTCCTTCCATTGGTGCAGAAGCAACAGTATCTAAGACAGTGACCAGGGCCTTGGTGGTCCATGATTGCAAGGTCTTGGGGGACCCTGGAGGGGATTCTGGGGATGCCCAGGGTGCCGGTGGGATGGCCCAGGGCCCTCAGCCCTTTGTGCAACTGTCCCTTAGCATCCACTCCATCAGCCTTCTGGGCCACCACAACCAGAGCACCCAAACCCAGATGCCAGCAGCAGCTGCAGTGGCCCAGCTGCCTCCTGAGAACCTCCTTAGAAAGAGGAATTGGAGCATGGAGGCCCTTATGGTATAAGGGGGCTCCCGCACTGCTCTCACCCGGTAGCCCCAGCATCGCTGGCTCCCAGGGTGGCCCCAGGGCTGTGGCAATCGTGGGTCATCTGGGCCGTGCCTCCGTGTTCATGTGATTTTTAGGGGGTTCTGTTTCCTCCTTACTCACTAATCGGAGCTGGCTAAGGTGGAGGATTCTCATGTCCTGAAAGGTCAGGTTTTAAAACAGAGTTCAAGGGTGCTGTCTGAATGAAACAATCTCTCTCTCTCTCTCTCTGCCTCCCCGCTTATTTTCCCCCACCCCTCCCTCCCTCTCTCCCTCCTTTCCTGCCCTCCCTCCCTTTTCCACAGTAATCTGCTCCAGGACTTGGGGCTCCATTTCAAGACTCTTCTAACCCTCTCATTGCCCTCCCTAATTTGTTCCTATATTTATTTATTCTGAAATCACTGAACATTGCTTGGGCTGCAGGGACCAGAAGTCACAGGCCTTGGCCCGCAGACCTACGGTCGAGACGGGAGAGCCGGGCCCACGCCACGGACTGCAGCCTGCCGTGGACACGTGAACTGGGCCAGGCGGCCACGAGGCCGAGGGAAGGGGTGGTGTCCGCACCTGCGGAGCCTTGGAGACATTTCCCCAGGAGATGCCACTTGGGACGCCCCTCTCTCCCACACCCTCTGCAGGGCGTGGTCCAGGGGGCGTTCCTACGGCAGAGAGGAGGGTGGGGGGTACATGGCCTTCATTTACGTGGGTCTCGAGTCACATGGGTGACATTTCTGGTTTTGAGATTATCTGATGGACTTGCTTTCTCACTGCTCAGGTTTTCCCTGGAGACACGAGCTGCGTTTCATCCACACAGCAAGGCCTGGGGGATGGCAGGTTCCTTTCTATTCTTCCCAATTTTCATTGTCCCCTCAATGCGTCAACATCCACAGGGCTTGCAGAGGCTGTCTCTGAAGCATCACGAGCCGGTCCCAACACGAACGTGGAGGAGCACGCAGCAGCATTTCCTGCAACACCAGCCTCGCTTTGCTGGCGCACAGACCCAGGCATCCGGCCGGGTCCCCGCAGCCCGTGTGCCCGCTCCCGCCTCCGCCAGCAGAGGGAGCGCGCGGCCCCGCCCAGGCACCTGGCGGTGACACCTGCCAGCTTCAGCTCCTGCCCATCAGCGCTGTGCCAGGGGTGGGAAGGGGTGGTGGTGGTGGCGGGGGCGGTGGGGAAGGGGAGTCGCTCCCTTTACCCCTGCCGTCCCGGGACCTCCCCGTTTGAGAACCAATCACTGAGCTGAGCGGCGACGCTGGCTTCCCACCGACCACTTCGATTTCACCGGAATGCTCGAGTGGGGCTACAGTTCCACCTGCAGCCCTGAGAGCTCTCACCTGCCCTCGAGGACGGGTCCTGTGGGCCCGGTGGACTCCCAAAGCGGCGCGCTTCTTAAAGAGTGAGCAGTTCTCTCCCCCTGGATGCTTCATGCAGGGAATGGAAAACTCCAGAAAACTGAGGGGTCTGGATGGAAGCTTTGGTGGGGCGTCCTCCACCCACCCGGTTTCCATCAATAATCCCCCACCCCTTACCCAGGTCCCTGCATTGCTTGATTTTTGCTTTTGAGTTTTTCTTTTCTCTGTCCTTATGTCCCTAGTAACTGGATCATAACGATGAATTGTAAATAACTCAAGCATCGTTCTGTCTCTATTCTTACAAATAACTATACTACAACCACCAAACTTAGGCACCAGAAACTGGGTTGAGCACCAATGTCAGTGACACGTAGAAGTCATTAGGTTTCTCAGTCCCTAAGATAAAGTGGTCATTTTTTAAAATTATTTTGGTTCATTTCTGACAGACTGCACCGAGTCAACATCCTGAGAAGTTTCCTAGGTTTCTTTTTTCTGTTTCTTCCTCATTTTTCTGAACTGCAGATAATTCCTCAGCCCCATGACATTGGCTTTTAACTGTGATTCATGAGGTAATAAAGGAATCCTTTATTCAAGAAGCCACTTATCCTGCTGAAAATTCCTTCTTTATTAGCTTTCTCATTATGAGCCTCAGCAGTCATCTGTTTCTTACCAGCCAGATTCCTTATCTCTCCAGAGAGGGATGGGAAAGACATATAAACGGTATAGGAGCCAGATTGGTAATTTGTCAAAAACTCATGAGGAAATAAGTCCAACTTCTCGATTATCCTGGGGAATATTCCAAGGCCTGAAGTCTCAGAATACATAGGCAGCACAATGCTGTGTCTCCTGTGAGATGTTGGTTACAATTAATCGCCTTGGGTGGGTTTTGGCTTAAGGTATTTGATTTGGAGCAACTCTCCAAATCACAATGGTAAAACTCCCCAAGATCGAATTCATCCAAGACCTTCCTTGCAGGCAGGCCATAGTCACAGCCTACCTAACTGGGGAAATTGTCAGAGTGCATTTCCCTGTGGATGCTGAACAAAGGACTGAAGGCTCCTCACATGACAGAACACAAACTGTGACAAGAAACTGCTCAATGTGTGTCATGTCTGGGCTTAGCCTGATCCTGCATGTGCTCTCTGTGTGCAGGATTCCTTTTATTTCTGTGGCAATCTCTTCCTCTGACCTTACAGGCTTATAGATGTTCCTGAGTTGATGCATAGCAACCCACAGATGAAAGAGTGGGTGGAGCTGAAATATATGGGCAGAAGGTGACAGAAGGTGACTGCTATATCATGGGAGAAGATAATACCCCACATGAAATTATCTGTTTCACCATATACACAGAAATGGTGCATATCTGCTAGAAAGCCAATTAGTGATTCAGGAAGTCAGTCCCTCTCTCTTTCTCTCTTGAAATTTAGGGATATTATATTTTATTTTTTCCATTTCCAACTGATCATAAGAAATGGAAATGAGACCTTTGTATAATTTTTCTCTCTTATCTCTGCTCCGACTCATGACAGATCCTGGGCACTGCTTACAAGACTAATGAAATCTTTCAAAGTTTCTTTTGGGCCCCAAATTTAGAAAGCTGTATTTTTCATGGAATGCCAACCAGGAAGTCATTGGCATGGCACACACAGGCACGTTCCACAGCAAGTGATCAGCAGACCCCTTTTCTTCCATCTGGGGGGCGTGGGACTCCATGTCAGCCTCCTGTCTTCTGCTTTTAAAGATCTTGGTCTGTCAGGACAATAGACATCATCCCAGTGGGACCCTGTGCAGGCACCTGTCATCTCTTTGACTCTGCAAAAGTGAAAAAAGATACAATTTCCTTAAGGAGCTGATCTAACAGAGAATAAAGACCTAGACATATAAAACTTTCAAATACAAACATGATAGATCATTCATTTGTACTCTATTGGCACCTGAATATCAACTGAATGAATGAAGAAAAGTGGATATCCAACCAAGTAGATGTCTCCGGGAAATAGATATCCAATTAGTCACAGCACAAAGAAATGTAAGCAAAGTCAATTCTTTGAATCCACTTCTTTTAAACTCTGGAATAATTGTGTGTCAGAACATATTTGTTAAATATATAGGTGAAGAAATAATAAACCACAAGTGAATACAGAAAATCATAGGCAACAAATGGGAAATCGAGCTCAGTATAACTTAGCAAAAGTACTTCCTGAAAGAAGGGGCATTAGAGAGTTATAAGATGGAAAGGCAGATTGAAAGGAGCATGAATATTGGCACAAAATTATGATAACATGGATTGGCAGAGGGAGCAGTAGCAGACACGCAGATCAAGGTACTGCAGTCATATAGTGCTTCTTAAATTGAGAAGCTTGGGTTATTAATAGCATATTGTTTACCCACTATAAAAATATATATTACAGGGGCCAGGCACAGTGGCTCATGCCTATAATCCCAGCACTTTGGGAGGCTGAGGCAGGTGTATCACTTGAGTTCAGGAGTCTGAGACCAGTCTGGCCAACATGGTGAAACTCTGTCTCTACTAAAAATACAAAAATTAACCAGCATGGTGACGGACACCTGTAATCCTAGCTACTTGGGAAGCTGAGGCAGGAGAGGCAGAGATCCCAGGAAGTGGAGGTTGCAGTGAGCTGAGATCGCACCACTGCACTCCAGCCTGGGTGACAGGATGAGACTCCTCCTCAAAAAATAAATAAATAAATATAAAATGAAATAAAGATATTACAAATAATAAGGATAAACCAACTGTTCTAAAAAAACTGGTGAATGTGAATCTCCAAAGAAAAATAAAAGACAAAATTTAGAAAACTTGTTTGACCTCCAGAACTCCTTTTCTCGAAGCTTCTTGTAGGACCCATATTCTGTGTAAAATGCTTCAGGAAATGCTGACTAGACTTTCCCATCCATTGAGGATGGGAAAGGAGTGGAGGGTGCATGTCTGAGAACTGCTTCAGTGGTGTCACCAACAGGATGATAGAAACTTTCATGGGGTGGAGGGATAGATAATTCAAACATGGTGGATCTGGCCGGGAGCACAAGGAAGGGTTTTGCTGTGTGGCTGTCGGGCCCTGCCCATATCTCTGGACACCTCTCCCTTCTGGTTCACACCACTTCCCTCCTCTTGAAACACCTGTGACTCCTTCTCTGGTGGTTTTCTCTGGTCACAAGTGTGCACATGAGACTATGTCAGCTAGTCAATGTCCTTGAAGTCCGCTTCCAGAAAATGAAGAAAGGAGTGGGTGGTCAGCTGACAGTTTTCTCATCCTGCACATGGTCCACGGGGTCTCCCAGAGCCCCCGGGGGATGGAGTCCCTGAGGTCCACAGCTGTTGCTCAGCAATGCCCCAACCCTGCGTTGACCTTCTCCCCTCCCTCTCCCAATTCCTGTTCCCTTCTTCATGCTTCCTCGACTCAGCTCCCAAATTAGCCATTTACCCCCAAAATCTGATCTCAAGATCTACTTCTGAGAGAACCCAAATTAAGACAGATGCTTAACCGGAAAAGGGAAATATTCATTATTTTCATCGCGATTCCTGCCTACTCTATTTTTTTTTCTTTAAAAGTGCTCCAATTCACCTCTGTATCTGCCTGCCTATTTATCCATCTATCATTTGTCAATGAGGCATCCATCTATCTGAACTCTCTATCATCTGTATACCTATGAATCAAGCTAAAGGATAAATTAAATATTCAAAATGTTAACTATGGTCATCACTGGGGCACATGGGTTAAGAATTGACTGAGCATGTGTACCTTTGAGTGTTATTTCAGCTCTCTAAAACAGACACATACTTACTTTTATATTTAGGGGGAAACCATAAATTCATTTTTAATGCTTATCTTAAAAACTAAAGATCTCATACTCAACTTCCACACTCCATTGGCACACTCTTATTTGGAAGGAATGACAACATAAAGGCATGTACTCAGCTTGTTTTTTCGTTAAAAATGTAATTTTCCTTAACAGATAAAAAAGACGGAGAAAGGAATAATCCAGCATTTCACTGACTAGCTGATGTGAGCTGCTAAGAAGGTGGTGAAGCCTGTTTCATTAGTTTCTGTGTGGGATAGCTCCCCTCTCCTGCTATTTGAAGACATTTACTACAGGAATGCATGCCTTCATCGCTCTGCCTTCACTATGAATTATGACTCACCCTCGCCCACACAAATCCTCTAAGCAGCTTTGGTTTGCTTCTCAATCAGTGACATCTTAGTACCCAGTACCGTAGCCTACCTCATTAAAACACCGTCACCAAGATGCTGTTACATTTAACTTAAGGATTGAATGTGATGTATCTTTGTCAGAAAGATCATATTGATTAACAGGGCACAAGAAATTATGCATATATGATGAAGTGCCAGCTTCCTACCTGATTTGGTCTGATCTTGAGGGCAGGAAGATGCACACAGTGTAATATTTCTCCAGACTGTGATTCAGTGTGGATTCCTAGGCGGTCCTAAGGAGCACAGCCAGGGCAGCCACTTCCCGATGTTTCCCATGGGTGTGTGTGTGTGTGTGTGTGTGTGTGTGTGTGTGTGTGTTTCACAGGTGGGCTGAAAATCTCAGATAATCGATGGGGGTTGGGGAGCCAGGCATCAGCAGGTCCTCAGCTAACACTAAGGCCTGAGGGAAGCACCACAGAGAGATTTAGTAACAAGGAGCGAGAATGTGGTGAGAAAAGGCCTCAAACATGAAACATGCAGCATGGCCTGTCTGCTGCCATCTCCCTGGGAAGGGCAGTGAGAAAATGCTTGTGGGGAGGGGAGGGGAGCCTGCAGCCAGGCAAGGATTGACTTTGATCACCTTTTCCACCATCCTCCCAGAATGTGACTCTTGTTACCTTCAGAACGACAACAGTGGTTTCACTCTCTCTAAAGAGAATTCAGACACCACTTCCCCATGACAGCAGATCAATATGACAAACAGCCAGTCTTGATAGAGATGTGTCCAATAATCCTTTGGAAGTGGAGACTAAACACTTGAAGCCTGCTCCTCCTACACCAGCCCCTCAAAGGCTCGGGGGGGTTTTAGTACATGGAAAACCCCTGCCTCCAAGACCACATTGAACAGCGTTGGAACTCCCTGGCCTGAGAAATTAAAGTGTTGTGTTCTGTATAAATGGCATTGAGTGTTCAGGTCCTGACCTCCTTTTCCACAAAAGGAAGGCACTTTTCCAGAGTGCCTTCCTCTTTCCAAACTCCATTCTTGGCCCCAGTCCTCTCCTCGTCCATTGGCTCCATTGTCTTTCTGCTTCCCTTCATCTCATTCAGGGAGAAGGACTGCTGGGGAGTCGGGAAGCAAGAGGAGGCAGCTACAGCCCTCAGACTGATTCACTCCGGTGGCTGCACACTGGGTCTGACTAAGGGCACTTCATGCCAAGCCACCCTTTGCTGAGTCCTGCTCCATTTGCCCCTGTAGATCTAATCTCTTCCTGCCTCCATCCTGTGCCTGGCTCCAAGGATCCCAAGCCCACCCTTAGCCAGCTGCCTTGCCCACTGGCTTCCTGCTGAGTGTCATCACTGGAGACATTGACAGGAGAATGGGGACTGGCAAAGGATCCGATGGGGCTCTTTCTCCTCCCACTCCCTCTCTGCTATGGAGCCAGGGGTTCTGGCACAGCATCAGCGTTAGGTTTGGAACTGCTATTGGACGGACCCTCCTCTACATCCTTAGCTCCTTTGACCATCTCAGATGACACTTCTTGGCCTTGCTTCTGTAGTTGCGAGCACCAAGTGTCTCTGGGTCCCTAGCAGGTTACCTGGATTCTGCTTGTATACCCATGAGCAGTCCCCCTGGTTAGACTTTCTTAGTCTAACCCTGTTGGGCAGAGCCTTCTTACTTGGAGAGCTTCGGCCTAATGGCGTCATTTGCCTCATGGTCCTTTGTTTCATGGCAGGTGGAACCAGCCCAAGTTTGGGGGCATGGAGGAAAGATGAGCGGACTTCCGTTCAGTCCCCAGCCTGGATTCCTTGTTTAAGCATAAGGGCTGTCATTTTTCTTGAGCTAGAAGCATCAGCTGACATAGATTCCTCAATTTCCTTTTTACACTTCAAAAATGATTCCAAAGAAGACTGCCTAGAAACAACATCAGCACTGGTGTTGGTTGGGGGGTGGATTTTCTCCACGCCCATTCTCCAGGTGAGGGGCTTGTGGTTCCGCAAGTGTTTTGGTAAACTCAGCTAGCTGGGGCACAACCGGATGGTGGCCAGAAGCCCATCCCACCCTGCTCTGCATCAGCCACTGAAACAAAGAGCCACAGGCTGCTGCCCTGGGAATTCACCCGTCAGCTGTTTCTTAGTTTTTCCTGCTTACTCCTCTTTGCAGAAAGAGACAAGAACAGATTCCCCGGCAATTTGTGTGGTTGCTTTAGGGAGCAGAACTAGTTAGGCTGCTCACATTTCCCTCCAAGACCTAAACAGGGGAGGAGGGACAGGGGAGGATGACTGGACATTGGCCATTACGACTGCCACTCTCCTCACACTCAGGAACTCTGCAACGAGCATGGCACCTGCACTCTCTTGCACGCTCTAGTGCAGTTCTTATCTTGTTTCCTGTAACTCTGGAATTAACATCACCACCCATCCCAGCCACACCCAAGTGTCATTCTTTTGTTGTTGTTGTTGAGATGGGGTCTTAGTCTGTTGTGCAGGCTGGAGTGTAGTGGTACAATCTCAGCTCACCGCAACCTCTGCCTCCTGGGTTGAAGTGATTCTCATGCCTCAGCCTCCCGAGTAGCTGGGATTACAGGCATGCGCCACTACGCCTAGCTAATTTTTGTATTTTTAGTAGGGTTTCAGCATGTTGGCCAGGCTGGTCTCCAACTGCTGACCTCAGGCAGTCTACCTGCCTTGCTCTCCCAAAGTGCTGGGATTACAGGCATGAGCCACTGTGCCCAGCCCCAAGTATCATTCTTGAATCTTCCCTCTATTTCACTACCCACATCAATCAGCAATTGACTTTTGCACCTTCCACTTCCTCAACCTTCTTGCATCAGACTCACTTCGCCCATCCCCACCAACGCTACCAGAGCTTAGCTGACCCCTATTCTTCCTGGACTGCCACTACACTCTTCTTCCTTGCTGGTATCCTTGACTGCTATCTTGACCTTCAACATCATTCTCCATGTTGCTATTAGTCTGATATCTGCCTGCACCTCATCACTCCACCCTGTAACTCAACGCCTTTCAATGGCAAGTCTTAAACTAGCTGCCAAGGCATACAACGCCCTCTCCATCGACCCCGCTGGCCAGCTGGGACACTCACTGGCCACTCCCTTCTCCCACTTCCTGCTTTCACTCCTGGCTGTCTTCAGACTCCCATGCCCGAAACAAAATAATTCTGCACAATCAATTCTTCCGCTTTGTCATTTTTTTCTAACTTACTTAACTGTCTCCTCCCCCAAACAGAATAAGTCATGTTTTTAAGATATTAACTTGACCTAGCTTCAGCCCTGACCATGTGAACTCCCCTTGAATCAACTGTAATCCTCAAGTGGACGGTCCTCCCCTAAAGCAGGGATTGAGCCCGGAAGGGGAAGAGTAGTCAGGAGGGTCAGAAAAGGGTAAGGAGATTTTGATATGTAAGCTTCCACATCAATCACAAATGCAAATTCTGTCTCTCACTCTATCTCAAATGAAAGGATTTTGTTAATCAAATGGCTGCCAACTATCATCCTGATGTGAATAATCTGTGCCTGTGTGTGTGAGAGAGGACAAGCATTTCTCACAAAGCAGCCCTGGATATCTCCTCGGCTTAATACACCCTACCCAGCCTGTCATGGGCTGCAAGTGCTTTCTTATCCTTTAAGACCATACAATCTGCCACCAAAGCATTTCTGCATATCTCTGCAACAGAATTCACTTATTTATTCATTCAGTCCATGCCATCCCACTTCGCTAGTGCTTATTGTCCTTCTCCCATTATAACCTGTGTCTGCCCACCTTAAAAGCACCTATAGGCCCAGCACGGTGGCTCATGCCTGTAATCCCAGCACTTTGGGAGGCTGAGGTGGACGGATCATGAGGTCAGGGGATCGAGACCATCCTGGCTAACACGGTGAAACCCCATCTCTACTAAAAATACAAAAAGTTAGCCAGGCGTGGTGGTGGGCACCTGTAGTCCCAGCTACTCGGGAGGCTGAGGCAGGAGAATGGCGTGAACCTGGGAGGCAGAGCTTGCAGTGAGCCAAGATCATGCCACTGCACTCCAGTCTGGGCGACAGAGCGAGACTCCGTCTAAAAAACAAAAAGCCCCTATAATGGGCTTGAGATGAAGACAGTCACCTTGACACAGTCGACAAGGGCTCACATGGACCAGTCCTTCCCTCATCTCTAACCTCACCCTAGCAGCTACACATATCAGTCTGATATAGTGCTTAGATAAGAAACCAGTTCATTCATAGATTATAGTACAGGAGTCCCCAACCCCCAGGCCATGGACCAGTACCAGTCCACGGCCTGTTACAAACCCAGCCGTACAGCAGGAGGTGATGGCAGGTGAGCAAGTGAAGCTCCACCTGTGTTTACAGCCACTCCCCATCACTCACATTACCACCTGAGCTCCACCTCCTGTCAGATCAGCAAGGGCATTAGAGTCTCACAGAAGTGCAAACCCTCCTGTAAACTGTGCATGCAAGGGACCTAGGTTGCATGCTCCTATGAGAATCTAATGCCTGATGATATGTCACTGTCTCTCATCAGCCCCAGATGGGACTGTCTAGTTGCAGGAAAACAAACTCAGGGCTCCCACTGATTGTACATTATGGTGAGTTGTATAATTATTTTCTTATATATTACAATGTAATAATAATAATAGAAATAAAGTGCACAATAAATGTAATGCATTTGAATCATCCCAAACCATTTCCATCACCTCCCCTTCCCCATTGCATGAAAAAATTGTCTTCCATGAAACCAGACCCTGGTGCCAAAATGGTTGGGGACCACTGTTCTAGTATATAGATTACATATAGATTACAGGGCACAAGAAAAGGCTCACCACAAATTGTGGAGAAAACAAAGATCACTTGGTATGTACTTTTGTCTTTTTTCATTTTTATACACTTTTTAGCTGTTTAGAAGAATCTCAATGAGTTATCAACTCACACCATGTATTTAATATAATTCCAATAAATTAAAAAATTAAATTCCAATTTAAATATGAATTTATAAATGAGAACACATTTCAATGAATTTTAAGTGAATTTACATTGAATCTAAGCATGAATGAGAATGTATCAGTCTAATAGTAAAATAAGAAAACATAATAGTGCAAATCATTGGATTTAGTTAGATAAGATTTTGCACAGTATAGGCTACATTTAAGGTAAAATTAAAGAACCAAAATATCGTGAGTGAATATTTGCAGTTTTGATAAAGAATTTACGACTTTAACTATGCAAGAAATTTATAAACATTGATTAAAAATGCACTAACATCTCTCTAGAACAGTGCTCAGCTTGTGAAGTGCTCTACAATAAAATTGGCTCTTTCTTATTTGTGTCATTGTTATTGTTAATATTATTATTATTAAAGTATGGGCAGAGAATACCAAGTCCAGAGGTCATAAAAATAAGGGTGGAACACATAAAACCATGTCCATCCTCACTTGTAATCAGTGAACTCGAAATTCTTAACAGACAAATATTTTGTCTACCCATTTGTTAAGATTTAAAAATAAATATCAGTCCCAAAAAAAGGCTATTCACTCAGTGGTAATAATTAATGTCGTTCACCAAATGGTTTTCTGTTTCATGTTTGTTTGTTTGTTTGTTTTAATTCTTCAAGCCTTTAAAAAAGCTTTTCACCCTTGAAGGTAGGTGTGGCCAAGTGACTGACTCTGAACAAGGGAGTGTGGGCAGAAATGATGTGTGCTCCATGTGGCCAAACCTTTAAGAGCCTATTAAACTTAAGGCAAGGTCCTCTTCCCTAGCCACAGTCAGAAACACATTTGCCATGGAGCTGCCCTCACTCTGGGCTCCTTGATGACAATGAGGAACAGAGAAAGCCTGCCAACTGCAGTGCACATGTAACATGGACAAGAGAAGAACCTTTTGCGTGTTAAGTTGCTGAAACAGCAGTGTTTGTTACTGTCCTGAAAATTAGCCTGTCTTGCTTGATAACACCCTTAGGGGAAATGAAATTTGAAGATGTCCTCCTTGAAAGTAACTTGGCAATATATAACAAGGCTTTAGAGCATCTCAAATTTGCATTGACTGTTTCCCATTATCATTCATTCATTCATTCATCCATTCAGTCATACATTCATTAGATATTTTACAAGATTGCCATATCTGTATAAGGAAACTTAGTAGGTTCAGGAGAAACAAATGCAGCAGAACAGATAGGTGCCAGCACAATCTCTTCAAGCAATTTCGTTTGAGAGATTCTTTTATAAGGAAGAGTTAGAAAATATAATTAATAAATAAGTAAACAAAAAATCATGCAAAAAGCATATTAATATATTGAGTAGTCAGATACAAGGTATATATCCAAGTAGAGGAGAATATTAAAATCAATTTTTTTCTGTCCATAGAATGGAATGTTCTGTCATTTAAATTATAATTTTAATATAATATTTATGAATACAGCAAATACTAGTAGTATAATAATTAATGAAGAAAGGAAAATAGCATTCAAAGTGTAGCATAGTCTAAATGTTATAAAAGTATATGCATATATTTTTAAATGAGGTAAAGTTATACATAAAATTATTAAAGTTGAATATCTTCAGATAGAAAAAAGACTTAAATTTTTTTCTTTATATCTTTTGTATGCAAAAGTTTAATAATAAACTTGTATTTTTTAATAAAATTAAGAAAATAAAAGCCATTAAAAAACTTTCCACCAACTTTAAGGGCTCTTGTGAGAAAAAATTAAATTACCTTTTAGAATGCTTACAATTTATGCATAACAAATGCAACATTAAAAACAAAACACGGGCCTAACTCCAAAAGAAACATAAGGATTAAAAAATAAATTGTAGTCTGATCCAAAATGATAAAACAGTTTATGAAAAAATATTTCTAATGGCTGAGCTCCCTAAAAAAGAAATGGGCTTTTATCCAATCGTTCTATAATAAGCAAATGAAGTATAACATTTGCATAATAATAGTCAACACTCAGCCAGTTCTCCATTTTAAAACTGAGAACACTGGGCAAATGGAGAGATAATAACTGTTCTTTGCTATAACCATAGTGAAATCAGTTTTCAGTGATCCGCAGGAATGAAAGAAAGTGAAGGTTTTTTCTTCTATTGTTAATGAGATTGTGCTGAAATTAGCCACTTTGAAATTGTTTTTGTAGGACAGGAATGGAAAAAGGAGTAGCAACAGGTGTCATATATTGCTATAAACTGCTGTTGCTGTGGTTGTTTTTGTTGTTGTTCTATACAGTTCCTAAAATATTTGCATTTATTATTTTGGTGAAAAAGAAAAGTAGTCGACATGAATATAGAATGGTAAGCCTTCAATGTCATTTGCCGCATTGATAGGGAGAAACAACATACTCTCTCATCTCAGTAAACAAAAGAAAAAGATTTCATGGCCTATAGATAGTCATTAATCATTACATAAGCAAATAAATCATAACATAGGAGAAATGAAAGGGCTCTTCTTTATCATGGTAATAAAGCATATCTACTAAAAACCTATAACAAATGTCAAACTTTGTGGTGAAATATTAGAAGCATTCAATTAAAATCAGAAATAAGACCAGGTTGCCAGTGTCACACCAGTATTTAAGATGGTACTTTGTTGTTCTAGTGGAAAACAATAAGAAAAGCTTTTAAAATCTATGAGAAAAGAGGAAACAATCTTGTCATGTGAAGAGTATATATTTATTTTCACAGAAAATTCAAGCAAATCAATGGTCAGAATTTTAGAAGCAATGCAAACTGCATAAGACTGATGGCTACCAATTAACATTTAAATATTAATATTTCCTACACACCAGAAATAAAGAAATTTTAAAATAAATATATCAATAAATAACTATAGTATTATATTAAAATATATAAATAGATATAGTATTATATTAAAATATTATATATAATATATAATATAGTATTGTATTAAAATATATAAATATAGTATTAAATTAAAATATAATATATAATATATAATACAGTATTATATAAAAAATACTGTTTATGGCAGAAAAATACACACAAAAAATCTACCTCATGAGATTAAAATAAAGCTAAAAAAGTATACCTGTATTAATTATGAAAAAAATGTGAAAGATAAGATCCAAATAAATGAAAACAATCCTATTAAGATGATAAGAAGGCCTCATATGGCCAATGTACCAATTTTCCCCAAATGCACCTGTAAATTCAAGACCCTAGCAGTCATATTTTTGTGAAAGCTTACAAGTAAATGGAAACATTTCTGCAGAAAGTTAAAGGTGCACAAATAAATAAGATGTTTTTGAAGAATCAGAACTGATAGAGAAACTGTCACACCAGATATGAAGACCTGTTATGAAACTATGTGGTAAAACCACATGGTATTGGGGAACGAGTTAGCAAAACAGAGAGGAGAATGGTGGAGTCACGCGTGTGTAGAGTTGTGGTGTATAAGGAATGTGGCATCACAGGCCAGTGGGGAAAAAGACCATTTCAATGAACAGAATCAAATACATTGACTCTCCATTCAGAATAATAAAATAAGATGCCCAGTTTGCAGAATACACAAAAAATCCATCCCAGTTGAATAAATAAACTAAATGTGAAAAAGAACTCCAAGAAAATCCTCTCCATCCCGATATTACAAGGTTATTCTTCTATAGTTTGTTCTAATTATATAAACTGTACGAAAGTACTCTCACACAATGAAAATGTTATAAACTTGATTATTTTAAAATATAAAACTTCTGTATCTCCAATGACACCATAAATGTTTAAAATGCAAGTGAAAGGCTGTGGAAGGATAATTTTAATGTATATTATAGGCAAGAGATACATATGCATAACAGATGAACTCGTAGAAATCATAGGAAAAGTGTATAAAGCATCAACTCACAGAAGAAATCTCTTAACGTCGATGAAAATATGTTCTACTTCACTGACAACCAGAGAAATGCACATTAGAACAGCAAGAAAATGTCATTTGTACAAAAGAGAGATTGACAAGGAGTAAAAAGTGTGATAGAGTCATGTGTTGGCCATACAGCGAGGAACATGGACTTTTGTGCTCTCTCTGTGGGGAGCTGACATAGTACAGCTATTTTGGAGACAGTGTGTCAGCATCTTGAAAAACCGAAATGTGCTTATTCTGTAAGCGAGCAATTCCACTTCTGGATATGTGGATGAATTATTGCATTTGAATACAGGAGATATGCATAAGAATGTTTATTGTAACATAATTTATAATCATGAAGGGTTGAGGACAAACCAAATGTCTATCAATTGGATAAACTATATGGTACCAGTTATAATGCATGGACTCTGCCACCATATTTCTCTCTATATATTAGTGTAGAAATATCTCAAAAGCAAAATAGAGAATGAAAATGAAAAATGAACATCACTAAGTATGGTGTCGAGTCCTCAAAAATTGATAATAGATGCAAAATAGTATGTAATATTAGGAGTGCAACATATGTATCTATAAATATAAAAGAGACTAGAAGAGTATACTTTTGTTTGTTTGTTTTTGTAATGATGTCTGACCCTTAGTACAGAAGGTGGCAGTAGACGGGACTAATTTTAGCTATATCTTTAACATTTTATGTCTTTAAGTAGACTGCAACCCAATAGTATACAAATGTCCTCGTTAACCATAAAGGGTAGAAATATGGGATTCTGTTTTCTTATGCTTGGTAGTTTTTCTATTTTTAAATTTAAAGAATTTATTTTAAAAAAGGGCCTCTAATTATGAAAACAATGCCATGTTGATGTGGCTTAACTGAGCCTGTTCTTCTCTCTAATGTCTTCATGTACTTGGTTTTCATGCCTTTGATCTTCCAGTCGTCCTTAATAAAACTTCAAAGTTATGTTCAAGTCATTTAAACTAGTCAGTAGGCATCTGAGAAAGGGAAACTCAATTGGAGTCCTGGGGCTTTAAAATATATTTAGCTTTGATAACATCTTGTTCATGAGTCCTTTCATCTCCAAAATATTAAGCTCTTCAGACATGTTAGCTCAAGGGTCCCCAAACTCCCCCTGCAAAGTGAGATATTGGCTGCTCTTATTTAGAAGAATCCAAACAATGATAAATTTTGATACTATATAAGTCAGGAAAAGGTAGGACTAAGTCTGCAGGTTAATGATATCCAGAATAGGTAGACATGTAATTTGGGTTAATTCTCCTCTCTTCATTCACAGTTCCATGTCCATCTTCTTCATTATTTATGTTTACTTTCTCAATTCATAGTTCCATAATCAACTTTGTAGCTCTTTCCTCTTAATCACCTTGTAGCTGTGTTTTGGAGGATGATATGGCTTGGCTGTGTCCCCACCTAAATCTCATCTTGAATTGTAGTTCCCATAATTCCCATGTGTCATGGGAGGGACCCAGTGGTATGTAATTGAATCATGGGAGCAGTTACCCTCATGCTGTTCTGGTGATAGTAAGTGAGTTCTCACGAGAGCTGATGGTTTTATAAGGGACTTTTCCTCACCTTCACTTGGATTCTTCTCTCTCCTGCTGCCATGTGAAGAAGGACGTGTTTGCTTTCCTTTCTGCCATAATTGTAAGTTTTCTGAGGCCTCCCCAGCCACGCTGAACTGTGTGTCAACTAAACCTCTTTCCTTTCTAAATACCCAGTCTCAGGTATGTATTAGTGGCCTGAGAACAGACTAATACAGAGGAATATACCTAGAATATTTTGTAAAACTTACCATAGATCATAACTGTGTCACCAGCATAGTATCACATTATGATCCCTTCTCTGCCTCTGACACTTGTGCTCCTTCCCACTTTCCACTGGATTTCCATGGGAATAAAAATATCTTTCCTTTTGTAATGCAGGTATATTAGAATTCGTTGTAATTTTTGGTAGTTTGCCATAGATAACTGTAAGATCTTTAGCCAGGACAACTGTTTGTATGTCTGAGAATGGGAGTGGATGAAGGGAGGATTTGCCATGCAAACTAACTCCTTACATGGCTCGAACTCACTGGATAATATAGCATCTTTCACTTTGTAGGTTGTAGACTTGGCTAGAATGAGTCCCCAAAGCTTGTCTAGGTGGGAATTCCCTGGGACTGTTTTTGCTTTTCGTTACTTTAAAGCCTAAAAATACCCATATCATTATTTCCCATGTCCACTTAAAAATAAAAAGTGCTCATAGACTACATGTAAGGAATGAGAAATGAGTGAAGAAGAAAGAGGACACTGAAAGAAATGTTTTCAAAACACTCAGGATGACGAATGTTTGCACGTACTTGTGAGTCTTTGCCTTCTGAGCTTTATCCTGTTTGTTAAAGGAGGATGGTAGCTATTCTTTGGCCATGTGCCTTTCTCTTTCGTTAGCTGAAAGACCATGTGTTATTTCAAAGAATTGGCAGCTCACCATAGGTGGATGTAGGCAAAACAGAACCATGGCCAGTGCCAGGGGCATCAGCTCCCTGAGGCCAGGCCTTGATCAGTCTTGTTGACCTGTGGCAGGGTCAGACACATAGTAGACCCTTTATATAAATTTGGTGAATGAGTAATTAAAGGACAAAAATACTCCTACATGTATGCTTCTGGCAGCTTCCCAGTAATTACATGCAGAAGAGGGGTGTGTGTGTGTGTGTGTGTGTGTGTGTGTTTCAATAGTCTGCCTTTGCCATGCCAATTTCTTATGCCAATTTTTCACTCTAACAGATGTGATTTTATGGTCTTGAAACCAGGTATTCAAATATATCCAGCCTGGACAAATCTCTAAGCAAAAGCTAAATAAACCATCCTGGATCTGGAGAGTCATCGTTTTTATGTGAATCTGAGCAAGCAGCCATCCTGCATCCTGGAGATCGGTGAGCAGCATTCTAATGCCCAGCATCCTGGAACCGCCTGGCAGGCCTGGGTGAAATGAGCTCTTGGGTGAGCCTTGTTTCATCCATCAAGCCCATAAACCACAGCAGAGTACAGCTGAATGAGCCTGGGATCACAAGCAATTCTGCGTCGCTTTTATTGACGCTTGCGTGATAGCAGACAATCCCCTTGCTGTTGAGCATTTGTCTCCAGCTCACAGTTGTCTGCCCCTGATACATGCTCTTCCTCCACTTCCCCCTCTCCCCTGTGCTGCATATGTGTTGTAAAAATGGAGCATACAGCCTCTGCTCAATGGTACATGGCTTATGCATGAATAGCCTTGAAGAAATAAATGAAGGCTGCACTAGATTCCTCGTTTGTGATTTAGTAAGTGTGCTTTTCTGCAGTGCACCACAATTCAGTCCTGACTCAGGTATCATGCTCAGGTGTTCTCCAAACTGCATGTGTCATGTGGCTTGACAGCCAGGCCCTTTGGTGTCCAATGGTGATTCACTTTTGATGTGAGCAAGCTGCGTCTTCACTCAACACACTCCCTGAGGAGGTGAACTTTGCCTGGTAGAAATGGGCATTCTTTCCACTCATTGTTCAGACATAAAGGACCTGAACTGGAAAATAAAATAAAAAGACGATTTGAAAAGAACCATGCCAAGAAGTTATGTGTATGCTTCTTTTTCACGTTAGTCACAGTAAACAGATCGGACCATCAGGCTGGGTGGCTCAGAGATTTGGTCACAGACATTAGCCACCAAGAGGAGGCATTCAAACCTAATTCTCTGCACTGGGGTTCCCAAAACCAAAGCCTTTAGAGACTACTGTCTTAGGGGTGGGGACTTTTGCCAGCCGTTCAACCCACACCTGCCCTGCAAGACCAGCCAAGGCGATAAAGGAAAGCTGAGAGTTTGCTGATGTGGCCTGTGGCATTACCAGCACTCAGCATGTGTCTGCATATGTGCATGTGATGGTTAATACTGAGTGTCAACTTGATTGGATTGAAGGATGCAAAGTATTGAGCGTGGGTGTGTCTGTGAGGGTGTTGCCAAAGGAGATTAACATTTGAGTTAGTGGACTGGGGAAGGCAGACCCACCTTTAATCTGGGTGGGCACCATCTAATCGGCTGGCAGTGTGGCTAGAATATAAAGTAGGCAGAAAAACGTGAAAAGGCTAGACTTGCCCAGCCTCCCAGCCTACATCTTTCTCTTATGCCAGATGCTTCTTGACCTTTAACATTGGACTCCAAGTTCTTCAGTTTTCGGTCTCAGACTGGATTTCCTTGCTCCTGAGCTTGCAGACAGCCCACTGTGGGACCTTGTGACCTTGTGATCATGTGAGTTAATACTATATATATGTATATAGTATTATATATATGATATATATATGTATGTGTATATATGTGTGTGTGTGTGTGTGTATACATATATATATATATATACATATCCTATTAGTTCTCTCCCTCTAGAGAACCCTGACTAATACAGTGCATATGTGATGTACATGCTCGCATGTGAGGGGGAAATGGATGGGAGGTGGTCAGTTGGGAGCAGGAGAAATGGAGGGAAGAGGAGGAAGGGCATCCTCTACCAGCCACTGTGCTGGTGTGTGAGCCCCAGGCGGCTGGCTCAGCCTACTCTGTGGAGAAAGCTCTAACAGACAGCTAGCCCTTTACAGCTAACACATGCAACAGAGCATGCAGTGTGAGCTAGTGGAACAGGGGAAAATAAGTGCCATTCTCACACGAATCTCATAGACTCCATGAAGCAAAGATCCCACAAAGGCTCTGGCAATTATTAAAAATACCACATGGTCTGGACTTTAAAATATTCTGAGGCAAGATTACCGTCCATGGCTGTGCTGGGCATTTTCCAAACTGCTCTTGTAATCTTGTGATAGTTAAAATCCTATACCAGTCAGGATAGGGCAAGTTCTGCTAAGGTGATAACACTAAGCCTTAAGGTTTACTTGTTCTCAGTCAGCCTGCTGGGGTGCTCACCAGCTTCCTGAAGCAGCTTCCTTCGCATATTCATGTAATGCCCACAGCTCCTCTAATCTTGTGGTACTTCCATGAAAACATCTGTTTCTGATCATTGCAGCAGGAGGAGAGAACATGGAAAATCACCAAACAGCCTTGAATTTTTTCCCCAAAAATGACACATAGCATTGGACAAGATGATACCCATGGGCATCCTGCTTGTCTATAGGGCATGCTTTTAGGGAGCATTGGGAGTGGGCCCCAGAGATGCGTGATCATCTTTCCTGGACAGGGGGATTAGGACGTTTGCAACAGTGGTGCAGAGACTGAGTGGGGAGTCCAGGCTTTGAAATAGATTTTTCTCACCCACAGCTCTGCTCTGTCCACATCACCCGTGCACAGCACCCATCTGACTTGTCTCTGTGTGTCCTGGAGCGTCGAGCCTCAGCTACTGCAGACGGCACAGTTGTCACTCCTTCCTTCCTTCCCTATAAATATTCTCCCCATGACTCCTGAGCTTCTGCACTTTCCTGGTCTGCCTGCCCTGCTCAGGATCCTTTCCTGGGTATTGCTTGCTTCTCCAACTTGCAATGTTTGTGTTCCATGTGTTGGATCTCTTCTTCCTTCTCTCTCCTCTCTTATTTATCGCAGTCAGCCTCGTGACCTTAATTATTATCTACACAGTCAACTCAAGGCTTAGACCTCTAACTTGGAAATCTTTTTGTGCCTGAAACTTATAAACTGTCTATCTAACAGTGCATTTTGTACATTGAATAGAGAACTGAGCATGAATGATACCAAACACTTGATTTTTATCACCCTGACCAGAGCCAGTCCCCACCACCACCTTCTTGGACTCAGCAAGTGCAACTCCACCCATCCAATTTCCCAGGTCAGGCATTTTGGAGTCAACTTTGCTTTTTCTCACTCACAGTATTTAATCTAGAAAAATCTTGTGAACCTACCTTCATGTTATATCTAGAATATGATCATTTCTTACCACCACTTTGGTCCAAGTTTGTATCATCTGAGTTATTATAAAAGCTTTCTAACTTGGTCCCCTCCTCTGCTACTCTCTTGCCCACTCTATATTCATTTTTATTTCTTTTTTCTTCATATAGCCAGAGGGATTATTTACAAACACATTAGATCCCCTAACTCTTCTACATAAAACCTTATAGTAGCTTTCCATCTTAATCAGCATGTCAACACTTGTGTTGTTTCCAAAAGACTTGCAAATCTGAGCCTCTCTTGTTACCTCTCAGATGACATTTCTACTTTTCCTGCTTTTGCTCCTTATTTTCCAGCATAATCTCCTTCTTGTTCCTGCGTGAGCATGCCAGGAACACTCCTAGCTCAAACTTTTGCTCCTATGTTCTCTGCCTGGAATGTCCTTTCATCAAATATCTGAAGTTTTCTCTCTCACGTCTCTTAGAACTTTACATATTAATTTTGAAATTAATGCCATTGTGGTCAGAGAGCATCTTTTGTAAGACATGAATCTTTTTCAATTTATTGAAACCTGTCTTATGACCCAGAATATGATCTATCTTTGTAAATATCTCATATACATGTGAAGACTGTGTATTCTGCCATTGTTGAATGGAGTCTTCGATTAAGACAGTGTCAATTACGCCAAGTCAGCTGATAGTTTTGTACACATTTTCTATATCTTAATTGATTTTTTGTCTATTTGTTGTATCAATTATTAGGAGAAGGTTATTTGTGAGTGCAAGTGTAGATTTTTCCATTTTTCTTTATAATTCTATCGAGTTTCCCTTTTTCTCCATGTCTATTGAAGTCCATAAACATTTAGGACTGATATGTCATTTGATTAATTGACCCATTTATTATTACAAAATTATCTTTCTACCTTGTATTAATCTTTACTCTAAAATCTATCTTGTTATTGACATATCCCTTCCAGGCCTCCAGCTTTCTTTTCATTACTGTTAGCATTGTACAAATGTTTCCAACTTTTCCCTTTGAACCCATTTTTGTCTTTTTTTTCTTTCTTTTCTTTCTTTTTTTTGAGACAGAGTCTTGCTCTGTTGCCCAGGCTGGAGGGCAGTGGCATGATCTCGGCTCACTGCAACCTCTGCCTCCTGGGTTCAAGTGATTATCCTGCCTCAGCCTCCCGAGTAGCTGAAACTACAGGTGTGCGCCACCATGCCCCCCTAATTTTTTGTATTTTTAGTAGGAATCGTCCAATAGTACATACTTTTGCTTCTTCCCTCCTAACATCCGTCATATTATTAAAATTTATTTTCACGTGTCATAGACCTCCTTCTACATTGTCACTATTTTCATTTAAAGAATCAATAAGGCAGCCGGGTGCGGTGGCTGATGCCTGTAATCCCAGCACTTTGGGAGGCCGAGGCTGGCGGATCACGAGGTCAGGAGATCAAGACCACCCTGGCTAACACGGTGAAACCCCTTCTCTACTAAAAAAAAAAAATAGAAAAAATTAGCCGGGCGTGCTGGCTGGCACCTGTAGTCCCAGCTACTTAGGAGGCTGAGGCAGGAGAATGGCATGAACCCGGGAGGCGGAGCTTGCAGTGAGCCGAGATTGCGCCACTGCACTCCAGCCTGGCAACAGAGCAAGACTGCATCTCAAAAAAAAAAAAAAAAAAAAAAGAATCAATAAGGCCAGGAGCAGTGGCTCACCCCTGTAGTCCCAGCACTTTGTGAGGTGAGGCAAATGGATCACCAGAGGTTGGGAGTTTGAGACCAGCCTAGCTAACATGGTGAAACCCGATCTCTACTAAAAACACAAAATTAGCTGGGTGTGGTTGTGCACACCTGTAATCCCAGCTACTCGGGAGGCTGAGGCAGGAGAATCAGAGGTTGCAGGCGAAGGGGGATCATACCACTGCACTCCAGCCTGGGCAACAGAATGAAGTGGAGGTTGCAGTCGAGGTTGGAGGTTGCAGTGATGGGGGATTGTACCAGTGCACCCCAGCCTGGGCAACAGAGTGAGACTCTGTCTCAAAGAAAAAATAATAATAATATTTTAAAGAGATTTAAATTTTAAAAATCATATACATTGTCCCTATAATTACCATTTTTGGGTGTTCTTTTTTCCGGTGTATACAGTCATCTTTCCATCCGTTATGATTTTCCTTCTTTGAACAGTTCCTCTAGTGCATGTTTGTTTATCATGAATTCTCTTAGCTTTTATACATACTAAAAACTTTCCTTTATTTATTAAATATTTTTTGGGGGGGAGTGAGAGTAAGAATTCTGGGTGGATAGCTTATTTTTAATGTCCCTTAAATATGTTCCACTATCTTCTTGCTCACATTGTTTCTGATGAGAAATCTACTATCATCCTTTCCTGTAATTTCTGTATATAGTACATGTCCTTTTCTACTTCTGCATGATTTTAAGATGTTCTATTGATCACCGGTTTGAGCAGTTTGACTGGATATGCTTTCTGTTGTCTTCTTCATGTTCCTTGTGCTTGGAGTTTCTTGTACTTATTAGATCTGAGAGTTTATGGTTTTCATCAAATTTGGAAAAAATGGACATTATTATTCTATTTTATTTTATTTTATTTTATTTTATTTTATTTTATTTTATTTTATTTTATTTTGAGATGGAGTCTCACTCTGTTGCCCAGGCTGGAGTGCAGTGGCATGGTTTTTGCTCACTGCAACTGCAGCCTCCCAGGTTCAAGTGATTCTCCTGCCTCAGCCTCCTAATTAGCTGGGACTACAGGCACCTGCTACCACGCCCGGATTTTTTTTTTTTTTTTTCAGTAGAGACAGGGATTGGGATTCATCATATTGGCCAGGCTAGTCTTGAACTCCTGACCTTGTGATCTGTCTACCTCAGCCTCCCACAGTGCTGGGATTACAGGCATGAGCCACCATGCCCAGCCGACCTATTATCCTGTATGTTCTTTTGAGCATTCCTCCTGTCTTTATGGAACTCCAGTGACTTATATAATGAGGCTTTTGAGCCTGGCTGGTGGAAACAGGCACCATTCCCAACTCTATGTAAGCACCAAGTACTGTTCTAATCTCTTAGGGGGATCCTTCCCCTAGCCTTAGGTATAATAGTTTCCTCACCTGCATGTACTGCTCACCGTCTCTCTAAGGTCTCCTCAATCTGCTCTTTAAAAAATTGAACACTACCCAATTCCTATCCAGCCAGATGCCCTCTCCTGCTGTCTTACTTTCCATAGCACTTTATAAGCTTCTGGCCTGGTGAGCTGCAGTAGGGTAAGGGTTTGCTTCTGCTTATTCACTGCTATATTCCCTGCATCTAGGATGCCTACTGTGTCCCAAGCACACAGTAGATACACAATAAAAATGTATTGAATGGGTAAATAAGTGGTTGAATATTTGCATGATCATTGAGTGAATACATGACAGAATGAGCACTTGAAAGAATAAATTAATGTTCAGATAAGCCATTCCAGGGGAGACTGTTTGTATTCCTTCTTGTACCAATAAAAACTGTGTTTCATGACATCAATGTTCTTGTTCCATTTTTATCCTTAGTCTATTATTTGTTTAGCCACATATTCTGCCATATACATCTCAGCCTTAATTCTGGAACCAAGCAGGAGATCAGGGAAGAGATGCATGATGTCTTTGTACTTAAGAGGAGGTGATCAGCAGGCAGCTTCTTTACCCATTGCATGTACAAAAACAAAATCTAGAGGCTCCAGATAGATCCAGCTGATGCAACATTGAGGTAGGAGTAAATTGTGAGCAAGCAGAAACCACACAAGTAAGAAAAAAGTAGACTCAGGGGACACTGGAAAGCCAGAATGAAAAGGAAGTCAGAAAGGTGGGGAAAAATACAAGATAAACTGAGGAGTAAGCATTGAAAACAAGAGGGAATATAAGGATGGAGAGGATGTATGTGCATCCCAGGACATGGACCAATTGTGTTCCATGGTGAACTCTTCCGGACCCCCTTCATCCTGGTGATTGTAGACCTCTGTTTATCGGTCCTGGGATTTCTAACACAGCCTGTCCTCAAGCCATTTATCCCAGGTTGTCATAGAAACATGTATGCATTTCAGGCCATGAGGCCTTCGTTTGGGTTCAGAAAACATGAATTTTGCATGAATATGGCCAACATGCTTCTTCAGCTTCAAGAAGGCTATTTGGAAGAGGAGTGCTCCAGGAGTAGTTCTCAGGCAGGAGTGCTAGAGTCCCAGATAAGCGTCACACTCCGGTTTAAGTTAATCGTGAAATCGAATGCCTGGGTCTTCCTGGGTCTGGTGAAGGCCAAGCAAATCATGCTAACGTACAATAAATCATATACTTGACAGCAAAAATTGTAAAACATCAATCATAATTTAAAAAGTACAATTCATAAATGCCAGCAGCTTTGAAACAGTTTAAAAAATATGGATATTTTCAAGCCATAGAAATTTTTTTTAAATGTGGTTGTATAACAAAGAGTAAATTTTTTAAAGGAACAATTTCTAAAACTTGTATTACATTGTATGTGTAAACCCCTCATTAAAGAGCAGTAACTGCCAACATCCACTACAGAAAAAAGTCTTGAAATGTGAATCAATTTTGAGTGTATTCTTTGAGATGGAGGCTCATTTATTGTCTAAATAATTTTCTGTTCTTTCAGAACAGAGGTCAAAATGGTCATTTATTGAACCTGAGTCTGATGTGCAATTCAAAGTGAACTGCAGAAATTTCGATACAATGACATTTATTACAGAGCACTGATGATCTTAGTGAAATTTGGAACATCTTAGATAAAACCACAAATTATTGGCTTTGGTATTAAAAAGACAACCTGAGTACCACGAACCATTTTTCTTTGTTCTTCAGCATCATAGATAACACATAGCGACTTCTAGATATATGCACACGGCATGTATGTTTATGACTCTTTTGGCCAAATCATGATTCCTGCATGGCTGACATGCATTGGTGAACTACCGAATGATGAAAAATGCCTCCATAGTATCTTCCTGAATCCAGCCTTGAATGTGTTTTTAAGTAGGAGATGCTTCAGCCGTTATCCCATGGGCAACCTGCACAGTGGCTGGCAATAGTTTCTGAACCTCAGACCTCTGCTTAGGAAGTTCTTAAGCTCTGGTAAGTCAAGACAATATAATCGAGATGCGTCATTTTGCTGCTTCAGCCACATCCTTTAGTGAAGAACTAAATAGAATTTTGGGGCACTGACTGTCAGGCTATGACCATTTTGTGTCCTTCTCTTTGCTGTTCTCATGAAAGTACATTCCAGAATAATCTCAACTCAACAAGTAGACACTTAGGATTTATGTTACATATCATTCCTAACGATTTAGGCTGAAATTTGGGATCTGTGCATGCGCCATAGAATTGGCTATAGACTCTATTGTTTTAATTGGGAACACAGTTGAAATTATAATCTCATTGTATTATAACCTCGTTGTAATTGAAATCACTGAAATTACATTAAAATTATAATTACCTAATTGCTTGAAATGAGGACTGAACTGTGAAGTGAGGAAGGGTTACCAAACCCACTGATGAGATTTGGTAATTTACATAATTAAGTGGAATGGAGTTTGAAAAGTGACAGTGATTTGTTCACACCGGGGTGATTTCTAGGAAATATGCATATATAGCCCCCCACTCTCGGATTTAGAAAAGGTGTAAAAGCCATGTTTTGCAAATCCAATTACTGAAAACAGAGCATGTCTGGATTAAAAAAAATTTATATTTCACCCCTTCCTCTTCCTTGAAGGAAAGGCAGGAGGTTCATACATATACTCAGGGAGACAGAGTAGGAGTTTAGTGACTAGAAATAAATAGTGTGGCTTCAAAATCATAACGCATCAGCAGCACTCTAGAGTTGCTAAGCCCTGTATCCACCATTGCCTTATTAGTTACTGTAGACACCTACTGTGTGACTGGTGGGTGCTCTCATACCTGCCTGGCCCCCAGGGAGGAGGGGAGTGTGGGCTCACAGCCTTTCTGTGCAGGGGCTGGGCTTGGAACTGGCCCGGGGGCTGGCTCAGAGGAACTGTGCAGACAGGGAGAGCTCTGCAGCACCAGGTGCTGTCCTGGGGCTCATGTCTCCCATGCACCAGCCTCCTCTTTTGCCCTTTCCAGAATACTAACAAAACACAACAAAACATCCCCCCCGATGTTCAATTTTGGCTAGAGAGCAACATGGAGTTAGAGGTGACAATGCTTTCACTTAGATCAGCTCTGAGACTCCCAGTTGTAGGCTTTGATTGCACCTATGGGCAGGTGGGCCTCACTTACACAGCAGCTGCTTGTCAGAAGACTTTCATGTCACCACAACTGAATCGTATTCAAAATAAATTAATAAATTAGGTGGACTCACTACTTAAACCAACTAATTAATGGGCAGTCTTGCAAAGTAGATTTGCTAGATTTTTGATGTGACTGTTTCTGATTTGCCTGTTTTTGATTCGCATTTTGTCTTTATCATGTTTACATGTGTCAGAAAACTTTCAAAGTGTACTGGATTCAGAGTCTCAAAGTCAGTCGGGATGATTGACATTTTACAATTTCTTAACTTTCAAATCTTTATCAAATCTAACTTTCTCTTCCCCAATTCATATTTGGCAATGGGATTTTTGTACCAAAAAGTGGAACTTCACTTTTATTCTTCTACGCTCATCTTCATAGCTTCCACTCTAGTGACGGTGTGCTATGCCATGACTCAACTTTCAAATCTTTGTTCTACTTTTGAATTTGCATCCCTCTCAAACATGTGTCATCTGGAGACCGTGTCTTCTGCCTTGGTCCAAATTGCTGCAGAAAGCAAAACCACAGGGGCCCACTCCAGGGACACCGTGCCCAGGACAACACTCCCATCAAGAGCTTACAGATCGTTGTCTGGGGAAAAGAAGCGAATTGTCTTTGAGTCAATAATCTACCCTCTGAAGTTAGCAAGTTTCTGGGTTCATTCAACAATAGTGTCATCCGCACCCTCATATGCAAAGCATGCCATTCTCTCCTGTTGCTGTCAACCCAACCAAGCCTGACGTGGTTATTCCTAAAGATAGTTGCACCTTTTCCTTCTCGTTTTTTCCTTAGATTTGTGCTAGAAATTAGCCCTTCTCACGCTCACTTAACTAAGCTAAAAAAAAAAAAAATTAAATCATGAAATAATCCCTTCTCTGGAAGAAAATGAGAAGTTACAATCCTAAAGGAAGTCCAGAGAAGCCTGTGAGAGTTTTCGTTTTCTGTTTGAATTAAATAAATAAATGTATAAGGTTGAGTTTAACACTTTTTTTGTGGGGGGTGAGATGTTCACTTATACACTTTCATTTGCATAATGCCTTCACTGGAATAACTGGCTAAATACAGACCTTATGCCCATCACAAATTTGAATTTGCAGATTTCTCAGTGAGGAATACCTTCCCGAACAGGACAGTCCACCTACGTGCCCAGTTAGACTCTGTAGCTGGTGCGCAGCAGCTGTGTCTTTTGGTGACCTGAGCTAACATCAACTTCGAAAGTCAAGCGTGTCTGACCCAGGTAATGTCACCAGCATGGCTAGGCCTTCCCACTGTGAAAACCTTAACCAATATTCACTCTGTTGGTCCCTGGGGCCTCCCAGTGGGCCACACTTTCCCATCACTGAGGACCCCTCCTTAACCCAAGGCCACCTCTCAAGCATGTTGGGATTTAGAAAAAAGAACAGGGGCTGCTCTTTTCATCTGGGTTCCAGATTCCCCTGACTGTCATTTGACCTGGGAAGATAGTGAGAGACGTGAATGAGCTCTGAGGGTCCCAGGTGCCTTGCTGAATGGCCTTGTCACCCTGGGGTGGGCTGGGGTTAAGACCTCTGCTCTCCTGAAAAGCTCAGGGAAGCTTCTCAAGCCATGGGCAGTGACTCATGCCTTTAACCCCAACACTTGGGAGGCTGAGGCAGGAGGATCACTTGGGCCCAAGAGTTTGAGATCAGCCTGGGCAACATAGTGAGACCTTCATCTCTACAGTTTTATTTTTAATTAGCCAGGTGTGGTGGCACACACCTGTAGACCCACCTACATGGCTGGCTGAGGTGCGAGGATTGTTTCGGCCCAGGAATTGGAGGCTGCAGATGAGCTAGGATGATGCCACTGCACTGCAGCCTGGGTGACAGAGGCAGTTATTTGTCTCTAAAACAAACAAACCACCACCCAACCAAAAGGAGGAACTCAGAGGAATGGAGAGCTGCTCTCCTTAGACGTGGCATGGGCCAGATCTGGCTGAAGTTTGGCTTTGAAGCCAAGCCTTGGACCAGCTACACAGAGAGAATGGCTACCCTCCCCGGTGAGCCTTTCCACCATCACAGCCTACCTCCCGGATGCCTTCTACCTGCTCTGGGACAAGATGGATGCTGGGGTTACCCCCGGGTCCTGAAGAAGAAACTTGATGGAGATAAAAAGGGAACTAGCAGGAAGATCTGAGGATGCAGAATGGAGGTATAATGGCTTTTGCCAACCAATGTCTTTTGGGAAAAACATGAACTTTATTATTATTCCTTATGAGTGTTTATAGAGAAATAAAGGAAAATCTAATGATAGAAATGAACACAATTTTTCAGTTTCAAAGCTGGCCTACAAAAGGAATTCTGGCTTGAAATGTGGATGTTTCTATTTAGTATGAAATAAGCCCTGGCTAATGTCTGCACTTATACATTTCCAGCCCAAGGCTTAGCTGATTTTGGAAGAGTGGAGTGATGGAACCATGTGTGACCATTGCCTCAAAACCCAGTCAGACACAGCCCAGGAAATACAGCAAATGCCAAGAGACAGCTAGCAGGAAGCGAGGTGGAAGGATTTGAGAGAAAGGAAACGTATCATGTCCTGCAGTTCAGGTGAAGAGCCATATAGTGGAGAATGTAATTGAAAGCCTTGGAGAAAATGGCCCACAAAGCCATCACTGAGAAATACCCATAAATTTCAAACCAGGAGCAATGTTTCTACATTTTTATGGGATCCTGAAACTCTGGGGCAATGGTGGATTTGTCACTGCTGCTGTGATACCCTGAACTTATCTACTTCAGCATATACCATTTATGCACAAGCAGTTTGTCATTTTGATCATTTCTGCGGGTTAGGCTGAAATTTGTCTTTCTGTTACCTATGTTTACAGTGCTTACTGTTGGAAAAAATTGAAAGCTTTGGAAGTTCATCACAAAAGATAAATTCCAAAAGCCAAAAGTTTCTGGATAGTGTGACAGTCCCTCAGCAAATTTATTTTATTTTATGGTCTGAGAGAAAGCAACTGTGTTGTGACGGCCGTTACCTTGAACCTACTAAACTCTCACCTGTGCGGGAAGAGTCCCGTGGTGGAGCTGACTTTGACAGAGGCCTGGAGGAAGCACCCGCAGGAACAGGTGTGAAGGGTCAAAGGCCGTGTGCCCTGTGGTGTTGGCCTATGTCTTTCTCCCAACTAATTTTGGGTAGGAAAGGAAAGCATATTATATTGGACAAAGTTAAATTGTATTATATTTCTGAGTCTTTAGCCTATAACACACAGAAAGTCACACCTATTATATTTCCATCATCACCATAATAAATTACCCCAGACGTAGCATTTAAAATAGCATAAATTTGTCATCTTACCATTTTGTAGGTCAAGGTTCAACACGGGGATGGCTGGACTAAGATCAAGGTGTTGCAGACTGTGTTTGCTCCTTTCTGGATGATCTGGGGGAGAATCCATCCCCTCGACTTTTCCAGCATCTAGGGGCTCGTTCACTGGGATTGCTGGTGGAATTCAGTTCGCTGAGCTCCTGGGACCCAGGTCCCTGTTTTGGTGCTGGCTGTCAGCCGAGGACTCTTCCAGCTTCTCCAGATTGTCTTCATTCTGTGGCTCATGGTCCACTTCCTTTGTCTTCACAGCAAGCAGTGGTGGGTGGATTCCCTCTCACGTCACAACTCTGCTTGTGAGGCCTTGAGTGGATTAGATTGCATCCACAAAGATTATCCGGGATAATCTCCCCATTTCAAGATCCTTTGTCTTAATCTCATCTGGGAAACTTCTTTTGCAGTGTAAGGTCACATTGCACGGGTCACAGGGTTAATCTGCTCATCTTTGTGTGGGGAGTCATCATTCTCCCTATTTTCTCTACTGTACAATATAATATATTGTATGCATTAACCCCATCTTATTTGTGTTATTAAGTTCCTATAAATGTAATAACAAGTAAGATGGGGCTAATATTTATCTTGCGTACTAAAAGTGAGTAATTTTGTGCTGATTAAAAATATTCTTACTTACTTAACATTACCTTCTAAAGACTTTATCTAGTGGGTTCATTAGGATATGGTTAAAATTATTAAAATTGAATTGCTTTACAGTATATTCGATAATCCACTCCTCTTTCTAATTCAGGCTGGCCTACACTATTCGCTGACATCAGATATAAGTAGGAAGCTACCATACACCTGTGTATACCTCAGGTCTGGGCCTTAGCCTGCAGCTTCCCTGGGCCCTGCTCAGCTGGGATTCCCAATACTTTTTACTCAGGGGTGCTGCCATTCTTCTCAATCTCTTCTTTTTTTCAAAGGGCTTGTTTAGTGTGTGGCTTCCCCACTGGAAGTTGTGAGGGCAAGGATCACCTGTGTTCTGTCATTGAGCATCCAAACTTAGTGCACTGTGTCTACAGAAAAGTAGGTTCTTCATAAACGATGATAAGCTTGAGATACAGGACGAACGAATGGATGCATAGGTGGCTAGATGGATGGATGAATCAATGATTCTGTAGAATAGATTCTTGAATTGAGAGGTATTTTCCTTGCAATAACTCTGGCTTTCATTCAATACTTAGATTCTGTGATCCTGTAAGTCTGGCCCTATTAGGAAAATAATCCTTCCTACTTAGATAGTTCCGTATGCTGTTTAAACATTGTCACATCCATTGTTTCCTTAGTTCACCCACAGCTAGGATAGATAGATCTCATCCTTGTATGTAATACTTGGAGGTGGAGACTCAAAAGCTAATTAGTTTGAGAGAAAGGACAGAATTCCAGACTCTTCATTTCCAGTCCAATACGTTTGTTCTATGTTCAGTCTTGGGCACAATCAACAATTCACCAGGCTATTAAACCCACACATATGCAAATGTTGACAGAATGTGTGGATCTAATGTCCAAATTCTGGTTTTAAAAAGTGGAGGTAGAATTCTTCCTGAACCACAAAGGCAAGTCCCAAGCCCCAGGGAGGGCTGTGTGTTTGAGCAGGAACATCAGGGTCTTCAGTCATCTCTTCCAGGATCGTCCCTTATTAGGCAAGATCTTTCTTTACAATATAGATCTTTTTGAATATTTGTATTTTTACAATACATTAAACACGAATACTATGTTTTCAAGATAAGAGGAAGATATGTGTCTAAAATATGTGGTTCAAGGGACTGTAGGGCTCTAAAAATCTCGAAGTCCAAAATTATAGTTTCTACGTGTTGAGGGTCGGTCTTACTGGTCTCAACATGTATTCTGGCATCCGCCAGAGCCACTGTACAGAGAAGAGCTGAGCAACTTAAGCTGAGTCTGAGGGGGCACTTTAGAGACCAAAACCAGAAGGCATTGTCAAATCTAGTAGACAGTCACGCAGGTTGTGTTTACTACATCTTCTTTCCCTCAAAAACCCTCACAACATTATCTGTACATCTTAGCCTTAGTCTCCATTATATGACTTTTGCCTTTTTTCCTGCAGTTAAAAATAAATACATTCAGGAATCATTTTCCTGCAAAGATAACCCTTAAATGTTACCATTTGAAAGAAGGTATGGTTTTCTGTGTATCCTTAAAGGACAACAGCCCTCAAATTCTGTCTTTCCAATAGGATCCTGGTGTACCTTCCCTCAGACCCAATGAGATGGGCACATACTCCCATTACACCCCTTTCTACAGCAAATGCAGACTTGTTTTATGACACTTGATGGTATTAAGCTTTGTTTCCCAAGAGATTGGTATTCTGTGTTCCAAGCGTCTGCACCTTGACTAATTTACACCATGTGAACTTCTGGAGACGATTTGCTCTGTGTCGTCAGATTGGAGGGTCTGCAAGCTGCTACCAGAGGAGCTCAGAAGCCTCATGGTTTTCCTTTCATAGAAAAATGTACACCACAAGAATGGAAGCAGCCTGACAAATGACCAACGCTTACAGAAATCCCTGCCATTTGTACTCCAGGATTTTGGAACGTGTTTATTTTCTTGTTGTTTTTATTTCAGTGTCTGCTTTTGAGAGCCAACCTGGCTTTCAGGGACTATTACCCAGGGTAAAATGTTTCCATAGAAACCTCCTGCTGAGACATATTGGGCAAATCCTCATTTTGAATCTAGTTCATAAATAATCATTAAGGGTTTGTTTTATTATATTTAAAGATAGAATAGAAAAAGAAACAAGAGGAGAAGAAGGAGAAAGAGGAAGAGGAGAAGGAAGAAGAGGAGGAGGAAGGGGAAGAGGATCAGAAAAGCACACGCCCTCAATGTATTGTTGGCTATTAAGCTAAATTGGCTTGTTTCAAGCTTCTTTTAGCAAGATCTTTCTTTAAGAAACACTGTAATATTGATTGTCTGAGTGTATGCATCTGGAAACTTTTTCCTAAGTAAGTCTTGACTTGAATGGCTCTGTAAAGTGCTTGCATTTGGAGAAAAACAACAACGAAATGCTTCTCTGTGTGGATGAGCTCCACAAGCATGTGGGGGAGCACACTGGGTGTCTCAGCATGTGTGTGGGGATGCGTGGTGACATAATGACTTGCTCATAGCAGAAGCACATCCAGCTCTGTTTTACGTGGAAACAGCACATCATGAATTAACTGTCATGCTCCATCCGTGTTCACCAAGATACATAAACATGTGCTGCTTTCAGGCAGGTAGCACCCCTATCTTCAGAGTGACATAAAAGACACACAAAATGGATAAGATTCCTGCATTATCTTCCATAACGCAGACTGGTGGGTAATAGGTAAAATGATTTGCATTATTTATCTTTGTAGAATTAATATCACTCCTTCAATAAGATACTGTACTTGTCACTGGATTTTATTGGTCTTTAGTTTGTAATGACACAAAAACTCTTTAGATCCACACTATCTACAGTCTCTAGTCATCTTTTGTAGAATGAATCAGGTTATAATAATTGATGTTTTCTTGGTAAGACTTCTCCAAAACATGTACCAAAGTCTCCAAGATGACTGTGTTGCAGCTATAGCTCCTGCTTCAAGACTGCTTATTTGGAAAGGCCTCCTCCCTTGTGGCAGACTGGGACCCATTCTTTAGGTTCAATCACACAGTAGCCAACTTGCCTGCTTCATATTTGTAATTGAAATATTGTTTGAACAATGAGTCAGGATTTTCAGTTGTAAGCCACAGAACAACGTCTGGCAGATTTATGAAAAAATGATTGTGTTTAAAGGATGTTGGGGATATCACAGACTCCCTGGAAAGGCTGAAGAATGAGGCGTGAGGCTGTACACAGCCAGGGACCATCAGCACTGAGGATACCCTTCCTTGGACCACACTCAGCTCTGAGGGCTGGAACAGCCACCAGGGAAGGGCTTGGGGCTGGACCTCAGACAACTTCCATACCACGAACATGATCTTCTCACAGCCAATAAGTATTTTACAGGCTTGCCTGGATCCCACATAAACCTCTAAGGTGAGAGATTAGGGCATGCATTTGTGCCCCAGATCTGAGGGGCCTGGGACAGGGAGCTAGGGAACAGGGTCTCCACATGAAGGGAGACTGGGCAGATGCTGAGCAGCCAAAACACATTGGCAAAAAAAAAAAAAAAAAAAATCCATTGAAGGCAGTTATTTAACTCATATCTCCCTCACTAAATGATAATCTCCATGAGATCAGGGGCTGTGAAACCCTATGAATCTCAAGACTCAACAGAGAGCAGCACTGAACCACAAACACTTGAGCAAAGGGCTAGACTGAGTGATGCACTTGGACGCATGCCTGTGGCCATTATTATTGTTATTACTATTATTTGCTGTAACCTCCATAGTCCTAGCCAGGTTCCAGGGGTTGCTAGATAGTTCATATTTACCACCTTACTGGTTCATGGTCTTGGATCAGGTTGCCAGCACAAAGTCCCCTATGTTTACTCTTTCTGGCCTCACTGATGGAACCATTCAAGATCTAAAACACAAAAATCTTTCTAAATGACGGCAATAACAATGAGAAAGAAGCTGAACAGTGCATGGTTAAGGTGATTTTTCCCCTAATAGCACCACTGTTAGAGACATTGGCTGACCTTGGGGAATTTTAAGAGGCTACCTGGAAATAGCACTGCCCACAAGAAGATGCTCAGCTGCACTGCTGGACCCCTTGTGCGGAATGTGATATTAGAACCATCTCAATAGCAACTAAATTGGTTAACTATGAGAACGAACTTTGATTCTAAAACCACTCATTGGAAAAAAAAAATAGATGCTTGGATTAAAAAATAATTCACTTGGCAGGACACCAAATATAAAATATATCTCTTGGTTTGTGTAAATTTTGCCTGGAGGCAGGTAAGCAGACCAAATTGCTCCTTTAGATTCTTTGAGCTTTTATAATTTTGTAATAATTAATATACAATTGGACACCTTGAAAAATTGACAAATGATTTATTTGCTTAAAAAATATATAAGAAACAATTTTCTCTTTCCACAAAGGAAAAGGAGCTCTGCTAATAAAAAACATCACAATGTGGGAAGCTTGTCTATAAAACACACAACGACCTTTTTCTTTTTCACTCAGATTCACCAACATGCAAACATATGGCCTGAACCACACACTCATATCCTGGCTTTCATATTTATGAATATTATTGAGCAGGAGGAGGGTTGAGCTACAGCATATTCTTCCATCTCTGGGCTTCTTAAAATAGGGACCATACCCCATGTTCACTTTGCATTTTCCATCGTATATATTAGACCTATCTATTACCATCTATCTGTCTGTATATACATATTATCTATCTATCTTTCTGTCAAGTGTCTATCATTTAGCTACCCATCCACCTAAGTATTGTAGTTGTAATTAAAAATAATGCATAGATGAATACACATGAAAACATAGACAATGCATATCTCCATAATGCATAAAGAGTATTTTGTAGTTTTCTTATTTTAGGAAATGTATTTGTCTTCTAACATTCAGAGACTCATAGATTCATACAGTCAGGAGGCCCTGTGTGACCACAGAATATCTAAAGTGCCTCCTTATCTCCAAAACGAAGAAAGAGGAAGCTCGGAGCAGAGAAAGAGCTTGTCCAAACTCACTTACTTCTTAATGGCCTGCTGGAACTAGAACACATTTTAACCTATGTTGCCCATATTTATTTTGTTGATGTATGTATCACACCAGAGGAAGCTAAAGTTAATTAAACATCACTCATCTGTCATCCTCTGTTTTAGCATGGTTTCCATGGTACAATGCAGCAAAGTTTCTGTGAGGAAGGTCTAAAGTTGCTTCCCATGATTGCAGTCCCATCCCAGGTAGGTGGAAAAAGAACAGGCTCTTTTCTACATAGAGATCACAGTGGTGGGATGGGAAAAGTCATTGCTAATGGACAGAGAAGGCTCATCTCATCCACTTTACTGCTGTCCATTCCACCCTCAACTGTCTGTTCACGAAGATTAGTCATTTACTTTTTTCTGGTTTTCTTAGCTAGGATGAGCTTTCTTTTCAACAATCGAGATTGTTTCTTTTATAATGAGGCCCGGCTCCTCGTTCTGTTGTTTCTTCTATAATGAGGCCCTAGCTCATTATTATTTTATTCCTGTTTCTGTTTTCATTTCATAGTGTTCAAAGATTATAAGTAATATCATCTCATTAATTCATTGCTGGCAGGAACAAACACCCAGAGATGTATAATTATAATGACTTTGGCACAAATCTTTAGCAGAGTCTGGGGAATTTTGCCTGTAATTCAAAAGTATCTGTGCCTGTGGAAATCCTTCATAAAGCAAGCCACCAAATTACCTCTAACTGCTTTTATTATGGTGAACGATGGTCTTTCCAAAGCGGTGCACATAGTATTACACAGGATGCAAAAATGGCTCTGGCCAGACTGTCATCTACATATTTTTTGAGCATTCCAGGGATAGTATTATTGTGCCAGACAGAGGACAGAGAGGTTTTTACCGTCCCACAGCACCCCTGATATGGCCAAGGCTTCTCAGTTGGAAAAGATGGCTCAGTGAAAACTCTTCCAAACGTTGATGGATTCACCCCAAAGTGCAAATTCTATTAGCAGTTCCTCTGCATGACAGTTGCTAGTAGGGGAGCTTGATGCATAAACAAACAGGCTCTGGGGAGCTCCCTGAACTACATTTATTAAAATGCAAAAGTTTGATCTGATAAGCTGGTGGTTCCAGAAATAATTTTTATTCAACAAACAGAAACAATCTTCAAATAGAGAGCTGAGACTGAACGACCATATTTCCCCATTATGTGTATCATCAGGCGTACGATTAGCAATGACATCCCAGGGATTTGTCACGGCTGAACTAGCAGCAGGATAAGCCCAGGTAGCAGTCCTAAAATTCTGATTGTAAGTGAATGCAGTAAAACACCTGGAGTTGTTAATAAGAATAAAATGTCTCTAAGTTTCATATTAGTTTATATAATTTTTCCCCATAATTAAAACTCCAGATATCTTATTCCATTCAACTTCACACAAGCTTCATAAAAGCATTGTCAACTAGTTTCATAAACTATTGTGGGAATTCTAAAGACACATGTGATTTCTTCATCATTTATTTTCCAAGCTAGTCATTAAATTATTCCATACGTTTTCACAGAAGCAGAGAAGCTAAAAAGCTTACATAACATTGTCATGTGATTCCATCCTCCTGTTTTAGAGGTCACTGCTAAAGTCTGTTTTCTTTTCCTTTCTTTTCTTTTCAGACAGGGCCTCACTGTGCCATCCAGGCTGGTGTGCAATGGCACGATTTCTGCTCACTGCAACCTCCACCTCGCCAGCTCAAGTGATCCTCCCACTTCAGCCTACTGAGTAGCTGAGACTACAGGCCTGTGCCACCACACCACGCTAATTTTTCATACATTTTTGTAGAGGCAAGATATTGCAATATTACCCAGGCAGGTCTGGAAATCCTGAGCTCAAGTAATCGGCCCGTCTCAGCCTCCCAAAGTGCTGGAACTACAGGCATGAGCCACCGCGCCTGGCCTCTGTTTCTTTTTAATATTAGTGTTAATATAGTAAAATTTAGGTGAATCAATCACTTTTTTCTTAAGAACTGTATTGATATATTACATCATTCTTTACAAATAAAGACAGCTTTTTTTTCTACTTAAAGATTTTTGCATGTCACCATAATCAGAGTTCTATATAAGTTCCGTTGCAAGAAACAGAAATATAATTGACCCTTCTACAAGGACTGTTCATTGGCTAAGCCGATAAGTTTTCAGAAAGTTTCTCGCTATTGTGATTTTCAAGAGACATGGGAAGATAAAAGAATGGTAGGGTACAGTAATGCCTTACACATATTCAAAACTTAATCGAGAAGATATGACATAAATAAAGGCAGAAAATGGTGAACTAGTTATATGACTGTCTTTATAAGAAAAACGTAAATAGAGCCAGGGTGGCTGGATCCACTTTCTCTTGTTGCCGTAACATTTGCCTCCATTCTCACAGTGGCAGCATCCCCACCAATGTACTGGTGCCTCTGCAACTTCTCAGTTGCTCTTATTTCAAATATCTGACATTTAAAAAGAGCACTTAAAAATATCAACGCAAAATGTGATTTATATCTCTGCAGCGAATCAGAACAACCTCATATGTCTCTTGCTCAGGCAAATGGTCTTGGTTCACTGGTCTTCTAAAATGATATAAATGATACCTGTCTTTTCTCTGCTTTGGGGAGGGTGGTTGAAATTCCATGCCAATTTATACACTGCTGTCAACGCTTCTGCCTTTTAATGATATCTCTTAACTCTTCTGTTGAGACTTCAAAAAAATATTTCATTAAGCTACTTCTTATTTTAAATATCTTGCCTATCCTCCAGGTTCCTGTGATTCTGATCATTCCCCAGGCTGCCTCCACAGGCATGAGGCAGAAGTAAATGAGCAAAAGTATTCATTATTTCTGCTGCCATGGAAAGTGCCAGTGTTTCCTACACCTGTTTGGAAATAATTACTGTGCAATTCACAACTAAAGGATGCAAGTTGCAAAGCCTCTCTGAACACACCTCAAATCTTGTATTTCTGGCCTTGTATAACTGGTCCAACTTTTAAACACCTGCTATTATGACTTGCATGAGTGAGTTCTAAAACTTGTCAATATTTATATTTATTTTTGAAACTTGGACAACTTAAATGACAGATTCTATTGCAGCTGCATCTTTTCTATTACAGACCGTTCATATTTTTTCTACATGGATTTTGCATGTAATAATGATGAAGTGTTTATCTTTTACTTAGTGAGTGATTATTGCTAAAAAGAAAAGGCAAATCATATACACCAAAAAAGGGCTATTTTCTTTTGCCATTTAAATGTTAGAGGTCTCATTGTAATCTTTTTGTTTGTATCCTAAATATGTGTCTTATCACTATAGAATATGGGTTATTGTAGAACTTACTATTATGGAGGTAATTCTTTTAAAGGGAATATATATATATATATTTTAAGGGAATATATATATATATTTTAAGGGAATATATATATATTTTAAGGGTATATATATATATTTTAAGGGAATATATATATGTATATTTTAAGGGAATATATATATATATATATATATATATATATATATTTGCTTGGGGGAGACACCTTTAATCACCTAAGTAAAGATAAATGGGGAAAAGTTCAACAACTCAATGATTCCTGCATATTTCAGAAAAACTCCTGGCACAACCCTGAGACACATTGAGTTACAAAAGGCAAGGCACTAGGACAGTGACCCATCCCCGACACACTGGAAATTGTGCTCTTTTCTGTAGGTAGCAGGCACCTATACATGGCTCTGGTGGGCATTGCTGGATGCTCCGAAGGTCTGAGAGCTGCCTGAGGGAGGGTCTGCATGAAGAACTGCAGGGCCTTCTGGCAGTCAACGTATCTGGGAGACAAGGGCTCCATGCCATGTGTTGGAACGAAGTGCCAGCCTGAAAGGAGGGTGATTCTGAGTATGCCTAGCGTCTGCCGTGATGATCCTTCCCTGAGCCCAGCCAGCCAGAAACCCACTCAGAGGTGCTCTGCAGAGGTAGGGCTGCAAGTAAAAACTAAAAGAGCCATTTCCCTGTCAATGAACGATGACAGGGGATCCAGGCAAGTAACTTTGGTGACATATTATTATTTCCGTATACTGAGGGCAGATGTGCATTTTCTCTCTTTGCATCTGGCTGTAGAAAGCCACTTTGTCTATATGAAAGCCTGTGCCTGGGTGAGGATGAGGATGCCTGGCTCCAAGAGCTGAGGACAGCAGGGGCTCTCAGGGTGTGATGGACAGATGACATTTGGGGGACTGGACAGACTGAGCGAGAAGCACATGGTGAATACCGCTTGGGGCCTCCCAGAAACAGATGGGGTATTTTTTGTTCCTGCATGACCGTGAGGGGCGAGAGCTGCAAGTCAGCACATGTAACTACAGGGTCACTGGTGTCCCAGTGAGGCTAGGGAATCTGGCTGTTCTTGCTGAACTACTGAGATCTGGGGTGGCCCAGCAGGTGGCCAGCTTGTGTGTCCCAAGACCTGTAATAAGAGGGTCCAGGGCACTTCATGAACTAGTGGAAGGCAACCTATCTGATCAGTATTCCATATGACAGACAGGATAAAAGGATGCACCAGAAAGCTACCTCTTCATGAATACAACAGCATTGAGGACCAGGAACCAATTGCTGCCTGAATGTTAATTCTTGTGTAGTGTTTCATGATTTATGAAATCACCCTTGGTCTAGCTAGATTTTCGTAAGTGGAAGATTGGCCAATGGTTTCGACAGCTGGTATGAAAGTACAAGAAATTGCATTTAGTGTTTCATGGCTAGAAGATGCAACACACAGTAACTGGTATAACTGTTCAGTGATATAAGGGATGAAGGGGCCTCAATGCCTCTGGTCCGCTTCCACCAGCTATTCCTTCCTCACCCACACCAAGGCTCTGTAATCGCCACCCACAATCTGATGGGATTTATGCATGGATTTGAATTCATACAACTTGGGTTCATTTGAATGTATACAACTTGGGACATGTTGTACCTTCTTACAGACTCCATGGGGATCAGTTCTAATAGTAGTTTGTTTCTCACTCATCTTGGGGGTAGCACCATGTGTTCTTTCTTTTTTCTTTCTTTCTTTGTGAATGTCTGTGTGTGTGAGATGGAGTTTCACTCTTGTTGCCCAGGCTAGAGTGCAATGGGTGCGATCTCAGCTCACCGCAACCTCCACCTCCAGGGTTCAAGCGATTCTCCTACCTCAGCCTCCTGAGTAGCTGGGATTACAGGCGCCCACCACCACACCTGGCTAATTTTGTATTTTTAGTAGAGACAGGGTTTCTCCATGTTGGTCAGACTGGTCTCGAACTCCCAACCTGAGGTGATCTGCCCGCCTCAGCCTCCCAAAGTGCTGGGATTACAGGCGTGAGCCACCATGCCTGGCCATGTTCTACTTTCATTAGAGAGAGCTAGTAGACCTGGGGTCATTTTGTAAAGCATGAAACACTACACAAGAGCTAAGACTCTGCCCTTAGTAACTTGCCTATTGTTGGGAGTTTCCCAGTCAGGAAAACCAGCCCCCATGCCAGGCTCTTGACACTACAGACAATGTGTTTAGGGTTCCACCTAAACACCTCCTGAAACCGTTTACATCAGAGCTCCAAAGAGTCACTGAATGGCCACAAACTTGTAGGAAGCTTCCAAGGATGTGATAGGACTGAATGAAGAAATGCTTAGAAGGAAACTCTCCCTTGCGCCTGAGGAACATCCATGCTTCTCAAACCAAAAGTGGGTTTTACGTCCTCAGCTTCTTTTCCCCTGATGATCCCCTCCTTGGAGTGTGTGCTCATTGGTGTTCTAGACTGTGAATCTCTGCCATGCTTCCTATTTCTCCCCTCGACCAGATCCCACACTCTGGAGTGCCATGTCCTAACAGGTCCGGATAGAGATCCAGATTCTACAGCAAGGAGGGGAGTGCCTCAGGGGCGGAATCTGAATGGAGAAAAGTCCGCAGGAAGCACTTGGAGATGCTGGTTGGCTTCACCTGACTTTCTTAAAGTAAGAGGCTCTTCACCTTTAATTAACATCCATTCAGTGAATTTCCCTCTGCAATGTCCTGCCTGAAACTCTTCTCTGGACTTCTCTGCACTCGCTGGAGCAGGGCTCCTCAGGTCACCACTGCACTTGAAGGCTTATGTTCAAAAGCCCAGCATGTTGTGATGACAAAAAATTTGGAAGGCTGTGGCCGGGCACGGTGGCTCACACCTGTAATCCCAGCACTTTGGGAGGCTGAGGCAGGCAGATCACAAGGTCAGGAGATCATGACCATCCTGGCTAACACGGTGAAACCCCGTCTCTACTAAAAATATAAAAAATTAGCCAGGCGTGGTGGTGGGCGCCTGTAATCCCAGCTACTTGGGAGGCTGAGGCAGAAGAATGGCGTGAACCCCGGAGGTGGAGCTTGCAGTGAGCCCAGATCGTGCCACTGCACTCTAGCCCGGGTGACAGAGCAAGACTCCATCTCCAAAAAAAAACAAGCAAACAAACAAACAAACAAAAAATTTAGAAGGCTGTAACCGGCAGTTTTTGCGTAACTATTTTTTTTAACAAGTACTGCTGAAATTATGTAGGAGCACTTCTTAAGCACGCTGATGATAAAAAGGGCAGGGTGTGATTCTTGGAGCACTCTCAATGCGACAGGTAGTTTCAGGTAAAATGAGAAAATTAAGATGATGTGGTCTTCTGTGACACTGGCCATCCTCAGGTAAATATTAAAATGTGATTGAGAAATTATTGCAAACCACTTAAACACCAGGCTGAAAGGGAGAACAAAAGATCCACTCCAACTAGAACCCTCGGCTGGTGGAGAAACGGGAGATCTCTCTCCTCCCATGGTTCTCCTCAAAGTTCTTTGTCATGCATGGCCCCTGCATTGGGGGTCTGGTGCAATTCTGGCAGCAAAAGGCCAATTACTCTGGGACTCCCCCCACCCCCTGGGTTTGGAAGCTTATGGAACAAGGGAAAAACCTAAACACTATTGCCCCTGGAGTCAATGCCATTCCATGCTACCTGCTGACCTGTTCACCTGTCTACCAACCAGAAATATCTGCTAATTTAGCAGAAGGTTTTAGAGCCCATCACTTGGTCTCTAGGCAAGCTAGATTGGACTGATGCAGGGTTAGGCATTTGGCCCTGTGTTCAGTGAAGGGAGAAGAGCTGCTAGACAAGCTTTCTATGGTGAGTGCCCTTAGGACCTCTGTTTTGCAGGTTGTCAATTTTCAGAAGGCTCACATTGCCTGTCTACTTAGCTAAAGAGCAATATTAGTGGTCTTTCAAATGATGGGCATCCATCCTTTCCTAAATCCTAGCACTCTGAGTTGCAAAACTGGCTACTATCTTTTGAATACGAGCAGAGTATTTTTGGAAGCTGTATAGTTCTTGGTATCTCTCGATTTGGCTTAGAGTTCATCTTGATGAATAATTCCATAGGGAGGGAAAGCAAAGAAATAAAACAATATTTGAAGGGTTAAATTCTATAAAATGCCTCATCGTGCTCGCAGGAGAGATCTCTGGGTCTCCATTGTGCAAATGAGTTTAATTCCTATTTAAAGGGCTTTCACTTAAATCCTCCCCTTATCCCTAAAGCAAGCTAAAATTACCAGACATGTGGAGAATTTGAAGTGTAAAATCCTTCTTAAAGAGAATTTCTGTTTGTAATGAGAGAATAGCAAAGAGACAGGGAGAGGAAGAGAGAGGGAAGAATCAAGACATGAATTCCATACATCTGAATACTGTATATACAGTAATTTCTTTCACATCCTCACCTCAAATGAAATGCCTTGGACTTCAGGATATCACAACTGAGAAACTTAGTTCAGAAACAAGAGGACAACCTAGACAAGCATTTAGAGCACTTTGCCAGCATCTCACTTTTAATGGTGCAACTGCAAACGAGTGTAGGTTTGTAATTAGGAAACAGAACAGATGGTGAAGACTTAGTTTAAAGTGTTCATTAAAATAACCTACACTGCCAAGTTACTGTTCCCTGCTAGGAGGCTGCTGCTCAGTTGAAATATGTTGCACTGAGATGAGATGCAGGAAAAGATCACTGCGGTAGGGAATGGGGCATAATTGTTTCCCAATTGTCTGCCAATTTCCAGATGTGTGCAGCTGGGAGGCTCCATTTCTGTAATCAAAGTGGGTACAGAATATCTGAAGCTCCCTGCAAATTCCTTGTCAAATACATATAATCTCTTAGCATTGCATCAAGAAATGCAGTTTTCTGGTGTATCGGTTGCAGTCAGCCGCTTAGAGAGCCCCCATTCCTCCTGCTCTGTGGCGTTCGTGACCTTGTGTGAACCCTCCTTTGAGAGTGAGCTCGACTTAATGACTGGCTTCTCAGGAATACAGAGGACAGGAGAGAGGGGATGTCACTTCTAAGATTAGACTGCAAAAATGCCAGCTTCCAGGGGCTGGGAAGGATGTGGGTATTTGTGGAGGGGAAGGAGGGATGAATAGAGGTTGTTAAATAGGTAAAAATATACAGTCAGAAGGAGTAAGTTCTAATGTTCGACAATAGATTAGGGTGACTGTAGTAAACAACAATGTATTGTACATTTCAAAATAGCTAGATTTGATGACTTGAAATATTCTCAACACATAGAAATGATACATGCATGAGGTGACAGATACCCTCAATACCTGACTTGATCATTACATTCTGTGCATATAACAAAAAAATCACATGTACCCCGTTAATATACCACATATATATCAATACAAATAATTGAAATCTCCCCAATCTGGGTATCCGGTGTCACTCACTTGCTCTGAGGGAAGCCAGCTGCTGTGCTGTGAGCTGCCCTGTGGAGAGGCCCAGGTAAGGAATGGATGCTTCTGGTCAACAGCTAGTGAGGACAAGAACCTGGAGTCACCAGTAGCCACTGAGAGAGCGTGGAAGAGGATTCTCCCCAAGTCGAGCTTTGACTGAAGCCTTTTGAGAGACCTCAGGCCAGAGGCGCTGGGCACAGGCACATCCATATCCCTAGCTCACACACACTCTGATAATACATTTTTTTTAAGTATTGGGCAATTTGTTACATAGCAACAGACACCTAATACTATATTCAGAATGCAAGATACCAGAAATCTAAGGCTTATTTCCAATTATTCAGTGGGCAAGTTTCCCACTTATTCTTATTGTGTTTTCTCATTTTATGTAATTATGGTTGAACAGTTGGTTCCTAGAATCTCAGTGAGAACATCGGATGAAAGACCTTGTCAAAATATTCAATAGGAATATATTTAGTTAAACTTTTACACATAATTCAAATGTCAATTTGAGCTCCCAGAAAATAAAACAGACTGGTTCGCTTTAGAACAGGTGGTCAGGAATCATGTGTTATCATGTCTGTATGGCTGTGGGTGAAGAAATGTGCACATACATGTGTATCACCACAAGTCTGTATAATACATGCCTGAATGTGTGCATGGATACACATTGAATATATGCATAACATATGTGTCATCGCAAGTCTGCATAATGCATGCCTGAATGTGTGCATGGATACACGCCTGCATATATGCATAACATGTGTATCATCAGAAGTTTGTATAATGCATGCCTGAATGTGTGCAAGGATACACGCCTGAATATATGCATACATGTGTATCATTGGAAGTCTGTATAATGCATGCCTGAATGTGTGCAAGCATATACACCTGATATATGCATACATGGACTCACATATAAACACAGATTTATTTATTTTTAGAGAGAATGCACTGGGTTGCTGCCCTGGACTTGCTTTATAGAATTTATATGAACAGGACTCCATTCCAGAACTCACTTTATATAGACATGCATACTCCCATTTTTATAGTAACAGAAAAATGAAACTCACAGGCATTCCTTCCTATCTTACTAGAGCCTCCTTTTGAGACCATTTTGCTCTCTTGCTCCCTCTTTTACAATCCCTAAATCTTGGAATCATTTTAGATCTGTTTCCCTAGAACTCTTCTCTCTGCCTGTAGATTTGCTTCTTAGATTACTATTTAAATACTACATACCACATGAACTGAGGATTCTCAAATGTATATCTTCTGTCTCGAGCACCAAACTTGTAAATTCTGATACCACCACCTGGATGTCTAAAAGGAATATTTAATTTAAAATTTCCAGAACAAAACTCTGGAATTTTTCTGCCAAAGTCACCTCAGTTTCCCACCTTAGTAAATAATATGTTTCTTCATTAGGTTGTTCAGGCAGATATCTGAGGGATATTTTTGACCCCAGACACCTACGTCTAATCCAATAGCACATTTTGTTGGCTTTACTTTGAAAACATAAATACGACCCGTATTTACCACCTCCATTGCTGTCAACCAAGGCTCATCCACCAATACTGTATGTCTGCATCACTGTGATGACCTAACTAGTCTTACCATCCATTTTCCACACGGTAGCCAGAATGATGTCTTAAAATTAGAAGTTAAACAGTGTCATTGCGTTTCTTGAAACCCTCTAATACTTTCCTACCACAACTGGAATAAAAAGCAAATGCATTTTAATAGCTTTATTAATATCATCTCCTTCAATAAAAGATGGCTCAAACAACTGGGATAATTGAAGATGTAATGAAGAGACTTGGGTGCGGACCGCTAAGGGAAAGACGAAGTGAGATGCACCTTCATCCTCGGTGTCAATCAGGACTGGGTGAGAGTGAGAGGAGGCCCTTCAAAGAGATTTCTGCCCCATTCTTTCAACTCATGCCCCATGTCAAATTGATGAATTCTCTTTTTAACTCTAAAACAAGAAGCAGACAGGAGGTTACAATTGGAACATAGCCCAGATGTGCATTTCTTGAGAGCTATACTTTTGTTTCCTTTTTTGATAAAGCAATATAGGTTTTGAGCTTTGAAATTAAATAAATTATGAATTCTGAACACTGTTGATAAACCTTACTACTGCCTGGGTCTCCCTGAAGAGAGGTACAGACCTTTCTTTATCCATCTCTGAATCCTTGTTCAGCTCAGCATCTGCGAACATTTAAATTAGGATTTATATATTATCCCTTTAAATTTTCTGTGGGGATAGGAAGGACATACACTTGACAGGTAAAGATGTTTGTAGTCAGTGAACCAAGTCTTAGAGAGTTGTATCTAAAAGTTACTAAGTTAGCTGAAGATCAGCCAGGACAGCTGATATATTTTACCACATATGAGGCAGGGAACCTAGGGTCAATTCATCCTGACTTCCTAGAATTAAATCAAAAGGAAAACCCCAACTTTCCATGCCCAAATAACAAAAGGACCAGAGACTACTCCCTTTGCAACACCTCCTTCCCCACTTTTTCTGCGAGGCAAATGAGAAACTAAAAGTACCTCTGATCGGTCCCCTCCTGCAACCGATCAGGCTGGTGGTAGCTGGCCAAGTCTTCATTTGTACAGGAGTAGAACTTTGTAACTTCACTTCAGCCTCTGATTGGTTGCTTTCTGCAACCAATCAGACGTTCGTATAGGGTGTAACTTTGCAACTTTGCTTTAGCCTCTAATTGGTCCCCTCCTGCAACCAATCAGGCTGATGATGGGCCACTATTTCATTTACATAGGGTGTACACCAAGTAACCAATGGGAAACCTCTAGAGAGTATTTAAACCCCAGAAAATTCTGTAATCTGGTTCTTGAGCTGCTTGCTTAGGCTCTCTCGTATCTTGTGGAGTATATTTTCATTTTCAGTAACTCCCTGCTTTTGTTGCTTCATTCTTTCCTTGCTTTGTGCGTTTTTTCCAATTCTTTGTTCAAGATGCCAAGAACCTGGACACCCTCCACGGGTAACACATAGACCAGCTTATGTTACCCCAAGGTAATCTGGCTTCAATTTCTCATGTGGTGGAAACATTAAGGACAATTTAGAAGTTTAACCAGAATGCTGCTGGTTCTGGACACTGGATCTAAAGCTCTGGCAATATTCAGCATTTCCCAACCTAGTTTAGTTCACTTCACTAACAGCAGTAATAACAGTGAAGGAAGAAGGACGTGCCACAATCTAGTCCAGATGCTTTAAGGTTTCTGTGTCCAGAAAGAAATATAAAAACTTAGAGAAAATGAGTTGCCCTAGGTGCTGTCTCTTCCTCCACATCCAGTCCCCAGATGGCTCTTCCATCCTTTCCTGCCGTCGTTTTGCTCCAGGGCCTCAGCCTTGCAGACAAGCAGCAACTGGGGTCCCAGTTGTGCATCCCACTTAGGTTCAGCAAATGGGAAACAGTGCAAGGGAAGGAGGAGATAGATTTGAGCATTTCTTCACTGCTTCCTCCATCCCATGATCCAGTCCTGCGTTGCAAGCAAGCAACACGTCCTTCTGGGACTACAGCCCCTGCTCAGTGCTGCCTCCTTAGGGTTTGGGATCTTTCTGGGCTCCAGGAACACTCACTTCCCTAAGCATGGTAGCTTCCTGGTTTTGCTGGTCTTCAGCACCTCACCATCTCTTGTTTGCTCTCCTAACCCATCCCACGCTTCATGTTGAAGGTAGACCCTGTTTCCTGTCAGTGACCTACTTGATATGCACTGTTAAATCACATATACACTTGCTTCTATTGCATTAAATATTCTGAAAAATATTTCTTAAGAAACATAAACCAATTAAAATTGATGTGATACTAAAAATATGAGATTATGAATTCTTTCTTTTAGATATCTTATTTTCATTATTTTTACAGTGTTCGCATGTTAGAAATGTAATATCATAATATTGAATCACTTTTGTCAATTTTTTTCCTGTAAACTTTTTTTTTCCTTTTGGAAAAGAGGCTATTTATTTACTCCTATCAGCAAAGACCGTAGGATTTGGGAGACCTGGCACCCCTTTGGGAATACTTTTGCCCCTGTATTACTGGGGGTAAGCAATTAGGTAAAGATATTTTAAATAGTAGTTTTCCCTGTAGTCAGACCTTTGCTGTTATTGACAATTTTAATGTCCCATTAGTATTTGGCTTGATGGTACTCATTTACAACATAGTGATAAATACCATCTCATTTCTGTGCATGATAAACTCTCTCTTAACAAGAGGGAGGGAGAGAGAGAGAGAGACAGAGAGAGACTTCTTATCCCTACTCCTACATCAGCTGACCTTTTATTTCCCCACATTCAGTCCCTGTCATTTCAAAGTCACAAGATCTAAAAAGACAGGCAGGTAGCCTGTCTAACATTCTGGTCACAATGAGAACAGAGTCAGCATTTCTGGAATCTGATCATTAAAAAGAGTAAGCAGAGCAGTGTGTGAGTGAAAAGGAGCTGTCATGGAGGTGGATAGGAAGGAAGAAAGATATTTGAGGGAAAAACATGGTAAGGAGGAGGAAGACCCAGTGTGCGTCCTTACTGCCTATTTGCCCTTCAACACAGACCACATCAAAAGTGGCTCTGTGTTCTTCTGTACAAAGACACACAATGTCTGGTTGTCTTTCATGTTGTGATATGAGCAGCTATTGATGGTCACAGACTTCATCCACTCATCCTTTAGGGAATATAAAATGGTGATATTCGAGGCCGGGCACAGTGGCTTACGCCTGTAATCTCAGCACTTTGGGAGGCCGAGGCAGGCAGATCATGAGGTCAGGAGATCGAGACCATCCTGGCTAACACGGTGAAACCCCGTCTCTACTAAAAATACAAAAAATTAGCCAGGCGTGGTGGCGGTCACCTGTAGTCCCAGCTACTCAGGAGGCTGAGGCAGGAGAATGGCGTAAATCCAGGGGGCAGAGCTTGCAGTGAGCCGAGGTCGCCCCACTGCACTCCAGCGTGGGCGTCAGAGCAAGACTCTGTCTCAAAAAAAAAAAAAAAAGAAAGAAAAGGTGATATTTGAATTAGATCATTCTGCCTTCATTAATCAACTGAAATATTTCTGTAGAAAAAATTTTGTCTGCAACCATGCGGAAGACCAGCGATACAGCTTGCATGGAGGGATGTTTGATTTTCTCTTTATTTACCAACTTTTAAAAATAGTTGGCTCCTTAGCATCCTCCAATCGTGATCAGTTAGCATTTTCTTCTTCTTAGAATCCTTGTGAACTCAAGGATTTAAGCATTTTCATGTGTTTCACCTGGCCAGTGCTTATCCCTATTGAGGCTCAACGATTTTTGTCTTTGGTCAGTGAGAGCCTCTGGGTTCAGAATTGCAGCTGAGTTCTTTAAATGTGGTCCTGGTAGTCTTCCGCAGCTCCCTCACTCTCCGGGTTTCCTTACTCTCCGGCCTCCCTTACTCTCCGGTATGATGTGATGATTCAGTGTCATTGTGGGCATCTCATGCCCAGATCAGGAATCGCTATTTCTTTGTGGAGCCTTAGCTTGTTTTAGTGGAAAATGTTATTTTAAGGCCACGATACTGCCATATTTAAAAATAGATATGTACAATTATTTCTTGATTCTTTTCCACTTTAGCTATTATTTGTTGTTTTACTACTGAAAGCAACATTTTGCGCTCATTGAAGCTTTCCCACCCTCCTCCCAGCAAAACATTTAGTACTTACAATGTTAAGATTAGGCCAAAATTCACAACTGAATTTTTTGTGTGCTGTAATTATATCCATCTATTTATTTATTTATATTTGAGACGGAGTCTCCCTCTGTTGCCCAGCCTGCAGTGCAATGGTGTGATCTCAGCTCATTGTAACCTCTGCCTCCTGGGTTCATGCCATTCTCCTGCCTCAACCTCCTAAGTAGCTGGGAGTACAGGCATGCACCACTGTGCCCGGCTAATTTTTTTTTTTTTAAGTAGAGATGGGGTTTCACCATGTTGGCTGGGCTTTTAAGTAAACTTTTTGTTTTCTCTTAAGTTAATCATTGCTTTGATTTTTTCTATGTCTTAAATCATTTGAATTTTTGTCTGTAATTGTTCTCTAAACTTTCCCCCCCTAAGTAGAATTTCCTCTTCTTACATTCAAGCACATCAAATAATCTGTCAGTTTCTTTCTTTCTTTCTTTCTTCCTTCCTGGATATCATCTTTCTGGAACGGTTGATCCAGGCTGCTTCCCGCCCCAGGTGCCCTGAAGTCACACGGTGATTTCCCTTCATGTTACCTTTGTTTTTCTCCTTTTGGGAACTTCTGCGTCTTGTATTCAATGATTTTATACTTAAAAAAATAATTCAGTCCCTTGTACTGGGAGCATCTTCTCAAGTATATTTTAAGATCAATTTTTCAGGCAAATATTTTTCTGAGAGTGAAAATCTCACACTGAAACCAATAATCTATCTGAATATAGAATTACAAATTAGCAATAATTTGAAAAAAATTTGAGGCATTTTTCTTATTCCTGACTCAATCCTAGTTGTCCATCCTTTATGTTAATTTTGTTTTCTTTGTGCATGCCTTAACGTTCCTTATCATCATTGCTCTGAAATTTTATATTGCATGTCTTTGCTTTCACATTAGGTACGCTGGGATTTTTCTATATGGTGGCTTCATTCTGTCCTGATAATTTTACTTCTTTCATAATTTTGTCCCTTTCAGTTTTCCTTTTGTTCTGCAATTTACATTATTTGGATATTAGATATTTTGAAATAATCTTCTAATTTCATCTGCACTGCTATTTTGTTATTCATTTCTTTGTCTTCTTATTATACTTGGTAGGCAATTGTTGAACCTTTTTTTTAACCACCCTATTGAATTACTTTTAAAATTCTGCATAATATTTTTAATATCCCAGAGATGGTTTTGTTCCTTGAATACTCCCTTTCTACTGCATTCTATGCTTGATTTTATGTTTGCAACCTCTTATCTCTCTGAGGCCATTAATTATAGTGAGACGTATTATAAGATTATTTTCTTCTCCTTTGAGTACTATTTTCATCTCCTTCAAGTTTTTTCTTTCCTGTTTGTTTATTCTGTTCTCTGTGCTTCATGACAGGTCCTTTCCCACATGGCTTGATGTGTGGCTGGCTGTTCATTTTTAGGAGTGAGGCATTATAAACAGGCCTGGAACTGTGCCTCAACAGAGCTTCTAGAGTGATGGGCTTCACTGCAGGACCACTGAGTCGAGGCACTCTCAACTCTGAGTTGCATTAGCCAACTTCCCTGCAGAGAAATCTTCCAGCCTCCTGCCTGGAGTGCTTGAGGTTGGCTACCAGCATCCTGACAGCCTGGTGCAGAACGAGCTCAGTGGTTGTACATTCACTTGATCCTGTGTTTTCAGTATGGCCCCCTTCCCTGTAATTATGCTTGCTATCTTTCAGTCCAAATTTAAAATGTCTACTCTTCTGCTGAGGTGGAGAATAGAGGGACCCTAAGGTCTAAGTGCTTCTAATGCACATGTTCAAACACACTCTGTTTTCAGATATCCTTCTCCCTGTCTTCAGATCCCGACACCTTCTGGGGGTTCTGTGGCATAAACTCCCGTGGTGCAGCATGTCTACTGTCCACCCTACCTAGGATTTCTGCTTTCCTGCTTATTCCTATTCTAGGCTAAAAGCTTAGCCCTCTTCCCTGCTTTCAAATAGAACGGTCTAGTTCCTTCAATGGTTTCAAGTACCATCTAAATGTCTATGATTTATTTTTTAGTCTGGATCTGCTGAGAAGGAGATGTCACAGCAGCATTAGACATGTGTGGGAAAATATAGGGTGATTTTATCCATTGCCCCAGCTAACACTCGTCACATTCCACGACTGTATGTATAATGACTCTGGTTGAACATCTGTCCTTCTTGATGGCCTATGAGCAACTTAAGAAGGGTTCATGCTGCTGTCCCTGCCCAGTGTCTAGGACATAAAATGGTCATAGTAGACCCTTGCTTTACTTCTATAGAATAAGTGAATAAAATGTGCCTAATTGAAAGGAGGAAATATGAGTCAGCTGTGAAGAAAGATGGGTTTGTCCTACTTTGGGATGTGAAGTCAGGGAAGAATCCATCTAAAGCTGAGAGAAGAAGGTGAGGTGCTGTTCCACTGAAATATAGCACCCTTTGCTCCCTGCATAATATGGGCTTATTCTCTGCTCTGTGGGTGCCAAAATAAAATTTTTTTCTTAGAAAAGGGATAAATTTATCAGCCTCAGCCTTAGCAGAAATAAAACACTGCATTGGGAAAATGTGCTTCCTGCAAAAACAGCATGATGGGGTGGGCACTCAGTCCCTTGTGTTCCATTTTCTGTGTGGTTGCTCTGGATTCTTCTGTCTTTGCAGAACCATCCCAGAAGAAGGAACATCATCACAAAGGATGTGTGTGGCAGAGAAGGGGGTGAGCCAGGGGCTGGGGGGCTGCAGCCTCTGGTACAGAGAGCTGACTCCAAAACAGTCTTTAAAAGGCCTGGTTCTACAGGTTCTGCTGAACTAAATGGTGCAAACGTTTCCAGTGACTACTGCCCTGCCTATCTGACACAGCTAGAAGGTGGCTGTCTTCAAGCCAAGAAGAGAGCCCTCATCAGAAACCGAATGGTGTTTGACTTGATCTTGCACTTCCAGCCTCCAGATCTGTGAGAAGTAAATGTCTGTTGTGTGGTAATAACAAAGTATTACATTGAGCAAAGTGTGCAATCTAGTGTTTCATGACAATCTAGTGCAATCTAGTGTTGTATCATTTGCTCAGTGTAATACTTTGTTAAAGATTGACATAATACTTTGTAATACTTTGTTAAAGATTGACATAATACTTTGTAATACTTTGTTATGTCCTGAAAATTCATGTGTTGGAAATGCAGTCTCCATGCAACAGTGTTGAAAGGTGAGACCTCTAACAGATGATTAGGTAACTAGGGCCCTGCCCTTATGAATGAGTTAATTCTGTTGTTGTGGGAGTGAGCTCATTATCTCAGGAGAGGGTTTATTATAAAAGGAAGAGCTGGACCCCTTCTCTCTCTCTCCCACCCTTTCTTTCCCTCTTACCTTCTGCATGTTTTGATAAGCAAGAAGACCCTCACTAGATGTTGGTCCCTCTCTCTTGGACTTCCTAGCCTTTAGAACCATGAGCCAATTAGTTTCTGTCCATTATAAATCACTAAGCCTACAGTATTCTGTTATAGAGTCACAGAATAGACTAAAACACAAGCCAAGGCAGCTAAGACACTATCCCACTCCTACGTCTGAGCAAGAGTGAGGCAACACTGTCCCACTGTCCACTGTTGTTCATCAACAGTGAGGCTTCAGCAGCCCATGAAGCCTACAGAGGAGCCTGTGCCCACCTCACCATGTCACAAGTGCCTAGGATCCACTCCAGGTATTGGCTGGACAGGGAGACACATGGAGGTGTGGGACACATGAACCTGCCCTCAGAAAGTACACAGGCTATACAGACACTGAACAAACATCTTCATTCAATTGTAAAAGTGCCTCTGAAGGAAACGGGTTGCATGGGCCGGGGGAGAGTGTTAACCAGAAATCTGACCTAATGAGAGAAACCAAGAAGGGCTCCAGGGCAACTGAGCTGCGATAAGTCAAGAGTGAGTGAGGGCAGAGTGCTCTATGAAGCGAGGCAGCAAGAGGAAGTCCTTGGAGCAGGAAGAGTCACAACACAGAGTGACTCTGCCCAGAGGTTGACCTGTGTGCACTTAGGTCAGACCCATGGCCAATGGGTGCAAAGCAAGGAACAAGCATTGCTAAGGGAGATGCCTCAGCCAGAGCCGTGTGTCATTCTGGGCTCCATGTCCAAAGAGGAACATTGTCAAATTAGCAGGACTCCAGAAATTGAGTGCCTGGGATCATGAAGGACTCTATATGAGTGGTTAATTATAAAACTTATAAGAGGCTGAATAATCCTTAAGAAGGGAGTGTTCAATAGAGGCTGAGTCACCAGAAGTCAGAAAGGTTTTTGTTCATGAATAGAGTGCCAAATTTAAAATGAGGCCTTTGCCTGCAAATCCAAATCTAAGATTCTTCTTTGGTAAATTCACATATATAATTTTGCATGATTATATATAGGATTAAACAATGAAAATCCATGGGGTCTTGAGACTTTTCCCTCTCTTTAGCCTCTAAGAACACATGGCTACATATACATTGATGAAGATATGGCAAAATGTCTTCCTTGCCTTCCAAAATAGCCTTTTGAAGTTGACAGCATTTGCGTTTCCCCTGGGTTGTAACCAAGCACGCACTTCCTTCCATGGTTTCCTTGCAGGGCCCCCTTACTATCTGAGGCCAGGTAATGCACAGGAAAGGGCCCTCAGGTGTCAGAGAAGACCAACTGCTGGTTCAGGTCAGCTGCAGATTTGCTGTTCTGAACTTGAGCAGGCATTTTCCTTATATGTAGAAAGATGAAACTCAGATGCAATGTCTCAGCCTTTCATTTTAACTTAGTGCTGCAGCAGCTCAACTTTCCAGTTTCATGTATTCTTTCCACCTCAGTCCTACCCACTTCCAAAGGGTACCTACTTCCAAAGAGCACAGCCCAGGAAAGACTTAAGACCTGACAGTACGTGACTTCATGGGAGCAGGTGAGATCAACCAGCATGCTCCTTCAAATTTGCCTCTGACCTTGAGAGAGACCCTTTGTGTTTCTTATTGTGAGAGGAAGAAGTTGTTACATTTGTTCCTCTGAGCCTGGGATTCAAAAGTGTCAATTAAAGTAATGTTTAAATCTAGTGTTGTACCATTTGCTCAATGTGATATTTGTTTTATATAATACAAAAATAAAATATTTTAAGTTAGATTTTTACAAAATAAAGTTTGCTGAGGATCTCTGAGATACTAATGATCTGGAGAATACTCATCTCCTGTGCTGGACTTGTGATTCTAGTGAGACAATTAGGAGTCTCTGGTGCATGGACTCCTGGCTCTCTCCAATCTCAGTTGAAAACACAGCTCTCTCCACAGAACCTAAGTTCCCCTGATTGTCCTATTACAGAAGAGCATGGATTGAAGAAAGCAGCCTTTAGGTTTGATCATTTAATGCATTACTGTCATGGAAAGACATTTCTAATAGTGGGCTTTTTTTTAGAGAATCTGTGTCATGGGCAGACGTGTTTGGAGGTGGGGCTTGATTTGAGATCCTGCCATTTACCTGTTCTAACTGCACTTCCCTGGTGTGGAGAAAGAATTCTCTCCATTATCCACAGACTACTGGGACTTGAGTAAACCAGGGGTGTTCAAGCTTTCTACAATGGCAGCTTAAACGTGAACTTTTAAGAGGCTTTGACATTTTCCACAGTGCCACTGGCAGATGGACACGAATGTGCACACTGGGATCTGGAGTTGCCTTCTGCTCAGATTCCACCGGCTCCAGTCACATGGCCTTAGATTGTGCTGCTTTGCTCTGCTAGAGCTTGCTTCCTGAGCTGTAAAAGCAAGATGACTTAAGGAGGGTAGGGAGCCCATTCGCTCAAGGCTTTGGGCTATGTAGCCTTAGCAGCAAATACCAGGCTGGCCACCTGGCTTCTGGCTGGGAGGCATCATGTCAACATCATCGATGTAATACATAACTGAGGCTCCACTCTTTCCTCCTGGGCTTCTTGGGCAAAGTAATTGCTAAGAACACCTTTTAAAGGTGCAATGACAGCTGTGTTGTGAGACATAACACAGTTCACACTTTTTCCAGATTCACCACTACTTAGTTTAATGAGAGATGCATTGAAAAGACTGTTATAGGAAATCTTAATAATATAAAAATGAGGTTTATACAATTACAGAGCTTGATGTTGTGCAAGTTCGAGTGCTGTCTTCTCTGTCAGAGGGCAAGCCACAGGATGTAGAAGCCTGTGATGGATAGACTTGTGGTGAGAGAGGCTGAGGAGATTTTTATGTGAGGAAGGCATGTGCCACCCCATTAAAATCCACCGATCGCAAAACTGAATTCTTCAAATGCTTTGCATATCTACTCTGTAAAAAAAAACAAAAAAACAAGTGATGACTTCAAAGCCTTCAATCAGGAAGGTTTCCTTAGACCAGCCTCTAAGGCACATGCCTGGGTGCGCTGAGCTCTGAACTTGACATGTTGGGATGGAAAACATCTCTCTGTTCTAAATGCACCTCCCAGTCTTGTTCCAGGTGTATCTCTGATGAAAGAAGTTTTGTCAAGGAATCGTGATGCTGTTGGGGACTGAAGGTATGATTCTAGTGAGAAAATTAGAAGTACTTTGCTTAGGAATAAATTTAAATTATTGTGAGATAAACACTTTGCATTTATTACTTTGAATATTATATAGAACACTAGACACATTTATTTTTTCTTCGTGTTATGGATAATTATTAATTCAGTATTAGCAGAGGCAAAAAAAGTCCAATTGAAATACTACCCAGTTTTTTATTTGGCAATACAATGATGTTATATAACGTTTTAACAATCCAGCTATAGAGGGAGAACAGGGGAAAGAATGAACATGGCATTACAATTTAATTCCAGCCCATGTTTATCCCATAAAGGTTCCCAAGGTCTTGGGTTCCACTGGGCTTTCCCTGACCACCTAGGAGGACCATGGCCACACAGCACGTATCCCATCTGTCTGAGAATATTCCTTGAGATGAATGGAGCCCGAGTTCACAGGAAGTAGAGATGAGGGGGCGGAAGAGGGAGCCCGGTGAAATTCAACAAAGCAAGTATAAATCAAATGTCTATTTTCTTCAGAGGAAAAATGAGGAGAAAGCACCAATTTCAGCAGGCCAAATGCTCTAAAGACTCTCCTCCGTAAAGCTCTATTTTTATATATCCCTATTGCACATGTAGCACATGAAAACAAAATTGTGCTCTGCTAAGCAAATGGGCTTATATGCCACATCCTCCATCACTATGACAGAAGAAAATGAAATTCCTTAAACAATGGTTACGTTTCAACATTCAGTATTAACTGGTTTTCACTAGTGTTGCTGAGACATATTTCTAAGTTCTATTTATAATAAGATAACTCTTTTACCATCTGAGGAAACTTCTAGATAAAAAGCTCTCACAAACACCTAAACAGGTTAGTATTGTGTTTCATTTTATTTTCCCCTTGAAATGTCCTGGTTGTCCTGTATCCTGGAAGAATAAGCAGGGGAGACCAGCGTGCCCAGAGGCCAGGTAAATGCCACTCTTCCCAATATTCCGGGCCTTCAGGGAGAAGCCATGCCTCTCTGGGTCTTGCATAGGAATCAAACACAAGGCTTCAGTTCTCTGATCTTTTCTTTAAAATCAACAAACCCCTCTTCACTTGCTATTTGTGAGACATTGCAGAAGTTTAAATCTTTGCTGCTTGTTTTCATCATTGCTTGCTCTGCATGTGGGAGTGAGAAAAAGATAGTTGCTATTACTGTTTCCTTTATCTGTTACCTGGGCCCACATCATAACGTAATGCAGTCTCAGGAAACGGCCTACGTGAAGTGTGACAGCAGCTTATGTTTCAGGGTTCCAGAAGAAAAGGCATTTTCACCAGCGCCATGAGAGCTGTTATGGAGCACATGGTGACAGCAACATCAAGTCAGTAAACGAATTAAAGCTGCAGGAACTTAGAGATCTTTGTTTAGAAATTATTCAACCATTTGATTTTTGAGTATTCAATATACAAAAAAAGCAAACGAAAATGTAAATTTGTAGTGTCTTTCCATCTTTATGTAGGACTTCAGACTTTTCCGCAAGTCTTTCCAAAGGCAGAGAAGGCTACAAGAAAAAAAAGTAGCATTTCTACCTGTCAGGATTGCCTGTGGATCTGGCCCAGGCCCCAGGTCCACTGTGGTGCCAGACACGCAGACATGGAGTTCATCCTTCTGAAACACTAGGACCGGGAAGAAATGATCAGAACAAGCCAAGGGTCCTCCCAGATGACAATCAACCAAATTTGAGAGAGGATAACTTCACAGGTGCTATAGAAGCCAGCCAACATCCTAAAACCTGAACTGGCATTTAACTGGCACCATATGAATGATCCAGGGGGTCTAGAAAGGGGTGTTTGGTTTAATTCTCTTCTGTCATAGAGCTGGCCTTGCAAATCAGTGCCCTGAATTGAGGAAGCTTCTATTTTTCACTCCCAATCATTCTGGTAATGGCTGACTTTCTACCATTAAACAGGCAGAAACTGGTTTGTCAAGCTTTCTATTTCTTTGAAAGCTCCTTCTTAAATATAACTCCCATTGATAGGTGAAACCCCATAAACCTTACTTAGACAGTTACTTCTGAGAGTCACATAATGGGATTTAATTCCTTAAATAAATAGGTTACAATTTGCACTTAGTTCAATGGAGGTAGAATTTGTATATTTGAGACAGGAAATGAGATGAAAGGTTTGAAAGTCAGGTGAGATTCCTGATATTTAGTATTTTTTATTGAGATATAACTCATTTACTATACAATTCTCTCATTTAAAGTGTATAATTCAATAGTGTTTAGTACACTCAGAGTTGGGCAACCATCGCCACAATCAACTTTAGGAAGTTATCACCACCCCAAAAAGAAAAGCTGTATCCATGATCAGTCACTTCTCATTCTTCCCCAGCCTCCCCCAACTCATCCCTAGGTGGCCATTAATCTACTTTTTGTTTCTATAGATTTGTATCTGCTGGAAATTTGTTAAGTTTTATCATGAAGTAGGTGGTCTTTCATGACTCGCTTCTTTCATTTAGCATAATGTTTTCAAGGTTCATTCCTGTCGTAGCCTGCTTCTGTCTTTCATTTATTTTGTTGCTGAGTAATATTCTGCTGTAAAGATACATCACATTTTATGTAACCATTCATCAATTGATGAACATTCAGGTTGTTTTCACTTTTTGGTGATTATAAATAATGCTGCTGTGAACACTCATGTACAAGTTTCTGAGTGGATATATTTTTATTTGTATTGGGTATATACCTATCCATCACTTCTTAAGAAACTGCCAGATGTCTGCTGTTGTACATTCCCCAATGCACAATGGTGAATGAAGATTCCAATTTCTCCATATTCTTACTCATAATTATTATGTTTTTTTAATTATAGCCATTCTCGTGAGTATAAAGTGGTTTTTATTTGCATTCTCTGACAGCTAATGATGTTGAGCGTCTTTTCATTTGGATGTTGGCCATTTGTATGTCTTCTTTGGAGAAAATTCTACTGGAATACTTTGTCCATTTTAAAAATTGAGTTATTTATCTTCTTATTCTTGAGTTATGTGTTTTTTATTAAACGTATTCTATATAGAAGTCCTTTGTCACATATATAAATTACAAACGTTTTCTCTTTCTGCAGGTTCTTTTTTTGTTTTTACTTTATTGACAGCATCTTTCAAAGCAAAAGTGTTTTAAATTTTAACAAAATACAATTAATCTATTTTTTTCTTTTGCTGTTTATGCTTTTGGTGTGATATATAAGAAACTATTTCCTAGTGCGAGATCATGTTTCTTCTAAAGGTTTTGTAGTTTTAGCTCTTACCTTCAGGGCTTTGATTCATCTTGAGTTCATATATTTTATATATATGAGATGGGGATCCAAATTCATTCTTTTGCATGTAGAGATCCAGTTGTCTCAGAATCATTTGTTAAATACCATTGTCTCCTTCTTAAGTTGCCTTGCACTCATTGAAAAAGCAATTGACAACATGTGTTAGGGTTTTTTGGACTCTTAATTCTACTTCATTGATTACTTGTCTTGATTACTATAGCATTGTATTAAGATTTAAAATTGGGAATTGTTCTCTTACAATACAAGATTGTTTTGGATATTCTGGGTTCCTAGAATTTCCATATGAATTTTAGGAGAAGCTTTCTGAATTCCCCAAAAACCCAGGTAGAATTTTGATAGGGATTTATTGATTGTGTGGCTCAATTTGAGAAATATTACATCTTAACAATATTAAGTCTTCTGACCCATGATCATGGGATGTTTCCCAATTATTTAGGTCTTCTTTAATTTCTTTCAATAATGTTTTATAGTTTTCAGAATATAAGTTTTAGATTTCCTTTGATAATTTTATAAGCATTTTATTTTTTATAATACTAGTGTAAATTGAATTTTTAAATTTATTTTAAGATTGTTCATTGAAAGTGTGTATAAATAAAATTGATTCTTGTATATGAAGCTTGTATCCTACATCCTTGCTGAACTCATTTATTTCAATAGCTTTTAGTGGATTTCTTAGGATTTAGTATATACAAGATAATGTCATCTTCAAACAGAGACAGTTTTACTTCTTTTTAATCTGGATGCATTATAGGTCATTTTCTTATGCAACTCTCTTGGCTAGGACCTCTCATATAATGTTGAATGAAAGTGGTGAGAATAGATGTTCTTGTTCTGTTCTTGATCTTAAAGGGAAGGAATTCAGTGTTTCACTGTTAAGTGTGATGCTATGTGTGGGTTTCTCACAGATGCCCTTTATCAAGTTGAAAAAGTTGCCTTCAATTCCCAGTTATTTGAATGTTGTAATCATGAAGGGGTGTTGTATTTTGTCAAGGGTTTTCTCTGTATCTATTGACAAGATCATGTGGGATTTTGTCTTTATTCAATATATCAACAGCATTAATTGAATTTCTTACGTTAAACAAATCTTACATTTCTAGGTAAATCCCATTGATCATTATGTGAAATTCTTTTTATATATTTCTGGATCCAGTTTGCCAGTGTTTTATGAGGATTTTTCCATCTACATTCTTAAGATTTTCTTTCTGAGTTTGATATCAGGATAATATTGGTCTCATAGAATGAATTTAGAAGTGCCTTCATTCCTACTGTCTTCTACTTTTGGAGGAGAGATTGTGAAAAATTAAAGTCAATTCTCCTTTAAATGTTTGGTAGAATTAATCAGTGCAGCCATTTGGCCTTGGGATTTTCTTTGCTAGAACATTTTTGATTGCTAACTCAACCTTTTTACTTTTTATAGGTCTACTAAGATTTTCTATTTCTTCCTAAGTTTCAGTAGTTTATATGTCTCTAGGAATTTATCCATTTCATCTGTGTTATCCAATTTGTTGGTGTATAATTGTCCATAGTATGTCATTAAAATCACTTTTACTTATGTAAAGTTGGTAGTAATTTTTCTCTTTTACTTCTGATTTGAAGCATTTTAGTTTTCTCTGTTTTTCTGGGTCAGTCTAACTAACTAAGGGTTTGTCAATTTAGTTAACTTTTTCAAAGTTCCAATTTTTGGTTTATTTGATTTTTTTTCTATCTCTGGTTCAAGTATTTCTGCTCTAATCTTTCTCATTTTTGGGAGGTTTTGCTTTTGGTTTAGTTTGCTATTCTTCTTCTAGTTTTTTTTAAGGTGGAATTTTTAACTGTTGATATGAGATATTTCTCATGTAATTGTAGGCATTTACTGTTATAAATTTTCCTCTGAGTACAGCTTTCACTGCATCCCATAAGTTTTACTATGTGTTAATATTTGTTTTTATTTATCTCAAACTATTTCCTGATTTTGCTTGTGATTTATTGCTTTACTGCTTGTTATTTAAGAATGTGTTGTTTAATATCAGACTTGTGGCTTTTCCAAATTTCTTTTTGTTATTAATTTCTATCATTTGAAATTGATCATTGAGATCAGAGGAGATATTTTCTGTGATTTCAATCTTTTACATCTATTGAGACTTGTTTTATGGCCTGACATTTGATCTGTCCTAGAGAATGTTACACGTGCACTTGAAAAGAATTTATATTGCTGTCACTGGGCGGAGTGTCCTACAGATGTTCATTAGGTCTAGTTAGTAAGCAGTGTTGTTCAAGTCTTCTATTTCCTTGGTGATTTTCTGTCTAGAATTCTATACATTGTCAAGTATTAAAGTGTGCAACTATTATTGTTGACTTGCCTATTTTACCCTTCAATTCTCATAGTTTTTGCTCTATGCAATTCAGAGTTTGTTTTTAGGTGCATATATGTCTATAATTGTTCTATGTTCTTGATGGATTGACATTTTTTATCTAAAATGTCTTTGTCTCTAGCAACAATTTTGTTCTAAAGTTTATTTTTTCTGATATTAGTATGGCCACTTCACCTCTCTATTGGTTACTATTTTCATAGTACATCTTTTCCATACTTTTACTTTCAGCCTATTTGTGTCATTTTAACTAAAGTCTCTTATCAACAACATATAGTTGGATAATAATTTTCATCCTTCAAAATTCTCTGATTTTTAATTGAAACTTTTATTCTAATCACATTTCATGTTATTCTTGATAACATGAAATTCTTGATGGTTGGATTTATGTCTTGATAGTTGGATTTATTCTTGATAGTTGGATTTATGTCTACCATTTTACTTTTGGTTTCTGTGTCACACAATTTTATTTCTCTATTCTTTAATACTTTCACATTGAGTGAATAGCTTCTAGTGTAACATTTTCATTTATTTAATGATTTTTTACCATTTTTAGTTATGTTCTCAGTAATTGTTCTACAGCTTACCATGTATACTTTAACTTATGAGAATCTATTTGTGATGTTTACTAACTTAACTCCACTGAGATATGAAAATACTACTCTTATATAGTGCCATTTTTTTCTTCTTTTTATTGTGCTTTCATTGTTATACATCCTACAACTATATATACTACAAACCTAACAATACATAGTTAAAATTATTGCTTTAAATAATTTTATATTTATTATTAAGAAGTTGGGACAAGAAAGGAGAACATGTATGTTGCAGCATTTGCTAAATTACACTTCTCATTTATTATTTCTGGCCCTCTTCATTTGTTCTGTGGGTTCATATTATTGTCTGCTATTATTTCCTTACTACAATGCATCTTTGTTCCCATACACTCCTTTCAAGCTGTTATTGTCAAAAATATTGCATTTCTATATTATATGGACCCAATAAGGCAATCATATACATGCTACTTTGTACGGTTGCTTTTTAAATCAGTTCAGAGGACAAGAAATATGTACTTATATTGTCTATCATAATTAATTACCCGTAACAATGCTCTTTGGGGTGTGTGTGTTTGTGTGTGCATGTGTGTGTGTGTGTGCGTGTGTGCGTGTGTATGTAAGTCAAGTACTGTCTGGGCTCACTAGCATTCAGCCTGAACAGCTTCCTTTAGTATTTTTTGGAAGGCAAGTTTGCTAGTGATGAATTATCACAATTGTGCTCATCTCAGAATGTCTTTACCTTCAATTTTGAAAGACAGTTTTGCGATACATAGGATTCTTGGTTAACCTTTTTTTTTTCTTTTGGCACTTAAAAATGCCATCTCACTGTCTTCTAGTCTTCACAATGTCTGATGAGAAGTGAGTTATTAACCTCACTGGGCTTCCCTTCACTTGACAAATCATTTTTCTTCTACTGCTTTCAAGATTTTCTTCTTGCCTTTAAATTTTTTTGAATTTTTGCTATGATGTGTCTGGGCACGAATGTGTTTGGGTTTATCCTGCTTAGAGTTCATTGGGATTTTGAATATTTCCATTAACGTTTTTTATTAAATTTGAAATATTTTTAGTCCTTCTTTCTTCAAATAATTTTTCTGCTCTTCTCCTTCTTTCCTTTTGATTCTCCTATCACACATGTATTGTCTACTTTTTTTTTCTTTTTTTTGCAAGAACTCTCACTCTGTCACCAGGCTGGAGTGCAGTGGCGTGATCTCGGCTCACTGCAACCTCTGCCTCCTGGGTTCAAGCGTTTCTCCTGCCTCAGCCTCCGGAATAGCTGGGATTACAGCCACGTGACACCACTCCTGGCTGATTTTTGTATTTTTAGTAGAGATGGGGTTTCACCATGTTAGCCAGGATGGTCTCGATCTCTTGACCTTGTGATCCACCCTCCTTGGCCTCCTAAAGTGCTGGGATGACAGGCGTGAGCCGCCACGCCCTGCCAATATGTTGTGTGCTTAATCATGCTCCAAATTTCTCTCAGAATCTGTTCATTTTCATTCACTCTCTTTTCAATTTGCTTTTCACACTGTATAATCACTATCAATCTATCTTCAAGTTCACAGATTCTTTCTGCTGCCAGTTCTAAATACTCTTTAGTCCCTCTAATTCATCTTTCCTTTAGGTTATTACACTTTTAATCTCCATAATTTTCATTAGTTTCTTTAAAAATAATTCCTACTTTTTATTTATATTTTCTGTTTGATGAGACATTGCCATTATAGCTTTCTTAATTCATTAAGTGTGGTTGACTTTAGTTCTTTGAACATAGTATTTAAGGCTACTGTAACATCTCTGTCAATTTCAACATCTAGGCCTTCTAACAGACAGTAGTATTTTGTTCCCTGCTTTTTTGTTTTTGTTTTTCTGTGTACATCACATTTTTCTGTTTCTTTGCATCTTCTATTTTTGATTGAAAACATAACTTTTCAGGTAATATATTGCAGCAGCTCCTCCTCACTTCTGGGCATATTTTTGTTGCCATTTCCTTATGTATTTATTTGTGGCCTGAGCTAGACTCTTTTAGTAACATTTATTTCGTCCATGATGTGAAGCCTCTGATGCTGTCCTTACAGTCTTGGACATTCACCCGGTCACCCTCAGGTAACAGTGGCTTAAAGAGGTTCTCACTGCCTGTTTCTTCCTCTCATCTCTCTGTCAAGCTGTCAGCTTCGTTTGGATAATACCCAGCTGTTTGCCTCCCTTAGTTGCCAGCTGATTGCTCTCATTTTTGGCAGTGGACGAGTGCATAGGTTGTTCCACAGCCGGATTCTATCAAATGCCTGCAATGGGTTTTTGAAGCCAGTCTTCTAGGTTTCTTCTGACCCCAAGAGGGCTCCTCTCATTTATCTCTTCCCCTATTTCTCTATGATAAACTAACTAGCCTATGGTCCATCCGGTTTTTAATTAAGAGGAGCTACCAGGCTCCCCACCAAAATCTCCATTATTTTCACAAGTCCACTTAGGCTTGAACTTCTCTACACTCTGTAAAATAAATAAATAAATAAATAAATAAAATAATTTCCTTTGGCGAGAGACTTGCAGCTATCTTTCCTTCTGTACTGTGCCTCCCTCTGGGAAAGTCTCTGAGCCCCTGCTCTGGAGTTGGTGGAGGGACAGTGGCCCTCTTTTCCCTGAGTGACATCCCTGCTTTATGATCAGGGGTGGTAGCCTATGGCCTCCTCAGCTTCCTCTCAGAATTAAACCCTTGCCCTGTGGACACACTGGGCTGAGGGTTGTTGGGGGCCCCGTCTGTGGCAGCACAGCTTTCCCATGCATGAAGGCTGATTGAAGGATGGGAGCCCCTGCCCACTCAGCCACCCTCGCCAGAAATGTAGCTTCTTCATCTCAGAGTTGGGGATGAGAAATGCTCATGGCTGTCTCCTCCCAGGGGGATACCACAGCCCTTGTCTGAGGGCTGAGGGATGAGGAATGGATGAGGAAGCTCATCTTCATGGCCACACCTTCCTGGAGGGGAGGTTCCATCAAGCTTTGCTGGGGAGAGTAAGTGGTGGCTCAAATGCACAGATCTTACTTTTCTCACCAAAATCTAGCAGTCTCCTGACTGAATTTTTCTTCACCTGTTTTACATCCTGAGGACAATTTCCTGACTTTAAATGATCATTATTGTGTTGTTCTTTAATGATTTTCAGCAGTTACGGTGTGTCCCTGGGGAGAGGGTCCATGGTCTCCTTTTGCTGCCACTCTGGACCATGACTTTTAGTCTTAATTGCACTCCAGAGCATGATCCTTATTGACCTGAGCAAGCTTTGAGAAGGTTGTGGAAAGCACTGGTGAATTCTGGAAGAAAGTGGCCCTGGGGTGGGTGTGCTGGCGCTGGGACCAACATGTGCCCCTTAGCGACAGCTAGAGGGAGGCCTCACTCGAGACAGAGGCTGTGCTGGCTGTCCAAAACCTCTTCTGAGCCTGGGTGATCTCTGTAAGACACACTTTCAGCTGCTCCACCTCAGCTGTCCCCACCCAGGCCCTGTGCTGACAGGACACTTCTGCTTCAGGGGGAAAGTCCTGTTCAGGGTGCAAACTATGCCTGCCTCATCTTTCTACTATGACAAGCCCAGTATAGAGTTCCACACCAATAGATGTTGCTCCCACAGGGCTAGAATTCACAGTGACAGCTAAGTGCCTTGCCCTGTATCCCCTCCTCCAAAACTCCCGTAATTCTAAGAGTTAGGTACTAGATATGCCTATTTTACAGATGAAGAATTGAGGCAGAGGGATGTTAAAGCAAATCTACCAGATCATAGTGAATGCATGAGTCAGAGTGGGCCAGGAGAGGGGTAATTACCAGCACAAAGTACCTGATATGATTTGGCTGTGTCCCCACCCAAATCTCATTTTAAATTGTAGCTGTCATAATTCCAACATGTTGTGGGAGGGAATTGGTGGGAGATAATTGATTGAATCATGGGGGCAGTTTCCCATATACTGTTCTTGTGGTAGGGAATAAGTCTCATGAGATCTGATGGTTTTATAAGGGGAAACCCCTTTTGCTTGGTTCTTATTCTCTCTTACCACCGCCACGTAACACATGCCTTTCACCTTCCACCATGATTGTGAGGCATCCCCAGCCACGTGGAGCTGTGAGTCCAGTAGTCCTCCTTTTCTTTGTAAATTACCCAGCCTCAGGTATGTCTTTATCAGCAGCATAAAAATGGACTAATACAATAGTTGGACTAAAGCAGTAGGAAAGAGTTAGAAAATTCACCAGATTCAACAATCATTCTGTGCTAGCGGTTTTTATTGTGAACTATACATTACATAAATTCAACCCTGTTTCAAGAAACGTTATATTCTTCCTGAATCCTAGTTCTAAAGCTGGTGGTACACCTCAGGCCCTGATTTTAGACAGTGATTTTTTTTAAAGTTAGTCCTGATAACAGCTTAATATTGCAAAGCAAACTGGATTTTCAACAGTACTCAACTTGAAAACTCAATTCAAAAGCCAACAATGAATTTAGTGAAAAGAGGACAGCTCTCCTGAATCAAATTACACCTCAACAATAGAAAGGAAAATACAGCCTTAATAAGTAAATTTGATAATAGTTGTTACTGAGAAATTATAAACATGAAGAAATATTTTGTAGGACCAGGGTTTGTAGTGGTATATGCAGGCACAGCCATAATGTGTGCCGTTTGATGAATAATGATGAAATAGAAGTATAGATATTAAATATCCTTCTTCCCAAATGGCCAAGAGAGATCAAGGCAGAACACTCAGAGTGAGGCCAAACCTGCACCTACTTCCCTGGGCACAATGGCTCTGCCAAGCCCAAGGTCAGCCTCATTTTGCCTGCCCTTTCCCACGAGGGCAGCCTGCTGGCTGGTAGAGTTCCGTGTCTTCCCTTCTAGCTGGAGCCTGGCAGCTGCAAATGTCCATAATTATGGAAGATCCACTAGTTTTCTGCTCTGTGGTTGAAACAAGGACAGTTTCTCTTTTTATTGCTGTTCTGTGGCTTCATGTTCTGAATCGCCGCTATTATTAATAATGGCCAAGGGGATCTTATTAGCATAGGGTGGACCTAGCCATGCATCTCTCTAAGAGCGGTTGTGAGAGCTGACAGGTTAACAAAGCTACTCACATAAACGGCAGAGCCATGAAAGGATGCAGCACTAAACTGCAGCGTGTGGGGAGGGGCGCGTGTACTTTGTTCACTTGTTCATTCCGGAGAGATGTTTACTGGAAACCTGAGCCCTACATCTTAGAACAGACTGTGCTTTTTAAATATATGGCATTTATTGCAACAGCACTCCTTAAATACGCAACATTTTACTTAGCTCCTAAAAGTAGCTGGCTTCCAAAAATATATGTACCCCAATCTTCACAATGGAATAAGCAGTATCGCCATGAAATATAAAACACATAAAACACAGCAAAGAGGCAATCAATACACACACATGATGCAAGCACTGTAGACAGGGCTCTTCTTTACAAGGATCTCAAACAACAACCTAAGCTCATGCTCATAGCATCCCGTGTGTGTTACAGTCTAGGGATGGGCTGCCGTTTTTCCTAGGGATGCCCTGTGTGTCTCCCTGCACTTGTGTCTACTCCTTGAAAGCCAGTTCCCTTTGTCCCAGTGCTCAGTTCATGGAGTGCACGCCCTCATAAAAGGATAGTGTGGCTGTGTTGCCATGAATCCACAAAGTGATTGAGAAGTGGAAATGTGACGGAGAGAGGTTAGGGAACACAGCCGGGAGGGGCGCACACACAGCGGGCTGGAAGAACACCAATGCATTCACGGAGGGAGACGTGGAGGTGAAGCCCCAATACTGCTCACTGCCTGCCTCAAGTCAATTCTTTTTCACTTTGATAACAAAATTGGCCATGGACGGTTGGTCTTGAAAGGTGTTCCGGGCAAACCTGAGAAAAGCACCTCACATTGACTTGAGAGGACTCCACCAAGATGGCACAAAGTCTGTCCTCCATGGCCTCTCACAACCTCCCCACCCTGCTCTCCTTCTCTTTCTGTCCTTCCCCTTCTCTCCTGCCCCTTCTCTCCTTCCCTTTCACTCCTTGCCTTTCCCTTCTTCCCCTTCCCTCCTTGCCCTTCTCTCCTTCCCTTTCCCTCCTTCTCCTTCCCTCTCTGCCCTTCCCCCCTTCCCCTTCCCTCCTTGCCCTTCCATCCTTCCCCCCTTTCCTCCTTGCCCTTCCCTCCTTTCCCTTCCCTCCTTCCCCTTCCACCCTTCTCCTTCCCTCCTTCTCCTTCTTTCCCCTTCCCTCCTTCCCCTTCCCTCTTTCCCCTTCCACCCTTCTCCTTCCCTCCTTCTCCCTCCTTCGCTTTCTCTCCTTGCCCCTCCTTCTTTGCCCTTCTTTCCTTCCCCTTCTCTCCTTCTCCTTCCTTCCTTGCCCTTCCCTCCTTCCCTTTCCCTCCTTCCCCTTCATTCCTTCCCCTTCCCTCCTTCCCCTTCTCTCCTTCCCCTTCCCTCCTTGGCTTTCCCTCCCTGTGTTTCCTTTCTTGCCCTTCCCTCCTTCCCCTTCTCCCCTTGCCCTTCCCTCCTTCTCCTTCCCTCCTTTCCCTCCCTGCCCTTCCCTCACTGCCCTTCCCTCCTTCCCCTTCCTTCCTTGCCTTTTCCTCCCTTCTTTTCCCTCCTTGCCCTTCCCTCCTTCCCCTTTTCTCTTTGGCTATCTATCCTTGCCCTTCTCTCCTTGCCCTTCTGTCTTGTTCTCTCCTTGTCCTGCTCTCCTTGCCCTTCTCTCCAATTTTGGAGCCCTTTACCAACTACCTCCAGCAATGGTTAATCAACATCTCATACTTTTCCCCTAGAGTGTGCCCAAAATTCAACTCTTAATATAAATTACCAGTTACTAAGCACTTAAAATTACCTACAGCATTAAGCCACAGAATGGGCCCGTATTTTACTGTCCCCGCCCATGTACGATAGGACACTGTTCGTTCACCTTCGATCATATGTGTCATCACCTGTAACCCGGCTGTGTGTTCCATGACACGAGAACTGACATTGAAGGAGCACAAAGCCAAAGCCTGTGGAAGCCAAGCGATCAATCAGACTCACCTCCTTCCTTCAATCATCCAGGATAAAGAACAGAAAGCTTAGGATGTTTTTGATGATTCTAGAAAAAAAAGTTTTCTCCAAGGGAGAAATGTAAAATATATCACTTTCTTGGAGCTTATAAACTTTTGTTTGGATTACTGTAGTTTCATACATATCCAAGTTAAATGCAGGAGCCCTAAATACATAAACTACTGGTGCAGTTTAATTCTTATTTCTACGGAAAAGGTGTGATATCGATATTTAAACATTGTAATATTTAAAATGTTCTTTCTTATTCAATGTTCTTCTTTCCATTTTCAATAATATGGGAGCATTCTGGAAAGGAAATACATGGACCAAGCAAGGTCTCACATTCAGTCATTGGCAGGGAAGATCTCTCTTGGGGGGCACTGCTGCCTTTACAGTCAGATAAAACTGTTTTTGTGAATGCAAGAAAAGAGAGGAGATTTGAGTGTTACCCTAGAGCCAATTGGAAGATTCTAGAAGACTCGTCACTGGATAGGTAAAAAACACAAAAGATGTTAAAACATTTAAATATGACAGGGTTTGGGAGGGAAGATGGGAAAGATGGGGAGATGTTTGAAGAACCCCAAAGTAGCTTTCCTCAGAATGAGCAAAGGCCAAGACCTCCAGTAAAGCCCCTGTCTCCAGATGTGCCTCAGGAAATGCCACAGCTTTCACACAGGTAAGCGGGCTGCTGGTGTCTTTGTGCTCCCTTCTTCCTGAGGACTTGTGAAATGCAGAGCTTCTCAGCATGGAGACAGGTTGAGATGAGAAACAAAGGCCACTCTGTGCTGGGAGCTAGAGGGACAAGGGTCAGCAGAGACCAGCATCCCATGCAGCCAGCACTGAACCCCACTTGAGTGATGGACCTCTGCTCTGGTTTGAATGTTTGTGTGTCTCCAATATCCATCTGTTGGAACCTAACATCCAATGTGATAGCATTAAGAGGTGGTGCCTTTGGGGAACTAATGAAGTCAGAGCACTCCACCCTCTTAAATGAGATTAGTGCCAGCATAAAAGGGACTACAGGAAGCACCATGGTCCTTTTTCCTTTCTGCTTCTTGTCATGGGAGGATGCAACAGTGAGGTGTCACACTGGAAACAGAGAGCAAACGTCACCAGGGGCCAAGACAGCAGGCACCTTGATCTCAGACTTCCCAATTTCCAAAACTATGATTGATAAATATTTCTTTATTATAAATTACCCATTCTAAGTTGTTTTTATAGCAACCTGAATGCAATGAGATAATCACATATGTTAATTTTCCCAGCACTCCATGTTTCCATTTCTGAAGAATCTTGGATTTAAGGGGACATGAACTACATGTAATGCAGAGATGAAGAAAGGCAATCTCGCACTTTGCCCCTACATCCCACAATATCTGTCTTCCAGTTTTTATGGCCAAGACACTGCAAAAGACTGGGTTTTCCTGGTTCGTATTGATGCAGGATTATTTTGCTCCTTAGCTCAGCTAGGTCTGAGTTTTTGTCTCATAGCCAGGAAGAATTAGGTGCATGGACACTAGAGAGTGAGTGGAGTAGAATTTACTAAGTGAAAGGAAAGCTGTCAGCAAAGAGGGGATGTGATGGGTGGTTCCCCTATGCCAAAGTGGGAAAAGTTCCCTAATATGGCTGAACCTGGAGCTTTTATGGGCTCAGAATAGGGAGTGTGGGGTGTGTGTGCTGATTGGTTTGTGAGTATGCAAAAAAGGTTAAAGTCAAGACACCACTCAAAGGTGGGCACGATAGTGTAGAAAACCAATTAGGAAAGGGTAGGTAGGGTAGGTATATGTAAAATAGGTGAAGAGTAAGGATCAATCAGAGGAAAATGCCCCAAACAGGAAGACAGGTTTTCAATCTGGTCCAAGGATTTAACTTGTAGCTTGGCTTTCAGGGTTTAAACTGTCTTTGGCTTGAAGGTGGGGTTTCACCAGGGACCCACCCCTATCTGCCTAGGCATATGGCTGCCTCCTGCTGCTCTTAGTGTGATGCCTGTGTCCTCATGTTCCACATAGTGAGAGGCCATAGATTCAACACCAGCCTGCTATTGGCTATGCATATCTTTGGACTCTTAGACTCTCAGCCCAGTGTTTTCACCTGTGAAATAAAGAAAACAATGCATGATACATGGCGATTTTATCTTTTACCATCTAAACCATTTTCAGGTGTCCAGTTCAGTTGTGAAGCACATTTACATTGTTGTGCAATCATCACCACCACCCGTCTCCAGAATTCTTTTCATTTCCCTAAACTGAAACTCTACACACATGCAACATGAACTCCCCATTTTCCCCTACCCTCAGCCTGGCATCCTACTTTCTGTCTCTATGAATTTGACCACTTTAAGTACCTCAAAAAGGTGGAATCAGACAGTATTCATCCTTTTGTGACTGGCTTATTTCACTGAATAGTCTTCAAGGTTCACCCATGTGGTAGCACGTGTCAGAGCTTCCTTTTAAAGGCTGAATAATATTTCAATAAAAAGACCCTACATAGCCAGGCACAGTGGCTCATGCCTGTAATCCCAGCACTTTGGGAGGCCGATGCAGGCAGATCACAAGGTCAGGAGATCGAGACCATCCTGGCCAATGTGGTGAAACCCAGTCTCTACTAAAAATACAAAAATTAGCTGGGGGTTGTGGCACATGCCTGTAATCCCATCTACTCGGGAGGCTGAGGCAGGAGAATTGCTTGAACCAGGGAGTCAGAGGTTGCAGTGAGCCGAGATGGTGCCACAGCATTCCAGCCTGGCAACAGATTGAGACTCCGTCTCAAAAAAAACAAAACAAACAAAAAAACACACAAAAAAACCCTACATTTTGTTTATCCATTCATCCATGGATGGATATTGGGTTGCTTCCTCCTATGGCTGTTGTGAATGATACTGCTATGAACATGAACATACAAATAACTCTTTGAGGCTCTGCTTTCAATTCTTTTGAGTGTACACCTAGAAGTGGTGTTGCTGGTTCTTAGAATAATTCCACAGTTATTTTAAGCCTTAAATAGGATTATCCACCAAGAGCTGCCTATCTGTTAAGTATTGTTACATTGTTACTTATACTCCCTGGCTTCTCTCCCTGATCTACCAGTGTGTGCCGAGACCTCCTGGAAAACATCAGGCCATTAACAAAAACATCCAGAGATGCTTTATGGAGAGACAAGCTCTACAGCTGTATAAAAACAAGATGAGTCAAATTACAACTCCTAAAGTTATTACTTTTCCTGAATTAAATTAGTCCTTAAAATGCAGCCATCCCCAAATATTAAAAACTTCTGTGTGACTACCAATGTATTTTATATAACTAGTCAATGCCAATCCAATATTTGCTGACTGTCAGAGAGATACAGGCTTGTATGAGGTCTCCCCTGTGGTAGAGCTCATGCTTTAAGTTCCAGTCAAAGATTTATTTAACAATATTTCTTGGTTTGTTTTCTATCTAAAATGTGGAAACTTGTGTTCTCACTTTGGTACAATGTTACAGAAGATTAGCATTGCCCCCTTCATAATAAGGCATACAAATGTATGAGATTTTAGAACTAAACATTCCTATGACCATAAAAACCACAATCTCAAATATATCACATCAGCAACATATTGAAACTATACACCATGACAGAATAGGATAAATCTCAGAAACACAAGGGTGATTCCAGATGAACAAATCAATTAAAATGCTATAACTCCAAAAGAGATTACATAAAATCACTTCAGTATCTATGGAAGAGCCATTTGAAATATTTTAATACCAATTTAAAATTATACTGTCAGAATAGGAAGAGAAGAATATGTCATGAGCATAAGAGAGTGTGGCTCTTGGAGTAGTGATTAAGAAACTAGGCCCAGGAGCCAAACTGCTCGAGATCAAATCCTGGCTCCACCAAGTGCAAACTGGTTGACCTTGGGCTGGTTATTTAACATCTCTGTGCCCCAATTCCATCATCATTTAACAAGTGAAAGTAAGTTGTATTAGCCCATTCTTGGATTGCTACAAAGAAACACCTGAGACTGGGTAATGTATAGCAAGGGGATTTAATTGGCTCACAATTCTACAGTCTGTACAGAAAGCATGGTGCCAGGCATACTTGGTGATATGGTTTTGCTGTGTCCCCACCCAAATCTCATCTTGAATGGTAGCTCCCATAATTCCTACATGTTGTGGGACTGGTGCGAGATAATTGAATCATAGGGGTGGATACTCCCATACTGTTCTTTTAGTAGTATGGGAGATTGGATCTCACGAGAGCCAATGGTTTGATAAGGGAAAACCCATTTCACTTGATTCTCATTCTCTCTCTTGTCTGCTGCGTGCCTTTCACCTTCTGCCATGATTACGAGGCCTCCCCAGCCATGTGGAACTGTGAGTCGAATTAAACCTCTTTCTTTCGTAGATTACCCAGACTCAGGTATGTCTTTATCAGCAGTGTGAAAACAGACTAATATACCTGGCTTCTGATGAGGTCTCAGGAAGCTTTTAATCATGGCAGAAGGCAAAGAGGGAGCAAGAACATCCCACTGTGAAAACAGGAGCAAGAGAGAGAGAGGAGGGGCAGGGAGGTGCCACACACCTTTAAACAACCAGATCTCATGAGAACTCACTCACTATCACGAAGATAGCCCAAGACATGAGGGATCCACCCCCATGATTCAAACACCTCCAGCACTAGCATGAGATCTGTGTGAGGACAAATATCCACACTATATCATAATTGTTTCAGGAATCTAAAATGAAATGCCCAGAATAGTTCCTGGCACATAGCAACCTCCACGTAAGTGTTTGTTATTATTATTATTATTATTACTGTCATAATAACTCTCAGATACATAAGAAATAGTTTTAAAATCAGTAATAAAGCAAGCATGCTGAACCAAGAGCATGCTTGGATGAAACAGCCAGCACCTCCTCTCTCCAGGCAGCTAGAAACCAACCTCTAGTCCAGTCACCTCTAGAGAACCCCACCTTCCCACACAGGGGTTTCACAGGCTGCCCTGTCCTTTCTTGGCCCCAGCCTTTTGGACTTTATTTCCTTCTTTCCTTTCTTCCTTCTTTCTTTCCCTTCCTTCCTTTCTTTCCTTTCCTCCCTCCCTTCCTTTCTTCCTCCCCTTCTTCCTTCCTTCCTGCCCTTCCTTCCTTCATTTTTCCCTGACACCTGATCTACTGTGGAACGTAAGTCCATTTTCACCAGCCTGGATGCAGAGCTGGGGGTCATGTCAGGGAAGCTCCTCTTCTGAGACTAGATTTGGAAGGTGTGAATCTTGGGGACTATCAGAGATGACTGTCCCTTGCCATGTGAAGAATGCTATCTATGAATGAGGCAAGGAGGTCAGGGAGAAGCAAAAGGGCCTCGCCTGCTGAGGCTGCCCAGCTCTACCTGAGGCACACCATGCCACGGTCCAGTGCCTGGGGTTCACTGTGATCCTGAATCCACCCAGCAGGGAAAGTCCCAGTTTTACTTAGGCCAGTTTGAGTTGGGTTTTAATAACTTGCAACTACCCTTTCTGAACATTATTTAATATTTTTTGGAAGTTGTAGGTAATTCTTTAGGACATAAAACATAAAAAGTGACTGGCATAGGCATGAAATAGACTTAGCCTCTCACAGCCTCTAATGGGAAAGCATGTCTGCCCAGTCCCAGGTCAAGGAGAAGCCCTAAGTGGCCACTTCTGTCTTTGGACCTGACCCCGAGGCAACAAAGCTCTAGTTAACCTACCCATGAGGGCCTGAGGCCTGGACTTATAAAATCGGCTGGAAAAAAAAATGTATCTTGTAAACTTGAATTATTTTCCTTTGTGCATCTTGGCTACATCAATAGACTGAAGAAAGGCAAGAGGTAAACGTGGGGTTTTTTCAAGGCAAATTCATGGAGGTGGGGGTGCATGGGGAGAAGCAGCAGAGTCGGAGAACTGGGGAGCAGTATGGTGCAGGGAGGCCCACACGCTCCAACCCTGCCGGCCTCGGTTCCTGGTGTGCTAGTTTCCGATGGCTGCTGTAACAAATCCCCACGAACCTGATGGTTAAACCAGTACAGCTTTAGTAGCTGACCGTTCTGGAGGTCACCAGTCTAAAATGGGTTTCACCAGGGCAGAACCGGGCAGAACCGAGGTGTCGGCAGGACTGTGCTCCCTCATGGGGATTTGGGAATGATCTGTTTCTCTCCTTCTCCAGATTCCAGAGCTGCATTCTTTGTGTTCCTTGTTCCTGGCCCTTTCTCCACTTCATGCCCAACAGCCTCCCAGCCGTGGCCCTCCCAGACTCTGCCTCCCTCTCCTTCCAGCACAGGGCCTTCTTCTCTTCTGTCTGTAGTCAAATCCCTCTGCCTACCTCTTACCTACAGTGGCTTTAGGAACCACTCAGGTCACCCAGGAAAGTCTCCCTTATCTCAAGATCTTTAATTTAATCTCCTTTTTCCATATAAGATCAGGGCCTAGTATTTTTGGGGACAATTTTCCCACTTCCCACACTGGGGCTCTCTGATTCGGGTTCTCCTGAGGCTCAGCCTCCGGTGGCATTCCTGAGACCTTGGCAACTTCCCTGTCTCCCTTTCACCAGCACAGGCCCCCGAACGGATTTGAGTAAGTCTTGGTTCACGTTTCTGTTTTATTTGGGCTCCTTCGGCTACAAGAAACAAAGATAAGGTTAAGAACTGAAGTAGAAAAGAAGGTCTTGATAAATAAAACAGCATCCTTGGAAAGTTTAAATATTTCTGTTAGAAAACTTTAGACTTAATAAAAATTTCATGGATAGGCAAGACGTAAAATAAATATACCTAGAATCAATTACATTCTTCCATACCAGCAATAACCTGAAATGCATTATTTATAAGGAAATTCTATTTACAATAGAAACAAAAACATAAAATATTTAGAAATAAAATTAAGAAGAGTTGCCTGACCTTTATACAGAAAGTTTACTGGGAAATATAAAAGCCTTAAATCAAGAGATCAATGCACTACTTTCTTGGTAGGAGAGCAAAATATAATCATGTTTTTTTGTTAGCAGGTAAATTGATGGGTTACACTTAGTTTGGGTATGATTTTTCATGACACATTTGAGAAATGTTTTAAATTTATCAAGGACGACAACAACAACAACAAAAATCCCAGTGTTTTGGCAGAAAGAAAACTAGAGAAATGGTTTCAGGGTGGTTAAGAACCTGGCTGTGAACAAACACAGACCAGGGCTAGAAGCAAGTCACGCCCTCACAAGCTTGGCATCTTGGCAAGCTACCCGCCTCTAAAAAAGTTAGTTCCCTTCTTTGTAAATTAGAGACATGTCAATATGCATTAATGAATTCTGAGAGGCAGTATCACAAAATATTTAAACAGAACTGAATACAATGTGTTCTGGGAACTGTATCCAATGACTCAGAAAGTGTTTCTTGTAATGCTGGAAATAACGTTTCCATGTGAACATTTTAAATAACACTGTTCAAGGACAATAGAGCAGGGAAAATTAATATTTTCAAAATAATATATTGGTTTATTTCATGTAAAATTAAACATGTACCTGAAAGTAAACTTGTTCAGCAAAATCAACTTCAACCATGTCACAAACATTTAAAGCATTCAATTTGTCCAAAAGCATCTTTAACAAGCATTCTGCTTGGAGAAATGGCGATTGTGTTATCTGGGGGTTCTTTGTTATTCCAACACTTGTTGTAACCATCTTTCAACAAGAAGTGATAGAACCTGAGGGTGAACTGAAGCAGGCAGGGCTCCCAGCCTCATCTAAACTCTGAAACAGGAATGCATTTAAGTGGAAGCAAATACAAGCACATAAGTGTGCACAATTACGTGTAAGAACTTGAAGTATGATGATTAACTACAAACAAACAATAAACAAATGAAGCAACAAGAGGGAAAGATCAACCAAGAGCTGTTGCTGGCATAAATGATTACAGGTTGAGTATTCCTAATCCTAAATGCTTGGATCTAGGAGTGTTTTGGATTTCGGATTTTTCTTTTTCAGATTTGGGAATATTTGCATTATGCTAACCCCAGTTCAACATTTCTAACGGGAAAATCCAAAGTCTGAAATGCTCCAATGATCCTCATGACAGCACACAAAATATTTCCATTTTGGGAGCATTTCTGTTTTCAGATTTTTGACTTAGAGGTACTCAATTTGTAGGTCTTTATGAAAAAGTCTCACTTTGCAAAATTTACTAAAATAAAAAGCAAATTATCCAGATATCCTTAGATTCCTTTTACTTACCCTTGGGCTACTGAGGATGTATTTAGCACATGCGAGCAGCTGGAAATGCCTGGACATTCACGGCACTCCATCATGACTTATTCTGGCAGAAGCATGAAAGTGATGCTCCCAGGCTGGGAACCAACAGTGTCCCCATGAAAGCCTCCTGTGGCTTTGAAATGACTTTTGCAAAGATGATGACAGTGACAGAAATCTACCATGGCTGACTCCATCTTGCTTCTAACCTCACAGGCTTGCTGTCTTTGCTCATTCGTGGGTGTAGGCCAAGCCAACCATGGAAGGAATTCAGCTTACAGTTTAACTTCGAAGCAAGGATGATAGCAGTCCTTCCCCCAAACTGGCCACCTCTTTGTTCAGGGCTGAAACTGCCTTTGTAAGACTAAATAAATGTCATAAGCTTAGGATTATGAGATGGCCCCAAATTCCGCTAAAATATAGGCATCGTTTCTGTAATCCCTTGATGCTTAGAAGTCATGTGGCCAGGAGTCACAAGATTTGTGACTCCTCCAATTGCTCCTAGAGATGACATCACTGCCATAGAACCTGCACTTTTTTTTTTTTTTTTGAGATGGTTTTCAGATTCACCCCACCCAGACTTGTGACTCATGACTCAACTGGTCCTGTGGCCCAACCCAGCAGCAAACTCTGTGCACGAGAACCTTTCTCCACACACCTGTGATGGTGGCATCTCCAACCAGTCAGCAGCACTCTTTCCCTAGTCCCCTGCCCACCAAACTATCTTTGAAAACCCCTAACCTCCGAACCTTTGGAGAGACTGATTTGAGTGATTCTCCCAATTCTCCCACATGGCTGACCTCCTGTTAATTAAACTCTTTCTTTACTAAAATACCATGGTCTTGGTGAACTGGTTTTGTCTATGCAGAGAGCAGGAAGAAACCATTGGGTGATTATAGCTTCCTTTCCCAACCAGAGTAAAAGCCTGCTGATGCTGATACCCTTATCCCTCATCTCCTTCCACCTCCCTGGTGCTCAATTCACGTGAGCTATGCTGACCACCTCGCTGTTCCTGGAATGTGCCAAGGGATCCTCTGTGCAGCACCCTGGCACCGGCTGTTCCCTTTGCCTCCAGTCCTCTGTCCATATCTCCACATGGCTCCCTCCCTCGTGTCCCTCAGATTCTTCTCAAAAGTCACCTGTTTTCCATAGCAACTTAAGAAACATTACACATTAATATGAGAATATCACATGAAACTTGCAACCTTTCTGGCCCTAATACACATTTTTCTTTGCTTTACTTTTCCTTATAGCACTCGTCATTGGGCATGCAGTGCTTCACACTAATTTGCTTATCTTCCTTCCCTCTGACTGAAGAGCGAGCTCCCTGAGGAGTGGCTGCTAGGAGGTGCCTCACTCCTCTCTCCCTTCTAGAGAGAGTTGCTGCTCGGAGCTAGAGCATTGGTAGCTGACTGTTGCCCCACTTTTGGAGTTCACTGCCTTGTTCATGCCAGGCTCCACCTCCCCCAGGCTGCTCTCATGGAGTGACGGAGCTTGGCAGAAAGTCCAGCCCCGGGGGGGTCTCAGAAGATCAGTCTGTGTTCTGGGGCTCCCCACTGGGCTGGCCAAGATGCTCTCAGTGAGGCACCACAGCCTGAGGCTCTTCCTGCCCTGTCCTCCCCTCTTTCCTCTCTCTTCCTCAGGTGCCAGGCCTCATTCTCATGGTCAGAGGCTCCCCACTTGCTCCCACTCTCCGTCCCCTTACCCTCCATGGGGGTGTTCTCCCTACACATCTCTGCAGCCCTTAACTCCTAACTCCATCTTGATATCTGCTTTCCAAAGAACTCAGACTGGTACAAAAGGTAAAAGTTCTTATCTATTCTACCTGATGCTATACCCTTAGTACCTTGAAAGTAGAAATTTCTACTGACACAATTAGTAAAGCAACACACATAAGATATATTCAAGCCATAAACAGACAAAAAAAAATGCAGAAGAAATGATGCTGTGATATTGTACATTTCTGAAATTAACCAAAAAATAATAACAATGTGTTGATTATGAGGCTGATACATGTATACACATCAAATATTTATAATTACCATATAATTTTCAAAGCAAGCTTGGCGGCATGAATAAAGGTCTTTAACCTTGATCTTGAAGTCTCTTGTCTGAGGCCTGCTTCTAATGAAATCTTTTAAAATAAGACAAAACAAGAAAATAATTTATATATATCAAGTGATTCCTCATGTCATTAACTACAAAGGACATTGCCAACCATAGGAAACTGGTCACTTAAATGAGCTAGAAAGGTAAGTGCTGAAATTGAATTGAGATGAGCCAGAAGTAACTTGTTTAAGAAACAGAGGCAAGAAGAGAGGAATTACCAGTTTTTCACTTTACCCTTCTCAGTGTTTGAGGGTAACTAACCCTGTTCTCATAATAAACAATTTTCCCAGAGTGAGGGAAGAAAGAAGATAAGAGAATAATTATCTTATATTTAATATTAACCAAGCATTTCATATAAAATAACTGATTTAATCCTCAGAACAGTGATGTGACATGCATCTGTCTTGACTAAGAGGAAACTACACCCCAGAAAGCTGATGGAATGTTCAAATGTCACAAAACCCAAATAAAATAAAAGACTGGAAAGAGGAAGGTCTATGAAATGCCTCTCTCTGGAACTTTGAGTTTTTCCAGTAGGGAAAACTGGAAGATAAATTCAGGAAGCTATGAAAATTAAACTGCCTTTTCAAACGTGCAGATTCTGTCTATTCCCATTGGCTTTCAGTAGTGTTCATGGAACTGTTGTTCTCATCCGCAGTTGACTTTGCGACTATATATTATGGTAATTCTTGAGTCGTTTTCCATCTAATTAAGAGTTTACTCCATGCAGTGTATTTATTTAGCAAGAATCCTGGGCATGAGGTGTCTAGTGACTAGATTAGTGACAGGTGACACGATAAAGCCTGGGTTTGACTGTCTTGCTTCTATGATCAATGGAAACATGTCAGGAATATATTCCACAATAAATCTGCTGCACACACATTTAATTAAGAGACTTGGTGTGTTGGGCTGTTACTGTATTGCTATAAAGGAATACCTGAGGCTGGGTCATTTATAGAGAAAAGAGGTTTAATTTGCTCATGGTTCTCCAGGGTGTACAGGAGGTACAGTGCCAGCATCTGCTCGGCTTCTGGGGAGGCCTCCTGGAGTTTTTACTCCTGGTGGAAGGCAAGGTGGGAGCAGGCAGGTAACACAGTGAGAGCAGGATCACTGTGGGAGGCGGCACACACTTTAAACAACCAGCTCTCATGAGAATTCACTCACCATCAGGATGACAGCACCAAGTCATGAAGGAGCCACCCCCATGACCCAAACACCTTCCACCAGGCTCCACCTGGGGATTACAATTCAACATGAGATTGAGAGGGGACAACATCCAAAGTAGATCTTAAAGAAATTGTCCAGCATGTCTGCGAAGCTGCTGTGTCTGTGTGTGTAGTAAACAGGTGGTAGTAAATGGCTCAGTCAAGGACTCTCTTGTCCGACAGCCAGGGCTGCAATTCTTACACTCCTACTTGCTGATTAAATACTCTTGTCTTAGTCCTCTCAGGCTGCCATGGCCAAGTACCATAGACTTAGGGGCTTGAGCAACACACACTTATTTCTCACAGATCTGGAGGCTGAAAGTCTAAGAACATAGCGCTGACGTATCTGGTGTCTGGGGAGCGCTGCTTCCTGGTTTGCAGAGGGCCAGCTTCTTGAATGTACTCTCATATGGAGGAGAACAGAGAGACAGAGGCAAACCCTCTGGCACTTCTTCTTACAAGGGTGCTAGTCCCATTTGTGGGAGCCCCACCCTCATTACCCGATTACTTTCAAAGGCCTCACCTCCTGATGCCTCCACATTGGAGACTTAGGTTTCAACCTATGAATTATGAGGGGACACAGTCATTCAGTCCGTAGCAGGACTCAACCTGTTTTCTCATCTTTAGTGTAACCACTGCTAAGGGCAGTGGGAAATTACATGAGCTCATTTCATAATTAAGCAGAAACCCCAAAACACGAATTAATGTTGTGGGTTTTGCCTCATTTTAAATATTTGTCATGTAAAGAATTTTGAGTAAGGAATAAAATCATGTTGATCTGCTGCCAGAGTGGAGAGGTTTGGAATGTTTTTAATATTTTTACATAGAAATAAAATGTAGAAGAGATTGCACAGTATCTGGTTATTCAGGTTATTCAGTGTGTCATTATCAAGAGACACACCTTAAGGAAAGAACAATATAGTGGACATAAGAAGCTTAATCCATCTACGGAAGTATCAACAGATTTTAATTGAAAATTATGCTGTAACATAGGCAAAAGAAAATGAGAAGGGAGACCACATTTTTAGGAGATTGCTCTCTGTGTGACAGCGTTGCAAAAAAACACTGCTTCATTTCTTTGTGTTGTTTGTGAGAGGGAATGCCACACATGCACACACTCTCACAGGATTGGGATAAACAGTTGTGTGCCATCTCACTGACTCCCAAAGGCGGTGTATTTATCTTAGGCATGATTCTAACTGTACTTAAAAATTCAACATTTGATTAAAACATTATCATAGCAAAATTTTATATTAATATTATAGCAGTTTAATCTTCTCACACTGTAGTCCTTTTTCTGACCCATTGAACATCCCAGAATTACAATGATTTGAACTCCTATAAGATTTATTTTTTCTTACAATCTATGTTTATTTTTCAGAGCCACTTGGTCCATGGTCATCTCCATAGTTTTTAAAAATAAATATGGTCATAACCAAAAAAGACTATATGATCCTGTATAATGTTGAATGCTTGGCAACTGCTTTTTAGAGGTGTGCATCCTCTACAACGACTCTTATAAAACTTTATGAAAGCGGACAAATATGTTTAAAAATATGCAAACAAACATGGGAAATAGAATTAGAACAGACTGTCTCTTACAGTTAAGTCTGTAGGTTTTAAAAGATGCATAGATTCCACAATAACCTTTTCATTTAGTGACATATCTATTGTTATCCCTATGAAGTTTATAGAATGTCAAGCCATGTCCTTTTGTCTCATTTATTGAAGCATATTACTGATATTCTATTTTTATCTATTCTTGTAAAATGACTTTACTTTGCACAGATGTATAAACAGGATCTACTCTGAATGGATGTAATCTGCCAAGGCCAATTCACCAGCTGAGGTTTGAATTAAAATGTCAGTGACAATGTCAGCTTAGTGCTCCAAAGGAAGTGCATGGAACAGCAACGCAGAGCAAACTATTAGCAACCTGCCCACTGTACGTGGCTTTCCTGTGTCACAGCAAAACTGGAAAAAGACAGCGGAGCAACACGCACTGCATGTAGATACAACAACAGGTCTGTGAAGGCACATTTGTCATGATTTCCTCTAGAGGTGAGTTGTAAGAAGATCACCAGCTTCTTGTTGATTAACTTGTCAGCCTTGCATGTGTCTTTAGATTCCTTGGGTAGAAGCTCTCCACAAACACCACTTATTACTACTCATGGCTATTCTGGGTAGCAACCGTTGACCAGAAGTCTGAAGTCTTTGCAATTCAAGGAAACTTCACTTGTAAATACTCAGCCTAGCTGAGCTAAAATGAGGTAGCAGAAACCTCAGTGAAGACCCTGAGTAATGGTTCTGATCTTTGATTTTCCTCATTCTAAACTCACTTTGGATATGTGGTCCTTTCTTAATGTTATTTTTGTAGATTTCAACTTCCCCTTTCTCTATTTGCTTAGATTTCTACTTTGTAGTCAAAGTTTTATTTTGTTTTTAATAATTATTCCAATGAGAAAAGGATCATCTGTAAGTTATTGGGATCATTTTAGGTATTATCTTATAAAATTAAACAATGACAACAGTCTAATGCATAATTAGATGGATGTTTAATATTTGTAGAACTTTTAGGTCATGCTTGGCTTGATTTACTTTATTTGAAATAAAGTGCATTTTCATCTTCATCATAATGCACAGAAACAAGGCAGAGAAAAATGATTCTTAATTGTGGTTCCTACAAAGGAGGTTTGGTATAAATTTGAATTTCAAATAATTTCTCCTTTCAAACACTTCAGATGGGGTTGGGCAGAGTCACTTGTAAATTTGTAATGTAGAATGCAGTTTGGGATTCAAGCTCCTCAGCACTTTGCTGTGAAGGAGAAATTAGGGCAAGACAGATTGACAAGCTCTCATCCCTTGGCATTGTGCCAGGACAGCTGAGATGACCTTGTGGGTTGACATGTTTCCCCCAAGAAGATATAAGTTGATGTCCTAACTCCTGGTACTTGTGATTGTGACCTTATTGGGAAACAATGTCTTTGCAGATATAATCTAGTTCAGATGATGTCATTAGGATGGGTCTCAATCCAACATGACTGGTGTCCTCATAGGAAGAGGAAAAGGTACTCAGAAACACACAGGGAGGATACCATGTGATGATGGAGGCAGATCTTGGAGTGACATATCCACAAGCCAAGGAATGCAAGGATTGCTAGTAAACAGCAGAAGCTGAGAGAAAGGAAAATATCTTCCCAGGGAGCCTTCAGACACAGAGTGGCCCTGCCAGCCCCTTCCCTTTGCACTTTTAGCCTCTGGGACTGTTGTCTTAAGCTTGTCCAGTTGGTGGTAAATTGTTACTGCAGCCCAGGGAGACTGACACAGATGCTGGAGCTGAAGCTTCCTCCAGGTGACCTCTCTCATGTGACCTAACCCCGAGCCCAGAGCCACAGAGGCTTAATCTGTTCAACCTTTTGTGCTCTCTCCAGAAAACCTAAGTATCAATCAGAGAACAGAGTTCTAATGTGCAAGGAGCCCCGAGATCATCCAGGCACAGGGACCACTAATTTTACGGATTAGGAAACACAAGAAGGCTGATGAGATTGTTCATTAATTTGGAACTATTAGGAAAACATACCCATTTGCTTCTAAGCCAATATCACCAGGATGAGCATATTAAAAATCTACGTGGAGCCATTTAAGAAGCCTGTTCTCCCCTCTGGCTGCAGAGAGAGGGTCCTCCCTTGGCCCTTCTTTCTTGATTTGCCAAGGTTTAGGGTTACTCTTACTTCCCTGGTGACTCTTAGAAACTTGGCTCATCTCTGAGCAGAGATACAGGCTAAAGAACATGTCTCCAGGGGTCTTCCCATGATGGGGAATGCTGTTCATTCTCACACTGCTATAAAGAAATACCTGAGACAGGTTAATTTATAGAGAAGAGAGATTTAATTGTTTCACCTATACAGGAAGTATAGTGGCATCTGCTTCTGGGGAGGCCTCAGGAAACTTACAATCATGGTGGAAGGCAAAGGGGAAACAGGCACGTTTCACATGACCAGAGCGGGAGGAAGAGAGAGGGGGGAGGTGCCACACAGTTTTAAACAACCAAATCTCATGAGAATTCACTCACTATCACTACACAGTACCAGGAGTGGATGGTGCTAAAGCATCCATGAGAACCCCGCCCCCATGATGCAATCACTTCCCACTAGGCTCCACCTCCAACACTGGAATTACAATCTAACAGGAGATTTGAGCAGAGACATAAATCCAAACTATATCAGATGCTGTCAACTTCCTGGGAGGTATTGCCTCCTTGGGGGTTGAATTAAGGATCCCAACAAAATAGAACCAATAGGGAATGGTGTGTGTGCGTGTGTGTGTGCACACGCATGTATAAATGTTATGTATGGAGAAATTGGCTCACATGATTGTGGAGACTGGAAGCCAGGCTGAAATCTGCAGGATGGGCCACAGTCTGCAGACCCAGGAGAACCAATGTTTTCATTCTGGTCTGAAGATTGTCAGGCTGAAGTCCCAGGGAAGAGCAGATGTTGTAGTTCAAATCCAGAGGCTCTCAGGTTGGAGAACCAGGAAGAACCAATGTTTCAGTTGGATCCCAAAGGCAGTTTGCTGACAAAACTCCTTTCTGCTTAGGGGAAGTCAGTGCTTTGCTCTGCTCAGGCCTTTAATTGATTTAGATGGATCTTTCCATGTTATGCAGAGCAATCTGCTCTACTGAAAGTCCACAGATGTAAATATTCACCACACCAAAAATACAACTTCCAGAAACATTCAGAGTAATCTTTGACCACATATCTGGGCACCATGGTCCAGCCAAGTCAACACATAAAATTAACCATCACACATACATGATACATGTGTATATATGTAACATAATCTTTTATATTTAAACATTGTCATAAGTGATATACATTGCATGTATGTGTGTATTTATCTGGGCTGAGAGTTTCTAGAACCCAGAAAAATCAGAATTAATACATCTATGTTTTTCCTATAAATAGCACATGTCCCAATGTCCCATGTTTAACAGATGGTAATGTGTTTTGTTTTGTTTTTAGAGAGAGGGTCTTGCTCTGTTGCCCAGACTGGAGTGCAGTGGTGCAATCGCAACTCACTGCAATTTTGAACTCTCCAGGCTAAGGTGATCCTCCCACCTCAGCCTCCCAAGTAGTTGAGACTACAGGTGCACCCCACCACACCCAGCTACTTATTTTGTAGACATGGAGTTTCACCATATTTCCCAGGCTGGTCTCAAGCTCTTGGGCTCAAGCTATCCACCTGCCTGCTGAAATTACAGGTGTGAGCCACTGTTGTCAGCCCAATGACAATGTTTAGTCAATGTTTTTTAAAACAGAATTAGGTAAAATGAGACATTATGGTGCAGCTGTGTGATCATGTTAGATTGCCCTGATATTTACCATTTTGCCAAGGTAACGTGCTCTAACCAGCCAATTCCACTCACCTCAGTGGGACACCTTCGCTTTACCTCCATAACAGCCATGTTATTCTGTTCTTCTGTGTTCTTCTATGGCTTTTCCTCCTCTCATTTCCTCCCCTCTTGCCAAGGAACCCCTGGCCCCACCTCTGCACCATTGCAGGGAGGCCTTAGGTCACCTGCTGCTCCCTATGACTTCTAATCCCTTATTTTCGTGCAGACGAGCAACTCAGGATCACACACAGGAGGACTCACCAAAGCAGGGGAAGGCGGACTCCAGGCTTCCAGCTTTTGCCCCATCATGATTCAGGGTCCTAACTGGAGAGAAATGTTCCATGGGACAGCCCTGGTGATCATTTTGGATCTGCTGACCACTGTGCCCACCTACAAGTCCCAAGTACAGCCCTAAACCTCATTCTGTCTTCTGTGCGCTTCAGCCAGAACTACCCCTGGAACCTTCCCAGTTTCTCTGCTGACCACAAGCAGTCAAATGACACCATGATTGGGAATCAAATACTTAAAACTGACAGGCCAGGATCTGAGATGGGCTCATTTAAAAGTTAAAGCAAAGGTCAATAGATAAGGTACAAGACAGGACCAGGAGAAGGAGCAGAGAAGGCCAAGAGGAGGTGATAGCAGCATAGTGGATGCAGGAGGTTGATGAATGTGGTCTGCCTTTCCAAGGAGGAGAGTGGATAACAGTCTCCATCACGCGCAAAAGTGGAAGCATGTCAGATGCGTTTACAGGAGTTGAACAGGGAGTGGCATTGATCTTGGCAAGCTGGCAAGAATCTCCTACTATTTTATGTAGCTCCTACTTTCCATGAAATCTTTATCCATTCTGACTTCCTTCATGAATACCCAGAAAGGACACTTTTTTTTTTTGGAAACTCTAGGAGGCCCAGAGCACCCACAGTCTTCAGGTGGGAGACAATGAACAACCAGGTGGATTTCAGCACTCCAGGTAGATATTCTCTTGTTCTCAGCTGTCAAAATTTAACTCAACAGACTAGGACACTCCTGAGGCCAGCAACCAGGTCTGAACCCGACACCTAGCAGGGTTCACTCAATACATGCTTGGTGATTGAATCAGGAAGTAAAGCCAATAACCAAAAGGGGAATCATTGGGACCGATGTGGTAGCACATGCCTATAATCCCAGCACTTTGGGAGGCCAAGGTGGATGGATCCCTTGAGCCCAGGAGTTCAATACCAGGCTGGGCAATATGAAAGATACAAAAATTAGCTGGGTGTGGTGGTGCATGCCTGTAGACCCAGCTACTCAGAGGGCTGAGGTAGGAGGATCACTTGAGCTCTGGTGATCAAGGTTGCAGGAAGCCAAGATTGCACTACCAAACTCCAGCCTGGGTGACAGAGTGAGAACTTATCTCAAAAAAAGAAAAGAAAAGAAAAAAAAAACTTTCTTAAGAGAATCATTTAATTATAACATTTTTAAAAAACAAGGATAAAGCTAAGAACATAAGACAATCTGGTCTCATTTTTTCATTACATTGATGAGGAAATTAAGTCTCAGAGAAGCTGACTCATTTGCCCAAGTCATATGGCCAGTTAACATCCACTTCAGAATACAGGGTATAGAGAAAATACGCATTCACTGGCCTTCTCTGTTTTCCATAGTTTCTAATAGCCATCCTTGATGATTCAATAATGGAGTGTTAATCTTGCCAACCAAGCCATTTCCTGTTCATAATCATGCTTTTCAAGAAAACATTATACTCCCATACATTTATCTTACTTTTCACAGTGTTTTCACATGTTATTTTCCAACAGAATATGCCATCTTTCTCCACAGATAAGGGAAATCATAAAAGTGAATTCATTATGAAGCTAAAATAGAAGTAACAGATCAATAACACAATGAGTATTTTTCTTGAATTGCATTTTATTAAAAGGAGCATGCACAATATCTGCTTCAATCTGGAAGCCCCTGGCATCACAGGTAATGTGATATGAAGTTCATGTCCAGGGTTGGATAACAAATACTGGACGTCCTCCAAAGCCCAAGATGAAAGTGGACTGCACAGGTCATTCAGACCTTTCCCAGTTACTCTAGGTGTCTCTTCTTTAGAAAATAAGGGAAGAGATCCACTGGTTCTGATGCAGTTCCTCATCATGGGCTTGAACCAATGCTGGGAAGCTAATACTTTAACACATCAGTGGTGCCTTTTCCACTTATGCAAATTTGCCTTTAACACGAAGTAGGATAGATGTTTCTCTCCTCATACCAGAGGTGATACTCGCATCAATAAAATAGGTTGTGTTGTTAGCCAGAGAGAGCCTGGAATACTGGATTTTTTTCTTAAATTTGTGTGCAATAACTTTAGTGCTCCAACCACATATCACAGCCTTGCAGACATGGTGTGCTTCCTCAGAGTGCTGTGGCTTCTCCTCTTGCATTCTCTCTTCTCTGCTAACCCAGAAAACCCGCACTGCTGAGAAGAAATGATGGCACACAACAGTTTCTTCCTCTGCTCCATGCTGGGTATGTTTGCTCTGGCACCATGTGGTATGGTTCCTGACTATGTGCAGAGCAGGGAGTAGAGTCCAGAGAATGAGTGGGGGATGGGAAGGCTGCAGGGCGCAGCTGAAGGTGGAATCTGAAAGGAATGGGAACTCAGCCACCATGCTCTTTATTCCCAATTCAGGCCCTGTTTTAATAAGGACATTTTATGGTGAAGATCTTAAAGCAAACTGACTTTCAAAAGAAAAGGAGAAGATGGAGAAAGAAAGGTAGGAAGAGATCAAATATTTCTCCTGATTAAGTTCCTTTTATTCTAGAGCCATAGTCTTCAAAGTGTAGTTAATGAAACACTCAATAGCACATTTTTATTAATAACCCAACATTATGCTTCATTAAAACATATTTGAATGACGATGTCTTAGAATGAGCATCGCTTAATATTTTACAAAACACCTCTCCAGTCGTAATTCCAGGTGACATCCTGGGCAGGGAGGGAAGGCATCTTCACTGTATTTAAAGCTTTGGGCATTTGTAAGGAAATTATTTCCAGTGTACATATTCAGTGTGCTCCAAGACTAGATAAGCCACCAGTCTCAGATCACTTGAGTCCCACATGTTCATTTTCCAACACACCTACTTCCTGTAAAGTTGCAATATCACACATCCCTCAAGTGTTATGCTTTTATTTTCACGATTTGCTTACTGTTTGACAGCTGTCTAAGTCATGCTCACATATTAAGTGTACACCACACACCATGATGGACAATGTTGTCTATGTCCTGCCCTCATCAAGCTTATACTCTATTGGGAAAAATAGAAAAATTTAAATGACATTTGAAATATAATTCAAGTGATAACAACGATGATAAAGAAAAGAGCAGGTGTGCTGAGAAACACTAGTAAGGACAGTGCACTATATATTTAGTGGTGCGGAATGCAGGGAAAAGATCTTCTGAGAAACCGAGACCAAAGGTAGTAGCAGAGTTGAGCTAAAACTTAACTATTTATAAAAGTTATCAGAGCACAGGATAAGCAACATGAAAGGTGGGCATGTGAGGTTAGGTCTAATGCTGAGCTGGTGTGCACAGGTGCAGCACAGCAGGTGTGAAGATGCTGAAATGCTTATGTGTAGGGCACTAAGTAAGGCCTCTGCTCTGAGCCCTCCAGGACACCCACCACCCCTCCCAGGATGATCCTCCTGCTGTGCAGCACCGGGAGGGCACTGTATGGACCCTACTCCAGCTGTGGTCAGCATCTATTCTGATTGGTCAGTTTCCCTACATGGCCAGTTGTAAAATTCTTTGACTATAACTCTGGGGTTGGGAAAAAACTGCATCGAGGACAGTAACGGGTAGGGATGGGAACTGAGTGTGCAAATGTAGTCCTGGACAAAGTTAAATGTTGGATTTTCCCTTTAGGGGCTGGAGAGTCATCCCTAGACCATAATTAAGGAGTGATAGGCACAGGTGCTTAGTTGAGTCACACCTGTCAGGGTGATCTCAGAGGAGAAGGTAATTAGAGTGAGACATGCCTTCTGAGTGAATACGACCCAAGTGCCAAGGCAAGGCAAGCCCCAAAAGAGTTAGGGATAGCAGAAATGAAAACACACTGAGAGTAAAATTGGCAAAACTTATTTACTGATTGGATACAGGGTGAGATGAAGAGATGGGTTAAGGGTGAGTGACAGATTGCTACTGGGGTGGCTAACTGCTGGACAGTCACAGTTCAGGAATTCAGGAGCAGGAGCTGACTTCAGAAAGATGAGGAGCTTGACTGTAGACATTTCAAGCTATGAGAGGAGCCCATGCTTTGTCCAAATGGAGAGAGGTCCATCAGCCAATTGGTTAAGTGAAGCCCAGAATAGAGATCTGAGTCATGGATGTAGATTGAACAGTCATCAGTGGATGGGTTTGAGTTATTATAGAAGTCAGGAAAAGCAAGGAGCGTCACCCAGAGCGACTTGCTGAGTTAGCTAAGAAGGGAAGGTGAAACCCAGGAAGATCCCAACATTTAAAATTCACATGGAGTAGAGGTGCTCAACAGGAAGCCAAAGTTAAAAGATTGGGAAACACAAAGATGAGCAAGGAACATCATTTCCTAGAAGCAAAAGGAGCAAAGAATTCCAACAAGAAGTAAGGTACTAACAATGCCATGCACGGTTCAGAGAACCAGCAAGGTAAGGACCAAAGATTGCACTGGGTCAATAATCAGCAAACCGTCAGTGACATGGTTAGGCTTTGTGTCCCCACCCAAATCTCATCTTGAATTTTAATCCCCAGGTGTTGAGGGAGAGACCTAGTGGGAAGTGATTGGATTATGGGAGCAGTTTTCCCCTATGTTGTTCTCATGACAGTGAGTGAGTCTCACTAGATCTGATAGTTTTATCAATGGTAGTTTGTCCTGCACTCTCTCTTGCCATGTAAGATGCCTTCTGCCATGATTGGAAGTTTCCTGCGGCCTCTCCAGCCATGTGGAATTGTGAGTCAATTAAACCTGTTTCCTTTATACATTACCTGGTCTTGGGTATTGCTTTATTGCAGTGTAAAAATGGACTAATACAATGAGTAACATTCCTGGGAGCCAGTTCAGTGCCATGATGGAGTTCAAAACTCAGCAGTGGGCCAAGAAGTAAACAGAGATGATGGAAACGCAGGCAGAGACCTCAGAATGGAGAAGCAGAAGTAGAAACTAGGAGAAAAAACAGAAAGATGACTTTCATTTAAACCTTGACTTTATTACAGCAACATTTATGGGCTTTATTGGTCTCTCAAGGCAGTTTCCCATCCATGACCTTGGAACTCAGGTGAGGTAGGCAGAACACTGGGAGAATGTGAATGAGAAGTGAGGTCTGCATGTCACCAGGGAGGTAGGGACAGAACCAGAGAGGACTGTGTTGTCATTTCCTAACATTAGAGTATTCTGGGAGAGGAAATATCAGCTGGGTTTTCTACTCCCCACCTTCCCTCTTCCACCTTGTAAATTGATATTGGTCTGTTTTTTTGGCTTTGGTTCTGGAGAGTATGAATAATATACATCATGGTCAAATGCTGCTAACACCTTTGGATTCTGTTCTGAGTCTCATTTTATGTTTTATTTAAGGCTTTGCCTAGAATTGACATCTTTCTGCTCATTTATCCAGTTTGTCCCAGAGATGGAACAAGTTCAACATGATTATCAGATATAAAATGTCAAAGAAGGAACAGTCACTGATTATACCAATGCAGAATTTTAAAAAATAATAATTCTTGAGAAGTCTTTACTAAAAAGATATTATTCTTTACATGTATATTACTGGGATCTAATTTTAAACCAGTATTATTGGGACTTATGTGTACTTTATATAAATTTACAATAAGTAGGATGAGGTTTAATTTTCTTTAAGAGACAATGAGTTCTATCCCGGGCAAAATGATGGGTTACTTTGTGTCCGGGACCCACCGCTCTTCTTCAGGAGGGATTAACAGAGACGCCCATCATAGTGTGAGTTGCTCCTTCTGGAGAGCTCTGGGGCAGACAATTTATTATCTCCTGCTTCCCCTTCCCCATCCCAAAGCCCACTCCCAGCCTCCCACCCGTGATACAGGATGCACCACACATCTAAACCTGGGGTCTCCTTGCAAGAGGCGGTGAACAAATTGACACGTGTGTGCCCTGAAAGCAATAGCTTGCAGCACAGAGGAGAGCAAATTAACCAGGAAGCAATTGATCAGCCACATGTGGTGGAATTAGAATGCCAATGAAAGTTTCAAATGCTAATTTTAAGTGCAACAGAAGCCATCTATAAATTTACCTTCACAGCTTTTACATTCATAATTTATTTCCTGCCAGAAACCTAGTACCTTGCCACACAGCAGTACACAATAAGAGTCCTAGAGAATGGAATTAAAAGGCACAATTCATGTACTTGACTTTTCCACCTCCAAAGCCCTTGAGCTTTGGGAATTCAGGTTACATTTCCTGAGAGCTTTTTAAGAATTGCAGGCTCTGTGGTTAGAAGCAGAACCCCAATGAGGCTCAGTCCCAGATGGTGTTTGAGAGCAAATTTAGTGCAGCCTACTCTGTGGGCTTTAGTTGCCTGGGACCGAACTGAGTGTACAACGGAGGACAATATGCCTAAGGGTGAAACTTCTCAGTTTTAGGTCCTAAGCCAGGGACAAACATTAGTAAGATCAGCCCCTTGGGAATCCTTTCTGCTGACGGAGAAAGATGAGAAGCTTGTGTAAAGATTTCTTATTTTCTTACTACCTGAGTGGTGGGTGGCCTGTTCTTCATTATGGCAATGGCAACACACACACAAAAGCAGCCACCAGTATTAGATCCTAGCTACTTAAAATGGGTTCTGCAGAGGGCAGCAGTATCTCCTGGGAGCTTGTTAGAGATGCAGGCTCTCAGGCCACAGCCAGGCTGGCTGACTCAGCAGCTGTTTACCGCATGCCTGGGTGATGTGCATGCATGTGAAACTTTTAAGAACCTTGGGCCAAAGAATATCTGAGACTAAGACAAGGGCCCCTCCTGGTACAGGCTGGTCTTTCTGATGACGCTGCCCCCTCTAGCCACTTCTTACACCTGGTCTCCCTGCGCTGATCACTATTCTCCCTCATTCTCTCAAGTTTTTTTTATTCTATCTCCCTTCATTTGTTAGAGTTACCCCTGGTTTCTTCTTTTATCTCCTGGTCATCTCTGATTTCTATCTCCTAGTGCAAATTCTTCATGTCTGTGGCTTTAACTCCCACAAGGAAAAATAATAGGTACACTTGAACACTGATTTTGGCTGGAATGCTGTAAAACAGCATTACATAAATCTTGGCAGTCATTGAGGATAACTGACCACGTTCTCTGCTCTCCAAGCCTCAGCTGGGTCAACTCATGAGTCAACCCTTTTAAAATGCTATTATTTTCATTCCTTGACAAATTAGGACCCTGGAGAAGATAGAGGTTCAAAACACACTGACAGCCTTCAAGCAGCGTGCAGAAGAGAGAGGACTCAAAGTCATATTCTTTGACTCTGTAGCCTCTGCCCACAACAGCCTTTCCACAACAAACCCCAATGTGCCTCTCTGTTGCAAACCTCTGTAAGCTTCAGACACACAGAGGCAAAGTCCAACTGCACAGCTCATTTTGCTTAGCCTGTTCAAAACCTGCCTGCCCCTTCCTCCAAGTCTTCTCTCTGTCTTCAAATATGTGGTCATCCAGCCTGTCCTGTCTCCCAGGAGCCTGCAACCATGCTTGACTTCTCCCTCCCTTCCTTCCTCCAAACCTCTTAGATGCTTCCGGGGACTACTCGTGTGTGTCCTCCCTCTATTTGTACTAGCAAGGCTTTAGTTCACTCCCACAAGCAAAGTCGTTTCATAACGTTTGGAAAATGTTTACTACACATCCTTTAGATCATTGGGATGCACTGGTTTTGCTGGAGCAAGATCATAAAACTAGTTTCTACTCTCTGAGAGAAGTCTCCCTCTGGCTTCAGGGGAAGAGGCATCACAATTTATTATGCGTTTCCTTCAGGGAGGATCATTATCTGCATATGTAAAATCTGACATTCACAGGGAAAAGTCACAGGCGAGGAAGCCACACTGTCTTGCTCTCATTGCTACAATCCTGGAAAACATGGACAACTGTTTCCTTCAGGCAGCTGTGCCTTCCCCACAGCTCTGATTGGTGAAAGCCACGAGCTGCTTTAAAGAAAGGTCATCTGAGAGCTGCTCTTCATTGAATCTGCTTTCCCCAAATCAGCGCAGCCCTTTCTCAACACTGATGAGGGTTGGGAGTCAGCCCCTAACTCCCACATTCTGTGTGTGAGCACAGTTTCCTTGGTATGTAATAAACATAAAATTCAAGTAAGAATTTTATTATAACCTATATAAATATATTTAAAAGTATATTTAAATATACATAACTAAACATTCTTATTAATTCCCACAGAAGTTATATACTTTGGCCTTCAGAATATATTTAATTTGAATATGTTTGAAAGTCTTGAAAGCCTTGTGTGCCAAATAACCCCCCATAAATGCATGCATTTCAAAGCTTACTGAACCCGCACCCACACTCCTCCCACAAAGAGCCTTCTCCCAGTAGAACTTGCCAGTCAGGCTTTGGCAATGGTAAGGATTTGCTTCATGGGGTCTTCTTGGCCTTGTATGGGTTTTCGCAATTTGCAATTAGTCCCTTGATCCCGCCAGGCACAGGTCACAGGGAGATCTGGTCATCCACTGATGTCCACACCTTCACTTCTTCCATCCACCAAAGTGCAAAGGCTTCAGAAAGTGGAGCTAAGGGACTGTCTCCACCTTTGTGTTCCATGATAGCTTGGCATTTTCCTTACAGTACAAATAGAAATATTCCTTCTGCCTCCCAAACTTCCCTTCATCCAGGGGCCCATTTGACCCTCATTCAAATGAAAAATGAGACATGAATTTTGGTAAGAAATAATACTGATAAACATGATACCTCTGCATGTGGAGACATAATAAATACCAGGTTACCATGAAGAAGAAGAACTTAGATGTGGGGCTGATGACTAATTCAGATACCAGACACGTGTACCTTTTGCTGGGTAACCTAACATTCTCTACCCTTTCAAAGGCATCACACTGCCCACCACATGTCACTTTCATTCCCTCACCCAGACCAAAGTGGCTTCATAGCTGCCCAGCCAGAGACATCAACAACAGCCATGGGTGTCCACAGCTAGGAGCTTCTACCTGGAACATCCGTTAGCTTTTGAGATTCTTATTTTTTGCCTTATATGGTTAGACTGAAATCATGTAATAAAAGGAGACTGTAATTATTTTTATGTGTGTCAAGAGTTCTTGGCTTTGCCTGTCTGTTTTGTAATTTTGGACAAAAACAACCTGGCTTTCAATCGTAATGATCTGTGTCATGATAAAGGGCAAATTTTGGAGCCCTTGCTCTCAAATAATGTAATTTTGTTCCAGGCAAACTATGAACTCCTAACTGTGTTATGTTTTAAATAGAAATTGTACTGAAAATCCTGTGTTTGTTAAAAGTTGTCTTTTAGGGGCATACAACATAAGATTAAGTATCTGAAATTTCAGCATAATCACTACTCTGAATAGCAAGGGTTGTGCAGTGGGTGGCTGGAACATTCAGTGCATATGATAAAGGAAACTAGCAGTTTTCTCTAAACATATGCCACAAATCCTTCTAGGTGGCCATTACTATTTTCTTTTAGCAGTGGAGAAATTAGAAGCTTAGAGAGGATAATGAGTTAACTAAGGCAACAAAGCTGTCAAGTAGCAGAACCAAGATTTTAAGCTTAGTATGGGACACTATTGCTTGTTCTTTTTTGACTACACTATGCCAATATTCTTTATAAAGATTATTTGCCACAGATAAAATAATAAAACAACAATATAATTTTTGGTATGTATTTTTTATCCTGCTTATAGAAGCTTTAGAACTACCTTGCAGTGAAATAGGTCAGCCTAGAAAGTAAATTGCTTTCAAGGAATACGTTGGTTCATTTTACATATGGTGCCCCACCAAATAACTACAATTAGCGCAGTATCTATACATAGTGGATTCTCAAGAAATATTTATTGAATGAAGGAGATAGTTTCCAAGCCCTTTATGTTTAATAACACAGCACTCTCTTGTATATTTGAGCCTTCAAAATAAACAGATGTGGCTGTTACCACTTCTGTTCCCATTTTGTTGGAGAGAACTTAGTTAAGGCCACATCTAACTGCAAATGAGATTAGGAAATGTGGATTTAATAGATGTCACCAACAAAGGAGATGAACTTTGGTGGGCAGAAAGCCATTACTAGCATAGTCATTCATTTGAAGTTGTGTTGAGGATTAGGGAACTGGAAAACCATGGCAAGTTCTAGAAAGACAACTCTAACTTCACGGTTCTGTGAGAGATCAGGGCATCATGTCTAAAAATGCTAAGGGTGAGGTGACTGTTATATGTCCAACTCTTTCCATTGCATCTCCAACCAGATGACTGAATCTGGAGCTCTGAAGCAAGGTCAATACTGGTCTTGGAAGCATGGCAGTGCTGGACAATTGGATGATACTTAAAGTCAGTTGGATAGATAACTTATTTAGGCAAAAATTGCAGAGAAGAGATGAGAAGAAAGTTAGGACTAACCTCAAAGGCATTTAAACTTTTAGAAGCCTCATAGAGCAGGAAAAACAGGCAAGGAGACTGCAAAGGAGCTCCCATTGAGGTTGGAGGCAAGTTAGTTGGTGTGGCTGAGCAGGAGACCCTGGCCACTCATCCCAAGAGCCCCGGCAGTCAATCCTGTGGCTGGGGTTGCTGACGTTGACAACGGTTCACAGATAGGTTGCCAGGGAGGCCATATTCAAATGGACTCTTGTGACCAGGAGTTGAGAGTTCTTTTTATTCCCAAGTGGCGTAACGTGTTCTGAAGTGTTTACTTCATGGCCTGTTGGCAATTGACCAGCTTATTACATCAAAACAACAATTACATACTGGAAATTCCTTAAAAAGACCTGCCATCACGATAGGAGATTGCCTTTATGATAACTCTGGGAGTCTATGATTGGCAGCTTTTCTTTATTCCAGTCTCACATTACCATTTAAACCAACCAAAACAGTCCTCTTGCCAGAAAAGTAAATTGCCACTTTGAGACATGAAAAACAGGCGAAAGTATAAAAATGTGAATAATCGCTATTGTGAGTCTAGCAAGTCCTGTGTGATTGTGTGAACAAGGCAATTTGCATCTGGTTCTGCTTGCTTCTTTCTTGCTTTCGTAATTATTCAAACACTCCCGGTCATTAATTCCGCCAAATACAAATTAGAAAAAGAAAACTCTCCCAACTGACATAGACTTTCCTTAATTCACCACTAGTCTCCAAATCACAGAAATTTTTATGTGGATCTAATCTTTTTACTTTTGCCTGCCGTTTGTATTCCAAATTCCTCCCAACGTCTACCTATTCACAAGCTCCACTAAATGCATATATTCAAAATATATAAAAAACAAATTTAATTACTCTGAGCTCTTGGATGGCAGAGTAACTATGCATATTTACTTCTTGTTACTGTTAGAGTAGGAAAATGGCATAATGGTGATAATATAAACTGACTCAAAAGACAGTGAATTAATTCCTCAGAGGGTGGGTTCCTCACAGTGTAACATATTTGAATCATCTGAAGGGTCTTCCTCATGTTCATTAATAAATGGAAGATGCTTTGGAATCTCATAGAAGACATGAAGAGCTACCTAGGCTTTGAAGAAATTACGAGACAAGATCTAAGATACAAACTTTTAGGTGTAAGATGCACAAGTACTGGGGATGAAATGCACAGCATGTTAATTTCATTGTGATAATCATTACATGATGCATACAGATATCAAATAATCACCTGTACATGTAGAATATATACAATCTTTATTTTTCAAATAAATATTTTACCATTTTAAAAAAAGACAAGATCAGCAAAAGAAGGAAAGCACAGGTGGCCCCAACATTCACCAAAGAGTTTTACCTCAAGGCATTTGCTAATTAGTAAGGACAGCCTTGTGATGTAGAAACCAAGGTGTGGGGGAGCCATAGGGCAGGAGAGATCAGAGAGACTCCAAAATTAGAGGGGCTTTAGGCAGCCCCATGGGTGAGAAGGACTAAAATTGGACTTCAGAGCTTGTAAGGGAGGAGCTTCCTAGATCTTCAGCTAGGCTCTGAGGGCATACAGCCAGGAGTAAAGGCAAAGGAGAAACCAACCAATGCTTTCAAAAGCTGAAACCCAGCTTTCAATAAACTCAATTCAAGAAAGAAAACTGATAACAAGAAAGAAAACCATGGCACATCTAAACGTCTTACAGACCCCAAAATTATTGTGATTATCTTTGTTCATGTAATTATTACTATTATTATTGTTATTGAGAGAGAGTCTCACTCTGTTGCTCAAGCTGGAGTAGAGTGATGTGATCTCAGCTCACTGCAACCTCTGCCTTCCTGGTTTAAGCAATTCTCCCACCTCAGCCTCCTAAGTAGGTGGTACTACAGGTGTGCACCACCACGCTTGGCTAAATTTTGTATTTTTTGTTAGAGGCAGGTTTCACCATGTTGGCCAGGCTGGTTTCCAACTCCTGACCTCAAGTGATCCACCTGCTTTGGCCTCTCAAAGTGCCAGGCATGAGCCACCTAACTAACTAACTATTGGGCTGTAACTAAATTTTTTAATGTGTTGGCATGAATTTTTTAAAAGGGCACATTTATAAAAATCAACACAAGAACAATAATAGGGATAGTTCTATATCACTTGATCCATAATTGAAACCTTTTCTAAAGAACTCCAAGGATTTGAGTTGTCTTGCGACAGGAGGAGTTGGCCCTTGGGGGCTGCCCTATCTAGCTAGCAGCCAACCCTGCCTCTCTCTGGTTCCAGGTAACAGCGGTGGCATCTCTGCCTCCCCATCAGAAGGGCAGGCCACTGGAGATGCCTTCCCCATTTTGGTGCTGGACTAACCCTCATTCCCTGCTAACTCCTCTCTGTTTTTTTTTTTGTGCAGTGGACCAGAGACAGACACAATGACTGGGACCCTTACTGAATTGAGCTGAACCAAATCCAAAATTGGTTTCACAATATTTTAACATATTTTTACAACATACATTTAACGTCTTTTCATTTTCTAATACTCATGACAGAATGCTAAGAAAATACTGGAAAAATGGAGTGACATCTCTCAACAAATAAGTATTGGGCATCTCGTCTGTGCAAGCATTGTGCTGCTACTTAATGTTACACCTTGAACCAGGTGAATTCTATCCTGAGATAGACATCAGTAATTAGGGGCATTTCAACTCTGTTGATCTAAACTATTAGCCAGTTTAGTCTGAATGCATTGAGATGAAAAAGAAGGTAGGTGTGGTGGCATGTGCCAGCTGTCCCAGCTACTCAGGAAGCTAAGGTGGAAGGATTCCTTGAATGCAAAAGTTTGAGGTCAGCATGAGCAGCATAGTAAGACCTCATCTCAAAAGAAAAAAAAAATGAGCTGTGCTTCTTTCATATGTATATTAAATAATTACATATAATTTACATATATGTGTATGTATATATATGCTATGCTTATATACATGCAGATACATGTATGCACAGGAAATATTTATATATTGTCAACATTATTTAGATCATGGTACATTTATAGTTCTATATCTTGATTTTGTCACTGAACATATAAACCTCATGCAGACCAATCTGCCTGGAGCTTCTTGAGGCCATCAAAATAAGATTACTTTTTGTTTTGTTTGTTTGTTTGAAATGCATAGCATCAGAAAGCTCATTGCTTTGGGTGTTTAGAAGCCAAAATGAGGCATTAACTTTATTTTATAAGTGCACATTGGTTTTTTTTAAAAAAAACATAATGCCACTGAAATCTGTAAAGTGAACACTCGCAATAACTTTCTATTTTTAATGTACTGGTTGATCTTAGAAAAGTGCTAAAAAAATCATCCTGTTTTTATTTCCCTGCATTTGTCTAATGCGGCCACTCTGGGCTACTTCAGAGCCGTTATCACACTAGGCCTATCGCTTTATTTGATGAGGCCCTTCTTGAATGGCACAGGATATGAGATGAGGCACATCAGAATTGCTAATGGATAAGAGCAAACATTATCCAGTGATTTCTTTTCTTTTCTTTTCTTTTCTTTTTTTTTTTTTTTTAGTCCTGGGTTACATTGCTGTATTAGGTTTCTGCAGAGAAAAAGAACCAATAGTATGTGTATGCATACACACATGTGCACACACATATAAGGAGATTTATTGTAAATAATTGGTATATTTAATTGCTGAGGCTGACAAGTCCTATGTCTTCAGGGTGAGCCAGCTGATGTTGCAGTTACAGTCTGAAGGCAGCAGGCTGTAGTTTCCCAGGAGAGCTGTAGTTTCCAGTTTGAGTTTAAAGACCATTTGCTGTAGGGCAAGGAGGAGCTCACGTTGCAGATGAAGTCCAAATGCAGTCTACTGGAGAAATCTCTCTTGCTTAGGGTGTGCTAGTCTTTTTGTTCTATTTAAATTATTGTTCTATCAGCTGATTGGGGGAAACCCACCCATATTATGAAAGGTAATCCCTTTTACTCAATCTACCAATTTAAATGTTCATGTCATCCACAATGCCCTCATAGAAATACCGAAAATATAGTTTGACCAAATATCTGAGCACTTCATGGCCAGCCAAGTTGACACAAAATTAATCATCACAGGTGCATAACTTCATTTGCAATCATTTTTAGTATAAAAATTCATACCTATTCTAATTCTGCTGCAGAGTAGCCAAGTCAATTTAAAATGAACAGCTAAAGAAGAAAGCCATTGGAGAAAGCAGAGTTTTCCTCTCACTAGCTATGTTACAAAAATAAGAGGGGATTTAGGGAAGGCAGGCACAGCTCTTAGCATTTAATCAAAATTCAGTGGATAAGTTAAAGTATATCTTTAGAACTCTATACAAGGTTATATTTTCTTCACAAGAAATTTTAGAATCATAAAAAAACAAAGTGGTTGTGCGTGAAAGGTTGTGAAATAAGGTATAAAAATTAAGTAAGATTATCAATTATCTTAGTTCTTTTTGCGTTGCTATAAAAATACCTGAGACTGAGTCATTTATAAGGAAAAGAAGTTTATTTAGCTCACAGTTCTGCAGGCTGGGAAGTTCAAGGACATGACCTTGGTTTCTGGTGAGGGCTTCTGTGCTGTGTCACAACATGGCAGAAACGGTCAAAGGGAAGAGACCTGAGGATGTCCTGACTTTATAGCAAGCCGCTCTCAAGGGAACTAATTTATTCCCAGAACTAACACAGTCTTTTGAGAGAGAGAACTCACTTGCTACCTTGCAAACAGCACCAAGCCACTTATGAGGGATCTGCCATTAGAACCCAGATATCTTCCACTGGGCTTCACCTCCCATCACCACCACACTGGGATCAAATTTCAATATGACCTTTGATGGCTTTGATGGAGACAAACAAATTATATGCAAATGACAACATCAGTTAATTCTACTGAATCACTGTGACCTTTCATAAAGTGTTTTAACAAACCACATCAAAACTAATTTTTGATACAACTCTTTAAGATAGAATTTTTTTTTTTTTTGAGACAGAGTCTCGCTCTGTTGCCCAGGCTGGAGTGCAGTGGCACAATCTCGGCTCACTACAGCCTCTGCCTCCTGAGTTCAATAATTCTCTGCCTCAGCCTCCCGAGTAGCTGGGATTACAGCCACCCACCACCATGCCCAGCTAATTTTTTGGAATTTTTAGTAGAGACGGGGTTACACCATCTTGGCCTGACTGGTCTTGAACTCCTCACCTTGTGATCCACCCACCCCAGCCTCCCAAAGTGCTAGGATTACAGGCTTGAGCCACCACGCCCGGCCAAGATAGGCATTATTTTATACACACACATACACACACACACACAGACACACACACACACAGACACACACACACACACACAGATAAATGATTAACTGAAAGTTAAAGAATTAGCCTCAAATCACACAGTGAGGAACTGGCTATGCTAATATCCTAGCCCCAGGGCCCTGATTCTGAGCCTTGTTCTCTTTCTGATTCAGCTTGGTATTTCAATGAAAGATCAGAGTTACCATGTAACTGAAAGACATGGAAATAAAGCAACAGGTGGGAACATAAGTGACGGGAAAACTAGTCTTTGGATAACTCTAAAAACCAGGATTGATTTTCACAGAAGCGCTAGGTTGATAAAAACCCACATGCATCCCTATCACACTTTCAGATGACGGTGTGTATCTGATGTTACTGTTCCCTGGATGTTCCCAGACTAAGGCTCTTCTAATAGGCCACAAAGTAGTATCCATCAAGAATGGCTTTAAAATTAAAACACAAAGAAATTCAGCAATGTCCACGAGGTCACACCGCAAAACCAAAAATAAAATACCACGTCTTCACTTAACGCCATCAATAGGTTCTTGGAAACTGTGACATTAAGCAAAACAATGTATAACAAAGCCAATTTTACCCTGGGCTAATTGACATGAGCAATAGTTATGTTCCTATGGTATATTTTTGGTCACAAAAACATCACCTAACTTCTAACTAAAGACCAGAACACTTCCAGTATTAAACAAGGAAATAAATATGAGCTATACATACATTTAAGAAAGATTAATTAAAACAGGTAACATAATGATTTATCTGCTTATTCCAGGTCAGGGCAGTTCAGGCAGAAGGCAGGCACCAGCCTGGACAGGAGGCCTTACTGTCCCAGGGCAACTCACACACACACACACTCACTTACACAAGGACCACTGAGGCACGCTGATGAACTGAATCTGCACCATTTCAGGATGTGGGAGGAAACCGGACAACCCGGAGAAAAATCCATGCAGGCATGCAGAGATGTGCAAATAACACAGACAGTGGCCCAGGCCAGGAAGTGATTATTTTTTCTCATCAATGTTATATTGAAAGAACATTGAACAAAACGACGTTATTCAAGGAACAGCTGTAGAATGCATATTTCACAGTGTAGCGTGGTCCCCTCCACATAATGCAAGCATGAACTGCCAAGGTGCTGTGTGTTTACCATGTTTCATCCAGTAAGAAACCATCATTTCACACTTTCCCCACATGTCAGGTGGTCACCATCTTCCTCGCACACTGGACATACCACCCACAGCATTTCAGCAAGTGGCTTTGCCTCCACCCAATGTCTCTGCCTTCCTCTGCCATTTCCTCACCTTCACAAAATCCATCTTTCTCAATCCTCCCCCAAACCTTAGTTCAATGCATTCAGAGGTTGCAGCAAGGTGAGAAGGCGAGAACTTTCCCATGTTATTCGTGACCTAGTCTTCTTTGATGCGATGAAAATGGCTTTGAATTCTAGTCCTGCTCCCAAGTCCTCCATGCAATGACATTTATGAATAGCTAAGGAATTTAACTAGTGGGTGTCTGTTTGTTTGAGACAGAGTCTTACTCCATTACCCAGGCTGGAGTACGATGGCATGATCTTAGCTCACTGCAAACTTCGCCTCCCGGATTCAAGCAATTCTGCTCCCTCAGCCTCCCAAGTAGCTGGGATTACAGGCACCTGCCACCAAGTCCAGCTATTTTTTTTTTTTTTTTGTATTTTTGGTAGAGACGGGGTTTCGCCATATTGGCCAGCCTAGTCTCCAACTCCTGACCTCAGGTGATCCATCCACCTTGGCTTCCCAAAGTGCTGGGATTACAGGCATGAGCCACTGTGCCCAGCCTTAACTAGTGTTTTAACTGAAAGTCACAGTCAGCAATTGAAAGTAAAACTTTAGATTCCTTTCACATTTTCTGAAAAATCATTTTTCAGGGAGTGAGGAGTGAGGGACAATATAAAGACTTTTCAGATGATGTGTAAAGCTGGAAATGGCTTTCTCCTGCCAGGACCCAAAGTGATGTGTGATGTACAGCACAGTGTGGCAGAAAGCATGAAGTCAGGATTTCCATGATTTAAAGATAGAAATATTCTCCGAATGTCTTGGTTTCATAACAGGTACCTGCACTTTAGGACTTTTAACGAGGTAGGCTACATATTGGGATTTTTAAAAACATTTGATGACTCAGCCTAGTTATTTTCTCTACCTCCTCTTTCTGTTTGAAATTGCAGTTTTACATGTGTTTATGTAATGCTATTTTCATTTTAGGGAGAGCAAGCCCCTTAAGTTAGCTGTGTCCTCAGCAGACCCAAACACTCTTTATGTAGAAAGTATGTCTAAAAACACCTTTACATTATGAACAAATAATTACAGCCCATGTGGATCAAAACAGTGACAAAAACAGGTTACAATTAATAGATGACCCAAAGAGGATGAAGCCCCACCTTGGAAGGAGGGGCTTTGGGTCTTGGAAAGACCCCTGATCTAGGAAAATAGACCCATGAGAAGAGGATCACAGCAAGAACCTCCTTCCCCATTTTCCCTTTTGGTCTTATCTGCTGGGCCACTCTAGGGCCGGTCCAATAGATGGGCCAAAGCTGCTTAGGAGGAATGGGATCCACACAGATGTTGAACAGCCTCTAAATGGGTAACCCAGGTCAGCAAAGAGACTGACGGGTGTGCCTGCATCAGAAATGCTCTCAGCCCAACAGACATGTCAAGAGCACAAGGGCAGGGCCTGTCCCTGGGTGCTTGGTATGATGAGCACCTCAAGTGGCTCCAGCAATTTTCCAAAACATCAGTAATAACTTCAGGCCTTCTCTTTGTCACTGGTATCTCTGCATCAGTTCCTACACCTGTGGTAGGCAGAATAACAGCCCCAAAGATATCCACATCCAGAATCTGTGACTATGTTACCTTATATGGTAAAAGGGATTTTGCACATTGACTAAGTTAATGTTGAGCTGCAGAGATTATCTTGAATTGTCCAGGTGAATCCAGCCCAATCACACATGTCCTTAAGACCTTTCCCAGCTAGGTTTAGTCAAAGAGCTGTGATATTGACTCAAAGACAGAAGAAGAGGATACAAGCTAAGAAACATGAGTGGCCTTTAGAAGCTACAGAAAACGGGAGCAGATTAGCTACAAGACCTTCCAGAAAAAAACAAACAAACAAACAAAAAAACTGCACGCCTGCCAACACCTCGATTTTACCCATGAGACCCTTGTCAGACTTCTGACCAACAGAACTGTAAGATGATACATTTTTATTGTTGTAAGTTACATAGCGTGTGTGGTAATTTGTTATGGAAGCAGTCGAAATTAATATAACACCTAAAGCCACTTTCGCATGAAATAGCTATTCTAGAAATCTGTGCATACTGAAATCTCAAGCGGGCACCTGTGTGGCATGGCAGGGGGAGGGGGGGCACATGGATTCCAGGGAGCTCATTTATTTTCTTTTTCTACTTTTATACACGTTTTATTTATTACTCAGGCTTTGTGAAAAACATATTAAACGTCAAAAACTTTTTTTCTTCCAACTTTCATTTCAGGCTCTGGGGGTACAAGTGCACATTTGTTATGTGGGTAAATTGTGTGTCACTGGAGTCTGGGGTACAAATGATTTTTCACCCGGGTAGTGAGCATAGTACCCAGTAAGTAGTTTTTTGATCCTCATTCTCCTCCCACCCTCCACCCTAAAGTAAGGCTCAGTGTCTATTGTTCCCATCTTTGTGTCCATGTGGACTCAGTGTTAGCTCCCACTTACAAGTGAGAACACACAGTATTTGGTTTTCTGTTCAGATGTTAATTTACTTAGGATAATGGCTTACAGCTCCATCTATGCTACTGTAAAGGACATGATTTTGTTATTTCTTATGGCTGGATAATATGCTCTCACATATATGTACCACATTTTATTTATCCAGTCTACCATTGATGGGCATCTAGGTTGATTCCATGTCTTTGCTGTTGCGAAAAGTGTTGCAATAGACATACATATGCATATGTCTTTATGGTAGGATAATTTATATTCCTTTGGGTGTATATCAAATAATGAAATTCCTGGACCAAATGGTACTTCTGTTGTAAGGTCTTTGAGAAGTTTTCAAACTGCTTTCCACAAGAATTGAACTAACTTACATTCCCACCAGCAGTATATAAGCATTCCGGTTTCTCCACAACCTCATCAACATCTGTTATTATTTTTATTTTTTGTTAATAGCCATTCTGACTGGCATGAGATGGTATCTCATTGTGGTTTTGATTTACATTTCTCTAATGATTAGTGATGTTGAGCTTTATTTTATATGCTTGATGGCTATGTATGTGTCTTCTTTTGAGAAGTGTCTGTTCATGCCCATTGCCCATTTTTTAATGAAATTGTTTGGTTTTTAATGTTTATTTGGTTAAGTTCCTTATAGATTCTGAATATTACGTTTTTGTTGGATACGTAGTTTGCAAATATTTTCTCCCTTCTGTAGGCTGTCTATTTACTCTGTTCGTAGTTTCTTTTGCTGTGCAGAAGCTCTTTAGTTTAATTAGGTCTCACTTATCTCTTTTTTCCTTTGTTGCAATTACTTTTGGAGTCTTCATCATGAAATCTTTGCCAAGCCTTGTGTCCAGAATGGGATTTACTAGGTTTTCTTCTAGAGTTTTTATAGTTTCAGTTTTTACATTTAAGTCTTTAATCCACATTAAGTTGATTTTTTTTATAGTGAAAGGAAGGGATCTTCTGCATATGGCTAGCCAGTTATTCCAGCAACATTTACTGAATAGGGAGTCTTTTCCCATTGCTTGTTATTGTCAACTTTGATGAGGAGTAGATGGTTGTGGTGTGCAGCTTTATTTTTGGGTTCTCCAACCTCTTCCATTGGTCTTTGTGTTTGTTTTTGTACCAGTACCATGTTGTTTTGGTTACTATATCTTTGTTGTATAGTTTGAAGTCAGGTAGTGTGATGTCCCCAGCTTTGTTCTTTTTGCTTACAATTTTTTTGCCTATTTGGGCACTTTTTTGGTTCCATATGAATTTTAGGATAGTTTTTTTCTAATTCTTTGAAAAATGACATTGGTATTTTGATAAGAATAACAAATCTCTAAATTGCTTTGATCTGTATGGTCATTTTAACAGTGTTGATTCTTCCTAGCCATGAGCCTGAAATGTTTTTTCCATTTGTTCATGCTGTTTCTTAATCCTTTCAGCAGTGTTTTAGTTTTCTTATTGTAGAACTCTTTCACCTCTCTGGTTAGCTGTATTCCTAGATATTCTATTCTTTTTGTAGCTATTGTGGATGGGATTGTGTTCTTGATTTGACTCTTAGCTTGGACATTGTTGGTATATAAAAATGCTACCGATTTTTGTACACTGATTTTATATCCTGAAACTTTGCTGAATTGTTTGTCAGTTCTTGGAGCCTTTAGGCAGAAACTATGGGGTTTTCTAGGTATAGAATTATATTGTCCACAAAGAGATCGTTTGACTTACTCTCTTCCTATCTGGATGCCTTTATTTCTTTCTCTTGTCTGATTGCTCTGGTTAGGATGACAAGTACTGCGTTGAGTAGAAGTGGTTAGAGAGGGCAACCTTGTCTTGTTTTGGCTCTTAAGGGGAATGCTTCCAGCTTTTGCCCTTTCAGTATGATGTTGGCTGTGGGTTTATCATTGATGGCTTTTATTATTTTAAGGTATGTTTCTTCAGTGCTTAGTTTGTTGAGGGTTTTTAACGTGAAGAGTTGTTGAACTTTATCAAATGTCTTTTCTGCATCTATTGGCATAACATAAAGTTTTTGTTTCTAGTTCTGTTTATATGATGAATCTCACATTTCTTGATTTCCATATGTTGAATCAACCTTGCATTCCAGGAATAAAGCCTACTTGATCATGGCAAATTAACTTTCTGATGTGCTTCTGGACTCAATTTTGTTGAGTCCAAAATACTCGACTAGTATTTTGTTGAAGATTTTAGTGTCTACGTTCATCAGGGTATTGGCCTGAAGTTTTCTTTTTTAGTTGTGTCTCTGCCAAGTTTTGGTATCAGAATGATTCTGGTCCCATAGAATGAGTTAGGGAGAAATTATTTCTCCTCAAATTTTAAATAATAGTTTCAGTAGGATTGGTGCCAGTACTTCTTTGTATGTCTGGTAGAATTTGGCTGTGGGTTGGTCTTGTCTGGGGCTTTTTTTTGGTTGGTATATTTTTTATTACTGATTCAATTTCTTGTTACTGGTTTGTTCAGGGATTCAGTTTCTTCCTGGTTCAATCTTGGAAGCTTGTATATTTCAAGGAATTTAGCCATTTCTTCCAGGTTTTCAAGTTTTTGTGCATAGAGGTGTTTTGTGCATAGAGGTGTTTAAAAAACCAGTCCCTGGTTTTTTAAATGTCTTTGATGTTGGAGGTAATGTCACCTTTGTCATCTCTGATTGTGTTTATTTGGATCTTCTCTCTTGTTCTCCTTATAAGTCTAACTAGTGGTTATCATTCTTAATTTTCCTTTAAAAGAACCAACTTTTGGGCTCATTGATCTTTTATATGGACTTTCATATTTCAATGTCATTCAGTTCAGCTCTGATTTTGTTTATTTCTTGTCCTGCTTTGAAGTTGTTTTGCTCTTAGTTTTCTAGTTCCTCTAGGTGTGATATTAGGTTGTTACTTTGAGATCTTTCTAACTTTCTGATGTAAATACTTAATGCTATAAACTCTCCTCTTAACACTGCCTTAGCTGTGTTCCAGAGATTCCTGTATGTTGTATAATGGTTTTCATTTGTTTCAAAGAATTACTTGATTTCTGCCTTAATTAAATTCTTTACCCAAAAGTCATTCAGGAGCAGCTTGTTTAATTTCCATGCAATTGTATGCTTTTGAGAGCTCGTCTTAGTATTAATTTCTATTTTTATGGTGCTATGGTGCAAGAGCATGGTTGGTATGATTCTAGTGTTTTTGAATTTATTGAGAATTGCTTAAAGGTGGAACATGTGGTCAGTCTTAGAGTATGTGCCATGTGCAGATGAGAAGAATATATATTCTTTTGTTGTTGGGTAGAGTGTTCTGTAGATGTCTGTTAGATCCATTTGGTCAAGCGTTGAGTTTAGGTCATGAATATCTTTGTTAGCTTTTCGCTTCAATAATCTGTCTAACACTCTCAGGAGCGTTGAAATCTCCCACAATAATTGTGTAGTTATCCTTTTTATATCTCTAAGAATTTGTTTTATGAAACTGAGTGCTCCAGTGTTGGGTGCATATATATTTAGGATAGTTAGGTCTTCTTGTGGTATTGAACCCTTTATCAATATGTAACACCCTTTTGTGTACTTTTTGATCATTGTTGTTTTAATGTCTCTTTTGTCTGAAATAAGAATTACAACCCTTAATCTTTTTTTTGTTCTCTGTTTCCTTGATAGATCTTTCTCCATCCCTTTACTTTGAGACTATGTGTGTCCTTGCATATGAGATGGGTCTCTTGAAGACAGCATATTTTTGGGTCTTGCTTCTTTATCCAGCTTGCCACTCTGTACCTTTTAAGTGTGGCATTTAGCCCATTTACATTCAGAATTAACATTGATATATGAGAATTTGATCCTAACATCATCTTGTTAGCTGTTTGTTATGTAGACTTAATTTTACAGTTGCTTTATAGCATCAGTGGGCTATGTACTTTAGTGTGTTTTTGTGGTGGCCAGTGATAGTCTTTCATTTTCAAGTGTAGCACTTCCTTAAAGACCTCTCATAAGGCAGGTCTGGTGAATTCCTTTAGCATTTGCTTGTCTGTAGAGGATTTTATTTATCTTTTGTTTACGATGCTTATTTTGTCTAGATATGAAATTATTGGTTGGAATTTATTTTCCTTAAGGATGCTGAATATAGGCCCCCAGTCTCTTCTACCTTGTAAGGTTTCTGCTGAAGGGTTCCCTGTTAGACTGATGGGGGTTTCCTTTGAATATGACCTACCCTTTTTCTCTGGTTGCCTTTAATATTTTTTCTTTTGCATTGACCTTGGAAAATCTGTTAAGTATTTGTCTTGGGGATGATTGTCTTTTATGGTATATCATTTGAGTTCCCTAAATTTTCCGAATTTGCATGTCAACCTCTCTATTAGGTTGGGAAAATTTTCATAGATAATATCCTCAAATGTGTTTTCCAAGTTATTTGCTCTCTGTCCATCTCTTTCTGAGATGCCAATGAGTCATAGGTTTGGTCTCTTTACATAATCCTTTGTTTCTTAGAGATTTTTTCATTTTTCAAATATTTTTTCTTATTTTTGTCTGAGTTGATTTGAAGAACCAGTCTTTGAGCACTGAGGCTTCTTCCTCAGGTTTGTCTATTCTACTGTTAATTCTTCTGATTGTATTATGAAATTCTTGTAGCGAGTTATTCAGCTCTTGAAGATCAATTTGTGATCTTCAAGATCTTAAAATGGCTATTTTAAGATCTTAAATAAAATGGCTTCTTAAAATGGCTATTCTTAAAATGGCTATTTCATCTTTCAGTTTTTCTATCACTTTATTGGATTCCTTAGATTCCTTGGATTGGGTTCTAACTTATTCTCAATCTTCATGATCTTCATTGCCGTCTAGATACTGAATTCTATGTCTGCCATTTCAAGCATTTCAGTCTGGTTAAGAGCCATTGCTGGGGAGGTAGCATGGTCATTTGGAGGTAAGAAGACACTCTGACTTTATTTTCCAGAGTTCATGTGCTGGTTCTTTCTCATCTGTGTGGGGGTTGATGTTTCTTTAATGTTTGATGTTGCTGTCTTTTAAGTGGAGCTTTTTTGCTTTTATATTCTTTGATGCCCTTGAGGGTTTTACTTTGGTATAAGTTGGGTTTAGTTGATTGGCTTCATTTCTGGTTGATTTCAGGGGGCCAAGTCTCAGCTTACATTGTAACCATGAGGCACTGGTCCAGGCCTGACACTTTTTTTTCTCTGGCTCTTCAAGTCTAAGCACCTGCTGTACTGGAAAGGCCAAGGTGTTCCAAGTCTTTTGGCAACAACACTCCAATAGAGGGGGCCAGCAAAAGGCCTTTGGTGAGCAGTGGTGGGGCAGCTGGATTCCCTGCATGCATGTGTGCCTGTGGCAGGGTGATGGCGGGTCGCACATTTGCATGTACACCCACGGTGAGGTCAGTACATGTGTGAATGCTGGCAAAGCAGCAGGGGGAGGCTGCAGGCAAGTGCGCGCCAGTGGGGGCCCACCTGCAGAAACTCTGTGTTAGGTGGAGTCTGCCAGTGAATAAGCTATGGCAGTGGCCACTGGTATGTGGCTCTGCTAACTGCGGCCACATTACAGGTTGGTGTGGCCAGGCAGAGACTCTGGGATAAACCAGCAGACAGAGGGGTGCTCAGATCAAACTGCCTCTGTCCCACAGACAAGTTAGTCCTGCTTTATCCAGGTCCAGCAGCCAACAAAGGCTAATGCCACCTAGAGGGGTATGGCCTTCCTTGGGAAATGGGCATCCATAGCCATACCAGGGAGCTATTTTCTATATGTGCTGCCAAAATGAGCTCAAGGGAGCTACTTTCTAAAACATCTCAGCAGCCAAGAGCCTCCGTGTAATCAGAATGAGAACATTCTGCGCAGGTCACGGGATGTTGCTGACGTGACAGGACCAGTGATTCTGCAGATTGTTTCAGCCATGGCAGGATGGGCACTGGGCACTGTGGGTCCCGGGGCTGATTGCTAAAGGTGGAATGAAAGGTGATATATTTGCTTCCTGTGTCTGCTGTAACAAATTACCACACATTTGATGGTTTCAAGGTACAGAATTTTATTCTATCGCACTCCCAGAGATCAGAAATCTGAAATTGAGATGTCAGCAGGGCCTCACTCCCTCTGAAGGGTCTGGGAGAGAATACCTCCTTGACTCTCCCAGCTCTGGAGGCTGCCAGCATTTCTGGACTGTGGGTGCCTCTCTCCAGTGCCTGCCTCCAGCTCTACACAGCTGTCTCCTCCATCCTCTCAAAGCTGCCTCTGTCTCACTCTTATCAGGAAACAGGTGATTGGACTTAAGGCCCCCTGGGATAACTCAGGAGGAACTCATCTCAAGATCCTTAATGTAATCACACCTTTTTCCAAACAAAGTCATATTCCCAGTTTTCAGAGTTTTGGGTATGGACAACTTTTGGCAGGAGCTACCATTTAACCCTTTACAGGTGGAAAGGAAATTTGAGGTTATCTGAGACCAAGAGAGTGTGGATTTTCCCACTTAGCTTTGGCCTGACCATGACCTTGGGCCTTGACAAAAATGGTAGAGGAGGTGGAGTGAGAAGAAAAGAAATCACGGAAGAAAAAGGCTGCAGTTTGGTTGGCAGGATCTGGCAAATCTTTACTGAACTTCTTCAGGGAGTCTCTTTGTAGACAATTGTTCTTGAAGGAGTCACTTGTCCTGAAACTTATGCCTCATTTGCATCTTCTCATTATCCTTGAAGAAAGCCTGAATAGGAAGGGCTGCCCATTTTACAAAGGGGAAATGTAGAGGCACAGAGTGGAGAAGCCACCTGCCGAGGTCAGCGAGGGAGCCAGGACAAGCCCGCACAGCCCTGCCCCACACACCAGGAAGCTCTCAGTGCATACACTGCCAGGCGTATCCAGAACGCAGGGGTTGCAGCAAAGCAACTGGCGCTTCAGGCCAAGTGAATCCCAGCATTCAGCTGTGCTCTCCAAAAACAGATGTCGATGTCAGAGACAGAAGAAAGAGTAGGCAACAGGCTCTAAGTCTGGATTGGGCTACCGGAAAGTGCTCAGGGAGGTGAAAGAGAGAAATGTGTGGAATGATTTTCTAAGTGTCTACGGCTGCTAACTGCTTGAAATACATTATTCTAGCTAGTCCTTTCAATTCAGTAAGAGATGCACTATCATTATCTCATTATAGAGACAGAGAAACTGAGGCTAGGTAACTTGCTTGAAGTTACTCAGCGAGTGAGTGGCATTGTGTCTCTAGAACCCACAGTCTCACCCACAGCTCTACCTACCCCTCATATTGAGGGAAGCCATGGAAACTATGGCGTGGTTTCTATGTGGGGAAAACCTGCTTTATTATGTTGTATTCAGAATTTTTGAAAATTCTGTTAGTGATTATTATTACTGATTTTTCCATTGTTATAGTTATCATTGTTGTTAACATGGTCAGAATTCCATTATGGAATCAGATTATTTATTTAAATATTTATTCATGTCAAATTTTATGTCTCATTTCCTTGGGGCACTACTGCTAGGCTTCAGGACAAGTCATATTCTAATTTGTCTTCTATAAAGACTCCTTTGGGTTCTGCTTCTCAGACAACCACTTCTCCAGTGAGTTGTTCTGTTTTTCTCCATCTCTTTACCTCCATGTTACCCCAAATGACAGAAAAGAAAAAGAACAACTCTCACTACTAGTAAGATCCACCCCAAGCCTACTCTCACACAAAATATTTCAATTTAGGGCCCAGGGAGCCACACCCAATACACAGGGCTACGAAGCTGTCCAAGATTCACTGCAAGTGTCCGGGATGAGAACAGCAGTCATATTTTCTGGTATCCGGTATTCCGTAATGTCAGGGCAAGCTTTGCAATAGCAGAGAGGTGGCTGTGGAACAGGGGCGAGGGACAGGTTGCTAAAGGAAATTGGCAGGTAGATGAATGAGATAAACCACAAGGTTTTCCCACATCTGTCTCTCAGCCAGCCTCCAGGAGTGGTTTCTGCATGGAATGTAATCAGGAGGAAGAATCCAGATAGGTGCCTGGACCTTCTAGCAGCTTTTCATCAATGTTTTCCCATTTTAGGGGTGGCAAGCTCATAATTACCTGTCTTCAGCTTTCTGCTAGTATTCAGGGCAGGGCAGCAGGAAAATTGATTGAAGGATGTGAAACACGGTGTCCTATTTCAAACATGGATTATCCTAATACAACACAGACACTGTAAGGGAAAAAAATTGTATTTTTTTTTTTAAAGAAGACTATTTGTCGCAGAAACTGATTTTTAACAACTGTGGAAGGGATCTTCCAAAGCCTGTATGGACTTTCTTTGCAGGAAATGACACCAGTTCAGGTTGGAGAGGACTGACAGCAGCCTTTCCAAAGGGCCTTCATCCTATTCAGGTCCTCTCAGGGTGTCTTAGAGAGACATGGAGGCAGCATGGCTGGTTTTCCTTTCCCCATGGCAGACACCAAGGCAAAGGCAGGAGTGAATACAATTTCTCTATCTTTCATTCAAATGGAAGAATCATCAGGCATGAAAAAGGCCTCCAGGTTCAAAGTGATGAGAAGGTAGATCTTTCATGGAATTTTCTTTTATTTTCTAAGATCTAAAACAAAACAAAACAGAACAAAACACAAACCTGGCCATAAACAATGGTCTGATACAAGCAGGGACATCGAGATCATTTCCAAACAAGGTCTCCCTTCCCCTTCTCCTGTTCAGTTGTTTACCCCCCTCCAGTACATCCCGCCCCTTCTCCTCCGGCCTCTTGTCCACGAGCTCACCCTCCCACATGGGGGTCCATTGTTGTGGGTCCTGGACCTGCAGAGGCTGCTCTAACTCCAGTTACACCCTGAGCAGCTCCACCCACGCCTGGCTCACTGAAGACACAGGCTGAGCCTCTGTTCCCTAACTTGTAGCTGTTTGCAGCACTGTCTTTGTTCCTTTCTGCGTCCTCTGCTCTCTCATCTCTTGCTCTCTGGACTAAAACTTGGACCTGCCTCATTCCCATGTTCTCCTGTGATTTTTTAGTTTCCTCCTGGGAGAGATGCCTAAACAAGCTTTGTGGATAAGGAGCAGTGAGCTGCCTTTGAGGGTATGTGGGTCATTGACTGAATTACCTACTGCAGAGGAGGTCCCCCTGCCAGCAGCCTTCATGGTCCCTGCGGTGAGAGAGTCTTGATTTTCTGGCCCCACTAGACTGTGAGCTCCTTGAGGACGAGGGGTGAAGGTGATGGATTTTGAAGCCCTAGCCAGTGCCCTGCATATCGTAAGCACTCAAACACTATTTGCTAAATGGCTGAATTATTGAAAAATAAATATCCGGCAGCAGTGGCTTTGAGGTTGGTGATGCAGGTCTTGAAAGTGCTGAAATTTTAGCTAAGATTTCAGAATTGTTCAAAGACCTCATGCTTTTTAGATGAGCTTCCTCATGACCCGTGTTCCCCTGCAGTCCCTCCCAGGAATCATCAGCTGAAGTCATCTGTCCCCTCTCCCCACATGCTGTGTGGCAGTGGGTTGGATAACAAAGTTTGGTGGACTGTCTCCTGGATGAGAATCTTGTCTCTACCATCAGCAGGTGCATGTGGTTGGACAAACTGTTTAAACTCACTAAGCCTCCATGGCAAGATGTAAAAATACGTGATATAAAACGGAGACCGTGAGAAGACCTAACAAGATAAAGCAGTTACAGCTGACACATAGTAAGTGCTCCAATGTTGAATATTAGCTGATTTTTTATTTTTGTTATTATTATTAGTAGTAGTAGTAGGGTTCACCCCTCCACCCCATTATAGCATAGTACATCTTATTCTTATTAATGTAGCATTGAGTCACTGAAAGTGAAGGGTGAACTTTGAGAGGGTCTGCTCCCTTGTCCAGCCTTAATCTCCCATGAGCTAACTATAAAATTAAGCAACTCAGACTTGCAGAGGAAAGCTCTGCCCTGAAGAGCCTGGGTCACTCCCTAGCATCATCTGCTTCCTGCTTATCTCTTCACCTTCACCATCACCTCTATTTTAGTGGACGGTGCCATCTACTTCAAGGGGAAAATTATTCAGCTCTTTCTCAGAGAGATGCGAGCAGCCACAGGATGACCTTGTAGCATTTCATGTCGTCCCCTTCTCCTTCCTTCAAAAAGGGAAAACCCTTTCTCGTCCTTTTTCCTTCCTCCCGCTAGCTCATGCTTACCTCCAGAAATCAATGCCACACTGTTCCTCTCAGGCTGCCCCGCCGATCCCAGGCTAGACTGCTTGCCCTCCATCAACCTCAGACCTCTCCCAATTCCACCTCAGCAAACACCTGTCAAGCTGGCTCATCTCCCAACTATTGGAAATAATACTCTTCCTGCCATAAGCATTTTTTTTTGAGACAGAATCTTGTTCTGTTGCCCAGGCTGGAGTGCAATGGCGCGATCTCAGCTCACTGCAACCTCCACCTCCCGGGTTCAGGCAATTCTCCTGCCTCAGCCTCCTGACTTGCTGAGATTACAGGCACACGCCACCAAGCCTGGTTAATTTTTTTTTTATTTTTAGTAGAAACGAGGTTTCACCATATTGGCCAGGCTGGTCTCGAACTCCTGAGCTAACCTTGTGATCCGCCTGCCTCAGCCTCCAAAATTGCTGAGATTACAGGAGTGAGCCACCATGCCCAGCCCATAAGCATCTATTATGTGTGAGGGCATATCCCACTTTATCTCCTTTCATTCTACAATTAATTAACTGATTAAGGTGTTACTATCCCCTCTACCGTTCACCATTTGAGAACTGAGAGCTCTATGAATATATTTACACAGCTAGGAGAAACAGGGACAGGTCTGAGCCCAGCTTAAATGACTCTAAAGATTTTTGATGGTGCACTATCAACCATGAGCTCTGGAAAGTGGGAGACATTGTGTTATTTTTATTGCAAGTACCTAGCCCAGTGCTCAGCATAGAGCCTGTGGTAAGGCAAGCTGTTAAATACATCTTTCCTCTGTTCAGGTGCTCACTCAATATCTGTGGAATAAATAGGTGAAGTCAGCAACGTAGGATTACTCATCTCTGTCAATCGCCTGGTACCTGTAAATACAGTAAGAATGACCCCTAGGCGATGGTTAAACTGAACTGACATGAAATCTGAGAAGAGGTTTAGAAGCTGGAAATTATTTTAGAAACGCAAAAAGCCTGCTGAGGATTTTTAGAGTCCCCTTGTTTTAAGGAAGCAATGGGAATAAAAGGCTGACCTGCCATAGATGGGCAGGTCAAAGTGAACCTTTTTGTGGCTAACAGAACCCAGACTCAGGACATTTTAGAAAAAAGGATTAATGAGAGTTTACAGTGTAGAACTGTGGGTGGTACCAAGCATGCCGTGAGCTGCCAGCAAACCGCAATTTGCCCTGACTCATTTAAGATAACTGTGCTGAGGATGAGTCCTATTTGTCCCCTGAAATTTCTCTCCACCCCCACAACCCCCTCTGTGCCTTCTAGTATCGCCTCCAGAAAGTGCATCAAATGGGTTCTCTTGTCCCGTGGCTTCGAGGTGGTAGCCTGTCAATGGGTGGAGGTGGCTGGAGGTGGTGGAGAGTGGGTGAGGTGTGCACCTGTTCCGCTCACCTTCCCGGCAGTGCAGGGTAGCAGTCAGTTCTTCATGGAGCATGGCTGCTGTCTGGAGGCTTTCTCCTGCAACTGAAGATCTCTGAAGGTTCCAGTAATAGCTACCTCCCCTGTCCTTCAGACCTAGGGATGGTGACAGATTCCAGGTGTTGCTGGTCCTGGGAGGCAACCCTTAAGCCCTCAGCTTTTCTTACCCCTGCTCCATCTTGTAAATAAATGGCCCTTCATTGAGCTCCCTTTGCTCATGGTTTGAAGAGTGCCATCTGCTTCTTGCAGACCCTCACTAATGCAGAACTGATAGGACCCCAAGATCTTGGCAGCTTAACTCAAGACAAGCGCATTCTCCCTCTTGTGAAGTCCAACCAGGTAGTTCTGTGAGCTGGTACCCAGACCCCTTTTTTTTACTTGTGGCTCTCAGCTTCTTGAGGCATCTAGGAATGGGAATTGTATAAGCCAGTCCTGGAAGTGGCATCCATCACTTTCTAGAGTTTTGTTTGCCAGGACGTGGTCACCTGGCCTCATCTAAATTCAGAGGACACTGGTCTAGACACTGTCCTGAAGAAAAGGAGATGGGCTTGAGGGAAAACCAGACAATCTCTGCCACACCGTTTAAAACTATTATCAGTGCAGAAAAAAGTATTTTTGCTCCAGTGCATAATATGTTCTATCATGGCAATGTCTGCATCCTGCGCTGATGGGTCCTGGGATGTGGCACAGAGTAGGTGTAGCCTGTTGGGCACCTGTGAAAGGTGGCACAGAATCATGTCAAGCCAGTGGCAAAGATGTTATGATTACTGAAACACTGAACAACTTACTTTTTTGAGACTGTAGGAAAACATGTAGGAAGGTAAAGAGCTCTACTCAAAGAGCACCTTCGTGCTGGAGAACTCCCAAGGGGACCCTAGTGTGACGGGGGATGAGATGCTTCTGCAGAGAGCTGGAAGGGTGCTTGACTGTAGAAGTGACTTGTATATTTTTCTGCTTTTTAGTGTTTTAATCCTACAAGAGTGACAATAAAAATCCTATAGTGTGAAACTCTGGCACTAAGCTGAGAGAACTAGAAAGAAAATTTGGAAAACCTAGATGAAATACACCATTTGGGACACAACTTAGAGAGTCTTTAGAGGAGAGTGGTTTGGTGGTTTTATGTTAAGTGAATTTTCATTACATTTCAGAGCTGGAAGAATCCCATGATCTGCATGTAAGAAAGCTCCAACCAGCTCTGCGAGTCAGTGATTTGCCTGTCATGCCTGGCAGCGAATGAATGAGCAGAGGAAAGACAAGATGCAAGTTTCACTAATTTTCCCAGGTATCTCCTGGGCACTAACTCCCATTTCCCACCAGGGTAGCTAGTTTGACGATGAGCACTTTGTTGACTGCCTTCCCTTTTCTCTCCCACTTCCCCAGTTCCAGCCAGTGATTCCTGCTCTTCCCAAATATACTCCCTGAATTCTTGGCTCAAGTCCTGCCTCAGGAACTCAAAATAAATAATTCATGAACAATATTTGGACTACTTTAAGCACAATAACTGTTACCAGCAACATTCATTTAAGTGGCAATCATGTATTTTTCCTTATTACCTTACAACTCTTTTTTGGTTATAGTATTTATTTCCAAGTATGTCTGTGTGTGCGTTTAGCTCAACAACTCCTTTTTCTTTAGTAATTCCTACAATGGGCACTGAATCAATACTTGCCCAAGTAAAGAAAAACTGAATTGAAAAGACCCAATGAATGACAAGCAGAAGTATGGGGATCTCTGTTTGAGCCATTGTTCAAGGAAATGGCAGAGTAAGAAGGGAAGAAAAATGAAAGGTTGCTTTTCTAAAAGGAGAAGTAGAAGCTGGGAGATGATATTAATAAATCTAGCAGAGAGAACTAGATGCACAGGGCTAAAATAAATAATAAATAAATAAATAAATAAGTAAATAAATAACTGAAGGAGAAAGCAGGAGGGCGCCCCGCTGAACAGTAGAGGGTAAGCCAGTGCAGAGTTCTGAGCAGTTTCAGTTTTGCGTTGTTCCAGCACCAATGGCCCCAGCACCCAGGGAGGAAGTAGTCATTTCAATTCCACAGAAAGCAAGCATCCCTGAGGACTCCCCTCCCCAATCAGTGAGCGGAGACCCTCAGGGCAGGGATCTGGAACCATCAAAAGTCCATGTTAGGGAGACTTCCTAGAACTAGGTAAGTGTCCTTGGTAGGCGGAAACAGGAACAAAGACAATTAAAAGCCCAGGCCAGCACAATGCCTGTAATCCCGGCCTTTGGGGGAGGTTAAGGAGTGAGGATCACTTGAGGCTAGGAGTTTGAGACCAGCCTGGGAAACATAGTGAGAGCCCTGCCTCTAGAAAAATATTAAAAAATTAGCCTGGTGTGGTGGCACACACCTGTAGTCCCAGGTACTCAGGAGGCTGAGATGGGAGAATGGCTTGAGCTCAAGAATTTGAGGCTGCAGGGAGTCGTCATGGAGCCTCTGCACTCCAGCCTGGGTGACAGAGCAAGACCCTGTCTCATAAAAAACTAGATAAATAAGTAAAAGCCCAGATCATTTCAGACACCTCAAGTTAAAATGAAATCTCATTTTCCATGTGATATCATGAGATAGTTAACAGGTTAGGATATCCACCTATTAGGAGGCACACCTGCCATCCTGCATCTAGACCTTGTGGCCATAGCAGCCCAGCGGTTTGACCTGAGATAGTTCCTTGCTGCAACCTGGTCTCGGTTCCACACCCTTCTCCTCAACACCTACCCTCAGCCTCTTGTGCTCAATGATCTCTTTCTATGTTCATTGTACCAGAATGCACCCCGAGGAAAGGGTCTGTTACTGTCATTTGTACTGACACGTTATTGTAAAGGCAAGGCATTACCCTTCCAGGGCCGCAGGGTAGAGCCTTACTGGAGAGGAAGGACCCAGGCACTGACTGCTATAGAGTGCTGGGGTGGGATCTGCCTTGCGCTTCCCCTCCAACCCAGCCCTGGGCTGGTTAGGCACTGCTCCCAGGTTCCCCAGACCCTGTGTTCACCTCTGTGACAGCTCTGAGGACAGCAGGTGTAACTGTCCACTGCCCTAGCTGCATATTCCTCTAGAATGTGGGCACCTGGAGGGCACAGGCTTATTTTTGTAATAAATTTTTGTGTTCTAATGCTTAGCGTGAGGCTTGGTGCTCAGTAAAAGCAGAGTGAGGAGTGAGTGAGTGAGTGAGTGCGTGAGTGAGTGAGTGAGGAGTGAGTGAGTGAGTGAGTGAGTGCGTGAGTGAGTGAGTGAGTGAGTGCGTGAGTGCGTGAGTGAGTGAGTGAGTGAGTGCGTGAGTGAGTGAGTGAGTGAGTGAGGAGTGAGTGAGTGAGTGCGTGAGTGAGTGAGTGAGTGAGTGAGTGCGTGAGTGAGTGAGTGAGTGAGTGCATGGTTACATTGAACATCCACAGGCTCAAACCAAGGATGAAGGGACCTGCACAGCCTTCATCTGTCTCCATGTTCTTCTTTGATCCTTGAGATTTTAAAGGTCCTTAACCCGTCATGCTGAATCTATTTGTCTATTTGGTTGTCTATTTTTGAACTCCTTCCATGTGTATCCTTGTTCTCAGTCAATTCTTCTCTCACCAACTCCCAGCAACTGGAGTGACTTTTGAGACACTTTCCTGTTTCTGATATTTCTGGACTTCAGTGGACATGTCCAGAGACACAAAGAATGATCTTCAACAGGCCTCATTTTGATCTTGATTTCTTTGGACAGAGTTTAACAGTGTCTCAGTACTGCCTTTAAAATTTAATAAAACCCTAGATCTTGGCTATTAGATCGCTAATTAACTGACCTTCTGTTACCTGCTGCTAAAATCTTCTGTTAAATACAATTAAAGTTATTCACTTCCAACATGGGAACCCGCTGTGCCACCCTTTACTCTCAGTGGCCTCTCTCCCATCTGCATGTCTTGTACATCTCTGCACAGGCTTCGCAACAGACTTGCTCCTCCCCTTTTCCAAGATTCAAAAACAGACCAAACTGACTCCACTAGAGTCACTGAAATCCTTCTATGCTCTATCCTCAATTACTTTGAACCACTCTTAGACCCATCCTTCGTCTTTCCCTCCTTCAGAGTTTCTGTCTTCAGGGGACACAGGAAGGTTTGTTTCCTTTCCCTTACCAGGCTTGCCCATCCTGTTTTCTGGAGATGCAACTCCCTCCAGCAAAAAAGCTCAGCTTTACTCTTTGCGGCCTTTTCCACATGGATTTCCAGAGTTATCTGCACCTGCAGTGCTGAAGGTGAGCAGGAAGAGATGACAATCTGGTTAGGCACTGCTCCCAGGCCCCCAGACCCTGCGTTCACCTCTGTGACAGGTCGGAGGACAGCAGGTATAACTGTCCACTGCCCTGTCTGTGTATTCCTCTAGAATGTGAGCACCTGGAGGGGATGGGCTTATTTTTGTAATAAATCTTTGTATTATGCAAGGATTGGTGCTCAGTAAAAACAGAGCATGTGAGTGAGTGAGTGATACACGGTTACCTCCATCTGCCCGAGGGCCCTTAGAGATATTGCCAAGCATGTCTGTCCACTCAAAATGCAAGAATATTCCCATTGCCCAGAAAATCTGAGAGCCTTTGAGAACAGGAAAAACACAAGTAGATTCTATTCATTTCAAGAATAAAGAATCAGCTGTCCAGGACAGCATAGTAACATCTGGATTCTCATTAGCTCCTCACTGGGACATGTCCTAATTTCAGAAGAACACAGTGCAAATGTGTGTCTGTCTTTGGGATCTTCTACCTTGGAGAAGACAAATTTATGAGGATGGACTGGCCTTCTTCAAACTATCTCCCTGAACTCTGTCTCTCCCACGGAGCTGAAGGCCAAGAAGCTAACCTGAAAGAAGCGAAGAAGTGGCTCATCTTTCCTTTGAAAAGAAAGCCATAACTTGTGTGATGTGTGTGATGTGTGTGTGTGTGTGTTTTGGGGGGGTCATGGGGTGAGATGGTGAAAATTACTACTAATCCCACAGAGTATGAATTGTGTCACATCACTCTCTAGAAGGAGCTAAAGACATAACTTAAGAGCCATGAGGAGAAATCCTTTGAGCCTGACTTGAGAGTGAGGATATAGAATGTTCATCCCAAACGCCATTTACCAGCCCTGAGAGAGTCCTCCTCGGTAGTTGGGGTGCTGCTAACAAAGGAGGTTCCCCGAGGCATTTCTGTGGTTTACCGAATTTAAGATGTTTTATATTTTATGCCCTTAAAGAACTTTTTGATTTTTAAAAACTTGTCATTTCTGAAACTTATTTCAGCATAGAACCATCCCTCACCCCCACTGTTGTTTTTCATGTGTTTTCCATTTCAAATGTGGGTCACATGCTGGGGAGGGTAGTCTAGTCTTCCTGCGACAGAGCCGTCCTAGAAAGCATTGTCTTCTGCTTCAACAGTTCCTGCACAGCTGCCAGGCCCTTCTAAGAACTCTACCCTCCTTAGTTCATCTTCCTTATTCTAGCCAACTTTGGGCTTAATTAATATTTCTGTTTCCCCAGGCCAACTTCTTCTCTTCTTGCTCAGTGATCTCATCCACTCAAATGGCTTACACCACTCACCTTCCTTCTGATTTCTAATAAATTGTTTTCTCCAACCCAGACTTGTCTCCTGAGCTTAGAGTCCGTACATTGAAGAGGCTCTTGAATATCTGTGTAGGTACCTCAAGCTCAGTATTGCCCCTTTAAAGCTATGCTTCTTCCATTATTTTCTATATAAGTAATATCAACACTCACCCAGCTACCTACCTTACTTTAGTGCAAAATATTTCCTAACTTAGTGGGAAATATAAATTGAAGTATTTAGGAGCAAAGATGTGAAATGTCTAGAACTTACTTCCAGTGACTTAAAATAAACGTATAGACAGATAAACAGATGGATACGTGGAAAACAAAGGAAGAGGGTCTCATGGAAACAGCGAGTGAATCTGGGTTAAAGATTTGTGGTAGTTCTTTATTCTCTTCCTGAAACTTTTCTCTATAAAATTTTGTCAAAACAAAATTTTATTAAAAAATTGAACCTAGTGTCAGGGCACAGTGGCTCACGCCTGTCATCCCAGCACTTTGGGAGGCCAAGGCAGGTGAATCACCTGAAGGCAGGTGGATCACCTGAAGTCAGGAGTTCAAGACCAGCCTGGCCAACATGATGAAACCCCATCTCTACTAAAAATACAAAATATTCGCTGGGCATGGTGGTGCATGCCTGTAATTCCAGCTACTCAGGAGGCTGAAGCAGGAGAATCACTTGAATCCTGGAGGCAGAGGTTGCAGTGAGCCGAGTTTGTGCCACTGCACTCCAGCCTGGGCAACAAGAGGGAAATTCTGTCAAAAAAAAAAAAAAAAAACAACCTAGTTTCAGTGAAAAAGTAAGTGAAAGGTAAGATGATAAAAACAACAAACTGAGCAAACTGAGATGACCAGGAAGCTGAAAGTAGCTAAAGATAGGATGGAATAAACAAACATATCAAAATCAAAGTATATTACTATATTATAATCTTCTGTTTCTGATTATATGTGGCCTAATCAGTCTGCAATAACGTTGCAACATTTTTAGAAATAAAAAAAAATTCTCTTGAACGTATAGCTAGACTAACAACATTATGAGAACTCTCTAAATTTCTTGCAGAAAAGGCTGAACAAGGAGTGATAGAATTGGGATTGTGCCTGCCATAGGGATGCTTTCTGACCTTAGTAACCATCGATATTTGTTATTGTCATGTGGAAACCAGATGTGCATTGCGTCCCCAGAGGGCAAGGAGTTGAGCTAAGCCTCCTAAACCAAGGTGGAACCGTGAAAGTTACAGTCTCACTAAAATAAAGGACAAGAAAGATAAAATACACATGTGTCAAAGAGAGATAACAGAGAAGTTAACAGAAACTTAGAATCTAGGATGAAATAAATGTGTCCTGAGAATGTATAACCAGTGGCTGCTCACTCATGGATTTATGATTTGAGCTTATATTTTCATAAACTAGAAGCCATCAAGGCAAGAAGTAGAGAAGTTTCTAGTCTGTCATAATATTGGGGGACATTACAAAGGCAAATACAAATTCTCTGGGAAAGAAAAACACTATTAATCTAGTACTTGCATTGATATGTTTCTACCAAATAAAAGTGCAAAATTCAGAACTGCAAAACATAGCAGGCAAAAACCATTCCAAATTAGCAGAAAAAAAACTCCTAAAATATAATATAATTAGCAATATGATATGGATGTGTGTCTCCTCCAAATTTCATGTGGAAATGTAATCCTCTGTGTTGGAGGTGGGGCCTGGTGGGAGGTGTTTTGATCATGGGGGCAGACCCCTCATGAATGGTGTATTAGTCCATTTTCAAGCCGCTGATAAAGACATACCTGAGACTGGGCAATTTACAAAAGAAAGGGATTTAATTAGACTTACAGTTCTACATGGCTGGGGAAGCCTCACAATCACGGCAGAAGGCAAGGAGGAGCAAGTCCTGTCTTAAATGAATGGCAGCAGGCAAATAGAATAGAGAATGAGGAAGATGCAAAAGCAGAACCCCCTGATAAAACCATCAAATCTCATGAGGCTTATTCACTGCCATGAGAACAGTGTGTGGGAAACTGCCCCCATGATTCAGTTATCTCCCACCAGGTCCCTCCCACAACACATGGGAATTGTGGGAATATAATTCAAGATGAGATGTGGGTGGGGACACAGAGCCAAACTATATCCTTCTGCCCCTGGCCCCTGCCAAATCTCATGTCCTTACATTTCAAAATCAACCATGCCTTCCCAACAGTCCTGAAAGTCTTAACTCATTTCAGCATTAACTCAAAAGTCCACAGTCCAAAGTCTCATCTCAGACAAGGCAAGTCCCTTCTGCCTATGAGCCTGTAAAATCAAAAGCAAGCTAGTTATTTCCTAGATACAATGGGGGACAGACATTGGGTAAATACAACCATTCCAAATGGGAGAAATTGGCCAAAACAAAAGGGCTACAGGTCCCAGGCAAGTCTGAAATCCAGTGGGGCAGTAAAATCTTAAAGCTCCAAAATGATCTCCTTTGACTCCATGTCTCACATCCAGGTCACGCTGATGCAAAAGGGGAGTTCCCATGGTTTTGGGCAGCTCCGCCCCTGTGGTTTTGCAAGGTACAGCCTTCCTTCTGGCTGCTGCATGGACCGGCATTAAGTATCTGTGGCTTTTCCAGGTACATGGTGCAAGCTGTCAGTGGATCTACCATTCTGGGGTCTAGAGGATGGTGGCCCTCTTCTCACAGCTCCACTAGGCAGTGCCCCAGTAGGGACTATGTGTGAGGACTCCCACCCCACATTTCCCTTCTGCACTGCCCTAGCAGAGGTTCTCCATGAGAGCCCTGCCCCAGCAGCAAACTTCTGCCTGGACATCCAGGCATTTCCATACATCTTCTGAAATCTAGGCAAAAGTTCCCAAATCTCAGTCTTGACTTCTGTGTGCCCACAGGTTCAACACCACGTGGAAGCTACCAAAGCTTGGGGCTTGCACCATCTGAAGCCACAGTTTGAACTCTACGTTGGCCCCTTTCAGCCATGGCTAGTGCAGCTGGGACACAGGGCACCAAGTCCCTAGGCTGCACACAGCTTGGGGACTCTGGGCATGGCCCATGAAACCACTTTTTCCTCCTAGGCCTCCAGGCCTGTGATGAGAGGGTTGCCATGAAGACCTCTGACATGCACTGGAGACATTGTCCCCATTATCTTGGGGATTAACAATGGGCTCCTCCTTACTTATGCAAATTTCTGCAGTCAGCTTGAATTTCTCCTCAGAAAATGGGTTTTTCTTTTCTATCACATTGTCAGGCTGCAAATTTTCCAAACTTTTTTGCTCTGCTTCCCTTATAAAACTGAATGCCGTTACCAGCACCCAAGTCACCTTTTGAATGTTTTGCTATCTAGAAATTTCTTCTGCCAGATACCCTAAATCATCTCAAGTTCAAAGTTCCACAAATCTCTAGGGAAGGGGAAAAATGCTGCCAGTCTCTTTGCTAAAAGATAACAAGAGTCACCTTTGCTCCCATTCCCAACAAGTTTCACATCTCCATCTGAGACCACCTTAGCATGGACCTCAGCATGGTCCATATCACTATCAGCATTTTTGTCAAAGCCATCCAACAAGTCTCTAAGGAGTTCCAAACTTTCCCACATTTTCCTGTCTTCTTCTGAGCCCTCCAAACTGTTCCAGCCTCTGCCTGTTACCCATTTCCAAAGCCACTTCCACATTTTTGGGCATCTTTTCATCAATGCCCCACTCTACTGGTACCAATTTACTGTATTAGTCCATTTTCACACTGCTGATAAAGGCAGTTAGAGTAGATAATTCTAAGTTCCAATGATTCTAAGAAAATGTGGCTTGGAAATAAACTAGATATTTGATTAGCTATAAATTTACAAAACAAGTATGAATGTTAAAATTTTAAGGGTAACAGTAGTAGTAAAAAAAGTAAACTTTAAAACTTCTAAAACAGTTGAGAAAAAAACAGGAATTTAAGAAAAATAATACACAAATAAATAAGTAAAACTCAGTCACCACCCGCCCCCACAAAAAAAGGCAAATTAGGAGAAAAACAGAACGTAGAAAAAGAGTAAGTAGAAAGAAGAATATAGAAATAGACCTGAGTTGATCAATAATCAAGTTAATATAAGTGACATATAATATAAGTAAATTAATAGAAGTCATCTATAGCGCACATAGTCATCAGTGTGCATCTTTTCAAAAATCATCCATGTATTCTTTGTAAGAATCACATCCAAAAGGCAAAACACACAGTTGTAAATAAGGGATAGAAAAATGTAAACCAAGTGTCTTATTCCCTTTTGTGCTGCTAGGACAAAATACCACAGCCTGGGTAGTTTATAATTGACAGGCATTTATTTGTTACAGTTTTGAGGCTGGGAAGTCCAAGGTCAAGGCCCCAAAATATGTTAAGAACCTTCCTGATGTGTCATCACATTGCAGAAAGCAGAAGGGCAAAGAGACAAACAGGGATCAAACTTGCCGTTTTATAATGGCATTAACCCTATAAAAAGCAGAGCCCTCACGGCCTAATCACCTCTTAAATGTTCCACCTCTTAGTATTGTTACAATGGCAAGTACGTTTCAGCATGAGTTTTGGAGGAGACAAGCATTCAGACCATAGTACAAACTTTAACCAAATCAAAGGAAATACTAGGAGAAACAAAATGTTAGTTTCAGACAAAGTAGACTTTAAGGCAAAATAATCAACGATAAAAATGTCAACATAACGACAATGGGTAACTTCTTCCAGGAAAATTACATATATTTATACAATTTTTAATAAAAACATTTATATCATATATATTTATAACATATATGTGTTTTTATTTTTTTATGCAAACATATAAATGGTTTATATATGCATGTCTCTATTTCTGACATTCAAGACACACAAAGGAAAAAAATAGTAACAGAATTAGAGGTGGAAAAATGTAAAATGTATTATTATTGTGGGAGATTATTAAGACAACCTGTTTCAGTAATCGAGACCTAAATATATGATATGTTTAACATGATAAGGATAGCTTAATGGCACAATTATAAAACATTGATTTTTTTTTTTTTTTGAAACAGAGTCTCACTCTATCACCCAGGCTGAAGTACAGTGGTGCGATCTCGGTTCATTGCAACCTCCACCTCCCGGGTTCAAATGATTCTCCTGCCTCAGCCTCCCGAGTAGCTGGGATTACAGGTGCATGCCATCACGCCCAGCTAATTTTTTTGTATTTTTAGTAGAGATGGGATTTCACCATGTTAGCCAGGATGGTCTCGATCTCCTGACCTCGTGATCCGCCTGCCTCAGCCTCCCAAAGTGCTGGGGTTACAGGCAGGAGCCACCGTGCTCAGCCTAAAACATTGATTTTTAAAGCATATACAGAACCATTTATCCTGAAACACTAACATTTGAACAGTTATTAATATTTATTATGTTATATAGATAAGAAAACCAATCACAATAAACTTCACAGACTATTCCTTCTAACCACATTCAATAAAGTTATAATTTATTCAAAGAAATAATTTAAATGTTAAGAATTTCCAAAAAAGTATATAGAACTTGTACCACAAAGAAGAGTATAATGAAAATTAGACTATATCTAGAAATGGATAATAACGGTACTAATTTTTGAAAGAAAGAACTACAGAAATATTTAGAAATATACTAACATTAGCAAAAAAGAATGATAGAAAATATTTAGTATTATTATTGAACGCAAGAAGTTAAAAAATAACAAATGAATAAACATAAAGAAAGCATTGGAAAGTTATAAGAAACAAGCAGAAGTTAATAAAATAAACAATGTTGGGTTTTTTTTTTTTTTTTTGGATATGAGGTCTTACTCTGTAGTCCAGGTTGGAATGCAGTGGTGTGATGTCAGCTCACTGCAACCTCTGCCTCCTGGACTCAAGGGATCCTCCCACCTCAGCCTCAAAAGCAGTTGGGACTTACAGGCATGAGCCACCACCCCTGGGAATTTTGTAATTTTTCTAGAGACAGAGTTTCACTATGTTGCCCAGGCTAGTCTCGAACTCTTGAACTCAAGCAATCCACCCACCTCGGCCTCCCAAAGTGCTGGGATTACAAGCGTGAGCCACAGCGCCTGGCCAAATAATTCATTTTTTTACAAAAGATAAAAACCCAATGAGATAATTATTTGGGAAAAAAATAATAAAATAGAAAACATCTAGCAAGAATGACAAAGTAATTTTTTTAAAAAAACCCATAAATTTATGAAGTTTTTTAAAATGAGAAATTAAAAGGAAAAGTGTAGTAAAACAAATTAGAAAATAAAGTGAAATGAACAATGTCTTGGGGTGGAGGAACTATAGTATAATGCTAAAAGTAACTCAAGATCAGAATCAGAATAAACTGTATAAAAGTATAGAATTCATATTTAAAATTCGCCAAAACTAAAGCAAATGAAAACAAAATGCCATTCAGATTCAGACAGTTTCAGATGAAAATTCTAACAATAACTTAAAGAACAGACATTCTAACATTTAAAAAATTGTTTAAAGGACCGGAAATAGCAGCGTGTTCTGAAATCTAAGAATGAAGTTGCTTAAAACAGGGACAAGAACATTATAAGAATGGAATTTTACAGACTAATCTCACTATTGACCAGAAGCAGCAAGAATATTAAATATCTTAGCAAACTAAATCCAGTTAGGTATTTTTAAAAATATAGCATAAACACATTGGGTTTATACCAAGAATGCAAGGATGATAAACATTTTAAAATCCATTATTGAGACTGAAAAATGTAGATCAAAAACAATTAACTTAAGACATACAGTAAATGTATTTAATTAAATACAATAAACATTCAAAATAAAGCTTTTTTTAACTATAAAGAGCAAAACTTTTTCTTATTGTAATAAAAAGTAAAAACTTATGACAAACTCAATATTTAATTATAGAAAGATAAAGTAATTTTTTTAAAGTAAGTGGCAAGAACAAAATGTTTTCTCTCACTATATGTTTTTAGTTCTTTTCTGGGTGTCTAAGACAGCACTGTGAAGTAAGAATAAAGAAGAAAATATTAAGGACCTGAACAGTCGATATGTTTGTATGCATGGAAAGCCCTAGAGAAACTAGAGCTAAATTTCTGAAGTTAATAAAAATATTAGAATGTTGATAGTTGTAAAATCAATATATAAAAATGGATTGCATTCTAATAAACCATCAACAAACAGAAAACCTAATTGTAGAAAGTGTCATTTACGGCCGGGTGTGGCGGATCATGCCTATAATCCCAGCACTTTGGGAGGCCGTGGTGGGCAGATCATGAGGTCAGGAGTTCGAGACCAGCCTGGCCAACAAGGAGAAACCCCATCTCTACTAAAAATACAAAAACTATCTGGGCATGGTGGTGGGAGCCTGTAATCCCAGCTACTCGGGGGGCTGAGGCAGGAGAATTGCTTAAAGCTGGGAGGCGGAGGTTGCAGTGAGCTGAGACTGAGCCACTGCACTCCAGCCTGGACTACACAGCGAGACTCCTTCTCAAAAAAAAAAAAAAAAATTAGAAAAAACAGCAAAGCGCACAACGTTAAGGATTAAATTTAACAATAGTAGTGCAGTAACTTTATGGGTAAATATATGAAGCATTATTAATAGTCATAGAAAACAAGCTAACTAAATAAAGAGAGACAGCAGGCCATAGGTGGAAAGATAGGCAAGTCTGCAAATCAGTAGGGAAATGCTGACATACTTAATAAAGAGCATGAGAAAAACTAGTTTTGCTAAAAATCCAAATATTTTGGATAAGGAATACTCGGTTTGCATTCATGTTGAGGGAGAAAGTCCCCCTTGGGTCTTTGAATGCTCCTCTGCCCATGCAAGAGCTGAGCATTTCATGACGCGGGGGAAAAGGACTACTGCCAGATTCAGACAATTACCTGTAGTTGGGAACTGAAAAATCCCCACAGGGTGGGGAGAATCATTTGAGTTCCTGCCACCCAGTACGAAGATATCTTGTTGACTACACAGGGCATTTTTGTAGAGTCCTCAGAAAATCAGTAGGAGTCTCTCCCAAAAAAGTGGAGACAAAATAGCCTAGAGTTAAAGACTGCTTCAGACATATCCTGAAAGATACATAAAACCAAGCTGCCAAAGGACCAAGCTGACCCTCAAATAGTGTGTCTGCTTATACGCCTGCCCAAAGCCACCATGCTCTCAAGCCATAGCGAATATCCAGAGCTCAAAATCATAAAATTCACAACATCTGGAATACAACAAAAATTTAATAGAAATAAGAAAATTTCACTGGATGCTATTAACAAAAAATAAATACCATAAAAAATGAATTTGAAAACATAGTAAAAGAAGCTATATAAGATGAGAAAAAGAAATTTAAGACATTGAACTCACTAAAATTTGTTATAACCTCAAAATCAATATCCGAATCAATGGTCACTCATGGGCGCGCGTAAGACAGTGAAACATTTGAGTCATTCAAAAGGCTCATTGTCAGCTGAGGTTGAATGAAACGGCATTATGTCTTGTTGTTTTAGCTTTCCTACTGTAGAAAAGTGTCTTTTTTGTGGTCTATTCAGTGCCACACTTTTGTGCTTTTTGGTGGTGATTTTGCTGTTTAAAATGTCCCCCAAGCATAATGCTGAAATGCTGCTCCTACGCACAGGAAGGCTGGGATGCACCCTATGGAGAAAATGCATCTTAAGCCTCATTCAGGCGTGACTTACAGTGCGTTGAGTTATGCTGCATGAGTTGCAGTGCCGTTGGCTGTGAGTTCAATGTTAATGAATCAACAATATATAATAAATACGGTAGATTTAAACAGAAACACATAAAACAAAGTTATGTGTTGACTGGTTGATAAAAATGAAGGCCCACAGGAACCTACCTCTGTACTTCCCCTAGGAGCAATGGTTAAGTATTCACTAATTCAGCATCTGTGGTGACTTTGTAGACTATAACTACCATAAATAGTGACAATAGACTACACTTCTTATAGCAATAAAATTGCTACATTTTAATGCAGAAATATTGTAGCAACAACATTAAGAAGATATACCTTCTAATAATAAAGGAATTTCTTGTATTGAAATAACTCTCCAGCCAATAGTAGTTATAGACTGTAAAAAATATAATAAGCAATATTTTGAATGCACTTGTCTGTTACTAAAAATTAGCATAAACTAGAGGAGCTTGACCCTCGAAAGAAGAAAACCACAGTGAAATCTACATGCGTGCAACATTTCCTCCAGGGACAGTCCGCGTTCCTTTGTCACAGTCAGAGAGACCCACGCAAAATCCACACTGGTACCAGCTGAGAAGTCAGCAGGTGGAGTTTGGGCAGCCACTGTGGGTGGGAATGGGGAGGGCATGAGGAAAAGGAAGAAACAGGAGGAAGACCAACATCTCTGCTTATCTCTCGTCAGATCTTGATTGACCCTTCAGCTGTGCATGCGAGAGTCAGAAGGAAAAACTCGCTGAGCAGAGAGCTTAACAGCGTCTACCATGGAAGACAGTGTTTGGAGGCTGAACACCAACCACGTTGAAGGCCTGTTCAACTTCACTTCACATGGGAGGAGAAGGACAAACAGCACTAGAAGGAAATTGAAAGTAGATGAAAATATACTAAGACAGCACGTAGCTGTCTAGGGAAGTTACCGCATGGTCCATGGAAAGAAATTTATGACAGGATGCAGATCACAATAAGGAATCTTTAAAATATCAGTAAGAAAAAATGCATTTTATGTAGAAAAGTTAAATTCCTAGCATTACAGATTTTTCAGTTATAACCATTCCCCTGAAAAGTTCCATCAGAGCCAATAAACAAGCGGGGACAACATCACAGCAATAAATAGTCACTAGTTATCATTTTATATCAAAATGTCAGATTTACTGTATAACATATACAGTTATTATTTGTCAATTAAAAGTGAAAACAAACAAAGAAGTAGTCACAGTACTAACATTTAAAACCCAGAGGAGGAACTCACATGTTGGTGTTTCAGTTTTGACAGACCTACTAGGATGAACTATCCTGAGAGGGCTGTTGCAGAGGGTGTTGATTTCAGCAAGGCATTTGAAATCATTAGATTTTTTTTTAAAGGATAAAGCAGAAATAAATTTAAATTCATGGGCACCTAAGGAAGATGTATTTGGACCTCTGTGCTGTTCTTTGGTGTGCCAGAAGCAGTTCTATCACTTCCTCACTGTAGCTGAAGAGTGGATTCAGTGTTATCCCACAGAACTCACGTGAAACTGGGCAGTACACAAGAGCAGGTGTTTTGGACGTGTCTCATCATAGCTGCTTTAAGAGGAAAAATGATAATAAATGCGTGTATTCCCTGCCCATGTATTTTTGTTGCTAAAATTGTTTTTTAAAATTGTCTTTCCCTGGGAAACCTAAGTAGAGTATCTCCACGTCTGTTTTAGGCAGCTTCTTTTTGGTTTGCGTGCAATTTTTATTTAAAAAAAGTGAAAATTAGGATTTATAGAATCATGAAGTAAGTATGACTCATGCATTCATCATCCACCATCCCTCTTAGTTCTGATTAAAAGATAAACAGGAAGGATTAATAATGTTATTTTATATAACAATATTGGTGGACATTGGTGCCCTTACACGTGGCAGATTTTTTTAAAATCCAAAATAAAGCTTAATGTAAGATTAGAAGAATAATCATGCAAAGTCCACTGAATCTTTGCAATTCATGTGGAGGGAGGCCTTGTTCATGTAAAAATGTCCCACCAGCTCAGGAGATTGGCTGAATATGCTGTCTATATTTTCTAGAAGTAGCTGCTGGAGTTTGTTCTCCAAAGAACTCAGATGGGACTGAGCTGTACACAGGTTGATTTCTCTCCAAGGCTGTCATTGCTTGCAGCTAGCTGTGTGAATGATTTTCCAGTTCCTCACTTATAAATTGAGGACTTGGGATTAGGACAGTTAAGAATCATCCAACCATAATTGTCTAAACTTCTGCTGCTGCCTCAGGTCATCCAACCCTTTAAGCCAGCAGGTGAAGAAGCAGATTCTCCAAAGCAATGCCTGAACTCAACACAACTTGCTCCTCAAGTCGGCATTCCTTCTTGTATTCTTCTATCCAGTGGCTACGGCTGAAGTTTTCATTTAGAGAGCTCAACTAGCTGAGTGATGTACATATGATGGAATCTGGTCCACCTCTAGAAAACTAGGCTCATAACAAAGAGGGGAGTTACCTGATCTATTGAATAAATGGGAGGTAGGCTTATATTACTGACCAAGTTAACGAACATTTCTAAGGGGTAGTTAGTCTTCAAAAAATTTTTGTGTGTATTCATTTTTTTAATCAAATAAGGCTATTAGATGCTATGCTTGTTCAAGATTCCATATAGCTTTTACTCCTAACATGTGACCTTCTGGATGAAAATTGCTTGAAACTCTGGTGTCCATCTCAGCATTTTCTTAAGAAATGGTTGCTACTTTGTTCTCTGTTGCTAGGAACTCAAGAATATAGACGCTCAGGAATGAAATATGGCATTTGTTGGTAACTCTATTGTAACATCATTAGATAGACTATCTCGGAGAAAAACAAAAAGGAATATTATTTTAAGAGATTACAATAGATTTTGTAATAAAGGTTACTAAAAGGGATATTGTAAGAATTATTTCAAAAGTCATAAAATAGATATTAGAAAATTTGTGAATTACAGAAAGCCTTATAAAAATTGTAATAGTAAAAATTATCATTTGTGAAGTACTTGCCACAATATGAGAACTAAGCCCTTCTATATATTATTGATTCATTTCTCCCAAGCCGCATGAAATAGGTAATATTACTAGCTCTTTTATATAGACGAGTAAACTGAGAATTAGTTTACAAATCATTGGTTACACATCCACAACTATGGGTATACAGCTAGCAAGTTAGATTCCATCTCAAATCAAGTGATCAAGGCTAAATTCTTTACCATTGTAATTATCTATCAAGTATTAAATGGTTTTTTTCTTCTGGTCTTTCTATCTTTGTACAGATTTATATTTTTAGAACAAATTGAGATTATACTACCTATACTCAGTTGGTCTAGTTGTGTTGCTAATAACATTGTGAGTATATCTCCATATCATAGACTAATCTTCATAAAATATTGTGTTTAATAGCTCCATGGCATTCTGCTAAGTGATATGTGGTGAAATGTATTAGTTATTTATTGCTCTGTCATCAGTCATTCCAAAATCTCAGAAGCTTAAAGCTGCAGATATGTATAATCTGGCATGGTTTCTGAGAGTCAGGACTCTGGGAGCAGCTAGGCTGATTGGCTCAGGCTTGGATTCTCCCACATGGTCACAGCTGAGATGTTGAGTGGGACCATGGTCATCTCAGGGTTTGACTGAGGCTTGAGCTGCCCACCTCCCTCACGGCACTGCTGGCTGGAGATGTCAATGCCTCACTAAGAAGAACTCGCCTTACATGATGGCAAATGGCTTCCTGCCAGGTGGGAGACATAGGAGAAAGCAAGGAGTGAGTCTCGGTGACTTTTACGAAGTTGTTTCCAATGTCACGTGCCATCACTTCCTGCTTATTATATGTGGTACAAGTAACTCATCAATGCCATCCCACACTCAAAGGCAGGGGAATTAGGGTCCCTCTGGCATAATAAAGAATATTCATGAGAGTGTGGGAATCCTTTCAAACCATAACATCAAATAACTCTACCTTTGCCTTTATATGTTTTCTAATTGAATTCTATTAAGAACATTGTTACCAATAACTTTGTATATAAAACTGTGAATGTTTTTGTCATTTGTTTCAGGATGATGTTCAAGTAAGATGATTAGGATAAAGGATACAGATTTTTTTTAAGTTTATCACACACATTACAGAAGAATGGCACATTTTGAACCAAAGAGGTGGTTCCAGATTGTGGAAGACTGTATTTTCCAAAGGTGACTAATAAAACATATTGTATTTCACATATTATTCTTAAAATGTGATGCTGAAAATATTACAATTGAGAATGGTAGGAGCTACATCCTAGCCCCCTGTTTAGTCTGTTTGGACTGCTACAACAAAATACTTTAGACTGGGTCACTTCTAAACAACAGAAATACATTGTTTACAGTTCTGGAGGCTGAGAAGTCCAGGATGGAGGTGTCAGCAGTTTCAATGTCTGGTGAGGGTCCTCTTCTTCATAGATGGTGCCTTCTAGTTGCATCTTCACACGATGGAAGGGGCAAGCAAGCTCGCTGGGGTCTCTTTTATAAAGGCATCATCCCAATCATGAAGGCTCTTCACTCATGTCCTAAGTGTCCCCCAAAGACTCCATCTTCTAATACTATTACCTTAAGGCTTAGGATCTCAACATAGGAATTTTGAGGGAACACAAACATTCAGGCCATAGCACCTGGGCTTAAATCTAGGTGAAATTTTGTGGCTTCCCCAACCAATAGGGTATGGCAGAAATGACACTATGTGACCTCTGAGTAGGTCTTGATAGATGTTGTGCACTTCTGCTTTATTTTCTTGGAATATTTGCTCTTAGAATCCAGCTGCCATGCTGTGAGGAAGCCAGGCATCCTCAAAGAGAGACCACATGTATGCGCTCTGGATGACACCATAGCTAGGATGGTGGTCACCCGTCGACCTCAACCACTAGACAGGAAGTGAGTGAATCTCCCAGTAATTTCAGCCTCTGGATAACAAGACCTTCCATCTTTCAAGATATCTCAGTTGTCATTCCATGGATCAGAGATGTGCTGCTTCACTGAGTCATGTCTAAGTCAAGATCATGAGCAAAATAAATGGCCAGCAATTCCACTCCAATGTATTCTCCTGAGAAACAATGAAAACATATGTCAATAAAAAGACTTGTATAAGAAAGTTTATAAATATCAAAAACTGGGAAAATTCCACATGTCTATTGAAAGGACAACAACAGGTAGACCATTGCACTGTATCTGTAAAATGGAGAAGCAGCAGGGAAAAGGAACCAAATACTTAGTATACATCCTTTCCAGTCAATCCCCACACTGGCCCATCCCACAGGAGTACATACTGCATGATGCATTTGATCCATGGTGATAAAAACAAGGTGGTGGTTATGAAGGCCAGTGTGGGAGACAGACTGGAAAGGATGCAGTGGGGCTTTCTAGGAGGATGGAAATATTGTGTGTCTTGTGTTGAATATGGCCACACAGAGTTATACTACTGTCAAAAACTTATCAAACACTCAAAATCTATGTATTTTACTGTATGTTAATTATATCTCAGTCTCTTAAAATGGTACCTGTGTAACTGCACCCAGCTTCTAAAATACTTGTACTCTCTCATTCCAACTAGACATATTTAATAGCATCACAGATGGACATTTTCTATTAAACTGTAAGTGGATGGAAAATGAGAAACGGTATTTGTTGAAGGTCATTTTTTACTACAGAGACTTCGTTAATTTAACTTGAGGCTAGAAGATGCCGACAAGTAAGCTAACCACTTGGTGAAATATGGGGTCTAAAGATAGAAACTTAAGCATTAAAGATTCTAGGGGATGAAGATTAAATTAGGCACTCTTGCTACTCATGCTCCCATATGAATTTATTAAGAGGAAATTAGCACAGGCATTGGACATATTACCTAGCCAACACTTCTTCTTACAAGTTGTAGAAAATCATTGCGATAGAAGAAGGGTTATAGTAACATGATTAACAATTGCATTCAAGGTTCTGAAATGCAGTTCTAATTGATATAGGAAAAATCTAGGTGGTGGTGCTTTTATGAAAAGATTAAATTCTGTTCTGGGTCAAGAAGAAAAGCCTGGATGGAAATGTATCCTGTAGCCTCTGCCATCTTGACCTTTGAAAATTAAGAAAAAAGAAAATTACTTGCATAGAGGTGAGCCTTCTCTTTGTTTAGAAAGTGGAGAACTGGTTACATGTCCTTCTCTAACATGAAACTGGACAAATATCACCTCTGTCTCTTTATGTCCCATCAGGTTTAAAAACAGAACATTTAGCTTTCTATATCTCAGAGAATGAATGTGGATGTAACACTAACTGGATAATTGAAGAGGTACCAGTGGCCCCTGTGAATCCTTTCATTTCACTTCTAATGGTTTCGTCAACAATGTGTTAGTAATTTCAGAGAAAGAGGCATGAGGCCAGCTTTTCCACTGCAATTTTTTCCACATCAGATGTGGGGACCTACGGGGTGAGCAAGATGAACCAGTGGGCCATGAAAGAAAATGTAAGAGCTTCTCATTGTATTAAATCTTAATGAGAAAGGAAAGAGTTATCTGTAATGTTTTATTATCAGGTCTCTAATCAAGATGGATAGGCACCCAGAGGAAGCCAGTGGCACCTCACTAGGTTATTTGCCTTACTGACATGCTTTGCAGCTTACATGTGTCACAAGAAGTTCGTTTAAAGATTGTATCATCTAATGTTACTGAGTTATCTTTGGGAATAGAAAATTGATTTCAAAAGTGTGTGCACAGAGATATCAGTTGCACCTCGGTAGTCCAGAGAGCAGAACAGTTTGGCCCAGTCACCCCCAGCAAGGGTCAAAAACAAAACAGGAGCCCCATGTGGACACAGATTCCAGGCGTCCACTTCTAGCTGACATGGAGTCAGTCACAGAAACTGCATATACCCTTTCCCTTAAAACAACAGAAAAAAGAATTTAGGAAATGATGTTTTTCAGGACACTTTACATCAAGCAGTGAAGGACAGTGATTATTGATATGCAGGAAACATGAAGAGAGCCCAAGGATGTGACAGCTTACTATCCAGAGAGATTTTCCAGGCCACAGCACAGAGCAGGAGAAACAGGGGATTGTGGCCGACCACCTCAGGAGAGAGGCAATGCGGAGAGATGGGGAGATATGGGTCATCAGAATTTGCATCACTGAAGAAAGGAGAGGACAGGGCTGTAGGGAGAGAGAGCTGTAGAGATCTTCAGAGCACTGTCCTCAGACAGTCAGCTATGTACTGACCAGCTCCTGTGGCTGAGAAAACTACCCAAGGCCTGGGAAAGAACCACACAGAAGGATTAGAGAATAACGCCCAGTGCTCACCCAGGGCACAAGTAGCACTGGTCTCACTACCCGGACTCTGACCCCGAATTGTTCATAAGACATTGGGTAGAGTACTCAGTTAGATCTTGACTCATTAGAGGGGAGTAATTATCCCTGGAATGACTGGCAGTCCCACCGCCTAACAATTTTTTTTTTCTTTTTTTTGATACGGAGTCTCTGTCGCCCAGGCTGGAGTGCAGTGACGCCATCTCGGCTCACTGCAAGCTCTGCCTTCCGGGTTCAGGCCATTCTCTTGTCTCAGCCTCCTGAGTAGCTGGGACTACAGGCGCCCACCACCACACCCGGCTAATTTTTTGTATTTTTAGTAGAGACAAAAATTTTTTGTATTTTTCATTGTGTTAGCCAGGATGGTCTCGATCCCCTGACCTCATGTGCTGGGATTACAGGCGTGGGCCACAGCGCCTGGCCCCGCCTAACAAATCTTAAAAGCAAGACCCAAAAGGATAGAACTGTTCTTAAGTCTCATAACTGTGCCTCATAACAAACGTCAAGATCATTTATAGGAATGCAGGTAATTCTCCCAAATAAATGACAGCATAAGCAAGCAACAAAAAAATTAGCAGAGCTGATGCTTATTCCTAGAGTAAGATTTTTATCAGGCAAATTATTTTTAAAAAATTCCTTGCACTTACTCTTTTCTTTGCACCTGAAACCATCTTTTTCTGACTGTCTTCATGGTTCCTTCTCACATCCTCCAAATCTATATGCAAATGTCACCTTCTTGTTGAAGCCTTCCCTGAAAACGCAACTAAAAGGGCACTCCACCCCCATAAGCTTTACACATCTATTAATGATGTACAGTTTTTCAGGACTCTCCCCATCACTGACAATACATCAGTAAACAAGACAGATGCAACCTCTACCCTGCTAGAACTTACCTTTTGCCGGGGGAAGATCGATAATGATAAAATAAGTATTTGTTGAATGAAATAAATAACCTAGTCATTATGCTGCCACAAAGTTGGCCAAAACATTTGAATTTGCCAAGAAGTTTATTCTTAAAATAGATTTATATCTGCTATTATTAATCAATAACCTTGGTCAACGTCTATATATAATGCTTTGAGATTAATCAGCTACTGATGAAATAACATATAATAAACCATAAGTACAAAAATATATACATAGGGCATATATTCAAAAATGTTTGATTGATAGTGATGCGTGATCAGCAATGTTTGCAGAGCATCAGTCTAGGTCCAGGCCAACTATGGGAAGAGTGAATGTGTGATGGACCACTCTTCCCATTTCAAGGAGGTACATTGGTCTCCTAAAAGAATATATCATAGAACCTGCCTTTGAGGATGACCAATCTTTTATTTTAACATCTTTGTTTCTGTTGAAATATTCTGTTTGGCTTTCTTCCTATAAGATGGGAAAGAAGAGGAGGAAGAAGGAAGAGCACTATTGATTTTTAAACAGCATTATTTTATGCTCCTGGTGATTGCACCTCTCTCTGTATAAGCTTTGCTTCTCTGAGCCTCAGTAGCAAAAATAACCACAAACACAGAGTCTCAACTAAGTTCCCTGGCATGGGATTTTTTTTATACATCATTTACTGCCTGCTGCAGTGATTACACAATGCAGCCCATAACCTCCAGAGAGAAGAAGGATGAGAGAAAAGCATGCGTACGCGTGGGCTGGGCTGTGCTTGTGTTGTGAATGCAATGAATTCTGTGCTGCCTACTCATACATTTTCTACTAATAACGGGAGGAAAACACACTTGAATCAGAGACTCTTTTTTTCTTTCTGGGTTTGTTGATTTAATATTTCAATAAGTTAGCTAACTGTGGGAATAATTTTAAATCATTGCTTTTATATTTAGACAAGAGAAATAAATTTCTTTTAATGTCAGTGACTTGGCAGGGCACAAGCCCAAGGGATGCCCCTATATTCTATCTCAGTTTGTAGAAAATTAGTTTGATTTATGTGTGTGTGTGTACATATATATATATATATATATATATATATATATATGTACACACACACACACACACACACACGCAAATTGAAAGTAGAATCAGGGTCATCTCAGTTCTACTTTGGAGGAAAATTGAGGTCATGGTCAGATTAAGCAATGACTTTTTAAATTTTTTTCTAAATCAGTGGCTCCTGATTCTTTTGTGATCATAAATTAAGCTATGGAACGTCTCCCAGAGATGGGGGTGAGTGGGGAACACAGAATATTTTTCCATATAATTTCTGGGGACATGGGTCCCTCAGGAAAAATCCCTGCTTCAGATCTAAAATTCAGTGTATACTAGCAATGCCCATGATTTATAATTCAATAGCAGAGACAGAAGCAGGAAAGGGACCTTCATCCTTGAAACAAAAAGAAAGGCTGCTGCATTTACCTAGAAGCTCCCCAAGGCCAAAGTCCTTGTCTTTGATTTTATTTCTGTTTTCACATGGCCTACAGCTATAACGGTTCCTACCTACAGCAAATTTCAGCAAATGAAAGGACTGAGTAGTACTTTTTAGAGCCTCCTGGGTGGCTCTTTTATGTAGGAACAATTCTAACCTGGATCCATCTGGAGGAAGTCATGGTGGGTGACCAGGGTCCACCACTGCCCTTTCCACCCTCTTTGTCACTGTGGTCACCAAGCTCACCTCTCTATTCCCTGTTCTGATGAGGAGGGCCTGGCCTTCTAGGCACAATCTTAGTTGGAAAACCTTTTATCACTCAATAGATGCTTGGCAGCCTTTGCTCTCCCTGCAGCCTTAGAACGCGAGTTTAGTAGGGGTTTAGGGCAGCCCATCACAGAAACAACATGTCTCACCCAGCCTTCCACCAGGAAGGTAATGTGAAGGACAGATCTCCTGTCTCTCCTGCTTCCATGTTAATCCTCCTTGCTGGTTATGCACAAGCTGTTGCTCAGATGTAAGCTTGAGAATGTAGACATAGGACAGCCATGGTGGCTCACGCCTCTAATCCCAGCACTTTAGGAGGCTGAGGAGGGTGGATTGCTTGAAACCAGGAGTTCGAGACCAGCCTGGCCAAGATGGGGAAACCCCGTCCCTAATATAATTACAAAAAAAAAAATTAGACAGGTGTTGTGGCTCATGCCTGTAATCCCAGCTACATCAGGAAGCTGAGGCATGAGAATTACTTGAACCCTGGAGGTGAAGGTTGAAATGAGCCAAGATGGCACAACTGCACTCCAGCCCGGGTGACAGGGTGAGACTCTGTTTCAAAAAAAAAAAAAATGTAGACATAGTAAAACGTGGTGAAATGTATCTGGAAGCATCTAACCACCATGAGGATCCCAATGCCTCCATGGATACCGAGCTTTTACATATTTCCTGACCATGCTTCCCCCGTAAACTTCAACAAGCTTGTTCTGGGGATGAGGCCACACATCAGGAAACACTCCAGCCTCAAGGGAAGCTGTAAGGGAGGCTGCTTCTCGCCAGTCAACCTCCATCAGTCACTGAATGGGGCACCGAAAGAGAGTGAAGGCACCAGCCTGTTGTACTCATGCTGGACCTAGCTTGACCATAGAGGACCCTGCTCTCAGTCTTCCCACCGCTTGACTTCACTTCCTGGATGCCGACGTTCACTTGTGTATCTGAACTCAGTTTCCAATGCTTTTCCGTGAAGTCTTTCTCATTCCCCGCAGTCAGAATTAGTCACTGTTGCCTCTATTGTTCCCAGCCTCCTTTTGCTTTTTGTTTGGTGTTTGCATTTCCATCTAACATCATCTTTTCAAAAAGATGCCCAGGGTCTTGGCTTCAGACAGCAGAGTCTGAGACAACAGGATTGTGTACTACCACTTATTAAGAAGTGTAACCCCAGGAGCAGCAGTGAGGGAAAGGGCAGCAGGCCAGAGCAAGGGGCACTGGCGAACTCACCTCCACTGTTATTAAGTGCAACCATTTATTCAGACTTGTGGGTTTATCTCCCCAGAGACCACATAAGTGGCTGCTCCTCAGTTTAGTCTTTCTGGGAAGGAAAGAGAAATAATCTATCCTCCAGTTCCCTCTCTCATTGGCGACAAGTTCTCCCTATAGGCATTATTTACCCCTGCACTTCCGGGCCGGACATGTGTGGACCCGCAGCAGAACCTGGAAGAGCAAAGGCAGCTGGGAAATGTGTGAGGCCGTCATGTAAGTCATGAGCCTACTGGGTTGTGTGTATGAGAAGGGGTCTGGAAACCACACAAAGCGAAGCACCGTGGTCATGGCTGCCGGGGCTGGAACCATTGGCCAAAGGCTCCGTAAACAGATCCTTAGATAGCCTGCTGTGGTGCACAAGAGGTGTCTAATGTACAGGCATACACAAGCTCTATCTCCCACGTGCCCTAATTAAGTGGGTCATATATGAAATTCCATAAATGTGTCATATATGAAAAATTCTGGAATCTTGAAGTTGGAGGAGAACTTCAGTCTGTTCTACAACCTGACCGAGGAGTCTCTCATGCAGCGTGCTCGACAAAGCCATCTTGACCATGCTTGAAGAACGTGAGCTCTCCCTGAGGCCAACCATCTGCTGCTTGGGGCAGTAATAATCAGAAACCCTCTACCTGCTAAGCTGACAGCTGACTCCCTGCAGACCTCAACAGACCTTCGCTGCTGTTGTCCATTTATACAGAACAAGGGCATTCTCTCTGTTGCACGTCAGGCTTCCACATGGTTTTTGAGTTAAAAATGTTTAGGTTTCAGAATGAATAACCCATAACTAACCACAACAATATGGGTAAATCTCGTAAACATGATGCTGAGCAAAAGAACCCACATGTAAGAAAGTGTGTAGGATAGGATTTCATTCATATCAGGTACGAACGCAGCCGCAGTCACTCTATGCTAGAGCCCTGGGAGAGTGAGAGACAGGTGCATGCAAGGGACTTCTGGAGTGCAGCCAATGTCCTGATCCCTGACCTGGCTGCTGGCTACAGGGTTGTGCAGGTTTGTGAAGTTCATCAAGCCATCCACTTAAGTTGTGTGCTGTTTTCTATGTGAATATTTTGTTCCAATATTTTCTTTTAATGTTGAGTCCTATCAAACATTACTCCTATGAAATAGTGACCATTATCTTTGCACCTCTGTATCGTCTGTCGTATGGTGCTTGGCTGACAATATGACCTTTGGGGGAGCACCCAGTTCTGACAACAATGTGGCCTCAGTCTCAACTATTATGTAAAACAATTTTTATAAATAGATACTAAGCTTCCATTGATGTCACCTTAAATGACTTGGGAAGTTTGGCCATTTTTCAAAATGACAGATTTATAACTTTTGACAATTTTTTCTTCCTACATTTTCCCATATAGTTATCAAGAAACTAAGCATATGGTCAAAACATTCAAGAAACACAGCGGGAAATTCTATGACTCACACACACGTGTTAAGAATGATGTGAAATGGAGCACAAGGTTTTCAGTGTTACATTTCTACCTTAAAATGGTCCACCGTATGTGTTACCTTTCTACCTTGACTGTACCTTACATATGACTTAATAAATCATAATAAATAAATCCATGTGATAGAATTTATTCAGGTATTATAAAGACATGAGAAGTTTTTAATACAAAAAATGTACATTAATAAGCACCCTTGAGAAACACAAAATGTAGCAAGGGACACAGACAAATGAACAAGTGATTGCTCTGTCATATGAATGCTGCTTCACTGAGCTTAGGAGCCTCACGGGAAGTGCCTCTTCCGTAGTCTGTGGGCAGGTTTGGGGAAGCTAGCAACTGATGGAGTTAGGTAACTGATATGGTTTGGATATGTGTCCCTGCCCAAATCTCATGTTGAATTGTAATCCCCAGTATTGGAGGTGGAGCCTGGTGGGATGTGATTGGTCCACAAGGGCAGATCCCTTAGGCCTTGGTGCTGTCCTCATGATAGTGACTGAGATCCCACAAGATCTGGTTGTTTAAAAATGTGGGGCACCTCTTCTCTCTCTTGCCTCTTCTTGCCCCATGTGATGTCCCTGCTCCCCCTTCACTTTCTGCCATGATTGGAAGCTTCCTGTGGCCTCCCTGGAAGCTGAGTCCATGCAAGCACCATGCTTCCTGTACAACCTGCAGAACTGTGAGCCAATTAAACCTCTTTTCTTTATAAATTACTCAGTCTCAGGTATTTCTTTATAGCAATGCAAAAATGGCAATAAACAGTAACAACTGGCTAGGGAAAGGTGCTCTATGAGAGTATGCAAACCTCTAAAGGTAAACAAGAGTGGGAAAATATTTCAGTGGGACCTGGGAATGATCAAACGCAGGTAAGGGAGCTGAGCAGGGAAAGAGGAGAGGAAAGTCACACCATGAAAGCCATGGGGAGCCATATAAGGGCTTTTTGAGGAAGAGTGAAATCATCCATTTGGAGTTTTCAATAGAATGTGCTGGCTGCAATGTTAGGAAGGGTGGAGGATAGCCAGAGGGAGACAGAGAGGCCACCTAGGAGGCTTTGCAGGATTTGTGGTGAGAGGTTGGGTTGGCCTGAATTGAAGCAGTAGCACCGTGGATGAAGAAAAGTAGAGGGTGGTGAGTGTTGCATGGGAGGTAGATTTGTTGGCTCCGATATCACTGCATATGGGTGGTGAGGACGGCAATCACTCAAAAATGGCTCCTGGTTCCCAGCTTGTGCACATGGGCTAAAGTAATGATGTACCAAGACAGAGGTCACAAGATGCTTGGGGCAGCTGCCTGCTGTGCAATTTCACACAACTGTGGGACACCTACGTGGAGATTCTCAGTGGGCAGCTGGGTCCTGGGATCAAGATCTCATGGTAGGAAGTAGTGATGGTTCCAGACACAGCCTCAGGAGTTATTGATGTGGTCCCGGGTGATGTAAGCCATGTGAGGAGATGACAGTCAAGTGGGGATAGAGAGACAGCAAGAGGCAAGGGCAGAAGTGGACTCCCCATGAGCCTGGAATTCGTAGGATGAGCAGAGGAGGAAGAGCCCCCACCCCTCCAGAGGCTGAGCCCACGAGATAGAAAAATGATGAGACAATTGTGACATGGAAAAACAGCACAGGGATCTCCACAGAGTGAGGAGATGAGATCAGGGACACACACACAGGAGGGTTGGAGATGGGGCTTCCCTAGGCCTCTGCACTCTGCACCTGCCTTGGGAGGGACAGCCCTGGTAATCTATGACATGTCTTCAGCATCATTCTTTCATTGTCTTGGATAATAGGTCCTGGCTTCAGGTTAGATGGCTGACTGATGTCCTTATCAGACGGTTGTTTGGCCATACTTTTGTTCTCCCTGGAACAGGCTTTCTCATTCTTTGCAATATGGATAGACTGAAAATTTTCAAAATCTTTAAGTTCTTCCTCTCTTTTGATTAACAATTTCATCGTTAAGACATTTCTCTCTGCTTGCATTTTACTATAAGCAGTTGAGAGAAATCAGGCCACTTCTTCAATAAGTTACTTTGACTTTTCCGCAGCCAAATGCCCAATTTTATTGCTCACAAGTTCTACCTTTCACAAACAGTAAGACAGAAACACAATCTAGCCTAGTTATTTACCACTTTCTAGCAAGCTGGACTTTCTTTCATTGTCCAATAGCATGCTGCTCACTTCCAGTAGGCCATATTTCTACCAACATTCTGCTGAGGATTACTTTGATATTCTCTAAGAAGACTGAGGTTTTCTCTGCAGCGTTCTTCTTCTCCTTCTGAGCCCACACCAGAATCATCTTTAATGGTTTGCTTGGAGCAATGTAGGCCTTTTCTAGCATGTACCTCAAAACTCTTTCAGCCTCTACCTATCACTCAGTTCCAAAGCCATTTCTACATTTTTAGGCATTTGTTACAGCAGCAGCTCCATTTCTTGATACCAATTTCTGTCTTAGGAGTCTCCAAAGAAACAGAATCAAGATATTTAAGGCTGGGTCACACAGTCTTGGAGGCTGTGAAGTTCTATAGTCGGCTCTCTGAAAGCTAGAGGCCTGGGAAAACCCTGCTGTGATGCCTCCCTTTGGAGTGTAGACACAGCTGATAAGCATTAACATTAAAATACAGATAAAATATAGATTGTAACACTGACATAACAGACTCTTTGTAGCAATAAGATACCCAACTCCAACCCAACCTTGGTATAGCATCACATGACGGATAACAGGACCTGAAGGAATATATTTCTTTGACATATTTTGGAATGGCCCTGCAAAGCCATCTATTGTAGGAGAAATTGCATTCTGTAGATAATCTTCTCACCTTAGTAGGTCTTCTCCAGAGAATCTGACACCTTCCAAGTTCCCAAAAGAGACATTTATCATCTATTACCTCTGAAACCTGCTACACAGAGGCTTCATCTACATAACAAGAACCGTGGCTTCCACAACCCCCGTTAGGTTAACTCAAGCATTGCTTTCTGCTGACTTTAATTCTTAAGTCAAAACTTAACTCTTTCAACTAATTTCCAATCAGAAAATCTTTGAATCTACCTATGACCTGTGAGATCCCCATTTTGAGATGTACCATCTTTCCAGGCCAAACCAGTGTATACCTTATATGTATTGATTTATATCTTTGTCTTTAACTTCTGTCTCCCTAAAATGTATAAAACCAAGCTGTAACCCAACCATCTTGGGTACACGTTCTCAGGACCACCCTTCCCACCTAGGCCTGAACTAGCTTTTCAGGTTTTCTTTGGGATCCCCTTGACCACGTGAGGGAGGTCTGTTCAGTCAGTTGGATGGCTTAGAACTTCATTTTTGGTTTACATCTAGTAGGTACAGACATTGGGTACATGAATCCTCCATATTTTTGGTATCTCACAAGGGCATGTTTGAGCCAGAGGATATCTGGAGGTACCAGGACACTGTACACCAGCTGGGGAACTGTGCACCTTTTGCTCTCTGTTTCATGGGACAAGGTGCCAATTCAATAGGAAGTTGACGATGGGCATAACACCTCCTGCTGGGGTGAAGAAAGGGTCATAGTTCTGCATATGACCTTTCCCTTCTTCTAATACTAGCTCTGTCCTTGCCAAGCAATCCAGATAAAGTTTCCCATGTCATTCTTATTTATATATGGCTTTAGAATTAAATAAGATAAAGTCAATAAGGCATTTAGCACAGTACCTGGTATAGAATAATTTTTCATTATCTATCTTATTGTTTTAGCACATTTACAGACTTTATTCTGACTGCGGCTACCTGAAGACTCCAATAACTTAATTTTCATTTTTCAGACGAGTAGACTGAGAGGCTGTGTGATTTGTCCAAACTTCAGCTAAACTGTAACCCTCCTCAGCATTTCAGTGTAATAGTTGACATGGCATGCTCAACAAATACCTACTGATCAGAGCTGGTAATTAAGCCTTTCAGCCAGCACTAGTGGCAACAGAGGCAGATAAACCCTGACTCCAAGTTGAGTACCTGTCAGCCTTGCCACATTTGTGTTTCACACCATGAGCCATGCTCCCCTAGCTCACTCCAGCCCCTTCCTGATGCCTCTTCTGACTTCAGAAAAACCTTCAAAGTCATTTCAGTTGTGCTCTCGATCACTGAGTGTGAAAAAATGGGAGTGCTCCATGCTTTCCAAACAAAAACAAAGAATTTTTCCAAAAAATTCTCAATGACATTTTATGATGTCCTATTGATGAAATGCAGACAAGTATCAACCTCATCAGGCTCACACATTTCCACAGTCTCATTCCTCTGGTTTCTACTGTTTGGGCTCATGGTGAGCTATCCCTTTCTTATTAAGTAGACAAGAGAAAGAGCTCCTGCTTTCCCCTACAGACCATTTAGTTGTGGAGCATTTCTCTTTTATAGCATTTGCTTCTTGGTAGTTCCATGGCTAGCTTCCTTCTTCTTTTTGTCTGTTGCCCACACTCTTAGCTTTTAAATTTTTCATGGGTTTTAGTCTTACACACCTGAGGACAGGTAGTCAGTCTTCAAATCACTAGTCAGTATCACACAAACCTTAATTTTCTAATTGCTAAATACAGAGTTCCTGGATTGTTCCTTGTGAGTGAATCATGACTCAATGGATTGCGTTAACCTTGAAAATCTCTCAGTAACAATTAGCTATCTTAAAAGAGCAAATAGGAATAGTACGATGGTAATTTCAAGCTGTAGAAAAATTCCTCAGCAACTCACCTGAACTTCAAGCAACTGTTCTCCCCCAGAATTGAGAATCTGGATTAAGTGTAAAATAAACTTGCTCTTGTAAAGTTATGTGCTTGTCTTCTGATTACATCTTACTTAAGCGATAAAACTTTTACAGAAAGAGCTACCTGCGTTAGTTGGAAATCACATATGGGCTTCCCAATGACACCTCTGCTTCCATAATACTGTCTTTTATTAGCATTTTTCCCAAATAGTATTCCTGAAATCCATCACTGTGTCAAATCCAATACTTTACATACCTTGAAATATGGAAAAAAGAAGAGATTTGCTTCTTTGGTGTGTCAAAAAAATCAAAATTAAAAAGCTCTTGTATCCTGTAACCAAACAATAGAAATGGGATATTCTGCCTAAAGCAAGGAGATAGAAGAATTTTGGATTAACAGTGAAAGAAATAATAATATAATTGTAATATACAGATGGTTCAAGTTCAGACCAATGAAATATCATAAGTTAGAGATTCAGAAATCATTCTTCAGGTAACTTATACACCTTTGTGTAGATGTGTGTTTACATGTGTGTAAGTTAATTATAGTCAGTGGGATCTAATTAAAGAAATTAATGAAGAGTTTGAGTTATTGAATGTTTTTAAAGAAATGTAAACTACATTGGCTGATGTTTTAACAAGGAGCTTTGATTTATTATTTTAACTAGCATATATCAGTTGTTGACAAGCCACTGGATAGATAATTTAAATATGCTTGAGGGACTCTGAAAAAAAATTCTTATCTTATGCGTACAAATTTATGTGCATAGTTATTTTGCTAGCAATGTCTTTCTTCCCTGAGAGTGCCTAATCCTGTTGAATAATCAAAACTTCTAAATTAGCAGACAATGGCCAAGACATCACTGCATTTGTAAGTTAAGTTATAGTTTCATCATATGAATACATTTTCTTTTTTTCAAAATAAGTAACCTATTTGTGTTTGTGTGTGTGTGTGTGTGTGTGTGTGTGTACCTGCATGTGTGTCAGAGAGAGGGAGAGAGAGTAAGAGAATCTAAACCTCTCTGTAATTATAGAAATTCAATATAAACACAGAAGAAGAGAAAACCACAGCTACCTATACGCTCTCTCTGCCAACCTATGTTGATAATCTCCCCGTACTGTATATCATTTTCTTATTTTCTAGTTCATGTCAAATGATCCTTTTTAATAAATGTTAATCATTATCTAAAATTATTCCTTGTAGAAATGAAAGTGTTTACTCATCTATTAAATCTCGGAAAGTTGTGCTGAATCCATTTTTCTTCCAAACCTCAAAAGAGTAAAATTAGCATGACATGGCTTTACTGTGGGTATTTGTTATTTCAAACAAGGTAAGTTCCATGTCATGACAGAGGAGTTACTAAGGGAAAAATATGTGCTGCAGCAAGCTCAGGCAACAGCATAAGTGCAATAATCTGCATGGTAGAAATGCCACATTCATTACTAGGAATTTTTGTTTGTTTGTTTGTTTTTTGAGACAGAGTCTCGCTCTGTAGCCCAGGCTGGAGGGCAGTGGCGCCAACTCTGCTCACTGCAAGCTCCGCCTCTTGGGTTCACGCCATTCTCTTGCCTCAGCCTCCTGAGTAGCTGGGACTACAGGCGTCCTTCACCACCCCCGGCTAATTATTTTGTGTGCGTGCGTGTGTGTGTGTGTGTGTGTGTGTGTGTGTGTGTTTAGTAGAGACGGGGTTTCACCGTGTTAGCCAGGATGGTCTCGATCTCCTGACCTCGTGATCTGCCTGCCTCGGCCTCCCAAAGTGCTGGGATTACAGGCATGAGCCACCGTGCCCGGCCATGGAATGAAAGTTGGTGAGAAAGGAGATGGTGCCAGTTTTGCTTTCCTGTGAGAACTTTTCAAATTCACTGCAGATGACTTCTCTCTCTGGTGCATTAATGCGGGATATCAGCCTCTGTAAACTCACTTTCAGAGAATGGTCTCATTCTAATGAATAGACATGTCTCTAAAATTTGCACGAGAAAATATCTGGATGTATGGCTTTGATGCCATGCATTAGGAGAGGCTGGTATTCAGAGTAAGCTTGCAGGTAATGTTTTATTACTGAGAGTAATCCAGTGCAGATCAATGTTTTTAACAGTTTAGACTTTCAGACAGCAGGTTTTCTTAAAGCAAGGTGGATAGTTCCGCTATTTACTGGGCAGTCTCTGGAGGGCCCTTCACGCATGCAAAAGACAAAGCTACCTAGTGTGTTCAGTAATACCGAGACCCTACCTATCAGGCAGCAATGGAGTGAGCATTGTGTGCCTGTCTGCATCTCTGCGGATAAAATCTTTGTAGTTTAGAACTCTTGAGGAAACTGTCAGATGCAGACTGCTGTGCACTCGGTGCTGTGGGGTGGGTTAAAGGACTTTCAGAAGCTTTGTTTATTCCCTTCAACATTCTGTGAGCCGTTGTTATGATACCCACAGTCTAGCTGAGGAAACTTAGACAGTGTAAGCAAATGCATGAAGTGCCGCGGCTCATTAGTGGAATAGCTGGGACACCTGTGTGGCTGCACCAAGTAAATGAAGGGGAACAGGCAGGGGATGATGTTAGCCAGCTAGGCAAGGAGCCGCCTCTGCAGGCCACTGTGGGCGTGTGAAGGAGTCTGGCGTGATGATTTTCGTACTTGAAGACGTGAACTCACTGAATTGCATTGGTATGTTATTCAGTTAATGCTTGTCTGGATTAGCCAGCGTCTCTACCCAGTTTTATTGCTCACTGCTGCTTCCAGCATCCAGTTCCTTTATTCTGAATTCAATTCTTCATCACTGATTTCCTTCAGTTACCAAAAGCCACTGAGTGAGAGCGCGTTCCTGATCATTTCCCTGTGTCTTGACTTTTCTGATTCCTAAATTGGCAATTATCTGCCTTGAGCACTTTGAAGAAAACTCCTTTTGTTACGAGGAAGACCCTGATGTCAGTGAAATTGTCATTCCTTTATGAGTAATCTCTCTTTTCTCTGTTTGCCTTCAAGGCTTTTCTCCTCTGTTTGGTGTTAAGAAATTGCACAGCAACACGTGTGTGTGTGTGTGTGTGTGTGTGTGTGTGTGTGTGTGTGTGTACGCTTTATTTATTTATTCTGTTCAGAACTTGGGATGATCCTCAACCGGTCTCTCTTCAGGCCTGAAAAAAAATCTTTGCCACTACTTTTGGAAAATTGACTCTGGCCCCAAATTCTCCCAATCAGAAATGTGTTCAACTTTCTCCCATTAAGCTGTATTCAGTCATTTCCTTAAATAACTATCACTACATCTCTTCATGTCTAATTCTGGGTGATTTCTGCATATTTGTCTTCCAATAAATTCTTCTCTTTTCAAATGTATTAAATGTGCTGTTCAACATTTTTTTTGCTTTTTTAAAAAATCATACTTTTAATTTCTAGAAGTGATCTTTAATTCTTTTTTTATCCTCATTTTTTCATAGTAACCTGCCTTTCCATCACAAACCCTACACTTTTAAAAAATCTCCTCAATAATTTTCAACATTATTTTTTAAGGTAATTTATATTATTTTTATTTATTTAGTTTTGAGACAGGCTCTCACTCTGTTGCCCAGGCTGCAGTGCAGTGCCACAATGACAGCTCACTTAGCCCTGAACTCCTGGGCTCAAGTGACCATCCCACCTCAGCCTTCTTGGGTAGAGTGGGTTTCAAGTGAGTCCCTAAAGGGTGGTTCTGTGTTTCTTTTTTGGTTGCCATGAGGGTATTCCAGCTGTGTGCCATGTTTCTGACAATTCATTACCCTGATGCATAGGTGACATGCATTCCAGCTGCTTGGTAGGCCCTTGTTACATGTTCTCTGGAAGTACCATTTTCCTTCCAAGACTCAGGTATAGGCAAGAAAACTAAAGTTGTTTGCTTTTTGAACTAATCAGCATTTTTCTTCTCCACCTTTTCATTGAATATGTAGTCCTTTGAGGGTCATAATTTTATGCCATAGAGCTTGTGTAGACCCATGGCTTTGATGACACAGATTTGTCACTCCCACCCCCAGCCTTCTTTACCTGTCTTCTGTGCCTAACAGGAAACTGCAGTGAAAGCTGCTGCCCGTACCCTTCTTTTCAAGGCTTTCTCAAATTTTGGCATTGCTGGACGTTTCTCATGCTTTCCTGATGTATTTTCTATATATTTAAAAGTATATTTACTAAAATATATCCAACATTTCTGCCTGTTTCTTAGTTTTTCTGTTGTTGTTTGTTTGTTTGTTTGTTTTTTGCAGGCGGTACAGCACAGTGCCTAGCAGTGTGAACTCTGAAGCCGTTCTGCCTTGGTTCAAATCCCAGTCCCTCTTGGCAGATGCGTGAACTTTGGAATGTTTTAGAACTTCCCTGTTTCAGTTACGCCATCTATAAACTGGAAATTATACTATTACCTGTCTCACAGGGTGGGTAAGAAATAAGTAGGTAAGCATTTGCAAATTGCTTAGAGCTATTTGAAAGCTCTATGTAAGTGGCAGCTACCATTACAATTGTTAGATGCTCAGGTTTTTATAAGGTCAGGTTCCCAGAAATACCTGTCTCCTTCAATCTAATTTTAATACATAAGCACTCTTCCAACCATGTTTTAAATAATTAGTTCAGCTCTGTGTAACAGAAGTTTTCTTTTACAATGGTTATTATGTGCAACAATTGTCTTGTGATGTGCAATTTCCACATCTGCCTTGAAAGGTAGACGTCATCATCTCTGTCTAGAAAATAAGGAAAGGGGAAGTACAGAGAACTCTCAGAGCCTTGGATTAAACTGAGGATTAAATTCCAGTCCAGCTGATTATAAAGTCCTTATTCTTCCCATTTATTTGGAAAACACATGTTTTTATCTCTAGCTTTAGTAATTGCATCTCTTTCAATGACTTATTTATGTAACATAAGACGCTAGACATGTATCCATCCAGTACTCTCTAGTCAGTGCACCTGAATTGCTGTGCTCATGGATGGGAAAAGGAGCTATACCAGTGCTGAAATTGAAGATCTAAACCTCTAACAGGATGCAAAACATCGTGCACAGTGGGCAGGGAGACGGAATGAGCTATGACTTTAGGGTTGTGATTATAATTGAGAAAAATCTAAGAAGGAGTCCAGATTGTCCAACACCATCACATCACTCAGGTAGTCCTTGCCTCACCAGCATTTAACTGAATGAAAGAGTAAAATATTTTCAACAGGCATCAGGAAAATCCCATCTAAAACCCCCCATCCTGTCCCACATCCTGATTCAAAATGCCTTTAAGAAAAGAATAATGAAGATGTAGAGAGCTGGCACAAAATTGATGCCAGCGCCATTCTTAGATGCTTTCTCCCCAATTTGAAAATAAATTCATGGCCTTTGGAATGGAAACTTATGGGTTTCCTCAAAAAACACTGTCCCTGGGCGGATGGGACAGCATTTCAGATGCCTTGGAGAACTTCCTCTTGCTCAGCTGTCATTGTTTCATTTTAGGATAATTGACCAAAATTCTTCACAAACATCTTAAAGTGAATGTTTGCAATTCAATCTGCTTGACAGAACTGGTCGTATTACTTGTTTTGGTCTAATATTTTCCTTTGAACTCTTCTCTATGAGGGAATATAATTCCATTCAGTTTTGTTTGCAGGAATGTAAAGATGCATTAAAAATAACCACAGGATTGAAAAATATCTTTCTATCTGAATTTCTCCCTCTCATTATTCCCAAAATGTTCTCAATGCTTCTATTTCTGGTGGTGTTCTCTGTCCTCATCTGCTGAAAGGTTCAGCCAGATGGGATGAGCTATTTCTCCAAGTTAAGCACCCAGGGTTTTGGCCAAGTAGAGGTGAAAAGACGTTCTGCTGTGGAGAGGTGGGGGCCAGCAAGAGGACAGATGGGAGGCTTGCACGGTTGTGAGACTGCAGATGATTTGTGGGTGCGTCCCCTATGGGTTTTGTATTTTGTCTTCAGTTAGTGCTTCCCTTAGAAAAATTATTTCTCTATGAATAAAAATATTTTGAAAGGAGGTAACTACAGCCTTCTGCTCAGCACCTGGTTTCACCATCCTGTGGTCGGTGAATGTTCCCACTTCAATGTCCTCCACAGACATAGACACCATTGTCTGACCCTCCTCCTCTTTCGAAGCCTCTCTGTCCTTGTTACATGCACCATACTAGCTTATTCCACTTTGCATGAAATAGTTACGTTTCTTCCTATATAACATGTACTTGGAAACACTGGCTCATTCTTTCATATCTATATATATGAAAAGAATTTCCTTGTGGACAAATTGTATTTGTTTCATATATATATATATGAAAGAATGAACCAATGTTTCCAAGTATCTTTATTTTCCTTTCACATACATATGTAGTGTATATATGTCACAGTGCGTCCTTAACCTTGGCAAAATAAACTTTCTAAATTGATTGAGACCGGTCTCAGATACTTTTGATTACATATAGTAACTCTTTTTCCATATTTTAAGAAATTAAGGATGAGTTGTTACAGATAAACGAAGGAAGTCATCATCAGTAGGTGATGTCCAGAAAGAAGAGATTTTCTGCATGTTCTTGGCACATTCTGGGTGATAGGAAGATAGGCTTTAAGTCACAGAAGTGCTGATTCTTAGATGCTGGTGAATTGATTCAATCCAGCACTAATAAGCAGACAAAACAAGAGCCGCAAGACACGCACGCCGAGCATCTTGGCTCCCTTTAGGGAAAGTCAAGAAGGAAAATGGAGCAGAGAGCACAAAACCACGTAGCACCAATATTGTGAGCCAGAGATATCTGTGTTTCCTTTCTGGTTGTTTAAATATGCTGTCTAGACACATTAGGCTCTAATCTCATTTTCTTTGCTCTGCAAAATTGCAAGCTGTGGCACTTGCTGAGAAGCTGTCTGCCATTTTCTCCATTCTGAATAGAGATTGAACAAGACACCTGGAAAATGATGTGAAATGCTGGTCTCGGCAGCAAGAGACATTGCTGCATGGAAAATTCTAGAAACCATGTTGTGAAGATTTGAGTGGGGGAGGAGAGCAAGTAACTAGAGGAGATACAAAGGGAATGCTTGGCTACTTCTCCCTCTCTCCAGTGCCTGCGCTGCTTTATTGCAGAGCAGGTCGCTGTGGGTGGGGAGAGGGACAGGTGGTTGGTCGCGGCCTTTCATGCTCCCACCTTTCCTGTGCCACCTCAACTTCCTTCTGCTGCCCTGCCACCTCTTGTTAAGTGAATTTCAGTTGCCTCAAACTGAAGTGCAAATTTAGGTATTCAGCAAACACATGCCTATGGATATTCCTCCCTCTGCACATGACATCTCCTGCCCCCAGTGACCAGAGGTCACTGCACCAACCAACTCTGAGGTCTCAAGGCTTATCCTAGAGGGAAGAGATTCGGAGCCTGGAGGCCCTGCCCCATCACCCCAGGCCTAGGGCAAAGCTTTAGGAAGATGCTCTCGTCAGAAAACTGTTTCATGATTTGAGCTAGTATAATCTTTATGTAACTTGTCTTTTTTTAATTTACTTGAAAATTTAATTCATTAAAGTATACCTGAAGAATGTTACATTTATCTATCAGTCTGCATCCTAAAGGCCTCAGCGATTTGGAACTCATCAGTTCTCGGCTTGCTTGTCCCATTGTCCCTAAGCTGAGTTTGAGGAAGGAAAAAAAATAAATAAACATAAAAAAGAGTGTGGCCACCTCCTTATAATGTCTTTTCAAAGCAAACCGACCAGGGGTGGGCAAGGGTGCCCTGTTCTGGGCCCCAGCCTCATCTGAGGAGCTGTGGCTCAGTCCCCACCCATTGCACTGAAAAGGCTATTCTTTGAGGAATGTACTTTGCCTGGAGTCACCCTCAGCCCCTACCCCAGCCTCACAGCCACTGAGTCCTGGACACCACATTGGCCTGGGGGCTGCTGGGTAAACCTCCATGCACCCTAGAGCTCCCGTGAAAGGCCACACTCAGCATGGAAGTCACGGTGTACACTGGGTTTTTGTTTTCAGATGTAATAGGCAAATAGCAAAATAAAAACGTCATGCCAGAAGGGCTAACATTGCAAATATCATGTCGTTTGCAGTTTCTTCATGTTCCTTGGAAAATGCTTCGCTTTTCCTCTTTTCCTATTATATTTATTTTCTGTATTCCTGCGGGACAAAAGAAACAAACAGTTGCAAGAGGAACTTACATTCTCTATGTGAAGAGAAAGCAGAGGTCTTAATATAGCTCTGAACTGTCTATAGATTTAATCATCTCACTGGACTCTTTTCTTTTTATTAGGCTTTGCAATAAAATCTCCCTGTCCCTGCTGCCAGCCTGGGTGGCCATCAGTCCTTCTGTGCTGACCACATTTCACTGCACTCCCCAGAGAGAGGAGTCAAGAGAGTAGCCCTCCTGCCACCCACAGGGCGGACTCCAGAGCCAAGCTCATACCTTGGAACAAGGTATGTGAAGGCTCTGCCCATTCTCCTGTCTGCCTCTTGGGTGGTGGGAATGTGCTGTTAATGCTTATCTGGGATGTGCTGCCATCCACACTGTTGCTGAAGCAGTAATCAGAAGAGGTGCCTGGCATAGCTCTGTGCAGCGATCCACCCCACCAGCTGCCCCTCAGGATGTGGGTTCGAAAGTCCTTCAAGGATTTTCACTGTAGAGCCTGGATTCCACTGTGAGAGTAGCACTGCTGGGAAATCTATTAACTGCTCCACTCTGCAGCATTTCCTGAGCATGCTAGTGCTGAGTGCCCTGTGACCATGTGTTCACAGACACAGAGCCAGCCCGAAGGCCCTCGGAGGCCAGCAGGGGAGGAGGAGACAAAGTGGAAAAGCAGCCATCGGTGGGGCAGGTGCCTCCTGGAGGAGCTCGGAGACCGTGAAGGAAGGGGCGTCCACGGCCCGAAGGCCTCAGGTGATAGGAGAGGCTTCGAGTGCTGCAAGAGAGTTGGTCTGAGGCAGGACCTTCTTGATCTTCCTAAAGAGCTCCAGCTTTATTCCACCACCCACAGGGAAGCAGCCAGGACCTAGGGCTGTCACTCAAGGCAGGTAGCAGTGGGCAGGGGCCTGAAACCAGGTGAGGAGGCCCTGGCAGTGTTCCAGGTGACAGGGAGAAGGCAGCCCAGTGCAGGGAGCCGCAGGGGAGGAGGTGGCTCAGGCTTGACATGGAAAGTCCAGGATCTGCTGAACACGGGGGTCCTGTGCAACGGATTGCAGGACTTGGAGTCCTCTGGTTTCCTGGAGACTGCGGCCACACTCTATTTTTTATAGACTGAAAGTTTTGTCCTCCCCGAATTCACATGCTGAGCCTGCACCGCCAATGTGATGGTGTTTGGGGTGGGGCCTTTGGGAGGTGATTAGGTTCAGAGGAGGTCATGAGAGTGGAGCACGCTTGACAGGGTGAGTGCTCTTTTAAGAGGAGAAAGAGGGCCCAGAGTGTGCTCTCACCCTCCTGTGAGGACACAGCAAGAGGCGTCCTCTGCAAGCCTGGAAGTGGACCCTCACCAGGAACCCAATCTGCCAGGGCCTCCAAACCTCCCGCTTTCAGAGCTGCAAAAGATAAATGTCTACTGTGTGAGCCGCTGAGTCCATGGAATTTTGTTATTGGGCTCTTATAGTAGCCCAAGCCGATTAGGACCCAGAGTTAGGGAAGACAGGATGGGAGCAGGTTGCAGGGAGAAAGAAGGATTGGACATATTCCATGGGATCTGTGCTGACATCCTCAGGAAGACTTGCCGAGTTGGCTGGGAGGGAGCCTGGAGTTAGAGACATGTTTTCGGGGCTAGCTGTCTTCAAAGTGCCTGTCACTGCTCTTGGTGATGTGCACATCACCTCCGTGATTCGCGGGAGCCCCTGCACAGCCACCGCTACAAACTCCATTTCAGTGATAAGGAGAGCTGGGCTCAGTGAGATTGTGGAACTTGCCCAAGGCCAGGATCCCAGAACTGCCTGATTTCAGAGCGGTGGAGGGAATGAGGCACTCCACAGTGCGCAGGCTCAACTTTCCATCAGCCACATAGCTGCTATGAAACCACTGTTGTGTCAGACACCCTGACTTTGGGCAGGTGGGGCTGTTGTGACTCTTGCCAACCTCCGGCCTCCTGTGTCCCCTGAAGCTCCCATCCCTCCACGGTCCACTCCCTGGGAAACAGAATCGATGAGGCATGAGTTCTGATGGGACATGGCCCCTCTGAGGAAGCAGGCAGCATATTTAACTGGCAACAAAAGGAGGAACAGGAGAGGCTCTAATGCCCACCGGGCCACCCCAGTGGCAACAGTCCCATCACCCAGATCTGTGTTCTGGAAATGTACGGGACGCAGTCCACGCGTTAGAGATGAGACTGTGACTGTTCACCTAGGTACTCCGGGTGCCGCTCAGGACATTTCCACCTAGAGGTAGACACCCTCCACCACACACACACCTGCGGGTGGGCCAGATGTGCTAGAAGCTCCCCAGTCTCCTTGGAGAAGCTGCTGTGAGACCAGATACTGTGAGACTGTCCTTCACCTGCCAGGTGATGACGTCTTGGCACGACCCCGCTGGCTCATGCCCAGCTCAGTGTGTGGAGTGCCCATGACAGCAGACCCATAGGACTCCATCCGCTCAGAGAAATGTCCCGGCCAGGGTTTGGGGGAGCAGGGGCAGCAGTGACCTCCCCTGGAGGCCTCCCAGCGCTCAGAGTGCGCTCCGGGAACCCCTCTAAAAAATGAGCCTTAAGTCCGCACAGGCTGTCAGCGGCAGCCCCTGGGTCAGACTCCTCAGCTCATTTTCAGACACTTTCCTTCCTGCTCCAGGCTCTGCATGTTCTTCAGCCCCTTAGCCCAGATTTCAGCCGCTGTGATGGTGGAAATCCAAAAAATGGGCGCGAATAAAAGGGTGTCACTATGAGAGTGCGAAAGCCACATCCATATTTGTAAGTGGAAAAATGTGAAGTCTGAACATCTTTAGAGCTTGCAGCGTGCTCTCTGGCAGGAAATGTGAAGAATAGCGGCTGGCCTGGCTCTGCCATCCCAGCTGCCAGGGCCTTGCTCCCCGGCTCTCCTTTGAGAACCGAAGGAGGTTCCCTGCCCCTCCGACGCACCAGCTCCCTCACTCGAAAGACCTAAACTTCCAGCCTCCTCCCGCCCGCCTCGACGGGGCTTTGCCAGTATAGAAACTGCAAGACTTAAAAGGTATCTGCTGGGACACGTGGGGGCGAGGGGCCATCAGCCACCCAGTTGCCCAGCCAGGCAGATTGCCTGTTGTTTTTTTGAAAGTGGCCCGATGAGCAAGAAAAACCTGTATCAAACAGCAAAGCTCCACTATCCCCCAGCCCCCAACCCCTTCCTCTCCTCCATGCAACACCCCCTCTTGTTCCCTGTGCCATTGCACAGCACAAACTACATTCTCAAATAACCCTCCACTGGCTCTACGCCAATATAGTTACGTTTAGAACAAGTAGTAAATTCATTAGAAAGGATTTGGAAGTGATTTATTATGCTATAAAAATGTGAGAAGATAATCCCTCTAAAATACCTGCATTTTCAATTTGCATATTATATTGAAATCCAAATTGATCTGCAAATAAAAGCAATATAAGTTTAAAACTTTGCTATTTATGTATAAAAACACCATATGTCTCCCTTGTCTCTGAATTCACTAGTTTTCTAAAGTGTCATAAGCCTTTTTTGATGTTTTATGTATTTACACATATTTTTGAAGTTCTTAGAATACAAAATTAGGCCTAATGTGTCTTTAATTGATCTGTGGGACATAATGTCAAAGCACAATTTTAACATGTTCTAAGTCTTCAATTTATTTATCAGTGATCGAGGTCCATAACTTTATAATAGCTATCTTTAGGAAAATGAAAGTACTTATTTTTGTTACAGAAGTAAAACATGTTCACTATAGAGACTTTGGAAAGAGAAGAATAAAATAAAAATTATTCTTCCCAATCCCATCGCTCAAAAGTAATCCCTATTGGACTCCAGAGAAATACACAACATTGTTTTCATTATAAGAGGCAGGTGAGTTTCCTGCTAATTCACTTCGCTCAACAGAATGCAAGCCCAGGGTCCTGGGCCAGCGCTTTGGAACCCCACCTGGTCCAGAAAAGCAAGACAAACAGAACTCAGTTCCTTTGAGGGGCAGAAATCAGGAGAACACCTGAATTAATTGTTAAAAATAGACTGCCGCCTGTCTGAAATATGAGAAACCTTGAAAAATATTCCCCACAAATTTTGTAAATCCCCTGAAGAAATACTATAAATCATTCAATCAATGGGACAGTCTTCTTTTGTGGCTGGAGCTGGAGATAAAATAATCAAAAAGGGGAAGCGCAGTGCAGCCTTTGAGGACCTGACAGCTGGCAGTGCCCGGTGCCTCCTCTCCAAAGCAGCTCAGAGCAAGGGCCTCCCTGCCACAAGCCCCACAGTACAGACAGTTCATTAAACAGAAAAACATTTTCCTTTCAAAGATGACTTTCAGATGCTGCATAGGTGAAATTAAGGAGAGATTTAGTTCATGCCTAAAGTCACAAGCACATTCAAATATTTTCCTTCTACTTATGGATGTTTATTCAGATGAAAATAAAAGTGGACATTTTGGATACGCCTCCTAGTCCTTTGGATACTTGGTCTAAATGATAGTGAATGACTGATTGTTACCCTTTTTTAATTTTGAGGTTTGTTTGCCAGATAGCTGCAACTCAGAGCATTGAATCTTCTGAGAATAAATTCTTTACAGACCAGAAAGCTTGCAGTCTGCAAACCATTTAAATGGTTGAGGAGGTGGTGGTTACTCTAATGGTACATGCACACACACACACACACGCTTGTCACACACAGGAGCAAGAACTCTGCACCAGGTACTTTGCCAGGTACCCTACGTTATGCACTGCCTTTTTTTTGCAAGTGAGTTACTGTGATTCCCACCTTGTAAGCAACCAACTAAAACTTCTAGAAGTTAAACCATTTTATTCAAAAATCACACCATGCTGAAGCTGGGATTTGGTGCAGCTCCACTCAGTTTTATCCACTACGACACAACATGGATTGTTTAAAATTGTCAATAGAATGGCGTTAGTCCAATAAGGGAGAAAATGGAAGGAGAAGCTTCATGATGTGGCCTCTGCCGATAGTTTGGGATATTGTACTAAAGGAAGACAAAGCAATTGTAGCGGGAGGGCCTGCCATCTTAGAAGTACAGGATACTAGGTCATACATTTCCTGTTTTGCACTTGTCAAAATTTTGAGATTGGCTTTTTAGAAATAATTAATGCATTCATTTGTTAAACAGGTATTCGTTACACACTATTTACAGGGCATTGGGATAAATGCAAAAAAATTTGTGAAGATACAAATGCATGCATTTGTGAGTATACACATACAACCTCATGTAGCTTATAGTCTATGAGGAATAAATAAATTATTGTTATAATTACTTTTCATGAAAAGTAATTATACTTCAGACATCTATATGCCTGAAGTATAGAACTTCAGGGCAATAGAAATTTAGCCTCCCTTTTAGGAGACAGTACTGGAAGTGCTCCACCGGGCACACCAGCAGCCAGCAGGTCCAGCTGTTTGCCCTCAGGCACAACATGCTGCCTCCTGTGGGGACAACTCTAGGACTGAAGCTAATACCTACTGCATGGCCCACTAAGTAACTGCGATTATTAGAACTGCTATCACTATTATTGCTGAATAAAGCCATCCCCTGCTGATCTGTCCCCCATCAGAAATACTCTTACATGGCTTCACTGAAGTGTATTTTATGCAAAAGGAAATTCACTCAATTTGCATGAGCAGTTTGCTGAGTTATGATAAAAGTACACAGTTGTGCAATCATCACAACAATCAAGTTTTAAAGCAGCCACATCATCCCCCAAATTTCCCTCAGATCCCCCTTGCAGAAAAAGTATTGCACAGAACTCAGTACCCGCTCATGAAAAAAACTTTCAGGAAATTAGGAGTGGAAATTCCTCAACCTGAGAGCATCTGTGAAAAACCTCCAGCTAATCAGATATTTGATAGAGAAAGGCTAATGGTCTTATGACCACAAATGAGACACAGATGTCCACATTCATCAGTTCTATTAAGCGTTGTATAGGATGTACTAGCTAGAGCAATTGAGCAAGAAAAAATAAAGACATACAGATTAGAAAGGAATAAGTAGCCTCTACTTACAGACAACATGATTCTGAATACAAAACGTCCTAAAGAATGTAAAAGCAGTAAAACAGATAAGGGAGTTCAACAACATTACAGGATACAAGTTGATATAAAAAATTATATTTTTCTGCACTAGAAGACAAAAAGTTCAGAATTGAAATTTTAAAAGACAAATCTATTTACAATAACATAAAAAATAACGAAGAATGAATATGACAAAATATTTGCAGAACTTTTTCACTAAAATCCACAAAATAACTAACAGAAATTAATAAATGGAGATGTATTGAGTTCTTTGATTGAAAGACTCAATAGGAATATTCCTCAAATTGGTCTATAGCTATGACGTAATCCTTATCAATATCCCAGGAGGCATTTTATAGAAACTGACAAAATGATTGAAATTGTATATGGAAATGCAAAGGACCTAGAGTAACCAAATAATTTTAAAGTAAAAGAACAAAATCAGTGGACTAATTATCTGATTTCAAAATTCGCCATAAAATCATAGTAAGCAAGAGAATAAAGTATCGCCATAACAATACATATATAGATCAATTCATTGAGATTTTATCTATGGTCCAGCATAAGGTATATCCTGGTGATAACTCTAGTCAAACTTGAAAAGTGTGTAGATACTTCTGTTATTGGGTAGGGTATTTTATCCATCTTAATTAAGTCGTTAGTTGATAGTGCTGTTCGCCTTCTCTATATGTATGGATTTATTCTATCAGTTACTGATAGAGACATATTACAGTCTCCAACTATAATAGCTAATATGTCTAGTTCTCTTTTAATTCTGTGAGTTTTTCCTTTATTTATTATGGGTATCTGTTTTTAGGCGCATAAATATAATTGTTATATATTCCTGTTCTAGTTTCCCTTTTATCATTATGAAATGCTTATTTTTGTCTCTAGTGTTGCCTTAAGATATATTTTGCCTGATATTTAAATAGCTATTCTATTTGCCGTGTGGTTAATATATTCAGGGTACATATTTTTACATCTTTTTATGTTCATCCTAGGTATGTCTTTGAATGTAAAGTGCATCTTTTTTAGGTAACATATAGCTGTATCTTGCTGTATCATCCAGTTTGATAATTTTTAACTGTGATTCAATTGTTCACTCCATTCCCATTTAATGTAATATTGACAGGGCTGAATTTGTACCTGCCATTTGGTGATTTTCTTTTTGTTCTTCTGATCCTATTTTACTAATTTCACTTGTTTTAAACAAATATTTTAGTACATACTTTAATTATTTTTTACTCTTTAGCTATGTTTCTGTACATGTTTTTAGTGGTTGCTCTAGCTTATCAAAATCTAACTTAATATTAACTTATTTCTGGTAAAATGCTGAAACTTAATGATATTATAGTTTCATTATATTATAGCTTTATTACACCCTTTCTTTTCTTTGTGAGATTCTTGTCATACATATTTCATATACATACATGTTGATTCCAAAAATACAGTGTCACAATTTTAAACAGCCACATGTCTTTTAAAGAAATTAAGAGGGAGAAACGAAGAAACATCTCTTTCAGCTTTGCCCACATATTTACTTTTTCTGGTGTACTTCGTTCTAACTTTTACCTCCAAGTTACCATCTAGAGATACTCACTCAGCTTGATGGCCTTCTCTTAGCAGTTCGTGTAGGGAAGTTCTGCTAGCAATATATTTTCTGTTACTTTCTTGAGAGTGCATTTTTTTTTGAAGGATCATTTTGCTGGATATTGAGTTCTTGCCAGATGGATTTTTCAGGGGTTTTTGATTTTTCTTCTTTCAGTATGCTCTTTGAATATACCATTCAAATGTCTTCTCACCTTCACTGTTTATAATGAGACGAAGTCAGGTGTTAACTTCATTGTTCCACTGTGTGTGATAAGTCAACTTTTTTCTTGTTGCTTCCAAGATTTTATCTTTGACTTTCATCATTCTGACTGTTGTGTTGTGTAGGTTTTGTTTTCTTTGCATTTATTCCATTTTAGGTTCACTAACATTCTGTAAGTTACATCTTTCACCAACTTTGGAAAGTTTCACCCTTTAGTTTTTAAAATATTTTCTCTGACTCTCTCTTTCTCTCTTTTTTCTTCTTGGACTCCAATTACATATATGTTTGAATGCTTGTTATTATCCCAGAGAGCTGAGAAAATGTTTACTGGTCTTTAAATATTTTCTCTCTGTTTTTTCACTGAATGATTTCTATTGATATTTCTTCAAGTTAAATCTTTCTTCTTACATATTAAATCTGCTATTAAATCCATCTAGTGTTTTATTTCAATTATTGTATGTATTAGTTCTAGAATTTTCATTTATTTTTTAAAAAATAGTTTCCATTTTTCTCTTGAGGTTCCATATTTGTTTACATATTATTAGCATATTTTCTTTTAGTTATTTGTACTTTTTAAAAATATTAGAATATATAGATGATAGTAACTTAAAAATCTGTCTGCTAAATCCAGTAGAGTCTGAATCTGAATTAGATGTTTTTTATCAATAGCTTTTTTCCCCTTAGCATGTGACTTATTTTTTCTGTTTTTGAACACCTAGTAATTCTTGCTTTGAAATTGGACATTATAGAGAACACATTTTTAGCAACTTTGGATTCTATTTTGCCTTTGAGGTTTTTTGGTTATTTGTTTTAATAGATAATTAATTTACCTGAACACAAACTTTGAAATCTATCCCCTTGCCATCACCACTTTTTCTGTTCATACAGTTTTGAGCCTGAACCCATACGGTTCTCTCATGTACTTGAGTAGCTTAGTGGTCAGATAATAATTTGAGCAGATGTTACTCTTCATCGCAAGCTAGCCAGACTTCCATGTTTGGCTGCTAGCTTGATGTGGGTTGGGGAACACACTCAAGAGTGGATCAAATTCGTAAGTCTCCCCAGGATTTTGTTTTATGCCAGTCTCTTTCTGTCTGCACCTGCACATGGAATTCAGCAGTCACCATGGATGTGCATTGAGTTTATTGTCTCATTCCTTGTATGCTTTCTTGCTTCCAAAATCTCCAACTAAATTTATAGCTTCTCTGTCATCATCTCAAGCCAAGTTTGCCATCCATGAGTGATAGAGCTTGGATTTCCGCTTCCAGAACGAGATGAAAAGGTCCATAGGCAAGAATGCTACACACTCATCATTTTAACCTAATACGGTAGCAGTTTTTCCTGGGAAAGTGTTTCTCACATTTTTGTCTACATTTGATCATTCCTCAGTGCCCTGAAATTATTGTTTCAATATTTTGTCCAGTTTCATTATTCTTTACTGTGGGGAAAACTGCCTGATCTATTCATACCATTAGTATTCAAAGTTTGTTTCTTCAAATTCATGTTCATAATAATAATCCTCATGAGAAAAATCTTGGTTTATTGAGACTCAGGGTTTTCCGTATCTTTTCTCCATCATAAAAGTGAAATAACAAATGTGTAATGTATTAACATTATACTCTACCAAAGTACTGATCTAGCTTGAAATAATAACAGCTAAACATAGCTCTTCTTGTGTGTCAATCAGTGTTCTAAGTACTTTACATTGTAACCTATTTAATTCCTATATAAGGAAACCATATAAGAAAAGCATTAATATCATGCCTGTATTAGTCTATTTTCACACTGCTGTGAAGAACTACCTGACACTAGGTAATTTATAAAGGAATGAGGTTGAATTGGCTTATGGTTCTGCATGTCTGGGGAAGCCTCAGGAAACTTACAATCGTGGTGGAAGACAAAGGGGAAGCAAGGCACATCTTATATGGCTGTAGGAGAGAGAGAGAGAGAGAGCAAAGGGGGAAGTGTCACACACTTTTAAGCCATCAGATCTCATGAAAACGCACTCTCTGTCATGAGAACAGCAAGAGGAAAATGTCCCCCGCACCCCCAATCCAATAACCTCCTGGCAAGCTCCTCTTCCAATTAGACATGAGATTTGGGAGGGGTCAGGGGCAGAATTATATAGTTTGGATTTGTGTCCCCACCCAAATCTTATGTCAAATTGGACGTGGGGCCTAGTGGGAGGTGATTGGGTCTTGGGGATGGGTTTTCCCCTTGATGTTCTCATGATAATGCGTGAGTTCTCATTAAATTTTTAAAATTTAATTACAGCCCTGCTGGGTTTCAGACTTGCATGGGGCCTGTAGCCTCTTGGTTTTGTCCTATTTCTCCCTTTTGCAATGGGAGCATTTACCCAATGCCTGTACCCCCCTTGTATCTTGGAAGTAACTAACTTGTTTATGATTTTACAGGCTCATAGGCAGAAGGGACTTGCCTTATCTCAGATGATACTTGGACTTTTGAGTTAATGCTAGAATGAGTTAAGACTTTTGGGAGACTCTTTGGAAGGCATGATTGGTTTTGAAATGTGAGAAGGATGTGAGATTTGGGAGGGGCTAGTGGTGGAATGATATGGTTTGGCTCTATGTTCCCACCAAAATCTCATCTTGAATTGTAATCACCACATGTCAGAGGAGGGTCCTGGTGAGAGGTGATTGAATCACGGTTTATGAATTTCTTCATAAATTACCCCATCTCAGGTAGTTCTTTATAGTAGTGTGAGAACGGCTTAATACAATGCCCTTTCTACAGATAAGAACCAAGGCTCAGGAAGAAGAACTGATTGATTAAAGCTATGCAACTAATTAGTAATGAAGTCAGGAATCAATCATGCTGGTTACTGAGTCCATGCCTGAGACACTGCACTCTTCCATCTCTTAAGTTCCTGAAACTGTGACTCAGGAAGATCCAACATCAAATCTACCATGGCACCTCACAGTGCTGCACTTATACTTGCTGTCTTCCACTCGACATCAGCATACTGGCTTGTTCTCTGATAATGCCTACAAGATCCAGCTTCACAAAATTCCTTTAGTTTATATGCAGAAATGAGAAGACTGTGTTTTTGTGCATTTTTACAATTTACATGTACTGTTTTTTAACTCTGGGTACATGAGGAAAATAAACGTCTGTGTTAAATGAAAGCAGGCCACCAATTTCTGAGGTACCATACTGAGAACTTCCCTGTATGATAATGTCATGGAAATATCACATCTGATTCTTTCAAGCAGTACTCAAACCAAGGCTCAGAATATTGGAGTGGATTCAAACAAATGTATTCCATCTACGTCCATTCAGCCTGATTTGGCCATGAAATGATGGCCAAGAAAGGGAAGGAGGGCACCTGTGGATGTGTGAAGAGTGGAGAGGAGGTATAGGAGGAGCAGAGGTTGGGACTCAGTTTTTCACAGCCAAAAGTATACAGGAGGAAATCACTTGCTCCACGATATACAATTTGCCCCAAACTGCTTTTGAAGGAGATAGCTTGTGGTGTGATTAAATCATGCTTATAGTCAGATCATCTGAAAAGCATCCAGGTAGATTCCTAGGTTATATTGAGAGTGGAAGAACTGCTGCAAGATGACACAAAATTAGCAGCCCCAACATTCTTGCTCATGCATTTCATATGATGGGTTAATTTCCCCCGATAGGCGCATGCTTATGATTCCAGTAATGTGCTTAATGAAGCTTGTGAATGGTTGTCCACTGTATTGATTTTTAACCCAGATTTGAAATTACTTTATCATTGTTTGCATCGTTTCATTTTGCATTATTTGTAGTATCTTTTTATTTCTTCATTTTTTTCTCTAACTTATTGAGATAAATACAAACTTTTTTATAGTTTATCTTCTTTAATAGTGATAGCAGTCTTTATATACAGAATTTTTATTTTGTTCCATAAGTTTTCATATAAGCATTCTATTTTGTGGCTTTCTAAATAACTTTAATTTCAGTTCTGATTTTCTCTAACTCACGATTATCTAAAACAGTTGTTGCTAATATCGAAAGAAGTAAGGTATTCTTATTGCCTTTTATCACTTATTTCTAACTTTTATTAGCTTATAATTAGAGAATATGAACTACAAAAAACTACTATTGTAAATGAGTTATGACTTTTATAGGTAAGTACATATCCATTTTTGCAAATAATCCATATGCAGTATGCACATCTATAAAACACTCTCTGAAGAAAATACATTTCTCTATATCTATGTCTTGTTACTTACTTATACATCTATAAATTTTTTGATTAACCTATGTTCTTTGTTTTCTAGTGGAAATATGTGATTGAGTGATGTTTGTGCATGCTTTGCACCATAACTATTCTGTTCGTACTTATTTTTTTGTTACATATTGAATGTTAAGTTGTTTGGTGTATTATGGTTTATTATTGGTGCAGTTTATTTATAAACGAGGACTCTGGCTATTAATATAAAATCCTCGTATATTGTTTAGAGTTTTCAACATTAAATTCTACCCCATCTCATGTTAAAGTTGGTTCCATAGCTTTCCTGTTTGTTTACTTGTATCTGGAATCTCTTCATGAACTTCTTTATTTTCAACCTTCCACTTTTTACTCACTTGGTTTTGCTTATTTTTTGTAGACATAATATAGCCAGGTTTATTAGTGTTTTGTTTATTTGTGTTTGTTTGGTTTGACCCAATCTAAAAATGGTTTTTCTGTGTAGCCCAAGAATAAGAGCAGTGACCTAGATTTGAATCTTCCCCCACAGCCACCAAAAATACTTTATTAAAAAAAAAAAAAAAACAGGGCAAATAGAATCCCACATAACACAAACCTTCAGCACAACTATAGAGAAACCACATGGAACTGCCTGCATATAGAAAGATCAACACCAAACTCCATCAGAGGCAATGCTCATCCCCCATATCAATGGCTGCTAATATTAGTCAGTGAAAGTTTGCCAAAAAACATGACATGTTCATGGTCCCAAAGTGATATGGTTTGGCTGTGTCCCTACCCAACCTCATCTTGAATTGTAGCTCCCGTAATCCCCACACGTCATGGGAGGGACCTGGTGGGAGGTAATTGAATCATGGGGGCAGGATTTTCTTGTGCTGTTCTTGTGATAGTGAATAAGTCTCATGAGATCTGGTGGTTTATGAAGGGCGGTTCCCCAGCACATGCCCTCTTTCCTGCCGCCATGTAAGATGTGCCTTTGCTCCTCATTCACCTTCTGCCATGATTGTGAGGCCTCTCCAGACATGTAGAACTCTGAGCCCATTAAATCTCTTTTTCTTTATAAATTATCCAGTCTCAGGTACTTCTTCATAACAGTATGAAAATGGACTAATACCCAAAGCATCTCTCCACAAATGACTTCATTACAAGTGGAAGAAAATAGTAACTTTATGGTGGAAAGGCCTGGTGAACCCTGCTTTTGTGAAGCAATCAAAGGCAACTTCACCAGCAAAGAGACAAGGGGATATTCTGTGTTTTTTATATGATGCACAGAGAGGGACACACATCACTTACATAAAAGTCCTGCAAAATTGAATTGAATCTAACCCAAATCTAATGCAGAGGAACCTTATGCAAACCCAAACCAAGGGTCACTTTAGGAAATAACTGGCCAGAGTTCCTCCAAAATGCCAGTGTCTTAAAAGACAGAGAAAGGTTGAGGAGTTCTCCCAAACAGAGGAAATTAATTATGTATGACAACTGAAAGTGATGTGTGAGCCTGAAGTGGATCCTGAGCAGGAAAAAGAAATTTGCTATAAATGACATTATAGGGACAAATGGTAAATTATCAATATGAAATCTAGATTCAATAATGGCCTATGATGGGGCACAGTGGCTCACACCTATAATCCCAGCACTTTGGGAGGCCGAGACAGGCAGATCACCTGAGGCCAGGAGTTCAAGAGCAGCCTGGCCAACATGGTGAAACCCCATCTCTACTAAAAATACAAAAATTAGCCAGGTGTGTTGGTGCACGCCTGTAATCTCAGCTACTCAGGAGGCTGAGGCATAAGAATTGCTTGAACCCAGGAGGCGGAGGTTACAGTGAGCCAAGATCAAACCACTGCACTCCAGCCTGGGTGACAAGAGTGAAACTCCATCTCAAAATAATAATAATAGCCTATGAATTTCCTAATTTTGACAATTTTCCTGTGGTTATGTTAGAGGAAATCCTGCTTTTCAGGGAATTCATACTGAACTATTTAAGAGTCAAGGGTCACCTTGTTTATAATTTACCATCAAATAGGTCAGAAAACTATTGCAAATGTACAGAAAGAAATGTACAGAAAATAAAATATATATAACAAGATAAAAATGTATTATTCTGATGAAGGTTATACAGGAAATCATAGTAGCCTTATGTCTTTTCTGTAAAGTTGAAATTTTATCGAATACAAAGTTTAGCAAGAAAGAAACAATTATACACATTCATGTTTGAATTGATTTACTTGGTTTTATTCCCATCCTCTTAGCTTAAATTTACTAGTTTTGTGTGTGTTTCCTCTTTTTCCCTCTCTTTCATATGTTTGCTGCTTTGGTCAACTTGCTCCAGCTTCCCTTTTATCGCTATTACTTGGAAGTTTCTGTGCATTTCCCATTCATGTGGATATCTTCCGTTTCCCCAAGATTATAATTCTCTGACTTTGACGATCGATGAGAGCAAGACACCACCTATTTCTTCCACATGAGGCACAGTAAAACAGGCCCCTCTGTCTCACGAGGCAAGAGGCAGAAAGGATTCTCTTTCTTTTGCTCCTCACCTTGTATTTCTTGTCCTAATTACTGTAATTGCTCCGCCCTCCATCACCAAACCAGCAATCTTAGCCTCATCCTCCACCCCTTCAGGTGTTCACTGAGTTGTGTACCTTCCACCCCAGTGCCGTGGACCAAGCCCGTGCTGCTTCTCCACTCGCGGGCCACACACTCCCCAGATCCCGTGCTGCTCCGAATATATCAACACGCACCCCAGCTGTCCCCTTCCACTCCATCTCCGTGTTATCCCTGTGTTAGCTTTTGGATGCAAATGTCTTACCATGTCACTTCCTGACTTTAACCCCCAACAGGTCTCCGATTACTTGACAGTAAAGTCAAGTGAAAATGAAGGTCACAGAATCCCTCACTGTGTATCTCCCATCTGCTGTGCCAGGCACCTCCTTTCCCCTGACCCAGGTTCCTGCTCCTCTCAGCCTAACCAGACTCACTCCTGGGGCCTCCGCTCTTGGTAGGTAATGGGTTCTCAATTTGGAAGCCCTTCCGCCTCCTGTCTGCCCAACTCGTCTTTACCCCTTAACATCTGAAATCACCACTGCCTCTGAGCTCTCCTTGGGTGCCCCTGCTAGAGCCATTGCTCCTGGGTCCTCTTAGTATCTCTAGCACAGCATTCATCAACTCGAATTGGAGCAATGGGAACGCGTCATGCAGACAGTGTATCATGTTTACCTTGGGTTCCTTGGTGTCTAGCATGGTGCCTCTGCAGACAATTGGGACTCAATACACAAGCGCGTGTGCACGGGGAAAGCGAAAAGGCAAGGTGACAGGACCACTGACATTTCACGGTCCACATAAGAAACAGAACTTGTGAAGGTGTGAGGGGGGTGGTTTCTCCATGAATGCAGAACCGGTCCTGCACTCCCCATCCAGGCTGAGCCCCAGGAATGTCCTCCACTTGCCCTTCACTCACTTCATTCACATGCCACACAGTAGGGCTGGAGTGATGCCTTTCTGTGCCCACAATATCTGTCTTCCTTTCAAAATAATCACATGAGGACGAGATTAAAACTGCCCTTATGATGCCTGCCAGGCAGATAAGTCGAATTCCCGTGCTGAAGAGGCAGCTGACAAGGATCCTGGCCTTTCAGATTCTGCCAATCAGTTAACCCCGCCGCCAGGGGAAGAAGGAGAACTCTTTGGAAAAACCCCTCCCCAGATAAAGGCAGCCTGCTGCCTGACGGTCTTGAAACAGAACCCGCCAACAGCCACTCCTGATCCTGCCTCCCTCCCATCTAGGCTTTGCCGAGCCTTCTGCGTATGCTGGGATCACTCTCACACCCAAATGAAAGAAAACAACAGCTTACATTTCAATAAATTAAATGGGATTAAAACAAAAAACACAGAATGATGTAGTGATTTCTAATTTGAGGGCACAAAGGCAGAAGGAGAGGGGGCAGGTTCTTAATGGAGCTCCCGATGGCCATGAAATGTAGGGAAAAGCCATTTCCATAAATTATGGAAATACACGCTGGCCTCAAGTGCATCCCATTTTCATATTGTTTTGCTGCCTTAATGACACAGGCTATTTTTGTAACATCTGTTTTTAGGGACCCTCCCTTTCTCCTGCACTTCATTAGAAATTCAGCAGCTCTCTTCTCTAATGAGTGCTCACTGGCACTGGGAAATGGATGGTGTGCCTTTTTGTTGCTGCGTGGGCGGTAATGCTTGAGTGGAAATGCTTCAGGAACAGAGCATGATCTGGGACTAGTACCTGGATGGTATGGTAGCCAATGCGGTGTGCCACACAGAGGAGCATGCTTTCCAGGAGAGGCCAGAGGCATGGGGAAGATGTCTGGTGACCGTGTTTTGATCATAAACAAGCAGATGCTACGTGTACCCTTCTCAAACGGCAGTGTGAATCCAAAGGGTCTAATATAGACTGTGTTTGATGAAACTTTAAAAAAGTCTGACTTTATTTATTTATACAGCAAGTTACTATATTTCTTGAAGTTGAAAGCACACCTAGAAATTAAGCCCCACCATCAAATACTGAAAAGTAGAGATGAACACAGGGGCTGTTTGAGAGTTTGTCGCAATGCATGACAAGCTTCTCAGGTTCAGGCTGCCAAGAGGCTCTATCTGCAGTAAGTCCCCATTTGTTAAAGGGACAGGCGTGGAGCTCCACACCGGTCCTGGGATTAAAGGGAAGCAAGAAAAGGAGGAAAGGGAGAAACAAGGAAAGTGGGACAATAGGAAGCAGGAGGAGCCTGGGGAGCAGGTGGAAGGCATCACACGCTCCATCTTGACTTACAACGGAGCTGTGTCCCAGGGGCCCCCTCCAAGCATCCACCGGCCCCACAAGTCCTGAGCATCCACCGCAGCACTGATCCCCAGTCTGGCAGGACCCTGAACACAACAGCAGGAAATGGTCTCTTCAGTTGAGGCAAGTCCAGGTGAGAGCATGTTACCTGTGCTCTACATGCCATAGTTTCATTCTGAGATTTTGAGTTCTGTATCTTAGCATGAACCGTGTAGGTCTTCCTATTATTAAGATATGGTGATATGTTTTCCAGCATGTAACATCTAAATCTAAAATTCAAAGGATAAAACTTTGAGAATTACAAGATAGATGCTTTCTGAAGACACAAGACCATTGTGATACAGACTAGCCAGGTTGCTGGCTGTCAACCACTTAAACTAGAATTAAAAGAAACTCCTCTTGTTTCATTTCCTAACTTCTGTTCCTCAGTATCCTCTTCCTATCTTCTTCCAACTCCAACCTCATCCCTGCCCCCGCACACATGTGCACACACGTTCTCTCTCTCTGTCTCTCTCTCTCTTTCCCCCTCCTTCCTTGTCCCAACTTGTCCAACATGTCCTGGTGCCTCCACTTTTCAGTTAGTTTGAGTGATCATAGATGGTACTAGTTTCTGTTTGCTGCAGTAAGAAGAGAGAGAACAGAGGTTTAACTTTCACAGCATTGATTCCAGGCTGGCATTTGTCCTTCTGCCCTGGCCTCCAAATCTCGGTTTCTGCCTGGAGGCAGCCCATGCCAGCCCATGCCATGGACCCGGGCAGCTCTGCATTGCAGAAGCCGTTGACAGCCTGAGGTGGGATTGATCTGATGATATGTTCATGCAGCTGCCACCTCATTTGGTTTGCCATTCGATCCAGACCTTTAAAAGTACAATTTGACAGAATTTTTTAAATTCAGAATTCCAGGCTGGGAAGTGGAAAATCTTTCTCATTTGGAAACAACTGTGAAACACATTGGTTCAAAGAGGAATTCCCTGTAACTGATATACAAATGATTCTCACATAAAAATAAACAAAATACAGGGAAACAAATGCAAGGTAGGTGTCGGGCACTCACGGAGAGAATGCCTGTGATGAAGCTGTTCCCCCTCCTGCCATGCTCCTGAGCCTCCTCATCTTTGAGTCACCTCCTGCACCCCTGAAAAGAAGAGAATGGTAGCTTTTCTACCCTTTCACGAGCTTCTTTATTCCTTGATTTCTTTTAGGCATTTTGAGAGGAAGTCTTTCTGGGACTATAGGAAAATGGGGAGAACAGAATGTGGGTCACCAGGCTCCTTTGTCATGGTGAGAGGGTGTGCTTGGTAAGGCTCCAGACTGTATTCTGAAGCCACATGTTGAAGCTGTTTATCTTCTGCCAAGGAATATTTTTCCCAGCATCAAGTGAAAGTTTGGAAAAGCAGAGACCTAGCATATCACTTCGATTTCTCTTAGCATCTCCTAACCATTTGTCCTTGGGTGCCTCCAGCCAGCTCTTCAATGACTGAGACTATGCGCTGTGGTCCTCATCAAGCTCCCACAGGGGCAATCTGATGATGATCCTTCCCGTGTATCTTCTGTCCCTACTACTTCCACCAAGCACAGCCCCTGCTCCACTCCCTGCTCTAGGGTTTCCCGGAGACACGGAGACCCTTGCCAAACACAACCTGAAGTTCCCAAGGAGGGGTGGGGGAAACTTTTGAACCATGTGTGATAGATGGCTAAATTCTCCTTTTTTCTCCGGATGTGAGGTCCTGAGATGTGTCCTGATATACATGGAGTGGTCAGTAGCCCTTGACATCAGGTGGCAGCCTTCACAAAAGGCACCTTGGACTGGCCCCCTTTCCTTCCATGCCCACCTCACACCCCTGGGCCCTCCTTCCAGCCTCCTTAGTAGCCTAGCTGCCTGCACCTAGTAATACAGCCTTGCCTGTGCTTCGTGGGAAATCCAGACAAAGACACAAATTGGTACAGTCAAAGTCGACAGTGGTATCACTATCATCTGCGTATTTGACTTTGAAACATATCCTGAGGGATTTGTCACAATATTATTTAACACAGAATTCATGTTACTAAAAAGTCTTGTACTTTATATTTTACCAAGTTTACAAGAGCTGATAGAATAAAGTTCTCATTTTTATTTAATTCACTAGGCAAAGAGTGTCTGATGTCTCGGGCCCTGAAGAGTCCAGATAGGAAACAGTCAATGCAGAGGAGGACACAGCTATTTCTTTCCCTGATTTAGTTGAATGTGGCTCGGGATTTTGTGCCAACTTTAAAGAGGTATGCCTCTGATATGGTTTGGCTGTGTCCCCACCCAAATCTCATCTTGAATCGTAGCTCCCATAATTCTCACGTGTTGTGGGAGGGACCCAGTGGGAGACAATTGAATCAGCGGGTTGGTTTCTCACATACTGCTCTCATGGTAGTGAATAGTCTCATGACATCTGATGATTTTATAAGGGGAAACCCCTTTTACTTGGCTCTCATTCTGTCTTGTCTGCCACCATGTCAGGCATGACTTTCACCTTCTGCCATGATTGTGAGGCCTCCCCAGCCATGTGGAACTGTGAGTCCATTAAACATCTTTTCCTTTCTAAATTACCCAGTCTCAGGTATGTCTTTATCAGCAGCATGGAAAAGGACCAATATAGCCTCCCTCTGGATTCTTGCTGAGCTTAAACTCAATTAGATCTTGTGCTCTTTCTTCTTGTTTATGCTATTGTCAAGACAGCTCTTTCCAAACTATGCTTACATAGTTTCATTTTATTTGTTTGTTTTTACCTCTTAAATTGCATTAACTGGTTATTCTAGAATGTCTATTGTTATACAAATAAGCCCTTCTTTTGCGGCCAGGTGTCTGAAAAAATAATAAGAAAGAACTGAAATATTTTTTCTTTACTTCATGGCTTAACCTGTAGTGTTTATCATGGGCTTGGTATTCCTCAGATGTGTAAGAAAAGAAAAGAATTTTTTATTAAACTATTTTTGAATTCTTCATTATGCTAATAATCACTGTCAAAATTGTTAGATAACCTACATTAAATGAAGCAATTCTTTGAAAGACACAATATTTCAAAACCATCACAAAAAGAAATAGACAATCTGAACAGGCCTATATTTATTAAAGAAATTGAATCAATAATTTTTCACCTTCCAAAACAAAAGCATCAGGCACTGATAGGTTCACAGGTGAATTCTACCAAAGGCTTAAGGAAGAAATTATATCAATTCTCTTAGAGAATTAGAAATAGAAAAAATAGATACAAAGTGAAAGGTTCCTAGCTCATTCTATGGAGCCAGAATTACCCTAATAACAAAACCAGACAAAGACATTTCAAAAAAAGAAAACTATAAACCAATACCTCTCATGAATATGGATGCAAAAGTCCTCACCAAAATATTAACAAAATGAATCCAATGATGTATAAACAGAATTATACACTATGACCAAGTGGGATTTATCTCAGAAATGCAAGGCTAGTTCAACATTTGAAAATCAATTAATGTAATTCATCACATAACTGAAAAAAAGAAAAATTATATGTTCATATCAATAGACACAGAAAAAGCATTGACAAAACCCAACATCTACTCATGATGTTATAAAAATCCAGTGAACTTAAGAATAGAGGGAAACTTCCTCAACTTCATAAAGAATGGCTACAAAAATCTGCAACTAACATCATACCTCATAGTGAGAAACTATTAATAGAAGCTTTCCCACTGAGATCAGGAACAAGGAAAGGATGTCCTCTCTCATCACTCCTTTGCAACATTACTATGGAAGTCCTAGATAATGTAATAAAAAATATGAAAGTATGCAGATTCTTAAGGGTGAGGGGAAACCATTGTTGTTCACAGATGACATAATTGTCTTTGTAGAAAATCCCAAAACAAATAAACAAAAAAGGCCTTGGAACAAATAAGCCAATATAGCAGGGTTGCAGGATATAGGGTTAATATACAAAAGTAAATTACTTCCCTATGTGCTAGCAAATAACACATGGAAATCAAAAACAATATTGTTTATATTAGCACCAAAAAAAAAAAAAACACTTAGGGATAAATCTAGCAAAATCTACATGAAGAAAACAAAACTTGAATAAAATAAATCAAAGAACTAAATGGAGAGATATTCCAAATTGATGAATAGCAAGACTCAATATTATCAAGATGTCAGATTGAAGATTCAATGTATTCTTCTATAGATCCAATGCATTCTTAATCAAAACCCCAACAAATTATTTTGCAAATACAGACAAGCTGATTCTAAAGTTTATATGGAGAGGCAAAATATCAAGAATAGCCAACAAAATATCGAAGAAAAAGAACAAAATCAGAGGACTGACACTACCTGACTTCATGACTTATCAGTAATCAAGAAAGTATAATATTAGTCAATAAATAAATAAAGAGATCAAGAAAAAAAAGCCCAGAAAGACACTTATAAATACAGTAAACTATACAGATATCATAAACTAATATAAGTAAACACTTATAAATATACTAAATACTTATAAATATAATAAAGTAGTATTTGACAAAGATGCAAAGGCAATACAATGGCACAAAGATAGTTTTTTCAACATATAATATTAGAACAACTTGACATCCACATGCAAAACAAAAAAGGAATCTAGGCACAGATCTTATCCCTTTCACAAAAATTAACTCCAAGTCAATTACAGACCTAAGTATAACATGTAAATATATAAAACTCCTAGAAGATAACACAGGAGAAAATCTAAATGGCTTTGGGTATGGCAATGGCTTTTTCAATGCAACACCAAAAGCACAATTTGTGAAAGAAATAATTACTAAGCTGGACTTCATTAATATTGAAAACTTCTACTCTATGAAAGACAATGTAAAGAAAATGAGAAGACAAGCCACAGACTGGAGAAAATATTTGCAAAAGTTATATTGGAAAAAGAACTCCTATCCACAATGCAAAGAACTCTTAAAATTCAACAGTAATAAAACAGCCCAATTAAAAAACAGTCCAACGTCCTTAACAGATACCTCATCAAAGAAGTTATAACTATATAGATAACAAATAAGTACATGAAAAGATGCTTCATTTCAAATGTCACTGGGAAAATGAAAATTAAAACCACAATGAGATACCACTGTACCTATTAGAGCGTCCAAAATCTGGAACATTGACAACACTAAATGCTGGCGAGGATGTGGAGCAACAGGAACTCTCATTCATTGCTGGTGGGAATGCAAAATGGTACAGGCACTGTGGAAGACAGTTTGGCAATTTCTTACAAAACTAAACAAATTCTTACCATACACTCCAGCAGTTGTGCTCCCTGGTAGCTACCCAAAAGAGTTTAAACTGTGTATCCACACAAAATCCTACAGAAGGATGTTTATAGCAGTTTTATACATAATGTCCCAAACTTGGAAGCAAACAAAATGTCCTTCAGTAGGTGAATGGATAAATAAACTGTGATACATTTTGGACAATAGAGTATTATTCAGCACTCAAAATAAATGAGCTATCAAACCATGAAAATCACAGAGAAGCCTTAAATGCATATTAGTAAGCAAAAGAAGCCATTCTGAAAAGGCTGCATATGGTATGGTCCAACTACATGATATACTGAAAAAGGCAAAACTTTGGAGACAGTAAAAAGATCACTGGTTGTCAAGGGTTAGAAGAAGGGAAGGATGAATAGTTGAAGTACACTCAGGTTCCAATCAAATCACACTTAGTATTCCATGCTTACTTAATACAGTGTGGTCTGATGCCCTGTCTCATAGCAGATGGGAAGCACAGAAGCAGGGGAAATACAGCAGACTTTCACAGGAGGAACAGTGACAGGCAGGGAGGTGGTCACCAACAACCTCACACTGGGAGAAGCAGCCAGGAGCCCAGGGGCACACATGGCTCTGTGTGAACACATCTATCATAATGAACGTGCACATCAGGGAAAGGTTAAAGCCAGTTCTGCAGCTGCTGCCTAAGAAGGCAGGAAAACACTTAATGCATTTTTGGAGAGACATATCCACAAAAGATGAAAAGAAATATTAGTGCAGGAGGGGGTGCACATCAGAGAATGGAAGATTAATTCTTACGAAAATGCCATTTCCTGATAATACTGCATGAATCTGGTATTTTATAGAATACATCTGCTGTTTTGCTTGCAGAATTGGATAAGGTTTACTTGAACAATGGGAGAATATGCTAATTGTCTTATTGTGTGTCTTCATTGCTGGACTCAGGTTGGCGAGGTGGTTTTTAAGACGTTTCTGACCTCAGTCATTGGTAAGGGACTTTATTCTACTGTCATCCTGTCATCTTTATGCAGAAGATTGCTAAAGAGATTTTTGCTTAGATAGATTGATTAGAACAGCTGAGCTGAAGCAACTTGATTAGAATATAGATGGTCACATGCCGTTTTTCATAGCAGCCTTGCAGTGTGCCTCTTTCTATGCATGGTTTCCCCTGCTTTGAAATTCTTCATGCTTTCCTGGGACATTGTGATGGGACACTTGATCAGCTGATCCTGGGGCTGGGTTCATGGAGGTCGTGCTTTTAGATCACCCTGCATAAGGCCACCCTGCATAAGGCTACCTGACTGGGAGTCCCTTGGGTAATCAACATGCAGAAGAATGGTAGAGAAAGCCTACACGCACTCCAGGTATGCCCACATTAGGTATAAACGTCTCATGTGTAAATGTACCAGCTGGGTTAGGCCAAACAAGCCTTCATTAAAATATATCTGCTCTGTATTATTCCAACACATAAGCCAGGCTTGCTCAGATTGCATTTTTTCAAATTCTGGGAAAAAAAAAGTGCATCAAGATACTGTGAAGGGTCTTCAGAAAGTTCATTAAAAATACAAATTATTTTAAAAATCTAGGCATAGATTTAAAAAATTTTTTGCACCAAAATAAACTTGTACGAACTTGTTATAATATGTCTAAACAGAATCTAGTTTGAGGTACTAAGAAGGATAAGACATCAGTTTGATAAGCGCCCCTGTCAGAGCAACATGAATTCAGCTACAACTGAATTAAGAACAAGCACCAAATTTATGAAGAAGCTTGGAAAAACAGTGAAATCATTTATGCTCTACAAAAAAATGTATGAGACCATAGTGCCCTAAAGAAATTAGCACTTTACAAATGGATAGCTTATTTTAGGAAGGAAGCGGGTGATGTTGAAGATGAAACCCACAGCAGCAGACCACCCACATCATTTTTTTTTCACTTGTTTTGGTTTTACTAGAGGCTCAGGTGGCCACATCAGTTTCTGAGGAAAAAAAAAAAAACATTGTTCATAATCTAATTGAAGTGGACTGACAAGTAACAGCAGAAACAACAGCCAACACTATAGACATCTCAACTGCTTCAGCTTACACAATTCTGACTGAAAACTAAAAGTTTAGCAAAGTTTCCGCACAATGGTTGCCAAAACCATTGTGTCCAGATCAAGCTGCAGACAAAGCAGAGCTTTCAATGGAAATTTTAACCAACTGGGACCAAGATTCTGAAGTATTTGTTTGAAGAATTGTAACAGGAAATGAAACATTGCTTTACCAGTATGATCCTGAAAACAAGGCACAATCCAGCAATGGCTACCAGGAAGTGGAAGTGGCCCAGTCAAAGCAAAGGAAGATTTGTTGAGAGCAACGGTCAAGGTAACGGTTTTTTCGGATGCTCAATGCATTTTACTTATTGACTTTCTGAAGGGTCAAAGAATACATCTCCTTATCAGGACAGTGTTTTGAGAAAGATAGCCAAAGCTTTAGCAGAGAATCACCGGAGAAAGCTTCACCAGAGCATCCTTCCCCACTACAACAATGCTTCTGCTTATTCTTCTCATCAAACAATGGCAATTTTTAAAAAGTTTTGATGGGAAATCATTAGGTATCCAGCTTAACAGTCTTGATTTGGCTCCTGATTTTTGTTTTAATTGAGGCAGAGTCTTGTTCTGCTGCCCAGGCTGGAGTGCAGTGGCGCAATCTCGGCTCACTGCAACCTCCGCCTCTAGGGTTCAAGCGATTCTCCCACCTCAGCCTCCTGAGTAGCTGGGATTCCAGGCATGCACCACCATGTCTGGCTAATTTTTGTATTTTTAGTAGAGACAGGGTTTCACCATGTTGGCCAAGCTGGTCTTGAATTCCTGGCCTCAAGTGACCCACCCGTGTCAGCCTCCCAAAGTGCTGGGATTACAGGTGTGAGACGCCACGCCCAACCCTGATTTGGCTTATTTTGACTTCTTCTTTTCCATTATTAAAAAAAAAAAATCTCTAAAGGGCAATAATTTTTCTTCAGTTAATAATGTAAGAAAGACTGCATTGACATGGTTAAATCCCCAAGATTCTCAGTTCTTTAGGGATGGACTGCATGTCTGGCCTCTTCTTCCAATGTGGGATTGTCAGTGACCACCTCCCTGCCTGTCATTGAGCCTCCCGCAATAGCCTGCTGGATTTCCCCTGCTTCTGCGCTTCTTCTCTGCTGTGAGACAGGGCACCAGACCATGCTGCATATTAAGTAAGCATGGCATACTAAGTGTGATTTGATTGAAATCTGAGTGAAGGCTCAGGCTTTTAGGGAGCTGTTTTAGGGATATTAAAGATCTCTTTGGTTTTTCTTTGAGAGTAGGCATGTCCCATAGGAATGAGGATGGGAGGACCTCCAATTAACAGGGTTATGACCATCCACCAAAGCTACACATCTGAGAAGTTGAAGAAATACTGGTGCCTGATTCCACCTTGGAAGATCAAAATTTAATTGGGTTAAACGGAAACCTGAAGGTCATGACTTTTTAAAGCCTATGAGGTAAAAATATGCACTTGGCTCTGAGCACCTTGGTGCTAGAACAGGACTTCTGCGGAAAATAGGATCTTAATGACAGGAATAAGTCTGGTCTAGGTGGTGGTTGTACTTCATGGGTGTAATGGATTGAATCATGTCTCTCCAAAAAGTTTTCATGTTGAAGTCCTCACCCCCAGAACATCAGAATGTGACCTTATTTAGAAACAGAGGGTTTTTGTAGATATAATTAGTTAAGATGAGATCATACTGGAGTAAAGTTGGCCTCTAATCCAATATAAATATGTCCTTATAAATTGGACACAAAGACATACACTCAGGGAAATCGCAAATGAAGAGGAAGGCAGAGAACTACAAGCCAAGAAAAGCCAAAGATTTCTAGCAAGCCACCAGAGGCTGGGAGAGAGGCATGGAACAGATTTCTTCATCATAGCTCTCACAAGAAACTAAATTTGCTGACTCCTTGATCTCAGACTTTGGGCTTCCAGAACCGTGAAGCAATAAAATTCTGTTGTTTAGGCAACCCAGTTTGTGGCATTTTGTTATGGCAGCCCAAGCGAACTAAAACAATAAGCATGGCTATAAATTCTCAGAATTTGCATCCCGAATGAGCATGAGACACACTCCTTTATTGAGCATCTGCTGTAGATCAAATCCAATAAAGGTGTTGAGAGAACACGCTACTGATTCAAAAGGAAAAGAGGGAGCTTTGTTTCTAAATTCACCTGGTAATTTTTGTCTCACATAATCAAGTCAGATTGCTTTACAGATAGGCAAAGCACAATGGGAGTAAGGACTCCAAACACAAAATCTATAGTGACACTCCTTCCTCTGATTTGCATGTGCAAATAGCATGGGGAGCTGTGTGTTTAACTAATTCATAGTCATAAATGTAAAATGTACTGAAATTTGCATTGCAAAATATTCTTGCTCCAGATGCTGAGTTTATGAGAATTTCTGTTGCTTTTTAAATTACAATCTTACAAAGATTCTAGGAGATCAGATATTACTGAGTCTATTCCATTTTAGGATCAATGCAAAGCTGTATTTTAGACTAGTTGTATATGTAAGATAATTTTGCAGTTTCCAATATAACCACTGGCCTTTAGTAAAATGTATCTTCCACATAAATCTTTACTTGTTAACGTTTTATGAAAGTTAGTGTAGAGATACAATTTTCAAGTGTGTTTGAATAAAACAGGAGCCACTTTAGATAAATTAAAACAAAGTCTTTTTCTCAAGGAAAAAATAGAAAAGCTGACATTTCATACAACAGCAACACTTTTGCTGTTTTTCTCTAGACATTTTACCCGTTACTGATGTATAATAAACAAGAGATATCGTTGAAGTCCAAATAACTTTTTTTTATAATATTTGCTGCTCAAACTTTTTCAAGCATATCATTTGAATGGAAGAAGGTACTAGAATTGTTAAGAAAAGACAAAATTGGGAAGCTTGTGAGATGCAGACTCATGGGCTGGAATGTATCCCAAGAGCTCCTGGGATTTAGAAGATGTTAGGACATTGGGCCCCAGGGTAAGGGAACCCTCCATGACCCAACTCTCCTATGTCTGAAGTACATGAGCCTCCCTGAGTGGCTCATTGGATGAGCCAGGGGTTTTGTCCAGTATGCAAGTGAATCAGTCAGGATCATAAAGTGACTACACACAATTTCACACAGTCCATGATGAAATAAAGTAAGTTACAGACACTGTGATAACCAGGATCTGGGTACCCTTTGACTTTTATCTAAGTGTTTTGAGTTAAGATAACTGACTGATAATACTACATTTCTTTAGAAGCTTCTTTGTTATTAAACGTTTTCACTGTCTTAGCCAGGAATGGAGTATCCTAATGTATGAGTTAGACCATACAGGGACCAAACCAGCAGGAGCATTCTAGAGCTCTGACAGAGGTGCATGGATTCTGGGAGGAAGGCAGGGGCACTTCAGAGTAAGACAATAAGTTCATCATCAGCCTTTCTCTTTCTTTACCATGGGCTTAAACTTAGCAACTGCTCCCATCAATGTTTTGTTTTTTGTTTTTTTGAGATGGATTTTTGCTCTGTCACCCAGGCTGGAGTGCAATGGCAGGATCTTGGCTCACTGCAACCTCCGCCTCTCAGGTTCAAAGAATTCTCCTGCCTCAGCCTCCCAAGTAGCTGGAATTACAGGCGCCCACCACCACGCCCAGCTAATTTTTTGTATTTTTGGTGGAGACAGGGTTTCACAATGTTGGCCAGGCTGGTTTCAAACTCCTGACCTCAGATGATCCAGCCAGCTTGGCCTCCCAAAGTCCTGGGATTACAGGCATGAGCCACCACTGCTCCCGTCAGTGTTGAATCACTTTCTGGAGACAAAATCAGTTCACTGTATTGAACCTAATTTTAATGTTGGTTCTCTTTTCTCGGACAAGTTATAAGGGTTCCTGCCCTAGTTCCAGCCTTGGTGTCCCTGCATTCATGTAATATTCCAGAGTCTGTAAAGGATAATCTCTCCATTCCATTTCAGGTTGGTATCATTGGCAGTCTATTGATGAAGTGCCCACTAGGCACAAAGGACTATAGTCAACATTGGGAAAACAGGAAGCTGAACATATGATCATTGCTCTCAATAAGGGGTTGAGACATCCCACACAAAAGCACAATTTGAGGGAGTGAGTGATAAATCTCTATGAAGGGGATATGCAGAAGTGAAGTTGAAGGTCAAAGAATGGTGATGAGAACAGTCACACCGTCTCCCTGGCATCAGTTTCCTTTCCTCTTACATGAAAGTCTCCGGCATACATTGAGGAGCTCCACAGCCCTGGGAAACGATTCCAGTTCCAGGGTCCAGGGGTGGAGCCCACACCCAGATCAAGCCCTGCCGCCTGTGCCCATGGACACAGGAGTTGGTTGAGGCGTAGGTCTGTTGGTGGGGTAAGGGGGGGTCATCTGCTTAAGTCTTTCCAGGTAGAAGAAACCTCAGGACTTTGCTGAGAATGCTGGGACAATGGCATTTGTCCTCTGCTCATTGGGAATAAAGAACACATGGCTCTGAAGCTGTTGTCAGTTCTTTCGGGAATGTGGGAGAACCTGCCTAAGGGAATTGTTGGGAAACATAGAGACAGAAACTGCCTGCACTGCCATCAGTGGAGCCCTGGAAAGCATTATGCGGGGCTCTGTTCTTCCCCTGGACTGCCCACCTGCTCAGTTATTTAAGCCAGGGTTAGGAAGGCTTTTTCTTTTTTTAAAAAATTATACTTTAAGTTCTGGGATACATGTGCAGAACATGCAGGTTTGTTACGTAGGTATACACGCGCCATGGTGGTTTGCTGCACCCATCAACCCTTCACCTACATTAGGTGTTTCTCCTAATGTTATCCCTCCTCTAGGCCCCCACCCCCGACAGGCCCCAGTGTGTGATGTTCCCCCTGCTCGTGTTCTTGTGTTCTCATTGTTCATCTCCCACTTTTGAGTGGGAACACGTGGTGTTGGTTTTCTGTTCCTGTGTTAGTTTGCTGAGAATGATGGTTTCCAGCTTCATCCATGTCCATGAAAAGGACAGGAACTCATGCTTTTTTATGGCTGTATAGTATTCCATGGTGTATATGTGCCATATTTTCTCTATCCAGTCTATCATTGATGGGCATTTGGGTTGGTTCCAAGTCTTTGCTATTGTGAATAGTTCTGCAATAAATATACACATGCATCTCACGTCAGTTAGAATGGCAATCATTAAAAAGTCAGGACAACAGATGCTGGAGAGGATGTGGAGAAATAGGAACACTTTTACATTGTTGGTAGGAGTGCAAATTAGTTCAACCATTGTGGAAGACAATGTGGTAATTCCTCAAGGATCTAGAACCAGAAATACCATTTGACCCAGCCATCCCATTACTGGGTATATGCCCAAAGGATTATAAATCATTCTACTATAAAGGAAAGCTTTTTCTATAAAGCATCAGATAATAAATATTTTTAGCTTTGTGTATCATGCAGTATCTGTTGCAGCTACTCAACTCTGCCATTGCATTGGGAAAGCAATCCTGGAAATTATATAAAGGAAGGCATGTTGGTATGTTTCATAAAACTTATTTATGAACACTAAAATCTGAATTTCATATAATTTTCATGAGTTATGAAATATTGTTCTTCTTTGGACTTTTTTTCCACCCACCAGAAAGCATAAGTCATCCTTAGGTCATGAGCTTTACAAAAACAGGCAACAGGCCAGATTTGTCCTATGGACTATAGTTTGCTCTGACCCTTGATGTAATGCAATAAATTCCTATCTTTTTTTATTTTGAGGGGAAAGTTATGTGTTCCATTATGCACAATCTAAAACATCCTAACGGAAAATGAAGACTTCATTAAAAAGGGGACATTTAAACCACATTTTCAGAAATCAGTAGAATTTGGACATGAAAATACAGTACAAAGAAATGACATGAGAAAATAAAGAGATTAAAAAATGCTCATGCTAGAAGTAAAGTTTGTTTTCTAGGGGGATATAAATGCACGGACCCACCAACACACAAGGAAATCATATGACCATAAAATTTGGGAATTTCTGAATCTTGTGTATTTTCTTGGAAATACAGCGTCCATTAACATATTAAATTCTCTGAGAAGTTCTGGGTAAAGAAACACTCTGTTTATCTTTGTTTAGCCGAGAACTTTCCAAGCATATTTGTTGATGAAACAACATTTTGGTGGCCTACCTGTTAGTCTCACTTAGAACAGTACTCAGGGTATACCAACACGAGCACCCTGAAAGTGAGTGATATGTTTGGACAGGTCCAGTGAGGACATTGACAGTTCCCATTTAAATGAAAGAAGTGTTAAACCTAAACAAGCAGAATAGACACCATGGATGCCCCAACCAGACAGGACCTTATTACAAAACTTCAGAGAGGAGGTAATGAGAACCTGAACTACACAAATCTGTATCTGAAATAGAAAGAAAAGGAGCAAGATCAGATTTAGAGGACAAGGGGGAGAGACTGGTCAAAATAACCAGACCCTTAGCCTAGAAGACTGAAAATGAAAAGAGAAACAGATTTCATGAAGTAAGTTTAGATTTGTTACATCGACTCTGAGCTATTTATTGGACAGCTGAAGTACCTGGTGGGCCTTCAGAAGAGAAACCACGAAGAATGTTGGGGACTTGCTCATCATCTACCTAGAGATGATGGTTAAGACCCAAGACCATGTGCAATCACTAAAAAGGATGGGAAGAAAAGGCAATTAATGAAGATTCACACACATCTTTAAGGGAAGGGAGGCAAATTTGGTCAAAAAGGTAGAAAGAGTACCATGAACACTATGGCCACATTGTTGCCAGGAAAGGGGTTCCCAATTCAGACCCCAAGAGAAGGTTCTGGAATCTCACACAAGAAAGAATTCAAGGCGAGTCACAGAGTGCAGTGAGAAGAGAGAGTATATTGAAAGCCACTCCATTACAGGGTAGGGCATCCTCAGAAATCAGGTAGAGGAACACACCAACCTCGTTTTAAGCTCTTCTTATATAGGAGTTGTCTATGTGAAGACTAAACCAAGTTGTGCCTATGTGTGGGTGGGCCGACAGCATGACAAAATTTATTATTTTTATTAATTTAAAGAAAACTATCATTGACATTTTAGTGTGTAAGTACATCAAAGCATAACTATAATTATCTGAAAGCATCTATTGTTATGGGCATTGGGACATCTGCACTTTCTGTTGTCCTGGAAGTTTGTCCTTGCAGGCATTCTAAGCTGCTTAGTTGGCTGTAAACATCATAGGACCATGGGTCGTAACTGGCGAGGAATGTGCCTTGCTACTTTTAAGATGAAGTTGATTTTAAAATAGTGTCACTCTAGCTCTCCTAGGCTCCTGCTTTCCGAACAGCATAAGCCAAAAGGGACAGTTTAAGAAGGAGAAACTGGTCAAACATGTCAAGAATAGAGAAAGGATAGGCAGGACCAAAAGACGGCCCTTCAGTGAACTTCTGAGAAATTCCTTTAGGGCAGTGAGAGCAGAAGCCCAGTTGCAAAGGAAGCCATGGTCAGTGGGCGGGGAGAGAAGGCATCTGGGGGACAGAGTTTCACTATTCCTTTTAGAAAGTTGGCAATGAAAACAATGGAAGAAATTCCACGGACTTTTGTGGGGAAAAATAAATGCATTCCATGGGAAAAGCTATTTAAGAAAAGAGAGAAGAGAGCAGTTGATGAAAGTGAAGTAATGAATGAAGATAAAAAAGGAACATGGGAGGGAGGTAGGAGGTGCAGAAGGGAGATAAAGGAAGCCCAGCAGAGCCATTGCCTCAACAGTGAGGACAGAGAAACAGAGCAGGAGACAGCTGGATTGAGACGGAGCACCAGACACATGGCATGGTTCTCATCTTCATGAACTGAGGAGCAGAGGCATTTTTGCACATGGAAGGGAGTAGCCATGGGTGCTATGGAGAGGAAATGGGCTCCGACCTCTCATATGCAGGGTAAATGTCTCCTTATCTGTGCAACTGAGACAATGATCCAAAGGCATGGCCCACAAGATGTAATAAATGCTGACTACATTGGCTACACAGTCAAACCTCAGTAAATTTTAGCTTCTGTCTTTCCATCTGCCTTTCCTTCTTCCCTCCTCCTTTCTATGTTCATTTCTTCTCCCTTCCTATTTTCCTCTTCCCTCTTTTCTTCATTCTTTCCATGGAGAGGAAAAGTTTGCAACATCCACGGTTGACGATATTACAGGGAATGCATTAATGATCTCTTTCTTCAGTCTTTCCCCAAGTCATACCCTCCCAACCAAACACACATGGCTACTGAGATGCTTCATTGCCTTCCTTTTATATTTCCTATGTATTTACCCATAGCCTTCCTGCCAGTTCAGTTTCATAAGTAAACTCCAACATCTGAGGGCTCTGAGTGTGCTTAAGTGCATCATAGCCACCATCCCGGCTGTGGGAAGAATCCCAGGAAAATATTCCAGGCAAATTAAAACCCATTCTCTTTCTAAAGACTTCCAGCAAAGGCTGATTAATAATTCATTCTGATCTTTAATAACTGTCTGTGTTAAGAAATCTTTCCTATAGATCTTCTAAATCCTGCCTGCTGCTGTGGGAATGGGAGCCTTTGAATAGTTGTGGTTAATTACTGGAGGCACCCATTTCTACTGAGATTCTTTTGCCAATAATTATTTATGAAAAGTGTGACCAGTGCACAGACCAAGTCAAATCCTCTTCTACAATTTGTTTCTCCCCTTTCAGCAAAGGTAATTGACACAGTTTCACAGAAGGCATCTAAGCTCTATGTAAGTGTGCATGAAATTCTGATACACACTGCAGTTCAACTCCCCACACTGTGAAAGAAAGCTCCCAGAGTTTGTCAAGAGCCCATGGCTCATTGGTGTAATTCTACATAAAGAAAAGAAACGTGCAAGTGTTCCAGATTCACTCAATATTCACTGCTTGCCAAGTCCTTTGCTGTTCACGAGGGCTACCCAGCAGGGCTTCTCCGTATATTATCAGGCAATGAATAAAACAAGAAAATGAATTACTCTATAAAATGCAGCCCAGCTTGGGATGGCATCAATTCCATTTTTGAAGGTGAAGAATCAGAAACCCATTTCTTAAACTTTGTCCATTTTCTCAGCTACCATCTGCGGAAAGTGGGGACGTTGCAGGACAAGATGTTGCCAGGTCTATGTGCTGGGTGGTTCAGGAGCAACTCCATCCACACTGTTGGTTTTGCCTGAGTCTATTTGCTTTTGGTTGATCAAAGTCTTGTAGTCATGTTTGAAACATCATCCATACTCTGTTTCTTTGTTATACTCCACAGCATTCTTGGCATCATCATGGCAACAAGATCGAATGCAGAACCCCCTCATCCTTCCCCTCAACATAGGCTGTCTCCTATGCCCCAAGCTCCTGCAGCTGAGGCTTTCACTGCTGCCTGTACATGTCCACACGGTTGCAATCAAGTTCATGCCTTTGTTCAGGGGCTGCATTTCTAATCAGTTCCCAGGTTGGGGCAATGCTGCTGGCCAATGCTGCTTTCATTTTGAGATGCAAGCTTCTAGATGCTCCAATTGGCCAAAATAAAATGAAATATGTGTTTAAGACATAAGCTCTTGAAATATGCATTTAGGGGATATCAAGCATAATATCAACTTTACATAAAAATTCAACTCTCTTATTACAAACTTAGCATCATCAAATAAATCATCTTTTTTTTCCCAAAGAAATTCTGAGATACCCTAGGACAGCCATGCTCAAGTCTAGTTGCACATTACAGGCATCTGGAAGGTGACAGGAAGGAGGAAGACATTTTAAAAATACAAATGCCCCAACCACACTCCTAAACAAGCTAAAGCACAATACCTGCAGGGAAGACACAGGCTTCATCTGGACAAAAGCTCCCCAGGAGACTCAATATGAAGTCAAGCTTAGGATCCACTGAACTGGCACCTCATTTTACCTTTGCCCATGACTTGACAGAAATTACACTATGCAGTCTACATCAGATATTGAAAGCAAAGTAACTTCCCAATGCTAGTTACCCAAACCACCTAGTTATGGGTAAACTTTCTCTTAATAATTCCTAACTGATGCTTTTCCAAAAACTCTGCCTCTACTTACAGAATAACCCAGATAATTTTCCCTGAAAATCCCAATATTTAATTTTGCCACTGTAGTGTTGGATAAAATATATTAAAAAATTGAATTATAATTTACAGGCATCTGTTTTTATTTTAATCTTGCAATTTTCTATTTCTTAACAGTATCTGAATATTCTTTGCTCTCCTTAGAAGAAAGATACTAATTTTAAAGGTCTGTCACTGATAATAGGTTTGAATCCATGCACAAAGAGCTTCCCTAAATGATCTCAGGAGAGAGTTTTATAAATGACTGGGGGTATTGATCCTGCTATCTTCTCTAGTTGAGCCAGAACCCCCTTAAGTGAAATGTGACCTAGATCAGGGCAATTATAGCAGAAGGTTAAGTCACCATTCAGCTGCCAGAGCCTTGGGACAAGAGCAATATTTTGCTTTTCTGATGCGACAGGAACAAGCATAGCCTGAGAGAAGAGTGTTGATGTGCAAAGATCCTGCAATTTCACTCCAGGTACATACCCAGGAGAACTGAAAATCAAACAAGTTCACATACACACGTGTATAGCAGTACTCCTCACAATAGCCATGTTAGCTAAACTCAGCCCCTCACCAACTGCACCCAAACGTCTTGTGGCCAAGAGGACCCCAAAAAACCTTCAAACTGAGCTCCTGGCCATGATGGGACAGAAGGTCGGACATGTCTCGTTATACCGCCTTCCTGTTACAGTTTAGACACAACAACTGACCAACATTAATGTTAAAATGGAGATCATAAGACTGACAGAACAGACTCTGTGGCAACAAGATACCAAATTATAAACAGGACCCAAGGCCATACCAGGCAAATGTTAAATCACACACCCCCATACTTAAAGAATAAACTATATTCTAACCAACACACATTTTTTCTTTTTCTCTAGCAGTTAAACAAGCACTGGCCATGACATAAAACAATACTAAAACAATTGTAGCCCAACTTGCTCAGGAACGTGAACTCACTCCCTGTTCCAGCAGCCATAGCTGCAGCTTTTTTTGGACAAGAGACTGATTTCTGTTAATTTTCTCCTAATAAGAAGACCACCGACTATGGACCAGTTCTGACAGGGTTACAGAGACCACGCACTTGCACGCTTCTGTATCCTGAAAAGACCTCTTGACATATAGAGCCTAACTGTAATACATTTAAATGTTAAGTCTCCACCCCAAAGTGAGCATGGGTCATATGTTACATGCATGTGTGTAATACGTATGCATCAGGACCACCTCCATGAATATTCATAGGTCCTCCTGTCACCTGTTGAATATGTGTATTAGACAGCCCATTCAGCATAAAGCTCCTGCCCCAGCTCCTCCTCTGGTGTTGGCTGGAGCCCGTGCTTCCCAGCCTGCCGGATGGCCACCTTGCGGGCTGTAACCCTTTATAGGAAAAAAAGTCTCCTCTCCTTTTCTAAATTTATAGATTGCGTTATGTTTTTGTTAACAGCCAAAAGGCAGAAGCAGCCCAAATGTCCAGCAACAGATAGACAAATAAACACATTGTGGCACACACATGCAGTGTAATAGTATTCAGCCTTATAAAGGAGTGAAGTATGGCCAGGCGCAGTGGCTCACACCTGTAATCCCAGCACTTTGGGAGGCGGAGGCAGGCAGATTGCCTGAGCTCAGGAGTTCAAGACCAGCTTGGGCAACATGGTGAAAAGCTGTCTCTACTAAAATACAAAAAAATTAGACAGGCATGGCGGCATATGCTTATAATCCCAGCTACTCGGGAGGCTGAGGCAGGAGAATGGCTTGAACCTAGGAGGTGGAGGTTGCAGTGAGCCGAGATTGGGCCACTGTTCTCCAGCCTGGGCGACAGAGCGAGGCTCCATCACAAAAAAAAAAAAAAAAAAAAAAGGAGTGAAGTACTTACCACACTACAACGTGGATGACTCTCAGAAACATCAGTTAAGTGAAAGAAACCAGAACGAAAAAGTTACATGCTGTGTGATACCATTCATATGAAACATCCAGAGTAGATAAATCAAAAGAGACAGAATGCACACTGGAGGCTGTCGGGACTGCAGAAGAGGAATGGGAAGAAACTCTTTAATGGGTAAAGGGCTTTACTTTGGAGTGATGGAAATGTTTAAACTAGATAGAGGAGATGGTTGCACAGCATTGTGAACATACTAAATGCCTCTGGATTGCTCATTTTAAAATGGCTAATTTTTATGTGAAGTTGAATTTTTTTAATATGGAAGACATTTGGCATATCTGATGGTAATAAGGCTACGGAGAAAAATAAATCCAGGAAGGAGGATGGGCAATGCTGGTGAGAGTCACATATTCACATAGGGTGGCCAGAGAAATGTGTCTCTGAAAAGCTGAATTTGAGCAAACCCTAAGGGGCTGGGGAGAGAACCATGAGGATATCTCTGAAAAGACCACTCCAGGCAGAAGGAGGTGGGAGCACATCTGAAGAACAGCCAGGCAGCCAAGGTCAGAGACTCGGCTACACCTGCACTCGTGGCTCTAAGACGCTCACAAAGACTAGAGGGTCTTATGCTAGAAACCAAAGGAACTCCAGGATGAATCAAATAGAGGTTGGTGCAGTGGGAGAAAATGAGAAATAACCTAAATTACATGTAAAGCATTGAATTTAAATCTTGTTATAAACTGAGCTACAATACTTTTACAGTGTGATTAAAACTTATTACCTGTTATAATGACTTATTATAGAAACAGCATAATTAAGTTATAAGAACTTTAATATACATTGTTAATTTACCATGTTTATTGGAAATCAGTCTCTTCAGGGAAAAAGACCATAGCTCGGGTCTCGGGGATTCCTCTGGGGAGGAGCTTGCGCGGATGCCAGGGGCTCTGGGAGTCACACAGTAGACCCTGGGGCAACCAGAGAAACCCACCCTGCAGAGGGACGGTGTGTGTTAAGCCTCAGGGATTTTGTTGGTCAGGTTTTCCTAGAAGCGCCAGGAGCAGGCTCCCAAGGGGGAAGAACTTAGACTTTGGAGCCAGGAGACCTGGGTTCAACAACAGGCCCTGATACCCACTACCTGTGCCACCTTGGGCAGGTAATCGCACCCCACTGAGCCCCAGATACCTCATCTACATATTAAAACCATGTGGGACTACACACGCACACACAGAGATGCATGCATGCACACACACACAGATGCATGCACGCACACACACGGATGCATGCATGCACACACAGATGCACACGTGCACACAGACACACACATGCACACACACAGATGCACGCATGCACACACACAAATGCATCCATGTACATGGATGCACACACAGATGCATGCATGCACACACAGATGCATGCATGCGCACACACAGATGCACGCATGCACACAGATGCACACATGCACACACACAAAGATGCACGCATGCACACACACACAGATGCACGCATGCACACACACATACACACACACACACAGATGCACTCAAGCAGTGCGTCCATCCACCCAACAGCAAAATAGATGTCAAGTTTCAAACACCATAAACCTCCCAGAACTCCCAAGCTTCGTCTTACCTGCGCCTCCCAGCCTCTCCATTCTCTGCCTCTCTTCACCTCACCCCCTGCTCCACAGCCATCCTTCTCCATCTCTCTGACACCTACTCCCTGCATTTCTGTCTTACCCCCTGTCTCTTTCCTTCTCCTCTCCCAGATCCCTAGGTTCATCTCCTCCCCCAGGAAGCCAATGCCATCTGCCTGCTACTTAGAAATGGCTTCCCCTGCCCAATTCCATCCCATTTCCTCTGCTGCTCCTTTGCCAGGGACCTCTCTGAGGTTCTGTTCTAGGTCAAGGCAGCTCTCGGGCCTCCACTCTCTTAAGTAGCAGGTATTATTGAGAGCTCAGAAGCCAGAAGGGACCTAGGGCTGATCTGACTCAACCCCTAAAGATCCAGGAAGGTGATGCCATGTATTTACAGAATGACTATATTTAAGATAGCTTGACAAGATGAAAACTAAAGACAAGCAAACAAGCAAAACTGATTACATGGTGTATAATTCATATGGTTCGCCAGGTTTTTTGATTTGTTTGATTTTGTTTTTAATTGTTTGGCACTTTACATACTTCTCCTAGAGCAATGTTTCCAAAACTGGTCTGAAGATGAGTAGGTCCCAGCTCTATGCCCAGGAGGCCCACTCCGCACAGCTTCAGAGAGCTTGGAGGCACAAGGGATTACTGTGGCAGGTGCAGCTCAGGGGCTCACCACACAGGGCTCAGGCAGGGAATGGTGGTGATATGGTTTGGCTGTGTTCCCACCCACATCTCATCTTGAATCGTAGTTCCTGTAATCCCCATGTGTCATGGGAGGGACCCAGTGGGAGGTAATTGAATCATGGAGACAGTTACCCTGATGCTGTTCTCATGATAGTGAGTGAGTTCTCACGAGATCTGATGGTTTTATAAGGGGCTTTCTCTGCTTTGCATGGCACTTCTCTCTCCTGCCACCTTGTGAAGAAGGACATTTTGCTTCCCCTTCCACCATGACTGTAAGTTTCCTGAGGCCTCCGAGCCATGTGGAACTGTGAGTCAATTAAACCTCTTCCCTTTATAAATTTTCCAGTCTTGGGTATTTCTTCATAGCAGTGTAAGAACAGATAATACAGGTGAAGCAAGGTAGAAACTGCTGGCCAGCCTGGCACAGTGCATCCTGAGGACCCAAATTCTAATCTGAGGCCCAAAAGTCCCTGTTCTCTTCAGACCTTCTCATACCTAACTCCAGTTTAATTTCTTTAAGTACCTCTCCCTCAACCACGAATCAGACCACACCAGATCCTCCTCAACTCCTGCTTCTCAGGCCAAGACAGCCCTTCAGCTGGAACCAGCCTGGGGTCTCCTGCCCTCTAGAACTTCTCTTCTTTGCTTGAGCCAGGCCTCCTGCTACTCAACTCCCCACCCCTCACCTCACCCCACAGCTCACCCCACTCCCTCACTCTTCTCCTCCCTGGCAACCTTGCTTTTCTGCGCTTCAAGGTCCAGGTCTGAGCTTTCTCCCATAAAACCTTCCTTCTGTGAATAATCTTAAGCCCCACTGCTAACACACCAATAACCTAGGCCAAAAATACTTCTTCATTGGTTTGTATTGCTCTCCAGTTGTTTCTTTTGTGTGAAGTAACTTCCAGAATCCATGACTCACAACTCGTGCTTCTTTGCTGAGCAGAGTTAGGAATTGCAAGTGCAAAGAATTCACCCAGGAAGAAATCCTGTCTAGGCCTCACTGCAACCTATGAAGAATAGATGGCTGTTGTAGCAGAAAATCCTGACAGGTTGTTTCTGAAAAGAATCTGTCCATGGTCATCCCCTAGATGCATGCAGGCTACTCCTTTGCTTAAAATACCTTCTATCTAGCATCCACCCTCTTCCTCTGAACTCTGTCTCTGTATTCATTGCCTAGGGGATACTCACACTTAACTTGTCCTGCATTAAACTGAGATCCGCTTTGCACACCCGCTCACTCCTAAACTGAGATCTGCTTTGCACACCTGCTCACTTCTAAGCTGATCTGCTCGCGGTTTTCTCCAAGTCAGTAAACCTCATTCCCATCACGCAATTGGTGCATTTGGAAACTTGGAAGCTGAAGTTCAGTGTCTCTCATTTTCCTTTGCCTTCCCCAACTCCTGCCTGCTCTGGGCAGTGTCATTCTCCGCCTGCAGTGTCCGTGTAGCCCCTTGCCCGGTTTCTGCCTTTTGTCACCCACTCCTGCCATTCATTCTTCATGTGACCCCCTGAGTCACTTTTAATGTGGACTCGAATCAACTCACCTAGCAAGTTTCCTGTGTCACCTTCAGGAAAAGCTCCAGGCCTCGTGCCGAGGCCTCAAGGCCCTGCAGCCTGTGGCCCCTGCTCCCTTTCTGACTTCCTTCATCCCCTGGCTCACTCAGCTCCTGCCAGGCCGGCCTCCCCATGCCTCATGGTGGCGATCATGGCTCCCTCCTCTCACTGCCCCTCTTCCTGTCCTCATCCCAGGCTCCTCCCTCACTGGCCTCACGGCTGTGTCAGGAAAAGCCCTAAATAGCATCCTGCCCACCCTGGCCTCCTGCCCCTCCCACAGGCTTGCTCACACCTTCATCCCTGCCTGGCTCGGCACATTCCCTGTATCCGTCTACTCCCCTGCCTAGGTCTACATCTGTGTCTGCATGTATTCACACACTCACATAAGTATCTTTATTACAATATGTACATACAGGCTATAGATGTTATAGATGTTTGTTATTGTCTTTCTTCCTTCTTTAAAGTGTAAGCTCCATAAACAGACTTATTTTCTTGTGTTCACTGCTGTATCCTCAGTACTCAGAACAGATTCTCGCAATAAATATTTGGAAAGAGAAAGAAAGAAGTAGAAAGAGAAGGACGGAAAGAAAAATAGAAGGAAAAAAGGAAAGAGAATCTCCTATTTCCAGCCTGTAGTTACTTAAGCAACCCAAATAGCACCAAAACTGGTTACTTCTATCATGTCAGAAAAAAATATTTCCTACAGATAATCAAGACTTCAAAAAGGTATTTCAAATGGATAGCCAGGTCTCTAGAGTGGCAATTAGGAGAAAATGGTAAGAAATCATTTGGAGGGGCTTTCAATTTGATGAGAGAGATTTTAGTTAGAACAGATGGATACGAAAAGTCTGAGGCTAAGAAACACAGAAGAATGGGGAACAATTAGCAAATGTGTAAGTGGTGAATGGCCTGAAACCCTGTGACAGACATTTATAAGTGGGCGCATGTGAAAAACGAGAAACTGCCTGTGAAAGGGGTGAGACAACACCTCACACCGCTCCAATCACAAGCCTTTGCCCAAAGCTGGTGATCACGCAGCTTTGTTAACACAGGCTGCTGTAATTGCACAGTTGCACACAGACCATTAGGAAGCTTCCGGAGCAGAGGCAGGAGGCTAATTTGGGGAGGTGAGGGGGTGAGTATTCATTTCAGAAGGTCTTCTCCCAGCCACACATGCTACTTGGAAATGGACAGCCTTGTGCTAGGGCGATTGTTCCGTTAGATAAATTACCGACATTCACACACATGCTTTCTGACTCCAGGCAGTTAAATATTCGCAAGTATCACCTGGTACCCAGAAAAACTGCACTGTCTGCTATATCATACAAACTTTATCTTTTCTTTGCTTCCAAGTTCAATTAAAACACTCTCCAGTCAAGTTCCATTGATTTACTATAACATATGCTTAAAACTCAGCGAAGATATAACTGATTTATAAAGCACAATATCCTGTTGATGAGCAAAAGATGCCATAAGGTAACTGACAAGCTGTGTTGGCAGATCATCTTGCTCATGTTATGGGAGACTTTCTCTTTTTTTTTAATGTTCTCCCTGACTCTTTTCAAAATTGCTGGGATGGTTATATAATCGATCATGTAATGTGTGTTTTCAAAGGAGCTGTGAGAGAAATACATTCTCTGAAAATCACATAGAAATTTAAAATGTCATGCAGTTTTCCTGACAAGAAATAAATATCTCTCTCTACCCTTCCAAGATGAAGTTAGTTCTGCAAGCTGCCGGGGTGGAAACATGTCCCAAGCATATCTGATCATACCAATAAGGTTTGTGCTTTCATCCCTTGACCCAACACCCCAAAAGGATAGATTTTCACGTTTAGGTTCCTGTAGCCATGAGCCCTGACAGCCGAGGAGGTTGGTGGAGAGGAAGGTCAGCTCCACTAGTCCTTTTTGACCACATCCATTCATGGAACCCACCTAGGGACTGTACAGGGACCCCAAAAGTCAGTATATAGGCATTCCATCCAGCCCGCGTTATGGAAGCGTTTTGTTGTTTGTTTTGCTATGTAAAGGAAAATAAAAATCTCAAGATCCGCTCCCCCACCCCCACAAAGTTACACAAAAATAAACATTAATCCCTGAAGCTGAGTCATAAAACCTGCTCTTACAAATGAATGGCTGTTACTAGCATTAGACAGCCAAATCCCCATTAAAAGGTAAAGGCCTCAGGCATCTGGAAGGGCTGCCCCGACAAATCATTCGTAAGTCAAATTTTGCCGGCCTCCAATAAACAAGGACATGCCAATTTTAACTTCAGGTCTGCAATCTAAGTCCAGCTGCTAGAACTCCACACCAATAATGTCCCTTTCTTTTCTGAGATGGAATTTAACTCACTCTGTTGCCGAGGCTAGAGTGCAGTGGTGCAATCTCGGGTCACTGCAACCTCCATCTCCTGGGTTCAAGCAATTCTCCTGCCTCAGCCTCCTAAGTTGCTGGGATTACAGGCATGTGCCACCATGCTTGGCTAATTTTTGTATTTTGGTTTAGTAGAAATGGAGTTTCACCACGTTGGCCAGGCTAGTTTTGAACTCCTGGCTTCCCAAAGTGCTGGGAGTACAGGTGTGAGCCACCACAACTGGTCAATAATGTCCCTTTCAAACTCACCTTAGCAGAGCAGAACAAAGTCCAGACTCATTTCTCCACCTACCCAGAGATCTCTGCATAATCGACTTTTCCTTGACTCCCTTTTTCTCTTCAGACATTCACCTTTTATGTGAAATGTAGATTTACTCGACACTAACTAAAGCATAAGTGTTCAATCTTTTGGCTTCCCTGGGCCACATTGGAAGAAGAACAATTGTCTTGGGCAACACATAAGATACACTAACATTAATGATAGCTGATGAGTTAAAAACAAGAATTGCAAAAACATCTCATAATGTTTTAAGAAAGTTTAGGAATTTGTGTTGGGCCACATTCAAAGCCGTCCTGGGCCACTGGTTGAACAAGCTTGAACTGAAGTCTCAGAGAAATATAACCATTCACATTACTCCTACCCTATACATGCCTCCTGCCCCCTTTTCAAAGGTATGTAAATCCTAAACCTCCTAAAAACCTCAGAAAAAACACCCACATATGTGTCTGTTGCTTATGTTATTCCCTAGATTCACCCTAGAGCTGGCTTAACAAACCTGGGTGAGGGAGACTCATGCCTCAGTCGCTCATTGCAGTTGTCAGCTTCTTAGAAAGAAATTGGAAACGCAGACAGCTTTCACAGCATATCCCAAACCAAACGCACTCTGAATTCTCGGAACTTTGAGTTGGGTGGGAGGCTTGCTTCCCCATGTATTTTGGATGAAGCACATGTGGACACCAGCACTAGGGAACAGCCATGATTCCACAACTCAAGCAAAGTGAAATGATCACGTAAGTAGAAAATGCAGGAAGTGAAAAGCAGACATTTTCCTCCCCATCCTAGACTTTTAGTCAAATTGCCCTCTTCAGCTTAGCTCTGAGAGACTTGGCCACATTTTTCAAGCCTGATAGTAAGAAGCAGTTCAAAGCGGATCAGCGACGAACTGTGAATGTCATGGACAGAGAAGGGCAGATGGCAAGAAAGAGAAGCCAAGACAGGTGCTTCTTGGGCCTCACATGGAGGTTTGCCCTGCCTTGGTGAGTGGGACAACTGGACTTCCAGTTAGACATGTCCTGGGTAAGGGTCTGCTGTCACCATAGCCAACCAAAAGGGTTTCTTGTATTGAAAAGCCCAGACAGGGGTATTCCTTGCCTGCCATCCTTCTCCCACACCTCACATGCCCACCATCCAGCCTGAGCTGACCAGCAGGCCACACTTACATCGTTTCAACATTTTGCTGGCACTAATCATAACATATCTTCTATTGCATTGCCAACTTTCATCGTATGCACTTGTCTCTCCACCTGCGCTGGAAGGAATTGGAAGGCAGGATTTTGTTCTTTATGGCTTCATGCTCACAGTTATCCAAGGAGCAAGACTACTGTCTAATTTACATCCGGCAAAATGTTTCCTTGCTTTTCTCCACACTTCATATACCTTCACTCAGAACTCACGTCTTGCTTTACCCCAGTATCTCACAGGCTTATCATGTGCAGCTAACGTATAACATTATAATATATAACGAGTTTCATGGTGTGCAATTGCAGGAGGCAGCACTCACCATGAAATTCGACAGCATCGCATTTCGGTTGCCAGGCTGCACTTTGGCACAGGGAACAGTCTGTCATCGATGTAGTCAGATGCTCTAGGCTGGGTGGCGATGAAAGAACACGCAGCCTCTGCTCTGGGAGGCACTGGCAAGACTGACAGCAACGCTGTGCTTGGCTCTGCCACGGGCACCCTAGAGACCATCCATCCCCTCCCCGGCCCAGACCAACCCCATCCTAATCCCTGCCCCTCACTGGGGCAGAGGGTAGCTGAATGAGTCCATAAACGCTTGCTTTGCTGCTTTTTGCCTGTGATCTGGTGTCCCTCTTGAATAACAGGCTTCTGTCCAGCCCCAAGCTCCAAGCACCTCCTTGAGCCCAAACTTCCTCCTGGGCTTCCATCTGCTGAATTTACTACTCTGTTCATAAATGTTCTCGTGTTCTTCCAGAAGCAGGGGCCCTGTCTCTACACGCTGGTCACCTCACCCTAATGGGGGGAGTCTCCAGCCCACGACATCTGACAGCTGACTCCTCTGGCGCTGACCATCTGCCTGCTTGTCCAGACCTCCATCGTCCCTCTCTGTGATGGTTAGTTTTATGTGTCTACTTGACTGGGCCAGAGAACTCATTAAACATGATTTCAGTGTGTTCGCAGAAGAGACTGGGGTTTAAATTAGTAGACTGAGCAAAGAGGCACCAGTGAGGGTGGCCTCATCCAATCCATCCCGAATAGAACAAAAATGCAGAAGGGTGAATGAATTCTGCCTGACTGCTTGAGCTGGAACGTCGATTTTCTCCTGCCCGTGGGGTTTCTGGTTCTCAGGCCTTCAGACCCACTCTGGAAATCTACACCGTTGGCTCAGGCCTTTGAACTACCCCACTGGCCTTTCTGGGTCTCCAGCTGCAGATGGTGGATTAGGAGGCTGCTCACCTTCATAATTCCCTGAGCCAGTACCTTATCGATCTCTTCATAAATAGACATACATATATATGAGGCAGGAGAATAGGGTCCTGAGGCAGGGAACCTAAGGCCGATTCACACTGACTTCCTAGAACTAATCAAAAGATAACGCCAATTTTCCAGGCCCAAGTAGCAAAAAGAACAGAGGCTACTCTCTTTGCAACTCCCTGCTTTTCTGAGTGGCAGATGAAACACTGAAACTACCTCTGATTGGTCCCCTCCTGCAACCAATCAGGCTGGTTGTGGGCCAAGTCTTCATTTACATAGGGTATACTTTGTAACTTCACTTCAGCCTTTGATTGGTCTCTTTCTGCAACCAATCAGACTGATGCAGGTCACTACTTCATTTACATAGGGTATACACCAAATAACCAATGGGGAACCTCTGGAGGGTATTTAAACCCCAGAAAATTCTGTAACCGGTTACTTGAGGCTCTTGCTTGGGTTACTCCTGTACTTTCATTTTCAATAAATGCATGCTTTTGTTGCTTCATGCTTTCCTTGCTTTTTTGTGCATTTTGTTCAATTCTTTGTTCAAGGTGCCAAGAATCTGGACACCCTCCACCAGTAACATGTGTGTGTGTGTCTGTATATATTTATCTTCTGTTGGTTTTATTTCTCTGCAGAGCTTGATCCATATGCCCCCCTTACTTGACCCTGATGTCTTTTAGAACCACACACTGCATCCAGTCTCCAATGCTCTCGGTTGCCCCCGTCTGTGGCCTATAATGCCACACCTCTGTACACCAATGTTCTGTGGGCCACCAAGCTCCTTTCTTATTCTTATGGACAAACCTACTTTGGTTTGACCTTGCTGTAGCTAAGCCCCTGGTAAGATGCAGCACTCAAACCACTTAACATTTTCATGTCACACTTCAAACAAAGCAACTGAATAAAAATAAACAAAATGAAACAACAACCAAAATCTTATTCTCATGATTTTCTAGTAGGTGATGGAAATTGCATGCACAAATCTTATTAAACTTTGCAGGTCAAAGTTATGTTGGACCTTTCCTCCCACTGAGAGCACCAAATGCTTTTTTTCTGTTAGGATCACATGATTTTTGATGTATTGTGTTACTTTATTTATCATTGCTTACATAAATAACATTTAAATATGATTTACTATGTTTAAGGCTGAAGCTCTAGACTCCATTTATTAAGAAATTATATCTCTCTTCTTTTAGAAAGTCCTTCGTGCATTCTACTCTTGTCTCCCTTGTTTTCTCTCCCACCGAGCCCAGTGGCACACATATGAACTTGCGCATATGGCACACACTTTCCTAGTCATGCCAATAGTCAGCTTCTCCATCTCAATAAATGAGTCAGCAGAGATGGGGTTCTTATACAGGGCCTCTCTAATAAATTGAACATAACTTAAAAGAAAAACCAAACTGTGGCATCAAATCACACGATCACTAAAAGAATACTGGCAGGACAGTGATGACGGAGCACAAGGAGCTAAAGGAGAATAACAATCCAGCTGAGACACAATTCAGGAATTAATGGAGATGTAGTCCAAAGTGAACTCTCTATGAAGAGAAGAAAGCATAGCCCTTTTTAGACCCAAAAGGGAACTGAAAAAGGCCAGTGGGAAATGGTGCTCTGCAATGGGGATGCTCAGGGGGCTGTGGGATTCCCTTCAAGTGAGTTCCATCCACCTCCTCCAAGACGAGATCCTGAGGGGCCAGAGCAGCAGGCATTGGAGGACTCCCAGCACCACCGGGACACGCATACGAGGAAGGCACCCAGATCAGAGTAGCTGGGAAAGGCACCTCCTTGCAGGGGATCCTGGCTCCAGAGGAGGCTCAGTGTGGTTGCCTCTGTAAGCCTTCAACACCACAGGAGTTTCACATCAAGAGAACCACCACCTTTATTTGTGAAATCCGTAGAAGCAATGACTATACAAGAAAGATCCATAATAAATATGTCTCACGAATCAGACAGCACTATTAAAATGCCAGATGTTTTTTATCTCATGATTTTTTGAATCATGTTACAAAAGAGTGAAAGTGAGTAAATTTTAAATCACAAGCGTGACTCTTAAATATGCAGCAGAATTCCAAAGGTGGCCAGTTTCCACATGGAGTCAGCGATTCCGTGGGTCAACTTACAACCTCACAGCATGATGATGAAAACCTCCTTACACTATTTGCCTTGATCTGTTTCTCAACACCAGATATAAAGTGTTTGATGTTAAAACCATACTCAACTTTATGACTTGATGCCCATGGAAATATTCCATGAAAACTATGCAAAAGTATATGCTGCCTGAATATGGGATGCTAGTGCTTATAAGAAAAACAACAAAACTCCAACAAAAGAAAGTCACCTGTCCAGATGGGGAATAAAGTCACCACAATGCATAGCTCCACTGTGTGGTCACAGAGTCTTGGATGTATGCCTAAAAGAAGCAGCATTCTTCTCTCCTTTATTTAGCAACCTCAGGGCATTCCCTGTTTGAGCCTCTGAGACCTGTCTCCTCTGACCAGAGTAGTTGAGAGAAGAGGTCAAGGGAGCAAACTTTGACCTTGAGATCCAGCAGTAGTTCTGCAAGACAGGTCCCCCAGCTCTACCTTTGTGGCCTTGGGCAAGTCACTCACGCCTCTGTACCTGAGCATGCACATTGGCAAAATGGGAACCGTAGCTGTACCTACTACACGGAGTGACTCGCCTCTCCATGCCTTGGTGCCCGCATCAGTAAAATGGTGACAATAACCCTCACTAATTCATGGACTTGCCATGGTGTGTAAATGAGTTGGTAAAAATCTGAGAAGAATGCCTGGCCCTCATAAGTATTTGTATAAGTGTTTGCAATGATTTTTATCTTAAGAATGATGTGTCTGATCCCTTTCTGTCTCTTATGACCATTTCTCAATAAATCCAGAACCCAGAGGGGAGGGAACATTGTTCCTTCACCCACCCAGCATGTTAGAGACCAGTCAAGGGCATTTGGATCCATCTGGGCAGGAAGATCAGTGAGAAGAGGCTGTAGCTGTACAGAGAAAGGAGGAAGGGACAGGGTACAGGCAGTCAAAACTGGGAACTAGCTCGGGTAGTTACACACGTGCACTGATAACACAGCTGCACCTGCCACTCAACACCTGTCATGGCTCAGAGGACTGACTTTGGGGAAAGCCTAAGCACTAAGTCACCAAGAAAGGTGAATGCTAATGGAGCAAGCTGGGAGTCCTCAGCTACCTTGACACTGGGAATCCAAACGCACATTCCCAGGCCCTATTATGATTCAGACCAACGGAATCAGAAGCGCTGGGGGTGGGATCCAGAAATCTGTTTTAATAAGCCTCCCAGGAGATTCGTAGGGATACAAGGCTTGAGAACTTCTGTAGAACAGGACTCCACAAACTGTGATCCATGGGCCCAAACTGGCCCGCCACCTATGTTAATTAAGTGAAGTGTTAATGTAAAATAAGAAGAGTATTCATTTGCATATTGTCTATGGCTACTTTCAGGCTCACAGCAGAGATGAGTCATTGCAACAGAGGCCATGTGGCCCCTGTCACGCTTGTCCATGTGAAGAGACCACCAAACAGGCTTGTGTGAGCAATAAAGCTTTTTAATCACCTGGGTGCAGGCAGACTGAGTCCGAAAAAGGAGTCAGCAAAGGGGGATAGGGGTGGGGCAGTTTTATAGGATTTGGGTGGGTAGTGAAAAATTACAGTTAAAGGGGGTTTTTCTCTTGTGGGCAGGGGCAGGGATCACAAGGTGCTTGGCGGAGAGGTTCTGAGACTCATTGTCTAGAAGGAATGTCATAAGGTTAATTGATCAGTTAGGTTGGGGCAGGAACAAATCACAATGGTGGAATGTCATCAGTTAAGGCAGAAACTGACTATTTTCACTTCTTTTGTGATTCTTCAGCTGCTTCAGGCCATCTGGATGTATACGTGCGGTCACAGGGGATATGATGGCTTAGCTTGGGCTCAAAGGCCTGACAGCCCTCAAAGCCTAAGTTATTTACTACCTGACCCCTCCTAGACCAATCCCGCTGACTCCTGCTCCAGAGCAGGTGCTAATTATGCCAGGTCCTGTGGGCCCCTATTGCCCCCTCTATAGTTAATTCTACTCCATGCCCAGCTGTGCTCCCTCCAAGGCCCAGTCCAACACCCACTTCCTTTCTGAAAGCTTTTCTGCTTCTGTGCCTAACACTGTATCTGAACGAGCCCTACTAGGTGCACAGTAAATATCTACTAAGTGCAAAAAGTGGATAAATAAATGGAATACACTGAGACAATTTTTTCAGATCTTCATTCCAGTGGAAACTTCTGAAGGTCATATCCACTGCTGTTAGTTTTCTAGTTCCAGCTAGCATTTCAGTAGTAACTTAAAAGAAATATGATAGGCCAATTATTCCTTAAACAGGCAGTCTTGACCCTCTTTGTGCGTGAAATAGCACATTGTGCATATTGATAGTGCTGATGAAAGTGTGCAAAGGTCATGTACGCTTTAGGTAGAGAGCAGAAGGGCACAGTTGAGGCTTCTTCTCCAATAGATCCAGTCACTGTCTCAATTGATCCAGTCCCTAAGAAGAAGACTATGTAGATTTCCATTTCTGCTCAGTGAAGCAAATAAAACTGAATTTGGTGGTTATCTATCTCAGTCTTATCTACAACCCACAGACAGACTTGAAAGCCATTACATGACAATCAGATATAAACCAAAAATGGGAGAGATCCTTAACAACAACAAAAACAATGCTGAATCACTCTGGGCCCATTTCAAAGCCTCTAAAATCCGTGGGAGAAAAAGATTATCCCTGTCACAGAGGATCCTAACAAGAATTATTTGTCTTCTACTATTTGTGACCTAAAAACCAAAAGTTTCTAGAAACGACAGTGGATATCTCAGGACATCCTCAATTCTCCTAATTTATTTTGTGCTTTGATCATAAATATGCAGTATTTAGTTACAAAAAAAACAAGCTGTATCTCAGTTCCCATGACAGATGGTTACATACAGCTCAAATGTACCTATCATTTTATTTCCAAACAAAATATACCCTGGTCTTCTATAAAAGTTTGATTCTTCATCATTTTCCCTAAATCCAAATGGTAACAGGTTGTAACGGCCTTGGATAAACCATTTTCCAACATTCACTCTCGGGTAGTCGGAGGACTACACTGTGACTCTAGGCCAGCCTATGATTCTCTTCATGAATAATAATGTTTTGGAAGTGACACTGTACCAGTGTCTAAACCTTGAGATGGCCTGGAAGCTTCTGTTTTTATAATCTTGGGAGCCCTGAGCTGTTTTATTGGAAGTGCAGCTACTCTGCTGGAGAGGCTGTGGGGAGAGACCCAGACGCTGGGGACCCCTAAGAAGACCCTGTAGCTACATGGAGAGACCCTGGAGTTATAAGGAGAGTCCCTGGAGCTACATGGAGAGCTAAAGAGGCCCACTGTCCCACTGTCAGAGGCATTTGAACCAGAGCAACTCCATCTTGACTGGGGGCTGGGTAAAAAGAGGCTGAGACCTACTAGGTGGCATTCCCAAGAGGTTAAGGCATTCTAATTCACAGGATGAGATAGGAGGTCTGCACAAGATACAGGTCATAAAGATCTTGCTGATAAAACAGGTTGCAGTAAAGAAGCTGGCCAAAATCCACAAAAACCAAGATGGCCATGAGAGTGACCTCAGCTCATTGCATGCTAATTATAATGCATTAGCATGCTAACAGACACTCCCACCAGTGCTACAACAGTTTACAGATGCCATGGCAACATCAGGAAGTTACCATGTATGGTCTAAAAAGGGGAGGAACCCTCAGTTCCAGGAATTGCCCACCCTTTTCCCAGAAAACTCATGAATAATCCACCCCTTGTTTAGCACATAATCAAGAAATAACCATAAAAATGGCCAACCTGTGGCCCCTGCTGCTGCTCTGCCTATGGAGTAGCTATTCTTTTATTCCTTTACTTTCTTAACAAACGTGCTTTCACTTTACTCTATGGTCTCGCCTCGAATTATTTCTTGCAAAAGATCCAAGACCCATCTTTTGCGGTCTGTATTGGGGACCTCTTTGGGGTGACACCAGTATCTCAAATGAGTCTTCCAATGACTCCAGCTCCAGCTGCTACCAAAGTGCAAATGCCTGTAGGATCTAGAGTGAGCAGAAGAACCACCAGCTGAGTCCCTCAACACAGGGAACCACAAGAGATAATAATATTGTTGCTTAATGTTTTGCAGAGGTTTGTTACACATCAATAGGTGGTCAGAACGGCAACAGGGGTTGGCTTGTACCTGAGGAAACATTTTATTCTGGATTCTCTAGAGGAAATCTCCCTGGGATGGCCCAGGGTAGCACCATGCAGACGCTCTTCTGCTTGGGAAAAGTTCAGAGAAACACCTGAAGGTAAAGGTAAAATAAAGTCTCTACAAAAGCAAGTGTTGTGCAGGTGAGAGGGGCTGGCTGGTACTGTCATGCCGGGCCTCTCTCAGGGACAGGTCTCCTTGGCAAGACCACCACAGCCCAAAGTATGGTCATCAGCTTTGGACAGAATTTCTTCTTTTTCTTTCTCCCCCACCCTTTATTTTTTTTATTATTATACCTTAAGTTTTAGGGTACATGTGCACAACGTGCAGGTTTGTTACATATGTATACATGTGCCATGTTGGTGTGCTGCACCCATTAACTTGTCATTTAACATTAGGTATATCTCCTAATGCTATCCCTCCCCACTCCCCCCACCCCACAACAGGCCCCAGTGTGTGATGTTCCCCTTCCTGTGGCACATATACACCATGGAATACTATGCAGCCATAAAAAATGATGAGTTCATGTCCTTTGTAGGGACATGGATGAAGCTGGAAACCATCATTCTCAGCAAACTATCGCAAGGACAAAAAACCAAACACCGCATGTTCTCACTCACAGGTGGGAATTGAACAATGGACAGGCTTTCTTTTCAGTATCACAGCACATGTAAAATCCCAAATATGCTGGTAAACACAGGCTCAGAAACCAGATCTAAGCATAGAATTGAACGCTTTCTCAAGACCACATGTTTACACACTTTTTCATGACATTCCACATCAATACAACATAACTTGACCGTGTACAGTAATATGTGTGTGTGTTGCGTTTGTGTCTACACTGTTATATTAATGTGCTACAGATGTTATAAAAGAAACGCTAACATGAAAAGTAAAAGAGGGATGTCAACAGAAGTTCCCATACATTCTTCCCTTCCTACGCCCTTGTACTCTGGGTCCACACTTTGGGAGATCGCTCTGGTTGGGGAGTGGGGAGGAGGGAGTGGGATGGGGTGAGGTTTCCTCAACACAGGAGCAGTGCACGGTTCCAGCGACTGAGGCACCCGTCAATGCCACAAGTAGCCTTTCTTTCTCCAGCTCAGTGCTCAGTTAAAATTTGACAAATTTTGACTTCCTAATTCCTTTCTCTAAATCCCTTCTCCCTTGACATGTGAATATTCAGTCCATTATTTGGGATTACACAGTCTTTGCCCCCTTTAAGCTGATAGGGTTTCCTCCCTGCAGGAAGCTGGCTGCAGGCCATATCACCTTTCGTCTGTGGCTACTTTGTAGAACCTCCCTGACAAGTGTGGGGCTTCAAATCCAAGGGGTGGGAGCAGGACTTGGCTGCCTGGGACACATGCAGTGCCCTGGAAAGCAGCTTGGAAAGCACCCAAGATTTCCTTCTTTAGAGAATCAGAATGAAGGCAGAACAGGGTTTCTTTCTATTGTTGCTCTTCTCCTCCCATCTGTTACTGCTCTCTTCCGTCTCCCTGTTCTATTCCGATCATGCCAACTGGGTGTAGAATGAATGAAGCAAGGAAAGAGGCACCTTTGCAAGACACTGTGCTTTGATCTGAATGATCAGGTATTGAGACTTCTTAAAATGCTAATTCCTGCCATTCCTTCTATGTCCATAGGGGAAAAATAACTCATTCTCTTCTTCTTGGGAACACTGAAGTTCTGCATTTTAAAGCAAAGATTTTTCATTTTTTTATTAAAAGAAAAGACAAAAAACAAACAGACATCACCCAACAGGGGAGGGGGGAGGGATAGCATTAGGAGATATACCTAATGCTAAATGACCAGTTAATGGGTGCAGCACACCAACATGGCACATGTATACATATGTAACAAACCTGCACGTTGTGCACATGTACCCTAAAACTTAAAGTATAATAAAAACAATTTAAAAAAAAGAAATACTAGTAACATAAAATGAAAAAAAAATGGTCTTTTATTTGGAAAATATTAATGAATCTTCCAAACAAGGCTGTAGGATACTGTAATATAAAAATTAATTGAATTTTGTGTATTAATAATGAAACATAGATATAATTAATAAAATAATATAATACCATTTACAAATGCATCAAAATATGAAATATATAAAGAAAAATTTGTCAAAAAAGTTCAAGATCTATACACTAAAAAATACAAAATATTAGCTGACAGAAGTAAGTAGAACCCCAATAAATGGAGACATACACCATGTCCACAAATCAGAAGACTCAACATAGTAAGTAGGCAATTATACATAAGATGATCTATAGATTTAATATAACTCCAATCAAAACCCAGCAGGATTATTCGTAGAGTTGATAAGCTAATTCAAAAATTTACATGAAAATACAAATAACGTAGAAAAGCCAAACAATGTTGAAAAAGAACAAAATTCGATAGTCCACACTACTTAAAAGACTGACTATAAATTTATAGTAGCTGGACAGCATTCGCATACATTTAAACATATAGAACAATGGAACCAAAGAAAAAGTCCAGAAACAGGACATGCATATATGTGAAATTTATTTTCAACAAGATGCCAAGGTAATTCCATATGGGAAGTGGATACATTTTTCAACAAATGGTGAGAGAACACTTGGACATCTATACTAAAAATAAATAAACCTGGACCTAAACCAATACCATTTAAAAAACTAACTCAAAAAGGATAATAGGTTTAACAATAATAGCCACAACTATAAAACTTGTAGAAGAAAACATAGAGAAAAACTTTGCAACCTCAGGAAAAGCAAGGATTTTAAAAATAAGGCATAGGAAGCACAAACTACATTAAACATCACCATAATTTAAAACTTTCGTGCTCCAAAAGCCACTATCTTCTTCTGATTTGTGTTACCATAACAGAATACCTGAGAACAGGTGACAGGGTTTGGATCTGGGTCCTCACCCAAATCTCATGTCAAACTGTAATCCCCAGTGTTGGCAGTGGGGCCTTGTGGGAGGTGATGGATCATGGGGCAGATTTCCCATGAATAGGTTAGCATCATGCTCTTAGTGCTGTCCTTGCAATAGTAAGTGTGTCCTCACAAGATCTCGTTGTTTAAAAGTGTGGCACCTCTCCCATCTTTCTCTTGCTCCTGCTGTGGCCATGTGACATGCCTGCTCTTCCTATGCTTCCCACCATGATTGTGAGCTTCCTGAGGCCTCCCCAGAAGCTGAGCACACCATGCTTCCTGTACAGCCTGCAGAACCATGAGCCAATTAAATCTCTTTTCTTTATAAATTAGCCAGTCTCAGTTATTTCTTTATAGCAATGCAAGAACAGCCTAATTCAATGGATAAATTATAAAAAACAGAAATTTATTTCTCACATTCTGGAGGCTGGGAAGCCTAAGATCCAGGTGTGGTGTCTAGTGAGGGCCTTCTTGCTGCATCCTCATGTGGCAGAAGGCAAAAGAGCAAGTGAGAACCAATCCCCTCCTGAAGGCCTTTCTTATAGTGGCATTGATCTGTTCCTGAAGGCCAAGCCCTCATGACCAAAACACCTGCCAAAAGTCCCCATCTCCCAATACTACTGCATTGGGGATTAAGTTCCCAACACATGGTTTTTGGGGAACACATTTAGACTATAGCAGACACCATTAAGAAAATGAAAAGGCAAACCACAATATTATATGAGATAAAATATTTGAGTAACATATATTCAGTAAAGTATTTCTATTCAGAATGTAACACACACATTTTTAATTCAATAATTAGGAAGAACCTCAGGGTTTTTTTTTGTTGTTTATTTTTGTTTTTGTTTTTGTTTTGAGATGGAGACTTGCTATGTTGCCCAGGCTGGAGTGCAGTGGTGCAGTCTCAGCTCACTGCAACCTCCACCTCCTGGATTCAAGTGATTCTCCTGCCTCAGTCTCCCGAGTAACTGGGATTACAGGTACCTGCCACCACACCTGGCTAATTTTTTGTATTTTTAGTAGAGACAGGGTTTCACCATGCTGGTCAGGCTGGTCTCAAGCTCCTGACCTCATGATCTGCCTGCCTCGGCCTCCAAAAGTGCTAGAATTACAGGCATAAGCTACCAGGCCTGCCCAATACCTCAGTTTTTTAAATTAGCCAAAATATTTGGACAAACACTTCACCAAAGAGTATATGCATATAGCAAATACATACATGAAAAGACGCTTGTCATTTTTGGTCGTTAGCAAAATGTAAATTAAACCACAGAGTGACTAAAATTACAAAGACTGACAATATCAAGTGATGTCAACAATTTGGAGCAACCAAAATTCTCCTACATTGCTGACAGGTTGGGAAATGGCACTGCCATTTTAGGAAACAGATTGGCAGTATCCCACCAAGTTAAATGCACACTTACCATAAGACATTAGCAATTCCACTCCCAGGTAGTTACCCAAGAGAAATAAATACATATGTCCATGTAAAGATTTGTTTGTTTATTCTTAGCAGCATCATTCATTATAGCCAGCATCTGAAAAGAACCCAAGTGTCCATCAACCAGAAAGTGGATAAGCATATTATAGAACTCCATACAATGAGATACTACTCAATAATAAAAAATAGTAAGTTACTGCTATACGCTGCAATATGGATGAATCTTCAAAGCATTATGCTAAGTGAAACCAGCCAGATACAAAAGGCTACATACTGTTATGCTTACAAGGCAATCTGGAAAAGGCAAAACTATGGTGATAGAAAATGGATCAGCGTTTGTCAGGTGTTGGAGGCTTGGGAAAGGGATTGACAGCTAAGTGGTACAGAAAAACTTTTGGGGCTGAATATAATGTTTTATATCATGATTGTGCTGATGGTTAAATGACTATATATTTTTGTCAAACTCATCAAATGGTACACTCACCACTAGAGATTTTATTATATAAACTTCCACTGAGCTGAGAAAAGACAAAAAAAAAGACAATTGCAATTTGACCTATTTTTCAATCACATTGATAAGGGATTGAAAGATAAACCCTGGATGGTCAACAATAATTATCCCAGGTTGTTTGGGTTTTTTGGCTAAAGGTGTCTTTTTTGAGATTTCCAAAAGACAAATTATATACTATGCGACCAGTGAAATTTTAATTTTAAATATTATTTTTCTTTTTAATGTATCACAAATCTCAATAAATATATTTGAGTGGAAGTTGAGAAAGAAAGATGGTTCCTGTTTTTCTCAATCATCTTCTCTGTCAATCAATACGCTCCCCGGTGACGAGACATGCTGGAGAGGAAGGCTAACGACAGCAGAGCACAGGGCAGCCCTTCCCCTTCCATGTGCTGAGATACCCTGCCCCACTTTTCGGCTCCTTGCCTGGAGCTTCAGGAAACACCAAGGACCAGAGAGGCTATCAGTAAAGGATCACCCCATCTTGTGGGCCTCCCACCCCGGGGACCTCCACACCCCAGGGCCTCCCACTCACCCCGGGGACCTCCTTCTCACCCCATGGACTTCCCCGGAACCTCCCTATTCCATGGACCTCCCACTTGCCCCAGGGATTTCCCCATCCCATGAACCTCCCTTATCACATTAATCTCCCACTGCAGGGACCTCCCCACCCATCTACCTCTACACCGCATGGACCTCCCACCCCATGGACCTCCCACCCCATGGACCTTCCCACTACATGAATCTCCCCACTTCATGGACCTTCCCACCCCATGGACGTTCCCATTACATGGACCTCCCACCACATGGACCTCCCCACCTTAGGGATCTTCTAGCTCCATGGGCCTCCCCATGGACTTCTCACCACATGGACCTCCCACCCCATGGATCTCCCACTCCATGGACCTCCCACCAAATGGACCTCACACCCCAGGGTCCTTCCACCCCAGGGAACTTCCAACTCCATGGACCCTTCTCACCCATGGATCTCCCTCTCCATGGACCTCCCCACTCATAGCCCTCCCTCTCCATGGGCCTCCTGACCCTATAAACCTCCCATCCCAGGAACCTCCCACCCCATAGACCTTCCCACTCCATGGACCTCCCCATCCCATGGACCTCCCCACCCCATGGACCTTCCCACTCCATGGACCTCCCCACCGCATGGACCTCCCTAACCCATGGACCTTCCTATTCCATGGACCTCCCCGCTGCACGGACCTTCCCATCCCATGGACATTCCCCACCCCATGGACCTTCCCCACCCCATGGACCTTCCCACCCCATGGACCTCCCACCACATAGACCTCCAAATCCATGGACCTCCCCACCCCATGGACCTCCCACCCCATGGACCTCCCACCCCATGGACCTTCCCACTACAAGAATCTCCCCACTTCATGGACCTTCCCACCCCATGGACGTTCCCATTACATGGACCTCCCACCACATGGACCTCCCCACCTTAGGGATCTTCTAGCTCCATGGGCCTCCCCATGGACTTCTCACCACATGGACCTCCCACCCCATGGATCTCCCACTCCATGGACCTCCCACCACATGGACCTCACACCCCAGGGTCCTTCCACCCCAGGGAACTTCCAACTCCATGGACCCTTCCCACCCATGGATCTCCCTCTCCATGGACCTCCCCACTCATAGACCTCCCTCTCCATGGGCATCCTGACTCTATAAACCTCCCACCCCAGGAACCTCCCACCCCATAGACCTTCCCACTCCATGGACCTCCCCATCCCATGGACCTCCCCACCCCATGGACCTTCCCACTCCATGGACCTCCCCACCGCATGGACCTCCCCAACCCATGGACCTTCCTTCTCCATGGACCTCCCCACTGCACGGACCTTCCCACCCCATGGACCTTCCCCACCCCATGGACCTTCCCACCCCATGGACCTTCCCCACCCCATGGACCTTCCCACCCCATGGACCTTCCCCACCCCATGGACCTTCCCACCCCATGGACCTTCCCCACCCCATGGACCTTCCCACCCCATGGACCTTCCCCACCCCATGGACCTTCCCACCCCATGGACCTCCCCACCCCATGGACCTCCCACTCCCTGGACCTCCCACCACATGGATCTCCCACTCCCTGGACCTCCCACCCCATGAACTTTCCCATCATATGGCCCTCCCCACTGCATGACTTTTAAAAATTTTAGCTCATATGGGAATCACCTCTTTTGAACTTTTCATGAGCTCTGTCCTTTCTTCATGTTACAAAGGCCAATCTTTATAGACTAATCTCTGGGACAAAAGAAGTAGTCCTATTTTAATTTATTTTTCTTTACATTATGAACAGAATGACACAGAAAGTTCTTTGAAAGAAGTCTATCTGGGAAATCGGGTGTGGGTCGGGATGGTGAGGGAGGGAAGGAAAGAGGGAGGAGAGAGTTATTTCATGAGAGGGCAGGCAGATGCTTCCTGGAAAAGGGCATCCAGGGTTTTCAGTGGAATTGGTGGCCTCACTAATGAGTTGGATTCTTGCGGTAGGGTTAACATCTCCATGTGTCTGATGCCACGATTATCTTGAGAGCTGATGCTGCAGTGAGAAGGGAGAAGGCAACCCAGATCTGAAGGTTCAAAATAGCCTCTTCCTGGACCCCAAAATAGAATCACACTTGTCCCTGGAATTCAGCTGAATGTGCTCAATGACAGTTACAAATGGCAGCCTCATTCTCTCCCCCTTGGGTTCTCCAGCAAGCCCATTGCACGTGAGCTGGGATTTACGTTTCTCATCTTATATTTAAAGCTATAAGGCAGCAAATTCTATCATCTTTATTTGAAATATAGAAAATCTATGACTATGATAAATTACATAATTAGCCTCATTCATGCTATAATTAATTAATTTTGATTCAACATTTACTGTGTATTCATTATATAAAATACCATCTACCGCTCAAAAAAGCATGGAGAATTTGAAAGAAATAAAGAAATTCTCAGAACTCTTACTCACACAAACTCATTGCAGCACAGCTGTGCCAGAAGCATGGGCTTCTGAGGTTCTGTGTGCAGTAGCTGGGAGTGTGAGCCTTGGGGGCAGATCACCTGGATTTGCATCTTGGATCTGCTACTTATCAGCTCTGTGATTGGGAGCAAGCTTCTTGAGCTCTCTGTGCCTCAATTTTCTCATCTGTCAAAGAAGACAATGATTGTAAAAGGAAAGCAGTCACTTGAGCCCAACATAGTAGTAGCAGGTTAAGATCAGCTAATGATATGCCGTTGAGTTGTAGGCTTTGGAAATTCCTCAGGAGAGACTCTAGGCTCAGAAATCCTGATAGGAAGTCAATCCACAAGACCAGGAGGAAAGCATGGATCCTTACAGGTGCTGACCAGGAGACTGGGACCTGGAACTCCCTAGCTGCCCCATTACTGAGGCCTATGTTTTCATAGGCTCACAGAAGTCTTGCATTCTCCCAACTGTCTCCTGATTAAACGAGGAAGCCCAGAGACAGACAGAGCAGAGAGTTCCATCTGGGGACCAGTTCATGTCCATTCTTTATATCCCTGCCTCCCTTCAGGCCTCAGCAGCACACGGCTTAGGAAACCTGGGAATAACAGACTCCGCAGGCATCATACTCATTCAGCATCTGCTGAGCCTCCACTTTCTCTTTGATGACTGTAGTGCTTCCTCCTGCCCTAGCAGGTGTCAAAGACATTCAACACCCTGAGGGGAGGCCATAGATCCTGACACAGCACTCTACATGCAGGCATCTGTGTTCCCAGACTGACCCCATGCTCCGAGGAGATGTGGGCAAATCCACCTGCCCATAGGTCATTTCACACCTGCTGGGCCTCTGCTGTCTTTCCACCCACCTCTGTCCAGACAACAGCTTTGAGTTGATCCCCAACATGATGAAAGACTCCTCTGAAACATGAAGGCCCTTCAGCAGAGACATGAGAGGTGATGTAGCCAGCCACACGCTCCCAGGCTTGATGACTATAGATCCACAGGCCAGAAATGATAGTGCATTGCACAAAAAGAAGCACAAGTAAGTAGTGACCCCTTCTCCCACACCAGGCCTTTCAGATGCATCATTGCTTGTCGTGGGCTGAACGATGGCCCCCAAAATATATTTCCACCTCCTAACCCCTAGAACCGCTGAATGTGACCTTATTTGGAAAAAGGGTCACATCCATGGATGTCTTACTCCGTTTGTGCTATTATAACAAAATACCACAAACTGGGCAATTTATAAACAATGGAAAATTATTTTTTACAGATCTGGAGGCTGGGAAATGCAAGAAGAAGTTGCTGGCAGGTTTGGTGTCTGGTGAGGGCCACTTTCCAGGTTCACAGACGCCGACTTGTTGTTTTGTCTTCATATGGTGGAGGGAGCAACCAAGCTCCCTCAGACCTCTTTTATAAAAGCACTAATCCCGTTCTCAAGGGCTCTGTCCTCATGAACTAATCGCCCCCCAAGGGCCCCACCTCCTAATACCATCACATTTGGGGTTAGGATTTCAAATAATGAATTTTAGGGGGATATACACATTCAGTCTACAGCAGAGTAAAGAACGGAGTGAAGGATCTCTAGGTGAAGAACTCAGAAGAACTCATCCTGGATTATCGGGGTGGACCCTAAATCCAATAGCAGGTTTTTGTTTTGTTTTGTTTTGTTTTGTTTTTATGGTGTTTTGCTATGTCCCCCAGGCTGGAGTGCAGTGGCATGATCTCAGCTGACTGCAACTTCTTACTCTCGGGTTCAAGCGATTCTCATGCCTCAGCCTCCCGAGTAGCTGAGAGTACAGGCGCACGCCACCACACCCGGCTACCAATAGCAGGTGTTCTTTGAAGAGACACACAGAGAAGGGAAGTTCAGAGCCACGCAGCCACAAGCCAACGTCTGCAGCCACCAGAAGCTGGAAGAGAGAAGGAAGAATCCTCCCCTAGAACCTTCAGTGGGAGTGCAGCCTTCCTGATACCTTGAGGTCAGACTTCCAGCTTCCAAAACTGCCAGAAAACAAATTTCTGCTGTTTTAAGCCACCACATTTGTGGTAATTTGTTATGGCAACCTCGGGAAACTCATACACTGCTCAAGAGGAAAGGATCTAAATTCAGTTACACCACAGGGTCTATTTGGGATGCAGATGTGAGAAGGCAGTGGCTAAACCTAAAAACAGGTGACAGCTGACTTGTTTGTTAAATAGATGATACTAGTAGCAGTTTCTGAGAAATTCTCCCATGCTGTTGCAGACCCTCCTACCTTTGGTAATTAAAGGTACTGAGAACTACAGCTGACTGCACCTTCCACGCAATGTGGGGCATTATTGTACTTGGAGGTAGAAGTCCTAGCAGTGAAGCTGGAAGAAAAAGAGGGTGATTTAATGGAAGCCACAATTACAGTCAGCACAATGCCTCTGCTGGCTCCTGAACACGGACTTTAATTTGGGTTTATTGTGTACTTTAGTGTGAAATTGATCATCCCGTTACCAACTCACTTTCTCTTGTTTTTGCTGTTGCCAAGACTTCATGACTCCTACATAAAGCCATCATCATCTCCTCTGGATGCATTTTATTAGTGCCCAGGTTTTCAGCCTGGGTTATTGCTTTCTTTCCTGGGAAGCGCAATGCCCACCCACACATCTCATCAAACAGACAGGTAAAGCAACAGCTGAGCAGGGGCTCATTAGCATTTCCAGAACAGCCTGATGATGTTTCCCAAACTTCCTGGCCCGTTGCTAGCTGTGAGTCTACCCAAACCTGCAGCAGCTAGGGTAACCAACACTGTCTCCACAATGACATTCTGTTAATTGCATCGTCTCCCCAGCTGGGCCCACCTCTGCCTGCCAAAGCCCTTGTTTGCATCTGCAGCCATCCAAAAATAGTGCCATGCCTTTGCAAAAGCAAAGAAATTCTGAGATTCAGGTCCCCTGAGTGAGTCTAATTGTTTCTTTTCAGTGATAGAAACAAGCACGCCACCCAGCCAGAACCTGCAAGGCGTCCTGGATTCAGTGGACCCATTTCAGGAGCAGGATTCCCTAAACCTAGCTATCTGGTAGACAGTCTATAGAAGCAACAAGAGTGTAATAACCACATGGCTGGCAGGAGATTCCAGTAAAATCAGCCAAATTACTCCCCAGAAAAGAAATGTTGAAGCAACAAAATCAAATGGTTTTATAGAGCTTAGGGCTTAAAAGGTCTGTGTTCCAGTGCCATACTGTCTCAGCCTTGCTCCTGCCTCTCAACCCTTCCAGGGCTTGGTTTTTCCATCCACATAATGGGCACATTTGTGATAACCATCTCAGACTCAAGTTGGGCTGGAAGAGTTGCTTGGGCTATAATTGCAAAAAGTTTAGGAAGTACAAGATGCTCTGATCCACAAATGGTAATAACATATTAAATATTTTCAAATCATCACAGATTAATATGTTTTGTCATAAGTTCCCATTGCCAGAAGGTGTGCAGCCGACTTGCTCTGACGGAAGTGTCTGCTGAACCCATCAACACTGGCACTCTTGGCGAGAGGCGTGTTTCTCCACCACCACATTGAAGTCTTGGTTGGCAACCTGGCACTATTTTGCCCTACTAGGGGGTGATAAACAGTATCTGGAGACATTTTTGGTTGCCATTTGTCCTAGAGGAGGCTGCTAGTGGCATAAGCTGGTAGAGGCCAGGTTGCCACTGAACATCCTATGGGGCACAGGGCTCCCCCAATAACAAAGATAGACACAGCTCTAAATGTGAATAGTGCCACCGTGGAAAACCTGAATAAAGCGGCCTGAGCATGAGGTCCACCTGATTTCCGGGCAGTGTTTGCAATCATGTCCTCGTGTGGATTGAAACACCAAGTCCACAAAGTATGAGATGAGCTCTTCCCTTAGTCTTTCCATTTAGGAGAGCTCAGATTCACTTTGCATCATTTTGCAAATAATGAGAAATACTTCGTAAAATGCAAAATAATAAAGGGAATTAAATAAGACACTCTTTCTAGACACTAACTGGGGTGGTGATGTCGTGGGCAGAAGCCTCTGTGGCTGGGGTAGAGAGGCAGCCAAGGAGGGACTGAAATATGGTGGATGACTGAGACATTATTCACTCAGACTTCATTTATTGAGCACTGGTATCTATGCATAACCTGAGCCGTGTGGATGAACAAAACCTGGTTGGTGCCTGTTTTGCAGAGCGTGCAGGTTAGTTGGGACAGAGAATCCTCAATGCCTGCGTGAGGAAGGCTGTGAGAATCAGCAGGCGGGGTGTGAGACTGGAGCAGGAGGGGTACATGCTGAGGGGTGTTCTGCACCCTCAGATAAGGTAAGAGTCCATCGGCTGGTGGCTGAAATGCCACTTTACGAGGTCAACCTGAAGAATAGTCATGACTCAACCATATGCATGATGCATATGGTTAGCAAATTAACTCAGGCTCACTTCCCACCATGCTTCCCACCCACCACTGTATCATGTGAAGGTAACGCCCACTCATAATTGTTCCCAGGGTCTACTCAGAACAGGCCAAGCTTGGGTTCACCCCACTGTCAGGGCTGAGTGGATAATTACTCTGGCCACCACAAGGACACCACGCGGAGATCACAGCAGCCCTTTGAAGACATTCAGTTTAAGCCTCTTCCTGCTCACCAAGAGCCGCACTGCATTAGGAGCCTATGCAGATCACTTAGCTGGTAAAAGCACATGGCCCAAAGAAAATAGAAGAATTAAACATTGAAAAGAGCTTAAGGACAGGTGCGGTGGCTCATGCCTGTAATCCCTGCACTTTGGGAGGCCGAGACGGGCAGATCACCAGAGATCAGGAGTTCGAGACCAGCCTGGCCAACATGGTGAAACCCCGTCTCTACTAAAAATACAAAAATTAGCCAGGCGTGGTAGCGCACACCTGTAATCCCAGCTACTCAGGTGGCTGAGGATGGAGAATCACTTGAACCAGGGAGGTGGACGTTGGAGTGAGTGGAGATGGCGCCACTGCACTGCAGCCTTGGTGACAGAGCGAGACTCCATTTCAAAAAAACAAAAACAAAAACAAAAAAAACAAAGAGCTTAAGCAGGCAGGCAGCCACGGGCCGGCTCATGTTTCACAACAGCTTTATCTCTGCGGTTCACACTCTTTGGTTGGAAGTAATTTCAAGATTGGTGGGGAAGCAGCTGCCAGTCATTCTCCTGGTGCTGTTTATTGCTCCTGCACTGTAGCAGCGCGCAGTGGCACCGGGAGGGGAGGGAAGCAGCTTTATATTTGCCTCCCTGCTCATGAGGTCAAATCTAGCTTTTCCAGGCCCAGAATGCTAGTCCCAGTGAGAGAAAGAGCACATTCCTCTGTGTCGCTGTGCATTCAGATGTGCCATGGTCTTGCTTTCTACTCCTTGGAACAGAGCATCTGCATTAGGTGTAGAGAGGCCATCGCTACCAGAATGCTCCCCACCTGCCCGCTTTGCCAAGGTGTGATGGATTTGGGCTGTTCCTTCACAGACCTCAGATCATACAGTTCCCACCTCTGGGCTGCCACTCATTCCAAGGCCTCTGGCCCAGAGAGTACAGGGCTTCAGTGACCCCTGGGGCATGAGAAGAGGTGGGTGCACATAGCCATGTTGAGCCCCAGGGTTGTCTCTGCCCAAGTGTGGGGCCCTAGATGAGCCCTCAGACTCCCTGGTGCCTGTTTCCCCATCTGCCATCTCAAGGTCATAGGGAGCTGGTATTTATAATGAGCATAAAGTATAATACATTCATTATAAATATCAGCTCCTCTCAAGGCTGGCAGCAAGGGGCCGTCTGCCTTCTTACCTGCCTGCCACCCTGAGCCAGGCTCTTCACAATTTCAGGTTTCGTGTATTTCAGATTTCCAGCCTAAGTGCCTCTCTGTGATAACCTTTGTGCTACTACAGAATCCCCCCCACACACGTCACTGACTTACTGGGAATCCCCCAGCATATTGTCATCTGCTATTTAGCGGGCACTTCCTGTGGATATCCAGATTTGTATTAAGAGAAGCCCTGGTTATGGAAATTGCACACACCGAGAAAAGTCTGTTAAGATAGTTTTCCTCTGGGCCTGGGGAGTGGGGGTGAGGAGAAGGCAAGCAGTTTTAACTTTATATCCCGTTGCACAATGGGACGTCATGTGAGGAGACAGAACTCACATATTTTCTAAGTATGTGCTGGATACACACACAGAGATGCACATCTATTTTATGTATATTTCACATATGGCATAGCTGTTTTAAAAAAAGAATAATAGCTTCGCTCCATTTTGTCCCACCATTAGAATCAAGTTATGGGACAGCATCTTGTCCCAAGAAGCTACATTTAGGCCTCCAGTGGGCCTTAAGATTAGTGATGAGCTGTCGGGGCACCCCTTTCCCGCCTACATGAGTGGAGACACAGCTTCTCAGCTGCCTGCTGAGCAGCTTCTCCCCAGACAAAGGCTCAGCCACGAGGAGGTCAGCTCCACCCAAGCCACAGCAACAGTGCCCCACTCCCAGCTGACATGGACTCCTGCCTTGAGCCCCCACAAGCAGGCTCTGAGTGTGCACTCTGTATGCAGGACTCTGGATTCCTGATGACCTGCCGGGGTTCAGGAATATTCCTCCTTCTCCTGCAATCTCTTGAGGCCCTATTCCCTGTGCCTACCCTCTAGTCTCCTGCTAGGACCTTCTATGGGGGTTTGTGCCCACCACTGGCATGGTGGGTTCCAATTCTGGCTTTCTCACCTACTGGCTGTGAGCCTCTCACAAGTCAAGGGCCCCGTCTGAGCCACAGTCCCTTGTCCCAAAATGCAAAAGGGAGGCCATGCATCACCAACCCCCGCCTTATCCACCTGACTCTGCGGCAGCAACCGTCAAGCATTAGCCAAGCAAAGACTATGTGCAGTGCCCCTAGGGAGGGTGGTGAGGCTCTGCGGGCCTATGAATCACAGATAATCACATTGATCTAGACCTTACTTTTCAAAGGACGTCCCTCATCTGTTCTTCGGGAGGTTGTTGGTTGGTCCCCTGGGTGAGATGGTATGATTTGTTTCTGTCCAGACCATTCATCTGAACCCCACTCTCACAGGGGACAACTAGAAAAACCCAGCTTCTGTTCTTTCTCAAGGACAAAGTAAATGCAGACTAGGGCCTAGAGCTACCTGAAATCCCAAAGGAGGTGATAAATATTTGCAGAAGGAACCCATTAATAAAACAGTGAGTCAAAGTGCCCAGTGCTGGCTGGGCTGTGTTTTATGATCAAGCTGCTGTGAGGTAGGATGGCTTCTGAATTGATGAGGAGAGACCCTGGGGGACTCCGAATTCAGAACTGAGTCTCCACTGCAATGTCCACTTGAGATGGGAGGAAGCCCTCATTCGGGACCCACAGCAAAAGTCCATCTATTCATCTAACATTTACTAAGTTCCTTCTGTGCTGAAGATTGGGAAACAAAGGGCAGAGGCAGATAAGCAGAGAAGGCTGTGAGGATGGGGAATTTAATGTCAAGTAACTTTGAAGAGGCTTAGGGCATCGATGGATTAATTTATTCACTCCTTCAACCCGAACTCACTGAGTCCTTCTGGACCAGGCCTTGACTTTCCTTTCATTCTGCTCTACTTCTGTCTTTTCCCACAGGACTTTTCTTCTTCTAAAAGATAGATTTTAAAAAAAAATGTCATTGTATCTTTTGAAATGTTTCTGAATCCTCTGCTGGAGTGTAACACCCCAGGAGGCAAGACCTATGTCAATGCATTCACTGAGGTTTGCTAAGCACCTAGAAGGTGGTGCATGGGAGATGTGAGTAAATATTTTCTGATAAATTAACTTTGCCTCTCCAAGGCTGGAACCATAGACATGACAGTCAGTGTACCTGGACCACAGGCCGGGGGTGGCTGGGACCTCATTTCTTCTGAATGCTTCACTCCGTCCCAGTCTCTTTGGCACATGGGTTTGTCTTGAATTTGGCCCCTTGGACCGTTGGCTTGGGTGGGCTCCCATCCTGGGTGCAGTTCACCTCACAGCACTGCCAGTGCTTGCAGGTCTTCCAGGGCCAGACTGCACGTCCAGCATCTCAGCACCACGAGTCTGGAATGGACACCCTACCACATTCGTCTTTCTAAACCTCCCCTCTGACTCCTGGCCAAAACTTCCTCCAAGGCTTTTATCCCCAGAAAGGGAGAAGGGAAGGGGCAGGGAATTGAAAAGAAAAGTGAGGTAAAGGGAGGGGCAAGGAGGGGGCTTTGAGAGAGTCAGCTCCAGTCTGGTAGCAGGTAGTGAAACACAGGCTAACAGAGGACAGTCGCGCGGCCCCTCCTTCACCTCCCATCCCCTTTCTCCATAAGGGGCCCAATCTCTGACTTCAATGGTAAGTAGAGCACAAAGCCATATGTCTCCTATGTCATCAGCCCCTTCCTTATTCGGTCAACCGTGACTCTCCACACTGCTGACTGCCCACTGTGTGCCAAGATCTGGGTGAAGGAAGGGAGTTTCAGAAACGCAAGGCGTAGATTGCACTGCTCTGAAACTCAAGGTCTAGTAAGGGTGACAGAACAGAGACCAACGGTTACATCGTGGAGTGAGGGCACTGTTATACCTGTGCTCAGGTGCAGGAGGGGCCCACAGAGAGGCACCTGACCAGAACGGTGGGCCTGAGCAGGTGTCTGGAAGAGGTGGTAGCTCAGCTAAGGCTGAGGAAAAGAGAACAAAGCATTCCTGATGGGAAGGAAAGAAAGACCTGAGAGCTTGGTCTATTCCCAGAGCCCCACAGAGCCCGGAGTATCTAAGATGAAGCTTCCACAAGGCCATGGAGAGAGAGGGCTCAAGACACATTAGAAGGCAGATCACGAAGAAGACTGAGCACCTTCCTGTCTTAGTCAGCTCTGCCTGCCTCGCAGAATCCCACAGGCTGGGGGGCTTCAACAAAAGGCATTTATTCTCTCACAATTCTGGGGGCCGGAAGTTCAAGGTCAAGCAGCAAACAGATTTAGTTTCTGGGGAAGGTTCTCTTCCTGGCTGGCGGTTGGCTGACTTCTGGCTGTGTGCTCACGTGGCCTCTCCTTGTGTGTGCACACGGGGCAGGAGTGCTGGTGTCTCTCACTTTTCTTATAAGGACACCAATATTGTCAGGCTAGGATCCCACTCTTATGCCCTCATTTAAATTACTTCCTAAAGACCCTATATGAATTTGGGAGGACACAAGTCAGTCCACAGCACTTACAAAGGAGTTTGAATTTCAGCCTTGCAGGGTTTTAACCATTGGAGGCATATGATCAAATTCATGTCTTAGAAATAGCACAGGGGTCCCAAAGAAAGGATGCTTCAGGAGGAGCATCTAGTGTGCCTAGTCATCTGCCATCACCCTGTTCATAAACAGGGCAAGAGGGAGGACTATGCCAATATATTTTATTCTCATGTTTTATTAGGTTGGTGCAAAAGTAGTTGTTGTTCTTGCCATTAGAAGTACTTACAGAAACCACAATTACTTTTGCACCAACCTAATGTCATGCTGAGCACAATTCATACAGAAATTATGAACATGGTTCATTCGCCATCTTGAGAAATGAAAAGAAGATTGTGCTTTAGGGACCCCCAGCATCTGCTCGCTCAGTAGCATCAGGCTCCTCTGTCATTTCTGTACAGAGTGATCCCAACTCTCAGTGGCTTATACAAATGAGCCTCCGATTCCATTGCCATGCACACATATATTATGCATTTGGCAAACTTTCAATTATTCAAGAAGTAAACCAATATTTCCTAAGGAAACCACTAAAATTAATAAAACCCTCTATTTTGTGGACTGATTTATTATTATCATCCCTTTGAATCTACTTAGTTTTTTTTCTTTCATGCAGCTCAAAGAGTTCTATAAAAGGTTTTGCTATCAGACTGCTATTCTAAAGTCAACTCTTGAGGTAGTTAGGATGAGAAAATATGCAAATTAAATTGCAGCATGGACCATTTTCACAGGCATTTCTACTAAAATAAAAAATTTAAATATGTAAAACCAACCACAAGTTTACTTGAGTGTATCTCCTTGCATGTATACATTCCCAGGGTTATTAATTTAACTCTCACAACAATTTTGTAGGTTGCATGTAGCCTGTACTGCTGTACTCAATGAGATACATTCTTTGTTAACAATACAGCAAATTTAGAGTTGGGATTGACTCTGGGGGCCAGATACCTAGAATTGATTGGTGTCCAATTGATCAATGATTCCATTTGGTGACCTGCAATATTATTCTCTAAAATAAATCACGGGTTTTGTTAAATTTATATTTTCATACAATGTGTAAATGATTCCAATCATTTGTTTTCTTATTCTTTTTATCATTTACCATGTGCTTTTAAAACTCTATTGTACAGGAGTGACTTGGGTGAAAGCTGGCTTCTTAGTAATGGGCTTAAGAGTTCAACATTCAGAAGAAATATACTCAGTATCATGAAGGAAGCTCAAAAGCAATTTGTCCATCATGTGGTTCAAAGAAATGGTTGGTGCCTAGAGCATTTTGACACAAAGTAAAAGCTCCCCCTGTTCGGTTGTTAGGTTTCAACATGTTTGGGAATATCACTGAGGGATGGGGTCTAGCAGACCAGCTCCAAGGCATCCATCCCAGTGTTGGGTGGAGGGTGGGAAAAAAACCCTCTCTTATGAAGGCAAGATCCTCTCACAGCAGCATTTGCTGTCTCGTTTCTGTGCTGGCCCTGCTGTTACAGATTGGGATTGGGGACATCATCCATCAAGAACAACAACAACAAGGTGTTGTTTGTAACAAATCAACCTTGACCGGTTGTCATGGACCCTCTGAGGGCCACCTTGATGGACGGGCATGTCCAGAGTCCCTAGGTGTGAGTCATATGGGCAGTGTTATAGAGCCATCATTCAAAACATTACCTAAACATCCTTGGACTTTTTTATGTTTTCCGTGTGGGCTCACAAGACATGAGATGGAGTAAGAGATGTTATTAGTGGTTAAAAGCATGACCTCTGGGGCCAGTCTGCCCAGATGCAAGTCCCTGCTGGGCCACTTCCAAGTTGTGTGAACGGAGGCAATTTACTCCACCTCACTTTGCCTCAGTTCCTCATGGGAACATAGGGAACACAGTAGCACCTACTTCCTAGGGTTGCTTTGAGGATCCAAGGAGTTTATAACAATTCCTGGCACATAGTAATTGCTGTACATGCTTATTGTTCTTAAGATGAAGGAGGAGCAATGGGAAGACACTTGAGTGGGACTTTTTTTAAGTACATATACATTTAAAAGATGAATGCTGAGAAGGTGATAACACATCAGATAATGGGGGAATAATGCTTTCTTTATTCATTTTTAATGTATTATTTATATAATTTTCACAAAGGTAAGAGAACAATCAAAGCAGAGAGAGCAAACACATTTAGGACCAGGAAAATAAGGAAAAGAGAGGGAGGCTTGAGGGAACTGTCCATGCTCTTTATGAACTGTTAAGAATTGTTCTGTTCTAAGCCGGGTGTGGTGGCTTACACCTGTAATCCCAGCACTTTGGGAGGTTGAGGCGGGTGGATCACCTGAGGTCAGGAGTTTGAGACCACCCTAGCCAACATGGTGAAACCCCGTCTCTACTAAAAATACAAAAATTAACCAGGCATTGTGGTAGGTGCCTGTAATCCCAGCTACTCGGGAGGCTGAGGCAGGAGAATCACTTGAACCTGGGAGGCAGAGGTTGCAGTGAGCTGAGATCACGCCGCTGTACGCCAACCTGGGTGACAGAGCAAGACTCCATATCAAAAACAACAACAACCACAACAAAGAACTGTTCTTTGCTCTTTTGCATGAGTTTTGCTGCCTACTCAGCAATTACGGATGCTCAACTGTCATGCACAGGACCACAGCTTTCTTCTTGGGCTCTCCCATAGAACCTCACAGAACGTTGACAAACTACCAAGGGTCAATCATAGTTGACTGATTATCCCAAGAAGTCAATCTTAGGAAAAATCTGCCTTGGAGAAATGATTGGATCTTGGGGTTATAAATCACTCAATAATGGTTGGATGATTTGCCTGACTGGGACAATGGTTCTCTGTACCAGCACCTGCAGGATGGGTTTTCTACCTACACTCCAACATCCAGCTGTACATGTTTTTTGGTGCAACTTTCAAAGTGTCATCTACATTTTAATCTAAGGGTCTTCGCCCTTGCTAGCCTCCCTATTTGGGAACCCCTACCCCATACTATTTTTCTAGCTATCACCTACTTCTATTTAGGTCTCGGAAATGACATCTCTTCCTTGGAAAGGTCTCACAGACCAGGTTGGTTCTTATGGTGACCAGCTCTCCTATTCCTCCACTTCTCTTTTGTGATACTTCCTGGTACACTGCATACCATGATGTCAGAATTGTGCCTGCCCAAGACGGTGTTCTAAGCAGAATGTCTGGCATGCAATAGATGCTCTGTGAGTATTAGTGAAATGGTTCTTGAATGTCTCTTACCTAAACCTCACTATGAGCTCACTTGTTGCTAGGGTCTAAATGTTTCTGTCCCCCCAAAATTAATATGTTGAAATCCAACTCCTAAAGTAATGATATTAGGAAGTGTAGCCTCTGGTAAGAGAACAGGGAAAAAGAGCAGCTCTCTCATGAATGAGATTAGTGCCCTTATAAAAGAGACCCCAGAGAGACCCTCACCCTTTTCCCCAGGTGAGGTTAGAGTGAGAAGATGGCTCTCTATCAAGAAAACAGGCTCTCACCACAGACCCAACCTGCAGGCGCCTTGATCGTGGGCCTCCCAGCATCCAGAATTATGAGAAATAAATTTCTGTTGTTTGTAAGCTGCCTAGGGTGTGGTATTTTGTTCTAGCAGCCCAAAAGGACTAAAGCATCTATGAATGAGCAGCATTGTGTTAATTGACTTGTTACAACAAGGAAGAACATGCACCATGGTAAATTGTGGGGTGTTTCATTAAGAGGGGGTTAGAAAGGAATTATTATGGGATTTGAGCTTTTTGTTAAGGTGATCTGGGGAAGTTTCAGGAAAGCTGAGAATTTCTCTGGGTTGAAAGCTCTCAGAATGTCAGAGTACTTCTATGATTGGGTGTATTAAAAATCTTATCTATAGGGCAAAACAAATGAACCATGGCTTAAGCTATAGTTGTTAAAGAAACAGCAACCATTTCTATTAACTGGGATTGGGGGACGTATGGGCTATTTTTATGGTTTGGGCAATGTTCACGCTGTTTGTTCCAATATGACTACGGAGCGGTCTTGTTATTTTCTGGCACTATGATAGCCACAGCCTTCTCTTGTGTTGTTGTTCTGGAAGATTTATATGCCCAAGGCAGAATACCTTGGAGAATACTCAGGCACTTCTGGGACTTCCAGCTCCTAGCAACACCAGGCTCTGGCTGATAGAACCAGGTCAGTTTGCAGATGTCTGGAGCTGCTTTTGTCTTTTCAGAATAAATCATGAGAGGTCTGTCTTCTCTTTCTTATTGAGTCTTTTTTTTTTTTTTTTTTTTCTTATCTTCAGTCCACCCTGAGCTCCTTAGTAAACCTCAGCTCATTAATGTTTCTTTGAGTTTTTGCATTCTTCTTCCAGTACTAATAGCGTGTGTGTGTGTGTGTGTGTGTGTGTGTGTGTGTGTAGTTGAGTTTGTCCTGAGTTCTGAACCCATTGACTCAATCAACTGTGGATAAAAAAATATTCAGGAAAAAATATTCCGCAAAGTTCCAAAAACAAAACTTGAATTTGCCACATGCCAAGGACTACATTGCATGCACATAGATGTAGTGATGTGTAGGCACTGGATTAGGTATCATAAGCAAGCTAGAGATGATTTAAAGTATATGAGAGGATGTGTATAGGTTCTACAAAAACACTACATCATTTTATATCAGGGACTTGAGCATTCCTGGATTTTGGTATTCACATGGGGTTCTGAAACCAATACCGTGAAGATACTGAAGGATGATGGCATACATCTAGAGTCTCTTTCCAGATAGATATAGATAGATTGATTCTATTGGTTCTGTTTCTCTGCTAAACCCTGACAAATTCAGCCACTGACCCTGACAGGGTATAAATGTGGAGTGGAGCCTTGGTGAAGAAAGGAGTCCCCAAAATTTGTTGTTCCATCTAAAGGAAACAAGAGAGTAGGGCAACCGGCTCCTTTGTTGAGCTCTGTGGGAAGACAAAACAATAACCCGACAACCATGGTGATGGTGGTTATGCCAGTTTGGAATTGAAAGGGCTTAAACACATTAACTTGAGGTTGTCCCTATAAATTTTTCAAATTTAACAAGCAACAACAAACTATTTTTTTGAAGTCTGAATGACATCATGATTTGCAAGAAAATAGAGTCCATCAACGCTAACGCTTGGAGACCCAGGTAATCATTGCCCCTCATAGACTTATTAGGATGTAAAATTAGTTTGTTTGCACATAAGCACCCTAAACATACCCTGCAATATACAGATAAAATTAATTTAGGGAGGCTTGCTCCTACTCTTGAAATTCAGAGCAGAGTGTATTTCTCTGCAAGTCTTCTAGAAGGCCTCCCTTTACTTAGCTTTGAAAACACTTTGGATGTGCTAGCGTCTGGCCCAGAGGAAAGGGGTGTGATTGGCTCTAGAATCACACAGGATGAACTTGAGAGTGTCAGGAATAAAGCTCATCTTGAAATGGTGTGTTGTTACTTCCAACACTTAAAACCAACTGCTAGTTTCAAGTGCAAAAGATGGGATTCCCCTACATGTTGACCATGGCATGATGCTTGCACTTCTGTTAAATATTAAACTGCTTGGTGTTGAGCTTTACAGGAAAAAAATGGAAAACTTGCTTTCTGTAATTAGTGGGACTTTTATCTGAGCTGCTGCTTTTGGCAGTTTGTTTCATCTGAATTTTGGTTCATCAAATTTGCTTTAGCAAAATATCCTGACTTTAATAACCAGAAGTAATAAGTTACATTTAGGGAAATGCATGCATATATATATATATATATATATATATATATATATATATATATATAGTGTGTGTGTGTATAGATATACTATATACATTATATATGCTATATACACTATACGTATAGATATACTATATTTTATTGATATACTATATACTATATATACTACATACTATATTTTATTGATATACTATATACACTATATACTGATTATATACACTATATATCGATTATATATATTATATATAGTGTATGTAGTATATCAATTTTTTATTATTGATTAATCAATGGAGTGCTTAGGAAAACAAAGAGATGGGCATGGTGTTACTGCAGTGATACTCAAACGTGATGGAAAGTTTTAGGCTTGATGGACATTTCAGAGACTTCGAATGTGGCTTGCAGTGTTTTCCTGTTGTGGTTTTGTTGCTTTTAATCTGGAGGGATGTCTTTGAATTCCCAGTAGATGTGTGGCACCTCGCTCCTTCCTATATACATGTAATTGAACTTATTTTCTTTTCGGGGAAGGCTTAGCCCTACAACCATCTTCATTAATTAAGTGCACCAGGCTCGAGGGAGAAATTCACATCATTTTTATAAAACAGGCCAAAGTGTCAGGACAAAAGGACTCTAGATTTGTTCCTTAAACCACCCACTCAAACTCTAGCAGGTCTTCCTCATTAAATAATTACTTTGAGATCATTAAACCACATTTAGCGCTGTCTATGATGTTAAGCAAAAACAAACAAGAATAGGCATTCTGTTGAAAACTAAAGCCAAAGCCTGTTTAAGTCTTGATTTATATACAATTCTTGCCTAATGTATTTTAAATGTAACCGATGCAGCAGTGCTTTCCTGCTAATTGGAGATAATCCTACTTTGAAATAAATATTACATAAGACTGCTTTATGAACTCACAATTAACTCAAGGCTATGTCTCCCCTCAGAGACTATCTGCATGTTTAACATGTTTGTTGAAGAACACCCATTTCGTGTATATGCAGGGCTCTTGTCCTATACCCCAGGGTCTTTTGCCTCTGGACTTTCTCAAGTCTGCATGACAGAGGGTCTGTACGTGTCCTTCACCTTTGTCTCCTTTGGCTGGACTCTCTTCCGGCTTTGATCTGAGGTCCTGCTTCCTGGCTTCAGGACATGAAACAAAATGTCTCCTTGGCTCTGCTCAGTTATGTGGCGAGGCAGCTGCACTATCAGCATGGGGACTCCTTCATCCACTGACTCATCTCCAGAGGGCATTGCGGGAAGAATGTGGTGGGTTAACCAAGTTACTAGTTTCCCACATGCCAGGGGAAATTTCATGGCATTTGTCATTCCTTGGACTCTGATCACCTCTACCTAAAAAATAATCCAATATGGTAAAGCAAGATCTGTGGTTTCAATACATCTGAAGTCTCTTATTGTTTAAATTAGGGACCACAAGAAGAATGATGGTGTTTTATAAGAATTCAAGACCTTGAGAAGAACTTGGGGGTCTTATGAAGCTATGCCCTGGAGCGTGGTGTGGAGGGTAAAGGGGGCAACTCTCTGCATTCTGCCTGAGAAAGGCAGGAACACGCCTAGATGGGAGGATGCAGCTTGGTGGGGAGCATCTCTCTCTCGAGAAAGAGCCTACAAAAATCACTCTAAGTCAACTTGAGGGGGGTGTGTCTGCAAGGAGCCCCCAGAGGCAGTGAAGAGGCTGTGATGCTTTGAGGACATTAGGATTATCAATTTCAACTGGTTTCCTGGGATATGATGTGTTTTCTCCCTTCATGATAGTTTATTTTTGAATCAAAACTCACTTTTTTTTTTAAGATTTGGGGGATGCATCTATTAGATGGGTTTTTTTGCAACTACATGAAAAAACATGGCACACATAAGCTTTGGGACACCACTACATTTCAACACAGTGGACACACACACTCTGACAAACTCTCACACAGCTCATCCACACTCTCAGACACTCACTGACACATCACACACTCATGCACAATCATACATGTTCACATTTGTACTCACTCACATATACACTCACACACATCCTCACAGGCTCAATCCCTCACACCCATACACTCACATACTCACATGCACACTCAAAAGCACCTTCACATACACACACACAAATAGCATACTCACACACACATATGTGCACACTCATTCACATACCACATACAGATGTGTACCAGTAACATACAAATATTATTCATGTAACCCTAATGTTATACAAAACACCTTAGACACCCTTTGTTATTCTGTGGTCTGAGAATTATTACCTTATCTATATTATAAAAAAGAAAGTTGAGATGGAGAGACTAACCCACTGGAGGTCCTGCAGGAAGTCATGGGAGAACCTGTTCCACTCCACCCACCTATACCTTCCCAGAATCACACCACATGCAGAGAGTGATAATTCTAATTGTGTGCTGGTGTATGTGAAATCAGAGAGGTGAAGACCAAAATGTGACTTGCCACCAAATAAAGAAAATACTTCCATGTGAATTTTTGTGTTTGGTGTCAGCAGAGACCCCTGGGTTGTACTTCAATTGCAGCTAGTCAACAGAGACCTCTGTGAGCAGCGATTGTATTTGTTAAGCTAGCTTTAGCCCAAAGCCACCTCCTTGCATATGTTAAGTACAGCCTAAAGGTCTCTCCACACATCATGAATGGAAACCTAACTGGACCTATAAATATGGTAGCCTATTCTTGTGCCCATCACAGGATGTCAGCCAGTCATAGGCGGCCCACTATTCAAACCATGTTCAAATGAGGCCAATGTCATCTGTAGCCAATCCAGCTGTTTCCATAACTCACTTTCCTGGTTCTGTCCATAAATGATCTCAGGCCATGCAGCAGCCTGGACTTGCTCTGAACCTACTCCAGTTCTAGAGACTGCCCAGTTCACAAATCATTCTTTGCTTAATTAAACTCTGTGAAATGTAACTTGTCTAAAATTTTTCTTTGAACGTGTTCAAAAAGCACATCACTGGAGCTGAGAGCTGAGTGACATCTCAGAACAGCTAACATCAGCAACCTTCCAAAAAGAAGCCTGATGGCCAGCTTGGAGGTGTCCACCGGACTAACACCTGAGAGGTGGGCTCCTGCCTTTCCCACCCCCCGGCATCCTCTTCCTTGATGAGCCAGGTTAGACTCCTCGGGTGTGCTTCCTGGGCGCCAAAGTGTCCTGGAGTCAATGTGGTGAGCAGCACCCTGCAACACCCACCCCCACTCCACGAGCTGCTGACCTGGCTCATTGGCACAGATGCCCATATTCTATTCCAATCCTCACAACTTCAAATTAAAGAGGGGAAGACTGGCAATTCCCTGTCCATCACTACTTTCAAATCACTTCTATTTCTTTGGTTCTCTTTATAGTTATATCCTGCAGGATAAATCCAAGTGATGCTAAAAGCAAGCAGAGTGCTGTTCTTACACCTATTGACCAGGCTTACCTCTAGAATTCTGGATCTCTTCATCCATCCCCACTGCCTCTCATGACTATCTTTCACCTGTAACTGCTTTTTTAGGGAGAAGAAAAAATTGCTTCTCCTAGAGGGTGTCTCTTCTAAATCATTGGTTCCATCAACTTGTGAATGTTCAAATGTATCAGCTCCAGGAGACAAAATGACAGAGTGTCTTCCCAGATTCCCTTCAATGTCGGGTCTCCAGACACATAAATCCCAGCTCACTGAAGCTTTGGAGTAAGCTCTGCTGTTGACAATATAATAGCAGTGCATTCTATGTGCCCTCACTAAGGAAAATCACCAAAGGAGGAGCAAGTGCCTGTATTAAGGTCAACAAAGAGCCAGGTGCCTGGGATGCAGCCATCATTGTTCCTTCCCCAGACTCAGAGAGGGTGAGCAAGTTCCCCAAGGCCACACAGCTGGTAAATGAAATAGCTGTGATCTGATCTCCAGTCCACGTAACTCCATTTCTATTCTCTCCAGCAGTGCTCCCTTGATCCAAATTTCTGCAGAGTAGCAAACACAAAGCCATGACACCATTTCACAAAGAAGCCAAGAAGAAACACCTGACAACTGAGAGCACAGGACTGCGTCCATGTGGGCCCTTCTGTTGATGATGAATGATGAGCAGTTGCTCAGAATCACACAATGAACCAGTGGGCAAGGATCTTGGCACACAGTGTCACCTTTCTGCCCACATCAGGCCTGCCAGAAAAAGAAACCCATTCACTGTTCTTCAGAAAAACAACATTTTGGGTAGGATGGAATTAATTGGTTAAAAGTCACCAGTATTTACAGGCACATTGTCAAATTAATGACAGAATTGGGAAGGAAAAGTAATTGCAAGATCATCTCTCCTTTCAAAAGGTTAAACACTGAACACATACATAGAGTGAAGATAATGTGTTCCTGTACAGTTTGGTATAATAAGAAAATAGATAGCCCTTGTGAGAACCTCCTGATACTTTTGTTAATATTTGTAAAATGTAGATTTAGCTCAAGGAAAGGAAGTACAGCTTCAGGCAAAGGATGGCAAGCTTGTGGAATTTCTAAGAAGTAGAAGGAAATGTGGGTTAGGTTTTCCGATGACTGCATAGATTTCTGCAGAACAGGCAGTTAAAGCCAAGAGGGACCTGGAGGGCCCACCCAACCAGGAGGGAGCTGGGGGCTCAGAGCAGAGGGTGGTTCTCTGAGGCAGTGCTTCAATTCCTCTCATCCAAACAAAGAAGCTTTATACATATAAGAAAAACAGGGTTTCTTGGTTCCATGGAAAAGAGGTCTTTACAGAAGTTGTTATTTGCTATTATGGCACACTTCTTTTTCTTTGATCATCTGTGGGAAGGACTCTTAGAATGAAGTGTTCCAACCAATACAATTGGAATTAGTTTAAAAACAAAATTAATAATGGTCTTCTTTGCTTGAGTTTGGTTAACTTTCCTAAAAAGAAATGATCATCATGGGCATATGTCAGGGCCACTTTATTTTATGATGACCCACCTGCATTCAAAATAAAATTATTTAATTTCTGAAAATTATCAACAGACCCATAGAGGCTTTTCTGGAAGAGAAAGAACCTGAGCCAACATTCAGCCCAACCTCATCATTCTGGAATAAAGAAACTAACTCCTGGAGATCTCAGCTGGTGCAGCAATGGGTGGTCTCCAGGCTCGATTATGCATTGCTCACAGCTGCTGAGACTGGAAAGTAGAATCCAAAACAGCAAAGCGGGTGTATGTGAGATGTGTTGCAGGTGTGAGTGTGGGTATGGGTGTCACCATGTATTAGTCTGTTTTCACACTGCTGATAAAGACATACCCAAGACTGGATAAGTTGTAAAGAAAAAAGAGGTCTAAGGACTCAACAATTTCACATGGCTAGGGGGGCCTCACAATCATGGTGGAAGGCAAGGAGGAGCAAGTCACATCTTACATGTATGACAGCAGGCAAAGAGAGACCTTGCACAGGGGAGTTTCCATTTTTTAAACCATCAGATCTCATGAGACTTATTCACTATCACAAGAACAGCATGGGAAAGACCTGCCCCCATGATTCAATTACCTCCCACCAGGTTCCTCCAACACATGGGAATTCAAGATGAGATTTGGCTGGGGACACAGTCAAATCATATCATTCTGCCACTGACCCCTCCCAAATCTCATGTCCTCATATTTCAAAACAAATCTTGCCTTCCCAACAATCCCCCAAAGTCTTAACTCATTTCAGCATTAACTCAAAAGTCCACAGTCCAAAGTCTTATCTGAGACAAGGCAAACCCCTTCCACCTATGAGCCTGTAAAATTGAAAGCAAGTTAGTTACTTCCTAGACACAATGGAGGTGTAGGCATTGCATAAGTACAGCTGTTCCAAATAGGAGAAATTGGCTGAAACAAGGGGGCTACAGGTCCCATGCAAGTCCCAAATCCAGTGGGGCAGTCAAATCTCAAAGCTCCAAAATGATCTCCTTTGACTCCATGTCTCAAATCCAGGTCATGCTGATGCAAAAGGTGGGTTCCCATGGTCTTGGGCAGCTCCACCTCTGTGGCTTTGCAGGGTATGGTCTCTCTCCCAGCTGCTTTCACAGGCTGGCATTGAGTGTCTGCAGCTTTTTCAAGGTGCATGGTGCAAGCTGTCAGTTGATCTGCCATTGTGGGGTCTGGAGGACAGTGGTCTTCTCACAGCTCCACTAGGTGGTTCCCCAGCAGGGACTCTGTGTGGGGCATCTGACCCCACATTTCCCTTCCTCACTGCCATAGCAGAGATATCCCATGAGGGCTCCGCCCCTGTGGCAAACTTCTGCCTTGGCAACCAGGCATTTCCATACATCCTCTGAAATCTAGGTGGAGGTTCCCAAACCTCAGTTCTTGACTTCTGTGCACCCGCAGGCTCAACACCACATGGAAGCTGCCAAGGTTGGAGCTTCCATCCTCTGAGGCAACAGCTCAAGCTATATGTTGGCCCCTTTTAGTGACGGTTAGGTCACAAGGCACAGAGTCCCTAGACTGTACACAGCAAAGGGACCCTGGGCCCAGCCCATGAGACCAGTTTTTCCTCTTAGGTCTCCAGGCCTGTGATGGGAGGGGCTGCCACAAAGGTCTCTAACTTGCCCTGGAGACATTTTCCCCATTGTCTTGGTGATTAACATTTGGATCCTAGTTATTTATGCAAATATCTGCAGCCGGCTTGAATTTGTCCTCAGAAAAATGAGATTTTCTTTTCTATTGCATGATCAGGCTGCAAATTTTTCAAACCTTTATGCTCTGTTTCCCTTTTATAACTGAATACCTTTAACAGCACCCAAGTCACATCTTGAATGCTTTGCTTCCTGGAAATTTCTTCTCCCAGATATGCTTAATCATCTCTCTCAAGTTCAAAATTCCACAAATCTCCAGGGCAGGGGCAAAATGCCACCAGTCTCTTTGCTAAAACATAACAAGAGTCACCTTTGCTCCAGTTCTCATCAAGTTCCTCATTTCCATCTGCAAGCACCTCAGCCTGGATTTCATTGTTTATATCATTATCAGCATTTTGGTCAAAGACATTCAACAAGTCTCTAGGGAGTTCCAAACTTTCCCACATTTTCCTGTCCTCTTCTGAGCCCCACAAACTGTTCCAACCTCTGCCTGATACCCAGTTCCAAAGTCCCTTCCACATTTTTGGGTATCTTTCCAGCAGCACCCCACTCCTCGTAACAATTTACTGTATTGGTCAGTTTTCATACTGCTGATATAGACATACCCAAGACTGGGTAAATTATAAAGAAAAGGAGGTTTAAGGACTTACAGTTCCACATGCCTGGGGAGGCCTCACAAACATGGTGGAAGGCAAGGAGGAACAAGTCACATCTTACATGGATGGCAGCAGGCAAAGAGAGAGCTTGTGCAGGGAAACTCCCATTTTTAAAACCATCAGATCTCATGAGACTTATTCACTATCACGAGAACTGCATGGAAAAGACTTGCACCCATGATTCATTACTTCCCACCAGGTTCTTCCCACAACATGTGGGAATTCAAGATAAGATTTGGGTGGGGACACAGCCAAACCATATCACACCTATTGGCTATCTCACCTTTACATTAGACTTCATTACATATTAGATAAATTCTACTAAGCATCTTATTGGTAGCCTGCTCAGCACCTTTGTTAGAACAAGACAATTGTCAATTGTCAATGTGCTAGTGTCCACACAGTCCCTGCAGCACTCCAGGTAACAGGCTGGGTCCTAGGGGCCCAATGAGAAAGAAAGAGAACCTTTGTTCACAAGAAGTCCAGTGGGAACAAATTGAAAAATACTCTCATGCTTGTAATTTTCTGAAATAGATTCTTGAAGCAATCAAAGAGTTGTTTTTTGATATAAAGTTTAAGAAAAATAAAACTAAAGGCTCACGCCTGTAATTCCAGCATACTCCAGTGGAGATGGGCAGATCACGAGGTCAGGAGTTTGAGACTCGCCTGGCCAACATGGTGAAACCCCATCTCTACTAAAAATACAAAAAATTACCTGGGCTTGGTGGCAGGCACCTGCAATCCGAGCTACTTGGGAGGCTGAGGCAAAATACTTGTTTGAACCCAGGAGGCAGAAGTTGCAGTGAGCCAAGATCATGCCACTGCACTCCAGCCCAAGTGACAGTGTGAGACTCCTTCTCAAAAAAAAAAAAGCCGGGGGGCAGAGAGAGAGAGAGATTAAGATGATGGATAGGAGGCAGGACTAGCTTGCAGCTCCTGCTTGGAGAGACAGAGCAGCATGTGGAGACTCTCGTTATGAACTTTTGCTTCGAGAACTATTGCAGGAACATACCAGGAAAGCTGAGAGAATACACAGACTCTTTGAAGAAACTGGATCACTGCTGTGTGCTCCCTGAGATGCCAAAACACTGAGTCTGCTTGCTTTCTCAGTGGGAAGTCTTGTGGTCTGGGACACATTCTCAGTCCTGGTCACCAACTGCCTGGAAATAGACTTGGTGCTATTTGTGGGGCATGGTGGGAGTGAGACTGGCCTTTAGGACTACAGGCTGTGTGGGAGTGGGGTGAAGCCTGTGACTGCCAGCTTTCCCCCACTTCCCTGGTGACCTCTGTGACTTAGCAGAGACAGCCATAATCCCCCCTGGGAACATAACTCCACTGGACTGGGAACCACACCCCCACCCCCACAACAGCCATAGCAAGCCTTGCCCAAGGAGAGGCTGAGCTCAAACCCACCTATCCCTGCCCCTACCTGGTGGTCTTTCTCTACCCACCCTGGTAGCCAATGACATTGGTAATAATCTGTTGGGAGCTCTATGGCCCTGCCCTCTGCCTGGGAAACCTGAATACTTAACCAGGTGACCCTAGGGCAAGTTGGCTTACTCCATATAGGACCACAGCTGATGCGCTCTTCAAAGTGCCACCTCCTGGCTGGAGGCCAACCAACATGAAACCAGTGCACTAAACAAACAAAAATGCCACCAAGGATCCTCACAGAGTCCACTTCACTGCCCTGCTACTTCCACCAGAGCAGATGCTGGTATCCACGGCTATAAGACCTGAAGACAGATCACATCACAGGGCTGTTTACAGATACTCCCTAGTACCAGCCCAGAGCCCTGTAGCTCCACTGAGTGGCTAGACCCAGAAGAGCAAAAACAATCACTATAGTTTGGCTCTCAGGAAGCCCCATTACGAGGGAGAGTGGGAGAACACCACATCAAGGGAGCACCCCATGGAACAAACGAATCTGAATAGCAACCTTTGAATCCCAAGTCTTCCCTCTGTCGGAGTCTACCCAAATGAGAAGGAACCAGAAAAACAATTCTGGCAATATGACAAAACAAAGTTCTTTAACACCCCCAGAAGATCATACCAGCTCACGAGCAATGGATCCAAACCAAGACAAAATCTCTGAATTGCCTCAAAAAGAATACAAAAAGTTGATCATTAAGCTAATCAAGGAGGCACCAGAGAAAGGTGAAGTCCAACTTAAAGAAATCAAAAACATGATACAGGATATGAAAGAAAAGTTCTTAAGTGAAATAGATAGCATAGATAAAAAAAACAATTGCAACTTCTGGAAATCAAGGATACACTTAGAGAAATGCAAAAAGCACTGAAGAGTCTCAGCAATGGAATTGAACAAAGAGAAGAAAAAACTAAGGGCTCAAAGACAAGGCTTTTGAATTAACTGAATCAGTCAAAGACAAAGACAAAAGAATTTTTAAAAATGAACAAAGCCTCCAAGAAGTCTGAGACTAGTTCAATGTCCAAACCTAAGAATACTTGGTGTTCCCAAGGACGAAGAGAAATCTAAAAGTTTGGAAAACATATTTGAGGGAATAATCAAGAAAATCTTTCTTGGCCTTGCTAGAGATCTAGACATCCAAATATAAGAAGCTCAAAGAACACTTGGGAAATTCATTGCAAAAAGGTCATTGCCTAGGCACATAGTCATCTAAAATCAAGGCAAAGGAAAGACTCTTAAGAGCTGGTGAGGCGAAACTATCAGGTAACCTACAAAGGAAAACCTAAAAAATTAACGGAATATTTCTCAGCAGAAAGCCTACAAGGTAGAAAGTATTGGGGTCCTATTTTTAGCCTCAATAAACAAAACAATAATCAGCCAAGAATTTTGTATCCAGTGAAACTAAGTTTCATAAATGAAAGAAAGATATAGTCTTTTCCAGACAAACAAATGCTGAGAGAATTCACCACTACAAAGCCAGCACTACAAGAACTACTATTAAAATGAGCTCTAAATATTGAAACAGATCCTTGAAATACACCAAAATAGAATCTCCTTAAAGCATAAATCTCATAGGACCTATATTATAATAACACAATGGAAAAAATCACAATGTATTCAGGTAATAAATAGCACAACAAATAAAATAGTACCTCACATCTCAATACTACCATTGAATGTAAATAGTCTAAATGCTTCACTTAAAAGACACAGAATGGCAGAATGAATAAGAATTCACCAACCAAGTTTCTGCTGTCTTCAGGAGACTCACCTAACACATAATGACACACGTAAACTTAAGGTAAAGGGGTGGCGGGGAAAGATATTCCATGCAAATGGACACCAAAAACAAGCAGGTATAGCTATTCTTATATCAGACCAAACAAACTTTAAAGCAAAAGTAATTTAAAAACACAAAGAGTGACATTATATAATGATAAAAGGACTAGTCTGAATGGAAAATACCACAATTCCAAATATATACACACCTGACACTGGAGCTTCCAAATTTATGAAACAACTACTACTAGACCTAAAAAATGAGATAGACAGCAATACAATAATAGTGGGGGCTTCAATACTCCACTGGCAGCACTAGACAGCTCATCAAAACAGAAGGTCAACGAAGAAACAATGGACTTAAATTCTACTCCACAACAAATGGACTTAACAGATATTTACAGAACATTCTACCCAATAACCACAGAATATACATTTTATTCATCAGCACATGGGACATTCTCCAAGATAGACCATATGATAGGCCAAAAATAAGTCTCAGTAAATTTAAGAAAATTGAAATTATATCAAGTACACTTTCAGACCACAGAGGGATAAAATTGGACATCAACACCAAAAGGAACCCTGAAAATCATGTAAATACATGGAAATTAAATAACCTGCTCCTGAATGATCATTCAGTCAACAATGAAATCAAGATGGAAATTTAAAAAGTATTTGAACTGAATGACAATAGTAACACAACCTATCAAAACCTCTGGGATACAGCAAAGGCAGTGCTAAGAGGAAAACTCATAGCATTAAATGCCTACATCAAAAAGTCTGAAAGAACATAAATAGGCAATCTAAGGTCATACCTCATGGAACTAGAGAAACAAGCACAATCCAAACCCAAACCCAGCAGAAGAAAAGAAATAATGAGTATTAGAGCAGAACTAAATGAAATTGAAACAAAAAACAATACAAAAGATAAATGAAACAAAAAGCTGGTTCTTTGGAAAGATATGGTAGACCTTTAGTGAGATTAACTGATAAAAGAAGAGAGAAGATACAAATAAGCTCAATTAGAAAGGAAATGGGAGATATTACAACTAATACCACAGAAATACAAAAGATCATTCAAGTCTTCTATGAACATCTTTACATGCATAAACTAGGAAACCTAGAGGAGATGGATACATTCCTGGAAATGCACAACCCTCCTAGATTAAACCAGGAAGATACAGAATCTCTGAACAGACCAATAACAAGCAGCAAGATTAACATGGTAATAAAAAATTGCCAACAAAAAAAGTCCAGTACCAGACAGATTCACAGCTGAATTCTATTGTTTAAAGTAGAATTGGTATCAATACTATTGAGACTATTCCAAAAGATAGAGAAAGAAGGAATCCTCCTTAATTCATTCTATGAAGCCAGTATCTCCCTAATACCAAAGCAAGGGAAGGACATAACAAAATAAGAAAACTACAAACCAATATCCCTGATAAACTTAGATGCAGGAATCCTCAACAAAAGACTAGCAAACCAAATCCAATAGCATATTAGAAAGATAATCCACCATGATCCCTGGTTTCATTCCAGGGATGCATGGATGGTTTAACATACATAAGTCAATAAATGTGATACACCATATAAATAGAAGTAAAAACAAAAATCACATGATCATCTCAATAGATGTAGAAAAAGCAGCCTCCCTTTATAATTAAAACCCTAGGCATAATTGGCATAGAAGGGACATACCTTAAAGTAATGCCTATGATAAACTCAAATCCAACATTCTACTGAATGGGGAAATGTTGAAAGCATTCCCCCAAGAACTAGAACAGGACAAGGATGCCCACTTTCACCACTTCTATTCAACATAGTACTGGAAGTCCTAGCCAGAGCAATCAGACAAGAGAAAGAAATAAAGGGCATCCAAGTCAGTAAAGAGGAAGTCAAACTGTCACTGTTTGCTGATGATATAATCACATACCTGGAAAACTCTAAAGACTCATCAAAAAAGCTCCTAGAATGGGTAAATGAATTCAGCAAAGTTTCAGGATACAAAATTAGTTAATGTACACAAATCAGTAGCTCTGCAATAAACCAACAGCGACCAACCTGATAACCAAATTAAGAACTCAACCCCTTTCACAATAAATGCAAAAAAATAAAATAAAATACTTAGGAATATTCCTAACCAAGGACATGAAAGACCTCTACAAGGAAAACTACAAAACACTGCTGAAAGGAATCATAGATGACACAAACAAATGGAAACACATCCCATGCTCATGGATGGGTAGAATTAATATTGTGAAAATGACCATATGCCAAAAGCAATCTACAAATTCAATGTAATTCCCATCAAAATACCACCATCATTCTTCACAAAATTAGAGAAAAAAAGCCTAAAATTCATATGGAACCAAAAAAGAGCCCACATAGCAAAAGCAAGACTAAGCAAAAAGAATAAATCTGGAGGCATCGCATTACCCAACTTCAAACTGTACTATAAGGCCATAGTCACCAAAACCACATGGTATTGGTATAGAAATAGGCACATAGACCAATGGAACAGAGCAGAAAACCCAGCAGTAAACTCAAATACTTACAGCCACCTGATCTTCGACAAAGCAAACAAAAACATATAGTGTTAAAAGGACACCCTATCCAACAAATGGTACTGGGATAGTTGGCAAGCCACATGTAGGAGAATGAAACTTGATCTTCATCTCTTACCTTATACAAAAACCAACTCAAGATGGATCAAAGACTTAAATCTAAGACCTGAAACCATACAAATTCTGGAAGATAACAGAAAAACTCTTCTACACATTGGCTTAGGCAAATGTGTAGAAGAGTTTATGACCAAGAGCCAAAAGCAACTGCAACAAAAACAAATAGATGAGACTTAATTAAACTAAAAAGCTTCTGCACAGCAAAAGAAATAATCAGCAGAGTTAACAGACAACCCACAGAGTGGGAGAAAATTTTCCCCATCTATACACCCGACAAAGGACTAATATCCAGAATCTACAAAGAACTCAAACAAATCAGCAAGGAAAGAACAAACAATCCCATCAAAAAGTGAGCTAAGGACACGAATAGACAATTCTCAAGAGAAGATATACAAACGGCCAACAAGCATATGGAAAAATGCTCAACATCACTAATTATCAGGGAAATGCAAATTAAAACCACAATGCAATACCACCTCACTCCTGCAAGAAAGTCCATAATTTTAAAAAATCAAAAAATAATAGATGCTGGCATAGACGAGGTGAAAAGGGAACATTTTTACACTGTTGGTAGGAATGTAAACTAATACAACCACTATGGAAAACAGTGTGGAGCTTTTTTAAAGAACTAAAAGTAGATCTACTGCTTGATCCAGCAATCACACTACCAAGTATCTACCAACAGGAAAAGAAGTCATTATACAGAAAAAGATGCTTGCACACACATGTTTATAGCAGCACAATTTGCAATTGCAAAAATATGGAACCAGTCAAAATGCCCATAAACCAATGAGTGGATAAAGGAAATGTGATACACACACCATGGAATATGGAATACTACTCAGCTATAAAATGGAACAAAGTAAAGGCATTTGAAGCAATCTGGATGAAATTGGAGACTATTATTCTAAGTGAAGTAACTCGGATGGAAAACCAAACATCGTGTGTTCTCACTCATATGTGGAAGCTAAGCTATGAGGATGCAAAGGCATAACAATGATACATTGGACTTTGGGGACTGAGGGGAAAGGGTGGGAGGTGGCAAGGGATAAAAGACTACACATTGGGTACAGTGCACACTGCTTGGGTGATGGGTGCACCAAAATCTCAGAAATCACTACTAAAGAACTTATTCATGTAACCAAATACCACCTGTTCCCCAAAAACCTATTGAAATAAAAAATAAGTTTTTAAAAAAGAAGTCAAGAAGAGAAAGTTTTTAAAATCGTATGCATTCTTGTAATGCCTTTCAACTCAACAATTCAATAGAATAATTCTGTCGGGTGACTTTGCCCTGAACTGTTCTCTTTGGCAGTGATGTAGCTCTACCACTTCATGCTGTTGGTGAAAACCTTGTTTTTATCCCATCTACCCTGAATCCTACTGGCAATGCACATAAAGAAATGATGGAAAAAAAAATAGTGGGTGGTATCAACCACCCTGGCTTAATGGGTGTTTTCAGTTGGTAGGTTTCTCAGTGGCATTCTAGTTTGGTTTTTTTTTTTTCCCTGAAAACAACAGATTTCATGCTCTTCCTTCTCTAACGCTTAACAGTGAGGCTTCCCTAGCATTTGGAGTATGTCCCTTTACACCCTGCTCAAGGCCTTGGGAGCCCACCCCTTGCATTGGTGTGGCCTGGATGTGAGACATGGAGTCAAAGGAGATTATTTTAGAGCTTTAAAATTTAATGACTGCCCTGCTGGGTTCCGGAATTGCACAGGGCCTGTAGACCCTATCTGTTGGCTGATATCTCCCTTTTGAAAAGGGAATATTTACTCAATGCCTACACACACATTATATCTTGGAAGTAACTAACTTGTTTTTTATTTTACAGGCTTATATGCAGAAGGGACTTGCCTCATCTCAGGTGAGACTTTGGACAGTAAATTTTTGAGTTAATGCTGAAATGAGTTAAGACTTTGGGGGACTGTTGAGAATGGATGATAGTATTTTGCAATGTGAGAAGCACATGAGATTTGGGAGGGGCCAGGGGCACAATGATATGGTTTGGATTTGTGTCCCCACCCAAATCTCATGTTGAATTGTAATCCCCACTGTTGAAGGAGGGGCCTGGTGGGAGGTGATTGGATCATGGGGGTGAGTTTCCCTCTCAGTGCTGCTCTCATGATAGTGAGTGAGTGCTCAGAGATTTGGTTGTTTAAAAGTGTGTGGCACCTCCCCATTCTCTCTCTCTCTTTTTCTCTTGCTCCTGCCATGTAAGACGAGCTTGCTCCTCCTTTGCCTTCTGCTATGACTGAAAGTTTCCTGAGGCCTCCCCAGCCATGCTTCCTGCATAGCCTGTGGAACTGTGATCCAATTATAAATTTCTTTTATTTATAAATTACCCAATCTCAAGTATTTCTTTATAGTAGTGTGAGAATCAACTAATACATGCCCTTTGTCACCTTGCATTAAATTTATAAGTGTGGAAGTGTCTTGGTTAATCTTCAGATACTTGAAGAGTTCTCTAGGAATGTTACCTCCAGCAGATATCTTAGTACCCAGCACATGCAGGTAGTCAATAAATATTATCTTGAATGAAGCTAAAGATGGCATTTCATTTCTTCCAAATAGGTATACTTCCTCCAATATATAGACTGTGTTATAGTATAATTGACAAGTATAGGGACAAAGAGGACCTCTTCAGGGAAATATCTGTTCACAAGTGGGAAGAACTGGCGAAGACTTCACATGGTGATTGTATGTGCCAATCCTGGAATATTGTTCATCGATTTATAAGTTTTCTTCTTCCAACATGTTTGACTGGAAGGAACATCTTACTGAGATTGGGAGACCTGATAGGACACCTTATTAGTTCTCCTGGGATTATAGAAGTTCATTCCAGAGCCACAGTTCTGAACGTCAAAAATTAACATTCCTGCTGGAGTGCCCTTCACATTAAGGGGTGATAGCCAGAGGCAGAATGAGAGCTCACGTCACAACTGACTGGGGCACACAATAATTAATAGAAACAAGTGGATGTGGGGTGGGGTAGGGTGGTGGGATTGAACCACAGAATGCTTTTATTTTATGTGCCATACAATCTGATGAGCTTGCTTTCACACACTTTGAGCTGCTGAGAATAACTGGGGAGGTGAGACCTGCAGACTGAGTCCAGTCTGGGAATGGGCAACCTGCAGGCACATAGTGGCCAAGAAGGGCTGTGTTCAAAGTGGCAGGAGGGAGTTCAAGAAAGCAAAACCCAGAACCACCATGGGGAAGGAGACTTTTGCTGTGACTTAATCAGATCTAATGGGAAACAACTTGGATTTCTTTTACAGTTAAACATGAAAGCAAGAAGTGAGCTCCTTGTCTCACACCCAAACTACATTACTGACTGTGCTTTTGACACTCGTGTCCCTCAAATTCCTCATCTTTGTCTTTTCCTTTCCTCCCTATTTTACATATGAAATGAGCGAGTACTAATCACATTAAATATTTCAGCAGCACTGTTGAAGTGACATTTATCTTGGCAGACATGAGCCAGTTATAGGGATTATTTTTAAAAATCTGGAAGGACTGCCTTTCCTGTGGTGCAATTCAGCAGACAGGGGCTGAGTGCCCGCTGCCCACAGGATGTGCAATAAAGCTGGGGAAACAGTGCAGCACACACGGGGGCAACCGTTCCCTCTGATGGTCGCGGAGCTCACACCCGGGGGAGGTCTTACCCCTGCAGCAAGGGCACGGCTGGATTTTAGGAATATGGCTCTCTTAGCGTGGGATTCTCGGGCTGTGGAGATTCCAGTGGGTGGAAGGCCAGGCCCATCTCACGGTTTAGGGTCCAGGAAGCCCAGGTTCCATACCATGGAAAGGCAGCCCCCGGCTTGGGCTGGTCGTGGGCTTTCTCACCTCCTTCTGAGTTCAGCTGGGCTGAGGAGGGCTGAGCTGCCAGGAGCTGGAGTAGCCAATGAAGACAACAAGCAAATGTAAGTACCAGTGAAGCTCTCATCTCCCGCTGTGACCGTGTGTGCTAGAGGCTGACCAGGAAGGCAGCTGCTGGTGGGGCAGGTGGACCAGCAAAGGCGTGGGGGGTGCCTTACTACTAAGGGAGCCTGGAACAAGAGGCTTCTGCAGTTTTAGGGACCCCTGGCAAGAGAAGGGCTGGGGAGGAGAAAGTGCTAGGCGTGGACAATAACTGATGCCTGAGGAAGAGTGGGAGAAAGGATTCCCCTCCCCCAGTAAGGAGATCTCAGCAGAAAAATCTGAGCCTGGCCTCTGCTGAAGGCCCCAGATAGAGGCTCCAGATGGAGGCACCTGGGCTAGGAGCCAGCTCTGCATAGAAGCACAGCCCTCTGGGGTAGGGGGTGGGCAGGGGCCAAGATCCTTGGCTGTAGCTGCCTCCAGAGCCTCCACACACTGGCTGAACCAAGCATGGCCTGGGGAGGGCCACCCCCAGAGCCTTGGAATTGCCTGTGGCCCGGCCTGGAAGATCACAGAGGGGATTTAGCCAGCAGCCAATGGCTCCTTTATAGTGGCTAGAGTGGATATGATTATATTCCCAAAAGTAAAGAAGTTAAATTAGTAAAGTTAACATTGATGTGAAATATGAATGTTCAGAATACAATATTTTTTGTTTTTGAGGATAGTGGACCAAATTCAGTGTATGTGAATAGGTATGCATACATATCCAATTATACATATGTTATAAATATTAATATTGTCTATGATATAGTATATTTATAATATATAAATATGATATGTAATATATAAGATTTATAACCCATATTTTTCTAGAAAACATATATTTATAATATATAATATATTAATATAGAGTACATATTTATATTGTATATAAATATATAAACAATATGAATATATATTTATATTATATAATATATAGTATACATAATATGTATATGTATGCATACCTACTCACATACACTGAATTTGGTCTGAATACACTGAATATTTACCAATATTTTATATATAAGATACATATTTTGCAGGCTATAGATACATATAGACTGCAAAAATACTATTGCAGTCTATACTAAATACTATAGATATAGAGAGACTGCAAAAATACTATAGCTCTAATACTATAGATATGTCTATACTAAATACTATGTATATATTTATATACATATGGATTGTAAAAACACTATTGAAAAAGAACCCTTGCCTCTGACTCTTGTTTCCTTTCCCTTTTTCCTACTACCTGCCCCACACTCAACCTTGAGTAACTCACAAGTCACAAGTGTTGCAAAAACGGTTCTCCATGGTAACTTCCTGACAGTTATCAGGTTGGGATTAAGCCAGAACAATATCTACACGTTCCAACCACGGGTATAGCTGATGGTGAAGATGAAACCTGCTCCCTGGATGAAACCTGCTCCCTCAATGAAACCACAAGGACACCTGCTGCTCACTTCACCACGTGCCCTGCTTCTGCTCAGAGCGTCACTTGGTCTTCAGGTGCTCCCCAAGGGACATCTCCAGGGAAGGCTTTCAAACTTTGTTTGAGTCATAGAAACCATTTCCTTTTGATGCTATGAAATAAAAGTATGGGGACCTGAAAGAGGAAATAGCTGAAGACATAATTAAGTTCTTCTCAGAGGATATGCTATCTAAGCTGAGGCCTAAAGGTTGAGTAGGCATCAAGGAGGCAAACAGTGGGAGGGAAATAACTGGAGGTTTAGGGAACCTTGTGTCACTGACATATTAAATTTTACACAATGGCCTCACCATGGAACTACCCCCCAAATAAACATACTCAACACTTCCAGCACCCCAAGACCATGGAGGTGTCCCTCCCAGAACTTTCCCACTCCAAAAGTATTCTCAGCCTTTTGTCCCATAGATTTCCTTTACTTGTTTTTCTTAAAATTAACATAAATTGATTATGCAGTATGCACACTTTTTTGGCTGACTCTTGTCACTCAATATTGTGACTGCACGTGGAGCAGTGGTTTCTTTTTTGACTTCGCTGTATCAAATTGCACTGTGTGAATATACCCCAATTTATCCACTCTGTTTTTGATGGACTTTTGAGTTGTTTCCAGGTTTTAGCTTTTATGAATAATGCTGCTGTGGACATTCATTTGCATGTCTTTTGCACATATGTTTCCATTTCTTTTGGGTTTGTACCTATGATTCAGGTGTTGCTGGGCATGTGCAGGTCGAGCTTTGCAAGATGTTGCCGAAAAAACTGAGTGGTGAAAGTTCCTGCAGAAATTCACTCCCACCACCAGTATCTGAGAGAAGTTCTGGTTTCTCCACACCCTCGACAGTACTTGGTATTGTCTTACTGATTTCTTTTTAATGTTTGCCTTTTAAGGAGGAGTGTTATATCAAAACAATATGGTATATCATATTGTTGGTTTATATTCCATTTCCCTAATGAATTTTTAAACATTTAATGGTTATTTAATGTCCCCCTTTATAAAATGACAGTTCAATACTTGTGTTCATATTTTAATTGTGTTATTTTTCTTTCACTTATACATTTATTTATTTTTTTCTCCTTAGTAGCCAGCACTGTGTTTTTTAAAAAAGTTTTTTATTTCTGTAGGTTTCTGGGGAACAGGTGGTATTTGGTTACATGAGTAAGTTCTTTAATACTAATTTGTGAGATTCTTGGTACACCCATCACCCAAGCAGCATACACTGAACCCAATTTGTAGTCTTTTATCCCTCACTCCCTTCCCATCCTTTCCCCTTCAGTCCCCAAAACCCATTGTGTCATTCTTATGCCTTTGCATCCTCATAGCTTAGCTCCTAATTATGAACAAGAACATACGATGTCTGGTTTTCCATTCCTGAGTTACTACACTTAGAATAATAGCCTCCAATCCCATCCAGGTTGTTGTGAATGCCATTAATTCATTCCTTTTTATGGCTGAGTAGTATTCCACAGTTTCTTTATCCACTTGTTGATGGATGGGCATTTGGGCTGGTTCCACATTTTTTGCAATTACAATTGTGCTACTATAAACATGTGTGTGCAAGTATCTTTTTCATATAATGACTTCTTTTTCTCTCAGTAGATACCCAGTAGCGGGATTGCTGGATCAAATGGTAGTTCTACTTTTAGTTCTTTAAGGAATCTCCACACTGTTTTCCATAGTGGTTTCACTAGTTTAGACTCCCACCAGCAGGGTAAAAGTATTCCCTTTTCACTGCATCCATGCCAACATCTATTATTTTTTAATTTTTTGATTACGGCCATTCTTACAGGAGTAAGGTGGTATTGCATTGTGGTTTTGATTTACATTTCCCTGATCATTAGTGATGTTGAGCATTTTTTTCATTTTTTTTGGCCATTTGTATACATTTTTAGGATGCCTTTATAAACTCTGGATATGAGTCTTGCAAAGATCTCTCACACCATGGCTTTGTTTTGTACTCTCTCTATAGTGTCATTTGGTGAATAAAATTTCATACTATTAATTTAGTACAGCTGGATGTGGTGGCCCATGCCTGTAATCCCAGCCTTTTGGGAGGCCAAGGCAGGCAGATCACGAGGTCAGGAGTTCGAGACCAGCCTGGCCAATATGGTCAGAGACGGGTGAAACCCCGTCTCTACTAAAAAAATGCAAAAATTAGCTGGGTGTGGTGGCGCATGCCTGTAGTCCCAGCTACTTGGGAGGCTGAGGCAGGAGAATTGCTGGAACCCAGGAGGCAGAAGTTGCAGTGAACCGAGATGGTGCCACTGCACTCCAACCTGGGTGACAAAGCAAGACTCCATCTCAAAAAAAGAAAAAAAGAAAAAAAAATTTAGTACAACTTATTGATCCTTTATGTAATGGTTAGTCCTTTTAGTGTCATGTTTGAGAAGTGCTGCCTGCCCCAAGAACATGAAGATATTTCTCTGTAATATTTTTTAAGCTTTATTGTTTTATCTTTCATAGTTGGTCTTTGATCCACATGTGATTCATTTTCCTATAAGGTTTGATTTGAAGGTCAGATTTCATTTCTTTACCCATAGATATCCAATTGATTCATACAGTTTATTGAAAAGACTGGTCTTTCCTTGTTTCAAGTTGTTAAAGAATGAACAATAAAGTGAACTTACTAAAATAGAAGAAGAAAATAATAAAGATAAGAATACAAATTAATGAGAGGTAGAATCACAAAGGCATAGTTGATTCTTTTTAGAAGAAGAATAAATTAAATTTCTGGCAAGAATAATCAAGGGGAAAAAGAAGGATACACAAAAACCAATACAGGAATGAAAAAAGTGGTGAATGTACACGACCTGCACCTGTTAAAATGATGAAGACAAAGTACATGTATAAACTTAAAATACATTTGCAATTTAACAACAGAAAGTACATCTAACTTTGATATCAAATGCTGAGAAGGATACAGCAAAAAGTGAAATTACAGGTTTAAAGAAAACCTAAATAGTGATGGATTAGAAGACTCAATAGAGTATATCAACCCTCCCTAAATTAATCTAAGATTTTCATGCAATTTCAACTAGAATCTAAAGTGTATATTTTGTTATGTATTCATTCAGCTAAAATTTTCATTGGGATTGTATAAATTTTAGAGATCAGTTTAAAGAGAATTAACATCTTAACAATATTAAATTTTCTAATTCATGTACATAACTTACATTTCTTCTTATTTAAGTCTTTAATTTCTCTCAGCAAGATATTTTGGAGATTTAAGTATACAATTCTTACATACAGTTTGTTAAATAAAATGAAATACATGATGCCATTTAAAGTAGTATAGAAAGATATATCACGTACTTCATTTTATTTTCTAGATGTAACTCAAAGAATTTGAAAAGTCGAATTAACAACAAAATTCCCCAAACCTAGTTAGTGAAGGAATTCTGTCATATCTGAGAGAAATTGTAAATAATTTTCTTTTGTTTTATCAAAAGAAAACCCTACAAAATTATTTCATCCAATCTATAATTATTATCATTATTTCTATATTATTGCTATTTAGAAAAAAATGTCAGAGGCTAAAACTGAAAGTGGTATAGTTTGTTAGCAAGTAACTGGCAAAAGTATTATAACTTCCTTATGAAAATTAGATCTATAAAATTGAACTTCATGGAAATAATGGCCATAAACAATAATTCTCAGTGCTAGAAGCTAAGTTTCATGTGTACAACAAGCTATTGGCGGACCAAATCATCAATATAAAATTTTCATAAATTAAAATTTACCCCAATACAAACAATTTTAGTAAAAAATGCATCCAGTTTTTAAAAAGACAACCTATAATTGAAAAATGTATAAATTGTTGAGCTGCGCTACATACAAATTTGATCAAGGTTTAAGGAAGTAAGCTTTAGAAAGTACTTTATCCATCAGTGTTCTTTAGTGTTGGTGTGAACTTGATAAGAATGTTTTATCTTAACCACAAAGTCCATGTAGTCTTCAGATTGAAACACTGGGTTGAAATGTCTCATAATCCTCCACACATTCTGCCATTGCTAAGTCCTAGTAAAGGAGCTCTGCTTTCAAGCAAGAGACGAAGGAGAAGAGAACCACCTGGCCCTGCTCTGCACTCAGACTCAAACAAGGAGCAAGAGAATTCATAATGATGGTTAAATGCATGCAGGAAAAAGAGAGAAAATCAGAGAAAAAGGGCACAAATCAGTCAGTTCCTGGAGGAGGTCTGAAACGAGCCGGCACAGGACGTATGATTAATGGCCCCATCAACAACCTCTAGCCAAGCCTAGGAACTACGCTCTGAGAGGACCTCCTGGGGACTGGGGCACTGGCCATTACTGCCACATGGACAGCAGCTTCCTCAGTTAATTTAATGTTCACAGGAGCTCCTGATCCCTGCTGATGTTCATTAGCTATTCTGGGGCAAAAACATGAAGGGGTCGGCAGTGTATTCACAAAGCAGGTAGAAACTGTGTCTTGGAGTTAGAAAATCGCTGCATGCAAAATACCATGGCCCTAAATTCAGAAGAGACTCACGGGAGGTGACACTGAAATGAGCTGCATTTCTAAAACCCACACTCTATTCTACAGAAACAACCAACAGGTTGAGTTCTCCAAGGTCACACAGCCAATTAATAGGACACCCAGAAGAAAACAGGCTACAGGACCAGTCTGGAAGTTTCCCTTGCCAACCATGGATCTCAGGATCCTGCAGCAGTGCGGGAGTTCCTGCACCAACTATGCTTTTTAAAAAAGTAAATAAATAAATAAAAATAGCATACATGAACCTACATACACATACTTTCTCTAACTCACGTATATTCTGTTTTTCAAAAATGTAGATGCTACAATGATTAGCAAAATACAAAACCATTTCAAAGTGTCACAGGATTCGCATCTGTTATCATACTTCCTCAATTAGTGTTTATTAAAAGTACAACCATCTCAGCTGGGCTCACGCCTGTAATCCCAGCACTTTGGGAGGCCGAAGCAGGTGGATCACCTGAGGTCAGGAGTTCAAGACCAGCCTTGCCAACATGGTGAAATCCCCTCTCTACTAAAAATAAAAAAAAATTAGCTGGGCGTGGTGGCAGACACCTGTAATCCCAACTACTCGGGAGGCTGAGGCAGGAGAATCACTTGAACTCGGGAGGCAGTGATTGCAGCGAGCTGAGATCACGCCATTGCATTCCAACCTGAGCAACAACAGCGAAACTCTGTCTTAAAAAAAAAAAAAAAAAGTACAACTATCTCATATGAACTCCCCCAAAATGATATCGCAGAAGAAGTTTTACTGAAAATGTCCAGGAGCTACTACCCTGCATTCCAAATGCTTACTCACTTCTAACTTTCCATTCTAAAAGAAATGAGAGAAAGCAAGGTGAAATGCAAGAATGTTCGAGACTCCCTTCCTTCTCCAGTCTAAGATAATTAGAATATCTTCACGGATTTTGTTCAGTTGCCCATCTGTATGGTAAACAGTGAACACCCCACATTTCTTCCTGAAATGTAGCAATTGCTGTACCGACTTGTTACTCCCGGTGGAGTATTGTACCTGTGGATTACCATGTAAATGAGCACACAGATGTGCAGAAGAAAACAATCACTCTACTAAGGAGGAAATCTGGAACTCCAAACCATTCACATCTTTTTTCAGATTACAAATGACTTTGAAGACATCTTTAAAATAGAACAAATGGAAGAGCACTGTCACAGATGTTTTAATTATTTATCATTTAGAATCTATTTTCTTCTAGTATCGACAGAGGATTACATGTGTCCGAATACAATCTTCTACAAGCAACGTTTAGCCCAGTTGCATCAGAAGGCCCATGAGCTGCACAGTCTTAAATTGGTGGACATTGAATTCCATCTGAGACCACCCCGGCCGGGGTTATGATTGGGGAGATAACATTTAAATCAGCCGAGAACTACAACCTGAGGATCTACTATGTTTCTTAAATAGAATGTATAAGTGTTCTGAAATAGGAGCCATGTAGACAAAGCCTGCCTACTTGGATCAATTTGTTCATATTGATGAACAGCGTTGAGCTATTAGATGAACTAATAATTATTTAAAATCACAAGTTGTCTATAGAATCCATTGTTTCAACTCTGGCCCTATACAAGTGCAAATTGTACTTTGTAAAATTCAAATGCAAGGCTTTATATTTACTTTAAGGTATCACAGGTCAAGTTCACCAGGGGATCAGACTTAGAGAAAGATATGTGCCTGCATGGTTTGAGGAAAACACCTGTGAGGGGTAAGGGAAGCAGGACTGTGCGGAGGAAGAAGATGATAGAATTATGCATCCTCACAGCAGCCTCAGCAGATCCCACCAGGAGTTTGGGAGCTGGCATAGACCTTTAACAGGGGTCCCTCTGTTTACAAACCCCATGACCCTCAGAACGTGCTCCTGCCACGAGACTTGTTGGCAGCTGAATAAAAGACCAAGTGCAGGCCAAGCGCAGACTACAAGAGCTACCAATAATTGTCAACATAATGATGATAAGAATAGGTCTCTTTTATTGAGAATTTACATGTGTCAGGTCCCAAACAGGGTACACTCTGGTCGTTTACTCCATATAACCATTCAATGAGTATATTCCCAGAACTGTTACAACAAAGGTCCACGAACTGGGTGGTTTAAAGTAATAGATGTTTATTCTCTCACAACTCTAGAGGCCAGAAATCTGAAATCAAGGTGTGGGCAGAATTAACTCTTTCTGAGGGTTCTGAGGAAGAACCTGTTCCTTGTCTCTCTCCTCCCTTCTGGTGTCGCTGGCAATTCTTGGCACTCCTTGGATTGCAGATGCCTCATTCCCTCCTCTGCCTCTGTTATCACAGAACATTCTCCACGCCTGTGTCTGTGTCTCTTAAGGACACCAGTCACTGGATCAACTGCCTACTCTAATCCAGAATGACCTCATCGTAACACGTTACACCTGGAATGGCTCTGTTTCCAAACAAGATCACATTCCGAGGTGCCAGGGATTAAGACTGCAGCATATGAATGGGGTTTGAGGGAACACAATTCAGCCTGTAGCAGTAGGTATTCTTATTGCTATTTTTTGTATAAAGAAATCAACAGTATCAGCCAGGGCCCACTTAGGAAAACAGAAATCACACCAATTATTATAACGGAGAGAATTTAGTATGGAAAAATGAGTAAACAGGCATAAGAGCATTGAAAAGGTACAAGAAAACAATAACGCAAAGGTTGAACATGCAGGAAACAGCTTCCTTCCCTGGGATTGGCAAACCAAGTGAAAAGGCTGAGATTATTCAAGTTTAGGAAATTGGACGAGGGCATGAAGAGTTTGGAGCCACTGGTGCTGGGAGCACTGGAGCTTTAGAGGTGAGGGCTCATGACGTTGATACTTAAATCTCAGAAGTGAGGTGCTGTCTTGCTGATGCTGGTATCTTGAGGGGTTCACCGGTTTGGGAAGTGTGAATAAAAACCAGAAGCTGAAACTAATAGGCTCTGCATGGTGAGGGGTGTTGCTTAAATGGCCAAACGGGAGAGTTCATTCCCTCACTGCCCCCGGCCTGAGGCCTCCCTCTAGCGCTTTGGCAGAGCCTCACAGGGAGCAACTGGCAAAGCAGGAATGTGGTCTGCAGAGCCCCAGCCTCAGCCCACAAGAGTCCAGAGGGGCGAGCTTTCAGCCACACAATAGCTTAACAAACAACTCACTGAGCTAGAAAATCCCAGCATGCAGCAGGTGGCAAGGCTAGGATTCAACCTAAATCTGTGCAACTCTGAACTCACCTCCTGACCATTGGATTTACCTTCCTGTAAAATGGATATTTAAGAATAGATGAATATGTACTATTTTTATTCCTAAAATAATCATAATCCAAAAACCAATACTGGAAGAATAGCAATTTATCCTAAGCAATGAAAGCAAACCATCTTCTTCATGACAGGTGTAATTAGCCAGCTGTGTGCCATGAGTAAAGAGTGGATTGTGCTCCCATATGCAGACCATATTCAATGTCAGGGATCGGCAAAAGAACTGTCCAAATGGAGGCAGGGCAGCCAGACTGCCGCTGACCTCACAGTAAGAGAAACACATAGTACAGAAGCCTAGTAAATTCAGTTAGCTTTTTCCAATTAAATAAAGAGCAGAAGAAATTGGATTTAAGATTGTAACATGTGAAATGAAGTTAATAATCTAGAAGCAGATGAAATGTTCCTATGATAGGAAGCCAACTAAGCAAGTCATCTGGTAAAGAATGACAGAACACCAGCATTCCAACAGTGGAGTTTCTTAACGTCAGCAACACACACATCTTTCTGGGGCAGCCATACCTTGGCTCCGTTAACAGATATTTTCTTGAAATATTTAAGCTGAATGTTTGTAAATCAAATCGTATTTTGCCTACACATCTGTTCTGTCTCTGAAGCTCTCCATTTAGTAATAAATGACCTAGTAACCACACTGTCTTTATGCTCTACAGAAGCATGAATTTAAAGAAACTCCAGAGTAATTTACTCTTTCTTTACCAGACAATCGTAAAGCAGGAAATGTGTGTAATTGGCCCACTTTTCTATTCTTTTGTACACCTTTCAAGCATTAGAGACACTTAAGTCTTCTTTTCTGAATTTGTAAGATCATAACAGTCTATCTGGGACCTTAGTCTTCACTCACTTGTTTATCCAACCATGAGGAAGAAACCATCACAACCTTTGCATAAAGAAAGAGGTAAGAGGCTCTCTTAGTTATTCGGGCTGCTATGGCAAAATACCATAAACTACGTGTCCTACAAACAACAGAAATTTATATCTCAGAGTCCTGAAGGCTGGAATTCTAGATCAACGCAGTTTCGGTGTCTGTGAAGACCCATTTTTCTGCTTTTTCATTGTGTCTTCACACAATCGTGCCCACAATGAGGGGCAGGGCGTCTCCCTGGTCCTCTTTCATAAGAGCATGGATCCCATTCATGAGGGCACTGCCTTTATTATCTAATCTCCTCCCAAAGGCCCTGCCTTCTAATGACATCACATTGGGGATTAAGGCTTCAACATATGTGTTTGGGGTCGTACAACATGCAGTCCTTAACAGAGGCATTAACTGAGGTAGACAGGGAGGGTTACCCTCTGTTTAATTTCCTGCTCTCTACGTGTGGTGAACTCTTGGACTTGACTTTCTGCAGAATGTCCCATTCCTGCTTGTTGTTGTTGTTGTTGTCGTCGTTGTTGTTGTTTTTGGGACAGGCTGGAGTGCAGTGGTGCAATCATGGTTCACTACAGCCTTGAACTCCTGGGCTCAAGCAATCCTCCCACCTCAGCTTCCCAAGTGGCTGGGACCACAGGTGCACCCCACCACTCCTGTCTTAATTTTTTTTTTTTTTTGAGACAGAGTCTCACTCTGTTACCCAGGCTGGCATGATCTCGGCCCATTGCAACCTCTGCCTCCCGGGTTCAAGTGATTCTCCCACCTCAGCCTCCTGAGTAGCTGGGACTGCAGGTGCACGCCACCACACCCGGCTAATTTTTTGCATTTTTAGTAGAGACTGGGTTTCACTGTGTTGGCCAGGCTGGTCTCAAACTCCTGACCTCAGGTGATCTGCCTGCCTTGGCATCCCAAAATGTTGGGATTACAGATGTGAGCCACCATGCCCAGCCAATTTATTTATTTATTAGTATTTATTTATTTATTTAAATATTTATTTAAATAAATTAATATTTATTTAAATAAATAAATATTTATTTATTTATTTATTTAACAGACAGAGTCTCACTATATTGCCCAGGCTGGTCTCAAATTCTTGCCTGCTTGTTTCCAACCCAAGACAGAAAAAACCCTGACCATCAACAATGCATGTGCTACCATCAGCCCATTTTAGACGGCTCTGCACCCCTAACTCCATCCACGTCCACCTCCCCAGGGTGCTCACTGCTCCATCCTTCCTCTCTTCTGGACCCCTGGCTTGATATCCAAAGGACAGTTGAGAAGAGGGAGTACAGGCTTTGGATTTAGGCAGTACAGGGCTCAAATTCTGGCTTCATCTCTTTCCACCCTTGAGACCTTGCTGCAAAAAATAATTTGATAATGCCGACCTTGGAGGGGTTTTATTGGAATTAAATGAGCTTGTATGAAGAAGTCTAACACATAGTTGGTGTTTAGCAAACAGCTTCCTCATCTCAGCTCACTGGTGCTGGTTACACACGTTCCCTGGTAAGCAGGGTCTGAGAAAGACAGAGAGAAGCCTTTACACAGCTTGGCTACCATATCATTGTCTTCTGAGCTTCCGTTTAGATATCAAAAGAAAGTTTGATATAAAAATCCAGGTAAGTTCATTGGCAAATATACACCCCTGAACCCTGACTCAGCAGTATTAGAGTGACCAGATGTAAGGGTTTAGAGACCATCTGTGCCAGTCATCTTCATCTTCTAACCAGCCAGGGCATCTCCCTCAGATTGAACAGTTACCATGGGACAGGCAAGGGATGGGCATGCATTATCTCATTTAGCCCTCACAGCAACCCTAATTAGGTGAGAATTATCCTAATTTGCACATGGTAAAACAATTGTATCCAGGATCATCCAACCAATCAGTAGCAAAGTGAGGACTAAGGGTGGTCCAAGACTTTCCTGCCATGTTGCATTAAATCCTTTGAACCGTCTGTGAGTTTCAGGCAGAGCTGCTATCATTATTCTCCAGGGGTGGATTCTGAGTACCTAACCCCAGGCTGGTGTGTCTGTTATTCTATTAGAGGGTCAAGTGAGAATTTGAGTCTGATCTCATGTGGATCAGCTGTCTGACTGCAAAACAACCAAACAGACAAACACATACATAGGTGCATGCATGCATACACACACAGGTAACTTTTCATCAGTGGAAGCTATGAGGAAGGCTGACATAGCAGAAATCCTTCTTACAAAGACTTACAAAGGGAGGCTTACAGTGCTACTGCTGGTGGGCTTGTGTTTATACAGAATCTTTTTGTTAGGCAACATCAGCGGGCTGGGATTGACATCATCTAATAGCAGGTGCAGTTTCAGGAGAAAGAGGCACACCCAAGGAGGAGCAAGGGAGAAGGGAAGAATGGATGCTCAAGGCTCATTGCTGAGGTTGGCTTTAGGTTTATGGGGTGTAGAGGGTCACATATCTGCTCCTCAGAAATGGAAAAGGTTTGAGAACCTTTGATTATCTGAGAGCTAATGGGTCTGTGTGTTTTTCTCTTAGTGCCCTGGGGAATAGAAGAGAATTAAGAGATTAGGTAGTTTACAGGAAGAAACCTGATGGGCTGTGAAAGCTCGAGGTCTCTCTTATTTCTTCTAGAATAAATAGCAACAGTTGTCTTAGTCTGTTTGGGCTGATATAACAAGATACTTGAGACTAGATAATATATAAAGAACAGAAATTTATTTATCATGGTTCTAGAGGCTGTGTAATCAAGGTACTGGCAGCTGGTGTCTGGTGAGGGTCTTCTTGCTGCGTCCACCAGAGGGGAGGAACATAGTGGAGGCAAGAGGTCCAAAGGGATGAACTCACTCCTCCATCCCTTTTTTTATTTTTATTTTTTGAGACAGAGTCTTGCTCTGTTGCCCAGGCTGGAGTGCAGTGGTGCCATCTCAGCTCACTGCAACCTCTGCCTCCAGGGTTCAAGTGATTCTCCTACCTCAGCCTCCCAAGTAGCTGGGATTACAGGCACACACCACCATGTTCAGCTAATTTTTGTATTTTTAGTAGAGACTGGGTTTACCATGTTTGCCAGGCTGGTCTTGAACTCCTGACCTCAAGTGATCTACCCACCTCAGCTTCCCAAAGTGTTGAGCTTACAGGAGTGAGCCACTGCACCTGGCCCCTTCAGCCCTTTTAGAAGGGCAGCTAATCCCATTCATGAGGGAAGAGCCTTTATGGCCTAATTGCCTTAGGAAGGCCCCACCTCTTAATATCATCACATTGGCAACACCTGAATTTTGGACCAGATACATTCAAACCATAGCCACAGCCAATCCCCAGAGAGCCGACAAAGGGACCCGGGTGACAATGCCTACCTCCTAGAAAGCCAAATACGGATCAGTTTCAACAAAGCAATTGGAACGGATTGATGCATCAGAACTGCTCCCCATGGATGCACTTGCACCGCCCTGTATGAGTCCTAGAAATCAATAGGCACTACACACCCCTCACCAGGGTATCTTCAAGAATAATTAATTAATCAAGGCATTAAGCTACAGGAATAAAATCTACTTTTTATTACTTGTATTCTTAAAAAGAAATGATTCAAAAATTTCACAATTGTAGGAGTTTTAAGGTGTCTATATTTTATATATGTTGCCTTCTGTGAAGATAACAGATTTCATTTGCTTGACGCTGTCATTTTTATACCTATTTTCAATACATATACTCAAATTTTGTGACACAGCTGAAAATTCAACCTTCTTTTTAACGTCAGAAAAAATTTAAATTGCAATTGTGACCCTAAGGTTCAAGCTTATTCTTCAGAGTTTTCACCATGGTGATGGACTTCAAGAATTAATCTTAGAAATCTCTTGTTACTGGATTCTCGCTTTTATAACTTTGTAATAGGAATTCAGTGAGATGTTGAAAAGAAAGGTAATTTACATTTCACACAGCCTCTGAGTTTCCTTCAGGTGTGACCAACACCAACTCTGAAATTGCATCTGCTCCATGTTGCTTATTTTCTAAGCACCTGGCCCTGACGGTTTCAACCCCTACCTCTCCAGCAGACACCTTCCAAATATGGTTATTTCTTTCATTGTGATATCATATTTTCAACTCTTCCTCATCTCACAAGCTATTTTGTCATAATTTACCTAACTATTCAGGTTCAAAAGTGCAACCAATTTCAAGCAGGAGAAATAAAAATAAATCCACACTAAAACAGATCATAATAAAATTTCCAAAACCCAAAGGGAGATAAAGTTCTAAAAGCAGATAGAAATATACATATATATGTATATGTATATATTTAATGTAATACATATATATAAGGCATATACGTAACACACAGACAGTGTGTGCAGACAGAGACAGAAACAGAGAGACAGAGACAGAGAGTGCTTTGAAGGAATGAAAATAATAGTTGACTTCCCAATAACAACCATTTAAACCATAACACATGGAAATGACATCTTCAACGTGAAGAAGGGATAAAATTTTACATCCCCCTTGAAAATATCTTGCAAGAATAAGTGCTAAACATTCTTTACTCAAAAAAAAGTGAGAGTGCTTTCAACAACATAATAATAAAAAAAATTCTTAAGAATGTAGGTCAAACAGAAAGAAAATTATCTCACATAGAGAGTTTAAAATGTAAGAAGAAATTAAAACCAAAGAAAGTGGAATACATGCATCATTTAAATAACATTTATAACATAAAAAAGAAAATGTCTTTTGAAGATTAAAGTATAATTTTTTAAACAACAGTAATAGTGAAGGCAGGAGAGAGTAAAAATGAATTCAAGTGTTATATGTTCCTTCCATCGTTTGAAAAGAGAATACAAATATTAAATTAGTTTAGAAGTGGTAAGTAGGCATGTTGAAATTAACAGGATAGGACTTAAAATAATAGAAACAAAATATAAAACTCTCAAACTTATGAAGAGGAAAAATGACTTTAAAAAGATACTCTGTTAATTTAAAGGAAGTCATGAAAGAGATAAAAATTTATAGAATGAGTTGGAAAACTACAAATCACAAACTAAGATGGCATGTTTAAATCCAAATACATCAGCAACTGCATTAAATATGAAAAGAATGATTTCCTAGTAAAGCACTAAAAAGCATGAAACATTCTGAATAAATTAGGCCTGGCTTTATGACACAAGGTTGGTTCAACAGTGAAAACTCATTCAGTGTAATCCAGGGTATTGACAGATCAAGTGTGGAATGTTATAGATCCAGAAACAGCATTTGATCAAGTTTTCCACACACACAGAAAAAAATTGCTTAAGAAACTGGAAATAGAAGAGATATGTCTTAGCTGAATAAAAGGCATCTACAAAAAATCCATAGCAAACATTCTATTTAATTGTTAAAAATTTCATTTTTTTGTTTTGTTTTGAGATCAAGAACAAAACAAAGATGCCTTATATCAAAAATTCCTTTCAACATTGTACTGGAGAACCCAATCAGCATAATAAGGTAAGAATAACAAAGAAAAGAAAAAATTTATAACAACTAGATGATATAAATTCTTTACATAAAAAAGAATTCATATATAATTCATTAGAAATAATTTTTAAAATTTAGCAAAATTAAAAGCTTACCAAAACTCAACATATAAGCATCAATTTCATTTCTACATATCAACAATAAAAGGTTACAAAACAGAAATAAAAATACCAATTACAATAGAAAAAAATAAATCCAAGGGGAAAAAATACTAAAGAAACATACGCTGGTATTGACGACTACCTTCTTCTACTACCCATTCTGTATTCCCTTTGCCTTCAGCAAGCACCTCAGCAGGTTGTGTTTGTTTGTGTTTGTTTTTGTTTTTTGTTTTTTGTTTTCCCTGGTGGAGTGAGCCAAACCTTCTTTCCTGAGGGGTCTGGACCATTTACAATGCTGCCTGGATTGGGTTGTTGTAGTTTCCCATTGACCTTAATCACAGGGCATGGTAATACTAAGAGATGCCCTAATGGATCTCCTGTATTCCATGCATACTCTTCCTTACCTCCATTGTGGAGCAATAAACTGATTTCATCTTGATAATCCGGGTCAATCACCCCAACCAACATCAACTCCCTTCTTAGCCTGTTGACTTAAAGGTAGGAGGAGCCAAAAGTGTCCAGGTGGCAATCTGAACTTCCAGTTTAATGGAATCGTTGTTGTGTCCCCTGGTGGCAGCATTCCTCCCTCTGGCACTAAGACCTCTAGGACCGCAGAACATAATGTCATGTGAACAGGAAGCAAAAATTTTGATAGTGGATCACTGGGGGTGGTCATGAGTGGTGCTTTCACTTCCACCCCTTGATTCCTGGACCCATGAATCCTGGCTATAGGAGAAAGAGTACCATATGTTGGATGCTGATTCAGAGCATACACGGCCTTCTGCAGAACTTTGCCCCAGCCTTGCAAAGTATTGTCATCTAGTTGGTGTTGTAATTGTAACTTCAAAAGGCAACTCCACCGTTCTATCAGTCTAGCTGCTTCAGGATGATGGAGAACATGGTAAGACCAGTGAATTCCATGAGCATGAGCCTACTGCCGCATTTCTTTAGCCATAAAGTGAATGCCTTGGTCAGAGACAATGCTGTGTAGAATACCATGACAGTGGATAAGGCACTCCGTGAGTCCATGGATGATAGTCTTGGCAGAAGCATTGTGTGCAGGGTAGGCAAACCTGTATCTGGAGTAAGTGTCTATTCCAGTGAGGACAAACCTCTGCTCTTTCCATGATGGAAGAGGTCCAATATAATCAAACTGCCATGAGCTAGCTAGCTGATCACCCCAAGGAATGGTGCCATATCAAGGGCTCAGTGTTGGTCTCTGCTGCTGGCAAGTTGGGCACTCAGCAGTGGCTGTAGCCAGGTCTGCCTTGATGAGTGGAAGTCCATGTTGCTGAGCCCATGCATAACCTCCAAACCTGCCACCATGGCCACTTTGTTCATGAGCACATTAGGTGATGACAGGGGTGGCTCAGGAAAGAGCTGAGTGGTGTCACAGAATGGGTCATCATATCCACTTGATTATTAAAATCCTCCTCTGCCGAGGTCACCCATGGGTGAACACTCACATAGGATACAAATACCTTCATAGATTTTGACCACTCAGATAGGTCCATCCACATACCTCTTCCCCAAATTCCTTTGTCACCAATTTTCCAGTCATGCTTCTTCCAAGTCCCTGACCCTCCAGCCAAACCATTGGCTACAGCCAATTAATTGGTATATAATCGCACATCTGGCCATGTCTCCTTCCATGCAAAGTGCACAATCAGGTGCACTGCTCAAATTTCTGTCCATTTGGAAGATTTCCCTTCACCGCTGTCCTTGAGATGTCCTGGAAAGGGGCTGTAGGACTGCAGCTGTCTACTTTCGGGTGGTGCCTGCATATCACGCAGAGCCATCTGTGAACCAAACCCTAGTCTTCTCTTCCCATCAACTGATCATAGGGAACTCCCCATGAGGCCATTGGTGCAGGCTGGTGGAGAGAAGGCAGGGTGGCAAGAGTGGAGACCATGGGCATTTGAGCCACTTCCTCATGTAACTTACTTACTTACTGTGATTGAACTATGGGGGCCTGCCAAAAGCTCCAAACTGCATCACTATCTGCCACTGCCACCTCAAGTACCACTGGATCTGCTAGGTCATATGGCCCAAGTGGCAGAGCAGCTTGCACAGCAGCCTGGACCTGTTGCAGAGCCTTCTCCTGTTCTACACCCCACTCAAAACTGGCAGCCTTTCAGATCACTCGATAAATGGGTCAGAGTAACACACCCAAATGAGCAATGTGTTGCCTCCAAAATCCAAATAGGCCCACTAGGCATTGTGCCTCTTTCTTGGTTGTAGGAAGGGCCAAATACAGCAAATTATCTTTCAACAGGTCCCACACCACTGGACTCCTAGAAATTTTACTGAGGTAGAAGTTTCCTGAATTTTAGTCAGATTTATTTCCCATCCTCTGACATGTGACTGTCTCACCAATAAATCTAATGTGTTTGCTACTTCTTGCTCACTGGATCCAATCAGCATCATGTCATCAATGTAATGGAACAGTGTGGCATCTTGTGGAAGCAAAAAGTGATCAAGGTCTCTCCGAAAAAGATTATGACACAAAACCAAAGAGTTTATATGACCCTGAGGTAGGACAGTAAAGGTATATTGCTGCTGAAGGCAAATTTCTTCTGGTAGGCCTTATGGACAGGAATGGAGAAAAAGGTGTTTGCCAAGTCAGTGGCTGCCTACCGGGTACCAGGAGATGTGTTAATTTGCTCAGGCAATGAAATGCATCTGGTACAGCAGCTGCAATTGGAGTCATCACTTGGTTAAGCTCACAATAATCCACTGTCATTCTCCAAGATCCATCTGTCTTCTGCACAGGCCAAATGGTAGAGTTGAACAGGGATGTGGTGGGAATCACCACCCCTGTGTCTTTCAGGTCCTCGATGGTGGCACTAATCTCCGCAGTCCCTTCAGGGATGTGATATTGTTTTTGACTTAACTATTTTTCTAGGTAGAGCCAGCTCTAATGACTTCCATTTGGCCTTTCCTATCATAATAGCCCTCATCCTCCCACTCAGGGAGCCAATGTGGGGGTTCTGCCAGCTGCTAAATATGTTGATGCCAATTATACATTCTGACACTGAGGAAATGACCACAGGATGAGTCCAGGGACCCTCTGGACCCACTGTAAGTTGGACTTGAGCTAAAACTCTTGTTGGGTGGCAGTGGTCTGACAGCACCCTCGCGTACATCTAATTCCTTCTGTGTGTTCTGTGATGACCCAAGTCATAGTGGGCTGCTGTTCCTGCCTTTTCCTATCCCCCTATCTCTTCTCATGCACCATGCCCCCACCAAGAATGTTCTCTCTCATATCTGATTTCTTAAATATTGTTTATTTTTTCATAATCTTAATTAATTCAATGTCTGCACCAAGTCACTCAAGCTTAAATTGCCCTCATCTGAAATGCTAGACTATGCGATCATTTGCTGGCAGAACTGTCTGGTTTCACAGTTACTGGTTTCCAGTATTCCCATGTGGGTTTTGATCTTGGTCACTATATGATGAGCTGTCTCCAGTCAGAGACACTAGGTCATGCTACCACAAAGCCCTCATGGTACTTAAGGTATTTTCCACATAATAAGTGATAAATAATTATTTAATGAAGAGTAAACCTGTTATCAATTCCTCTGAACATCACATTTATCATACATAGAGAAAATTAAAGGCGTCTCATTTTAAAAGCACCCTTATCCTGGATTTCTAAATCTTGCCATAAACATGTCATGGATGAACACACATCTTCCCCTAGGTAGTGACAGGTTTCAAGAAATAAGTCAAGAAAACTCAATGGTGTCCCAATGTAGACAGAGAGAATACCATAATGAGATTCTTGTTGCTAAAGAAATTACCACGAAGTCCAAGAAAGTATTAATTACAGTGGATCTTGCGATCACTAATCTTTCAACCTTCTATGCTTGAGGATAATACCTGCTTTTAAAGTAAGGAAATAAAACATTTGGTACAACAGAGGATAAGAGAAGAAGAAAGGGAAGAAGCTGTGAAACGTAAGCTCTAACCATGCCTTACATCTATTAGGTTGATGCAAACGTAATTGCGGTTTTTGCTGTTTAAAGTAATGGCAAAAACCGCAATTACTTTTGCACCAATCAACTAATTTTATCCTCTCTAGAAAGGTAACACTTCTGCAGTAGAGAAGGCTTTGCAACAGCAGCCACCCGAGCTGGTCATGCCTCGTTATCTGGGCAATCAGGACTGGGAAACAATAAAGAGGCAGAAAGTCACAGACAATCTGGAATACTCATTGTGGCCATTAGTTCTGATTTGGCTGCATCCCAGTTGATCACCTAGCAATACCTGGCAAGACCCCATTTCAGCGCTGTGGGAGCTGTGAATCAGTTCACCTGAAGGTGTTTCTTACCCAGTGAACACAGCCAAGTATAGAAGTCAGGACTCTCAAGCCGGGCACAGTGGTTCACCCTTGTAATTCCAACACTTTGGAAGGCCAAGGTGGGCGAATCACTTGAAGCCAGGAGTTTGAGACCAGCCTGGCCAACATGGCGAAACCCTGTCTCTACTAAAAATACAAAAATTAGCTGGGCATGGTGGTGGGCACCTATAATTCCAGCTACTCAGGAGGCTGAGGCAGGAGGATCACTTGAACCTGGATGGCGAAGGTTGCAGTGAGCCGAGATGGCATCATTGCACTCCAGTCTGGGCAACAGAGTAAGACTCTGTTGCAAACGAAAAAAGAAAAAAGAAGTCAGGACACTCATGTGTTCAAAGACCTCTTTCATAGCCTCAACGGTAGATGCCCCCATGCACTTCCAGTCATCAAAGCACATCTGGGTTTGTTTGGAGTTTCAGACTCTCTTATGAAGGTATGGGGGTCGGTGTTCTCTGAGACCTCTGAGTATTTGAGGAAGGGAGAGCCCAAGAGCCCACAAGCCATTGAGACACATCAACATTCTTCCAAAAAAGTTTAGATTTTCCTGTTCTTCACCAGGAGATCCACATGCCTATTGGAGACCAACTGTGCACTGCTCACTAGGTGAAGAAGGGCCCATCCTCTTCTTGAGGGTCCACATTCACAATGGGGCTCACAGTGCTATGTGTGTGTGTTGGTGGGGGCTCCCGTGACGTTCCTCGGGAACCACACTGCAGGCTGCGTAAGTCCAGCCCTTTCCTGGTAATCTAGTATCACCTGCCAGCTGCTGTAGAGTCTCAAGAGAAGAAACCAGCATGTTTGGATGTTCTGGATTGATGAGAACAGCCCCAGCCTGGCTGGCCTGGCCTTGGGGAGACTGTCAACATCTGACACTGGCTGAGCAAAATGGATGCACCAGACCTGATCTCTACTGAAGGCAAACCACCATGTCTGTCTGCGGTGGACCCCTCATAGAGCCATGTAGCTATCTCTTATTCCAGATTCCTTGTTTTAATCGCATGTTACTAGGGCCACTAACTAGGCTTGTTCATAGCAATAAGAAAAATCACAGTCGTCAAGAGCACACAGTACAAGAGCACCAGGAGACTCTTGGACTGCAAAGTACATGAAAGACCAACTCCATCATTTCCCTCCTACCAACCCACTCTCCTCCTACATAAGAAGAACAGAAAAAAGCAAGAGAGAAATTTAGTAATGAAGACAATGGGAGTTACTGGAGAGAGAGGAGAAAATGAGGACGGAAGGAGAGAGAGAGAGAGAAAGCATTTCGCCTCTGAGGGCCTTAAAAGGAGCCGGCCTAAGTGTCACTTCCCGAAAACCCTGCCCCTTAAATAACCCCCAATCCCACAGCCCCTTGGACCACGTGACATGAGGACAGGTGTCAGAGGTGAAGGTGAACAGAGGTGTCCATAGGCATTTCAGGAGAGTTCAGAGGAAAAATGAAGTTTTGTCATTATAGATATGAGGTACTTTAAAATCCCTTATTATGAGGCAGTATGGAGTCTAGAGTTAATAAGTATCCATTGGCCCATCTCTTTAAAAGCTTTCTAAGTAAGAATACCAAAAGGACCCAGCTAGCACATAGCTCCCTAGCCTCCAGGATTTGAATGCCAGCTTGGCTTCATTGTCTTCAGGACAGGGATAGAGCACATTCCCAGGGCTGTTCACTGTCCCCTGACTTCTCATCATGCTGTACCAGGCAGTCATCTGGAACAGGCTACACCTTCAAATCCTACTGGGCCATCTCCCAATAGAAGCGGTTACTGGATTGGGCTGTCTGCAGCTTCCTATAGGGTTGTTTCATCGCAACCTGTGTTATGCCATTTCCTCATCTCCTTGTGGCTCCTCATCACTCATCAGCCTCGTAGGGACCCACCTGTCTGACGCTGAATACAACTGATTGGTCCTGACCTCTGCTTCCACTTCCTAAGCTACCCAGCCTCTAGACTAGCATGGTTTCCAATAGCTTTGGGAGAACACTCTCCATCTTGTTTCTCTCCTAGGTCCTCAGGACTCTATCTCAGGTATCTGGGACCTTTGCTGCTACTGTATCAACTCCCCTCTGCCTGGACCAGGATGGCTATGCAACAGAACAGATAACCCTGACTGCATGAATGCCACCCACACAACCAGTGATGCTCAGCAAAATAGAACCACTGGGCTGTTATTCCAACAAAGCAACTGCATCATTTCTTTTTGCAAAGAAAAACACAAATTTTAGACTGCCAGTAAGTATTAAATCCATACTTGTTCACAACACCAAGTTCATACTTGCAAAGATATAAAAAATGTCTTCAAGACATTGTATAGCATAGAACCTTAAAATCAAATTGGAAGAAGTAAGATTTACATCAACATTCCAAGAGTTTATTCAGTGCTGGTGATGTGCATTATGTGAAAACATCAGCAAAAGAGGACAGGCAGATAGAAACACAGCTACATATGCCCATACTATATAATTAAGCAGTAAATTGTGTAAATGAAACAATGTGCTAGAAATACTCAGAGGCATTGGTAGCAGATAGGGGTCTAAGTCTATATTGGATGAGAAGAACAAAACCATCAGCTCCTTTCCCTCCAACATGTAAAGGTTGAAAGGACATGATGACGACTCAGGGCTTGGACAAAGGTCTTGGGCACATGAGCAGATTAAACTCACACAAAGGGTGGCTCAGATCACGTCCACACTCTCACCCCTTGCTTAAGTAAAAGGCAACTCTTTTGAGCCAATCCAAGCATTCTCAACGGAAGTAAGGAGGCAAAAATTGACACCTGGAGGAAAATAAAGTCTTACATATTGCAATGATTTGTGGTCCTTCAAAGCTCAATGCTACCCAAAAAAAAAAAAATCTGTTTCTCAATATTTAATTTATCTTATTCAATTAAATTGAAATTTTCTCTTTAGGGGGGTGATAATAAAAACAAACTGAGAAATATTGACTTAAGCCTTTTTAATAAAAGTTGGCCAAGCTCTCATCAAAATTAAAAACTTTTGAGCATCAAAGAATACTATAAAGGAACTAAAAAGATAGTCTAAAAAGTAGGAGAAAATATTTACAAATCATATATCTGTATGGGACTTGTATCCAGAAAATATAAAGAACAATTAAACTTCAACAATGAAAAAGACAAATAGCCCAATTAAAATAAGATCAAAGGGACTCAACCAGATATTTCTCCAAGAAGATATATAAATGGCCAACAAGTACACAAAAAGATGCTCACCATCTTCAGTAATGAAGAAACTGAACATCAAAACCACAATGAGATACCACTTCAAACACACCGAAAATGACTATCATTAGAAAAGGAAAAAATGGCAAGCATTAGCAAGAATGTGGAGCATTGGAACCCTAGCAGTTGCTGGCGGGATGTTAAGTGGCACACGCCCACTGTGGAGGGCAAGGCAGTTCCTCTAAAGGTGGATGTAGAATTACCACAGAACCCAGCAAATCAATCCTTGAGTATATGCCTAAGAGAAATGAAACGTGTTCATGCAAAAGCTTGTACATACATGTTCATAACAACATTATTCAAAATAGCCAAACAGTGCAAATAACATAAACGTCCATCAATTAATGAAATGGATAAACAAAATGCGGTGTGTCCATACAATGGAATATTACAGTAAGTTCTGACTTAAATGAGTTATTGGAAACTGTGACTTTAAGCCAAAGGACTTGCAGCAGGTCCTTGAATAACGTAATTTCGTTCAACATCATTTCATTATATTGATGGAAGAAAAGAAATTGGTTTCATTATAAGTCATTGCACTTAAAGCCACAGTTTCCAAGAACCCGTTGATGATATTAAGTGAGGATTTACTGTATTTGGTAACAAGAAGGAAGGAAGCTCAGGTACAGGCTACAATATGAATGAGCCTTGGAAACATGCTACGTGAAAGAAGTCAGTCAAAAAGCATTATGTATTGTGTGATCTCACGATTCTATTTACATGAAATGTCCAGAATAGGTAAAGTCATAGAAAAAGAAAGTAAATTAGTAGTTGTCAGGGTCTGGGGAAGAGGCGATGAAGTGACAAAATTGTTGTGAAATTAAACAGTGGTTATGGTTGCACACCTTCTGAATATACTAAACAACACTAAAATATATCCTTTCAAGTGGTGAGTTTTATGATATGTGAATGAAGTCTTTTTTAAAAATTGGTTAGATTATTTTTCCCAGACAAAACTTGGTAAGGGCTCACAGCATTCCTAAGATGCTGAGCAGAGGGAAGAGGTCATCGTGCCTTCTGCTCTTGCACTAGTGAAGAGAAGTCAGCCACCCTCCCCAGACACCGCACCAGCCTAGACCTTGCAATGTTTCTGTTAAAACAAACAAAATAATCTCAACTGAAAGAAGCATTTGGCCAGCTAGGATGTTGCTTCTATCATCTGATTGCACAAGGCTTAGTGATTAATCTATTGATCATTCCCATCTCCTCTGTTAAGCAAGCATGACCATGCCTGATAACTGCTGGGAAGATGAATCACTGAGCGGGGCTGGTGATATTAGTCATGAGTATGTATGAAATTAGAGAAGAGAAGGACGCAGATTTCTATGAGGATTAAGGAGAAAAGCATTCTGTGGCTGTATTTACTCTCTGCTCATCCTCAGCAAAGGTTCCGTAAGTGACGTTTCATCTTCCATTACCTTGTTCCCAAACAGGAAATACTAAAATAAGAGAAGTGCCTTCAGAAAGTGACAGGCACTGAGAGCCAGAATGAATCGTTCGCTACTAACAACCTGTTTGAAGCAGAAAATTTTGCTGCATTACACGAACTGAATTTACAGCTTCCATTCTCCAAAGATTAAAGAGATTATTCCTAATGTAATCAGTAGCCATCGCCTTTAAAATAGAGAACTATTTGTGACTTCAAAAGGTTTTGAAGAAGAGTCTGTGGCTCCATCTTTCCCCAGTATCATTACGATCATTGCTTTGTTTTGCCATAGGCTGCTATTACGTAATTACTTTGGAAGTGTGTGCCTGTGGGGTTTGACTGGTAGAAACAAGGAGGCAGAATTGAACTGGAGCTTGTCCAAGAAGTGGAGAAGGCAGGAGATAGGCATACTGGTGAAAACCTCAGCTGCGCTGCAGGATTCATCTGTGATCGTGTAAACAGAGAGGGGGACCCCTGCAAGCAGTTTCAGCCCTGTGGAGTCCCCATTGTCTTCAGTCTGTGACAACTGTTTCTGAGGCAGTGCACACTCAGAGCCCAGCAAGCTTGACCTCCAGGCCATGTCTGCCCTCCTCTCCCCACAGTCTGTCCTCAGAGAGCCCCATGGAGGCAGTGCCCTCTCTTATCAGGGAGCTTCTTAAGGCAGATTCAGGCTGAGACCTCTCTCCAGGTCTCACAGATTTCACGACTGGGCTGTTCATCCCCCAACCCTGTCCCTGCACCCTCCACTCCACACCCCTTCCCTCCTGCTGTTCCTTGACTTCACTTCCTTTTGTTCTAGTGTCACTAGAAAGAAGGGACAGCTGGTTACCCTCCTCAGCCTAGCAGCCCCTTTTATTCTTGAAAATGGCTCTTCCATCACTAGAATAATTCATCCTATTCTGTCTCTTCCTCAAATTCAGCTTTCAAGCCCTGAAGCACAGTCACTGTTTTCTACAGACACCTCCTCCTTAAATGGCCCTTTTCACTCCATTTGTGGGCTCTCCAGTGGGACACCTCTATTTATTGCCCACTCATTATGGGAATGAGCATAAAGATCTAGCGACAGCCTTTCTGTCTGCATTATAATACCAATTCCTCACTAATTCCCCTTGCCCTTCCATTTAAAGAGATGCTACCTCCTTTGCTTCCTGGCAGACCCAGCAGACCCCCATCCCTCCCTACTAATGAGCTGGCTCTTCCTGCTAATTTAACCTCCACCTGCTCATCCCTCCCATCTGACTCTGGGCCTGGGGAGGCTGTCAGGTCCCAAAGAATAAGCCATGGTTGTTGACGACTCAGGGGAATCAGCCGAAATCCTGAGACAGAACAATAGTTAGTGGTGATGACAAACTTCAAGCCTCAAATCTTTTAAAACAGAAGGAAAGTGGAAAATATCAGCAAAGACTAGGCATTCACATATCAAAAGTAGTTTTGTTTCATTTGAAACAGGTTTACAAAAATCATAAGGAGGTAATGAAAAGTCTCATTTCTTTTCACTATTGTTGGAAATCTGTCTCCTGGTATTATAGAGAGACTATGCCATCTACTCGAACTTCCTTTGCCCCCAGCAGAACTGTCTGAGAGGCTGCTGAGTTCATTTCATCCGGGATGCACTGAAGACTACCAAGAACCATTCCATCCATGGCCATCCTCTGGCAGACATTCTCACCTGGACATCTCCTCTTTCCACGTGCCTCTTGTCCAGGATGCATTTTGTCACATATTTTTTACAAAAGCATGTCAGGAGCCACTTCATAATCAGTCTGAAATAATGTCTTACTGTATAGACCAATGCTTTTTCCAGTGGGGTGCTCTTTCATTTCAGGCTCAGTGGCTTTTTTTTCTGAAGCTTATATAAATCCATGTAATGATATTTCACATATAGAAAGTAGGTTCCTTTAGATACCTCCTGAACTCTTCAGCCTTCAGGAACTTCTCTACCTTCCCTTTGTTTTCTTCATGCCCAATGAGGGCTGCACCTGCTGTGTCCTGTCGACATCTGTTTATTTCAATGACCTGAGTATCGCGGCGTCTTCCCTTACGTCTTCTGCTCAGGCCACAGATGTGATCATCAGCATGACGCATCCGTCATTCACAGGAACACAGCCAGGTGGTAAGGTCTGCCCCTGAGGAATGGTTAATTTGGGTTGATTTTCGTGCATTCCCTTATTTCACTGAAACCAAAGGCATTGGCTGGCCATAACCAGGCCAGGGATGGGGTGCTTTCTTTGGACTAAAGGCTAAAGGGAATGTAACTGACCAACAAAGGGATAGTACTGGGTGGTGCACACACCAGCTAATTGACTGAGCTGGCATGCAGCCTTGCTTTGTCTCAGATGCTGGCAAGGGCGTTATAATTAGATTTTCCCATCGTTGTGGCAAAATAAGGGTCAATTGTCTTGCATACCCAATCATGATTGTACCACCCTTATTGCAGGTTTAATCCATATGCTGAGAAATTATATGGGGATCAAATGCATATTGGCATTAGAGAATGACTCCAGATTGTTCTCAATGGTAGGATTTCATCTGAAAATAAGTGCTGATTTACAAGAATTTACACCTAAAATGCAAATCACAGAGTTCCCCAATGGAGAGCAAAGGAAAGTTGAAGGCAGCTAGCTTCCTCCTTTATCTCAAAAGCAGAGGTCCCATTGGCCTTTAGAGTGGAGAAAAAATCCCAAAGATGTTTCCATAGGCAGCTCCATACACAAAATAGAAAACACACAATTATGCATACACAGGCCCCTTTATCCTCCCCAGTGGTAATTCTGAATCTCTGCATCTTCCAGCTGTACTTGATTAACATGGCAGACACAGTTCCCTCATCAACTGCCTGTTAACACAGGAGACACAAGCAGTGCTGGGAGGTTTTCAAATAAAACCGGGACTATTGGGGACAAAGGTTAACAGCTGGCCAAGGTAATCTGGACACTTCTTGGAGAGGATTAGGCTAGGTCTGTTGGGTGTCCATAGTTCAACATTCATTTTCACAGCTTAGGGACAGAGTGGAGTCAGAATTGACATTAAAGATAAGGAGTGTGTGTGTCTGTGTGTGTGTGCATGTCAGCAGTTGTGGTCAAAGTCTTCTATGTATTAAGCAATGTACTGAGCTATTTATGGCAAGAGAAAAGAAAATCTAGTACTAAAAATCTGGGCTTTTTAATATTAAAGAAAATAACCCACCTATATGTATATGAATGTGAATAAACAGGTTATGTTCAGTATCCCCTGCCTCAGCTCCCTTCTTTCTGGTCCCCCATGTGGACAACTTGGGGTCACTGAGGAATTCAGTTGAGTTGTCTTGGGCAACACAGGAAGCAGAAAAGAAGGGTGCCGTGGTACTTTCATTATCTCTGTGAACATGCGGGAAGGAGAAGACACCTTGTTAGTTAGGCACAATTTCTTCTTCAATATGGATTTAATTCTGACATTGAAAGATTATATGTGCAATTGTTCTTAGAGGCTGAAGGTTACAAATACATGAGGAAGCCAACTCCAGCCTGTTCACACTTTCACTTCAGTCCTCAGCATCTCCTCGAGCCAGATGTTCTCATCTGGCTCCTTTCTCTGGCAAATCTTTCTGCCCAGTCCACTGGAGCTCGTGGGTCTTGCTCCAGCCTCCGGACAGCCAGTCACACCCAGCAGGGCGGGGCTCATGGGCTCTAAGGGCACCTTAGTGCACAAGGCGTTCTTTGAATGCGCCAAAACGATGGGGTGGGGGTCACAGGAGCCCTGGGGGTCCATCCAGAATTATCCAAGACCACCCAGAGACGTTTGATTGAGGAAAAAAGTTTAGCTTATTCATGGGAGACACAACAGTTATTAGTTTGAAGTGTGGGTCTTGACCTTTCTTTTTTATTTTAAAATATGTCTTTATTTATCATTTTTGAAATTGCAAAACAAAAGATGTATCTGAATATTCCAATTGGAATAAAACAATTATTTGCAAAAAAAAAAAGTTGTTTTCCTCGCTTGCCCGCCTGTCCTAGCCTCCTCCAGGAATCACCAACCCCACAGCCTGGAGCCCGTCCTCCACACCAGTTGATCTGCACGTATATGGGGAGGGGTGTTTTTTGTTTTTTATCAAAATGTGATTGTATTGCGCACATTAACCCATACTTTGCTTTCTTCAATTATTACGGGCATCCCTTTTGGTCAGTGGATAGAGAAGAGGGTAGATACAGATCTATCAGTATCTCTATTTTTCTTTTTTCTTTGTGGACTCACAGGTTTAATTTACATAAATTGGATTATATGATTATGCTAATTTAAAGTGCAGTCTTTTTCATTTTCTTTTTTCTTGCCTCTTTCTGTTTTTTTTTTTTTCTGCCCTATTCCTTCCTTTTCATGGAAGCTCTTTCCCTACCCCATCCTAAGAAACCCAAGGTGCCACTTTCTAGGCATTCTTACACAGTCACACACACACATACAACTTACACACTATTGGTTTTACAGAAATAAAAAGATATTATGCATGCTTCTCTTCCTGTTTTAACAGTACTTTGTATAAATCTTCCTAATCCATTTGATATAGCTTCTAATGCATTCTTTTCAATAACTGCATACTAATCCATGCGGTGGATGCAGCTGGAATAATTCAATCATTCAGCAATTCCCCTACCAATGGACAATTAAATGCTTAGCAGGTTTTGCCACCTCACAATAATATCTTTGTCCATATGTGCCTGCAAGACTCAGTGTTCCTGTCTGTGTAATGGGTTCGCAGGAGGGAGACTGTTGAAGACACAGACATGGGTATCGTTCACTACAATCGCTGTTGCTGAAGGAGGTAGCACTTCGTGTCTCGCTAGAAATGTTCCTGCTCACACTGCAGCATCCCTAGCAGTGGGCTCTTTGCTCTATTTTAGCTTTTGTCAGTGGGATGTGTGTGAAATGACAGTTGCTTTTTATGTTATTTGCATTCCCCTGAGACTGGTGAACTTGATCTTTTCATATGCTTATGAATCATTCAGATTTGTTCTTCTCTGGATTTGCTATTCAAATCTTTACCAATTTGTTTTCGGTGTTGTTTATCTCTGTTAGTCGATTTAGAAAGCTCTGTATATACTTTAAATACGGTCCTGGTTAAAGCTTCTGGGTTCAGAAGCCCACCTGGGTGGGAGGGGGGTCGGCGTCTCAGCCCCGCCTCTCAGTGGCTCTGCTGCCTTCATTCAGGACCCCTACTTCTCTGGACTTCAGTTCCTCATGTTTAGGTTAAAGATAGGTAGTGTGCCCACCTCTCAGGCATGCTGAAAGACATGTTAGGTGGATAAAAATATTTACCACAAAGAGTCAGTTAATTTAAGCCATTGTTTCTATTTATTTGGCTTATGATGTATTTTGATATATAAAACTTTGTAATGTTTATGTTATAAAAATTTTTTTTCAAAGCTTTCATTTTTTTCTAACCTGGTGAGAAAAGTGTCTGGAAACTGTCCATCTCCTCTCCACCTGTGACACACCTGCCCCAGCAGGGTCATGGATTTCTTACCCAGAAGTGAGATTTCCTCGTAAGGCACAACTCTCCTCCAGTTCCTGCTGGCTTCAAACCCTCCCAGAATGAGTTTCCATATTTTTTCCAGAGTTTATCAAGTTTATTATGGATTTCTGTGATGAGTTACGGGAGCCCCGTGCAGCAGGGGTCCTGGGGAAGAAAAAACCGCCATAAGGCAGCCTTCACATGCAGGGCAATGACTTCCCGTCTAGGCTACAGCTTACAATAATAAAGTGGGAGCAGGCAAAAGTCATTTAAATGATACTTTTTATTTGTCCAATACTACTGATATGGTCTGGCTCTGTGTCCCCACCAGAAAGTCACCTTGAATTGTAATCCGAATTGTAATCCTCACGTGTTCGGGAAGGGACTTTGTGGGAGGTGACTAGATCATGGAGGCAGTTCCCGATGCTGTTCTCACAATAGTGAGTGAGTTCTCCTAAGATCTGATGGTTTTATAAGGAACGTCCCGCCTTTGCTTGGGACTTGTCTCTCCTGCTACTATGTAAAGAAGGACGAGTTTGCTTCCCCTTCTGCCATGATTGTAAGTTTCCTGAAACCTCCCCAGCCATGCAGAACTGGGCATCACTTAAACCTCTTTAATTTATACATTACCCAGTTTCAGGTATTTCTTCATAGAAGCATGAAAACGAACAAATACAACTACCAATAGCTTTCCTTGGCTCAAAGTGTTGATTTTTAAATAAAATAAGTGGTTGTTGTTATTTTGTTATTTTTTCAAATATTTAATAGAAAATTGCATTTGCACAGTGCTTTTCAATGATTGTTGTTAGTTATTCTTTCTATTTTTCCCATGAAATAAGCACTATAAGAACCCTTGTTTTGTAGTGAAAAAGTTTACCTAAACATTAATCAACTCCTTGCCTTTTGGCAATGACTTTGCATACCCTTCCTTGGCCATGTTTCTCACTGCCACTCATACTTTCATTAGTATCCATCTCTGACTAATTATTCTACTTTGTAATTAACTGCTTTGGTAAGAAAAAGCAATCCAAAATAATAGAATTCCTTTATATTTAATTGCTTAATTACTGTTTTAACTGAGATCACAAATCATTCTGGCAAATATACATTATTATGCATTTTGTTGCCAATGAATCAAGAGATTAAATTAATGATTTAATTGATTAATTATAGTAAATGATGGCAATTAATATTGACTGCAACAGTTTACAGATGAATGGAAAGCCCATCTTTGCATCCTATTTGGTTTCATCATATTCTCTTTCAGACTCACAATGGGAAAAAAAAGTCTTCAAAGGAAACGCTACTAGTTATTCCTTCTACCAGTGCTGCACAACCAATTGTTTTAGACTAGAAACATGTACCTGCAATCCACATCTCTTTGGTACATAACTAGTCATGACTAAAGAAGATACAGTGAAAATGCTAAAATTGGCATTTGTTGTCAAGGCCAGGGTCTGTGATACATTCTTTAATACCCTTGTGACATTCAGTGGAGGCTTAAAAGGTGTTTACCCCAAACTGGAATACAGCTAGTGCTCTCTGAGCATCTTACCTTGACAAGTGTTGACACTTCAGTGCCATTTTGGGTCATGCACTCTATAGTAAGGCAGATCCAAAAACCCTTAACAATCCTTCTTTGGGCAACAAACAGCTTCTATGCACTAAGTCTGGCATTTGAAACCCTCATCCCTCTTTTCAACCCAGTCTAGCTCAGTAATACTAAGTGTATCTTCACCTGGGTTTGGGGAACCACTAGTTCATAGGCCTTCCTACCTCTCACTCTCCAGACTCACTTAAATGGCTGCCCAAAGGCTCAGCCCTGCTCTGATCACTTCATTCTTAGTGAGAAACATTGGTAGTTTTAAGAAGAAAGCCCAGAAACTGAGCCTACTTCTTATGCCTTTCCAGAATAGGTCTCAGCCTGTCTCTCCCTGAGTATCTCTTGCTCTTCCACTATCCCGTCTCTGCTTTGTGACCAGACAGAACAGCTCCTGACTCTTGTCCAAACTTGTCTCACAGACTTTCAAGGTTTTGACATCTCCAGTTAAACACTACCCACCCAGGGCATGTGGTGTGCAAAATATTTTCCATACTTCTAAACCCACCTCGGAAGCTATCCCTCCTAAAGCATTTCCTAGGAAATCATTTCCTGGTTTTGAGGTCCCCTAGAGCTTCTCTGATAGACCCCATACTCTTCATGCATGTGAACTGCTAGGACCTCAGTCCCATGATGCTGACAGATGGCAGTGCAGGCCTGCTTTGGGATTTGGCTAAAGAAAGCTGCCACATGCAAGGTCAGGTCCCATTTCCAGGGGGAGCTAATGATAAATAACAGTTTAGGGAGGCAACATAAAGGCCCAGCCCCATTGCCCCAGTAGATGGCAACTAAAAAAGACTTCTCAGCTCCAGACTTCCCCTAAGATCCAGGACCAACTGAAGCCTCTGCTGTGGCTGCTTAACATCTCAGTTCCCTCTTCTGCCCAGTCCTGCTGCCTTCCCTCCCCTATTGGTGTGGATCCCCAAACAACTTCCAAATTAACTTTTTGCACACACATCTCCATCTCAGAGTTGCTCCTAAGAAGCCCAACCTATGACACAAAATTATCTGCATAACCCCTTGAGGTCAGGGAACATCTCCTGGTCAATTCTGCATCCTACAGAGCAACATGTTGCATTAAATATTGGAAGATTCTGTTGATGTATGTCAAATTAAGTGGCTTCCTTGTATAATAAACAAAGATGAACAGTTTGATGAAGTAATTACAAACTGCGCTGCCTCCTCACGTTGATAAGCCAAGAAGAGTTGGGAAAGTGGTAGAAAGGTCAAGCAGTCCTAAAACATGCTTTATCACTTCCCATATGCCAAACCTCAGAATGTTCATTATTATTACAATGTCATTATAAAGCAAGGCAGCATCTCCAAAATATGCAAGTAGGTGAGAAGCATTCATTAAGGATATAGCCAATGAAGGGTTGACTTTGGCAATATGGCAGAAGAGGAGACTCCTAACTATCACTCTACAAACAGATACACTGAGTGAACCCACATGTGGACCAATTCCCTCTAAGAGAAATCCATAATCCAGTTGAAAGATTCTCACACATTGGCCAAACATGGTAGCTCATGCCTGTAATCCCAACACTTTGGGAGGTGGAGGCAGGCAGACCACTTGAGGTCACAAGTTCAAGACCAGCCTGGCCAACAGAGTGAAACCCTGTCTCTACCAGAAACACAAAAATTAGCAGGGCATCATGTTGTGCACCTGTAATCCCAGCTACTTGGGAGGCTGAGGCAGGAGAATTGCTTGATCCTGGGAGGCGGAGGTTGCAGTGAGCTGAGATGGCACCATTGCACTCCAGCCTGGATGACAGACTGAGACTCCATCTCAAAAAAAATAAAGACAAATAAATTTGAATCACTATGCTCCGCGGAAATTGCATGGAAAAGTAATTAGATCATGCCACTGCACTCCAGCCAGGGTGACAAAGTGAGACTCTGTCTTAAAAAAAAAAAAAAAAAAAAAAGGACTGTCATACACTCATACACTGGTCAACTAAAAAAATTTCCACAGAGAAATGAGTAGGGAAAGCAGAGCAACATGAAAATATTTAAAAACCAAACACCACAAAGCAAGGACAAAAACCAAACACCACATGTTCTCACTCATAGGTGGGAATTGAACAATGAGAACACTTGGACACAGGAAGGGGAACATCACACACCAGGGCCTGTTGTGCGGTGGGGTGGGCGGGGAGGGATAGCATTAGGAGATATACCTAATGTAAATGATGAGTTAATGGGTGCAGCACACCAATATGGCACATGTATAGATATGTAACGAGCCTGCACGTTGTGCACATGTACCCTAGAACTTAAAGTATAATAAAAAAAAAAGAAATTAGAAATAGAACCATCATAAGACCCAGCAATCCTTCTTCTGGGTATGTATCCAGAGGAAGTGAAATAACCTGGGTATCCATAAATGGATGAATGAATAAAGAAACTGAGAGAGATTAAAAAAAATAATAATAAATATATATATATATATAATTCCTGGCAGAAGTAAGTATATATTCAACTCAGAACACTATTATATCATAATGGTGGTGTGGAAGTCAATCATATAACTAGTATGAAGGCAAAAAACCAAAATTAGCAAAATAGCTACAATAATTTGTTAAGGGAATAAAAGGTATAAAAGATACAAAACATACCATTAAAAATAAATTAGGCAAGGAGTAAAGGCATAGTTTGCATAAGTGATCAAAGTTAACTTATAACCAAGCTCAAACTGACCTGTTATTAGTATAAAATGTTTTTATGTAAGGCTCATAATAACCACAAAGCAAAACCACAAAAGATATAAAGAAAGGATTCAAAGCATACTACTATAGAAATTCACCAAACCACAGAGAAAGACAGCAAAAGATAAAGAAAAAAGGATCTACAAATTAATTAGAAAACAATTGACAGAATGGCAATAGTAAATACTCACCATTCAATATTACTTTGAATATAAATAGATTAAATTCTCCAGTTAAAAGACATAGAGTGGCTGAATAATTTTTTAAAAACCCCACTGTATGCTTCTTACAAGAGACTCATTTCACATCTAAGGACAAAATAGACTAAATGTGAAGGGATGAAAAAGATATCGCACACAAATGGAAACCAAAGGAGAGTAGGAATAGCTATGCTTATATCAGAGTAAAAAAGATTTTAAGTCAAAAACCATAAAAAGAAGAAAAGAAGGTCATTATATAAGAATAGGTCAATTTATTAAGAAATTGTAACAATTGTAAATATATATGCACCTAAAATCAGAGCGCCTAAATATATAAAACAAATATTAATAGATCTGAAGAGAGAAACTACAGTACGATAATAATAGAAGACTTCAATACCCCAACTTCAACATTAAGCAAATCATCTAGACAGAAAATCAATAAGAAACCATTAGAGTTGACTGCACTTTAGACCAAATGGACCTGACTGAAATATACAGCACATTCCGTCCAACAGCAACAGAATACATATCCTTCTCAAGTACACAAGAAGTATTATCCAGGATAGATCATACGTTAAGCCACAAAACAAGACTTAATAAATTTAGGAAGACTGAAATCATATTGAGCACAATTACATAAAACTAGAAATCAAAACCAGAAAGAATGTTGGAAAACTCACAAATATGTGGAAATTAAACAAATTGTTTCTGAATAGCCAAGGCATCAAGAAAGCAATTAAAAGAGAAATTAAAAAATATATTGAGACAAATGAAAATGGAGGCATATTAAAATTTATGGGATGCAGTAAAGCAGTCCTGAGAGGAAGCTTTTAGCAATAAACATCTAAGTCAAAAGAGAAGAGAAATCTCAAAAAACCTAATGTTCCACCTCAAATAACTAGAAAAAGAGGACAAAATAAGCTCAGACTTGGCAAAATAAAGGAAATAAAGATTAGAGAATACACAAAACAGAAACTAGAAAAATAATGGAAAGCATCAACATAACTAATGTTGGGTTTTTTAAAAGATAAACAACATTGACAGTTATACTAACAAAGAAAAAAGAGAAAGGACTCAAATAAATAAAATCAGAAATGAAAGAGGAGACATTACATCAACACCACAGAAATATAAATGATCATAAGAGACTCCTATAAACAACTATGCACCCACAAATTATATAACCTAGAAAAAAACGGGTAAATTCCTAGAAACATGCAACCTACCAAGACTGAATCAAGAAGAAACAGAAAATCTGAACAGAACAATAGTAAGGAGATTGAATTAGTAATAAAGTCTCCTATCAAAGAAAAGCTGAAGACCTGATTCCTACACTGCTGAATTCTACCAAACATTTTTAAAAGACCTAATGCCAACCCTTCTCAAAATCTTCAAATAATTGAGGAGGAGGAAATACTTTCAAACTCCTGTCTTGAAGCCAGCATTATGCTGACTCCAAAGCCAGGCAAGGACACTATAAGAAAAGAAAACTACCAGCCAATATCTGTTATGAACGTAGATACAAAAATTCTCTAAAAAGTACTAGCAGAGCAAATACAACAGCACATTAAAAAGTTCATTCACCATGATCCAGTGAGATTTAGCCCAGGGATGCAAGAATGGTTCAACATACGTAAATTAATAAATACAATATACTGCATTAACAAAATGAAGGACAAAAACCACATTTCAATAGATGCAGAAAAACCATTTGACAACATTTAACATCTGTTCATGATAAAAAAAAAAACTCTTAACAAAATACTTATCTAAGGAATATATCTAAACATAATATAGGCAATATAGGGCAAGCCCACAGCTAACATTATACTCAATGGTAAAAAGCTTAGAGCTTTTCCTCTAAGATTAGGAACAAAGCAGGGAGGCCCACTCTTGCCAATTCTATTCAACATAGTTCTGCAAGTCTTAGCAAGAGTAGTTAGACAAGAAAAATAAACAAAGTCATTCTTATATGAAAGATAAAAGGGAAACTGTTTCCGTTTGCTGATAACATAATATTATTTTCCATATTATAACAGAAAATATTTAGAATACATTTACATATACATTATATACAATATAGAAAACCCTAAAGACTATTATTATCATGTTTGCTGATAACCTGATCATTTTCTATATTATAATATAGGTTATATATAATTTATGTATAATTATATAAATTATATATAACATAAATAATAACTTATTTATAGCTTATATTATTTATTATATATAAAATACATAATATAAAATTTTATATATTGTATATAAAATTTATAATATAAATTGTATTATAATTTTATTATATATAAATATATAACATTAATTTATTATAATTTTATTATATATAAAATATATATAATTTCATATTTAATAAATTAAATATAATATATAATAGATTGTATAATATGTTAAATTTCACATTTAATAAATTAAAGATTTAATATATAATATATTTTATATTTATATTTTATATTTATTTTATTAAATTAAAAATGTTATATTAACTATAAAGTATCATATATAATATATAATATAAATTATTGTAATTATGGTAATCTAAATTATAATATAGAAAATCCTGAACACTCCACCAAAAATTGTTAATACTGATAAATACAGTAGAGTTGCAGCTTACAAAATCAGCCTACAAAAATCAGCTTATTTATACACTAACAATGAACTATCCAAAAAAGAAACTTTTAAAAATCCCATTTACACACTAGCATAAGAAAAATAAAATACTTGGGCGTAAATTAAACAAGGAGGTGAAACATCTGTACACTGAGAACTGTAAAATATTGGTGAAAAAAACTGAAGAACACATAAATAAATGGAAAAATAGCTCAGGTTCATAGATTGGAAAAATTAATATTGTTAAAATTAATATTGTTAAAATGTCCACACTACCCAAAGCAATCTACAGATTCAATGCAATACCTACCATCAAAATTCCAATGGTGTTATTTACAGAAATAGAAAAGTCAATTCTAAAATTTGTGTGGAATCAGAAAAGACCCTAAAGAGCCAAGGCAATCTTGAGCAAAACAACCAAACAGAAACAAAAAACAAAACTAGAGGTATCACAACCCCTGAGTTCAAAAACTACTATAAAGCTATTGCAGTAAAAACAGCATGATACTGGCATAAAAACAGACACTTTGACAAATGCAACAGGATAGAGAGCCCAGAAATAAACCCAAGTATTTAGAGTCAATTGATTTTCAACAAAGGTGCCAAGAACACACAATGGAGAAAAGACAGTCTCCTCAATAAATGGTGTTGGGAAAACTGGACATCCACATGCAGGAGGATGAAATTTGATCCTTATCTCACAACATATAAAAAATCAACTCAAAGTGGATAAAAACCTTAAATATAAGGCCTGAAACTATAAAGCTGCTATAAGAAAATACAGGGAAATGCTCCATAACATTGTTCTGGGCAGTGACCTTTTGGATAAGATTCTAAAAGCATCAGTCAACAAAAGCAAAAATAGACAAATGGGATTGCACCCAACTAAAAACCTTCTGCACAGCAAAGGAAACAATTAACAGAGTGAAGAGACAACACACAGGCTGGGAGAAAATATTTGTAAACCATGCATCTGTTAAGGGGTTAATATTCAAAACATATAAGGAACTCAAATAACTCAAAACAAATAACCTGATTAAAAAATGAACAAAGGATCTATCTGAACAGCCATTTCTCAAATGAAGAGATACAAGTGGCCAAGAAGTATATGAAAGATGCTCTACATCACTAATTATTAGAGAAATACAAATTAACACCTCAATGAGCTATCACCTCACAACTGTTAGAATGGCTATTTTCAAAAAGACTAATGATAACAAGTGTTGTTGGTGATGTGGAGAAAAGGGAACCCTTGTTGGTGAGCATGTAAATTAGTGCAGCCTTTTTGAAAAACAGTATGGAGGTTCCTCAAAAAACTGAAAGTAAAATTACCACAGTATCCAGCAAACCCACTTTTGGGTATATGGCCAAAGGAACCGATATCAGTATGTCAAAGAGATATCTATCTACACTCCCACATTCATTTCAGCACTATTCACAATAGTAAATGGAATCAACCTAAGTGTCCATCAATGAATGAATAAAGAAAATGCAGCACATATACACACTGAAATACTATACAGCCTTCAAAAGAAGAAAATTTGTCATATGCAACAGCACAGATGGAATTGAAGGACATTATGCTAAGAGTGGTAAGTCAGAAACAGAAAGAAAAATACTGTATAATCTCTTTTTTTCTTTTTTTTATTATACTTTAAGTTTTAGGGTACATGGGCACAACGTACAGGTTAGTTACGTATGTATACATGTGCCATGTTGGTGTGCTGTACCCAATAACTCGTCATTTACATTAGGTATATCTCCTAATGCTATCCCTCCCCCCTCCCTCCTCCCCCTACCCCACAACAGGCCCCGGGGTGTGATGTTCCCCTTCCTGTGTCCATGTGTTCTCATTGTTCAATTCCCACCTATGAGTGAGAACATGCGGTGTTTGGTTTTTTGTCCTTGTGACAGTTTGCTGAGAATGATGGTTTCCAGCTTCATCCATGTCCCTACAAAGGACATGAACTCATCATTTTTTATGGCTACATAGTATTCCATGGTGTATATGTGCCACATTTTCTTAATCCAAAAAATACTGTATAATCTCACTCATATGAGGAATCTTTAAAAGTTGGTCCCATAAAAAGAGAGTAGAATGGTGGTTACCAGAGGCTGGAGGGAAGGAATGGGAAAGAAGAGATGTTGTTTAAAAGGTACAATGTTTCAATCAGACAGGAAGAATACCTTTTCCTGATCTATTGCACTACATCTTGACCTCATTTAATAACAATATTGTGCATTTTGAAATTGCTGAAAGAATAGATTTCCAATGTTCTCACCACAAAAAAATGATACGTTGGTGAAGTGATGGATGTTAATTAGCTGGATTAATTCTTTCTACAATGTATAGACAAATCACAACATCACAGTGTACCCTATAAATATACATTATTATTATTTGTCAATTAAAAATAAATCTTAAAATGAGATATAACCCATGAATTGACTGCTTTCTGTTTATCTCCTTTCCCCATTTTATGTCTGACAAACTATCAATCTATAATTTTATACAAACTACAGTCATTCTATGAACATTAATTTTTATTTCTTTCTGAGAGGCAGGGCTGGGCTGGATGATAGTATTATCCCAGAGCTAACCATGCATCACATAACAGTGCTAGAAAACACTTGCTGGGTTCAGACTCCTGTTACAAAATACTACATGTGTAGGATTCAAAACTAATTATTGAATTCACCTACACTGACATCTATTTGTGGGCTCAATGATACATGCTATAGATAGAATTCCATCATGCAAAAACACCTTTGAGGATTCACAATTCACAGAAAACAAGGAAGTGTTTTGTCATAAATACCTATAACTCCTCAGACCTTAGCTAGTTCAGGTACCATAGTCTCTGTCATTTCCAGAAAGCGTGCAGGGGGTACACTCAGACCCCAGCATTTTCCACCAGCAGTGCTTCCCATGTTCTGCTGTAGTTTTTTTTTTTACCAGCCACTGTACTGAGCATTTTCTAAGAGCCAGGACTTGTGCTGAGTGTTTTATATGCATATACTTTGGCTCATTTAATTCTCAATAAATCCCTGCAAGATTAGTATAATTATTGCTATTTTACAGATGAGAAAATTGGGGCTTAGAGATTTCAAATAATGGGCTCAAGTCTCCACTGCCCACAGGTGGAGCAGAGATGATGCCAGCTTGCTCCCTGTGTGCCCAGCGGCACTGCCTCTCTTGCTTGCTAAAGTCACCCTGTCCCCAGAACGCCACCCAGAAAGACTGCATATCCCCATAGCAGGAAGAGCATCACCCTGGTCATTTAACCCAGAGGCTTTCGTACCCAGCTGGCCTTAGCCAAAGGTCTCTGCTCTTTACATCTCTCTTCTTTTTTCTTTTTCATGGGTCATGGGCCAACCAAGCATGATCTTCTCATGGTGACGACAGAATTGCCAGGGAGCCAGCCCCATGACACAAGCATGTTTTAAGCCCCTGTCCCCATCACGTCTGCAATGTTCCAGGACCAACAGAATATTCCAGGGATGTACAGCATAGAGTGGGATGGAGTATATGTGGTTCTGAACACTAATGCATTCTGACATGAGACCAGCACGGTGTCCATGTGTGCTGCTGAGTGTGGCTGCCATCTGCTCCACATACAGCATTCATTCTGCAGGTGAGTCATAGAACAAATCCTAGTCTGGCCCATTTCTGCCTCTGGTATCTTTGGTCACTGTGGAATCAATAAGCCACTTTAAATAGAACAGCATGAAAGACACACATGAGTTGCAAAATGTAAAATAAATACTTTAATCCAAAGCATAAAACCTCTTTTATTATTCATTGCTTTGGATTATCCATGCCTCTGCTTCCCTTTATTTACATCATTAGTCGAGATGTGCTCTAGTTTGGAATTATTCCATTGCCACATTAAAGTCAGTTCTCATATAAACATTTTGGCGATGGTCATCCCTGCCTGCTCTAAACTAACACATTCTGGCGGACTTATTTATAGTATCATTTTTCTTCAGCATCAAAGTCTCCTTATGTTAGTAAATCTAACATATTAATGATAGATATATGGTCAATATATAGTAAAGAATCAGTAGGTAAGTAGTAAGAAGAAAATGATATGGTATAGATTTATTAGCATGGTTATGTTTATGATTTTGATTTTATCAATTTACCTAATGTTTATGATGCACCCAGTAAATAAGAGGATAAAATGTAACCAGGCTACTGGAGAGCAAGAGCCACAGAGAGCAGTATATGGCTTCCGACCACTGCTGCAGTGAAATATTGCTGTGTCAGCTGGTAGCAACAGCCAGCGCCATTAAGAGAAGCAGAGCAGAGACAGGGAGCCATGTCTTGTAGCACAGGGAGCCTGTGAAAGCCAGACAGAGAAAGGTGAGGGCTCTGACATGACAGGTGTCAGCTAGTGAGCTGGCAGAGTGTAGAAACAGGAAGTTCTCACTGTTCAAACCCAGAGGCTGCACGGAGAAGCATCAGAGAGAGATGGATCTCAGAGAGCTGGGGCTGGCCAAAGCTTCATGTGGTCTCATTCAGCAACCTCCCCCTCGATTTCCTGCAGGGAGAGACAGACCCTCTAGGTTGAGATTTGGGGCTGTGCAGCTTTGGGGAGCAACAGGGGGGTTGCTCGTGGTTCCTCTGACATGGAGAGAACTAGATGGGAATTCTTGAAACACCATGGTTGGCATTCTTGGCGTCACTTTCCTCTCCCTGAGACGGCATGATTATGTTTATTGGGGTCTCCTTTTATTGTGCAACAGGGACATTGCTCCCCCCTGCTCCTGCCCCACCCCTCCCTCAACCTTTAAGAACCCTCTTTTTAAGTTTTTTCTTTTTTGGAGCAAAGATTGTATTTTATAGTAATGGCTATTGCTTTCCTGGAGTGTGATGAAGCACGTGATCTCTTATGTCCATGGGCAGAAAGAGACAAAGGTACATGGAGCCAACAATCATATTTTAAAAAGCTCAACATCACTGATCATTAGAGAAATGCAAATCAACACCACAATGACATGCCATCTCACACCAGTCAGAATGGCAATTATTAAAAAGTCAAAAAATAGCAGATGCTGGTAAGGTTGCAGAGAAAAAGGAATGCTTATACACTGTTGGTGGGAGTGTAAATTAGTTCAGCCATTGTGGAAGAGAGTGTGGTGATTCCTCAAAGACCTAAAAACATAAATACCATTTGACCCATCAATCCCATTACTGGGTATTTATCCAAAGGAATATAAATCCTTCCATCATAAAGACAGACGCATGCCTATATTCATTGCAGCACTGTTCACAATAGCAAAGAAAGGGAATCAACCTAAATGCCCATCAGTGGTAGACTGGATAAAGAAAATGTGGTACATATACACCATGGAATACTATGCAGCCATAAAAAAGAATGAGATCATGTCCTTTGCAGAAACATAGATGGATCTGGAGGCTATCATCCTTAGTAAACTAATGCAGGAACAGAAAACTAAACACCGCATGTTCTCACTTATAAATGAGAGCTAAATGATGAAAACACAGGGACACACAGAGGGGAATAACACACACCAGGGCCCACTGGAGGGTGGAAGGTGGGAGGAGGGAGAGGATCAAAAAAAACAACTAATAGGTACTACGCTTAATACCTGGGTGATAAAATAATCTGTACAGCAAACCCAAGTGATGCAACTTTACCTACATAACAAGCCTGCTCATGTACCCCAGAACTTAAAATAAAAGTTAAAGAACAACAAGAAAAAACAAATCAACCTTGTGAATCTGAGAGTAAGTAAATTATGCCATGATTTTAACTTGCCTCTCATTATGTGAGCTTGAACAATTTTATGTGTTTACTGGTGAGTTTAATTTCCGTCTTTGTGGGTTGTTCTCTTTCTATTCATTTATGTACTTGTTTTTTCAACATGTATTTGTCGAGCATCTTGTGTCTCAACAAACATCATGTTGAGCATGCTCGCTTCTAGGTGTATCTGGAACACAGCAGTGAGCATGTCATAGGTCTACTGCAGGAGTTGGCACACTATGATCTGTGGGCCAAATTTGAACCACTTCCTAATTTTGTAAATAAAGTTTTACTGGAACACATACACACACAAGATCCGAGCAGCGGGTGAGGCACAGCATGTGACTAAGGTACAAACAGAGAAGGAAAGGAAACACCCCTTCCACCTACCTAGAGGGCAAGGCAATCACTTCTCAGCATCTGAAGCTGAGGAGAGAAGATATGCAAGTCCTTCAGCCCATGAGGCTGATGAGACCGATGTAAACACAACCAGTCATAGCTTCACTTGCCTGAAAGGTAAGAGAAGAGAAACAGCAAGGAAAGGGCAAAAAGGAACAGTGGTGTCCACACAACATGTACATTCACTGCGAGGTAGAAAAGCACAGGGAAGACCAGTGCTCCTCGAGGGCCCATCTACAAAGGCTTGAGCCTAGGCAAGAATCAAGACAGATACAGCATCCCTGGGAGAAAACTATGGGCATATTGTTTTACAAGTGTAAAGTGATATCCATGTGTGTCATTTAAGATAAAAAATAAGAAACTTGGCCTGGCGCTGTGGCTCACGCCTGTAGTCCCAGCACTTTGGGAGGCTGAGGCGGGTGGATCACTTGAGGCCAGGAGTTCGAGACCAGTCTGGCCGATATGGTGAAACCTTGTCTCTACTGAAAATACAAAAATGAGCCAGGTGTGGTGGTGCATGCCTGTAGTCCCAGCTACTACGGAGGCTGATGCACGAGAATCCCTTGAACCCGGGAGGCAGAAATTGCAGTGAGCTGAGATCGTGTCATTGTACTCCAGTCTGGGTGACAGAGTAAGACTGTCTCAAAAGAAAAAAAAAAAAAGGAAGAAACTTGGATGGGAGCAGAAGAAAACATTAGAATAAGCCTGATCCCAAAATGTTTACAGATGTAAATGCTGGGACATAAAATCCAATCTGTGTTTGTTTCATGCCAAGGGCATGCTGGGAGAGTCTGTAGCTGCCTGCAGTGACATCCAGCACAGCTCAGGGCCCTCCCTGGGGGACATTCACAGCCTCTACACTGAAGGCAGGCAGGGTACTCCAGCATTCTACCATTTCTAAACTCCCACTGCAAACAATTTCAAGCAACTCTGACACAGGAAATTTCTCACTCAGTCACAGAATAGATAAATCTAAATTTCTGAAATGGACAGGTGCAAAGAAGAGAAGATTTGATGTGGATAAATATGTGGCAAAATAGCCAGAGGGAAGCCATCGGCCTGACAGCGAAAGAGGTGCAGTCATTTGGAAGAAAAGACAGAAATGTCTGGGCAGGTAGGGAGGGTAATGAATTGTGTGGGAGAACAGCACAGCTATGCTGCCAAAAATGATGAATTCCCTCTTGCAGCAGGAAGAAAGGCATTTAGAATTAATGGGTAAAAATAGCCCCTTATTGGGTCTTGGTAAATCCATTTTGAAATCTTTTGTTCTCCTTTGAATCTCCTATTTTCAAAGGGAGCTTGAAACTTCAGTAGGAAAGGCACAGTCATGGGAGATTATGTGATCCTTGGATCCAGCTTGAACAAAAGTCCCCAGAGAATGGCTTGATCAGGGGAGAAGACATTGAGAAGGATGAGAACAACATCGCTCCTTCTAAATTAAGATGATGTAATATGGCTATGGACCCTGCTAAGGTTTAATCAGCACCTGACTTTTAGTTGTGTCCACACAATGGAGTCTGACCATTGGGTTGGTGGTCTCCTATGTCATGAAGAATATTGAGAAATGGAGTTAACAGTTTACCAGAAAAAGACAGTCTTTACAAACACCTGAGTATGTACCAATGGCTGGCTCTTTCCTCTGCTCTAATACACTGTCTAGGCCAGTCATTCCCAAACCTGTCTGTGCATTGGAATCACCAGGGTAGCTTCAAAACACACTGAGGTCTGAGTCTCAACCTGAGATTAGAATTTTACTGGTTGGGGACATGGCTAAGCTTTGGAATTTTCACAAGATTCCCAGGAGATTCTAATGTACCCACAAGTTTGGAGCCATTGCTGTAGACAAGTTTTGTTTAACATGTGGGGTGTAGATAGTAGGATGGCACATGAACACACCTGCAGAAGCTGTAGTGATAGCAATGAAAGGGCAGGAGTATCAGCTGCAGGAGTGACATGAGGATCCTGCTGATGGAATGCCTCCCACACATCAGGCATCCTCTCAGACCGTCACATAAAGAATTCCAGCAGACACACTCCAGTAGGGTCATTATTACAAATCCCCAATTTGCAGATGAGAAAACAGAGGCAGAGGGCAACTCTGCCACTGACCGTGATCACAAAGCCAGAAAGGGGCAGGGCAGGGCTCCCAACCAGACCTGGACAGAGACCCATGGCACCATTGTGTCTCACCCAGCAAGCAAGCAGGAGGTGGGTGCCCCCACTTACCTGGAAGGCAGCTCCAGGCACCTGTCCTTGACTGCCCTCCACCTGAGCCACCCTATCTCTTCCAGTGTGACCCACCCCAGGACTGTCTTTCCTACACAATGCCTGCTCCTCTTTCCCTCCATCCTGAGGGAGGTGTGACCCTCCCTTCTTTGCCTCCGGTGGTGCCCCCTCCTCCCCTCCATCCTGAGGGAGGTGTGACCCCCTCTCCTTCTCTCATGCAATGCTTCCCCCTCCTCCCCTCCATCCTGATGGAGGTGTGACCCTCCTCTCCTCTGGTGCTCCTCCTCCTCCTCTGCATCCTGAGGGAGGTGTGACCCTCCTCTCCCTCTCTCCTATAGTGCTCCCCTCCTCCCCTCCATCCTGAGGGAGGTGTGACCCTCCTCTCCCTCTCTTCTGAGGGGCTCCCCTCCTCCCCTCCTCCCCTCCATCCTGAGGGAGGTGTGAGCCTCCTCTCCTTCTCTTCTGTGGTGCTCCCTCCTCTTTCCCTCCATCTTGAGGAAGGTGTTGCCCTCCTCTACTTCTCTCTTGTAGTGCTCCCCCTCCTCCCCTCCATCCTGAGAGAGGTGTGACCCTCCTCTCCCTCTCTCCTGTAGTGCTCCCCACCTCCCCTCCATCCTGAGGGAGGTGTGACCCTCCTCTCCCTCTCTCCTGTGGTGCTCCACACCTCACCACCATCCTGAGGGAAATGTGACCCTCCTCTCTTCTCTCCTGTGGTGCTCCCCCTCCTCACCTCCATCCTGAGGAAGGTGTGACCCTCCTCTCCTTCTCTCCTGTGGTGCTCCCCTTCTCCCCTCCATCCTGAGGGAGGTGTGACCCTTCTCTCCCTCTCTCCTATGGTGCTCTCCTTCCTCCCCTCCATCCTGAGGGAGGTGTGCCCTTTCCTCTCTCCAACTCCCTGGTGGTTCCCCTGCCTCCTCTCCATCCTGAAGGAGGTGCAGGCAGCCCTGCTCTCAGGAGGCCACAGGGCATATGGTTCTGCTGCTCCTGCAGAGGCCAGGTCATTCCCATTAGACTGCCTTCATTACGGGCTCCTCCTATGAACAGTGTCTGGAGGCACTGAGGTCTCAGGTTTCTGATCACCTGGTGGATGGCTCCTTTTTTCACTTCTTTCAGCCACTCCTCCCTCCACCTCAGGGCAAATCCTGGGCTGAGAGGCTGCTGTCCTCCGGCCTGCACCCAGCATTGTCTTTGGGCAGGAGCTGATGCCTGCACTGCATCCCAGGGCTGACCCGACAGGGCTGATGCCGGCGGAGTCCAACAAAACACCTCCCTCTGCATGGGTGCTGCTCTCCTGCTTGAGAATGGAACAGCCACCCTGACAGGAGGTTTGCTCTTTGTCGTTATTGTTGTTTTTCTTGTCTGGGTTCCTTTGTATAACAGAGGAGAGATGCTTTTAGTGTCTAAGTAATCAATATGCAGGACAGGATTATGTCATTTTGCTGTTTCCACAGCCCATTAGAAAACTGAAATCTGGCACTTACGTTTGGGGTGCTCCTCTGTCTGCTACAAGCATTTTACATCCCTTGAAGCTCCAGCTGTGGTGAGACTGTACCTTACGACGGAGCGATTGTGGTGAATTCAGGTGCAGAGCCGCCTCACTCCTCTCCGCAGAGAGACAGACAGAGCGAGGCTCGGAAAAGTGCAGAAGGTGACAGAAGCTGGGCTCAGGTGTGAGCGTGACCAACTTGTTTTGAGAAGTGCAGATGCTGTCCTCTGAAGACACCCGACCTAGACGGAGATGGAGTCCAGAGCCAGCAGAGACCCTCAGCGAGGCACAACCTACCCTCCAAACAAAACGCCCATCCTGCCCTTCTCCAGGCCTTCTCAGCGGCCACGATCTGACCTCCTGAGGCTGTGGATGGTGGAGACTGATCGCTGGCTGCGTGGCCCCTGCCGACGTGAGGGAGACTTAGCATGAAATCGCCCCGGATGCCCGGGAGGCTCTCCCAACATGAGCTATAAAAGCTGACCAAACACCACACCCCACGCTCTCAAAGCTGCCTCCCATATCATCAACACCTGGACGCTCCTGCCCCAGCCTCCGACCATGCCGCCATTCCCTCAGGGTCCCCGAGGCCCCCACCCCTCTGGGAGTCCCGCGCCGTCACGAGTGGTCACAGCGGATGGGCGCCAGCCCTGGTCACCTTAAGCAACCAGCTCGCCAGGCTTCCCCGTGGCATCTGGAGAAATGGCTCACCACCTGCACCCCACGCCAAGCTCAGGTGGCAGAGCAAGTAAGGATGCCCACATTCCCGAGATGGAGAAAGTGCTGCTGAGCCTGGGACCTTGGTTTGTTTTGGCTTTTTGAAAAACTGCAAATCTCTGGCTTCAAGGAATGGGCTCAGGTGAGGTCCGAATCAATGGGATGGTAACCCACTGCCCTGGGAGGACCTTGTCCCCAGGTCAGCCTTCACACCCTGTCCTCCCACTCTGACAGGAGTGAGAAGAGATGATGAAGCCCCTGGCTGCAGGTCGGCTACTCTCCTGGTTACCTTTCTTCATCTCCGAGAGAGCTCATCCTTGAAGACTTAAAAATAAAGATAAATAGGCCAGTGCCGTGGTTCACGCCTGTAATCCCAGCACTTTGGGAGGCCGAGGTGGGTGGATCACCTGAGGTCAGGAGTTCAAGACCAGCCTGGCCACCATGGTGAAACCCCCTCTCTACTGAAAATACAAAAATTAGCCAGGCATGGTGGCAGGCACCTGTAATCCCAGCTACTTGGGAGGCTGAGGCAGGAGAATTGCTTGATCCCGGGAGGCGGAGGTTGCAGTGAGCAGAGATCTCACCATTATACTCCAGCCTGGGCAACAGACTGAGACTCTGTCTCAAAAAAAATAATAAATAAAGACAAATAAATGTGAATGACTATGCTCCATGGAAATTGCATGGAAAAGTAATTAGAAACAAGAACTATCACGTGTCCTCTTTACCAATTACTCTATAAATAAAGTAAAAACATGACAATAACTTATGTGTATGTGTGTATTCATAATGTGTTTTTTTTTTAATTTCCAAAATATGACAGAAACAAATATTCAGCACTATGTCTTTTCCTCCCCAGTGTCTAGTTTGGGTTGAAACCTCTTAGAGTCAACATCACATCCTGCTGGTGTCCTCTACAGCTGTGGGAGTGTGGCATTGCTGCCCGGGAGGTAAACCCTACTGGCCAGGATTTCTGAGTCACACTGCAAGGAACCACTGTAGAAGCAAGGTTATCACATCAGCGTCGCACAGAGGACACGCAAGGGGAAGGAGTGTGACTGCATCAGATTACCACCTTTTCGTACGGTAAATCTCAAAATTTGGCATGGAAGATTGCTGTGAAAGGGGAAAACACCCAGACATGGTCGCTGGAAACCAGTTCCCAGATCCTCTTCACGTGGGCTCCTCCCAGGGCAGCGCTCTTTGTGTTTACAACTTGGGAACTGCCCTGAGATGTGGAGATCCCTTTTGTAAGGTGACCACCTCCTGGGATACCAACAATCGCAGAGGGCCCTGAGGATGGACAGTGGTGCAACAAGGGTCCCCTCTTACCTGGAGAGTTAATCAAGCCCCAGTAATTGGAAACTGAAGCTTCTGGCCAGACAGAGCCATGAAATCCTGCTCTTTCCAGAACGTCCCGACAAGGACATGACCCCTAGCTGGTGACTGATGGCATGGGGCCCTCCTGCAGCCAGACAAGGAACAGGAGAGGAGGCAGCCAGCCTCATCCCCTCATACCCCTCAGGACCCCACCTGGCAGGTGTCTGAGCAGGCAGAGAGGCCTCTCATCTGCTTCCCCTGTCACCTCTCACTCAAGGGTCTCCAGTAGTCAGTGGGACCCACCTCAAGGCCAGAGGCTGACATCCCTGCCGCCCAGGCTCCTGAGTGTCCTCCTCACAGTCAGAAGCTGCGCCCATGGGAGGTGGCCCTGGCAGCACATGCTCGTCCTCTTCAGTGTGGTCGATCAAAAGCAGTTTCGGGCATGCTTCTATGGACCAACCTCCTCCCTGTGACCAGCCATCAAAGTGCCACTCATCTCCTGCCTGGCCACAAAGGATGTCCTTATGCTGCTGCCTCTCATCTCTCCTCTCACAGCTGGGATTTCATCCCTTCTTCTTCCTTCTCCAATCCCTTCCCCTCCCAACCTCAGTCTTCATCCTGAAACCCTGGGCTCTGGCCCAAGTCATATCAGCACAAAGAGCCTGGGAGGGGCCTCCAGAGCCACAAGGGGTCAGAGAGTGTGGCTGCAAAATGCTCAGGGCCCAGGTACTGGGGCCAGTCCCAAGAAGGGTAGGCCCAGATATTGCAGCCAATCCAGAGGATGGTGGGCTTCAAGTGGATGCCCTGATTCCATATTTTCCAAATAGCTGACTTCCAGATAGCACCTGAACCAATGCCTTGTCCATTGTGCGCCCCTGGCTGGAACAGACAACCAGGTGACAGCCTGTGCACCTCTCCTGAGGAAGGACTTAGGGATTCAGACCATAGGACCGACATTACCTTGAAACTTGGAGATATGTTAAGAGCGTTTGTTCACATGTGGTGTTTCTCTTCTCCCCTGGGTCCTAAGATGTCACAGGTCTTTCTGGCCAGGTGCCCAGAATGGGCATTTTCCTTCTTTTTTTTTTTTTTTTTTTTGATAGCGTCTCCCTCTGTCACCTAGTCTGGAGTGCAGTGGTGTGCTCATACCTCACTGCAACCTCTGGACTCAAGTGGTCCTCCCACCTCAGCCTCCCCAGTAGCTGGGACTACAGGCACGAGCCACCATGCCTGACTAACTTTGAAATTTTTGTAGAGATGGGGTCTTACCATGTTGCCCAGGCTGGTCTTGAACTCCTGCGTTCAAGTGATTCTCCTGCCTCAGCCTTCCAAAATGCTAGGATTACAGGCGTGAGCCACAGTGCCCGGCCCACAATGGGCATTTTCATTACAATTTTAGAGAGGGAAAAGCTGGCCCCACTTCAGTGAGCTGCCTAAAGTCATCTATTAATAATAGTGGGACGAACAGTATCAGGTCCCAAGTCATGTACCAAGGTTGCTACCCTAGTGGGACTGAGAGATGACAAGGCACATGTGATTACAGTAAGCAGGGGAGAGTGGCCATCCATTTTAAGGGAAGGTTACCATTGTCATCAAAGAAAAAGTAAAAAGACCTGAAGAGTAGGTGTGAGGTGGTTTCTACCTGAAGAGAAGGCATGAGGTAGATTCTACCTGAAGAGCAGGTGCGTGGTGGATTTTACCTGAAGAGAAAGTGTGTGGTGGATTCTACCTGAAGAGAAGGCATAAGGTGGTTTCTACCTGAAAAGAAGGCGTAAGGTGGTTTCCACCTGAAGAGAAGGCGTGAGGTGGTTTCTACCTGAAGAGCAGGTGTGTGGTGGTTTCTACCTGAAGAGCAGGTGTGTGGTGGATTCTACCTGAAGAGAAGGTGTGTGGTGGTTTCTACCTGAAGAGCAGGTGTGTGGTGGATTCTACCTGAAGAGAAGGCGTGAGGTGGTTTCTACCTGAAGAGCAGGTGCGTGGTGGCTTCTACCTGAAGAGAAGGCGTGTGGTGGGTTCTACTTTCCAACAAAAGCCACAGTGATGGTTCCTGCCCCATGCACTCCTTCAAAACCTCCTCTTTCATCAAGAGCTGGAGGCTTCTCTTCACCCTCCTTGTACCCGGGTGTTTATGCAGATGCCTTTGAAAATAAACTGTGGCAGAAGTGGCACTGTGTGCCTCTGAGGCCAGGTCAGGAAAGGCGATGTATTCGACTGGACACTCCTGTCTCTCCCTGTCTCTTTGGCTCTCTCTCTCTGTCAGGGAAGGTGGCTTTGAAGCCCTGAGCCACCTCCTAGGGAATCCATCCCTGCTGTGCTGCAGAGACCACATGGAGAGACCACTGATGGCCAAAGAGCCCAGCTTGGGGATGTCCCTCACCCAGGCACCACCCATGCAAGCAAAGAAGCTTTTGGGATGACTTCCTCACAGTGATTGTCTGGCTCTAATTTCATGGAAGACTCTGAGCCAGAATGTCACAGCCAAACTACTCCTGAATTTCTGATCACAGAAGCGGGGAGAGACAATAAATGGTCATTGTTGTTTTAAGCTACAAAGTTTTGGGGCACTTTGTCACCCAAGAATAGGTAACAAATACAAAGCAGATGCACACACTCCTTTCTGCTTTATGATTTGTCTGACTGGGGATGTGAAACAATAAAAAATATATTTATATTCATACATAGGTCTCCAACTCTGGTTCCTGGCACTGAGCTTTTAAAACCCTTGGAATTTTCTTAAGCAATAGGGGAGTTAGGAACATCTTTGTTGTAATATTTGGTCTTTGACTCTGGCTCCTGACACAGAGTTCCTAAGACCTTTGTAATTTCCTGGGTGACAGGAGCATCTTTTTTTTCTAGTGAGGCAACTCTTGGTGGGCTTCTGGATGGCAGCGGGTCACCAGAAATACCAACCCATGATTAGAAGCTTGGGACTTTCAGCCACAACTCCCATTCTCCAGTGAGGGAAAGGAGCTGGAAATGGAGTTAGTAAGGCATCATGTCCTTGTGATGCAGCCTCCATTAAAATCTCAAAACTATGGAGTTTGGAGAGATTGCAGATTGACGAAGACATAGGGGTACCTAGAGGGCAGCACATTCAGAGGGACATGGGAGCCGTGCACCCCTTCCCACAAACTCTGCCCTGTGCCTTTCTTCCATCCAACTGTTCATCTGTATCCTTTTTTTGTCTAGTAAACTGGTTAATGTTAGCATTTCCCAAGTTCTGTAAGCTGTCCTATCAAATTATCCAAGGAGGGGGTCATGGAGACCCTGATTTATAGCTGGTTGGTCATAATCATAGGACACAATCTGGTACTTGTTATTGGTGTCTGAAGTGGAAGCAGTCTTTTAGGACTGAGCCCTTAACCTGTGGGGTTTGTGGGAACTCTGGTTAGTGTCAGAGTTGAATTGAATTGTAGGACACCCAGTGGGTGTCCACTGGAGAATTACTTGGTGTGGAGAAAAAAAACCCACCCCACCAGAAGTGATCTGTGTTAAGAGTATAGCAGGAGGAAACAGCCAGTTGTTTTGTTTTTTCCTACTATTCAGGGAAACTCTGTGAAGACTTCCATCTTTCAAGTTCCATCTTTCCCCAGCAACCATCGGATTCACGGAAGAAGATCATCTCCACAAAACCAGTGCATGACTGGACAATAAGAACTAAAGCAACATAAATACCCTGCATGGGGGTCCAATGACAAACATGCACCTGGACAACCCACTGCTGGCACACAAGGGAGGGCAAACTCACGCTCACCATGAGGAGAGGTCAAAGAACCACGTCCCCTGGGAGCCCACATGAAGGCAAGGTCTCTAGGGGAGGATGAGGGACAGAGGCAGCTGGGGAGGTGACACTGTCCTCACACTGCTACTCTGATTGTTCAGAAGCCACTGGTGTGTTTTCTTTAGTTTTTAATTATGTAGTTTATTATTATTTTTTTGTTTTCCTTCTTATCTTTTCTCTCATTTAGCTCCTTGTTGACCCTTAGCAGAGAAAACATTTCAAAGATTAATGAGAAAACATCAGGTTGGTTTGCCTGTTACTGACAGTCACCATGAAGGGTTGTGGAGGAGGAAGGCTCAGTCATGGTCAGAAACAGCCTGAGTTTTATTCATGTATTTTTACATCCAGTGTGGCTGTGACACAACACTGAGCACGCTTGAAAAGAAAACTTGCTTCTCTTTCATTAAACCTCACAAATATTTTGCAAACCAGTAGCAAGAGTGGCTGTTCCCATTTTTCAGCTAAAAGTTGTGGAATAGGGAGTGACTCAGTGCTCCTGATTTGCCACAACACAATTCTCCCCCACTGGAAAAGCAAGTCCTTGACGTGTACCTGAGATCACAGTGAACCCAGCAAACCATCACCTGTTACCTGCTATTCCTTAGTACAGACACAGTGCTTGTGGAGGGTCAGTTAATAATGTAATTTACCCTTCTACTTAGTAGTGAAAAGGTCATGCTGTGTGACATGCTCTGGGGTCCCTGAGAGAGACATGAAAATAAATTTCTATGATCTGCAGGCCCCGAAGAGAGAGCAGATGCAAGGAGACACCTACACAAAGCTCTGACCGGCGGAGCGAGACCACTCATGAAACAGCTGAGCCGGAAGTGAAAGAGCCCAGCGCCCACCACAAAGAAGCTGCTATCCTATCTTTTGAATAGAATGGACCCAGTCATCTTAGGTGGTTTTGAACTGTCAAAAAATAAATAGAGGAAAAGATCAAGCACTCACTTTTGTGTCTCCCCTGCTAATGAGACACCAATAAAATGAGAGCAAAATGATTACCAGAGACAGAGACTAAGAACAGAAAAGAACAAAAGAGAATAACAGAGGAATAAACTCATAATGGCAAAGAGAAAAAGAAGAGTTCATTGACAAATGAGAGATTTCAACAAATTCCAGGAAGCTTAAAAAGTGATAAAACAAAATAAAACATTACAGCCAAAATTTCACTGAAAAAGCATAGAGCAGAGGATAAGAAAAATAACTGCAATAATAATAATGATTGGAGGACCGTGATATCAGGTAATGTGCACCGAGTGAGGATTGGGTGTCCAGCCCAGTGATTAATAATAATAATTGGAGCACCATGATATCAGGTAACATGCACCGAGTGAGGATCAGGTGTCCAGCCCAGTGATAAACCCTCGACTCACATTCTCACATCGAGGCTCACAACAACCTGAGATCAGTGCTATCATCATTTCCACTTGCAGTTGAGGAGGCTGAGGCGCCGAGAGGTTACGTGACTTGCCCAAGAGGTTACGTGACTTGCCCAAGATCCTAAGGCTGATAAGTGTGGAAGTCAGGATGGGTACCCAGGAGACCTGGCTTCAAATTTCACACCATGCCCTGGAAGGGGAAGATAAATTGTTGTGCACAGAACCTAAGAGAAGCTCTAGACCCATAGATGGCAGATAGTGGGTGGAGGTGGAAGAGGAGCCAAAAACAGGGTGGGAGGATGGAGGTACTGAAAGTCTATTTTGGTGAACACAGAGCTCCAACATCTCAGACTTTTCTCCAGGAAAAATAAATCGATTATATGGGTGGAAGGCAAGAAAGAAGGATGGAGAGATGGATGGATGGATGGATGGATGGATGGATGGTCAGGCAAATGGTTAGATGGACAAGTGGATGGATAGACAGATGTAGTAAACCTTTTCCCAAAAGCCAGCCACCCACTCATTGACACTTAGGTAAGTCCTGTCCAGCAACAGGCCTCCTCTATATACCCAAGACTCTCCAGGGGTTCCATATTCAGGAGTTAGCTCTCCACTCACAACAGCAGAGGAAACCTACACCCAATTTCTAGATATATTAACCCACCCAGCCATTCTTAAAATGATTAGACTGCAGGATCAGGCAGCATGTGAAGAAAACCATCAGAATGAAAGAAATGGGACACGTAAGAGAAACTGATAATTCAACCGACCTTTGAGAGAGGTGTGGGGGATGTGATATCTCGGGGAAGATCAAAACAAAACAAAACAAAACAAAAGACCTTGATGAAACTCTTCAAAGTGATTTGACAAATTACTGCATCCAGCAAACATATCATCATGGCTGGCTCCTTCCCTTCCTTCAGATCTACATCCCAAAGTCACCATATCAGCAAGGCCTTTCCTGTCTGCACTTTATAAAATAACAACCCTTCCCCAATCTCCCGTCAGTCCTGCCTTTCCCGAGCCACCTTACCTGCATCTTGTCCCCATAGAACTCAGCACTACATGGTGACATACCAAGTATTGATTTACTTGTTCATTTGCTATGGGTCAGCCCACAGATGACATCTCAGCTCCACGACAGCAGTGGATTTGCTCCTTAGTAGAGCTCTAGGGCTTAAAACAGTGTCTGGCATATAGTAGGTTATAAGTCAGTAAGTGAAAAACCAATGATTTCTTTTTTAAAAGAAGAATAGTTTGCAATGAAAAGAGAACAGAGACTAAGAACTCTTGGAAGTAAAACATATGTTTTCCTAAATTAAATAATTTAATAGGCCAGGCACGGTGCCTCATGCCTGTAATCCCAGCACTTTGGGAGGCCAAGGCAGATGGATCGCCTGAGGTCAGAAGTTCAAGACCAGCCTAGCCAAGATGGTGAAACCCCATCTCTACTAAAAATACAAAAATTAGCCGGGCATGGTGGTGCACACCTGTAATCCCAGCTACTCCAGAGGCTGAGGCAGGAGAATTGCTTGAACCTGGGGGGCAGAAGTTGCGGTGAGCTGAGATCGCACCATTTCACTCCAGCCTCGGCGAAAGAGCGAAGCTCCGTCTCGTGGGGGCGGTGGGGGAAAGAATTTAATAGAAGGTTGGGAAATTTCCCAGAACAGGGAGCAAAAGGACAAACAGAAGAAAAGTACAAGAGACATCAAGGACTTCAACATTCAACTGATTCCGGAAAGAGAAAAACAGGAAAACCAAGAGGCAAAAACTCAAAGAAAAATGGCTAGCTCTGTTGCACAGCTAAGAACTCATCTTCCGGGCTGGCTGGCTCCTGCTCGCCACTTCAGATCCATTCTCTACCCTTCTCCACTCCACTCAACGCCCCGGGAGTCAGGCTCACATGGACCTCGACTCTGCCCTCTGGCTTCCAGCTGGGCTTAGCCAATGGGCAGCAGCTGCTACAGAAGGGGAGAAGACAGAGATCAGAGATCAGGGTTCTTCCTGCAGCCTCTCCCTGCAGGCTTGCAGCTGGCAGGCTGAGCCCCTCTCCAGGCTTCCTCAGAGTGGCTTCTCTATGGTCTGGGGTGTTAATGGAGCTTGGTTATCATACCGCAGGGTCCTGCACTATCCTCTCTGGTCTCCCACTTCTGCCTACACTTTGCAAATTTAAATATCTTTCAACATGAAGTTCTGAGATACATATAGATTTTTAAAAGGATTTAAATATACACAATAAAAATTACTTTAAAAATATTAATCATACGAATGTTAAAAAAGTCAATACTCAAGGATAATCGTCAAAGACTTCTTATCATAACGCAACTGTGGAGTTGATTCAAATGATTATCATCAGTGTGGCAGTGTTAAGAATATGCATATAACCATATGCCATACAAATGTTAACATAAATAAATTCTTTACAAATTATCCTATGTTGAGTAGACATCTGTTTTCTGCTGAGACCATAACTGATAAATCAAAAGCCTAAAGGAATCTACTAAGCAGCATAAAAATGAATGAATAAAAAATAGTTCATTTAAGACATCTTGTACAATTTTAGCACACCAAGAATCCAGAGAGTCTAACAGCTGCTAGAGAAAGAGAGCAGATTTCCTATAAAGCATACTAATGAGACCAGCATCAGACTTCTCAGCAACAACTCCTGATATTTTCCTTTGAGTCTAGAATTCTAAATCCAATCAACTTACCAACTCAGCTTCAAAGAAAATAAATATAGATTCAGAAATGCAAAAACTCAAAAAGTGTCCATGCTTTTTCTTAGAAAGTTATTTGAGGATTTACTCCAGTCAAAGAAGGATAATATCAGGAAAGAGAAAGACAGCAAGTTCAAGAAGAATGACTCTAATCTCATGAGGAAACTGCAGAACAAAAGTGCTACAGTTAATCTAGAAAGCTACCCATCTAAACTAGAAGCGCAGTGATTGTGCTTACAGTAGGTCTTTCAGAAAAACAGAATAGATGATATCAGAGACACAGTGTAAAAGTGACATTCTCTTTTGACAAGAATAAAAAAGATAACTAGAAAATATATAAAAATAAAGAACCTGTACAATAAAATCAAGCTCAAAATAGGTAGCAAATAAAAATGAAACACAATTATGAGGAACTGAATAAAATAAGAAAATAAAATTCAGTTGCTATTGATGCTAGAAACATTCTCCACCTAGTAACCAGGGTCATGCCAGAGTCATGACCCAGGACCTGTAAAGAAGGAAACATAAGATTAGCATAACACCTGATTCCGCAGGGCATGAGCTTTCAAAGTCATAATAGTGTATGCTCTGTAAAGATTTTCAACTTCTTATACTAACTGATAAAAATAAAAAGTAATTTCAAAGTAGACTATAAATGTTATCAGCCTTGACAATGTGAAAATAAAGAACCAATAAAAACTGGGCGAAGAGAGAAGATTAGGCACAATATTATGGAAATTGGACATCAAGAGATGCTTTTAAAAGTTAATAAATTTGGTTTTTAAAAAGTTTTTAGGGCACTGAAACTATTCTGTGTAATACTATAATGGTGCAACATGCTATTATGCATTTGAAAATAAAAACATAGAATATATAACACAAAGAGTGAACTGTAAGGCAAATTTAGACTTTAATTAATAATAATATATCAGTATTGGCTTATTGATTGTAACAAATGTACCAAGGCAAGATGTTCATCACAGGGAAAACAGTGGGCATGGGAAGGGAGTACATGGGAATTCAGCATTTTCTGCTCAGTTTTTCTGGGCCTAAAATTGCTCTAAAAATAATGTCTATTTAATTATCAATGTGGACTTTGAGAAATGTCACATTTTGACCAGGATTTTGAAAAGAATTTGGATGTGTTCCCTAAGTAACTCATGTACAGGTCACGGGTCCAATCACACAATAAGATTTCTAATGAAAAACCAGCCTCCCGTGGACCCTCCTGACAGGCAATTCTGCTTCCTAGAGGATTCACCTTAGTTCTCCTAAGCTACCGCCCTCTCTAAATGAAAGGCTTCACATAGCTATTGTTTGACTTACTAACTTCAGAAACAACTTACCGACTCCCTTCTACAAAAAATGAGCTTTTGGTTCCCTCATTCCCCTTTACTCAGCTCAATTTTGAATTGTTTTATATTAGTTTTTAAATTGCTATATACTACTTTTGGTTCTCAACTATCTTTTCTTTTTTTAATTAAACAGCCTCCAGGCCCTCCTGTTTCGGCCTCTCAGCGCCTTCCTCTCCCAGATCCCCTTTCCTCCACACCCCACCTTGGCTCCCCACACAGTCATCCTTCAGGTTGGGCCAGTTTTCTAGGATTCCCTGAATATAGCATGCACATTGCTACTTCCTTCAGTGCCCCCAGGAGAAAACTCACTCCTGTCCTTCCCCTTTCCAGGTCCTGAACGCCTGCGGCCCACACAGGTGCTGGAGCAGGTGATTCCGCAAACCTCAGGCACCTGAGAGGCCGCTCCCTCCCTGCTCAGTGAAAATGAGTTTCGCCTGCTGTAGCTAGGCAATGAAGAATTAACTAGTTGAGCAAACACATTAGAAAAGATTAGATCTTTCATTTTTATGTTGGTCAAGTGCGTCTTTTACAGCCCATATTTATGTTTAAGTTTAATCCTATGTTAATTTATTAAGTAAATGTGTATTTTCTGTTTTACTTACAGGCTTTGACCCTAATTTCTGTGACTTTTATAGCCATACATTGATGTTATTTAGATGTTATTAAATAAAGTTCCTACAATTTCTTTAAGTATTTTTAGATGGCAAGCTGAGAAAGCATGCAGTATCTAAGAGGAGAAGAAATGGAAGGAAAAAGAGAGGCAGGCCAATGTGGAGAACGTGGCTTGGTTTGGAGGTTGTATTGGAAGCAGACAAGTGTTGTGTGAGAAAGGCTGCAGAGTGACTCTGAAGATGCCAGATGTCAGCCTGGTAATTTTCCCCATTTGTGGAAGCTGAAGGATTCTGAGGGGTACCTGGTTGTACTTCTTTTTATTTTTATTTTTTTTTTTGAGACAGAGTCTCACTCTGTCACCCAGTCTGGAGTGTGGTGGCACAATCTTGGCTCACTGCAGCCTCCGCCTCCTGGATTCAAGTGATTCTCCTGCCTCAGCCTCCCGAGTAGCTGGACTACAGGTGCATGCCACCACATCCAGCTAATTTTTGTATTTTTAGTAGAGAAAACATTTCACCATGTTGGCCAGGTGGTCTCGAACACCTGACCTTAAGTGATCCTCCATCCTCGGCCCCCCAAAATGTTTGGATTACTGGCGTAAGCCACTGCGCCCAGCCTCCAGTTGTACTTCTGACAGCAAGAATGTTGACAACTATCACTCCCTCCGAGGGTGTCTCATGCACAGCTCCGAGAGGGCGAGGCACGGTCCTGACAGTTCACACACCATTGCCTCCAGTGCTTTTAATCAGTGCTAAGAAGTCTCCTGCAAAATTGGCACTAATTACATATCCTGAAGAAACAGGTATTTGGTTTAATGCAGCCCTGCACCAGTGCAGCTATAAGGAAGTGTTGCTTCCTCCTGCTCAGAGAGAACACCTGTCTGTCTTCTGGGTCAAGCAAAGCTGGGGTCATGAAGGATCCAACACAGGAGGCGGTCAATGCAGGGAGGGCTGCAGCCAACCTGTGAGAAGCAAGAGGGTAAACCGCCAACTGCAATGCTGCATCGTGGGGCTGTTCTCATGACCCCTCGCCCCTGTCCCCCTCGGCCCCTCTCAAAATAGGTCCAGCTTCTCCCCAGACACCAGAACCAAATCCGGTGCATGAGAGAGCCAGCACCCCTATGGCAGGGTCTTCCTGCTGATGCAGCTCCTGTCACTGTCTCTTCTGGTTCCCTCTCACCTTGACCCTCCGTTACTGGAAAGGGGTCCAGATCCAGACCCTAAGAGAGGGTTCTTGCATCTCATGCAAGAAAGAATTCAGAGCAAGTCCACAGGGTAAAGTGAAAGCAAGATTATTAGCAAGAGAAGAGAAGTGAAAGCAAGTTTATAAGCAAGAGAAGTAAAGAAACAAAAGAATGGCTACTTCATAGATAGAGCAGGTCATTCCCAAAAGCAAGAGGAGGAATGAGTCCAACTTAGGTGCAATGCTTGTTTAGATGTAACATAACTGATATGGTTTGGCTCTCTGTGCCCTCCCAAATCTCATGTTGCATTGTAATCTCCAATGTTGGGGGAGGGACCTGGTGGGAGGTGATTGGATAACAGGGGTTGATTTCCCCTTTGCTCTTCTGGTGATAATGAGTGAGTTCTCGTGAGATCTGGTTGTTTAAAAGTGTGCGGCACTTCCCCCTTCACTCTCTCTCCTGTTCTGCTGTAGTAAGATATGCCTGCTTCCCCTTCACCTTCCACCATGACTGTAAGTTTCCCGAGGCCTCCCAGTCATGATTCCTGTACAGCCTGAGAAACTGTGAGTCAATTAAGCCACTTTTCTTCGTGAATTACCCAGTCTCAGATAGTTCTTTATAGCAGTGTGAGAATGGACTGATGCAATTACAAAACAAAACAGCATGGGGAGGTGTGCTGTGTGGCAAGGGCTCGTGACAAATGATTGTTAATCTTTTTGTAACTACTATCTTCCATGAGAATCTATATCATTATTCTTAAAGCAGAACTTATTCTTAAATTAAGAATGACTTTGCCCCTAAGATATCAGGACATCAGGCCATTTCCTGAGTCTGTTAAGTCCTGGGTCTGCTCAGCAAACATTATTAACCTGTTCCCTTAACCGTAAACATCCTGTGACTAGGAATGTCTAACCTCCTGGGAATGCAGCCCAGGAGGTCTCAGCCTCATTTTACCCAGCCCTTATTCAAGATGGGGGTCATTGTGGTTCAAATGCCTTTGACATCTCAGCTCCAGATACTGTTTTACCTTTTTTTACCCCTTCACCTCGTGTCCCAGATACTTACTTCCTGGTTCTTACGTCAGTGGCCGGAACACCTGCTGACTCTGCTTCACAGATGCCCTACATCACCCCCGACCATGCCCTTGGAAGCTCTTGGTTCCCCCTTTCCCTCCCTGGAGGCATCCTAGGGGCCAATAGGATAATGAGGCTCCACCTAGCGCTATTCTGCAGACCCAGCACCAGGAGCGCCAAATGGGAGGCAGGGCTGCTAACTCGACTTGGAACCTTGCAAGTTATTGTTCCACATCACCAAAAAGTGGGACTAACAGAGGCATCTTCCAACTTATTTCCCATTTCAATCGCATTCCCCAGTTGATCTTATTGGCCATTGACCGATTGCTTAATTATTCAAGGGACTGAGTCTGACTGCATATGCTTACTGAGGGTAGAGGACAAACTCCTCACTGGGACTTTCAATGTCCCTTAAAATGGGACCCTTGTAAAAGACTGGTTACATCATGTTATGAACTGAATTAGGGCCCCTTCGCCAATGTTTATTTTGAACCCCCAACACATAGCACCTCAAAATGTAACTGTATTTAGAGATGGGGTCTTCAAAGAGGTAATTACGAGGCTCTAGTCCAATGGGACTGGTGCTGTAATGCGAGGACACTAAGACACACAGAAAACGCACCAAGGATGCTCAGCAGGGGAAAGCCTGCATGTAGAGGCAGCAAGAGGATGGCGGTCTGCAAGCCAACGAGAAGCCTTGCAGGAAGCCAACCCTGCTGACCCCTAGATCTCGGACTCCAGCCTCCAACGCTGTTTGAGTAAATACGTTTCCGTTGTTTAAGCCACCTGATGGTGGCATTTTGTTATAGCAGCCCTAGAAACCAACACACATCATTTCACCCACACACCAGCAAACCAGGCTGCCCATCATTTCCGGGTGACACTCAGGCTTCTCTGCTTTTCTTACGCTTTCTCAAACTGTTCTTTTACTTTTGGAGTGCCCTCCTTTCCACTGCCCTAGTAATGCTGCCTGGGAGAACCCTAGAGTCCCCAAGCCTGCCATGTCTTCATGTTCTCTGATGACCCTGTGGGGTACACTCACTCCCCTGCAGCCTGCCCACATGACCTGGGAGAACCTCCCACAGATGCAGCCCTGGAGCAAATGTATTTTATTCATTCGTTCAATAACTGGCTTTCACGGAGCCAGAACCTCAGGCTCTGTTCCGCGTCTTGGATGACAGTCACCAGTTCACTTAGTTTATGCCCCTTACTCTGTTCTACAGACAGCCTGTATCTCACACTCCTTTCTCCAGTGCCCTGCAGCCTTGGGCACTGTGCTCTGCCCCTGCCAGCATGCGTGTAGGGGACACGCATTGTCCAGGCCCCCTTCTAACCAAGAGCAGTTTCCCCCTTAGGGGCTCCTCCTCCTCCCACACTATAGGTTTTCATAGGAGTGGCCACAGTCTAGTTCATGGGGGCCTGCACCCCTGCTCCCAGCACCAATAAGCTACCACTTTGGGCTTCCTGATTCAGGACTAGGGTGGCACCAGGCTAGACTCTCTCAGTGCCTAAAACAGTAAGATGTGCAGCCCAGGCTGGTGCCCTCATTCACCACGAGAGGCAGAGGCAGCAGTCCTGAGAGAGGCGAAGGAGGAAGTGGAGATGGGGTTGGGGAGGACAGGAAGCAAAAGAAGCCAGAGAGAGACAAAAGCCGAGGGGAGGGTTGGAAGAGAGTCCAGAGAGGGATCCAGCGCTCGCAGCACCGTTTCCGGAGCTCCTACCTCATTTCTGCTTCTCTCAGTGCTCCATTTCTCCTGGGGTATCAGAGAGCCACCCCACCCATGCCAGGGCCCTCCAGTGATTCCCTTCGTATTGGGAGCCAGCCGTTTCTTTCACTTTTAACCCAACAACTCCTTTGCTACTTCAAGGCACTTAATATATTCTCTAAATTGAATTTAACTTTAGTTGCTTTTGAAGAAATGGAGTGAATTTCACAGTAACGACAGCAATTTCATTACCTTCCCAGACACACTTCTGCTCACCAGATGTCCCAGCGCATAGGGTCCACAGATGGGGGATCAAGGAAGGTCCAATCCATCAGTCATTTATATACAAACAGCGGCCCTAAATGCTTGGAAACCTGTGGATAAACTTGATTTTTGTGAAGAAATTCATTTGATTTGTGGCATCAAATTGTTCCACAGCAGCACCATTATGGATGATCCAAAGGTCATTTTTCAGCAGCTGAGGTTTGGAACTCACAGTGGAAGGAGTAGTGTCCACAAGAACACATTTGCTTGTCAGTCAATCTGGAAGAGGCTTCCTTTCCAACACCCCACGTTGCAAAGAGTGGGTAAGGTTAATGGGTTCACATCTGAAAAGTGGCTCAGAGCCCAGTGATGAAACGCAGTAAATAAAGATATGTTATTCTTCACGTTATGAATTGTTTAGAGGAAAGATGGATTCAGGAAACAATCCCTCCCCTAAGATTTTGAATGGTTTCACTAAAGCCACCCATGGATGGGGAGACTGTAGGGACAAGGATGTGAGGAAGGTGAGTGGAGGCGATCTCCACTGATGCAGTGGATGGAACAGTGGGCTGCCGCCCCTGCCTCTGGCCAGATGCCAGGCCATTAAGAGCAAAGAGTAAAGATTAATTCCTATGCTCGTGTTATAGCCACACATAAAATTTGGCCCAGTAACCACAGACCAGTGCCAAAATCTGTTTAGTTCATTTAAATTTTTGTATTTATTTTAATTAAGCACTAGCAGAATGCCATTTGCAGTGGCATATTGAATACCTTTGTAATTAACAATACCGAGCCAGAGAGATAGGCTTCCTCCGCATTCTTTTAATTAACTGAAATAGTTCAAGGACAGAATCAGCAATGATTTCTTTCTGGATGCAGAATGTGGGGGCTAGGGAATATGCCCTTCATTAGAAAAAGGTGTAATTTTTCAAAATTCTAAGATCTATCAGAATATATTTCCATTTTTATAAACATTATCAGAAGGAAGAAAGCTTAGCAAATGTAATGCATTCAGTATTTTGAGTTACAACAGAAACTTTATGCAGTAGAGAAGTAAGGCAGAAGTTCTGATATGCTGGAATGGAATGAATAATAGTAATGATTCCATCCCCTATGAGTCACACGGGTCCTGGCAGCCACTTGAAATCCAAAATTCTGGTCCCGACTTTATCCTCAAGGCTTCCTATAAGCAGGCAGGATGCTTTTTATAATCTCCAGCCCTCTTTCCTTTGTGTTGTCATTGTTCCTTTTTCTTTAACACCTCCTAAAACCTTCCAACATTTGAATTGTTTAAGGGAAATATGTTTTTTTCTCTTGATCTGTTGAACTGGAATTAATCTCCCTGCATATGTCAGATGCTGTTTCTGCTTCTGTTAGAAGGAGCAGGCATCCTTCTCCTGGGTGAAAATCAGCTCTCATGGAAATCAATGTGGGTGAAAATCAGCTCTCATGGAAATCGATGTGGCTGAAGGGGAGATTCAAGGGCAGGAAAGCAAAAGGAAGACTCAGCTCCAAGGGGCCTGGTGAGGAGGCTCAACTTCAGGCCCATTCTAGGCTTATTCTGGAGTCCAGAGTGAGGATCAATCAATTTGGAGTGCTAACGCTACTTCTCCACTGGGTTGGAAACATTAGCACATCTTCAGCACCACCGGTGTGTGTGCAGCAGTGAGGACTACACTTGTGCAACTGTTCCTGTTGCACAAGAAACAGCAATGGCCCCTGCCTTTCCCTCAGAGAATAGAACCCACTCACCAGCCCCTATCCACCCTAGCCCACCCCAGTGCCACCACATCACCATTTCTCACTGAAAGATGGTAGATACGATATCATTGAATATCCTCAGCTGCTAGTGCACACAAAGAAAGCAACCCGTTCTTTTGCCAAATGCATCCTCCCTTGAAAAACTAGAGAAGCACACACTTGTTCTTGCTTACTGTGAGAGGAGCCATCATGAGCATGTAGGAGTGTGGAGTGTTTTGATTCATGCTGTCTGTGCTACATATAAACTCCTGAGATTCAGCAAAATTTCTTTTTTCATTTGCTGAGTTGAACAACCTGGTCTCTTTCTCCCTTTTATGCACCACCACTCTGAACTGAATTTTCACAGATGCAAACTGCCAAGTGAAATCCCTTCAATATTAAATTCCACAACCATCATAAAAAGGCGAATCATTTGCCGCTCAAAGGAAATGAGATATATTTTAAATTGAATATCCTCATGAATATGCTAACAAGTCCTGAACAGTTTAATAATAATAACAGACCTTGTCTTCATGTGGCCTCTTTCCCCTAGTGAAGACTGACAGCACTTACTAGAGGGGGCAGGGAGCTTGGAAGAACACAATCACTCTATTTTATAAGTGAGACCAGGAAAACCATCTCTCCATGTAAACTAGGCTGCAGGCACCCCCAATGTGTTCATTCTGCCCTCAAAATAACAGGACCTAGGAATCCTTTCACCCTTTGGCAAGCTCTTCCATGGGGCTCTTCCTTGGACCTTGATATAGTTTGGCTGTGTCCCCACCCAAATCTCATCTTGAATTGTAACTCCCACAATTCCCACGTGTCATGGGAGGAATCTGGTGGGAGGTAATTGAATCACGGGGGCAGGTCTTTTTCATGCTGTTCTCATGATAGTGAATAAGTCTCATGAGATCTGATGGTTTTATAAGGGGGAGTCTCCCTGCACAAGCTCCCTCTTTGCCTGCTGCCATCCATGTAAGATGTGACTTGCTCCACCTTGCCTTTCACCATGATTGTGAGGCCTTCCCAGCCATGTGTAACTGTAAGTCCATTAAACCTCTTCCTTTCATAAATTGTCTTTAGTCTCAGGTATGTCTTTAACTGCAGCATGAAAACAGACTAATACAGACTTTATCCCAATTATCACAGCTCTGGGAGTAGCCTGTGTGCCAGGATCACCTCAGGTGTGAAGATGGCAGAGATGAGGCACTCATCCCCTTCCCTTGCCAAAGATGGGACTGGGTCTCGTCTCAGCTTAGAAGCCAGGGTAGAGGTTCCTCTGGATGGCTCCCAGGGCAGACGTCTCTGGCCTCCTCTCGGTGGCCAACTGTATCTGCTTCTGTTTGAAGGAGCAGGCATCCTTCTCCTGGGTGAAAATCAGCTCTCATGGAAATGGATATGGCTGAAGGGGAGATTCAAGGGCAGGAAAGCGAAAGGAAGACTCAAGTCCAAAGAAGGGCCTTGCTGGGGGCCCTGTGAGGGGGCTCAACTTCAGGCCCATTCTAGGCTTATCCTGAGCAGCCTCCCCATGTGACCTTATAGCAGTGAGGACCCACACTGGAGGCTGGAGATTAGAAACAGACCCCCAAGGGATGGCTCTACAGGGCCCTCAAAGCTCCCAGGAACCATCCTTGATTGTATTCCAGGATACGGGGTACAGTGTCTCTTAAATGGAAAAGTGTGCATTAATGAATGAATGAATGAATGAATGAATGAATACACATCTGTCTGGATGGATGCTCTGGAAGCTTCTTTGTAGCAAATTTCCTCATTGAGGCTCAAGCAAGTCCTCAGCTTCTGTTTGCATCTTGTGGACGCAACTCCTTTATCCAGTAAAGACTGACAGCACTCTGTCACTGCCACTGGGAAAACCCAGCTGACCCTGGCTGGCTTCGGCACGTAGAATCTGTTGGACTTCCGCTCTGTGAACTACATCCAACCTCCTTCCAAAGGAAGGGTGCTCCCGCCTCTGTCTTGGCCTGAGAAGAAGGTCCAGTCTCTTTCCTTAGCATCTTCGGGCTGGTAGAAACCCTGCAGCTCAAAGAGAGGAGGCAGCATTCTCAAACAAGCTCCCAGTAAATTCCTGTGGTGGTAATTTGGCAGCAGATCAACTTACTTTTCATTTCAGTAAAAAAAAAGAAAACCAACTGACAAAGGCAATGGCAGTCTGACCTGTAAGTTTGTTTGTCAAGTCTTTCAATGGGTACAGTTTGTAAAGGATCATGGGGAGATCATGTAACGTAGAGCTAGAGGGAGCAAAAGAGAGAGACAGAGATGATTGCAGCCATGCACACGGAGCCATCCAAGTCCTGCAGTCTTGCCACTGCAGAGATGATGCCGGGCCAGACTCTGACATCTGATGGTGAAAAGACAGAGGGTGCAGGACTGAGAAACACTGTCCAAGGGGGCAGAAAGGCAGAGGGGTGTGGGCCTACCTCCACCTCCCAGACAACGCAATGGCCCTGGTATCTTCAAGGCAGCCCACTTATCCCAGCCCTCTCAGCAACAAGGACCAGCCTGTGAGATAAAAGCCCACAAATGCAGAGCCTGGCTCCCCGACGCCCAGAGGCACCAGCACTGTGAGTGTTTCTGACAAAGCCAGCCTCTCTGGCACTCACTCCTGGCTTGTCCCTAGAGGCCATGCCACCGGCCCTTTATGTGAGGTGAGACAGGCCCATTCCAGCACAGCCTGAGAGGGTGCATGCACCTTCTCTCTTTCCTTTCACCTGGCCCTAATTAGGAGCTGAGTCCACTGTGGCCAATAATGGACATAGAGGAATAGTTTCCCTGGGCCAGGAGGTTGTGCTAGGCATCTGGTGGGCCTGGCAGATGCAGGCGCCCTCACAATGCCCCATGTCAGACCATTCAGGCCCAGAAGGCAGCCTGGGTGATTAATGAGGTGTGCACCTCCCCCCTGAGCACACTGCAGCTCCATTTGGTGCACCTCATTAGGTCTGCTTTGGGGTGGCCATTAGCACACAAGCATGGGCGTGCTGGGGTCACTGGGATGACAGGCAGAAAGCAAACAAGACCCAACACCCAGGTGCACTAAAGAGGCTGACCACATGGGGGCTGTGGGGCCTGGACATCTGTTTGGTATCAAGGTTAAGAGGTAACATTTGCAAAACTAAGAAGCAGGCAGCCTTTGTTTTTGTACTTAAAAAGTAAAATAAAATCATTCATACTTTACATTTCATCCAAACTTCCACTTCTAAAGTTTTGCATTTTAAGAGATAAATCTAATTAGGAGGACCAGACACTAATTTCCAAGGGGCAGTTCCCACTGTGGCATTTTGGGGCTGTAGTGGGTTCCAACAAGGCCCCAGCTCTCAGGGGCTTCGAGACTCTGGCTTCCCCCAAGCTATCTCTCAGTTCCCTCTTTCTGCTTAACCTACTTGCCTGCTCGGAGGATCTAGAAAGCATTTTGACCTTGGACAGCAGAGCACCAGGGCCACTTGCAGAGTCACCTGTGTGATGTTTCTGGGTTCTGCCTTGTCCATCTGTGAAAAGCAGATAACGATGCTTCCTACCTACTTGCCGGCAGGCATGGTGAGTGGGTTAATGAGCTGCTTGTCCAGCTCACAGGAGTGCCCATGTAACACACTGCTCCCAGGCTCTGGGTGCAAAAGCTTTCTTTCGTTAGAAAAACCTGCTGAGGTCTCTATGCAGGGAGAGATTCCATCCGACTCATGTTTTCTGGTCTTGAAAAAAATCACAGGTTTTTAAAAAATATCTCCTGGTTTTGCAGAGTTTTTTCATTCCATTACAATTTGTGACAGACATTGCAAAGACATCTCCTATTAATTATATTTTTTAACAAACAAACCTCCCTGATTTTATTAAACAGTCACCAGCCAAGTGTGCATTTTTCACTGTTGCTATCAATAGCCCCTCACCATGTTCTCATTGTTTTATACAAAAGCAGAGTTTGCTTCAGTATTAATATTGACAAAGAAAGGGTTTTTTCTTCTATTTCATCTCCTTTGCATGAAAACATTTATGTAAATGTATGGCTCAACTGTAAGCAATTGAGGTTACCAACTTAAATTCCACAGCCCAGACCTGAGCTTCTTTAAACACCAGATCTTCTCAGATCCCACCATGGCTTATGTGATCACAATCCCAGCAGGCACAAGGGGCAGTATTGGCTTCTGCTCCTCCCAAGATTCTAGGAGCCTGAGACATGCAAACGTGGACAGAGTCCCTCTGTACATCCTGCAAGCAGTTTGCTTTGTGCCAAAGGAGGCATCCAATATACTGTTAGTAGGTAGGCTGGCTCCGGGTCAGCACATCTAAGAGACAGGGGAGACCGCACGGTGGGTCCATAGCCTGCTCTTGGGGAGAGGCCAGCAGCATTCATTGCGGTGAACAGGAGCTCCAGGGAGATCCTTGAGTCCTCACAACTTTCAGGAGAAGCTGACATTGTGTCAGAACCCATTTGTGCCATTTGGGTTGAGTTTGGGCCATAGTAAACTCCAAGCTCGTTGACAGCAGGAGAAGGGGCATTTTGTATATAGTGATTCAAAATTGGCAAAACAATAAGGAAATTAAATTCAGGTAAAGTTTGATTGTACTTCATTTGCACTTCAGAGGAGGTTCACAGAGTTTCTCCCCATATGCCTCTCCTGCTGTCTACAGTGGCCTGTCAGGAGGCTATTGCTGGAAACAGATAAAAGAACAAACCCTTATATCGAGGGAGCTCTCCTAACATCTCAACTCAGGAGAGGGGTAAAGTGAAAATGGGCTAGTACAGACTTTATCCCAATTATCACAGCTCCAGAGCAGCTCATGTGTCTGCCAGGATCACCTCAGGTATGAGGACAGTGGAGATGAGGCACTCATCCCCTTCCCTTGCCAAAGATGGGACTGGGTCTTGTCTCAGCTCAGAAGAGAGAGCAGAGGTAAAATATGCCAGAAGGTAAGATATGCCAGGAGCCACCAACTCATAAAGTACAACCAGGATTTCTTCCTCCTTCCCAAGTCTGAATGGTGACCTGAATTTTTGTTTTGGTTTGGCTTTTTTTTTTTAACCTTTTGTGTTAGATTGCTTTCAAAAATAGCAGTCATTATTTCCTTCTATGTATGCATCCCCCTTTTGCAATATGATTTTTCAACTTCGTTCCTCAAGACGTAGAATTTATTTCCCACCCTTTGAACCTGGACTGCCCTTATGTGACTTACTTTGGCCAATGCAGTGTGGCAGAAGTGATGGGTGCCAGTCCAAGCCTAGTACCATATTCCCTTGGGTCCTTGCCGAGACACTGTATAGGAGCCTGCAGTCACCTGGTAGAGTATGAGGTCGTGTCACGTCAGGTGAGGCCATCCCAGACTGGGCAGTTCCCAGTCAATCCACATGGGTGATCCCAGTCAAGATCAGCCAAGCCCAGCCCAGACCAGAGGAACTGCCTCGAGAGGCCAGGTGAACTGACTAAGGTGCCCATGTAGTAGGTGACATGAGCAGGCATTTGAACTCAAGCTACCCTGATTCCACAGCCTAAAGTCTCTCCAGGCACTCCACATTTTAGAAACCTGGACCTTGATTCCGCCAACTAGAAGGGGAACTAGAGCTTGTACTAGATTCCAAAGACAGTTATGTTTCTGAGCCATCTTAGTTGCTGGAAATTCAAATAAAGATGCTGGCTAGGGAACCCTTTTTTGAATATTTGTCTTCAGATCACACTCTTTCTGTCTCTGTCTCTCTCTCTCTCTCTCAGTCTATTAATGATATATTGGTTTGTGAATTATTTCAGTCCTGATGAGATCACATTATTTATATTTCCACTGCCAAAGCGATTTCCCAGATTATGTGGGGGCAACGGTAGCTTCAGATGGGGCAACAAAGTTGTGACCTCCTGTTTTACAGAAAATATAGCTTAGTGATTATTTCAGCAAAAGTAGAAATTTTCACCTTGGTAAATTAAAACTAGAAGAAGTTAGTGGATTTCTCTGCGGAGAGGGTTTTTGGGACCCAAGAGTTCTTCTTCCAAGATCACACGTGCAATGTCTGTGGTGTGCTGAGAGCCTGGGCCCCTCTCTCTGTTCTCCGGGATTTCCCCATTCTCTATAGGCAAGACTTTCATGGAGCTACAACCCTGGGGGTCTCCAGAGCAGGACAGCTTGCTTGTGCTGGGGTGTCCCTGCCAAATGTGACCCCCACTGGGTCTCTTCTGAGCTGAAATCATCTGAAATGGCTCCAGCACACACGGATAGGGAAGGATGTTATGACATTGGATGGAGTCCAGAGAAGCACAAGCAGGTTGGAAACACAGTCCTGCCAGAGGCTCCACAATGGAGCTTTGACTGGGATAGTAAAATTAAACATCCACCAAACTCTGAACAGTTCAGAAAACACGTTCTCAAAAAAGTTCTGTGTGGTAGGGTGCAGTGGTTCATGCCTGTAATCCCAGCACTTGGGGAGGCCAAATAGGGTGGATTGCTTGAGCCCAGAAGTTCAAGACCAGTGTGAGCAATATGGCAAAACCCCATCTCTACAAAAAAAAAAAAACCACAGAAATTAGCCAGGACTGGTGGTGCACACCTATAGTCCCAGCTACTAGGGAGGCTGACGTGGGAGGATGGTTTGAGCCTGCAAGGTTGAGGCTGCAGTGAGCAGTGACTGGCACTGCCTTCCATCCTGGGTGACAACAAGACCCTGTCTCAGAAAAAAAAAAAAAAGTTCTTTTTGATTCTCCAGGCAACCCTAAATACTGGTGTGATTAAAATTACTCCCCTTTTACAGAAAAGGAAGCTGCATCTTAAGCAGCTCAAGCAACTTTCTCATAGCAAGAAGGGAGCAGAACCTGGGCCTATACTTCCTCTGCCTGCAAATACACCATCTGTTCTCATTTTCCATTGAGCTCATTTTCTTTTGGCACATTCTAGAATCAAACTGCCCCAAGACAAAAAGTAAAGAATGATCAGTGTTCTGAATACCAGGAGGACAGCCCACCAGCAGAAGTTGAGGAAGAAAGATGTTGGCAGGGGGTGGACACACAATGATTGAGAAATGGTAGAGGGCTCCTGAATTGAAACACTGGATGGCTGAAAGCCTCTTTTCCAGCGGCCCAGTAACATGCTACATTTGGCAAAGTCCCTTGGTAAGACAAAGCTGCTTTCATTCATCAATAGGGCCACAGGAATCTTAACAGCACTGCTCCTGCAGCTGGCTGCTTGTTCCCTACACCACCCGGCATCCACTTGCCATCAGGAGTTTCAAAGCATCAGCTCTCTCTGCTGCATTCTTCACTATTTAATAAAATAGCGTCTTCCTGTGGAATCAACCCAAATGCCCATCAATGATAGACTGGATAAAGAAAATGTGGTACAGATACACCATGGAATACTACGTAGCCATAAAAAGGAAAGAGATCATGTCCTTTGCAGGGACATGGATGGAGCTGGAAGCTATTATCCTCAGCAAACTAATGCAGGAACAGAAAACCAAACACTGAAGGTTCTCACTTATAAGAGGGAGCTGAACAGTGAGAACACATGGACACAGGAAGGGGAATAACACACAATGGGGCCTGTCAGGGGGTGAGGGGGTGGGAGAGCATCAGGATAAATAGCTAATACATGTGGGGCTTAACATCTTGGTGATAGATTGATAGGTGCAGCAAACCACCATGGCACACATTTACCTATGTAACAAACCTGCACATCCTGCACATGTATCCCAGAACTTAAAATAAAAATAAATAAATAAATAAATAAATAAAATAACACCTTCATAAGACCTTTCTTTCAGCTTTCAAGCTAAATAGCAGGGGAAATGTAGTCACAGAATAATTAAAAATAATAATTTTGTCATTTCTCACGAGAATTGATCTTAGAAAGATTTGACATATTTCTGTAAGGTCTCGTCAGTGTTTGGGCCAGCAGCTGCCAGCTGGAGAAACATGCAGCCATTTCACTCTGTGATGACAATTACTTCATTTTCTGAATGTTCCAGGCTGTCACACACCCTTTGTACCAGGACTCTGAGAGCACTCCACCTCTGCTGCCAGTGAAGGGAGTTTTCTGAATGTTCCAGGCTATCACACGCCCTTTATACCAAGACTCCAAGAGCACTCCACCTCTGCTGTCAGTTAAGGGATATGGATCCCTGGAATCTTCCTATTCCACCCGATTACTATGATCCAAAGGAATTGAATATCAGGAGTCCTGACTTCCCCTTGCCAGGAGCCGGTTCCTGAGTCACAAAGCTCTGCAGTCCTTCCAACACACACTGCATCTAGGAAGGATACTCCCTGGACCTGCACCTGTTTGCACCTGGGTCTTTGAACTCTTCCTCTGTAGAGAAAATTAACTGCCTCAAAGACTACCATGGCTACCTGACACAGCCATTCTATTACTGCAATCATGAATCCTCAGAAGGGTTTACATGCCTGCCTGCAGCATGATAGTATTTATAAGCCTAACACCTCTTTGCCCTAAAGTACAATTGAAACCTCTTACTCCAAGATGTCTTGAGTGTATGGTGTTTTGAGTATCGTTATTCTAAATCCTCATACTGTTCTTGAAGAAATATCTCGTGAAGTAGACCATTTGTGTTTAGGTTCCTATTGCCTGCTAATGCAGACCCACTAACCTTATGGTAGTTAGCAGAGGTTCTGTTTGGTTCCATCCCACCTCATATTCATGTTCCCTTCTCCCATGGGTCCTGAATGCTTTTAAGATATGTGTTGTTTCCAATAGCGTCAATGGTCCTCATCAGCTTGGAGGCTGGCTTGGTCAGCATCCCAGAGTGGGACAATATGGATTCACTCCCACGCCACTCTTGAGTGACTTGAAAACTCACACCATCCTGCCCTCTCAGGCTCGAGCACCATGAGCACAAGGACAGAGCCTGCTCACCTTCTTCTAGCCTCACCTTGTACTGTGCCTAGCTCAGAGTGCTTTCCAAGACATTTTCTGAATTGTCAGAACATTCAGACATTTTTGAAACCTGGAACATTATTGGAAATACTAAGGCCTCAAGAGACCTCTACAGAGACCAGTAAGATGTTCGTGCAGAGGATGTGCAGAGGGGACATGGGAGGACAGGGACACCATGCTCCTCTACACAGCAGGTCTTGTTGCTGCTGACTGACATGTCCTGGGAGCACATGGTCCTGCTCTAGGGGAGGCAAGAAGCGGTGTGGGCACACACAAAGGTGGAAGCTCTCAGATCTGTGCCTTCAAAAACAGAAATCTTACCATTCTACAGTTCAGACTATCTGGACTTTGCAGGCACACGATGACTTTGGGGACTCAGCCATTGCAGCTGCATGCCAGAGAGGCAGGTAGAACAACATGGTGGACAAATAAAGCTCAGAGGCAGAAGAACTCAGCAAAAGCTAAAGATCTTAAATATTTTTTCCTAGAATCTGGATACTTATATTCTCCCAAAATGACTACGTTGAGACATAACCCCCGCAACATGATGGTCTTCAGAGGCAGGGCCTTTGAGAGGCATCTGATTCCCTTCAGGCTGCAATAACAAAGTATCAAATGAAAAATACCAAATGGTTTATTAACAACACAGACTTATTTCTCACATTTCTGGAGGCTGAGAAGTCTGAAGTCAAAGTTCCAGAAGACAGGCTGTGAAGAAAAGGTAGTGCTTACACCCTGCTGGTGGGAGTCTAAATTAGTTCGGCAATGTGGAAGACAATGTGGTCATTCCTCAAAGAGCTAAAAACTGAACTATCATTCAACCCAGCAATCCCGTTACTGGATATATACCCAAAGGAATACAAATCATTCTTCCATAAAGACACACGCACCCATATGTTCATTGCAATACTATTCACAATAGCAAAGACATGAAATCAACCTAAAGACCCATCAAGGGTAGACTGAGTAAAGAAAATATGGTACATATAGACCATGGAATACTATGCAGCTATCAAAAACAGTGAGATCATGTCCTTTGCAGGAACATGGAAACAGCCGGAGGATATTATCCTAAGTGAATTAATACAGGAACAGAAAACCAAATGCCACATGTTCTTACTTAGAAGTGAGAGCTAAATATTGAGTACGCATGAACACAAAGAGGGGAACAACAGACACCGGGGCGTACTTGAGGGTGGAGGGTGGGAGGAAGGTGAGGATTGAAAAACTACCTATTGGGCACTAAGCTTATTACCTAGGTGATTAAATAATCTGTACACCAAACCCCTGTGATACGTAATTTATTTATGGGACCAACCTGCACACATGTTCCTGAAACTAAAAATTAGAAAAAAGAACAAAAAAAAGTGCCAGAAGATTTGGTATCTGAGGAGGTCCTGCTTTCTGATTTTAAGTTGGCACCCTGTATCCTCACATGGTCGAAGAGCTGAGGGAGTTTACTGTTTACTGGGGTCCTCTTTCATAAGGGCACTAATCCCATCCATGTGGCTCCACCTTCCTGACCCAATCACCTCCCAAAGGCTCCACCTCCTAATACCATCACCATGGGGGTGAGGATTTTGACACAGGAGCTTCAGTGGTTAAACACAAATATGCAGTCTACAACAGCAGGTGACTAGGAAGCCGGGGGAGAGGAACGCCGCAGAGCAAGCCTTAATCTTAGAAAATACGTAAGTCATCCCAAAGGTTGGTGGAGACATGGATGGTAAAGGCCATCCTGCTGCAGTCTCAGACCAAAATGAGAAACATGCCACTGGAAAATGGAGAGCAAGCAACCACAGCCCTTGCTATGAAACAGCAAAGAACTAGTCCAAACTGAATTTAAATTTTAGTGTTTTGTCAAGGTAGGACTTGCAAGCGATGAATTGGATATTGAATTGAAGCTGCTTCTAAGCAAAGGGATGAAGGTAGGCTTGGCTTCTCTTGACTGCCTACAGTAAAGTGGAGAAGAGAGAAACAACTTAAAGACAGAACTATTCATTGAAAAGAAGGCAGGACTTAAGGATTTGGGAAGTTCTTAGCCTATTCGTATTGAGGAGAATGAGAAAACATGTTTAGAAGAGAATGCAAAGGGTGTGGCTAAGAGGCCATTTGATACTGAGATTAGTAGGATCATCCATCCCAACAGAAGCCAGGAGCTTTTCTCCAGGAGGGTGGAAGGATGATCCTGAAGGCCACTTGGAGATCATCAGGGCTGCTCCTCCCATCACAGGCTGAGTGCAAAGGCTAGGGGTGGGGTTGTAGCAGTTTCAAAATGGTAGTCACTGGTATCCGTGGAAGCACCACATGTACTGGCCCACCGTCATCTCTCATGGTGGGCTCTGCTCCCTGAGAGCATGGGGACCCGCACTGTGGCTCTGGCAGGAGCAACACAGGCTTCAGTGGGTGTAGGTGAAGCAGTGTCATTGTCTTGGGTAACAACCAAGGATCCTTGCCTCATGCCAAGGAAATCAAGGACATGGAAACACATGGAGTGAGGTTAAAAGCGGAGGTTTAATAGGCAAAAGAAAGAGAACAGCTCTCTCTCCTGCAAGAGAAAGGGGCTCCTGAGTGGGACTTCTGGCCCTGGAGTGGACAGGGCTTTATAGACAGGCTTGAGGAGGTGGTGTCGGATTTACATCGGGCCCAAAGATTGGTTGGACCAGGTGTGACATTTCCATAGCACACGAGGAAGCTGACCACCCCATCCTAGTCTTATATTATGCAAATGGAGTCTCGACTTATGTGGCACCATGTTGCCTGCTCCTTACTGTGCACATGGTTGACAAGGAAAGGGGAAGATGGAGCCACTATGTTGGACATGTCTAGCCCCCAGGTAGCTTTTTCCTATTGGCACAGCTGCTGGCATTCACCCGTGCAAGTTTCCAGCTTCCTTGTCTATGTCTGCAGCTCAATTTTACAGGCTGTTCTTTGTTAGGAAAAAAAAAATGATTTGGGGGTTGCTTTACATTAAAAGGAAAACCTTACTGAGGACTTCCATACCCTCACTCTCTGCCCAAATAATTTCTTCTTAACTCCTATATCACAAGCAGCAAATTTTGCTGTTATCACATGATGCCATCTCTGCTGGCACCCAGGGCTCACATGCCTAGGAAGCATGCCTATCTCCATGTGGATTTCAATAGGCAGAGCCACCACAGACAGCCCCGTATTAGGCTGATGCCCAGGGAAGCCATGGAGGCAGGGCCACCTGGAGTCATGGGGGCTTGACCTCTGCCTCGAGAAGCCCAGTGTGTCTCAGAGGCAGAGTTGCAGCCCCGGCGGTGGGGGCATCTCAAAGGCTTATTCTCAAGCCTTAGGCTCAATTTCATTTGCCCTGCTAGATTTTGCACTTACCTAGAGCCTGTAACTTCTTGTTTTCTTTTCTGTTTCTCACTTTTGGAACGGGAATGTCTGTTCCATGCCTGCCTTACCATTGTATTTTGGAAGCACATAACTTGTTTGATTTCACAGGTTCACAGCTGGAGAACAATTTGCCACAGAATGAATCATACCTTGAGTCGAACTCATATGCTATTTAGATCTTATTTGGATGAGACACTGGACTTTGAACTTTTGAGTTGGTCCTGGAATGAATTGGGATTTAGGGGTCTATTTGGATGGAATGAATGCACTTTAAGGATTTTGGGGGCCAGTGTGGGATACCATAGACTGAATATTTGCATTCATGCAAATTGTATATGTTGAAACCTAATCCCCAGTGTGATGATATTTGGAGGTGGGACCTTTGGGAGGTGATTAGGTTATAAGGGTGGAGCCCTATGAATGGGATTAGTGCCCTTATAAGGGCAGCTTGTTTCTCTCTCCCTCTCCCTCTCTCTGTTTTCTACATGAGAGAATGCAGTGACAGAACATTGTCTATGAACCAGGAAATGGCCCTCACCAGACACTGCATCAGCCAGGACCTTGATCTTGGACTTCCCAGACTCCAGAGCTGTGAGAAATAAGTTTCTGTTGTTTATAAGCCACATCGTTTATGGCACTCTCTTACAGCAGCCTGAAAGAGCTAAGACAATCTGTGATTACAATCTCACACTAAACTATTGTAACAGTGTTTGTTTTCTTTTGTGTTCTTCATGAGAAACTTTATTGGTCATTAAAAAAATAGGCTTAGGAAGAAGAAATCACACCAAGTTAATCTTGCTTGTCACTTAGGCTCTCACACTGCTCACAGGCCATGAAACCCCCAAAAGCCAAGTGTCCCTCTGGTCTCAGTTTCCTTTTCAATAAACTAGGGTCCAGACCTGTGATCACCTTACTCCACAGCACTTTCATGAGTTTCAAATGAGATAACAGGTGAATGATGCTTTGGTGACAGTAAAGAGTGAAAGGATAATTTTATTACCAAGAGTGGAGAAATCCCCTTATTTAACCGCAGTTAACACTATTATGTATTTGTAGAAATTGTTAGGATGTCTCAGTGCTGCCGTGTGCCCAAGACAGGATGTGATGGCTCATGACAACTAGTCCTCTTCCAATTTCCACAAGAACAGCTAGACTCAATACCAGGAAGAACCCTGCCCCAAATTAATTGAAGTTTTAACTAGTAAGCAGATAGGAAATGGATATAGTGTCTACGTAATTTGCTAAATACAATGTTGAGTGTAATTTAATCAGAATTCAAGTAAGGTTCAGAAACCTCATTTTATAGGGTAGTTAAGAACTAGAACTATAAATTAGAGTCCAAGGCTTCTTAAATAATAATAATACCAATAATAAATATGCATTGAGTACCTGTTACGGACCTAGCCTTGGGCCAAATGCTTCATATTAGACCACGATTTTCACTAAATAAGTGATGCACTAATATAGGTGGCAAGCACTTTGATTTATAATTTTTAAGGTAGCCAAAGTCATCATAGATGTTGGTTATTATCTCTAGTTTTTTAATGGTAATATACAGATGTAAATGTTAATATCATATGAATAAGTTGCATTAGTATGCTAAATATATTAATAAACTCATGCTTTTGAGAAAACTATGCACATTTACCACATTCCCTGCTTTCTTTCCCAAAATGAGACTCCAGAGCAAAGTCATGACGACCCCTTTGGTTGTCCCCACTCATGCTCCCACCAAACTCTCCTTCATACACAGGCACCTGCTGCTTCCAGGCTGGCCCCGTCTTCCCCAGACTCCCCTCTTGTAGGGATGCCCCTTCTTGTGTCCCCTCTCCATGACCTCAAGCAAAACCTAAGTCTTCTCTATCCCATGATCACAGTAACATGATTCAAGTTTTGACATCTTTGATGTTAACAAGTCAAGTCAGCTAACAGTAACCCCTCCCAGCAACATCCGTACTTTAATGTGGCCTTCTTGGCTTGGTGGCCCCCATGAACTCATTTGACTTAGATATTTGCTAAGTCAATGGAATGTTCTGATAAGGCAAACTCTGACCAGGTGAGAGAAATCAGATCTTCGACAGGAAAACAAAGTTGATTGGGGGAGGCTTGGAGACCTGTGAGTGTCCCTCCAGGTATACTGCATAGGCGATTGCTCTTGTGTCCAACCAACCTGCAGTTCATGATGAGCTGGAACAAAGAGAGCTCTGCCTGTAATAGATTTAACCAGCTTTGCTGAAGTGCTCTGAATAACACATTGGGAGGAACAGCACTGGCTGTCTGGACTGGCTTTTCCCATGGGTTGCTGTGGTGACCACATGTGAAAGTTCCCTAGAATAAGAGAATAAGTACAATCTTCCACTCACCCTCTCAACAGTAGCCACTGCCTGGGCTGCTGCTCCCACCAGATGTGGAAATACATAGGAGAGCTGTGAATATTTGCACGAGGTCCACAGCAAGTGAGTGGCAGGCCAGGGGTCTGAACCTGGCCCTCCTAATGCCCCATCCAATACGCTCACCGCTTCATTTGGTCATGACTTACTGCTGCATAGGATCAAGCGAAATTGACAGTGGGGAATCTTTTTCATCCTCATCCACAGATTCCAATTAACAAGGCCTTAGAACAATTTCGGCATAAGTGGGTTTCCTCAGAAAATTTTACATAATAGTGATTTGAGAAGAGTGTATCAATAATAATCTGAGTTTTATTAAAATAAAAAATCATCTTAAGGTAAAAAATATATATAAGGTAAGGGAAAAACATTTTCTTCTGTGTTCGAGAAAACTATGAAATAAATGGCATGACATTGTATATTACAAGCTTGAGAACAAACAGTCACTCCAAAAATCCAAATCAGGGATGAAGAGAAGAAAAATTTAGAATTCAAATAAATATGGAATTGACAAAGTTAATATGCACTTTTATGGTACATCTATTTTGGATGACAAGATAAATGTCAATGTTATAGAAACATGGACTAGACAGTTTATTTAATTTGGCAAAGCTTACAGCTTTCAGCCACAAAATGAAAACTAAATTTAGACTATTCAAGAATTTTCTAGGCTTTCAGCAAAGCTGTGGAGGTGGACACGGCGATGCCGTCTTTGGGGCCAGCATACCCCATCACCCAGTTACTGGGGGCGTCACCTACTGATGACTTTCAGTTGGGATCTTCCTTGGTGTTATGGGTTGAATTTTGTTCTTAGAAAAATATGTTGAATTCCTAATCCTCAGAACCTCAGAATGTGATCTTCCTTGGAAATAGGATTGTTGCAGATGTAATTTGTGAAGATGAAGTCCTTAGGGTGGGCCCCAATCCAGTAACACTGGTGTTCTTTACTTACATGTTTTTAGTATTTTTATGGTTTTCGTATTTTGTTTTTGTTTTTTGTTTTGTTGTGTTGTTGTTTGTTGTTTGTTTGTTTTTGAGACAGAGTCTCGCTCTGTGGCCTAGGCTGGAGTGCAGTGATGAAATTTTGGCTCACTGCAACATCCACCTCCCTGGTTCAAGAGATTCTCCTGCCTCAGCCTCTAAGTAGCTGGGATTACAGGCATGCACCACCACGCCAGGCTGATTTTTGTATTTTTAGTAGAGACGGGGTTTCACCGTGTTGGCCAGGCTGGTCTGGAACTCCTGACCTCAGGTGATCTGCCCGCGTTGGCTTCCCAAAGTGCTGAGATTACAGGCGTGAGCCACCACGCCCACCCAGGACTGATGTCCTTTAAAAAGGACAAATTTGGACACAGAGACAGACATGCATAGAGGGAAGAGAATGTGGAGAGACACAGGGAGAGGTCTGCCACCTCTAAGCCTAGGAGAGAGGCCTGGCACAGATTTCCTCCCTACACAGCCCTCAGAAGGAGCCGGCCCTGCCAACACCTTGATTTCAGACTTCCATCCTCCAGAGCTGCAACTCCATACATTTGTTGTGTCCATCCCCTGGTCTGTGGCACTTCCTTACAGCAACCCTAGTTGACTAATACACTGGGCATTGCCCCTGGCCACAGAGAACAGCTGCTTCGTGAAAGGGTGGCCCCCAGGGGGTGGGCGATGGCAGCGACTGGCTGCAGCAAGGATGCTGCAACGGTGCCAAGGTTGCATGCATGCAAGGCCCCCTCCCTTTCAGTCTGTGAAAACCCTGAGCAACCGTCCCATCACGCTGGGACTTGGCAGCACCCAACTTACCAGCCCACATCTCCCTCGAACATGGCCCCACCACCCTCACTTCCTTAGAGGCTCACTCCCCAAAGCAGACACAGAAACACAGACACGACTCCCTCCCAGTCTGCTTCCTGGGGCAGCACTCCATGGCAGCTGTAAACCGCAACTAGATCATTATGGATCTTGGTTACTGGGAGGCGGTTTTATTAGATTCACAGACACAACTTCCTTGGAGCAAAACTAAACACTGTGTCTGAAGCTACAGAGGGTGAATCTCCAGGATGCCTAGAAATCCTCCGATGTCTGAACCCTGGAGGGTTTGGCCGGTGACTGGTGGCCTGAGGACAGCCATGAATCAGCAGCTCAAGAAGCTGGGAAATGAAGGACCAATATTGCTGGCAGCTAATAGGGAGGGAGGCACCCATTGTGGTGAGATGGATGGCTTCCCATTAGCAGAGATTCTGTTAGAGAGGGATGCTTGCTCTTGCTTTAACCTCTTAGCAGGGTGCAGGTGGCACATAACCTGAGCCTTGATGGGCAGTGGAGAGGGAGGAGCCTCCTTGGAGCCCCAGAATGTGCTCCTCCCATCCTGGCTGCATCCACACTCAATGGAAGGACTCTCAGAGCCCCTTGTTTTTCTGCACGCACTCACATTCTGCAGAGGAACACAGAGTCATTGTTCCTTGCGTTCACATGCTGGGGAGCTGGTCAGTCTTGGAAAAAGGGGACAGGGTGGCCAGAAGCATGTAGGAGGGACCAGCAGAGGGCAGCTGGCCTGGGCTCAAGCGCGGGGACCAGCCCCTTCACACCGATCTTTCTACACTGGATCCTCTTGAGCTGGGCACGCTGCGCTCTAGTTCCAAGATCAACTTGGAAAGCAGGGATTCATACAGAGACACACGAAAGGATGGCTGCTATTCCAATAATGATGATTTTTTGGGTTGCAACATTCAAATAGTCCTTCCTTTTTAAACAGTATGTATTAAAAATATTACTTGCCCTTTTCTCTACACTAAGTATGAATCAACTATTAATCTGAAAAGCAAAATATTTTTATGTGGAGGAGAAAAAAGCATTTATGGAGTGGGACACTTTGGTGCTGTTTCCCAGGTATGTGGGTTTTGCCCCTGCTGCCTGCTGCTCCCCTGTGGGGAGGGTACACGGCCCAAGGAGGAACAGGAAAAGGGCGCTGGTCTGATGCTGTGAGGTCAGTTAGGGGAGCAGGCTCTGCAGAAAGTGCCTCCAGGAAGGAGGGAGGCTTGGTGCCATGTTGGAGGCAGAGCACCAAAGTTCCATGCATCCTTGTGGTTTGAAACCAGGTCCCCATGCACCCGCTGTATGCACTGCATACCACGCACCTCTGGGGAATACAAGCGGCCTCTGTCATCTATTATAAGAAGCACTTCTGCCCACTGCATTCTGGCATCACAGTCGCCAAGGATCACAAGCAGTTAAGCACTGGATGAAACAGGGCTGTATTCACGTGGAAAAGAAGCAGGTTAAGATCCATTTCCATGTTGGGCATTGGTCTGCCACGACGAGTGGGTCCCTCCCAACAGCCAATGCAGGGCCACTGGCAGGCACACACCCTTCTTCCCTCTTATGCTGCGGCAGAAGGACCTGCCCTCTCCCCACAGGGGACAGACATAGCAGTGGGGCTGGCCAGGTGCCATGTGATGCACACACTGAAGCAGAACAGAGGACACAATGACTCTGAAACAGGGAGAGATGTTCCCATACTAGGCGATGGGTCCAGGAGAGGTTGTGAGGATGCTGCCTTTTGGTAAGGACGTGTCTCAGGCCCATAGCCCATTCTTATGTGTCTGAGCAGGGCTGGAAAGCCTGTGTCCCTGAGGCTGCCCTTCCTAATAGGGCTGTTCACTTTGACCCAGTGCAACCCCACCCTGCCCTCTAGAACTGCACACATGGTGGCCCTATATAGGACTCTTATAGCAGAGGACGTGCCATTGGTCTGGTCCCTGTGCAGAAGGGCCTGGAAGATGCTGTGCTGCTGGTGAGCTGAGCCACAGGAGCAGGTCCACGGGGAGCCCTGCACAGAGCCACGCTCGATGGTTGTTACAGGTGAGTGTTAGCATCCACCCAGGCCTGCAGGCTGGAAGGCGAGGAAGATAGGGCTGGGCAGGGGTTGCCTGGAAAGAAGCTGCCTGATTCAAAGAGAACCAAACAACTAACACTGGCAAGGAGCCTCTCGGCGCCTGGGAGAGGTCAGCAGCTGCTCTGAAGAGACAAAAAAACTGACCAAGGCCCCACCCAGCCCATGGGGTTTTCCCTGGCTCTTAACTTACTGGCCCACATTCACCTCCCAGCCTCTGGATGCATGGGGTCTGTGAACACCTTTCCACAGGCAGAGGGGCAGAGCCACCTGCCGAAGCCTTCCTCAAGCCTACATGCCCCCATGTGAGCCTCCTAGCCTGGCAGCTCTGGCCCTGGAATCCTGCCTTTGCAACCCCAAATGGGACTGCCATCTGCCTCTGCTGGCCTTTGCACACCCACTTGCTATCCATCACCATAGTCCATACGCCCTGGTAAATGTTCAAAGTGCTGCTGTGCTGGAGTGGAGGAGGCCAGGTTCATCAAGCCTTCAACAATGGGAAACAAGAGGACGTTGGATAAGTCTGAGTGCAGGCTCTTGTATGATGACACTTTTCTACCACTGAGAATTTCGTGATCAGTGGCAGGAAGCTATCTCTGAAGTCCTGTGAGCCCAACTAGCTCGTCACGTGCAGGGCAGGGAGCAGGCAAGCTCCACACGTCCCACTGCCGCTGTGGTTGAGCCAGCCTTGGCTGTGTGATGCCTGCAAGCCATTCCTGGTAGCACAGAGGGAAATAATGCCGAGGCAAAGAACAAGTCAGCTCTGACACCAAGGAGACGGATGATAAATTGAAATGATGAATTTCTAATGCCGGCACAAAATCAGGTAGGAGGGATCATTCGTCAAATTTCCAGCACAACATACAATGGAAAGGTTTTTGGTTCGATAGGGAAATAGAAACCTTAACCAAGAGTTTAGATAAAAATCCAGTGTGAGATGTTCATTTTGCAACCTATGCTTGGGACACGATTGAACAAGCTTATTTTATCCAAGTGGTATTCCTCTACATTTATGGCGGCTCATAAACTGTTTATCACTGTTCCCTGTGCTTGTTGATGTGCCATTTAGTACGGCACAACCTGCTCCCCAGAAAGCTGAATCATTGTAAGCTTAAAACATGATATCTGCCTCTGCAGATTTTATTCCCACTATACACAGAATCCAAAGAGAAATTCTGAAAACTGTGGGAATTGGAGAAGTCCTTGAACATGCTGAGTGATCCCACCCACCCCACTGATGGATTCCAGCCTCTCTCCGTTGAGCACCTGTCGACGCTCTAGCCATTAGTACATGGGCTGCTGTATTTAGTTTTGGGACAGTTGAGCACCACCAGTCACCTTGGTGGCAAGGAGAGCCCTCTCCACCGCTCTCCCCGCTGGCTGAATGACATGGAGCCACCACGCCCACCATGCTTGTTCATGTCTTCTCCCTAGGGCAGGACTCTTAGTCTTGTTCATTTCTAATTTGCATTTAAGAACACAAAGATGTTCCTCTATGTGGTGCCTAAATCCCAATCTCAGAGAAAAACAAGCATACCATAAAACTGTGAAATATTAAGACAGGATATTAAGTGATCTCATTATACTGTTGAGTAAACTAAGGCCTGGTAAGGCTGTGTCACTTAATCAAAGTTACCAGATGCTCATGGGCTGAGGTTTAGGTCTCTGAGCTTTCAATCCAGTGCTTGTTCTGCAATTGGTGAAGGTCCCTATTTCTAAAAGCCTCATGACCTTGTACTGTACAGCTCTCCCTTTGTGTATGATGGTGCCCAGCACTTAACAAAGTCCATTAAATGGAGGCAGTAACCGCCCTTATGAACTCAAAACCCTCTGTGTACAACAACTGTGCAGAGAAAAAGCAGTTTGTAATTTCTATTTTTGCAAGCCACTTCAGTCTGTGTGCTCTTGGTTTTGGAAAACCTCTAGCCCCATCAAAGGTTGCCCCCATTGCCCTGGCTCCCATTAGGTCTGGGGGTCCCTTTGGGCATTGTTTGTGTGTTTTCAAGAGGCACTCTGGGGACAGTGTTACCCCCACGATTACCTCTCCTCCCTCCTTTGCTGAGGGCTCTGCTGTAAGGCCCTCACCCTGAGGCTGTGTCCAGGAGCCCCACCCAGCCACTCCTGCCTCTTCCCACCTCAGCTGGGCTCAGGCCTCGCCGCATTGAGCTCCCCACCAATGCCGAGTGGTGCCAGGGCCTCTGGAGTCAGGGAAGAGCCGACACCACACTCCTCCTCCCTCCCCATTCAGTGCGGGCTGCACTTTGCACTCTGAGCACCAAAGCAACCATGCTTGTCAGGGCCAGGGGCTGGCGGGCCTCCTAACGCTGCCTCATGCTGGGCAGCTTAAACAACACACATTTATTGTCTCACGGTTGGGAGGCCTGGAGTCTGAGATCGGGCTGTGGTCAGGGCTGTTTCCTCTGGAGGATCTGAGGGAGCCTCTGGCCCTGGCCCCTCTCCAGCTTCCAGTGGCAGCCAGCCCTCTTTGGTGTGTTTTGGCTTGGAGATGCATCTCCCCAACCTCTGCCTCACCTTCACTTGGCCTTCTCACTGTGTGCAAAACCCCGTGGCCAAACCCTCCCTTCCTCATAAGAACACCAGTCACGTGGATTAGGGCTCACCCTAACAACCTCACTTTAACTGCATTACCTCTCTGAAGACCCGTGTCCGAATAAGGTCACATTCTGAGCTTCTGGGATTAGGACACCAACATTTCTTTTGTAGAGGGAAACACGTTTCAGCTCCTGACAGCTGATATTAGGGCGAGTTCAGTGAAGCCCCCAGGGCATGGTGGAAGGAGGCCCCACTCTCCAGGTGGTACAAGCAGAGCATCGGCCATGAGACCGAAGCTGCCTCCCTGTTTTGTGCCCTAAGCCCCTCACTCACCTCCCCCACCCCCCAGCCCTGCTGTTTGTTTAATAAAAGAGGTGAGGTCTCACTCACACACACCTCTACCCACTTTGGACCCAATCTATGAGGAACCTGCCTGGAACTTGCTGAGGTGACCAAACACTGCTGCACTCAGAGCCCCTTGTGCCCCGAGGGACTAGGGTGCCCCTCTTGGGAGCTGGTAAGTGGCCAAATCTCTTCTGCCACACCTCGCGCTCTCCCTGGAAGCCCTGCAGTCCCTTGAGCAATCCCTGGTGGCCACCTGACTGGCCGGGCCAGCGGTCACTCAAAGGTCACTCTGAGACCAGACTCTCGGCAATTTGGTCTCCAGCTGGTCCCTGTTGCCCTGGAAAGATGGAAGAACAGGCCAGTGATGGGGCATCAGAATGCACCTGGGGCTCTTGATGTGGTAAATGAAGGAAGTGGCCCTAGGTACCTAGGAGAAGACCAGGCAGCCAAAAAATGTCTTTACGGCAACATTTCATAATCTGCGTAGCAAAGAGAAGAAAGAAGACTGACAGCATAAAGCAATGGGAATATTTCAGCTGAGTTTTCCCCTTGATTAACTACAGAGGGAATGAGTAGGATGATTGGAACAGACACAAGAGGCAAGATTATTTAGCATTTGACTTAGGGCCTGCTGAAGATCTTGACTTTGACCACCATGGACACACAGGCATCTCTGCTGCGCTGATGTGGTCACTGATGTGGTCAAGAGCAGGAAAGCTGCAGCCTAGTGCCCTCCCAGCAGCTCTGCCAGTTACTCACTGCATGCTCTTGTTGACACTCCTTCACTTCTCTGTGCCTCTTTATCCATAAAATTTGGTTAATAATGGCTCCCGCCTTCCTGGTTTGTTGTGAGGTTCAAATGAGGTGGTGCATACAAGTGACTTAGGACAGCACTTGGCATGTCCAAATGTTCAGTAGCTCTTAGCCATGATCATTACAGTTGTTAAAAATAATCAGTTGGGAGGCCATTAGGCTGAAACAGTTCCAGTGACTTGAGTTCCTACGTAAGTAACTGTAACCCTACTCAGAGTAAATGGTCACAACCTGGGAAAACGAAATTGAGCTTAGCCAGTCAGAAACTGCCAACTAACCTCTAACCAGAGACTTTGCCAAGCTGAAACTCCCAACTAAACCTCTAACTAGCGACTTTCCACTTTAACCAATCAAATATTTTCTTGATCTTGCTTCCGCGAGCAGCCTGAACCTCACGCTCCCTCAGTGGAGCCCTGAACCTCTTGTGGTCTGGTTGCTGCCCAGTGCATGAATCACCGAATGCTCAAATCAACTTATGAAAATTGTAATGTGCCCAAGCTTTTTTTTTTTTTTTTTTTGAGACAAAGTCTTGCTCTGTCACCCAGGCTGGAGTGCAGTGGTGTGATTTTGGCTCACTGCAAACTCCACTTCCTGCGTTCAGCATCCCAAGTAGCTGGGATTACAGCCTTCCAAGTAGCTGAGATTACAGGCACCTGCCACCAAACCCAGCTAATTTTTGTATTTTAGTAGAGACGGGGTCTCACCATGTTGGCCAGGCTGGTCTCAAACTCCTGACCTCAAATGATCCACCCGTCTTAGCCTCCCAAAGTGCTGGGATTGCAGGTGTGAGCCACTGCACCCGGCCCAAGCTTATCTTTTAACACTGTTCTTTGGAACTCAAATAATTTAAAATGAGTTTTAAAACATTCTTCATTGTCAACTACTCTAGAGCTCACATTCAAACCCTTTTGAAAAGAGAATCCATGCAGGGCAACCTGCAGTGACATAGCAGTGGAGTTGTGAGAATGTGCCTCCTCTGAAGTGTGAACTGAGCAAAGCCGAGAACTTGGCTCTAGGCTCTCAGAACTTGACCGTGTCTTTGATGTTGCCCCACTGATGACCTGTTCATCTGAAGACCCAGCCCAGAAAAGGCAGGTCTGCTTGCCTCATGGAACAGAGAACCAGTGTCACTTCCAACCCATTCAAATCCTCACTTCTCCTCCATCTTTTAACCAGGGTTGTTTTTCCTTAATGCTGATCCACAAATGCAGAGGTTCCCATGAGAATGCCATGACAATTTACTACTCTGTTCTGAGTTTTGCAACTGTGTTTTTGCATGGAGGGTCAAGAAATGTAGTGGGACCAAGTTTCTTTTAATCTCTTCAATTCAACTCACTCTAGTTCAATCTGTTGTAGAGTTAGAGTTATAACACTTGATTTCATTTTTTGTTTGACCATGCTCATGGGGTAAATGGATGAGCTCTTTGTTCAAAGCATTTTGAAGAAAGTTGCTTTTTCAGCTACTTTAAGTGCATCTGCACTGCTGCCAAACACAGGCTCCACCACATTCCTGGAGAGGGCTTCCTGGGACCCACTTAGAAATGTAAGTTATACTGCATAGAAAAGAACTACATCCAGAAAAATAAATGCAAATAGTGGAAGGCTGAGAAATTGCCCTTGAGAGATAGGAAAAAAATTAAAAAAAAAAAAAAACGATTAAGGAAAGGGAGGCTGAGTCAGGGAGGAGCCGGAAGAACCAGACACAGCAGGCAAAGGGAATGTGGTGGGTGGGACTGAAGCCACATTCAGGAGAGCACACATGAGATCTGCACCCATGGGCATTCCCAACAGCGAGAACAGTTCCACATGCCCCTGGGGCCTCCAGAACAAAAACACAGGAGCATGCTCAGAACCGACAGAGCCCATGCTTTGAATTAGTCGGCTTGGGCTGCCAAAACAAAATACAGGAGACTGAGAGCCTCAAATCACAGAAATTTATGTTCGCACAGTTGTCGAGGCTGGAAGCGCAAGATCAGGGTGTCAACATGGTGGGTTTCCAAGGAGGGCTCTCTTCCTTCTTTGTTAGACGGCCGTCTTCTCACTGTGTGCTCACATAGCCTCTTCTTACAGGGAGAGAAAGAGAGAGAGATCCTCACAGGCCACCAATGCTCTTGGATTTGGGCCCCACACTCATCCTTATGACCTCATTAAACCTTTATGACTTCCTGCAGGTTATATTTCCAAATACAATCACAATGAGGATTACAGCTTCAACATGTGATTTTGGGAAAACACAGTTCTGTCCACAGCTTGCTTGTCAAAGAAAAGGAGATTAACAGGGAAAAATGAATTTATTGTGTATATATAAATATATATATATGAGAAAATAACAAATGCTCCATGATGATAACTGATTAGAAGTTCATTGGAATATTTGTTTCAATTCCTTTTCTAGGAAGAAACCTAGAAACATGAGTTACATATAAATACACTTTCTAGAAATCCTGTGGAACTTTTTTTCCTGGACATTTAAAAGAGAAGATAGGATAGCTGGTAGGTTATATGTGCATAGCTTTGGCTGAGACTCTGAAATATATTTAAAATTTTAGAACATAATTATGAAAATGAAAACATTGTGTCTGCTGCTCGCATGATTCTGGCCAAGTGTGTGCGCCCGGAATTCTGTGCCTTTGCTTTTCACACTGTTCAGCTCTGCATGCTGGCTGAAGAGAGGGCAGCCCTCACTTGTTCTCCCCAAGCAGATAAGAAATTTCTACTCTATGCCTGGAGCCAAGACTTACGTGTGGGACTGGTGCTGTGGCTCACGCCTGCAATCCCAGCACTTTGGGAGGCCAAGGCAGATAGATCACCTGAAGTCAGGAGTTCAAGACCAGCCTGGGAAACATGGTGAAACCCCATCTCTACTAAAAATACAAAAATTAGCTGGGTATGGTGGCAGGCGCCTATAATCCCAGCTACTCAGGAGCCCAAGGCACAAGAATCACTTGAACCCAGGAGGCAGAGGTTGCAGTGAGGCAAAATCATGCCATTGCACTCCAGCCTGGGCAACAGAGCGCGACTCCATCTCAAAAAAAAAAAAAAAAGGACTTACATGCGAACACCCCAGACCAATCCTGGGGCCATAATCAGTTCTTCAGGAGAATGCAGAACAACCTCACCAAGCACTTGGTGGACCATGTGAGCTTTTCCACACTCAATAAATTGCTTTTGACCAAAGCCTTGAGCATCTGCTAGGTCATGTGTCTTGTCGCCATATAGCTGTTTCCTGCCCTCCACTGCTCCCTGCCCCTAGACCTGCTCCAATCACATCTGTTTTGGCTCCAGCCATTTCTTATTTCAGGAAGGAGGCTGGCACTTTGCTCTGTTGACTGTAATTAAAGACACTGCAGAGAGTATCCTGGGCTTTGGACACAGGCAAGAGCCCGGAGGACCTGCTGGGATCTGCTGCCACTGGGACTTCTCTCGGGAGGTGGCTCAGCACCTTCGCCCCAGTTTTGTTTATCTTAGCATCCTCCACACAGCTCCCAGCCTCGTTCCATGGAAGCGTGTCCTTTTCAGAAGACTTTCTGTGAAAAAAGAGCTGAGAGCGCTTTTGCTTTACAAAATATTTGACTGTGTTTACCTCCCATTATGCCAATTTAGATTCCTAATGGTGGTGCTGCTGGGCAGCTGTTTATCATTTCTTACTCTTAACTAGCAAAATTTTAATGAGATCAATCAAGTCTAAGTCTGGCTTTTGCGTCATTATATTGATTGTCATACATAAGATAGTCATTTGTTGTTGTTGTTGAACAAACATTCATACATTCCTTTAACTGGTGCATTTTACATTAAGCAATGGTTTGTTCTCGTCTGGGCTGAATCACATTGTACCACTTGCCTCCACAATATTTTTTCTATTTATTGAAAACCCACTTGCTTTTGTCCTGAAATTGACTGGGTAATCCAGTAAGTGTGTTTATTCAATTTGTAAAGGTCTCTGCTAACATTTGACTTACATACACTAAGAGAAGACGCTCACTTTCTCTTTCTCCCACCTGCTTTTATTGTTGCCTGGTTTACTGGCTTTTGTGTTTACCGCTGTCATCCTCCAAGACTCCTGTCCTGGGTTTTAGTCATGCATTCCCTCCAGCACCCCTCCTCAGGAAAAATGACTACAGAAGTCTCATTGCAAAAATCTTGTTTGTGGAATCTTTCTCTACGAGTAGATATTCAGGGCCCAGCACAAACTATATTGTTAGCCAGAGTTAGGTACAGTGCAGTATCATTCTACTAAATCAGTATCCTCAGGAAAGAGGGAAGGAGATTATTAAATGTATACATTATCCACTTTTTTATAATTCTAACCCACGCACTAAAGGTTAGTTGAATAATAACTCCAAATGAGACAGAGATGCTAGCTTTTGAAATTATTTTCTGAGCTTGCCCTCCTGGGGATTAAATTTCAAAATATTTCTAAATCATCTTTTCCAATGCAAACACAATTTCTTAGATTAATGCAATTAATGACTACACTGAAAAAGTATTTTGAATAGGCAATAATTGGCTTATGGTTTTGAAAAGCAAAAATGGAGAAAAGAAGTATGACTGATAACTTTTTGTCTTTGCTTAATAGAGCCAGTATTCATTCATTCCCCTTTGTTTATTCATTAGACCCTTGAAGCTACCTGCACTCATACGCAGACGCATATTTCTAAACTAAATACTTCTGCACACTCATTTTGCATTTAAATTGTTTTATTTAGTAAAATGAGAAAACACTAAATTATATGAAGAGAAATGAAGAGCCATTAATATCTGTTCTCAGCAATGGAATCTCAGGTTATTATTTTTCTTATGAGTAACTGCATTAGTCAGGATTCTCCAAAGAAACAGAACCAGGATGTATATCTAGATGTAGGTATATATTTATCTATCGATCTAGACGGATACACAGATACACATACATATCCTGGTTCTGTACAGTGTGTGTGTGCACACATGTGTGTATGTATGAGAGAGAGAAATTAATTGATGTTAAGTAACTGGCTCATCTAATTATGGGGGCTGATAAATCCAAATTCTGCAAGGTGGGCATGCAGGCTGAAGGCTCAGGGAAGAATGACAGTTGAAGTCCAAAGGCCATCTACTGGCAGAATTGCCTCTTCTTCCTGGGAAGGTCAGCCTTTTTCCAATAAAACCCGTCACTGATTGGATGAGGCCCACCCACATTATGGAGGCTAATCTACTTTCTTCAAAGTCTGGTGATTTAAATGTGGATCTCATATAGAAAATACCGTTACATCAATATGTAGACTGGTATTTGACCAAATGTCTGGGCGCCCCAGCCTAGCCAAGCTGACACATAAAATTAAACATCACAGGAACCTAGCCAGTGGCTGCCATCACTCAGTCATTTGTTATGAGCACTGGGCTTCTTTCTAGGTGATTTCCTGAGGGTGCTTTTCCATGCCAGCCTCAAGGTGTGTTATCAGGCACGACTGTGGCATCTGCAGCCTCCTCCAGAACCCTGTGCTTGTTCATTTCAAAAAGTTTTCTGACTACAAGAACAGCCATGATTCAGATGCAAGAGTAGCAACATCTGCAAATGGAGTCTGATCTCAGAGGATGAGTGACCCGGACATTCCCAAAGCACCAATGGCACCTGCATCCCATCATCGCTGATGTTCCACGACAGTTTCCAGTACCCCAAAAAGAGTGACATCCCTGTGAGCTGCTGCTTAGGCTAACTATGAGCCCACTCGAAGCTCACACACCCTCACGTGCCTCCCTAGGGCCCTCCTTGCAGGACCGCCAGAGCCTAATTCTTGGATCACCAGCTTCCTGCAGTAACAGTGCCAGCCTCCTCACCATCCTCCCTGCCTATTTTGTGGCCAGCAAGAGCGCAGCTGTCACCAGTGCATGTTGAGGAATGGATGAATTAATGAATGGACGCAAGTATTCTCTCATGAAAACAATGGAATTTGCCACTACCCCTTCTCTCAACCCTTATAATGATTTTCTAGAAACTCCTTTAAGGACCCAAGTTCTACACTTCCCAAATTTTAATCAGACATTCTGTCTCACTCTTGCCATTTTCATGAAATAGCAGAGACACCAAGCAGGCATCACAATTTATTAATAGCAGACAAAGGTGAGGTAAGAACAGAATTAAATAGACAATTACAACAACTGCCAAGTGTTTGGGGGAACTCAGTCATGGTGGTACTGACTCTGCATCCCCTCCCCCCACCGCACACCCCTCCTTTGCCCAGCTTTGCCCAGCTCTGTGCCCAGAGAGGTGAATCCCTGCAACTGACTTATCAAGGAGGCTTTGCCCTCTGGCTTGAAACGCGTCAGCCACAGGAATCACTGACAGTCTGGGGCTAGGAAGAGGGGAGGGGAAAAGTCTTTCTTCTCCACTTTCTGCCAGCTTCAGCACTGCTGTTCCACCAGTGAACGTGTGTCCAGCCAAGATCACTGTCCCCGCCACCCTCTGGCACCGCGGTCCCTCCCGCAGCTCCAGCCATCACTGGAATAGAGCGATGGCCGGGAACGGCTCCTGTGCCTGCTCCTCTCTCGGGCCTCGGCAGCAGTTGCTGGTTCTCTCAACCCTGACTACACGCCTATAATCTGTTTACTAAGGGATATTGGCGGATACTGACTCCCTTATCTCCCCTTATATCTAAATGAACGCAAGATGTAAATATAACAATTTAGACCATCTAAGCGCTAAAATGAAGCCTAGGTAACTAGTAGGGGATCTGAGACATTGTGAAGGCTCTCAAGCCCTTGCACTAGTGCTGGAAACTGCAAAGGAAAACAAGAGAGCTGTGTTTAAAAAGAATTCAGTTTCTCTGCTATAAAAATACCACATATGACAAATAGAACAAACAGCTCATAGCAGACACGTTTGTCTTTTAACTCAACCTCCAATTCTCATTCTCTCCCATTTGTTCCTGGCAGAACCGGGTTTTGTTCAGGAATTCATTTAGCCAGATGTTTCTGTGGTGATCACTCACGCTCAGCCCTGGGTCCGGATATTAATGGGTTTTCCCCCCAGGTGATCGGCTACCCCCACCAGTCATTTTTCTTTGATGTGGTCATGGACCTGGCTGTGGGACTGTTGGGAAGTTGGCCCTCTCCTCACCTACCGTTAGGTTCCACCTTATCCCTTATCAAACCAATGGCTGTTCATTCATTCATCGGCTCACTCATTTATTAGTTCAATGTGTACATAATTTAAATACAGTCAATAAAGGCTTCAGTATCTACATCCAAGACAATATCTATTTGTCACTGAGAGGCAGACTTGAGACAGAGGTTTTCTCTACCAATGGAGATCAATCCTTAAAATAAAGGCAGCCCAAATGAAAAACCTCAGTGAAAACCCCATCATCTCTCTTGATTGTAGTCATCTGGGCTAGAGGATGCTTGAAATTATTTAACAAGGTCAAAATATAAAGAAAAGAGAAAACAAAAACCAAGAGAAATGGGGATTCTGGGGGCTCCAGCATGTCTATTTAATATGATAAGAAAAAAGAAGAAAAAGAAGAGAACCATTTTCTATTATTCATTGGCATCCCTCAGGCAGCTGAATCAAACCCTTGGCTTGGCTTCCTTTAGCAAGAGCAGATGTGTTAGCAGAAAACTTTCTGACCCACAAAAAGGGATGTGGTCACTTGACTGTCAAACAAGTGTTCATTTACAGTCAGCACAGAAGTCTTTGGAATACTGCGCTTTTTCCATATTGGCAGAAATACACAATTCAGTCCATTGCAGATCACCCCTAGCTTTCAAGAAATAGAAACAAACAAAACAAATCAAGGGTCCAAGTGCCTTGTCACTATCAGGTAATGTCAGCTCCTGTTCACCTCTGGCCCACAGGGAAATGACAGGTGCCAACTGAGTGTCCCTTGGGCAAAACATGCAGGGCTACTAGATTCTCTTTCTTAGGTCTGGATTTCAACACCACCTGTACATGTGCCTCTCCCTGACTTCCTTCAGGTCTGCTTCTGACGGTAGGTCCTCCCCACCCCTTCACTGCTACCTGCTCTTCCTTCTGGTCACTGCCATCCCTGATTTACTCAAACTCCTGTTAAGAGTACAGGCTCTGGAGCCAGACCCTATGAGGCTAAGACTATTATTATTCTCAAACAGAAGAGGAAATTGAGGCATGGAGATGTTGTGTAACTCTTGGACAGTCATGCATGTTTTTACTGCATTTGTAAGAAATTAATACAGGCCTTTCTGCTGCCAGTTTTCAATTATTAAGTTCCATTCAGACCACATCTCTCCCGCTCCATCAGAAAAAAAAAAATCTTCATTTTCCTGTAATGCTGAATTGGTTCTGTAAGGCTGCCATAATAAAATACCACAAAACTGGTGACTTATAACATCAGAAATACTTTCTCCTGCAGTTCTGAAAGCTAGAAGCCCAAAATCAAGATGTTTGCAGGGCTACACTTCCTACCCAAGGCTCTTGGGGAGAATTTGCCCCATGCCTCTCCCATCTGCTGGGGTCTCCAGCAATCCGTGCATTCCCTGGCTTGTGACCGCATCCTTCCAATCTCTGTCTCTGTCTTCACATAGCTTTCTCTGCCTCTTTGTGTGTCCTCTCCTGTTCTTGTAAGTCATTGGATTTAGGGCCCACCCTAAACCTAGGATACTTTTAGTTAGAGATCCATAACTCATTTACATCTGCAAAGACCCTAATTCCAAATACGGTCACATTCTGAGGCTCTGGGCAGATATACATTTGAGGTGGACACTATTCAACCCATTATGTATAATTGCAGCTGAAAGAGCGATTTCACATTCACTCTATTTGCCCCATCACACCTGACTCTGTTGCAGAGATGTGCCACTTTCCTGAACTCATGCTGACTTTTTTGGGGGGCCCCTTCTCCAACCCACTTTCACAACCACTTGTACAGTTGTCTATTCCCACCAATCAGACCAAGCACACTGGCAGTCCCCCAGAGGGACTATGTGGTCTTCTTTACCTTGTAGACTTGTGTGGTCCAATTACATACTGAGTTGTATCCTATACAAATATTTGTGCAGCTCAATATAATTTACAGTATTCTCCCTTGGGTTAAGAATCAAACTCTGGGTATTGAATACAGTAGAGAATGAAATGAGTATACGGAGGTCCATCATTTTTTCTGTCTATCTATCTACACATCTATCTATCTATCTATCTATCATCTATCTACCTACCTACCTACCTATTCATATCTGCATATATCTATGCATTTAGACTATATATTACTTATCTTTCTACGCAAGGAATGGAAACATTATCGGAAAAATGTAAACTTCATGAGAGCAGGGATTTCTGTTTCTAACAGTGCCTGGAATAGAGCAGTTGCTTAGTAAATATTGCTGAATGAATATTAATGAGTATGATATCTCAGACTTGTACATATTCTAAACCTTTCTTTGGTAACTACTCTCTCCAAACCACACACAAACACACACACACACACACACACACACACACACTCTCACACACAAATTAAATGTCTAATGAAATTCAGATAAAAAATACCCCAAATATATAGATGAAAGCCATAATGGTGTATAGAAGTTAATCAGTTCTCTTGGAATTTTTTAAAAACACCTTTAGGTGAAACAGATAAAGCTTGGAGTGGTTGTTTATTAGTTTAAGAAATTATTCTAAAAGAAAGAAATACATCCAAGAATATCATTTGGAGGAATTCCTTTGAAAGTGGATTGACATCAGACAACATTATTTCATTTCATGGGAACTAGACTGAAGAGAAGTAAATAAACCCATTCTGTTTATTTTATTTTCGATATTCAAGTTGAGAATGATATGTGGCTTTGATTAACAATAAGCAATTAAAATCCAAGAGTCAGGACAGAACTAAATAAGACATTATTTTAAAAGCTACCAACCCTACTAATATGTAAGGTGCCTGAAAAATACATGAAGATTACATGGCCAGAGCTGCCAGTTTTTCAAATGTTGATTCCCACTTTTGGAGGAATCTATTTACTGTGGGTTACGAATTTTGGATACTAATATCTGAAGATGCTCAAGTCCCTGATATGAAATGGCATGGTGTGTACAGCATATATTCTATGCATACCCTCCCACATGCTTTAAATAATCTCCAGATTATTTCTAATACTTAATACAATATAAATGTTATGTGCATAGTTTTATACTATATTGTTTAGAGAATAAGGATCAGAAAAAGTCTACATGTTCAACAAAAACACAATTTTTTTCAAGTATTTTTGATCCATGGTTGGCTGAGTTCATGGCTGCGGAACCCATGGATATAGAGGGGTGGACTGTATAGACTTGGAAACTGAAATTGGACAGCCTTGCCGATGAATTGGAGGTGGAGTGTAAGAAAAGGAGAGCCAGGGAGTGCTCCAGAGTTCTTGGCCAAGCTTCCAGCCACCGTGGAGGTGGCAAACACTGAGTGGAGAAGATGGAGGGAGGAGCAGATTTGGAGTGGAGGTGGGGAGGTGGGGGACAGCCACCCATGGAGGTGGCAACAACTGAGTGGAGAAGATGAAGGGAGGAGCAGATTTGGAGTGGAGGTGGGGGACCGTCACCGGTGGAGGTGGCAACCACTGAGTGGAGAAGATGGAGGGAGGAGCAGATTTGGAGTGGAGGTGGGGGACCGCCACCTGTGGAGGTGGCAACCACTGAGTGGAGAAGATGGAGGGAGGAGCAGATTTGGAGTGGAGGTGGGGGACAGCCACCCATGGAGGTGGCATCCACTGAGTGGAGAAGATGGAGGGAGGAGCAGATTTGGAATGGAGGTGGGGGACAGCCACCCATGGAGGTGGCATCCACTGAGTGGAGAAGATGGAGGGAGGAGCAGATTTGGAGTGGAGGTGGGGGACTTTTTGGACACGTCACATTAACACATCTTTCAGGTGTGGAAATGAAGATGGAAGTGAACAGTCACATTTGCACATCTGGTTCAGGGAGAAGATGGGGCTGGAGGATTAATTTGGGGAGTTGCCAGCATATAATGGTGTTTAAAAGTGAAGGTACCAGGTGAGAGTGCCCAGGAGAGGATAGAGGGAGAAATAGCTGGAGGAGGGAGCCCTGGGGCTGAGAAGAGGAGGGAAGCCAGCAAAGGAGACTGAAGGCAAGCTTATGCTGGAAGACTTGAAGTCTCACAAGAGAAGAGGGAGGATTCTGCTGCAGGAGGGGAGAAAGAAATGAAGACACAGTAAAGTAATGCATAGTATCTAGCAGGGTCTTTGTTTTATCTTTTTTTTTTTTTTCTGAGACGGAGACTTGCTGTGTCACCCAGGCTGGAGTACAGTGGCACGACCTCTGCTCACTGCAACCTCCACCTCCCGGGTTGGGTTCAAGTGCTTCTCCTGCCTCAGCCTCCCGAGTAGCTGGGACTTCAGGTGCCCACCGCCACACCCGGCTAAATTTTATATTTTTAGTAGAGATGGGGTTTCACCATGTTGGCCAGGCTGGCCTCAAACTCCTGACCTCAGGTGATCCAACCACCTCGGCTTCCCAAAGTGATGGGATTACAGTCATGAGCCACCATGCCCGGCCTGTTTTCTTTCTTTCAAGATGAGACAGAGCAGAGCTTAGTTTCTGGCTGTTGTGAATGAGCCAGCACAGAGGAAGGCACTGATGCAGAGGACAGAAAGGATCTTGTGAGAGCGACCTTCAGCAGGTAGAACTTAGTACAAATGGAAACACAGTGGAGATAAAACAGGTACTTAAGTCCACAGGCTGACAGCGGGTACAAAGATAGAGAGGCCTGTTAAAAAGACCAATGGATTAAAAAGAATACACTGGTGGCAGAGGAGAGCGATAAACTACTAAAATTGTGAAAATGTACTACCCATAAGTATCCACAACTTTCCTCAGGAAAAACTGAGTATTTCTCCAGAAAGTATTTGTCCTGCATAATTGTTTTTTAAGTACAAAGCAAAACAAGCCTTTTGCTTCCTTGAATAAGGAATTATTGCCTACATACTGCTAGCCAAGAACATGCAGCCAATAGTTTCCAAATGTGTGATCCACGCAACATGAAGTTGTCACAAAATGAGCACATTTCATGACTGGGCGGCCCTAGGGTCCCTTCCCTGTTGTGATGTACAGGGAAGTTCTGTTTTTGGAAGGCTGGTGATTTGGTGCAGAACTACTGGCCACTTTTGTGTTAACAACATTTTTATCAGTTGTTTACCTCATTTTCTTTTTGTTTGTTTCAGGAAGATATTATTTGTCTAGGAGCAATATAATTACATCTGCCCTAAAAAGGTTTTCTCAAATTTTTATTTCTCCTAGAACTAAAAATTTTCTCTTCTGGCTGAAAAAAATATATGCTCTTAGGAAATCTGGGTCTGAAGATGGGTCAATCACTTACTACACTAGCTTTGTGCCCCTGAACAAGTCAGTTCACCTCTCTTAACTCTGGTCTTCTGGTCTTTTTTTTTTGTTTTTCTCTATAAATAGATACAAGAGCATCTGCCTTTTTTTTTTTTTTTTTCTTTTTTAAGATGGAGTCTCGCTCTGTCACCCGGGAGTACACTGGCACAATCTCGGCTCACTGCAACCTCCGCCTCCCAGGTTCAAGTGATTCTCCTGCCTCAGCCTCCCAAGTAGCTGGGACTACAAGCGCGTCACCAAGCCCAGCTAATTTTGTATTTTTAGTAGAGATGGGTTTTCACTATGTTGAGCGCATGCCTCTAAAAGCTATCATTTAGATGAGGTAAGACAAAGCATATACAAGCACCTGATATAGTGCAAAAAATATAGGAGTTATGGAATAAGGAAAATCTTTCTTTCTTAAAATAGCTGCCCAAGCTCAAGAAAGGCTGAGCATGGCTTGTGTTGTTCTTACCAGGTATTCCAGAATTATTTCCAAAACCATCCATGCAATGTTTTTCAATATAGTTCTTTCCCTTGTTCATGTCTTGTAACTTCAGATGAATCAGAGTACCAAGGTTCGAATGATCATCAGACCTTTCACATCACACATCACATATCTGCATATTTTGCATCTGATGACACATTAGGTTTTTCATTAGGTTCCTCAGAAACTTGACTGTCTTTGTTTTAGGTTTTCAACAACACACCTTACTTTCTTTCAACCTTTAGGCCTTTAAGTCCTATTGAAAATATACCAAGGGGCAATGTGAATTTCAGACAGTGCTATCTGTTTTGTTTTGGTGACATTTACCTCTTCAGCCAGAAGGAATTCTAAGCCCATGGGATAACTCAGTAACCAACACTGGTAGTATACAGGACGAAAAGCCTGTTTCTGTGACTGAAAACTGGGGAAGGTAAAGACAGTGTTGCAGAGAGTGGCCGTCAGGAACCTGGGACCTAGAAACCCTAAACATGAAACTGAAGCCCCACTTCTTCCATTGACCTGCTTGATCTGTCATGTTTCAATATGAAGTAGATGAAACATTAGAAATAGGGGCACTGGGGCCAGGCACGGTAATCTCAGGACTTTGGAAGGCCGAGGCAGGTGGATCACCTGAGGTCAGGAGTTGGAGACCAGGCTGGCTAACATAGGGAAAACCCCTCTCTACTAAAAATACAAAAATTAGCTGGGTGCACGGGTGCATGCCTGTAGTCCCAGCTGCTTGGGAGGCTGAGGCAGGAGAATAACTTGAACCTGGGAGGCAGAGGTTGCAGTGAGTGGAGACTGCACTGCTGCACTCCAACCTGGGCAACAGAGCAAGACTCTGTCAAAAAAAAAAAAAAAGAAAGAAAAGAAAAGAAAAAAGAAATAAGGGCACTGGAGGAGAATTTCGTCATTAAGGGACTCTTTACAAAGGTGTGGGTATAGGAGAACCACAAGGGAGAGCTCAGTAGCCCAGGGCTTGTAGCAGAGGAGCTATTACCAGGCCTAAGCCTGAAAAGATGAAATGAAGGTGCCGATGCCAGATGGTAGAAGGAGAATTGTGTGGATCTGGTCACCTAGAGAGAAACCAGCCCAAAGGGAGTGCCAGAAAGGAAGCCAGGAGAATATGTGCTTTTATCTCCTGCCAGAGAAGAAGCCTGGAGAATAAATGTCTTTATCTCCTGACGGAGCTTCGTCCTGGGCAAACCTGCATGGAAGCCAGAGATCAGGGAGGACCTTCCAGAACAGAGAGAAGTGCAGAGTGCAGGAGGCTGCAGAGGGGCTACCAGAAGAGACCCCACATCCCCTGCAACATTACCTATGCTGAGTCTCTGCTCCTCACCTGTGAGGCAAGGAGGTGGCAATGCCCTTCTACAGTAATAAAATTAGACTGCAGAAAAGACACTGAAACACAGACACTGGCATGTATAACTTCATCAATAGGCAGCTGCTGTCAATGCTGTTGCCATACATTTCCTTCAGAAAGAAGGCAGTATCATTTCTATGATGTAGAACAGGTTTGGAGAAAGCTGGGTGGAGCAAGGCAGCATATGATTCATGTAAGCTACATCCTGACCACATTTCAGGTTCTTTTCTGCTTTTTCTGCCGCTCAACTTTTTAAAGGAACAGCAAGGTGAATCCCCAAGGAACTAAAACAAAGAAGGGAAAATGGGAGGAAGAAGTCTGCAGGCAGAGGAGGTGGTGTGTTAAAGGCCAGAGTAGGAGGACGCACAATGGCTTTTGAACTTCAAGTCTTTCCAGAGTAGTTGCAAAAGCAGCTTGGGGAGCAGGGAAAGGTGAGCTAGCAGGAAAGACAAGACTGAGGTCAGGGCACACCCTGGGTGACCTGGCATCCATGAAGTTGGACTTTTATAAGATAAACAATGGAAATCCATTGCATGATTTTAAGCAGGATTTGTTGTGAAAACCTTCATCTTCTAAAAAATCAATCAATACCATTAGAAATAAAATAGGAAAGATCACTATAGATCCTCCAGTCATTAAAAACATAACAAGGAATACTGTGAACAACTTTACACCATAGATTCAACAAGTTAGATGGAACGGACTGTTGTGATTTTTGTGGTTACAATTTCTTCCTAATTTGATCTTAAGTTCCCTCTGTTCAGAGCAGCCATAATCCAGAGAGCCACACTCCAGAAGAGACCTGAACAGGGAAAATTATGTTTCAGTGTGTGCTTCAGGTGAGACATATGAGGAAGTGAAACCAAAATGCATAACACAGAAGAAGATATTTACTCACAGGACCCAGAGAGGTTAGCAGTGCCAAAGGGAGGCTGATGGAAAGTCCACAGGGAGCAGAAGCTTAACCAGTGGGTGGGAGCAAGAGAGAAAGAGAGGAACGGCGGGACCAGGCCTTTGTCAAAGTCTATGGGTGTCACTCCTTAGGCTTTCTGGAGGAGGTCGTGAGTGGCTTCTTTAAAGAAAGCACATGCGAAGAGAAAAATTACTTGCATGACTTCGGGGTTGACCATTAGGTTTAACCATACTCAGCAGCTGTGGGGTTTGGGGGCCAGCGGGATGACGAACACACAAGCTACATCACAAACAACCACATGGAGAGGGGAGACCTTAACCAGGGCAAAGGTCTCAGGGTACAACTTGCTTTCAAAACCTCTTAAGTCAGGCCTAAAAATGGAGTTTGAGGCAGCGACTGTACTAAACTAATTTATAATTAATAATTCCTAAAATAATTCCTAAATGATAATTCCTAAAATAATAATTCCTAAAAACCACAAACTACTAAAATTCAAACAAGGGAAAATGCTCCAAACTTCCACCAAATGCTAGAGCCTTTTTCTTCTCTGCATTCACCTGGTGAATGCGGAAGACAGAGGGTGGAGATGGGCACACTCTCCTTTAGTAGCTTGAACTCAGTATTTCACACATCACTTTGTCTCACACCACATTGGTGAGAACCAGTCATATGGTCCCATTTAGAAGCAAAAGCTGAAAAAATATCATCCTAGTTATATACCTAAAAAGACGAAATCATGGATACATGTGAGGGCACAGAAAAAGCTGTGAGGACTGCCTCCTCTAATGTTTGAGATTTACATTCATACTAACCCACATCACTGTCAATGGCATCATCATCATTATCATCATCATCATCATCATTTGTTAACATTTACTGATCATCACTACAGCAAGGCACTGTTCTTTTTCTTTCTTTCTTTCTTTTTTTTCGACAGAGTCTTGCTGTCACCCAGGCTGGAGTGCAATGGTGCAATCTCAGCTCACTGCAAACTCCCCATACTAGGTTCAAGTAATTCTCCTGCCTCAGCCTCCTAAGTAGGTGAGATTACAGGCATGTGCCACCACACCCAGCTAATTTTTGTATTTTTAGTAGAGACGAGGTTTCACCATGTTGGCCAGACTTGTCTCCAACTCCTGACCTCAGGTGATCCACCTGCCTCGGTCTCCCAAAGTGCTCGGATTAAAGGTGTGAGCCTCCGTGCCCAGCCTGGGAAGCCACTGTTCTAAGCATTAAAGAACTATTAATCCATTTAAACCTCACAGTAGTCTTATGAGGTAGATGCCATTTTAATTTCACTTTCCAAATGAGGAAACTCAGACACAGAGGGACTGAGATATTTGCTGGGAATCACATAGCCAGGAAGCAATGAAGCTGGAGGATGAGGCCAGACAGAGCTCATACAGTGTCATCCCAGAGACATTTTTGGTTCTTCCATAGCCCATCTCTGAAACTCTCAATAATATACCTCAATTTCTTGTTCATAAGCTGTCATCAGGAAGCAGCACCTATGTTAACTTAAGAAGATGGAAAAAAAAGCCATGATATCTATATCTATCTAAAGATAGATAGATAGATAGATAGATAGATAGATAGATAGATAGATATACAATTTTTCACCTCTGAAACTCTCAATAATATACATATAACTCAATTTCTAGTTCATTGGCTATCATCAGGAACAGCAGCTATGTTAACTTAAGAAGATGAAAAAAATTATATATATATGTATAGGTAATTATATATAGATACAGATATGGAGATTTATATATATCATGAAATAATACTCAGTCATAAAAAAGAATGAAATCATTTCTTTTGTAGAAAAATGGATGAAACTGTCGACCATAATCCTTAGTGAGATGATACAGAAACAGAAAATCAAAAGCAACACGTTCTCTCTTAAAAGTAGGGGCTAAACAATGGGCACACATGGATATACAGAGTGGAATAATGAACACTGGAGACTTCAGATAGTAGTGAGAGGGTGGGAAGGGGGTGAAGGATGAAATATTAATACTACCTATTGGCTACGATATACACTATTCAGGTGATGGGTACACTAAAAGCCCAAACTTTATTACTATGCAATACATTCATGTAACATAACTGTACTTGTACCCCTAAATCCATACAAATAAAAAATTTAATTTCAAAAAAAACAAGAAGATGGAAAAAAAAGAAGGACATATAAACAAACAAGAAGGTTTTGAAAAACATAGATAGAAACAGAAGTATCACAGAGAACCAAATCATACAGAAGATTAACAAAGTCAAAAACTGACATAATAAAAGATTATTTATATAGACCATGGCAAAAACTAATCAAGATAAAAAATTAAAAGATGCAAAAAGCAAAGATGTAACAAAAAAGAAAGCTAAATTGCAGCTAGAAAGTAAAATAAAAATAAGAATATTATTAGTAATTACGCATTAATAAAATTAAAAACCTATAAAACAGTAATAAACTTGAAAACTTAATTGAAATAGATGCACTCCTAAAAATATATAAAATACCAAATTGGCACTAGAAGAATAGATGATATATATAAAATATGTAAATATTAAATAAATTGGCCTTTTCTTATTAAAATTTAAAAAAAGCACAACAAAACAAAACAAAAAAGGCCTAACTTGCTGTCCAGGTGCATTCTACCAAAGTTTAAGTTCATTCCTTTCTTACACAAGCTCTTTCAGAAAATACAGTTTGAAATACACAGCTTATTTTATGAGATTACTAGTATTCATTTTGGAACTGAGGAGACCAATACAAAAAATAAAATCTGTGGCCTCATTCACTTACAAATGTTAGTATAAAGTTCTCAAAATAAAATAGTGGCTAATCAAATCCAACAGTATATTAATGAAAATAGAACACCATGAGCGAGGAAAATTTATCCTAGGAATGCAAGGATGGTTCACTATTTTAAAACCTATTAATTTACAACATCAATATACTAACAAAGAAAATATCATCTGAGTATCCCAATTTATTCAGAAAATAATTATAACTAGGTGCTGAAATGTATCAAATAAAATAATCTAGTAGGAAACAAGAATAGAAGGGAAAGACCTGCAAGCATTTCCTTCATGATCAAGAAAGAATCCCATTATCGCTTCTACTGTTGAACATACCTCTTTTTTAAGGAAGAGGAAAAAATAACAGCTATAAACATGCAAAAGGAAGAGATATAACTGTCATTATTTCAAGAAGACATGAACACTCACCTAGAGAAACTAACATAATTAACAATTTATTTGAACTAATAAGAGTGTTGAGAAATGTTGCAGGATACAGAGTCAATCTAAAAAATTACACAGTTCACCTTCATGCAAACCAAAAATATAATTTAAAGTAAGATAGTATTCACAAACAACAAATTTATAAAGTATCTTGGAATTATCTTAATCAATTATGAAGGCATTCAACAAAGACCTGCTAATAAAAAACAAAAGTTGATAGTGTAAGCACAGGCAAAAAGACCAATGGAAGAGAATAGATTCAGACTCTTACATATATGGGAACTTAATGTCTGATAGTGATGGCTCCAAAAATCATGGAGAAAGATTGCTCAGTAGACATTGTTGGGAAACCTGGCTCAATATATAAGAAAAAATAAAACTGAATCCCTACCTCACATCATACATGGAATAAAGATCTAAATGTAGTAGATGAAATAGAGTTAAAGAAAAGAATGGTGGGAAGACTTTTTGATCTAGGTATGAGAAAGGCTATTTATAGCTTTCTTATTGTCTGTTTATCCCTTTCTCTATGTTGTGGATAATTTCCTTTATTTCATTCAGTCATTCTACTGGAATTTTTATTTTAGCAGTCATATTTTAGAAGATAATCTAATTAAGTGAAAACACTCTGAAGACACTATGGACAGGTTACTTTATGTCTCTGTGACTCAGTTTCAACTTTTAAAAATGAGAGGAGAAACGGTATCTACTTCAGAAGATTGACATGGGGATTAAATGAGGATAGATAGATAGATAGATAGATAGATAGATAGATAGATAGATAAACAGATACACAGGCAGACACAGAGAGAGAGAGACAGATAGATGATAGAAGATAGATAGATAGATAGATAGATAGATAGATGATAGATAGATAGATAGGCAGACAGGCAGACAGGCAGACAGGCAGACAGATAGATGATAGATGGATGGATGGATAGATAGACAGGAATAGATGATAGATAGATAGATAGATAGATAGATAGATAGATAGATAGATAGATAGATTAGATAGACAGATAGACAGGTAGAGATAGAGAGATAGATGTTAGATAGATAGATAGATAGATAGATAGATAGATAGATAGGCAGACATAATGTGCTTGAAACAATGCCTGTAACATAATAGCACTATGTAAATTGAGTTATTGTTATGATTACTATTATTATTATTTACTAGTATGTATTATTTTATATTCTAAAAGCTAGGTACCCTTTTGGGTTTTCCTGTGTCAAATGTTTTGTTTTATAGATATAATATCTCTATTAGGAACAAATGAATGCCATCCTTTTTTTTCCACACTCACTTTCTAAACCATCTGGGAGAAAAACGTAGGAGAAATAACGAGTAGACTGAAATGTAAAACCCAAAACTATAAAAACCCTGGAAGATAACCTAGGCAATACCATGCTGGAAATAGGAAGAAGCAAAGATTGAATGACAAAGAAGCCAAAAGCAATCACAACAAAAGCAAAAATTGACAAATGGGATCTAATTAAACTAAAGAGCTCCTTCATAACAAAGAAATTCTCAACAGAGTAAACAGACAACCTAGAGAATGGGAGAAAATTTTTGCAAACTGTGCATCCAACAAAGGTTTGATAGCACCTCATCAGCCAGAATCACTATTATTGAAAAGTCAAAAAATAAGAGATGCTGGCAAGGTTGAGGAGAAAAAGGAACATTTATACACTATTGGTGGGAGTGTAAATTACTTCAACCATTGCGGAAAACAGCATGGCGATTCCTCAAAGACCTAAAATCAGAAATACCACTTGACCCAGAAATTCCATTACAGGGTATATATTCAAAGGCATAAAAATCATTCTATTATAAGGATACATGTACACACACATTCATTGCAGTACTATTCACAATAGCAAGGACATGGAATCAACCCTGGTGCCCATCAGTGGTAGACTGAATAAAGAAAATATGGTACATATACACCATGGAATACTATTCAGCCATAAAAAAGAATGAGATCATGTCTTTTGCAAGAACACGGATGGTGCTGGAAGCCATTATCCTTAGTAAATGAATGCAGGAACAGAAAACCAAATACCACATGTTCTCACTTATGGAGCTAAATGGTAAGAATACATGGACACATAGAGGGGAACAACAGACACTGAGGCATATCAGAGGGTGGAGGGTGGGAGGAGGAAGAGTATCAGGAAAAATAACTAATGGGTATGAGGCTTAATACCTGGGTGATGAAATAATCTGTACAACAAACCTCTATGACACAAGTTTACCTATATAACAAACTTGCACATATATGCTGAACTTAAAATAAAAGTTAAAAGAAAATTAGAGCCTTTATTTTGGTTAAGTTGACGTTGAAGACCATGGCTTCCGTCAGCCTGCCAAGTAGACTCGCCAATCCCTGGCCTCAGAATTAGTGGGATTCATTTAGTTGTTATCACTGGCAGTGCTGGACCACATAATGCAGTGCTCCCCTGGCTAGGAGAGAATCTGCACCCTGAGCTCAGCCCAGGAAAGAGGAGAGGACATAGGTCCTCAGAGGGGAGGGTCTGAAACAAGGGTGAAGAAACACCTCTACCCCATAAAGTTCTCAAACTCATCAACCTAGAAGATTGCTTCTGTCCCCAAGGTAGCTTAACACAGCACAGGGTTGCTTTTTACTCATTTTCACAATGTTCACTATGAGACCAGACGACTACCTAGCTTAACTCTCTCCTGCGCAGAAGCCCACAGGGGCTCCACCAGCATGTAATTGCCTCCTACCCATCACATGCAACTCCACAAGGCGCAACAGGAGAAGAGGGTACTAGAGGGTCTTGCACCAACTCTTAAGGGCTTCAGCTCAGAAGTGGCCCATGTTAATTCCACCACGGGCCACTGGAAAGAACTAGATGCAGGGCTTATGCTCGGTTGAACAGTGTCCCCTCAAGACGTATGTCCTCCTGGAACCTGTGGATTTGACCTTATTTGGAAAGAGGGTCTTGGTCTATTCACAATTTTAGTAAAAATGTACAAGATTAAGGGATCCTTTGCTGAATTTTGCTTGGAGTCCTACAATTTCCATTTACCACATGGGTTGCAGTGTAGGGTGATGGTGATGTGTGGACAGAGACAGGGTCATTGTGATCAAGTTAAAATGAGGTCATGCTGAACTAGGGTAGGCCCATGCAATGAGTTTTCTCCTTATAAGAAGAGGAAGATTTGGACACACACACAGTGAGAACACAATGTGAAGATTCAGGCAAAGATTGGAGAGATGCAGCCACAAGAATGCCAGCAACCACCAAAAGTTAGAAGAGGCACAGAAGATGCTTTTCTGGAGGCTTCATAGGAAGCACGGTCTGCCAACACCTTGATTTTGGACTTCTGACCTCCACAACAGAGAGACAAATTTCTGTTGTTTTAAGCCACCAAATTTATGCTACTTTATTATAGCAGCCACAGGCAACCAATTCATGGCCCCACCCAGCTTCAATGCCTTAAATGGGCCACATGCCCAGATGAACTTCACCAGGTTGTCTCCAGCACTAACTCTCTGTTGTGCTCCTGGAGCTGTTCTGCAATCCATCCCCTCTCCTTCCTCCAGTGCTCCATGCAGTTCACCAAAACGGCCCTTCACATTCAACGGTGTACATCTGGGCAGCTTGGATATATATCCTAGGATTCAGACCAGTGATAGTAGCAGGTGCAGCTCATCCCCACAGAGAAAGAGTAGGAACATCAAGAGGGTGCCATGGAAACCACAGAGTCAAATTAAACATGAATCATGGCTTTTCATCCACAGCACCAGTACACACATGCACGTGCACACACACAAACGTGCCCACCTCCACTAACTGTCACACAGAGTTCAACTGCCTATTCCCAGGACGTGTCCATCTTTGGGAGGCACAGCACCCCTAGCCAGGCTCAGCAAGCATGACATGGGTTAGTGGCCTGGCCTAAGGGCTGCAGACACTAATAGGTTGTCTGCTGCTTTGGGAAGGCTGGGTCCAGACCACTGCCATTCATTGATTCACATCCACGCTTTGCTGCAGCAAACTGTTTTGAATTGATGCTTAGTATAAAGGCTTTTATGACTGCAATCCATATTTCATTCCTTGCCATAAAATAATCATTTGAGAAATGCAGAGAAATACACTGTTAACAATTTAACATTCACTTTCAATAAATAGGAAGCATTTTACAGGGAACTGCAGCCCATTATGGAAACCATAATTCATGCTCTGTGCCAAGAGAATGTATTCTCAATTTCATTGCACCCTGTGCCCAGCTACAAAACTTGAGACTTCCTTTGCATTATAGAGTCCCATTATGATGGATTAACAAATATAGTGTTAAAACGCCCTGTTGAATGCAGCATGCACCATTTTAAATGAAGAGGCCAAAACATGTTAGCCTTTCTTGCAGGAATGGCAGAATTAAAATTGCCCCTTATTTATACAAGGCAACTATAAATGCTAAAATGCATATTATCATGCATTCAGAATGATCCTGCCTCCTGCCTATGTACTTCCCCTGCTAATTTATACATTCTGCAGTTCTCAATGCAGCAAATCTCTCATCTTCTCCTGAACTTTTCAGAAAATACCAGTCTTTGAGTCTTGAAATTACATTGCATTTAAGCAGTGCCATGAATTCTTCACCTGTTAAGATCTTTTCATCCAGTGCTATTATGACTTGCTTTTATGATCTTCTGCCCTGATCTGCTTCTATTCTGGAATTTAGACCTAATGAGACATAAGGGGTCAACGGCACAAAGGCAGTAGTACTATTCACCTTATCGTAGGAGCAGTAATAAAAAGATGTCAGGTGAGAGAAACATCAGAATTTCAATGAATTAGAATTGGAGGTGAGAAATGAGTCTGCTGTTTATTTTGCTGGTTACAGAAAGCTTTTTATCTCTACATCCAGGAAGAAGTGGTATTCAGATACAAGACTGTCATCAGAGGGAAATAAATAACTGAATTAAACCTGTAAATGTATCATTGTGTGTGCAAAGAAATTCCCAGATCAAGTCACAAATACTACATTAATAATGGCTCTAAAGCAGATGAGATTTTCTTCCCTATCTTCCTGAGCATACTTTGAGAAATAATGTGTGTGTGTATCTATCTATCTATCTATCTATCTATCTATCTATCTATCTACATATATATATATATACATATATATATAGAGAGAGAGAGAGCGGAAAACAAAATAAATTCCCTCTAAAGTAGTTATTTTATTTTTCTTAACAGTTTTGAGATGAAAGGGGGTACAGAGAAGCAAAAAGGGGGAAGTTCAGTTTATTTGATTCCCCAGCTAATATACATGTGACATTTCTGTACTTTAATACCATAATGAAAATATCACTTGATTTGTTTAAGTCTCTTTAAAAATGTGAAATTGAGCAGTATAGGGTTTGGGGTTTGTATACTTGTCCCTGAGAGGCACGTGGGTTAAACCAGTTGGTACACTTACTTCCATTGAGTTTGAGTTTGTGAATAGCCTCCAGTGGAAACATAAAGTAAGAAGTGAAACACGCATGGGACTTCGGGGCTGGCCCAAGGGGATAGGCTGGCTGGGCAAGGCCAGGACAAGTTTTGTCTGCCTGCTGGTTCAAGAATGCCCTTGAGTTTGGCTTTGCCAGCCTGGGATGCTTCCCTCCCATCGATGGTGCCCACCATGTCCTTCTCCCTTGTGCCTATTGTAAAACAAAATGCAAGGATTCTCATGCATCCGCCACCACCTTCTCTCTTGCATATATTGTAAATTAAAATGATAGGACTCCAAGCAACATTGTGCAAAGGGTACCTAATCTTCTCCATGTACAACAAAACTGGAAATCTGAATTCAAAGGTGAGTTAGGATGGGGGTCTTCTCACTACAGCATAAAAAAAAAGAAAGAAAGAAAAGAAAAAAAAAGAAAAGAAAAGAAAAGAAAAGAAAAGAAAAGAAAAGAAAAGAAAAGGGAGCTGGAGAAGCCTGAGGAGTGGTCTGGAACTCCCCTCTGCCAACTGGCCCATGATGGGGAGCATTATTCTGTGTAATTATAAGCAGGACCACCATAAGAAGAGGAAGCTAGAGGCAGGCAAGTCTCAGCTGACCATAGAAAAAGAGCTCCCTTACACTCAGAGGTGCTGAAACTATGGTGAGCTGCTGAGTGAGGGAGGGCTTGTGCCCTCTGGTTCCAGAAGTGGGGAGCAGACCTGCGGGCAAGTCCGCATGTTGGGGATGGATTCTGAGATTTGGGCCTTCTGTTGGGATCATCTGTGTGTTGGCAACATTGTGGGAGCCCCACGGTGTCCTGAACTGGACTTTGGTTTACAAACCTGAATGTACCAAGAAATGGACCTAGACTATCCATGGGCAACAAGTGGCATCTCCTAGGTGAAGGAAAGTGAGATTTGATATGTGGATCCAGTCCCATTTGCACCTCACAGCATAGATTTTCTTAGCTAAAGCAGGCCCTTCTGGAAGATGGTGCTACAATAAAATAAAATGAAGGCCAGGCTTGAGAATCTCTTAGCAGACAAAACTGGCTAGGCCACAAAAGGAACCTTAGTTTGTTTCTTGTAAATGCCTCTGGTCATCACAAAACTTCAGTCACCTTCCAAAAATGGAGTAAGATGATCCCTTTTAACCAACCTCTGCGCTCGGAAAACACCATTGTGTCAGCAGTCACTGCAAAAGGTAAATGATTGCCCATTTTTGCATTATAAGCCAGCCTGAGCTTCCTCTTACCACCTTAGGTTTGAAGTCTCCTGGTTCTCAAATTGTTCTTTTGCATACGCAGTAAACTTTCAAATTTTTAAAGTTTATCTGACTTTATTTTTGACAATGGTCAGTGAAATCTGGGTGGTTTAAAGGTTTGTGGGTGGCTGAGCTGAAATTTCCCCTTGATGAATCAGAGCAGGATGAGAACTCTGCAGGAAGCCCAGGAGAAGGAACGCTGGCTTTGGAGTCAGCCAGAGGTGGCTCAGAATCCCTACTTCATAAGCCACCTAACCTCTCTAAGTTTTACTTCCTCCTTTATAAGATAATGAGAGCAATACTTTCTCACAGGGTTGTTATAGATTTTAAATATCCCTAGTACTTATGAGACACCCAGTAAATTTTAGCCATTATAATAAAGTTAATTGAGAATGCTACAGATTGACTGCAATTGACATCTTTGTACAGAAAAGGTTTCCTCAGCATTTTCTAGCTGTCTCTTGGTTTAACTTCAGATGCTCAAACCAATCACAGGGAAAACCATCCACAACCCACAGAGAGAAGATCCCCAGAGATGACATAGGAAGGTGCACACCCTTCTCATGGATTCTAAAATGTCCAATGGGCCAGCGTTGCCCAGTGGAGAGGGATGATTAAAACAAACAAACAAACAAACTTCTACTCTGCCAAAAACACTGTCAAGAGGATGAGAAGACAAGGTTTCTTGTCTGAGGTTTGAGGTTTTCACAGTAATCTTTCTGCAAAATCCTGCTGATCAACAAGAACCCCAAAACACTTAAAAACCTTGTCAAGATCTAGCCAGAGCATTCAGCCAGCTGTCTGATTTTTCCAGCAGCATCACAAAAAGATGGAAAATGCTGGCTGCCCGTTCAGGCTTCATCCATGTATGTTCCCATCTGAAGCAATTAGTCAAGAAGTTGGTCAGCTCCATGCAAAAACTACAGGTACACAGCTACACCTGATTAAAAGTGATGATTCTCCGGTAATCTTGAGATCTCAATCTTGACATGTAATACTGTTCAAAGTCCTGTGTATTTTTTAAATTCCTAGGCTTTATTTTTTAGAGCAATTTTAGAATCACAGCAAAATTGTTTATAAAGTGCATCGAGTTCGGTATAGCCCCTGGGCCCTTGCACACACAGCTTTTTATATCATCAAACGTCCCACTAGAGCTTGCTACAATTTGTTACATTTTTTACAACTGATGACCCTGCACTGACACATGAGTAACACCCAGAGTCCATGGTTTACATTAGGATTCACTCTGTTGGTTTGAAGAAATGGTCAATGACAGGCATCCACCATTATGATGTCATACAGAGTAATTTCACTGCCTTAAAAATCCCCTATGCTCCACCCATTCATGCCATCCCCCACCCCAATACCTGGCAACCGCTGACCTTTTTACTGTCTTCATAGTTTTGCTGTTCCCAGAATGTCATATAGTTGGAAATGTACAGTAGGCAGCTCCTTCGGGCTGACTTCTTTCACTCAGCAATATGCATTTGAGGTTCCCCCACGTCTTTTCATGGTTTGATAGCTGATTTATTTTTAGCGTGGAATAATATTATATTGTCTGGATATACCACAGTTTATTTGTCCATTACCTTCTGAAGACATCTCGATTGCTTCCAGTTTTGATATACGAATAAAGCTGCTATAAGCATCTATATATTTGTGTCCATGTGAACACAAGTTTACAACTCTTTTGGGTAAATACAAGAGAGCACAATTGCTGGATCCTTTGGTAAAAGCATGCTTAGTTTTGTGAGAAACCACCACACTGTCTACCTAAGTGGCTGTACCATTTTGCATTCCCATCAGCACCGAATGGGGGTTCCTATTGCTTCACATCCTCGCCAGCCTGCGGTGGTGTTAGTGTTCTGAATTCTGGCCATTCTAATGGGTGGGATCTTAATTTTGTTTTAATCTGCAGCTCCATAATGCCATATGATATCAAGCATCATTTCATATAATTATTTGCCGTTTGTTTGTTTTGAGATGGAGTCTTACTCTGTTGCCCAGGCTGGAGTGCAATGGCGTGATCTCTGCCCACTGCATCCTCTGCCTCCCAGGTTCAAGTGATTCTCCTGCCTCAGCCTCCCAAGTAGCTGGGATTACAGGTGCATGCCACCATGCCTGGCTAATTTTTGTACTTTTAGTAGAGACGGGGTTTCACCATGTTGCCCAGGTGAAACTCCCGGCCTCAGGTGATCCACCCACCTCGGCCTCCCAAAGTGCTGGGATTACAGGCATGAGCCACCATGCCCGGCCATTATTTGTCCTTTGTATGTCTTCTTGGTGAGGTGTCTGTTGAGGCCTTTTGCCCAATTTGAAACTAGATTGTTCACTTTCTTATTGTTGAGTTTTAGGAGTTCTTTGTATATTTTGTATGGCAGGATTTTTTTTTAATCAGATGTGTCTTTTACAAATATCCCAGTCTGTGGCTTGCCTTCTCATTCTCTTGACAGTGTTTTTGGCAGAGTAGAAGTTTGTTTGTTTGTTCATTTGTTTTAATCTTCCCTCTCCTCTGAGCAATGCTGGCCCATTGGAAATATTTGAATACAATTTTGGTTTTCCACTTCACAAACACCCAGTTGACTCCTGGGGGATTCAGCAGTAGTATTCACTGTTGGAGACACTCCTGCCTTATGTCCAGAGTCCCCAGTAGTGATGGCACAAGACTGGCAATGTTCTTGGTGTCCTGAAGATACAGCCCCCCTGTGGGTGCTCTGCCAACACCCAGCCCATGTTTGTCTGGATTTAGAGGATCCAGGGTGCTAACTGAAGTCAGCCTCCAGCTGTTCGAACAAGTCCGACCGAGAGAAAGAGCGGTGGCGTGTCATTACTGGCACCGAAACTCCGTGAACTTGCCTATCCTTTAAATGACCATGCTGATTCAATAGTAATTAATTCCTCAACAGGCTGAATTAAATAATCAAGTACACTGTAGGTAATGCAATTACAGTAGTTATTTAGCACTTAATGAAACATTCTTATGAGTATGGACATAGCAAGTCTTCCCTCTGTCTTGAAGCAACCCCGTGTCTGTGGAATGAGACTCGCTCCCCTGAGGATCTAAGGATTCAATGGGTAATTCATGGTCCTCCGTGGGACCACATCACTAGGTGGAAAGGAGCCCGGTTTCATCAGCCTCTAGCCCAGGCTGCCCTGTATGCCAGCACCATGCCAGCACTGACCACCAGTAGTCAGGCCAACCAGCACCCCAGGGCCTACCACACCAAAACAGAGATGGTGAGGCCGCACCAGCAGTGGACACACGGCCCCTGATGAGGATGCACAGTGCAGGCTTGGTGGAGCTGGTGAAAAACAGACAGAAATGAAGACGAGAGCCAGAAAGAGGTGGTGTCCTTCACAAGCCTCCCTCAGGCTCCAGAGTGCACCATCCAGACTCGGGCCTCTAAGATCAGACTCCCAGGACAAGCGCTCAAGGCTGCATTCTAGGCTTTGCCTGAATTTGACTGTGGCCAGGCCCATTTCTTTCCTTCCAGACAGTCTGAAGGATCGATAGCAGGATTTCAATGACGCCTCCAGAGGGTAGAGTCCTTTGCAAAGATGCCGCTTCTGCCTTGGGATCATCTCATCCTGATACATCCTCATGGGATACAATAAATGTGTTTATACGACCAGAGATGTTGATATGACTCAGGAGACTGGATTATGTGTGGACTGGATCTCAGGGTTTTAATCGCCTTCCCTTGTGACTTGACATCATTACTAAACAAATGGATTGGGCTAGGCATGTATTTCCTGTTAATAAAGATTTTCCTGTGTTCTTCCCATCTCCATGGGAATAGTCGATGTTAGGGAAGTCAAAATGCCATAGCTAAGGAGTGTTGTCACTTCCTAGGTATTTTTCTTTAGAAAGTTTGGTATTTTTGTTTGTTTTAGCCTTGAAATGAGCAAGCTTCCTGTGCCTGGCTTATTTCACTTAATATAATATCTTCCAGCTTCATCTATGTGGTGGAAAATGGCAGGACTTCCTTCCTTTTCAAGGCTGAATAGTATTCCACGGTGTAGATGCACCACATTTTCTTAACCACTCATCTTTTGATGGACACTTAAGTTGATTCCGTAACTTGGCTATTGTGACTAGTGCTGTAATACACATGAAAGCTCAAGTATCTTTTTTACATACTGATTTTATTTCCTTTGGCTATATACCCAGTAAAAAGTTGACCTCATAGAAGTAGAGAGTAGAACCACCCAGAGGCTGGGGTGGTTAGGGCAGAGAGAGGGTTGGGGAGGTGTTGGTCAAAGAGCATATATTTACAGTGAGATAGGAGGAATAAGCTCAAGTGTTCTACTGTACAGCATGGTGACTATAGTGAAGACTGACTGGTAAGTACTCTCACCCCAAAGATGAAAACCATATAGGTAATGCAATCATGTATATATACTTCAAAACATCGTGTTGCACATGATAAACACATACAGTTTCTTACTTCGATTTTTTAAATTAATTACTTCATTTTTATAAAAGATAAGCAAGCTTCCCTTCACTACCCCCATCCCTCCAGGGTGCCATGCTGATGGTGAATAGCGAAACTCACAGACAGCTCCATCTCTAACCTTGAGGTCTGATCAGGCTATTGATGCTCTGGCTGGGAGCCGCGCAGGGCAGCCTCCTCTGTAAATTCTCGCCTCTGCCCAAAAAATCCATTGTTAGGAGAGTGCTGCCATAGCAACAGAGGGCCACAAAAGGCAAAGAAACTGACAGTCACCCACACAAAGCGGGCTGGATCTGAGCTAATTAAAAGGTTCTCTGCTCAGGGTCACCTTCTAAATGAGGAGTGTCAGTCAGAAACCCTTGGGCATAAGCGACTCCCCCCAGGGGCCCCGGACACCCAGCCACCCAGCCACCCAGGCAGGTACTGGCTCTTCCTAGAATCTGTTCTGCTATTTCCCAGGTGAGGACCCCACAGTGCCCTGGTCACACTTTGGCTGGGCCATCTTATTAAATGGACTAAATCTACTTTTTGCCAGTAGGATCATAAAGCAGCAGACCTCAGTGATTGATTAAAAGCAGGCTGCTGTCCTCACATCCTGATTTAGGTCTGATGTCGTTTGAAATTGAAATTGCTTTCAGAAGCTTCTGCAGGTTCTTGAAGGCTAGCTCTCAGAGTCTTAGAAGGTGGTAGGTTACTACCAGGTCTAAGCAAGACTGAAAGCCAGAGCTTTGGTGGTTGTCTTCCCTACTGTGGGTTCTTGGAACAGGTTGACTCCAAGGGTCTCCAATCGGCCAAGTGGCCTCTAGAACGTGGAGTCAGGACCTTGCTCAACAAAGCCCTGGCTGCCCACTGGCATTCCCATCCCCATTACCTCCTGCCTACCCCTGTAGGCATAGCTCACACTGTCACCCATACTATATCCTCACCTCCAAATAAATAGCTTCACTGAAAACACAGAAGGGCTTGAATTCCTATCATGATGCTGAGATCTGACCCTTTAGAAATCAGTCGAAGCAATGCAGGAACAGAAAGTGAAGTCCCAGAGAAACGAATGCAGCCTCAAGGAGAGGCCAGAATGTTATACAGGACACAACACTTAAAAAAGAAATCTGAAAGCCCTGGGGAAGCAGCCAGACAGCTGAGACCAAAAACTTTGCTGCAACCTACGTGGGTTTCCCAACAGACTAAAGCAGTGAACTCCGTGGCAGCTCAGCTCTGCTGCTGTCCTGGTGTTGCGTCTCCAGCAGCTTCCCGGGACAACACAGCCCCACATCTAAAGTCACCCAGGGAGTATTGTTGAGACTCAAGATCTTCAAAGACAGCCTCATTCAGTCGTTCCTTTTCCCAATGGCCAGAGATCCTTGCTGAGGGATTCAAACTACTTAATGCCGTGGGTTCTGGGGTCAGAATATTTACATCCCAGCTTCATCCTTTATCTCTGTATGAGACAAGTTATCCAATTTTTCTTCGCCTCTGTTTCATCAGCTTAAAATGATGACAATAGTTATCCTTCCTGAAGTCATGAGGGAATTAAATAAGATAATCTGTATAATGCTTAGAAGGGTGCCTGGAGCATAGTAAGTCCTTAGTAAGCATTGGTGTGTTCCTTCAGGTGCATGGTAACAAGCTCTAACCTGAGAAGCTTCAAAATGCAGTTGCTTAAAAAAGAAGTATCTCTCACTAACCAGTTGCATTGTGCTGGCCCTGGGCAGGTGGGACAGGGCTCCCCCAGGAGCCATTCAGGAGGCCCGGGTTCTTTCTGTCTTTTTGCTCCACCACCTGCATTCTAACCCATGGGAAGGAAAGGGAAGGAACAGAGTCTGAGACGAGTGAAACTGGGGCTTCACAGCTCAGGACACAACCTGGGGGTGCAGAAATCACTTCCACCCATGTCCTGTCGGCCCAGAATTAGTCACATGGCCACATCTGGTTCCACGGGGGTGGGAAACGTAGTCCCCAGCAGTCTCCATCATGTTATTTATCACCCAATGCCACATTTCATGAGAAAACAATGCAGAGATTAGTTCAGGTCAAAACCAAGAGCATAGACACGTACCTTGTGAAAGGCAAAGGTATGACAGATGTCCATCCAAGCCCACTTGAGGATGCTCATTGTGGTCCCCAGACACACTAAGGCTCACTGTTTTGGAGCCCCATGGGTACTAAAGTACACAGGGGAGGTGGCTCCCCATGCCCAGAGCGGCATGTCCCCAGGGCAGGGTCTGGAATCTGACGGTGTATGGAAGAGTCCTTCCCCATCCCTCCCTGGGGACCCTGAGCAGAGTTCCTGGGATCGCTGTGCCTGGCAGGTGAGAAAGTGGTGAGCAGGGTGCATTCCAGGCTCCTACACCCCATCCCCGCAGGATGGCATGAACTCACAAAAGCCAGGAGCGGAGGTGTGGGTAAGAGCTCCTGACCTTCACCTCCATGGCGGCCTCCAGTCAGACTCCCAATGCTAAGTGCTGCTGCTTTCTGTTACCTTGTGCACCTGCAGGTCCCTGGCCTTGGCCTGCCCTGGCTTTCATATCCTCTGGCCAGGCCCTGTTTTGGGACTTGTGCAGGCCTCTGACTGTACCCTGGCTTCCATGGAGCACATCACCTCCCATAGACCAGAGCCCTGTCTCATCTCCAACTCCAGCCAGGCAATGCCTCAATCCCCTGTGAGCAGTTACACTTCTCCCTGATCCTCCTCCCCTTCAAATCCTCAAGGCACCTCTTGAGCAACCAGGAAGCAGCCTCTGTGAAATGCCCAGCGCAACCTTCCACATGCGGCCAGGACTCACGGGCTGCCAGGGTCCTTGTCCTTTCACCCAGGAGCTAGGCAGAATCTCCTCAGAAGAACATACTGAGGATGCTCCCAGCTAAGCAGCCATAGCTGCTCTGGACTTCAGGCTGTCTGTTAGAGAATTAGGCCTCCAGCAACTGCTTTAATGCTCCCTATGGTCTATGGTAGCTAAATTTCCATTTCGGCAGCTGCTACAAGGTTTGGCTCATCCATCTGCCTGGCTGCCTTATTAGAATCTATTTTTACTTATCACTAAGAGTTAAATAGATAAGGACTTCAAGATGGATGTAAAACTTTGTTAAAATTAGCCATTCATTACTAACTGCCTTAGAAATGAAAGCCAAACCATGCACTTTCTGAAATAATTTGGAGCATAAAGATGAAGCTATTTATCAATTAATTTAAACTTAAGTGAGGCTTTTGCATACAGAGGAACTTTAGGATTTGGTCTAATGGATTAAATTTAGACTACCCCACAAATGAATTCCGAGATCCTGGTTATATCTATTCACAAAGCTGTGACTTCCTGAAGTTTTCTTGGCAGAGTGAAAGAATATATTAAAATCTGGACTTCTTGTGTGTTTCCCAGAAGAAATCAGCAGGCAGTTTCTTCTACCATAAAATTAATCCATAAAGTAAATGAACATAATAATGTAAGAAATAATTCTGCTGGGGCACTCAGGTCCTTTAATGCCAACAATATCCAGTGAAGATTTTTCTTTGTCATTCTAAGGCCCTTTGAAAAATATGTCAAATCTTGTCGAATCAAATTTGAAACATACCATAAAAGATTTCCAGGAAGCTCTTATGAGGATAAAAATGAAGACTTATAGCAATGGAAATAAATCTGATTTCTAAAACGATTTTTGATAATGTTGCATTAATGACCTAGGGAAATTCTTATCAGGAGAAGTATTAGGCCACAGGTATTCAATCAGCAAAGAAATGTTGAAGTGGGGAACTTGCAAATTAAAGATAGCACCATTTGTCTTAAATCAATAAGTGGAAAGATTACAGGAACAAAGTCCCCAAGATATAAAGTGGAAAATCAAGCCTGATTTGATTTATCTCATCCAGCACTCAGAGACATAAATACCATAAGTTCTGATTCCAAAGATTCTATAGAAGAATCAGTGTCCAGAGAAAAGGAGCAAATGATTCTACGGAAGGCGGAGGAAGATGAGAAGGAGAGAAGGATGAAGAGAAGGAGGAGGAGAATGAGGGGAATTAGAAGAAGGAGGAGGAGGCTTTTACATACAAACAGAGCGAAATGCCTGAATTTATTCCCTCCAAAATAGTTTGAAAAAATAGTACCAGTAACTTGGAAATTGGGTTTACATCAGAACTGGAAAGACCCCATCTCATGCTGATTTGTACATCACAAACCTCAGCCCAAAAGCCGGTAGAGCCCTGGCCACCTGGTTCCAGGAGAGGAGCCAGTGGCCCACTCTCCCCTCTCACAGAGGCCCTGGGCCACCAGATACCCACACAGACGACCCAGAGATAGGGAGAGGGGGCTCCACAGAGAGGCAATGGCAGACCATCAGCCCAGAGCCTCACAGCTATAGGTTCCTCAGACCATGGACTCCCAGGCTCCACTTCCACCCAAGAGCCCTGCACCTGCTCACTCCTGAGGAGTTGAGGCCTCCTCCGCAGGACCACACAAGGAAGATGCTCAAAGACTGTAGGTTTTTGTTGCATGTCCTGCTGTTCCATCTTTTTAAAAAGAGACATTGATGCCAGAAAATGGTTGACAATGTCCAGTCAGAAACCTCGAGGTGGGATGTTCCCAGATGTTTGTATAATCTAGAACAAGCTCAGCTTGGTTCCCCTGCTGGAGGGGTCAGTGCAGCTGGCCCTCCAGGGATGATGCATCAGGACATCCAGGAATGCAACCTCTGATGGTGCAGCTCACAGGCCGCACTGGCTGCTGCTGACATCTTTGCATTGCAATTGTATTAAGAGCCAAGAGGCATTTCAGAATAAGTATGGATCACAGTTTAACAAGTACATGCAGTGGTACCCAGTGCAGAAAACCACTTAATCCAGAAAGGAGCAGAACACATGTATTAAGGTGTGAACACAGAAGAGGAAACATCTTAAGATGCATTCTTGCTGTCCCTGAATTTCCCCAAGAGTCTCCCCCCTTCTCATGGGTCCTGGGGTGAAATCCAGGGGTCTCTTGGAGAATCAAACGGGTTATTTTGAGAACAGCATGAGCAGGTGAGTTTGGGGGCCTATGAGAGGATGGACTATTCATTGAGATAATGGCAAAGCAGGTGGCTGCGGCAGGTATCAGGCAGAATATTAAAGGCATGAGAAGAATGTAGTGTGAACTGAGCCTTAACCAGCTCCAGAATCTTCCAAAGATCAAACAGCCTCTTTAGTATTCAAGTGCAGCCACTCAGGAGTCCAGGCCTTGGCCCAGAGAGCTAGTAGGAAGTTTTCATTCTTCTTTCGTGCTAATGTTTATGACAAGGCCAGTTCTCTCCTTACCCTACACACCCTTCCCTGTCAAATGCCTTAGAAGTATGAAGAAGATGGAAAACTAAAAGAATCTACAGAAATATTTGAGTCTCCTTTGGTGATCATTCCAACCTTAATTTATCTGAATAATCATGTGTACCTGGAGCTAGGAAGGAGTGGAGAGAGGGAGCTACATCCTGGGACCCACCTCTTCCTCCTCCCATCCTAAGGCAACATTTCAGAGTGCATGAAGGTGGCTTCAGCAACAGGTATCCCAATTCTTGGGACCCTCCCCTTCCTTCCAGTGTCCCTCTGTGGTCCTGGGCTGCCCACAAACTCTACCCCAATCGCCATCCCTCTCCCTGATGCCTCCACGTGGGTGTTGAAAGGTGATATGGTTTGGCTTTGTCCCCACCCAAATCTCACCATGAATTGTAGCTCCCATAATCCCCACATGTTGTGAGAGGGACCCAGTGAAAGGTAATTGAATCATGGGGGTGGGGCTTTCCCCTGCCGTTCTCATGACAGCAAATAAGTCTCAGGAGATCTGATGGTTTTATACAGGGCAGTTACCTGCACACGTTCTCTTGCCTGCTGCCATATAAGACGTGCCTTTGCTCTTCCTTCATCCTCCACCATGATTGTGAGGCCTCCCCAGCCATGTGGAACTGAGTTCGTTAAACCTTTTTGTCTTTATAAATTTCCCAGTCTTGGGTATTTCTTCATAGCAGTATGAAAATGGATGAATACAAACGGGCATCTCAAACAGCACAGCCCTCCTCAAGAATTCTGCTCCCCGCCAGCCTCCCAGCTCTGAGTACTGGCACACCATGATCCTAGTTGCTCAGATAAAACATCAAAGAATTATTCTTGATTTCTCAGTTTCTCTCACATCCTACATACAACACTTATTAACTCCACCTGCAAAATAGCCCAAAGCCAAGTCTGGACCAAGAGCATCTCTTACCTGGATGATCAAAATAGACATACTCGGACTCCCTGCTCCCACTGACACCCCCTCCAGCTCCAGTCCATTAGCCACACAGCAGTCAGAGGGATCTTGAAGATGCACATATCAGATTGTATCACTCTCCACTTCAGCCCCTCGTCCATAGAAATTCTGGGTTCAGTGGAGCTAGTAGCTAAAAAAATTAATGTGGTGACGATACAGGAATGCAGACTGTAGGTAGCTCTTGAATGCCACATGCCTCCCCAAAGCCCCCCAGGTGCATTTCTCAGGTGCAGACTTTGTTCCTGAGCTCTGGGTTCTCACTTCTAAGTGCATACTCATTACCTTTACTCCAGTGTCTCAACACAATCTTCAGCTCAGCATGTCAGTAGATGAACTCACCCTCATGCACACCCCTCCCACCACAAACACAGTCCCCAATGTTCCCTGCTTGGTGACTGGCACTCCCACAACCCAGCTGCGCAAGTCACAGCCTGGGTATGGTCCTTCCTTCTCCTTCTCCTCTCCCAGTACCAACTCAGCACCAATGAAGAGGAACCTCCCCTCTCCCCAGGGAATCCCAGCTCTGGAACGCATGCTTTCAGTGCAGTGTCTTCTACTGCATGAAAGAACGTGTCTAATACATCCTTCAGTGTAATTATCTGTTCAGTAACTGCCTTCTCACCAAAGCGTGGGCTCCAAGTGGGCAGGGAAGGGGACTGCCTCTGATTTGCTTGTCTGCATCCCAAGGGCAGAGGGCAGTATCTGCTTCCATGTCCAAGTTTTGAACTACTGTCTCCTGGTTGGCAACATATTTTCATATAGAATCAAAAGTCTGAACACAAGAACTGCTGCTAAACCTGGAGGACTAGGGCACCTTGAGAGAACAGGGATCTAGGTATATTGGTGCAGGTAAGTCTTCTCCTTATGAGGAGAAGCTACTAATTTTGACATTTACAGCATCTGACAAAATGCTGCCAGGACAGAATCAATTAAAATAGTGGTAATCATAATTGGTACTAGTATTTGTCCAGAGCATTAGAATTCCCAAAGTATTTCACGTGCATTACTGAATACTGCAAAGACGTCTAAGGGAACTCAAAGACACCAAACAGAGTGGACACAGCCCTGCTCCATAATCTATTGGCAACGTTGATTGGACAAGTGGCGGAAATGGCCCAAAGAGCGCACTGAACTGATACAGGCTCAGAGAAGCACAGAGTGACATGGAAGAGTTTTATGGCTCAGTGAAAGACGACACTCCCTCAAAAGATGGATTAAAACTGGTCCAGAGCATGGCAGCACCTTCCTCACACGTTCTCACCTGCGTTTTGAGGCTCTTGCATCCTATGTCATCCCAGATGTCACCATCAGGACTTTCTTTCTAGTTATTCAAGCCGTGACCACTTCCCCTTTGTAAACAGCCCTTGGGGAGAACTCATCCTGGATTGCATGTGCATTGCCCATGTGTGAGGAAGAAGCACCCGTAAAGATCATTTATTGCCAAGTGATACATAATGCGGACCATGAGCAACTCTCTCTGCATCCTAAACAGCCCTCACAAAACATCATCAGCTAAAGAGAGGGGGACTGACAGTGGACTACGTCCCAGCAGAGTCAGGCGCAGTGTCACACTCCTCCTGCAAGTGGGCCCCTCCCCACCAGAGAGCTTCCTAGCTTGCTCTTTCAAAGAAAACAGAAAATAGAAAAGGACTCTGAAATGTGTCTTGCATGCTCGCCTGATTTCAACGTGACAGCATTTCACATCAGCTTTGCAGGAAAATCTTGTTATTCTAAACTGCTTTTGCTGTTCTCGTTGTTTCATCTGAGCTGTTTCCTTTTGTTTCATTTTGCTCCCCCAGTGAGGAGGTGTTGGTTTCATGTAGCACATGCTCAAGGATTCCATAGGAAATAATCATAATCTCAGATTGGCATGAGCACACACATATGCACACACATGTACAAGTAACACGGAGATGTGCACACAACACACACATACACGCTCACATAAAAGTAACATGGAGAGGTGCATGCTACACACACATACACATACAAATAACAGAGATACACACACAACACAATATACACATGCACACACATACAAATAACACAGAGACATGCACACAACACACATATACAAACACAACACACAAACCCACACACACGTTTCCTATAACTACTGGTGTGATAATCCAAATATAATCCTGCCTCGTAAAGTAACCAAGACGTGTTCCACTTAGGAAAAGGTCAAAAGCAACAAACAAAGAGCAGAGGAGAGCCAGGGAGG